>NC_000010.11:114120368-115370368 GCF_000001405.40 Homo sapiens | reverse complement strand
CTTCTTCTGAGCCCTCCAAACTGTTCCAACCTTGGCCTGTAACCAGTTCCAAAGTTGCTTCCACATTTTCAGGTATCTTTTCAGAAGTGCCCCACTCTACTGGTACTAATTTACTGTATTAGTCCATTTTGACACAGCCGATAAAGACATACTGAGACTGGGCAATTTATAAAAGAAAGAGGTTTAATGGACTTACAGTTCCACATGGCTGGGGAGGCCTCACAATCATGGCAGAATGTGAAAGGCACATCTCACATGGTGGCAGACAAGATAAAAGATTTTGTGCAGGGAAACTCCCCTTTATAAAACCATCAGATCTTGGGAGACTTATTCACTATGACAAGAATAGCATGGGAAAGATCCACCCCTGTGATTCAATTATCTTCTACCAGATCCCTCCCACAACACCTGGCAATTACAGCAGCTCCAATTCAAGATGAGATTTGGGTGGGGACATGGCCAAACCATATCAGGACATGAAAAGACACTTCTCAAAAGATTAAAAAATGGTCAATAAATATAGGAAAAGATATTCCACATCATTTATCATCAGGGAATAGCAAATTAAAACCATAGTGAGATACCACCTCACATCTGTTAGAATGGCTGTTATCAGGAAGACAAAAGATAACAAGAGTTAGAGAGGATGTGGAAAAAAAGGGAACCTTTGTACATTGTTGGGGGGAATGTAAATTAATAAGGCCATTATGGAATGTAGTATGCAGTTTACTCAGAAAACTGAAAATGGACCTTTCATATGATCCAAAAATCCCACTACTGTGTATATATATCCAAGGAAAATGAAATCAATTTTCAAAGAGATATATGCACTCCCCATGTTTACTGCAGCAGTATTCACACTAGCAAAGATACAAAATCAACTTAAATATCCATCAATGGATGAATACTACACAAAAGTGATCAACTCATTCAAGCCTCATCCTCTCACAAAACCCCAATCCCGCTCACAGAATCCCTCATCCCTCTCACGGAATCCCATCGCCTTCACAGAATCCTATCCCCTTCACAGAACCCCCATCCCCTCATGGAACCCCCTTCCCCCTCACAGAACCCCAATCCCCTTCAAAGAATTACCCCATCCCCCTCACACAACCCCTATCCTCATCACAGAATCCTCCATCCCCCATATTTTCTCCACATTATATACATAGTATTTATAATATATATATTTAAAAATGAAATATTATTCAGCCTTAAAAATAAGCAAATCCGGTGTTTTACAACAACATGGATTAACCTAGAGGATATTATTTTATGTGAAAATAAGCCAGGTTAAAAAAAGACTAATACTGTATGATTTCACTCGTATGCAGTATCTAAAATCTCAAATTTACGGCTGGGCGCAGTGGCTTATGCATGTAATCCCAGCACTTTGGGAGGCCAAGGCAGGCAGATCACCTGAGGTCAGGAGTTCAAGACCAGCTTTACCAACATGGTGAAACCCCGTCTCTACTAAATATACAAAAATTAGCCAGGCGTGGTGGTGGGCACCTGTAATCTCAGCTACTCAGGAGGCTCAGGCAGGAGAATCACTTGAACCCAGGAGGCGGTGGTTGCAGTGAACCAAGATCACACCACTGCATTCCAGCCTGGGCGGAAGAGCGAGAATTCACCTCAAAAAAAAAAAAAAATAGAATCGAATATACAAAAGCAGAGAGTTAGAATGATGTTTACCAGGAGCTGGTGTGGAAAAGGGGATGGGAAATGAGGAGATGGTCAAAATGTACAAAGTTTTTGTTAGAAAGGAAGAATAATTTCTGGAGATCTACAGCCATGGTGACTGTAGCTAAAAACAATGTACTGCGAGCCAAGATGGCCGAATAGGAACAGCTCTGGTCTACAGCTCCCAGCGTGAGCGACGCAGAAGACGGGTGATTTCTGCATTTCCATCTGAGGTACTGGGTTCATCTCACTAGGGAGTGCCATACAGTGGGTGCAGGTCAGTGGGTGCGTGCACCGTGCGCGAGCCGAAGCAGGGCGAGGCTTTGCCTCACTTGGGAAGCGCAAGGGTCAGGGAGTTCCCTTTCCGAGTCAAAGAAAGGGGTGACGGACGCACCTGGAAAATCGGGTCACTCCCACCCGAATATTGCGCTTTTCGGACCGGCTTAAAAAACGGCGCACCGCGAGATTATATCCCGCACCTGGCTCAGAGGGTCCTACGCCCACGGAGTCTCGCTGATTGCTAGCACAGCAGTCTGAGATCAAACTGTAAGGCAGCAGCGAGCCTGGGGGAGGGGCGCCCGCCATTGCCCAGGCTTGCTTAGGTAAACAAAGCAGCCAGGGAGCTCCAACTGAACTGGGTGGAGCCCACCACAGCTCAAGGAGGCCTGCCTGCCTCTGTAGGCTCCACCTCTGGGGGCAGGGCACAGACAAACAAAAAGACAGCAGTAACCTCTGCAGACTTAAATGTCCCTGTCTGACAGCTTTGAAGAGAGCAGTGGTTCTCCCAGCACGCAGCTGGAGATCTGAGAACGGGCAGACTGCCTCCTCAAGTGGGTCCCTGACCCCTGACCCCCGAGCAGCCTAACTGGGAGGCACCCCCCAGCAGGGGCACACTTGACACCTCACACAGCAGGGTATTCCAACAGACCTGCAGCTGAGGGTCCTGTCTGTTAGAAGGAAAACTAACAAACAGAAAGGACATCCACACCAAAAACCCATATGTACATCACCATCATCGACGACCAAAAGTAGATAAAACCACAAAGATGGGGAAAAAACAGAACAGAAAAACTGGAAACTCTAAAAGGCAGAGTTCCTCTCCTCCTCCAAAGGGACGCAGTTCCTCACCAGCAACGGAACAAAGCTGGATGGAGAATGACTTTGACGAGCTGAGAGAAGAAGGCTTCAGATGATCAAATTACTCTGAGCTATGGGAGGACATTCAAACCAAAGGCAAAGAAGTTGAAAACTTTGAAAAAAATTTAGAAGAATGTATAACTAGAATAACCAATACGGAGAAGTGCTTAAAGGAGCTGATGGAGCTGAAAACCAAGGCTCGAGAACTACGTGAAGAATGCAGAAGCCTCAGGAGCTGATGCGATCAACTGGAAGAAAGGGTATCAGCGATGGAAGATGAAATGAATGAAATGAAGCGAGAAGGGAAGTTTAGAGAAAAAAGAATAAAAAGAAATGAGCAAAGCCTCCAAGAAATATGGGACTATGTGAAAAGACCAAATCTACGTCTGATTGGTGTACCTGAAAGTGATGGGGAGAATGGAACCAAGTTGGAAAACACTCTGCAGGATATCATCCAGGAGAACTTCCCCAATCTAGCAAGGCAGGCCAACGATCAGATTCAGGAAATACAGAGAACGCCACAAAGATACTCCTCGAGAAGAGCAACTCCAAGACACATAATTGTCAGATTCACCAAAGTTGAAATGAAGGAAAAAATGTTAAGGGCAGCCAGAGAGAAAGGTCGGGTTACCCACAAAGGGAAGCCCATCAGACTAACAGTGGATCTCTCGGCAGAAACCCTACAAGCCAGAAGAGAGTGGGGGCCAATATTCAACATTCTTAAAGAAAAGAATTTTCAACCCAGAATTTCATATCCAGCCAAACTAAGCTTCATAAGTGAAGGAGAAATAAAATACTTTACAGACAAGCAAATGCTAACCGATTTTGTCACCACCAGGCCTGCCCTAAAAGAGCTCCTGAAGGAAGCACTAAACATGGAAAGGAACAACCGGTACCAGCCGCTGCAAAATCATGCCAAAATGTAAAGACCATCGAGACTAGGAAGAAACTGCATCAACTAACGAGCAAAATCACCAGCTAACATCATAATGACAGGATCAAATTCACACATAACAATATTAAGTTTAAATGTAAATGGACTAAACGCTCCAATTAAAAGACACAGACTGGCAAATTGGATAAAGAGTCAAGACCCATCAGTGTGCTGTATTCAGGAAACCCATCTCACGTGTAGAGACACACATAGGCTCAAAATAAAAGGATGGAGGAAGATCTACCAAGCAAATGGAAAACAAAAAAAGGCAGGGGTTGCAATCCTAGTCTCTGACAAAACAGACTTTAAACCAACAAAGATCAAAAGAGACAAAGAAGGCCATTACATAATGGTAAAGGGATCAATTCAACAAGAAGAGCTAACTATCCTAAATATATATGCACCCAATACAGGAGCACCTAGATTCATAAAGCAAGTCCTGAGTGACCTACAAAGAGACTCAGACTCCCACACATTAATAATGGGAGACTTTAACACCCCACTGTCAACATTAGACAGATCAACGAGACAGAAAGTCAACAAGGATACCCAGGAATTGAACTCAGCTCTGCACCAAGTGGACCTAATAGACATCTACAGAACTCTCCACCCCAAATCAACAGAATATACATTTTCAGCACCACACCACACCTATTCTAAAATTGACCACATACTTGGAAGTAAAGCTCTCCTCAGCAAATGTAAAAGAACAGAGATTATAACAAACTATCTCTCAGACCACAGTGCAATCAAACTAGAACTCAGGATTAAGAATCTCACTCAAAATCGCTCAACTACATGGAAACTGAACAACCTGCTCCTGAATGACTACTGGATACATAACGAAATGAAGGCAGAAATAAAGCTGTTCTTTGAAACCAACGAGAACAAAGACACAACATACCAGAATCTCTGGGACGCATTCAAAGCAGTGTGTAGAGGGAAATTTATAGCACTAAATGCCCACAAGAGAAAGCAGGAAAGATCCAAAATTGACACCCTAACATCACAATTAAAAGAACTAGAAAAGCAAGGGCAAACACATTCTAAAGCTAGCAGAAGGCAAGAAATAACTAAAATCAGAGCAGAATTGAAGGAAATAGAGACACAAAAAACCCTTCAAAAAATTAATGAATCCAGGAGCTGGTTTTTTGAAAGGATCAACAAAATTCATAGACCGCTAGCAAGACTAATAAAGAAAAAAAGAGAGAAGAATCAAATAGACACAATAAAAAATGATAAAGGGGATATCACCACCGATCCCACAGAAATACAAACTACCATCAGAGAATACTACAAACACCTCTATGCAAATAAACTAGAAAATCTAGAAGAAATGGATAAATTCCTCGATACATACACTCTCCCAAGACTAAACCAGGAAGAATTTGAATCTCTGAATAGACCAATAACGGGAGCTGAAATTGTGGCAATACTCAGTAGTTTACCAACCAAAAAGAGTCCAGGACCAGATGGATTCACAGCCGAATTCTACCAGAGGTACAAGGAGGAACTGGTACCATTCCTTCTGAAACTATTCCAATCAATAGAAAAAGAGGGAATCCTCCCTAACTCATTTTATGAGGCCAGCATCATTCTGATACCAAAGCCGGGCAGAGACACAACCAAAAAAGAGAATTTTAGACCAATATCCTTGATGAACCTTGATGCAAAAATCCTCAATAAAATACTGGCAAACTGAATCCAGCAGCACATCAAAAAGCTTATCCACCATGATCAAGTGGGCTTCATCCCTGGGATGCAAGGCTGGTTCAATATACGCAAATCAATAAATGTAATCCAGCATATAAACAGAGCCAAAGACACAAACCACATTATTATCTCAATAGATGCAGAAAAAGCCTTTGACAAAATTCAACAACCCTTCATGATAAAAACTCTCAATAAATTAGGTATTGATGGGATGTATCTCAAAATAATAAGAGCTATCTATGACAAACCCACAGCCAATATCATACTGAATGGGCAATAACTGGAAGCATTCCCTTTGAAAACTGGCACAAGACAGGGATGCCCTCTCTCACCACTCCTATTCAACATAGTGTTGGAAGTTCTGGCCAGGGCAATTAGGCAGGAGAAGGAAATAAAGGGTATTCAATTAGGAAAAGAGGAAGTCAAATTGTCCCTGTTTGCAGACGATATGATTGTATATCTAGAAAACCCCATTGTCTCAGCCCAAAATCTCCTTAAGCTGATAAGCAACTTCAGCAAAGTCTCAGGATACAAAATCAATGTACAAAAATCACAAGCATTCTTATACACCAATAACAGACAAACAGAGAGCCAAATCATGAGTGAACTCCCATTCACAATTGCTTCAAAGAGAATAAAATACCTAGGAATCCAACTTACAAGGGATGTGAAGGACCTCTTCAAGGAGAACTACAAACCACTGCTCAAGGAAATAAAAGAGGATACAAACAAATGGAAGAACATTCCATGCTCACGGGTAGGAAGAATCAATATCGTGAAAATGCCCATACTGCCCAAGGTAATTTACAGATTCAATGCCATCCCCATCAAGCTACCAATGACTTTCTTCACAGAATTGGAAAAAACTACTTTAAAGTTCATATGGAATCAAAAAAGAGCCCGCATCACCAAGTCAATCCTAAGCCAAAAGAATAAAGCTGGAGGCATCACACTACCTGACTTCAAACTATACTACAAGGCTACAGTAACCAAAACAGCATGGTACTGGTACCAAAACAGAGATATAGATCAATGGAACAGAACAGAGCCCTCAGAAATAACGCCGCATATCTACAACTATCTGATCTTTGACAAACCTGAGAAAAACAAGCAATGGGGAAAGGATTCCCTATTTACTAAATGGTTCTGGGAAAACTGGCTAGCCATATGTAGAAAGCTGAAACTGGATCCCTTCCTTACACCTTATACAAAAATCAATTGAAGATGGACTAAAGACTTAAACGTTAGACCTAAAACCATAAAAACCCTAGAAGAAAACCTAGGCATTACCATTCAGGACATAGGCATGGGCAAGGACTTCATGTCCAAAACACCAAAAGCAATGGCAACAAAAGACAAAATTGACAAATGGGATCTAATTAAACTAAAGAGCTTCTGCACAGCAAAAGAAACTACCATCAGAGTGAACAGGCAACCTACAAAATGGGAGAAAATTTTTGCAACCTACTCATCTGACAAAGGGCTAATATCCAGAATCTACAATGAACTCAAACAAATTTACAAGAAAAAAACAAACAACCCCATCAAAAAGTGGGCAAAGGACATGAACAGACACTTCTCAAAAGAAGACATTTATGCAGCCAAAAGACACATGAAAAAATGCTCATCATCACTGACCAGAGAAATGCAAATCAAAACCACAATGAGATACCATCTCACACCATTTAGAATGGCGATCATTAAAAAGTCAGGAAACAACAGGTGCTGGAGAGGATGTGGAGAAATAGGAACACTTTTACACTGTTGGTGGGACTGTAAACTAGTTCAACCATTGTGGAAGTCAGTGTGGCGATTCCTCAGGGATCTAGAACTAGAAATACCATTTGACCCAGCCATCCCATTACTGGGTATATACCCAAAGGACTGTAAATCATGCTGCTATAAAGACACATGCACACGTATGTTTATTGCAGCACTATTCACAATAGCAAAGACTTGGAACCAACCCAAATGTCCATCAATGATAGACTGGATTAAGAAAATGTGGCACATATACACCATGGAATACTATGCAGCCATAAAAAATGATGAGTTCATGTCCTTTGTAGGGACATGGATGAAATTGGAAATCATCATTCTCAGTAAACTATCGCAAGAACAAAAAACCAAACACTGCATATTCTCACTCATTGGTGGGAATTGAACAATGAGATCACATGGACACAGGAAGGGGAATATCACACTCTGGGGACTGTGGTGGGGTGGGAGGAGGTGGGAGGGATAGCATTGGGAGATATACCTAATGCTAGATGACGAGTTAGTGGGTGCAGCACACCAGCATGGCACATGTATACATATGTAACTAACCTGCACAATGTGCACATGTACCCTAAAACTTAAAGTATAATAAAAAAAAAAAAACAATGTACTGCATACTTGTAAACCGCTGAGCAGATTTTAAATGTTCTCATAACAAAAAATCATAAGTATGTTAGGTGATAAATATGTTAAGTTAATTTAAGCATTCCACAATATATCCTCATAAACCAAACATGATGTTGTATATTATAAATATACATAATTTTCACTGGTCAATTAAAAATATGAAAAATAAATTTTCATTCTATTTTTTAACTTACATTTTTATTTATAGCTCTAAGCCCAAATTTTCATCAATTTATAGTTTATGAAAAAGGAAAACAATATAGCTGTTTCTTTTTTATATAAATAAATATGAAATGCTGATATCAATATCTTCACTATCTGATTTTTCTCACAAAAAAGCCCTAGATTTACAACCATTGCCATATATTAACCTGCTGTTATGAGAAGTGTAAATTTTTTTTTCTTTTGGATACATGATAGCTCTTGCAATTTAGAAAAGGCCATATGACTTAATCAGATTACTTTGTTTATTTAGGATATTAGGCACCTGTACTTGCCTATATTAAAGAGTGGGAAAACAAGAAATGATTCTTTCTTCGATAAAAAAGGTAAAGTAATTCATTCTTTGATCCAGTACTTACTGAATGTTTTCAAAGCAGTGCTCCAGTACGTGAACATGATCATAAACAATAATTTAAACCTTAAGTAACTGGAATCTTCCAGAAAATAGCACTGTTTCAAAAATTTAAGTTATAAATTGGAGACTCAAAGGGCCAAGAGTGCTATAAAATTTACATTTTACAGTCCAACATTGTATACCACATTAAAAAATGAGAGGAAACTCAAACCATATATTCTAAGGGTCACTAAACTATGATATGGGGTCCAAATCCAGCCCATGTCCAATTTTTCTATGATTCTCAAGCTAAGAATGTTATTGCATTTTTAAAGGATTGTGAAGAAGGAAGAAATGAATATTGATGTAGGTGAGGTTGTGCATATGTATGAAAATACATGTGTCTGTGAGTAGACACCTATGTAAGCATTTCTGTACACATACATGTATTCTCTAGTTTGTCTGCTGAGGTGATCCACAAACAATGATGCTCAGAGCCCACTAAAAGTACCAAAGCTGCTTGATAAATGCTAGCTTCCACAGTTATGGCTGGAAAAGTACAAGATAAATGCCGAAACTATAAGGAAATGCTCAAAGAATGAAAGGATTACACACATACATACATACATACATAGACAGGTAGACAAAAGAGAGAAAAGCAAGCTTCTCATTATAGTAGAAAGCCAACTAATCAATGTGGAAAGAATAAAGAAATTAGAAAATCACCATTTGGTAAAAATCATAATAATCATTGATTACAGAAGAACTATCAATATATGTTAGAACTAGCGGGTGAAAGACTGAGGACTAACACAACATGCACATAGTCTCAAAGTATCTCCCATAAGATTCTCATTCATTGTAAAGGATAAAATAGCACCTTTACAGTGATGAAGTCTGGCAGACACCACTGTAACCAAAGGTTCATTGTGAGCATCCCTATTAAGAGCATGATGACAGCATGTGGCTCCTGATACGTTGGTAAGAATTTAACATAACTTCAGAGGTATTCCTGCCAAAAGTGCATAATCAGAACATAATCATGAAGACATAGCAAACACAAATTGTAGCACATTCTATCCATACACAAAAATAATATAGTGTAGTCCTAAAAAATGTCAAATGACATTAAACAAAATGAAAGAGTTGGGAAATTACCCAGGTTAAAGACTAAGACAGGTGCAGGAATCCACCATGGCACACGTTTACCTATGTAACAAACCTCCTCCACATTCTGCAAATGTATCTGGAACTTAAAGTAAAATAAATTTTTTTTTAAAAAAAAAAGACTAAGAAGGCCTCAAAAATGAACACAACTAATAATCGGATTTTTTTTTTGCTTTAAAAAACAACATTGAGACAATTGGCACAATCTGAATAAAATCTATATTTAATAACAATATGCATCAATGTTAAGTTTCTGATTTCAATAATTATACTGTGGTTAAGAGAATTCCTAGTTTTTAAGAAATATGCACTAAAGTATTTAAGGGGTAAAGAGACCTTAAGTTTACAATGTTTAACTGAAAGCCATGAAGAGAGAAAGGCAATTTGGGGGAACTGTTTGTATTTTCTTTATAGCTCTTTCACATGGACTTATGTCAAAACAAACAAATTAAATAGAACTTTTCCATTTTATAAATACTAAACATTTCTACACTTAGAAATAGACAATAAAATGCATTTTTATTCTTTTGACTTGTAAATCAATAATAACATTATGTGTAACAACTTTATTTGAAGAGTTCTTTGTTTTTCCTACATATATTAAGGGTAGTTATTTTTTTCTTTTTGGGTATTGGGATGTTGTTAGGAATATATGAAATAAACGATTATTCCATTTGTCAAGAAAACACTAGTGCTTAATTTTTAAAATATATAAAATATCATATGTGAATAATTACTCAAATATCTTCTGTTACAAATAATGGGAGTTACATAGTCTTATACTACTTTGAAATTCCAGAAGTTGGACGCTTACAGCTAGAAGAATGCACAAAATGTATGTTAAAAATCACATAAAATACATATGTTATGGTAAAGTGAAATATTAGTACTTTGAAGTTATCTAGTAACTTATTGTATAGAATAATACATTCTGCTAAAATGACTCCAGAATTAATAGGTTAGTGAGTCAAAATGTAAGATAGTTAAGCTCTGAAAAGTCAGATATCAAGATTCTATTTATCTTCTCTAGAAAAACTAGAAACTGAAGAGAGTTACATAAATTGCATTTTCTTCCTTATTTGAGCTTTACATAACTTCTCTTACCAGTCTTCAATGAAAAAATTTATATATAAAATATTGCATTATTGCTCAATAAGAGTTATGAGAATGGGAAATCATCTATAATAATTAAAACCAATTCTCATTCAGAGCAAATATAATACATACATTGGAACTGCCAGTGTTATTTCACTGTTGGCCCAATTGCTGAAAATAAAAGCAAGCAGAATAATCAATAATTTTAAAAACAGGAAGCTACTTTTTGCCTCTTCCTGTAAAGTAAAAATTAGTTGAAACTAGAAAACTCGTTTGCTAGGAAGACTAAATAATATTTTCTTTTCGATAATATAAAAATGATTAAAACAGATGAAACAAATGTTACTTTGTAGTAATATTAATACAGCAAAATTCTAACTATGTACCAAGTACAGTACTACCTAATAGTGAGCATACAAGAATGTAAAAAACTACAAAACATATGAGACAAAAATTCTCTCATAAAGATGTTCACATCCTGCTAGATAAAAAGACAAGTAAATTATGACTTAACAAGAACACTGATGGTAATAATCATGGAGGCACAAACCTGCCTGAAGTTAGTGGGGATATTATGACAAGTTTTTAGGCTGGAATTTTATTGGAGCTGAGATTTGAAAAATGAGTAATTTGAGTTCAAAGGCAGGGACATAACACCCATTTAAATAGGCAAAGACCTGGGTTTATAGGGAGGAGTGGTTGGATATGAAGTAAAAACTATATAATATTGTGGAAGTCTTGGAAACTGAATAAAATACTGATTAAAAGATCTGTTTAGAAGCTAATGTAACAGTCAAGGCTAAATAATAATAGACATAAGTAGGACAATGGATGTGCAATATTATGGCCTTAAAATGGATAAGAGCTGGCCACTAGTTGCATGTGAGAGTCAAAGAAAATATAAGAACATACTGGTTTAGACCACTGTTAGAATCAGGTAGTTCAAGGTTTCAATTCTCATTCTAGCACTTAATGACTTAACCTTTCAAAAAGGAGTTAGGCTTATGTCCTTGGTTTACTCATTTGTAAAATAGGTATAATAAATAATAACTAAAATAGGTATACTAAAATCTTTATTAAATGCTTAGAATTAATCGAAAAACATTTAGATTAGCTTTTTAGCAATGTACCTGGTATAATCAATAAACATTATCCACATTTTTAGATATAATGCTTGGAGCTTAACTGACAAGGAAAATGTATTATTGAGTAAAATGTAAATTGCAAAAAATAAAAAAATAAAGATATGATAGAATATGAAAAATATGGTAAGACGTAAAGCAAGAAAAGTTATCTGGGCTCAGTATAAAAGGATTTACAAGCCTTATAAAGGAGCTTTAAATGTACTTCATAGATAATTTGCAGGCAACAAATATTTTAGAAATAGTAACAAAATAAGTTTTTTGAATGATTTTAGGAAGAAAATTGTCTCTTTTTTCTTTTCCTATGAAGGAAGTATAAAGGTGGATTGTAAATGGAGAGAGTCTATAAATACATAGTGAGAGCATTCATGCATTAATTCAACAAATATTTAATGAGAACTTATATCATGTCAGGTAATCTGTAACATCTAACAAGAACACAAGAGAAGCAGGATCATGGAGGCCTAAACTAATAAGGGCAATGAACTCCAAGAAGGGAATAAATATCATAGATAGTGCAGAGCCAGGATCAGTTTGGAATTGAATATACTGGCAGAGGGAAAAGATGGAATAAGAAGATGCTTTTGAAATTGAGCCTAAAAGAGTGATAGTATCATTAACTAAGATAGGGATGGAGAGAGAATATATTTAAAATAATAACGACAATGAATTCCATTTCTTAACTAATTAATTTGTATAGTAGTGGGACTTTGGAAATGTTCAGCAGAAAGTTAAAAATTTTAAATTGCCTAATAAAATAGGCTGTACTGTTAAGCAAATATATAATTAAATGTTTATATACTTCCTTTAAAGCCTAAAAACATAAATTATTACTATAAAATCAATAAATTGGCCATAAAGTAAAGGTAAGATAAAAGATATAGATAAAAGTATGTGTAACTAAGAGAAAAGTAAATATTTGGATCCATGTCCTATGGCATATAAAAATGGGTCTTTGAGAGAAAGGCACTTCTTCCTAAATAATATATTAAGGAGGATTTTAATGTGTTTATGAAATATTTATAAACAATATTTATGCTGAAGCTTTCCTACACCTGCTGTAGGCATGACTAAAATATAATTAACTTCTCCACCATCACTAATTAGTATTCATGCACTATTTGAGCAATGCAAAAGTGTGTGTCCAAATTGGAATTTAGTTTGGTTTTGCCTTTTGAAAAAATTGTACAAATATCAGAATAAAACCAAAAGTATGTTTAAAGTTTCTTAGGTTAACCTATAATCTTCTGAACTGTACTAAATAAATGTTTTATACGTATTAGAATATAAGTAGAACTATGCCCCACTTTAAATTTATCTTTTCTTCACCCTAGGCCTGTCATTTCAAGCCAGTAGGAATTCTACAACACTTGTGAGTTGGCATAAGAACCATTTTTATTATTAAGTTCAATCATAACATCTTATATCACTTTTTAAAAAACCAAATAGTGCCATATTCTTGTAATGCAAACCTCAAGCAATACATTATAGGGGCTAAGCATCACATCAAATAAAATTAAAGAGAAATATTGAACCCTTAGACAAAATAATAGTTTCTCTCTGGCCCCAAATAAATAGTATTCTACCTACAGAACTGAAACTATTGAATAGTTTTCAAAATTACATAGAGATATATTAGTCCACTTGTTCCTGAAAAGAAAGCAAGTAAATGACACACTTCATTGTCAAAAACTTGTAAACCAGAGGTGAAGATATTCTATAACATCAGATCTAAGGGCCTAAAAATCACTATTCAAATAGCAAAAGTTGAAGTAATGCTTAGTCAAAGTTTGAAGAGGTAGAACATAAAACTTTGTACAAATAAAAATTAGAAGAAGAGATCCTGAGGAAGGGAGTAGGTTTGATAAAGCCATGGCAAAGTTCCCCAGGGGAACTTTGGGAATTAGCCCACAGATAGTTCTTTTTAAAAGCATCTAACAGAAATAAGTAATAAACTGCATATTCCAGTAACCCATAATGAAGGCATGCTAAAATATCTGACATCAGGGCCAAACAGTTTTCATAGCCTCAGTTCTCCTCACCTTTGAAATTCCTTTTATGAAAACAAAAAGAATGAAAACAGCTCAAAAGGATGGCCTCTCTTTGGAATATTCAAAATCTCAAGTTGGCTTTCCTGTGCAACACAGAACGTAGTATGTACTGAGAGAATACAAACTTTTAACATTGTTGTGTCAAAAGAATAAATAGAACCAATATTTCCATCTCAAGCTATTTTCATGTATCTGCAGCTTGAGATTTTTCAATGTTCCTAGTTTGAGAGAATTAAGCTTCCTACACTTATTTTAAGAAATGCTCAACCTCATTTGGTAATAAATTTTCTGCTTCTCTGAATAATCTACAATGTGTGAGAATGGTTTAAAATGAAAAATTTCCTCATCTTAGAAGAGAGAAAAAAAGGTAATTCATCTTCCTTTTTACTACCCTTGAGTCTCAGAGAATGTTTGGGTCACATCCTAGTGTGTGTATTAAAGTATTAAACACGTCTGTAAAAGTCTGCTATGAACAGATAGTCACAGTATGCCAAAAAGAGAAACATAAGGTAAAAATAGAACTGTCATTATGTTGAAAGAACTCTTTTTTCCCCAAAACTGAAAAATTAAAGTTTATCACTGTTAAAAACTTAAAATATAGAGAGAAATTAAGAAAATCAGATAAGCCTACTATTCAAAAACCTATAAAAAGATCAACAAAATGAACTAAAAACATAACAGATATAAAAACAGACATTACCAATTACAAATGTAATATTAAAGGAAAAAAATGTATTCATAATACCAACAAAACCCATTAAGCACCTTGCAATAAACTTAACCCAAAAGAGTAAGACCTAAATGGAGGAAACTATTAGTTATATAGGATTGGAATTTTTTTTAATGTCTGTATATTTCATGATTTGAAGACATATTTTTCTTATAGTACATCTTTTGTTTTACAAATAATTGGATAAACAAATATGTACATAAAAAGTGCCCATGCCACCCGTTCCCCAACTCCAGACAGTTCAGGGTAGAGAAGGGCTCCTTATGCTTCTGGAAAAGACAGAAAGGGACTTTGCCTGATAACAAAAGGAATTCTCCCTTCACTTTCAGAAGTCTACCCAGGCTATGTACCTAGAGTCTGCAAGAGTACAGCATACCTGGGCTTAGGGCTCCCTCTAGTGCTAAAACAACTGCAAGGACCACAGAAATAAGTAATTTAACACTCAATCCCATTTGAATTCTCAGAAAACTTTCTCAAGGACAGGTATAAACAATGCCAGACTGGAAAGACTGGAACAAATACCTAAATTTTTAACGCTCATATATCATCAAATGTCCACAAGCATCAAGAGCATTCAGGAAAACATTACCTCATCACACGGAGTAAATGAGGCACCCATGACCAATTCTAGAGTGGCAGATACATATATTCTCAGACAAAGAATTCAATACACCTGTTTTGAGAAAACATGATGCATTTCAAGATAAAACAGAGAAATTTAACAAAGACACTGAAATAAACAATAAAAAATCACTCGAGCTGAAAAAGTCAACTGACTGAAAAATTCATCAGAATCTCTCAAAAACAAAATTGATCAAGCAAAAACGGAAATATTTAGTTCAAGACATACTATATGAAAATAGATTTAAAAGAATAAAAAAGAATAAAATATGATTACAGGATCTAAAAAAGAGCCTCAAAAGGGAAAATCTAAGAGTCACTGGTCTTAAAGAGGATACAAAGAAAAAGACCGGGGTAGAAAGTTTATTCAAAGAAAGTAATAAGAGAACTTTTCAAACCTAGAAAAAGATACGAACATTTAGGTAAAGAAGGTGAAAGAACATCAAGAAGATTCAACTGAAATAAGACTACCACAAGACATATAATAATCAAACTATCAAAGGTCAAAGATGAAAGAATCATCCTAGAAGCAACAAGAAGAAAAAAGTAAATAACATATAAAGGAGCTCTGATATTTCTGGCAGCAGCCTTCTCAGTGGGGAGTTTATAGACCAGAATGAGCAAGATAGCATATTAAAAGTGCTAAAGGGAAAAAACTTCCAACCTAGAATACTGCATACAGGAAAGATATCCTTCAATATGGAGGAGAAATAAAGACTTTCCCAGACAAACAAAAGCTGAGTAAATTCATCATCACCAGATGAATGCTGAAGAGATTTTACAAAAAAAAATGCTGAAGAGATTTTATCAATCTGAAAGTAAAGGCTGCTAACATATAACAAGAAAACATCTGAAAGCATGAAATTCAGTGGAAAAGGTAAGAACAAAGACAAATTCAGAATACTCTAACAGAAGAGTCCAACATTAGAAGAAGAATTGTCATGGGCCACGTATAAAACACACTATCACTAATGATAGTGGATGAGCTAAAAAAAAATTATAATGTTTTAAGAAAGTTTACTGATTTGTGTTGGGCCATATTCAAAGCTGTCCTGGGCTGCATGTGGCCCACAAGCTGCGGGTTAGACAAGCTTGCTCTAGTGCAACAATTGTGGTGTGTAAATCACTTACATTTTCAGCATGAGGACCAAAAGAAAAATCTATCAAAAATAATAACTACAACAATTTTTGAAAGATAGACAATATGAAAAGATATAGAGACAACAAAAAGTCAAAAAGTAGGAGGGAGTTAGAGGAAAAGTTAGAGTACAGAATTTTTTAGTTTTTTCTTTGCTTGTTTTCCTTTTGTTCCCTCTTCTTTGAGATTAGAGTTTTTATCAATTTAACGTTGTTAGCTATAAAATATTTTTGCAAGCCTCACAGTAATGACAAAGCAAACACCTATAATAGAAATTGAAAAAATAAAAAGCAAGGAATTAAAACATACAGCCAGAGGAAATCACTAATCTAAAAAGGAAGAGAGGAAGAAAGGAAGAGAAAATGTACAAAACAATCAGAAGAAAAATGACAAACTGGAAGTAGTTAAGTCCTAACCTTTCAACAATAACACTGAATGTAAATGGACTAAATTCTTCAAATAAAAGACAGAGAGTGGCTGAATGGATTAAAACAAGACTCAAATATATGCTGCCCATAAGAAATTTACTTTAGCTATAAAAACAACATACACTAAAAATGAAGGAAATGAAATGAAATATTCCATGCAAATGGAAACAAAAAACAAGAATAGCTATACCTATGTCAGATAAAATAGATTTCAAGGCAAAAACTGTAAGAAGAGTCAAAGAAGGTCATTATATAATAATAAAATGGTCAAATTCAGCCAAAGAATATTAAAATTGCAAATATTTCTTGCACAAAACACTGGAGCATCCAGATAATATAAAGCAAACATTACTAGACCTAAAGAGAAAGACAGACTCCAATATAATAATGCCTGGGGACTTCAACACCCACTTTCAACACTGAACATATATTTTAAATAGAAAATCAACAATGCACCATTAGACTTAATATGCACTACAGACCAGATGGACCTAATGATCAATAAGAGAACATTTCATTCAACGGGTGAAAAATATACATTCTTCTCATTAGCACATGGAATATTCTTGAGGACAGACCATCTCTTAGGCCAGGAAGATAGTCTCAACAAAGTATTACATGTCAAAATAATATCAAGTTGGTTTTTGTTGTTGTTGTTTTTTTAAAGACAGAGTTTTGCTCTTGTTGCCCAGGCTGGAGTGCAATGGCACCACAATCTCGGCTCACCACAACCTCCACCTCCCAGGTTTAAGTGATTCTCCTGCCTCAGCCTCCCGAGTAGCTGGGACTACAGGCATGTGCCACCACCCTCAGCTAATTTTTTTGTATTTTTAGTACAGACAGGGTTTCTCCATTTTGATCAGGCTAGTCTTGAACTCCCAACCTCAGGTGATCCAGCTGCCTCGGCCTCCCAAAGAGAGTATCAAGTATTTTTTCTAACAACAGTGGAATTAACTAGAAATGAATAATGACACTTTGGAAACTATACAAATATATGGAAATGAAACAATACGCTGCTGAAGGAATGAAAACATTAAATTTCAATTAAGAAATTAAGAATAAAACTTTAAAATGGCTTGAAACAAATAAAAATAGAATCACAACATACCAAAACCTATGGGACACCACAAAAACAATGTTGCCTACATCAAAAAAGATTTCAAATAAGAACACTTAATAGTGCATCTTAGAAAATAAAAAAGCAGAACAAACTAAACCCAAACTTAGGAGAAGAGAAGAACTAATAAAGACTAGAGCACAAATGAATAAGTTATAGACTAAAAAATATATATAAAAGATCAACAAAAGGAGAAGTTATTTGGGAAAAAATAACTAAAATTTATAAACTTTTAGCTACACTAAGAAAAAAAGTGAGAAGATGAACATAATTAAGAAATGAAAAAAAGACACTACAATTGATACCACAGGAATTCAAAGAATCATTAGAGACTATGATAAGCAACTATATCCCAATAAATTGTAAAGCCTGGGAGACAAGTATAAATTCCTAAATACATACAAACTACCAAAATTGAACCATGAAGAAACAGAAAAACTAAACAGACCAATAGCAAGTTATGAAACAGAAACAATAATAAAGACTCCCATCAAAGAAAAGCCCAATATCAGATAGTTTCACTGCTGAATTCTACAAATCATTTACAGAAGAACTAACAAATTCTACTTATTATATTCTACAAAGTCAAGGATGAGAGAACACTCTCAAATTCATCCTACTGGCCAGCATTATCCTGATACCAAAACTAGACAAAGACACAATTAAAAACAAAAACACAAACAAAACAAAACAAAACAAAACAAAACACAAGAAAAGAAAACTACAGGCCAATATCACTCATGAACAAGATGCAAAAATCTGTAACAAAATTCAGCAAACTGATTTCAACAACATATTAAAAAGATCATTCATCGTAATGAAGTAAGATTCATCTCAGGGGTGCAAGATAGTTCAACATACAAATCGATAAATGTGATACATCATAGCGCATTTAACAAAATATAGCATATTTGCTATAACATATAACAAAATAAAGGTCAAAAATTATTTCAATGGTTGAAAAAGCATTCAATGAAATTCAACGTCCCTTAATGATTTAAAAAAAAACTCTCAAAAAACTAGGGATACAAGAAATATAACTCAAAACAATAAAGGTCATATAAAACAATCCCACCACTGGCATCATACTGACTAGGGAAACACTGAAAGCCTTTCCTCTAAGATCTGGAATACAACAAAGACGCCCACTTTCACCACTTTTATTAGACATAGTACTGGAAGTCCCACCCAGAGTAATTAGGCAAAAGAAAGAAATAAAGAGCATCCAAACAGGAAAGGAGAAAGTAAAATTATCCTTGTTTACAGATGATATGATCTTATACTTCAAAAAACCTAAAGACTCCACCAAAAACCTATTAGAACTAATAAATAAATTCAGTAGACCTGCAGGATACAAAATTGACATATAAATTCAGTAGCATTTCTGTATGGCAACAGAGAACAATCTGAAAAATCAAAAAGTAATCCCATTTAAAATAGCTACAAATAAAATAAATGGAATCAAAGTAGTAAAAGCTCTGTATAATTAAAACTATAAAACACTGATGAAAGAAATTGAAAAGGACACAAAAAAGAAAATATATATCATGTTCATAAGTTGGAAGAACAAATATTGTTAAAATATCCATACAACCCAAAGGTATCTACAGATTAAATGCACTCCTTATCAAAATACCAATGACATTCTTCTCAGAAATGGAAAAAAAAATCCTAAAATTCATATTGAACCATAAAAGGCTCAGAATAGCCAAAGCAATCTTGACCAAAAAGAACAAAGCTAGAGGCAGCATATTACCTGACTTCGAATTATGGTATACAGCTATACAGCAAACAAAACAGCATGATACTGGCATAAAGACAAATAGTCCAATAGAATAGAGAGGCCAGAAATAAACCCACACACTTATAAACAACTCATTTTCAAAGAAGGTGCCAAGAACATACACTGGGGCAAGAATAGTCTCTCAATAAATGGTGCTCAGAAAATTATATCCTGTATATACAGAAGAATGGAACTAGACCCCCTAACTCTCAAGATATATATAAATTAAAACAAAATAGATTTAAAACTTAAATGTAAGACCTGAAACTTTGAAACCACTAGAAGAAAACATTGAGGAAATTCTTTTTTTTTTTTTTTTTTCTTTTTTTTTTTGAGACAGAGTCTTGCTCTGTCACCAGGCTGGAGTGCAGTGGCGCAATCTTGGCTCACTGCAACCTCCGCCTCCCGGGTTCAAGTGATTCTCCTGCCTCAGCCTCCCAAGTAGCTGGGACTGCAGGCGCACACCACCACACCCAGCTAATTTTTGTATTTTTAGTAGAGATGGGGTTTCACCATGTTGGCCAGGATGGTCTCAATCTCTTGACCTCATGATCTGCCCACCTCAGCCTCCCAAAGTGCTGGGATTACAGGCGTGAGCCATTGTGCCCAGCCAACATTGAGGAAATTCTACAGAACATTGGTCTGGGCAAAGATTTCGAGTAAGACCTCTAAATCACATGTAACCAAAGTAATATTGAAAAAATGAAATCACATCAAGCTAAAATGCTTCTGCACAGCTAACAATCAACAAAGTAAAGAGAAAACCTACAGAATGGGGAGAAAGTATTTGCAAATAGCTCATATGACAAGGGATTAATAACCAGAACACATAAGGAGCTCAAACAACTCAATAGCAAAATAATAATAATAATACAATTAAAAATTGGGCTAAAGACCTGAAGAGACATTTCTCAAAAGAAGACTTATAAATGGCCAACAGGTTTATGAAAAAATGTTCAACATCAGTAATAATCAGGGAAATGCAACCCACCTCACCACAGTTAAAATGGCTTTTATCCAAAAGACAGAATATAACAAATGCTGGTGAGGATGCAGAAAAAGGGGCATGCTCTCACACACTGTTGGTCAAGATGTAAATTAGTACAACCACTATGGAAAACAGTATGGAGGTTTATGGAAGTTCCTCAAAACACTACAAACAGAACTACGTATGATCCAGAAATTCTACTACTGGTTATATCCAAAAGAAGGAAAATCAGTATATCAAAGAAATATCTGCATATCCATGATTATTGCAGCATTATTTGCAATAGGCAAGATTTGGAATCCACCTAGGTGTCCATCGACAGATGAACAATGAAAGAAAATGTGGTATATATACACAAATGGAACATTATTCCACCATTAAAAAGAATGAAATCCTGTCATTTGCAATGACACTGATGGAACTAGAGAACATTATGTTAAGTGAAATAAGCCAGGTACAAAAGACAAATGTCTCATGTTCTCATTCATATGTGGGAGCTAAAACAATTGATCTCCTGGAGGTAGTGAATGAAATGGTGGTTACTAGAGGCTGTGAACACTAGTGAGGAGATGAGGATAAATAGAAATGGTTAATGGGTATAAAAATACAGTTAGAAAGAAAGAATAAGATCTAGTGTTCCACAGCATAATAAAGTGACTATAGTTTAAAATAATTTATTGTATATTTCAAAAGATCCAGAAGAGTAGACTTGGAGCATTCACAACACAAAGAAATGATAAATGTTTGAGGTGATGGATATTTCAGTTACCCAGATTTGATCATTACACATTATCTATTTGTATTAAAATATCACATGTACCCCTTAAATATGTACAACTATTATATATCCAATTATTTTTTTAAATATTGAAGAAATGAAAGACCTTCCAAGACCAGATTCTTCAATGAGAATTCATCTCTTTGTCACTAATTCTATCACTCAATTTCTTCATAACACTATAATAGCACCCACACAATGTATATAAATTCAAGTCCTAACATTGTTCCTTGCATTTATTAGGCATTCAATAAGTATTTATGGAGTTCAAGGATATTCCTTCATTGCAAATAACATAATGTGTAATGTACTGAGCCATTCTTCTATTCAACTAAATATTAATTTAGTTTCTTTTACTACAGTTTATAAGTCAGATTGGAAATAATATGACAAAAATAATACTGCCATAAAAGTTTGAATCATATATTTTTATCAAAATACTAAACTTATTGATGTTATGAATAGTAATAATAATATCACAATAATAGCTAGGATTAGGGAGTTAACATTTGCCAGGAACATATATTATACAACATATAAAGTACCACATTTATGACTTACCATTACAACATAAATTAAATTAGCTGCATTTTGCAGATGAGAAAACTAAGACACTAAAAAGTTAAATAGGCCAGGCGCGGTGCCTCATGCCTGTAATTCCAGCACTTTGGGAGGTCAAGGCAGGTGGATCACCTGAGGTCAGGAGTCTGAGACCAGCCTGGCCAACATGTGAAACCCCATCTCTACTAAAAATACAAAAATTAGCTGGGTGCAGTGGCGCGTGCCTGTCGTCCCAGCTACTAGGAAGGCTGAGGCAGGAGAATCCCTTGAACCCGGGAGGCTGGGGTTGCAGTGAACTGAGATCATACCACTGCACTCCAGCCTGGGCAACAGAGCAAGACTGCATCTCAAAAAATAAAATTAAGTTAAAAGTTAAATAATTTATCCAAGGTGACAGTGGCATTGCCAGCATGTAGACTCAAGTGGTATGATTCCAAAGCCCAAGCATTTAACATTGTTATATTTTTCCATAGCCACAAAGATTACATATACATATATATATAGTATACATATACACACATAAATATTTTATATACATATCTCCAAAGCAAGTTTTTAATCAGAGAATCTTCCTGAACATTATAAATAAAATTTTAATAAAACATTTTAAGAGTAACTTATAATAACTGACTAACCATAATATAATAATAATTGACAATAATGTTAGATTGGCTTTATTAGGTTGGATTTTTAAAATAATATATATGCTGCAGTATATTTAAAGCTTTGCCAGTCAAATATAAATTTATTTCCTACTTTCCCTTAATATCGGCATGCACTTTGAATTTTAATAAGTATATTTACTAGTTTTAAAAATGAGCTTTTCCCAATAAAGTGAACTAAAAATGAAAGAATAGTAATAAATGTTTACTTTCCATGCTTTATAAATTGATTTTAGACATTACTACATTAAAATAATTCATCAGATGTGACTTATTGTTTATTATTAGGTAGCTAATGTGGCCCCAAAAAATAAAAATGACTTTTACCCATCACATCACCATATAAAAGTCATAGACAGCAAAATATTTCCTGCCAACTTTAAGAAACACGGAAACTCTTAAAGAATTATTTAAAAATTTCATAAACTACCGGAGAAAGTATAACAGTGAATACAACAGGCATCTATTATTCACTCTATTTAATTTTTCATTGCCTTTACTTTGGCTTGTCAAATGTATCACGTCAGTAACAAAAATTAATGTGAAATAACTAAACTTGTCTTCAACCTAGCAGAGAAGTATTATCCTTAAAGGGGAACATATTCCTAAAAGCACTCTGCCTGTTAGAATAGTAAAACTTACCATAATAATTTAAAACATTTTGGAGCTAATAGAGCCATTCATATATTACTTTTACCTATGTTGGCAAAAAAATAATCATTGTGATGTTACATATGGCAATGGATTTGTAGATATGACACCAAAAATATAAGCAACAAAATAAAAAAATAGATAAACTATCAAAATTGAAACTTTTGCGTTTTAAAGGATACCATCAAAAAAGTGAACACAACCTACAGAATGGTGGAAAATACAAATCATATATCTCATGCGAGCCTCATATCTAGAAGATATATAGAACTTTTTCAATTCAACAGCAAAAAAAGCCCAATTATAAAATAAGTAAAAGATTTGAATAGACATTTCTCCAAGGAAGATAAAGAAATGGCTAAAAAGCATATGAAAAGACACAAATACTCACAAAGATATTTGTAAGCTATATTCTTAGCAGCATTATTTACAACAGCCAAAAGGTGGAAGCAACTCAAGTGTCCATCAATGAATAAATAGATAGATAAAATATGATGTGTGTAAGAACTAGATAAAGGTGACAGTTGTACAACATTGTGAATGTACTAATACATAATGAAACATTATTCAACCTTAGAAAGGAAAGACAGTCTGATACATGCTATCATACGAATGAACCATGAAGGCTTATGCTAAGAGAAATAAGCCAGTCACCAAAGGACAAAAACTGCATGATTCCACTTAACATGAGGTATCTATAGCCATCAAATTCACAGAAACAGAAAGTAGAATGGCAGTTCTTAGGGTCTGGAAGGAGGTGGGGGAGTGGGTAGCTATTTTTTAATGGTTATAGAGTTTCAGATTTACAAGATTAAAAAGTTTTAAAGAGGAATGAAAATGATGGTGGCAAAACAATGCACATGTCCTTAATGCCACTAAACTGTATACTTAAAAATGTTTAAAATGGTAAACTTTATATTATGCATATTTTTCCAAAATTTAAGAAAACAAAGTTTCTTTAAACAGGTAAAGTACTTGAATAAGTATTTCTCCAAACTAAGATACAAGGGCCAGCAAGCACATCAAAAGATATTCAATATTTAATCATTAAGGAAATGGAAATCAAAACCACAGTATTATTTAGCTGTAAAAAGGTATTAAGTACTGGTACTTGCTACAATGAGAATGAACATCAAAAACATAACATTTAGTGAAAGAAGGAAATCCCAAGATGTTACATACTGTGATTCCATTTATATGAAATATCTAGAATATAAGTAAATTTGTAAAGACAGATAGCAGAGCAGTGGTTGCCAGGGGCTGGGGTGACTCCTTCATGAGTACGGAGTTTCCTTTTGGGATGATAAAAAATGTTTAAGAAATAGATAAAGGTGATAGAGACACAGAGCAAGATAGCAGAATAGAAGGTTCCATCAATCGTCCCCTCCAACAGGGACATCAATTTAACAACTATCTAAACAGAAAAAACACCTTCATAAAACCAAAAATCAGGTGAGCCCTCATAGTACCTGGTGTTAACTTCTATCAGTGAAAGAGGCACTGAAGTGATTTCTTAAAAATTCTCCAATTGCCAACATCAGCCCTCTCCCACCTCCCTGCAGTGGCAGTATACGGGGAGGAAAGTATCTCTAGGCACTAAAGGAGGGAGAAAACAATAATCGTGAGGGACTGAACTCACTGCTGTCCTGCTATAGTAGAAAGGAGAACTGAACAAAACTCAGGGGACACCCGCCTACAGAAGGCACATACAAACCAGCACTAGACAAAGGAAAATCGCCAATCCTAGCAGTCTGAACTTCAGTTCCCACTGACCTCACCACCAAGGGCTAAAATGCTCTGAGTCTTTAAATGAAGTTGAAAGGCAGTCTGGGCCATAAGGACTACAACTCTTAGGCAAGTCCTAGTGCTGAACTGGGCCCAGAAACAGTGAACTGGAGGGCACAGGACCTGCTGGGACAGCAGAGGGGGTGACTAAGGGAGTACTGGCATTGCCTCTCCTCTAACCCCAGACTGCACAAATCGTGGTTCCAAAAGAGACCCCTAACTTCCACCTGAGAAGAGGTGTGGGAAAAGTGGAGAGGACTTTGTCTTGGCACCAGTCAGAATGATGAGGCCCTCCTTCCAGGTCTTAGCTTCCAGACGACATTTCTAGACACATACTGGGCCAGAAAGGAACCCACTGACTTGAAGGAAAGGACCCAGTCCTGGAAGCATTCATCACCTGGTTAACTGAAGAGTACTTGGGTCCTGAATAACCAGCAGCAATACCCACGTTCTATGTTGAGGGTCTTAGGTGAGCCTCTGAGACTTGCTGGCTTCAGGTGAAACACAGCACATTACCAGCTGCAGTGGCTAAAGGGCAAAACTCTTATGTTAGAGAAAAGCACAGGGAAAAGTAAATGGTACTTTGCCTTGTACCTTAGGAACTAACACAGTCACAGGTGGATGGAGCACCAAGTGGGGTCTTGGGATCCCCAATTTTAGGACTTAACTCTTGGATGGCACTTCTGAACCTACCCTAGGCCAGAGGGGAGCCCACTCCCCTAAAGGGTGAGTCCCAGGCCAGGCAGCATTCACCATAAGCTTACTTAAGAGCCCTTAGGCCTTAAGGGATCATCAGCTGTAGTCTGGCAGTACTCCCCATGGCCTTTGATGGCAGTGGCTATGAGGTGAGGCTCTTCTGCCTTTGGAAAAGGGAGGGAAGAGTGGGAAGGACTGCATATTGCGTTTTGAGTGCCAGCTCAGCCAAAGTACAATAGAACACTAAGTAGACTTCTAAGGTTTTTAACTCTAGTCCCTAACTCCTGTATAGCACCTCTGGACCCACCAGGGGCCTGAGGGAACTCGTCATCCAGAAGGGAAGAACACAGGCCTAGCTGGCTTTGCCACCTGCTGATTGTAGAGCCCCAGGACTTTAGGCGAACACAGGCAGTAACCAGTGAGTGCATACAGCAGGCTGTAGGCAAGATCCAATGTTGTGCTGGCTTCATGTCTGACCAGCACAGTCATACTGGTGATGGCCACGGTGGTACTTTTGTCACTCCACCCCCAGCTTTAAGTGGCCCAGAACAGAGAGAGGAATTCTGTTTGTTCGGGAGAAAATAAGGTAAGAGAACAATAGTCTCTGCCTGGTAATCCAGAATTCTCCCAGACCTTGTCCAAGACCATCAAGGCAGTCCCTCTATGAGTTTGTAAGTAAAGTATTACTGGGCTTAGGGTCCCCCCTATAGCAGATACAACTAATACCATAACATCCAAGTCCCAAGTCCTTTCAAACATCTAGAAAGTCTTCCCAAGGAGGACAGGTACCAACAAGCCCAGACAGTGGGGGCTACAATAAATACCTAACTGATCAATGCCCAGATAATGAAGAACATCTATTAGCATCAACACCATCCAGGAAAACATGACCTCATCAAATGAAATAGATAAGCCACCAGGGACCAATCCTGGAGAAACAGAGATATGTGACCTTTCAAACAGAGAATTTAAAATACCTGTGTTCACGAAACTCAAAGAAATGCAAGATAACAAAAAGAAGAAATTGAGAATTCTATTAGATGAATGTAACAAAGAGACTGAAATAATTAAAAGGTATCAAGGAGAAATTCTGTAGATGAAAGATGTAATTCGCATATGGAAGAATGCATTAGTCTTTTAATAGCAGAATTAATCAAGCAGAAGAAAAAATTAGTGAGCTTAAAGACAGGCTATTTGAAAATACGCTGTCAGAAAAGACAAAAGAAGAAGATTAAAAACAATGAACCACATCTACAGAATTTAGAGAATAGCTACAAAAGTGAAAATCTAAGAGTTCGTGGTCTTAAAAAGGAAGAAGTGAAACAGATAAGGGTAGAAAGTTTATTCAAAGGGGTAACAACACGAAACTTCTCAAACTAGAGAAATATATCAATATCAAAGTACAAGAAGGTTATAGAACACCAAACAGAATTAAACCCAAAGAAGACTACATCAAGGCATTTAGTAATCAATCAAACTCCCAAAGATCAAGAATAAAGAAAGGATCCTAAAAGCAGCAAGGGAAAAGCAACAAATCACATACAATGGAGCTCCAATACATCTGGCGGCAGACTGTTCAGTGGAAACCTTATGGGCCGGGAGACAATGGCATGACATATTTAAAGTGCTGAAGGAAAACAACTTTTACATTTGAAATGTATATATATCCTAAAATGTATATATTTGAAGTGTATATATATCCTACAAACATGAAGGAGAAATAAAGACTTTCCCAGACAAACAAAAGCTGAGTGATTTCATCAGCACCAGACCTGTCCTAAAAGAAATGCTAAAGGGAGTACTCCAAACAGAAAAAAAAAATGACATTAATCAGCAATAAGTAATCACCTGAAAACACAAAACTCACCAGTAACAGTGAGTACACATAAAAACACAGAATATTATAACACTGTAACTGTGGTGAGTAAAATACTCTTATCCTACATAGAAAGACTAAACAATGAACCACTCAAAAATAATAACAACTTTTCAAGATGTTGACAGTAAAATAAGATATAAATACAAACAATAACAAGTTAAAAAGCAGATGGATGAGGTTAAGGTATAGAGTTTTTATTAGTTTTCATTTGCTTGTTTGTTTATGCAAACAGTGTCAAGTTGTTATTAGGTTAAAATAATGGGCTATAAGGTAGTTTTTGCAAGATTCATGGTAACCTCAAACCAAAAAACATACAATGGATACACAAAAAATAAAAACTAAAAAACTATATCATATCACCAGGAAAAAAAAGGCCTTCACTAAAGGAAGACAGGAGGGAAAGAAAGAAGGAAAAGAGGACCACAAAAAGTGTCAAGTTGTTATCAGCTTAAATAATGGGTTATAATGTACTATTTACAAGTCTCGCGGTAACCTCAAAACAAAAAAACAAGATACACAAGAAATAAAAACCAAGAAACTCAATCATATCACCTTCACTAAAGCAAGACAGAAAGAAAGAAGGAAGAGAAGAACACAAAACAACCAGAAAACAAATAATAAAATGGCAGAAGTAAGTCCTTACTTATCAATAATAGCTTTCAACGTAAATAGACTAAACTCTTCAATCAAGAGAGTGGCTGAATGGATGGAAAAAAAATACTCAATAATCTGTTGCCTACAATAAACATATTTTACAAATAAAGACACATGTAGCCTATGATAAAGGAATGGAAAAATATATTCCATGCAAATGGAAACCAAAAAAGAATAGGAGTAGCTATACTTACATCAAACAAAACAGATTTCAAGACGAAAAACAAAAGAATAGACAAAGAAGGTCACTCTATAATGATAAAGCGGTCAATTCAGCAAGAAGATATAACAGTTTTAAACATATGTATACACCCAACAATGAAGCATCTAGATATATAAAGCAAATATTATTATTAGAGGTAAAGAGAGAGATAGGCCCCAATAAAGTAATAGCTGGAGATTTCAACACTGCACTTTCAGCTATGAACAGATCTTTCTTCGAAGAAAATCAACAAAGAAACATGGGACTTAATCTGCACTATAGACCAAATGGATCTATCAGATAGTTACAGAAAATTTCATCCAACAGCTGCAGAATACACATTATTTTCCTCACCACATGGATCACTCTCAAGTATAGACCATATGTTAGGTCACAAAGCAAGTTGTAAAACATTGAAAAAAACTGAAATAATATAAAGCATCATCTCTGACCACAATGGAATAAAACTAGAAATTAATAACAAGAGGAATTTACAAATACATGGAAATTAAACAATATGCTCCTGAATGACCAGAGGGTCAATGAAGAAACTAAGAAGGAAACTGAAAATTTTCTTGAAACATGATAATAGAAACACAACATACTAAAACCTATGGGATACAGCAAAGCAATACTAAGAGGAAGTGTCTAGCTATAAGTGCCTACATCAAAAAAAGAGGAAAAGCTTCAAATAATCTAATGATGCATCTTAAAAACTAGAAAAGGAAGAGCAAACCAAAACCAAAATTAATAGAAGAAAATAAGAAAGATCAAAGCAGAAATAATAAAATTGAAATGAAGAAAACAATAAAAAAAAGACTGATGAAACAAAAGGTTGATTTTTGAAAGGTTAAACAAAATAGAAAAACCTTTAGCCAGACAAACTAAGAAAAAACAGAGAAGACACACAAAAAAATTCAATCAGAAAGGAAAAGGAGACATTTCAAAGGATACTGCAAAAATTCAAAGGATTACTAGTGGCTACTATGAACAACTACATGCCAATAAACTGGAACATCTAGAAGAAATAAAAAATTCCTACACAGATACAACCTACCGAGATTGAACTGGGAAGAAATCCAAAACCTGAACAGACCAATAACAAGTAATGTTATTGAAGGTATAATAAAAAGTTTCCCAATAAAGAAAAGCCTGGGGTCTGATGGCTTCACAGCTGAATTCTACCAAACATTTAAAGCAGAACTAATACCAATCCTACTCAAACTATTCTGAAAAATAGAGGAGAAGGAAATACTTCCAAACTCATTCTACAAGGCCAATATTACCCTGATATTAAAACCAGACAAAGACACACACACCAAAAAAAAAAAAAAAGAAAAGAAAAGAAAAGAAAAAAAAAGAAAGAAAACTAGCCGGGTGTGGTGGCTCACCCCTGTAATCCCAGCACTTTGGGAGGCCAAGGCTGTCAGATGCCAAGGTCAGGAGATCTAGACCATCCTGGCTAACATGGTGAAACTCCATCGCTACTAAAAATCCAAAAATTAACCAGGCTTGTTGGCACATACCTGCAGTCCCAGCTACTTGGAGGCTGAGGCAGGAGAATCACTTGAACCCAGGAGGTGGAGGTTGCAGTGAGCTGAGATCGTGCCACTGCACTCCAGCCTGGGTGACAGAGCGAGACTCCATGTCAAAAACAAACAAAGAAAACTACAGGCCAATATCTCTAGTGAATGTTGGTGCAAAATACTAGCAAACAAAATTCAACAGTACATCAGAAAGATCATTCATAACCAAGTGGGATTTATCCCCCTGGAATGCAAGAATGGTTCAACATATGCAAATCAGTCCATGTGACACATCATATCACTAGAATGAAGGATAAAAATGATCTAATCATTTCAATTGACAGTGAAAACGCATTTGATAAAATTCAAGATCCCTTCATGATAAAAACCCTCAAAAAATTGGGGATTGAAGGAACATAACTCAACCTAATAAAAGCCATATATGACAGACCCACAGCTAGTATCATACTGAAGGGGGAAAATTGAGAGGCTTTCTTCTAAAATCTGGAACACAATAAGGATGCCCACTTTCACCACTGTTATTGAACACAGTCCTGAACGTCCTAGCTAGAGCAATAAGAAAAAAGAAAGATATAAAGGGCATCCAAATAGGAAAGGAGGAAGCCAAATTATCCTTGTTTCCAGATAATATGATCTTATATTTGGAAAAACCTAAAGACTCCATAAAAATCTTAGAACTGATAAATTCAGTAAAATTGAAGGATACAAAATCAACATACAAAAATCAGTAGCATTTCTATATGCCAATAGTGAACAATATAAAAAAGAAATTAAGAAAGTAATCCCATTTATAATAGCCACACATAAAATTAAATACCTGGGAATTAACCAAAGAAGTGAAAGATCTCTATAATGGAAACTATAAAACACTAATTAAAGAAATTGAAGAGGATACCAAAAATGCATTGGAAGAATCAATTCATGGATTGGAAGAATCAATATTGTTAAAATGTCCATATTACCCAAGGCAGTCTACAGATACAATGCAATCCCTCTCAAAATAACAGTAACATTTGTCACAGAAACAGAAAAAAAATTAAAATATATATGGAACCACAAAAGACCCAGAATAGCCAAAGCTATCCAAAGCAAAAAGAACTGAAGGAATGACATTACCTGACTTCAAGGTATACTAAGGAGCTACAGCAAGCAAAGCAGCATAATACTGGCATAAAAACAGACACATAGTTCAATGGAACAGAACAGAGAACTCAGAAACAAATCGACACAGCTACAGTGAATTCATTTTCGACAAAGGTGACCAGAACATATACTGGGGAAAAGACAGATTCTTCAATAAATGGTGCTGGGAAAACTGGAGATCCATATGCAGAAGAATGAAACTAGAGCCTATCTCTTGCCATATATAAAAAGCATATGGTATAAAGACTTAAATCTAAGACCTCAAACTATGAAACTACCAGAACAAAACATTGGGGAAAAATCTCCAGGACATTGGTCTGGGCCAAAATTTCTTGGACAATACCCTGTAAGCACAGGCAACTAAAGCAAAAACGGACAAATGGGATTACAACAAGTTAAACAGCTTCTGCACAGCAAAGGATACAATCAACAAAGTGAAGAGAAAACCCACAGAATGGGAGAGAATATTTGCAAACTACCCATCTAACAAAGGACTAGTAACCCAAATATATAAGAAGCTGAAACAATGCCACAGAAAAAAATCTAATAATCCAATCAAAAAGTGGGCAAAATATTTGAAGAGATATTTCTCAAAAGAAGACATACAAATGACAAACAGGCATATGCAAAGGTGCTCAAAATCATGGATCATCAGAGAAATGCAAATCAGAACTGTAATATCACCCCAGTTAAAATGGCTTATATCCAAAGACAGGCAATAACAAATGTTTGTGAGGATGTGGAGAAAACAGAACCCTTGTACACAGTTGGTGAGAATGTAAATTAGTACAAGTACTATGGAGAAAAGTTTGAAGGTTCCTCAAAACACTAAAAATTGAGCAACCGTATGATCCAGCAATTCCATGGCTGGGTATAAACCTTAAAAATAGGACACTGGTATATCAAAGAGATACCTGCGCTCCTACGTTGCAACAATGTTTACAATAGATAAAATTTGGAAGCAACCTAAGTGTCCATTACACAGGGGTCCCCAACCCCTGGGTATGGACTGGTACCAGTCTATTTCCTGTCAGGAACCGGCTGCACAGCAGAAGGTGATCAGCGGGTGAAAAAGCATTCAGGCCAGAGCTCTGCCTCCTGTCAGATCTGTGGTGGCATCAGATTCTCATAGGAGCTCAAACCCTACTGTGAACTACACATGTGAGGAATCTAGACTACGCACTCCTTATGAGAATCTAACTAATGCCTGATGATCTGAGGTAGAATAGTTTCATCCACAAACTATACCCCACCACCACCCCATCCGTGGAAAAATTGTCTTCCCCAAAACTACTCCCTGATGCCAAAAATGTTGGGGACTGCTGTATTAACAGATGAATGGATAAAGAAAATGTGGTATATATTTTTTATGGCATTCATCCATAAAAAAGAATGAGATCCTGTCATTTGCAACAACATGGATAGAACTGGAGATCACTATGTTAAGTGAAATAAGACAGGCACAGAAAGACAAACATTGCATGTTCTCACTTATTTGCGGAATCTAAAAAGCAAAACAATTGAATTCATGAACATAGACAGTAAAAGGATGGTTACCAGAGGCTGGGAAGGGTAATGGGGTGCTGGGGAGAAGGTAGGGATGATTAATGGGTACAAAAACAATAGTTAGAGGGCTGGAGGGCAGGGGGTATAGTTAAGAGGTGCAAAAAAATAGGAAGAATGAAGAAGACCTACTATTCGATAGCACAATAAGGTGACTATAGTCAGTAGCAACTTAATTGTACATTTTAAAATAACTTGAAATAACTTAAAGAGTGTAATTAGATTCTTTGTAACACAAAGGATAAATGCTTGAGCAGGTTACCCTATTCTCCATGAAGTGATTATTTCACATTGCATGCCTGTATCAAGATATTTCATGTACCCCATAAATATATACACCTACTATGTACCCACAAAATTAAAAATTGAATTCTTTTTAATTAAAAACTTTAAAAAATGCCCAGGCATGGTGGCTCACGCCTGTAACCACAGCACTTTGGGAGGCTGAGGCAGACAGATCACGAGGTCAGGAGTTTAAGACCAGCCTGGCCAACATAGTGAAACTCCATCTCTATTAAAAATACAAAAAAAAAAAAAATTAGCTAGGCATGGTGGCGGGCCCCTGTAGTCCCCCCCCCCCAGCTACTTGGGAGGCTGAGGCAGGAGAATTGCTTGAACCCAGGACACAGAGGTTGCAGTGAGCCGAGATCACACCACTGCACTCCAGCCTGGGCAACACAGCGAGACTCTGTCTAAAAAAAAAAAGAAAAAAAAATCAGACAGTTGCACAACACTGTACATAGTTAAGTGTCTGTTATGTGGGTTTCACTTTGCTAAAAAGTCATTCTCAAGAATTGGAGTTATGGTTAGAAGCATTATATAAATGCCAACAGAAATATATTAAGTAAATTACAGAATGAACTAATTACATATGGGCATGAAAATATGTTGGAAAATATATCCAAAATAATTTTCATAAAAGTAAAATAAAACATACCACAATTTTATATTAAATACACGACAGTTTACAGAGACACACAAATTGTAATGTGAATGAAAACATCTCATAGTATATTTTTTCTTCAAATTATGCAATCAATACATTAACACACATAACCTATCTGACACATGCACTTTCTCCAATAAAATGTATGGCCATGGAAAATTCAGTACTGAAACACTTTAGAAAGAGCTTGTCTTGAAAACCTTGGTCTTTTTAGAAATATAAAATTAAAAAACACTATGACTCTAGTATGTAGACCCTAAATTTTGTGGATTCCACTTGGCCCATAATTACTGCATCTTATGTATCCACTGGACAGAGCACTAAGCTGTGGCTTTTAGGTGAGAACAACTGGATCTTCCTGGTCCATATGAACATAACTCCTGCATTAACAGTTAAGAGCGAGGTTTAGGAATGAGACATTTTCTTACTCTAACTAGCAATATGATCTTGGGTATTTTAGATAACTTCTTTGTGCATTAAATATTTGTGTCCACATGTAAAATGAGGATCAAAGTAATACCATACAGTTTTGTAAAGCTAATATAAAATAATGACAATAAAGCTATTAGTACGGTGCCTAGGATATAAAAAATGTTAAATGTGGGCCAATGCATCTGTATTAGAGCTTCAAATGGATCAGAGCACTGCATAACACAAAACTTCCATTCACCTATCTTTATTTGTCACCCAACATACTACAGTAGGCCCTCCTTACCCATGGGTTCCACATCTGTGAACTCAACCAACAGCAGATCAAAAATATTCAGAAAAAATCCCCCAAATTCCAAAATGTAAAATTTATATTTGCCATGCACCAAGTATACTTTGAATCCATGTGAATGAAGTGAAATATAGGCATTGTATTAGGAATTACAACTAAAGATGATTTGAAGTACACAGGAGGATATGCATCAGTTTTATGCAAATACTACACCACTATGTAAGGGACTTCACCATCTGCAGATGTTGGTACACAGGAAAGGTCTTGGAATTAATCCGCATGGATACCAAGGTACAACTGTATTAGCTGCACAATTTTGTTGACTCAAATGTTGAATCAGTTCATCATTCCCCATGTGTCTCAACTCTGAGTGCATATTAGTCACTTGGGAAACATTTAAAAAGAACAATTACCTAAGAATCACCCTACAACCACAACCAAGATAATGATTTAATTGTTTTAGAAAGTGGCCCAGACAGCCATATTTTTAAAAGCTTTCCAGCTGGTTCTAATATGCAGCTAGTGTTAAAAAAAAATTATCTAACCAGAGTCAGGCTCCACTCCCTCAAATTCCTCACATCTTCACAGCCAAAAACGTATTTCTGTGGGTGCTATGTAGGCAAACTCCATTTAGAGACGGTAGATTAAAAATTTAAAAGACAAGTTCCAATCTAGAGATAATGAAGGATTTCTATTAAATTCTACTTTAAAAGGAAATTATATTTAAAGAACAAATATTATTTACAAAGTAGGAGAAAGAAGTGGCAGAATAGAGAGGAAGATGGAGGAAAGTAGGGTTTAGTAAACAAGAATGTGATGATTATGGCTAGCATTTATAATGCTCTTTTTTATGTGCTTCAATTCCTAAGGCCTATATTACATAAAATCTCATTTGACCTTTACAACAACTCAGTGAATTATTATCATCTCCATTTTACATATGGGAAAAATAAGACACTGAGAGGTTAATGAACCAAGGTCATACATTTGAACAGTGACAGAGTTGGGATTTCAGCCCAGATTTGGTTCCAAACCCATACTCTCCTAGATACTACTCTATACTACCACCCTGTGCAATAAAAATCTTACCTGATGTAAGTTAAACACATTTAACTTTTAATTATTATTTCTGAAGTCAAAACAATAAATTATTACTTATTAAAAAAACTATCAGCAATGATTATTTTTGAATAGTGAGATAGTAGGTGTTTTTTCTTTTATTTATCTGTGTTTGAGAAATTACAATAAGAAACATGCATTCATTTTGAAATAAGAAAAAGGAATATTTTTGAATCAAGCATATTACAGAATTTTTATAGTTCACAGTTTCTAATATGTATTACTTTAGAAAACATACTAAAACTGAGTAAAAAATTTTCTGTAGTAGTATATATTCTCCACAACAGGCGCTGCTTTCTTAATTATCTTTTCCTTAGTAAAAATACACCAAAATTTGCTTAAAAGAAACTTACCTGTGCACTGTCCACCATTGGTTGGATCTCCATAATAACCTGGCATACAATCTTGACACTGCTTTCCTGTGGTGAGATTTTTACACTGTTCGCACACATTATTATTGATGCAAGTGCTATGTCCATTACACTGGCAAGCTAAAGGAAACAGTAAAAAGCATTACAAATATCTAACATAATATCAAGTATAATAGCTATCAAAACAAAGAATGTATCTTAAAAAGCTGGATTGTAAAAGTGCCCAAAGAGCATCTTCCAAGTTTTGTTTAAAAATTAATAACACATATAGCTCAAAGTTTTGTGCAAGACAGTATGTACCATAAATCATGTGTTGAAATTTTACCTTAACCTCTTTACAATGCCATGGTTAAAGATGAACTGGAACATAAAAGTTATAGCTAAAGAGGGAATAATCTTTAGCATAATCCTTAAAAATTCATAAGAATGGTATGTCTGTTAAGTTATATAAACACAAGGCTAAATACTATAACTTTGATAAAGAATGCTAAAATTCATCTTAATTATATTAACACATGATAATAAAGAGTCAATCAATATAGAAAATAGTGTGGCAATAGATTCTAACCAGAATAAAGTAAACTAATAGTAAAATTAATAAAAATAGTACTTTTGAGCCAGGCGTGGTGGCTCACACCTGTAATCCCAGCACTTTGGGAGGCCGAGGTGGGCAGATCACTTGAGGTGAGGAGTTTGAGACCAGCCTGGCCAACTTGGTGAAACCCTGTCTCTACTAAAAATACAAAAAAATTAGCTGGGCATGGTGGTGCATGCCTGTAATCTTAGCTACTTGGGAGGCTGAGGCAGGAGAATTCGCTTGAACCTGGGAGAGAGATGTTGCAGTGAGCCGAGATCGTGCCAGTGCACTCCAGCCTGGGCAACAGAGCAAGACTCCGTCTCAAAAAAAAAAAAAAAAGTACTTTTGAATTAATTTGCATAAATATGTATCTTCTTTAGGTAAGAAAAACTTCAAGATTTAACTGAAAGTCTATTTAAGTTTGAACTAAACAGAATGAAATATAAAGTATGAGATTGTTTATATATCTGTGTAACTGAGACTTCCATGTTTCGATGTTAATATTACAGCAGAATATAAAAATTTCAGAATAAAGTTCATGTATGAAAGGCTCATGCTCTTTGTGCCTATTTGGGACATAAAATTAACTTAGTCTGGTAACTGCTTGGCCAAAAATCATCTTAATTGTCACCCTCATGATTATTTTTACTTATTACAACTATGATAGCAACTAGCATTTAACTGAGCTCTCTCTCACTCCATGAGGAAAGCCAATATTCTGCTGGTGCCAATTGTTTGTAGTTGGTATCTGTTCTGATTGGTAAGTGTACATAAGCATCAATTTTTAAACACTGTAAACACCATGCCTTGGCCAGACAGAGGACCAAATTGTACATATGAATTTTATTATTTAATCTTCAAAACAATGCTATGTGGAAGTTGCTGTGTTCAGGACTGATTCTAAGATGGAGAAATCTGGGTTAAGCAACTACACAAAGTCACACAGCTAATCAACGACAGAAACAAATATGTATATGGAACATTGAATGTAAAAAAAAAACAGATATTAAATAGCATGTAAAACTGCCTCTTATATTCAGAAAATCTGAAAGTGAGAGGAATTCCCAAGAGGCTAGCATAGGATCATCAAAATGAATTAGCATGTGAAGAAACAGACAAACAAAAGAGTAAAACCAAATACTTTACAGAAATTCTTAGAGGTGCAAGTCTATTGTAACACATTATAGAAAGAATATGCAGTTATGAAAAAATGCTCATCATCCTCTTTATGAAATTGAGAATAATTATAATGTTTTTAAACTCCATATTACATTATGAAACAATTAGAAAATTTAATAGCAAGGAATAATGTTCATGACAAATTAAGAGAAGCAATTAATACAGAGCATTATATTTAGAAAGATGGCAATGTTAAATTCAAGGAAGCAGAGCAAACAGCAAAATAGGTTTCTCCAACAATTATACCCACGAAGAAACATCAATTTGAACAACCACTCACACATACAATTGCCTTCACGAGGGCTAAAAAAAACCTGAATGCACAAGTAAGGCTGTGAAGCCTCTCCAGACTACAGACTAGTAAAAGTATGGTTGGATGGTAAGAGAATCAGTTTTCTGTGACCACAATACCCCATCCCCAAGCCCTTAGAGTACTATACACAGAAAGGTCTCCAGGACTCAGGGATTCTACACTCAAAAGAGGAAGCCGGAGATAGGCATTATGCTTCTCTACCATCCTGAATCCCTTCATGGGAGATTTGCTTCTGCATCAGCCCATGAAGAGCATCACAAGTACAATGGGGCTGAACCACCTGAGGCCACCTATGGAAAAAAGAAAGAGTAGGGCTAGTAACAGGCAGCACAGAGAACTTGGCAGTGGCTTACCATCCCTGGCAGAGAGGATGCCCCACCACAGAGGATGTTTATGAGTGCCACAATGTCAGATGGATGGTCTACAATCCTTCATATGTGAGGGTCTGACCCTGATCTCTTACATGGCCTGGGCACCCAATATGGATCTCCCATGATCACAATGAGTTTGGATCCTGCATTAGACAATCATGTCAAAGCTGGGCTCAGAGCACCTTCTAGCACTAAAATGAAATACAAGAGTCAGTATGCTCAGAATATGTCAACAAGCCCACCGAAACAGAGCAGTCACAAACAAATCCAGACTGCAAAGACTGGAAAAAAATACCTAATTTGTCAATAAACATACAGAGACACATGTAAAGAAGATATAAGATTAGCTTGGAAAAGATGGCCTCATGAAACGCCCAAAACAAGGTGCCAATTACTAATCCTAAACATATGCACATAAATCATAGGCAATCAAAGAATTAAAATATAGCTGCTTTAAGAAAAATCAGCAATGTCAATACAACACAGAGGAACAAATGAGGAATTTGTTAGAGAAATTCAACAAACAAATTGAAATAATTTAAAAAATCAAACAGTAATCCAGGAGCTAAAAAGAATAATAAATGAAAGGAAAAATGCAGGCCTCACACCTGCGGTGGCTCACGCCTATAATCCCAGCACTCTGGGAAGCTGAGGCAGACAGATCACAAGGTCAGGAGATTGAGATGATCCTGGCTAACATGGTGAAACCCCATCTCTACTAAAAATACAAAAAAATTAGCCAGGCTTGGTGGCGGGCGCCTGTAGTCCCAGCTACTTGGGAGGCTGAGGCAGGAGAATGGCGTGAACCCAGGAGGTGGAGGTTGCAGTGAGCCGAGATTGCACCACTGCACTCCAGCCTAGGCAACAGAGCAAGACTCCGTCTCAAAAAAAAAAAATGCAATAAAGGGCATCAATAGCAGAATGACAAAGCAGAAGAATCACTGATTTCAAAAACAAGCTATTGGAAAATACACACTCAGAGAAGAAAACAGATAAGCAATGAGAAAAACACAGAGGTTCTATGAAACAGTGTCAAAAGAGCAAATCTGTGTATCATTAGTGTTCAAAAAAGAATAAAAAATGAAAATGGGGAAGAAAGCTTATTTAAAAAAAATAACAGAAAATGTCCAAACCTGAAGAAAGATATAAATATTCAAGTACAGAAAGGTGAAAGGTAACAAAACAGATTCAATCCAAATAAGATAACCCTAAGACATATATAACCACTTTCTCAAAAGTCAAAGACAGAGAACACTGAAAGCAGCATGAGAAAAAAAAAAAAAAAAAAAGCAAATAACACATAAAGGAATTCCAATATGCCTGACAGGAGAGTTACCAGGAGAAACCCCACAGGCCAAGAGAGAGCGGGATGACATATTCAAAGACAACAAAACTGCCTGCCAAGAATACCGTATAGAGCAAACTTATTAATTAGAAATAAAGACTAAAGACATTCCCAGATAAACAAAAGCTGAAGAAAACCCTTGCAACCAGAACTACATTACAAAAAAAATACTTTCAGGAGTTGTTCGAACAAAAAGAAAAAATAATAATCCTAATGTGTAACAAAAAAAGTTCAAAACTATAAAACTGACAGGTAAAAATAAGTATCTAAACAAATTCAGAATACTCTAACATGGTAATCGTGGGTCAAGAAACAATTATATCCTTATTAGGAAGGTTAAAAAACAAAGCAAATAAAAATAACAACAACTAAAATGATTTGGTTAAGGGATAAACAATATAAGATGTAAATTATGACATCAAAAATGCAAAATGTAGAAGAGTAATGAAGTTAAAGAATAGAGTGGGTTTTTCCTTTTCTTCCGACCAAAATTAACTTATCAATTCAAAATAGCCTTTTAAAATAATAAGATGTTTTTGATAGGCTCAAGGTAAGCAAAAAACAAAAGCCTACAATATATACACTAAAAATAAAAAGCAAGAAATCAAATCATATTGCTAGAGAAAATCACTTAACACAAAGGGAGGCAGTAAGAGAAGAAAGAAAGAAATGTTCTACAAAACAACTAGAAAACAAGTAGCAATATGGCAGTACAAAATCCTTACCTTCCAATAATTACCTTGAATGTAAAGGGCTTAAATTCTCCAAATAAAAGACAAACAGTGAGTCAATGAATAAAGAAACAAGACCCAACTACATACTGCCAACAAAAGATTCAATTCACCTTTAAGAATGTGCATAGACTTAAAGTAATGAGATGCAAAAACATATTGCACGCAAATGGAAAAGTAAGTAGGATTAACTATACTTCTATTAGACAAAATAGGCTTCAAGTCAAAAACTATAAAAAGAGATAAATGAGGTCAATACTTACTGATAAAGGGATCAATACAAGAGGATAGAACAATCGAGAATTTATATGGAATGCACATTGGAGTAACTTAATATAGAAAGCAAACATTAATAGATCCAAAGGGAGGTATAGAAAGCAAAACAATAGTAGTAGGGGAATGTTAACACCCAACTCTCAGCAATCGACAGATCATCAAGGCAGAAAATATATGGGGAAACACTGAACATAAACTGAATTTATGACAAAAATGACTTCACATATACAAAATATTCCATCCAAAAGCTGCAGAATTCACATTCTTCTCAAATGCATATGCAACATTCTTCAGGTTAGCTAATATGTTAGGAAAAAAGTCTTAATGAATTAAATATATCAAAATCATATGAAGTATCTTTTCTGACCATAATGAAATAAAACTAGAAGAAAAGAGAAGGAACTTCAAACACTATACAAATAGATAGAAATTAAAGAACATGCTCCTAAACAGCCATGGGTAAATTATAAAATTGACAGTGAAAAAAACAAATGCTGGCATGTATGTGGAGAAAGGGGAACTCTATACATTTTTTATGGGAATGTAAATTGGTACATCAAAAACAGTTGGAGGTTTCTCAAAAAAAATAAAAATATAATACTATATGATCCAGCAATCTCACTACTGGGTGTATATCCAAAGGAAATAAAATCAGTATGTTGAAGAGACATCAGCACTTCAATGTATTAATATATTGCAGCACTACACACAATAACCAAAATATAGGATCAACCTAAATACCAAACATGGATGAATGGATAAAGAAAGTGTGAATAAACAAATAAATACACATACACACATGCACACAATGAAATATTTTTCAGCCATGAAAAAGGTCCATAAAAAATAAAATCCCATCATTTGGGACAACACGGATGAGTTTAGATGACATTTTCTTAAGTGAAATAAGCCAGGCACAGAAAGACAATCACCACATGATCTCAGTCATATATGGTATCTTTAAAAAAAAGATCTCATAGACATTAAGAGTATAATGATGATTACAAGAAACTGGAGAGAATAGGAGGAGGGGGAGATAGGGACATGTTGGTTAATGCATACAATATTACACATAGGAGGAATACCTATGATGCAATAGAGTACAAGAACAGTAGTAAGGTGATTATAGCTAACAATAATGCATTTCAAATAGCTAGAAGAGAGGATTCTGAATGTTCTCACAACAAACACATTATAAATGTTTAAGGTAATAGATATGTTAATTACCATGATTCGACCATTATACAACATATACCTGTATTAAAACATCGCATTGAACCGTGTGAAACATGTGCATATTTTGTTTCAATTTAACATAGTGACAATTTTGTGATGAAATGTATAAATACGTTTATGGAAAAGCTGATGGGTATCTTACTAAAGTAAGATTTTTCTGTATTACCAATTGTCTATAATAAATTAATATTATCTTTACAATAATGTTATTAAAAACTTTAATTTTATAACATTATCCTTAAAAGCTTAAGGTACTGTTTCTTTTTTTTAAATTATTTTTTATTATTATTATACTTTAAGTTTTAGGGTACATGTGCACAATGTGCAGGTTAGTTACATATGTATACATGTGCCATGCTGGTGCGCTGCACCCACTAACTCGTCATCTAGCATTAGGTATATCTCCCAATGCTATCCCTCCCCACTTCCCCCCACCCCACAACAGTCCCCAGAGTGTGATGTTCCCCTTCCTGTGTCCATGTGTTCTCATTGTTCAATTCCCACCTATGAGTGAGAATATGCGGTGTTTGGTTTTTTATTCTTGCGATAGTTTACTGAGAATGATGATTTCCAATTTCATCCATATCCCTACAAAGGACATGAACTCATCATTTTTTATGGCTGCATAGTATTCCATGGTGTATATGTGCCACATTTCTTAATCCAGTCTATCATTGTTGGACATTTGGGTTGGTTCCAAGTCTTTGCTATTGTGAATAGTGCCGCAATAAACATACGTGTGCATGTGTCTTTATAGCAGCATGATTTATAGTCCTTTGGGTATATACCCAGTAATGGGATGGCTGGGTCAAATGGTATTTCTAGTTCTAGATCCCTGAGGAATCGCCACACTGACTTCCACAATGGTTGAACTAGTTTACAGTCCCACCAACAGTGTAAAAGTGTTCCTATTTCTCCACATCCTCTCCAGCACCTGTTGTTTCCTGACTTTTGAATGACTGCTATTCTCACTGGTGTGAGATGGTATCTCATTGTGGTTTTGATTTGCATTTCTCTGATGGTCAGTGATGGTGAGCATTTTTTCATGTGTTTTTTGGCTGCATAAATGTCTTCTTTTGAGAAGTGTCTGTTCATGTCCTTTGCCCACTTTTTGATGGGGTTGTTTGTTTTTTTTCTTGTAAATTTGTTTGAGTTCATTGTAGATTCTGGATATTAGCCCTTTGTCAGATGAGTAGGTTGCGAAAACTTTCTCCCATTTTGTAGGTTGCCTGTTCACTCTGATGGTAGTTTCTTTTGCTGTGCAGAAGCTCTTTAGTTTAATTAGATCCCATTTGTCAATTTTGGCTTTTGTTGCCATTGCTTTTGGTGTTTTAGACATGAAGTCCTTGCCCATGCCTATGTCCTGAATGGTAATGCCTAGGTTTTCTTCTAGGGTTTTTATGATTTTAGGCCTAATGTTTAAGTCTTTAATCCATCTTCAATTGATTTTTGTATAAGGTGTAAGGAAGGGATCCAGTTTCAGCTTTCTACATATGGCTAGCCAGTTTTCCCAGAACCATTTATTAAATAGGGAATCCTTTCCCCATTGCTTGTTTTTCTCAGGTTTGTCAAAGATCAGATAGTTGTAGATGTGCAGCGTTATTTCTGAGGGCTCTGTTCTGTTCCATTGATCTATATCTCTGTTTTGGTACCAGTACCATGCTGTTTTGGTTACTGTAGCCTTGTAGTATAGTTTGAAGTCAGGTAGTGTGATGCCTCCAGCTTTGTTCTTTTGGCTTAGGATTGACTTGGCGATGTGGGCTCTTTTTTGGTTCCATATGAACTTTAAAGTAGTTTTTTCCAATTCTGTGAAGAAAGTAATTGGTAGCTTGATGGGGATGGCACTGAATCTGTAAATTACCTTGGGCAGTATGGCCATTTTCATGATATTGATTCTTCCTACCCATGAGCATGGAATGTTCTTCCATTTGTTTGTATCCTCTTTTATTTCCTAGAGCAGTGGTTTGTAGTTCTCCTTGAAGAGTTCCTTCATGTCCCTTTAAGTTGGATTCCTAGGTATTTTATTCTCTTTGAAGCAATTGTGAATGGGAGTTCACTCATGATTTGGCTCTCTGTTTGTCTGTTATTGGTGTATAAGAATGCTTGTGATTTTTGTACATTGATTTTGTATCCTGAGACTTTGCTGAAGTTGCTTATCAGCTTAAGGAGATTTTGGGCTGAGACAATAGGGTTTTCTCGATATACAATCATGTCATCTGCAAACAGGGACAATTTGACTTCCTCTTTTCCTAATTGAACACCGTTTATTTCCTTCTCCTGCCTAGTTGCCCTGGCAAGGTACTGTTTCATAGAAAATTTACTCTGTGACACCACTAATTAATTCACTCAGGTAAAAACAAAATTTATTGAGTGCCCACTACATGTAAAGACTTACCAGAAGATTTAAAGTAAGAAATGGGTTACTGTAACAACTTCATGAAATTTCTGGCCATTTGGAAGAATCATTAAAAAAAAAAAAGTTTTAACATCTGAATAAGACAGCTAAATTTAGCACTCATATCTAACATCTCCCTCACAGATTAATGGTAAAATAATAAGTAAATGTACCAGCAATGATAGGCATTATGGTGACCTACATGAACAAAACTAGAAGGTAGTAATCTATAATACCTCTTGATGATAAAAGAAGTTCCCTAGCAAAATGCCACTCAACCCTCCTTTCCTGAATAAGAAAAATTCTGAAAACAAAGGTTAGTCATAGGGCAGTCAAGAAGCATATCACTGGTATTCCTTCATCCATCTGGTGGAAAGTATAAATCAAGGAAGCCTGACATGGTCTATATATGATGCAGAAAGCCAGTATACTTTAGACCTACCTGCAGAAAAAATATCTGCTGAAAAAAGTCTGGTAATTGTCACACCTTATAACTAATATGGTAGCAATGGCAAAGGAGAAAGTATATTACAGAAAAGGGGACCCAGGCATAATGGCTGTATCAAATAACAAGAAAATGGTATATTAGTAAGCCTATGGTTATGTTCTATTCCCCACTACCAAAAGAGTGTTAGATCGACAGGTAATGTCAGCTTGCACATAAGAGTGTTGAGGTTTACATTGTTGCTTGAAAGGTTCTAATATCATCTAATATCTCAGTAGCTATGGAATATGAATAAAACTAAAGAGAAGTCATCCATTCTATTTTCTCTAAATTTTAAAACCACTCCAGATGGCTCCTCATTTATGGACACACAAACAGAAAAAAATCAAAATAAAATATAATGACAACTCAGCATTTGATATGCAAATAAGTACATAGTTTTGAAAAATAGTTACTCTGCAACAGATGCGCAACATTTAAAAATATCTTTGTGACAATCTTAATAAATTTTAAAAATATACACAGAAATTTAAGACAAAAATTTACCCAAAGCATTTTTCAACACATATACCACTTTAAAAGAAATGGGAATTATCAGATGCTAGAAATGAAGCAGAGATTCAAAATAAGAATAGTAAAGCTAAATTTGAGCTAGCGACCAAATTTTACTATACGTGGAATAGACGAATAAGAACTAGGAGGCATGGGTTCCAAAATCCAGCAGACCAAGAGGATATAATTCTTGGCATCCTAAAGGAAGCAAGCTAAACTGAACCATGTTCATAAAATGATCCTATCAACTGGAGACACTATCTATGAAAAAGGTATTAAAACACATCACAAGCTCTACAAAAAGCAGAAAAGAATTTTAAGTCCCCTGGGATATGTTTATGAAAGAAAAACATAACTTGTGGGAACTTAAAGTATATGTCAGGCTTATATGGCAATCTTAAATTCACATCATATATTTGGTGAATAAACCACCAAGTAAAATATTAATACAAACCTGCTCTGAAAACAGAAAAAGCCCCATAGATATTGTAAAAGCAGATGTAAATGGCCCTTGTAGATACATCCACAACCCAGGTTATACAAATATACTACAAGAAAGGAATTGGTAAAACTTTTTTTACATAAAGGACTAGATAGCATTTTATGCTTTGCAGGACAGTCTCTATCACAACTATTCCTTTCTGCAACTGTAGTGCAAAAGCAAACAAACATAATACACAAATAACTGGGTAGAGTTGTATTTTGATAAAACATTGTTTACGTAAATCTGCAGCACACCAGATTTGGCCTACCGACCTTGGTTTGCCAAACCCTGACATGGAAGAGAAAAAAAAATTCTAAATTAAATCTCAAAATAAAAAATTCAAAAACACCATAAAAACCAGGAGATTAAAAAAAGAGAGAGAGTTGATTTAAACAAAGAATACACATAAAAGATAAAAATAGGTCAGACGCGGTGGCTCACACCTGTAATCCCAGCACTTTGGGAGGCCAAGGCGGGCAGATCACGAGGTCAGGAGATCGAGACCATCCTGGCTAACACGGTGAAACCCCATCGCTACTAAAAATACAAAAAATTAGCCAGGCGTCGTGGCAGGCGCCTGTAGTTCCAGCTACTTGGGAGGCTGAGGCAGGAGAATGGCGTGAACCCGGGAGGTGGAGCTTGCGGTGAGCCGAGATCGCGCCACTGCACTCCAGGCTGGGCAACAGAGACTCTGTCTCAGGAAAAAAAAAGAGACAAAAATATTCAAAAATAATTAAAGATATAAAAAATAACGGGCCAGGCACGGTGGCTCATGCCTGTAATCCCAGCACTTTGGGAGGCCAAGGTGGGCAGATCACCTGAGGTCAGGAGTTGAAGGACAGCCTGGCCAACACAGCAAAACTCTGTCTCTACTAAAAATACAAAATTAGTCAGGTGTGGTGGCACATGCCTGTAATCCCAGCTACTCAGGAGGCTGAGGCAGGAGAATTGCTTGAACCCAGGAGGCGGAGGTTGCAGTGAGCTGAGATTGCGCCACTGCACTCCAGCCTGGGCAACAAGAGTGAAACTCTGTCTCAATAAATAAATGGGAAGGGAAGGGGAGGGGAGGGGAGGGGAGGGGAGGGGAGGGGAGGGAGAAATCATGCCTGAAGAAGAAGGGTATGATGACAATGTCTCATCAAATAGAGAATATCAACAAAGAAATAAAAATTTTTAAGAAAAAAACAAATGAAGTAGAAACGTACAATAACATACACTAGAAGAATTCAACAGAAGATCTGAACTGGTAGAAAAATAATCAGCAAGCTTAAAGATAGACTGACAGATTATATAATCTAAAATACAGAGAGAACTAGGAATGGAGAAAAGTAAGCAGAGCTTGGAAAAACATATGGGACATCATTAATTTTACCATCACATGAATAATAGAAACACTGGAAAGAGAGGAGGGAGAAAGAGAAAAGAAAATAAAAATTATTTGAAAACATCATTTCTGAAAACTCAAATTTGATGAAAAATATTAACTTACACATCCAAGAAACCTAAAAAACTCTAAATAGGACAAACACAAAGAGATCCACAAAAAGACCCATTATAATTAAAATGATGAAAGCAACAAGGACAAAATCTTGAAAGAAGAAAGAGATAAAATCATTTCTCACTTACAAAAAAGCCCAATAAGATTAACAACTGATTTTAAATCAGAAATAATAGAGGCCAGTAAGCAGTATAATAATATATACTCAAAAGAACAATGCTAACTAAGAATCCTCTATCAAGCAAATCTACCTTTAGAAAATTGGAGAAATAATGACATTCCTAAATATTAAAAAATTAGGAGAATGAGATGCTAGAAGGCCAGCCATACAAGAAATACTAAAGGAAGTTGTTCAAGGAAAGCAAGTGACCCAGACGGTAGTTCAACTCCATGCAAAAAGAAAAACAGTACTGGTAATTACTGTGTAATAATAAAAATAGGAAATGCATATTTATTTTCCTTTTTTCTATTACCTGATATTTTTAAGGAATTATTTTTAAATATATGTATATAATGGTATTATTTGTCCTATAACCATAAAAATGTAACATGTTTGCCAATAAAAGCACAAAATAGGTGAGTCAAGAAAACCTGTATTGGGCTAAAGGTATGATACCTGATGGTTTGGGGCCATGGCAACAAATAAAGAAAACCAGAAATGGTAAAAAGATTAATATAATAAAAGCTATAACTATATACTTATCCTCCTTTCATCACTCAAATTATTTAAAAGATATAAAATTATATAAAGTAATAATTTTATTAAAGTACTGTTGGGTCCACAACATATATAGATGTAGTAGCAAAAATAAGACCAAAATGAAGAAAAAGAATAGACCTATATGAATAACATTATTACATCTCACTGGTAGTAATATAAATCTGAAAAATATTTTAACAAGTTAAAATGTATATGTTAAAAGTTTCTAGGTCTTTCATCTCCTTGGTTAAATTTATTCCTAAGTATTTTAATTATTTGTAGCTACTGTAAATGGTATTACCTTCTTGATTTCCTTTTCTCCTAGTCATTGTTCATGTATGAAAATGCTACTGATTTTTGTGTGTTGATTAGGCATTCTGTAACTTTACTGAATTCATTTGTCAGTACTAACAGTTTCTTGATAGAATCTTTATGCTTTTCTACATATAAGATTATGTAACCTGCAAACAGGTACAATTTGACTCCCTTCTTTCCAATTTAGATCCATTTAATTTCTTGCTTTTGCCTAATTGCTCAGTCTGAAGACTTTCAGTACTATGTTAAACAAGAGTGGTGCAAGTGGGCATCTCTGTGTTGTTCCAGTTCTTTAAAAAAAAAAAAAAAAAAAGCTTTCACCTTTCCCTCTTCAGTATTATGATAGCTATGTTCAGACAAGCAAAAACAGGAAATTCATTACCACTAGCCAAGACCTGAAACAGACGCTTCAGGAAGTGAAAGGACAATATTTGCCATCATAAAAACAAATGAAAGTATAAAACTCCCTGACGAAGCAAGGACACAAATAAGAAAGAGAAAGGACTCAAATGCTACCACTACAGAAAACTAAAAAACCACAATGATAAACAATAAGAAAGGAGCAAAGGATATATAAAACAACCATAAATCAATTAACAAAATGCCATAAATAAGCCCTCACATATCAAATAGTAACTTTTAAGGTAAACAAATTAAACTTTCCACTTAAAAGACACAGACTTGCTGACCCTCAAGGTCAGAGATCCCAGAAGAAGGCGCAGGCACCCAACTGTACTGTTCTCCAGTCTCCTTGAGTGATATCTCCAGGGGCAGGAGCGAAGCAGATGAATAGGGGCTGAAGTGAACCCCCAGCAAACCACAGCAGTCCTACATAAGAGGGACCTGATCATTGAAAGAAAAACAAACAGAAAGCAACAACAACAAAAAAAAGGCCCCACAAAAAACCCTATCCAAGGGTAAACAGCCTCAAAGAAAACAGACAAACTGAAACTCAAACTCAAAACTAGACAAACTCAAGAAGATGAGAAAGAATCAACAACAACAACAAAAATGCCAAAAACCCAAAGGCCAAAGCGCCTATTCTCCTCCGAATGATCACAACATCTCTCCAGCAAGGGCGCAGAACTGGACAGACGATGAGATGGACAAATTGACAGAAGTAGGCTTCAGAAGGTGGGTAATAAAAAACTACGCTGAGCTAAAGGAAGCTAAGAACCTTGATAAAAGGTTAGAGGAGCTGCTAACTAGAATAACCAGTTTAGAGAGAAACATAAATATCTGATGGAGCTGAAAAAAAAACAGCACAAGAACTTCATGAAGCAAACACAAGTATCAATAGCCGAAGTGACGAAGTGGAAGAAAAAATCTAAGAGTTTGAAGACCACCTTGCTGAAATAAGGCATGCAGACAAGACTAAAGAAACAAAAGAATGAAAAGAAACAAAGCTTCCAAGAAATATGGGACCTCGTAAAGAAACCAAACTTGCAATTGATTGGAGTACCTGAAGTAGACAGGGAGAATGAAAACAAGCTGGAAAATACACTTCAGAATATTATCCAGGAGAACTTCCCCAACCTAGCAAGGCAGGCCAATATTCAAATTCAGGAAATACAGAGAACATCACTAACACACTCCATGAGAAGATCAACCAAAGACACATAACCATCAGATTCTCTAAGGGCGAAATGAAGGCAAAAATGTCAATGGCAGCCAGACAAAAAGACCAGGTCACCTACAAAGGGAAGCCCAACAGACTAATAGTGGACCTCTCAGCAGAAACCCTACAAGCTAGAGGAGACTAGGGGCCAATATTCAGCATTCTTAAAGAAAATAATTTTCAACCCAGAATTTCATATCCAGCCAAACTAAGCTTAATAAGAAAAGGAGAAATAAAATATTTTCCAGACAAGCAAATGCTAAGGGATTTTGTTACCACCAGGCCTGCCTTGCAAGAGATCCTAAAAGAAGCACTAAATATGGAATGGAAAAGGCAGTACCAACCACTACAAAAACACACCGAGATATAAAGATCAATGACACTAATGAAGAAACTGCATCAACTAGTGTGCAAAATAACCAGATAGCATCATGATGACAGGATCAAATTCACACATAACAGTATTAACCTTAAATGTAAATGGGCTAAATCCCCCAATTAAAAGACACAGACTTGCAAACTGGATAAAGAGTCAAGACCAATCAGTGTGCTGTATTCAGGAGACCCATCTCATAGGCAAAGACACACATAGGCTCAAAATAAAGAGATGGAGGAAAATTTACCAAGCAAATGGAAAGTTAAAAAAAAAAAAAGCAGGGGATGCAATACTAGTCTCTGACAAACAGACTTTAAACCAACAAAGATTTAAAAAGACAAAAAAAAAGGCATTACATAATGATAAAGAGAACAATTCAACAAGAAGAGTTAACTATTCTAAATACATATGCACCCAATACAGGAGCATCCAGATTCATAAAACAAGTTTGTAGAGACCTACAAAGAGACTTAGACTCCCACACAATAATAGTGGGACACTTTAACACCCCACTGTCAATATTAGACAGATCGAGACAAAAAATTAACAAGGATATTCAGGACTTGAACTCAGCTCTGGATCAGGTGGACCTAATAGACTTCTACAAAACTCTCCACCCCAAATCAACAGAATATACATTATTCTCAGTGCCACATGGCACTTATTCTAAAATTGACCACATAATTGGAAGTAAAACACTCTTCAGCAAATGGAAAAGAATTGAAATCATTACAAAGTCTCTCAGACAACAGGGCAATCAAATTAGAACTCGGGATTAAGAAATTTACTCAAAACCACACACTTACATGGAAATTGAACAACCTGCTCCTGAATGACTCTTGGGTAAATAACAAAACTAACGCAGAAAAGAAGTTATTTGAAAACAATGAGAACAAAGAGACAAAATACCAGAATCTCTGGGACACAGCTAAAGGAGTGTTCAGAGAAAAATTTATAGCACTAAATGCCCACATGAGAAAGCTGGAAAGATCTCAAATCGACACCCTAACATCACAACTAAAAGAACTAGAGAAGCAACAGCAAACAAATCCAAAAGCTAGCAGAAGACAAGAAATAACTGAGATTAGAGCAGAACTAAAAGAGATAGAGACATGAAAAACCCTCCAAAACATCAATGAATTCAGGAGCTGGTTTTTTGAAAAACTAAGAAAATAGAGAGAATGCTAGCTAGACTAATAAAGAAGAAAATAAAGAAGAATCATATAGACACAATAAAAAAATGATAAAGGGGATATGACCACTGACCCCACAGAAATATAGACTACCATCAGAGAATACTATAAACACCCCTATGCAAATAAACTAGAAAACCTAGAAGAAATGGATAAGTTCCTGGACACATACACACACCCTCCCAAGACTAAACCAGAAAGAAGCTGAATCCCTGAATAGACCAGTAACAGTTCTGAAATTGAGGGAGTAATTAATAGCCTACCAACCAAAAAAAGCCCAGGACCAGACAGATTCACAGCCAAATTCTACCAGAGGTACAAAGATGACCTAATACCATTCCTGCTGAAACTATTCCAAACAACTGAAAGGGAGAGACTCCTCTCTAACTAATTTTATAAAGCCAGCATCAACCTGACACCAAAACCAGGAAGAGACACAACAAAAAAAGAAAATTCTGGCCCGTTTCCCTGATGAATATCGATGTGAAAATCCTCAATAAAATACTGGCAAACCGAATCCAGCAGCACATCAAAATACTTATCCACCAGAAGTCAACTTCATCCCTGGGATGCAAGGCTAGTTCAACATATGCAAATCAATAAACGTAACTCCTCGCATAAACAGAACCAAAGCCAAAAAGTACACAATTATCTCAATAGATGCAGAAAAGGCCTTTGATAAAATTCAAAATCCTTTCATGTTAAAAACTCTCACTAAACTAGGTATTGATGGAACACAGCTCGATAATAGGAGCTTCTTATGACAATCCCACAGCAATATCATATTAAATGGGCAAAAGCTGGAAGCATTTGCTTTGAAAACCAGTACAAGACAAGAATGCCCTCTCTCACCACTCCTATCCAACATGGTACTAGAAGTTCTGGCAAGGGCTATCAGGTAAGAGAAAGAAATAAAGGGTATTCAAACAGGAAGAGAAGAAGTCAAGTTTTCTTTGTTTGCAGATGACATGATTTTAAGTTTAGAAAACCCCATCATTTCAGCCCAAAAACTACTTAAACTGATAATCAACTTCAGCAAAGTCTCAGGATACAAAATCAATTTGCAAAAATCACCAGCATTCCTTTACACCAACAATACACAAGGAGAGAGCCAAATCATTAATGAACTCCCATTCACAATTGTTACAAAGAGAATAAAATACCTAGAAATAGAGCTAACAAGGGATGTGAAGGACCTCTTCAAGGAGAACTACAAAGCAAGCACTGCACAATGAAATAAGACAGGACATAAACAACTGGAAAAACATTCTATCTCATGGAGAGGAAGAATCAATATCGTAAAAATGGCCACACTGCCCAAAGTAATTTATAGATTCAGTGCTATTCCCATCAAGCTACAATTGACATTCTTCACAGAATTAGAAAAAACTACTTTAAATTTCATATGGAATTAAAGAAGACCCCATATAGCCAAGACGATCCTAAGCAAAAAGAACAAAGCTGGAGACATCATGCTACCTGACTTCGAACTATACTACAAGACTACAGTAACCAAAACAGATGTAGACCAATGGAACAGAACAGAGACCTCAGAAATAACACCACACATCTACAACCATCTGATCTTCAACAAACCTGACAAAAGCAAGCAACGGGGAAAGGATCTCCTATTCAATAAATGGTACTGGGAAAACTGGCTAGCCATATGCAGAAAACTGAAACTGGACCCATTCCTTACACCTTATATAAAAATTAACTCAAGATGGATTAAACAGTTAAATGTAAAACCCAAAACCATAAAAAACCCTAGAAGAAAACCTAGGCAATAACATTTAGGACATAGGCATGGGCAAAGACTTCATAATGAAAATCCCAAAAGCAGCTGCAACAAAAGTCAAAATTGACAAATAAGATGTAATTAAACTAGAGAGTTTCTGCACAGCAAAAGAAACTTATCAACAGCATGAACAGGCAACCTACAGAATAGGAGAAAATTTTTGCAATCTACCCATCTGACATAGGTCTAATATCCAGAATTTACAAGGAACTTAAACAAATTTACAAGAAAAAAATGAACAACTCCGTAAAAAACTGGGCAAAGGATATGAACAGACACTTCTCAAAAGAAGACATTTACACAGCCAACAAACATATGAAAAAAAGCTCAACATCACTGATCATTAGAGAAATGCAAATCAAAACCACAATGAGATACCATCTCACACTAGTCAGAATGGCGATTATTAAAAAGTCAAGAAACAATAGATGTTAGCGAGGCTGTGGAGAAAGAGGCTTGTTTTTACACTGTGATTCCTCAAGGATCTAGAACCAGAAATACCATTTGACCCAGCAATCCTATTACTGGGTATGTACATAAAGGAATATAAATCATTCTACTATAAAGACACATGCACATGTATCTTTATTATAGAACTACTTGCAATAGCAAAGTCATGGAACCAACCCAAGCGCCCATTAATGATAGACTGGATATAGAAAATGTGGTTCGTATACACCATGGAATACTGCATAGCCATAAAAAGTAATGAGATCATGTCCTTTGCAGGGACATGGATGAAGCTGGAAGCCATCATCCTCAGCCAACTAACACAGGAACAGAAAACGAAACACTGCATGTTCTCACTCCAAAGTGGGAGTTGAACAATGAGAACACGTGGACACAGGGAGGGGAACAACATGCACCAGGGCCTGTTGCCGGGCTGGGGGTGAGGGGAAGAAACTCAGAGGATGGGTCAATAGGAGCAGCAAACCACCATGTTGCACATATACTTATGTAACCTGCACGTTCTGCACATGTATCCCAAAACTTAAACTAAATAACAAAATATTAAAAAAGAAATGAAAGCTAATCATGATATTCCATGAATTCATTTAGCCTATCTAATGATTCTAAACTGAATACCACCTGCATAAACTGAGATAGATATAGTCTATGGAATAATTTTTTATCTTTGACATTTTAGTCTCATTTTCATTCTGCTTTTTTCCTAAAGCTAAATTTTCTTTATTATAAGAACAAAAACTCCTTCTTGGATCCCTTAAGCAGAAACTGAAATTGTTTCCATTACATTATTATTACCTGGACACTGGATAAAGGACCACTCATAGTTCTTTTCTTTGGGGCAAAGATTGGTGTCAAGAACCATCTCACTGTGGTGCATTCCAATAAGCTTCATTGGTCCCCGTGAAGAACCTTCAATGCAATGTCCTCTTCCTGTATTACTAGGATCATTGCACCAGCCACATCCAGGCTGTTCCAAACACTGTCCACAGGTTCTCAATCCAGAACAATTTTGAGCTGCGTGACAGGAACATTGACAAATATGTTAACATGACTATATATTCAAACAGAATTATAGGCTAATAAAAAATAAATATGATCATGATAAAAACCATGAAAGGTCATCTATAGTTAATGCAAACATTTTTGCAATAATACTTAAGAGACAGCAATTACTAAAAGCAAATAAAACATACATCACAAACAAAGAGGAGATAAACAGGCCACCACAGGAGTGAAAAAAGGTGTGGTTAACCATGACATGGAGAAAAATAAAATCAGTAATTGAAGACCCCTGAAAATTTTGGCAGTACTAGAACTTTTAGGGCCCTACAGACCACCTTTATTATTGTCTGTGATATAAATCCATGTTAGCCATTCTTATTGTGCCTCGTAAGGACATTCAATGAAAGAACTCTGTATTCTGCCTGTGGACATCCAGTATAAGTGACGTCTGCCCATTTCCTGAGATTGCTGGGCTATATTTGGACTACCTATTATGGACAATGCTCCTCACAAGGGTCCAAGATACTAGTATTTGGCTACTATGTGATGAATAAACTTAATCTCATCCAAAAAGCCAAGCTGGATGGGAACATGAAAACCTGGTACTCTCCTTCAGCCAGGCAACCAGAGCACACATTCTAGTTTTCAGGGCTATAAAATAACACTCCATGACTCATTTGCAGATACTCAACCTTTGTTGTTGTTGGTTTTTTGTCTTTTTGTTTTTTGATTCAGGTATAACCTATGAGACTCAACAAAGCCTATGAATATGGTGAAGTTTGCCAAAGATAAGCAGACATTATAGTCAAACACCACAGACATAGCCATTGCTATGAAATGTTTTAAACCTTTACTTAACAACCAAAGCATCTTACATTAAGCTGAGAGTCTTTTCCTATTTACATAGTTACTTTTACTATTATTTAGCTAGGAATATTATATTTTGTCTTGGGGATTGTTTATAAATAGAAGATACTGACAGACATACACGGCATCATGAATGATGTCTTCTAGTCACATGAAAGAAAAAACAATGGAAGAAAAAATGGTAGATTTCTGGCAGACTCAATTTCATTGTATAATGTTAATGGCTCAGCTGCCACTCAGTGTTTAAAACAAAAACATTCCTAAGAAAACTACAAACAATGGCACAAATTTCTCAGTGAATATCAGGAACTTGATATCGTTGACTCTGCACAGATAATAGAATACTGGATTTAAAAAATTTACCAATTATAACATTATTTGTAGTTGTCAATCCTTTGAGAGGTAAGGATCTCATGCCTTCATAGGAAGGTAGAGAGTACGTATCACCTCCTGTATTTTCTTAATAAGAAATAAAAAAGGAAGAATACTCTTTGAGTCATTAAATAAAAGTGGCTAATGTTAAATTTGTAGATAAATAATTCATTGACACAGTCTTCCTTTAAAATCTTACATTTTTTCAACAGTACACAGCGCTAAATGACACAGTTTTAAAAATCCTTAGATAACTGAACATTTCCTATTTACCATGTCCCTCCTTAGTTTTGTTGGTTTAAAACATTTATTGTATATCTATGATTACAGTTAGCCCACAGTATTGTTAACTAGTTTATTCTAATTGTTTTCAAAAGTATATTGGGTTACTATGCTATCAATAGGACATAAGGGAAAATATCTAATTAGTAATATTGGCTTGGCATTCCAATTATTTACTATCATGTAATGATTTGTATCATATATCACGTGAGGAGAAAGTAAATCTTTAGTGGGACTCACCCTGAATAAATCAAATTTTCTAATATTGTTATACAGGTATTTCCTAAGAAAGTAAGTTTTATTTTAAAACTATCTTTTCTTAAGAAAGGATCATGATACCTGCTTTAGCAACAGCCAGATTTTACCTGTGGACACCACCTATTGACCTAAAGTCTGAATTGTTCAACCCAGTGAATAAAATACTGGGGAAAGAATAAATAAATAAATAAATAAGTACACGCCACTGGCGAATGAAATAAGCTTCATGATACCTCTGCCATTCCAACCCCACAGGAGACAGTGCACCTACTTATAAATGGAGCACATCACTACTACAACCAGTATCTGAGAAAGCCACCATGAAAAGGCTCTCTATGACCAAGGAACTCATACAGAGCCTTCATGACTGAAAGCACCAAGAGCCAAATTAGATTAAAATAAACTACAAACATTAAAGTCACATTCTCAAGGGGAAAAAAGAAATGAAAAAAGCACAGTTGAATCAAAAATAAATTCAAAAATAATTATAAGAACCTACAGAAATAAGAAGGAACCAGAAAAATAATTCTGGCAATATGAAAAAATAGGGTTTTATAATACTGCCAAAAAGATCACACTAGCTCTTCAGCAATAGATCCAAACCAAGATGAAATCCTTGAAATGCCAGATAAAGAATTCAGAAGGTTGACTACTATGTTACTCAAGGAGATAAAAGAGAAAAGTGAAAACCAACATAAGAAAATGTAAAAAAACAATTCAGGATATAAATAAAAATTTTAACAAAATAATACATTTTAAAAAAAGAAACCAACTTCTGGAAATGAAAGGCACATTTAGAAAATTGCAAAATGCAAGTGGATAGTTTTAACAATACTTTGTCTTAGACAAATACTACTCTAAGACAAAGTAGAAGAAATAATTTCAGACCTCATAGACAAAGCTTTTGAATTATACCAATCAAACAAAAATAAAGAAAAAATAATTTAAAAAAGGAACAAAGTCTCCAAGAAATATGAGATTAGGTAAAACAGCCAAACCTAACAATCACTGGTGTTCCTGAGGTAAAAGAAAGAGAAAAACATCTGAAAAACTTATTTGAGGGAATAACTTGAGAAAAACACCCCTGGCCTTGCTAGAAATGTAGACACCCAAATACAAGAAGCTCAAAGAGCTCCTGAGAGATTCATTGCACAAACAACATTACCAATGTATATAGTCATCATTCTCTCTGAAGTCAACATGAATAAAAGAATTCTAAGAGCACTAAGACAAAAGTATCAGATAATCTATAAAGAAAAACTTATCAGACTAATAGCAGACTTCTCAGCAGAAACCTTACAGGCCAGAAGGGATCAAGGTTCTCTCTTTACCCTCCTTAAGCAGAATAACTGCCAGCCAATAATTTTGTATCCAGCAAAACTAACTTTCATAAATGAAGGAGAAATAAAGTCCTTTTCAGACAAGCAAATGCTAAGGATTTTGTCACTACCAGACCAGCCCTACAAGAAAAGCTAAAAAGAGTTCTAAATCTTAAAATGAAAGGTCAATATGTACCAGAATAGAACCTCTTGAAAGTATAAAACTCACAGGGCCTATAAAGTAATAATACAATGAAGAAAACAAAGTAACTAGTAACAATCAACATGATGACTAGAAATGTACCCCACATCTCAAAATTAATGTTACATGTAAATGGTATAAATGCTCCACATAAAAGACATAGACTGGTAGAATGGATGAAAAACCACAAAGCAAATATCTGCTATCTTCAAGAGACACATCTAACATTTAAAGATTCTTATAGACTCAAGGTAAAGGGGTGGAAAAAGATATTCAATGCCAATGGAAACCAAAAGCAAGCAGGAGTAGGTATTCTTGTATCAGAGAAAACAGACTTTAAAGGAACAACAGTAAAGAAAAAAAAAAGAAGTTCATTATATAATGATAAAAGTATCAATGCAACAAGAAGATATTACAATCTAAAATATATATGCACCTAACACTAGAGCTGCCAAATTCATAAAACAATCAATACTAGACCTAAGAAAGAGATAGACAGCAGCACAATAATGGTGGAGGACTTCAACACTCCACTAGACAGATCATCAAAGCAGAAAGTCATCAAAGAAACACTGGACTTAAATTACACTCTAGAACAAATGGACTTAACAGATATTAACAGAACATTCTACCCAAGAACTGCAGAATATGCATTCTTCTCATCAGCACATGGAATATTTTCCAAGATAGACCATATGACAGGCCACAAAACAAGTCTCAATAAGTTATAAAAAATCAAAATCGGCTGGGCGCAGTGGCTCACGCCTGTAATCCCAGCACTTTGGGAGGACAAGGTGGGTGGATCATGAGGTCAGGAGTTTGAGACCAGCCTGACCAACATGGTGAAACCGGTTTCTACTAAAAATACAAAAAGCAGCCAGGTATGCTGGCATGTGCCTGTAATCCCAGCTACTTGGGAGGCTGAGGCAGGAGAATTGCTTGAATCCGGGAGGTGGAGGTTGCAGTGAACCAAGATTGTGCCACGGCACTCCAGCCTGGGCCACAGAGGGAGACTCTGTCTCAAAAAAAAAAAAAAAAAATCTAAATCATATCAAGTATCTTCTCAGACCACAGTAGAATGAAACTAGAAATCAATTCCAAAAGGAACCTTCAAAACTATGTAAATACATGAAAATTTAACAATCTGCTCCTGAACGATTTTGGGGTTAACAATTAAATCAAGATGGAAAGTTTTAAATTCTGCAAAAAGAACAATAACTGTGACATAAGTTATCTAAACCTTGAATATAGCAAAAGTGGTGCTAAAAGTTTATAGTACTAAATGCCTGCATCAAAAAGTCTGAAAGATCACACACTGACAACCTAATGTCACATCTCAAAGAACTAGAGAAACAAGAACAAACCAAATCCAAAGCCAGCAGAATAAAATAACAAATCTCAGAGTAGAACTAAATAAAATTGAAAGCAACAAAATACAAAAGACCAATGAAATGAAAACTAGTCTTTTTGAAAAGATAAAATTGATAGACCATTAGCTAGATTAACAAAGAAGAGGATTCAAATAAGTTTAATTAGAAATGAAAATGGAGACATTACAAACAACATCACAGAAATACAAAAGATCATTTGAGACAACTCTGAACCCTTCTATGCATACAAACTAGAAAATCTAGTGGAAATGGAAAAATTCCTGGAAACACACAACTCTCCTAGCTTAAATTAGGAAGAAATCAAAATCCTGAACAGATCAATAACAAGCAGCGGGACTGAATCAGTAATACCAATTTGCCAGCCAAAAAAAGTCAAGGGCCAGGGGATTCACAGCCGAATTATACTAGATATTCAAAGAATTGGTACCAATCCTACTGAAACTGTTGCAAAAGACTGAGAAATAGGAAATTTTTCCTAACTCATTCTATGAAGCCAGTATCACACTGACAGCAAAGTCAGGGAAGAACATAAGAAAACTACAGACTAATATCCCTGATGAACATAAATGAAAAAATCCTCAACAAAATACTAGCAAGCTGAATCCAGTGGCACATCAAAAAGATAATTCATCATGATCAAGTAGGTTTCATCCCAGGGATGGTTCAACATATGCAAGTCAATAAATATGATTCATCATATAAAATGAATTAAAAACAAAAGTGATATGATAATCTCAAATAATTACAGGAAAAGCATTCATTAAAATCCAGCATATCTTTATAATTAAAAACCCTCAACAAACTAGGCAGAGAAGGAACATACCACAAAATAATAAAAGCCATATATGACAAACCCACAGCAAACATAACAGTGAATGGGGAAATGTTGAACGCATTACCTCTAAGTACTAGAAGAAGACAGGTAGGCCCACTTTCGTCACTTCTATTTAATATAGTACTGGAAATCCTACCCAGATCAATCAGGCAAGAGAAAGAAATAAAGGGCATCCAAATAGGAAACAAGGAAGTCAAACTACCCTTTTTTGCCAATGATATGATTGTATACCTAGAAAACCCTAAAGACTATGAAGTGATTTTATACTGTATACCTAGAAAACCCTAAAGACTTTGATATGATTGTATACCTAGAAAACCCTAAAGAGCCCTCCAAAAGACTCCTAGATTTGATAAATCAATTCAGTAAAGTCTAAGGTTACAAAAACAATGTACACTGATCAGTAGCACTGCTATACACCAAAAATGACCAACCTGAGAATCAAATCAAGAACTCAACCCCTTTTACAACAGCTGCAAAAATAAAATACCTAGGAATATACTTAACCAAGCAGGTAAACTATCCCTACAAGGAGAACTACAAAACACTGCTGAAAGAAATCATAGATGACAAAAACAAATGGAAACACATCCCACACTCAGGGGTTAGAAGAACTGATATCATGAGAATAATCATACTGCCCAAAACAATCTGCAGGTTCAGTGCACTTCCAGTCAAATCACCAACATCACTTCTCACAGAATTAGAAAAAATAATCCTAAAATTCATATAGAACCAAAAAAGAGCCTAAATAGCCAAACCAATCCTAAGTAAAAATAACAAATCTGGAGGCATCATATTACCCAACTTCAAATTATACTATAAGACTATAGTAATCAAAACATCATAGTATTTGTATAAAAGTAGATACATAGAAAAATGGGGATACACAGAAAAATGGAACAGAATAGAGAACCCAGATATAAAGCCAAATACTTACAACCAACTGATTTTTTGGCAAATTATACAGAAACATAAATTGAGGAAAGGACACCCTATTCAATAAATGGTGCTGGGATAGCTGGATCAACATATGTAGAAGAATGAAACTGAATCTATGTCTCTCACCATATACAAAAATCAACTCAAGATGGATTAAAGATTTAAATCTAACACCTGAAACCATAAAAATTCTGGAAGAAACCTCAGGAAAACTCTTCTGGACATTGGCATAAGCAATTTATGACTAAGACCCCAAAATCAAATGCAACAAAAACAAAAATACATAAAAGGAACCTAATTAAACTCAAAAGCTTCTACACAGCAAAATAGATAATATATGAGAAACCTTATGCAGGCTATGCTATTGTTCCTAAAGTTATGTGTAGTATAAGGACTTGTATGAAATATGGTTAATTGGAGCAATCCTGTTTATTTATTTTTGGCTTTTCAAAAGATCAAGTTGTAAAATATTCAAAATGGTTTTTCAAATGGGTAAGAATATTAAAAAATCAATCTGTAAGAAATTGTCATCAAATTTTAAAAATGATTACCTTCCTTAATTGTTGAAGTGTTTAAATTGAACACATAAACTTACAAATACTGAAAAAAATACAGATTTGTGAGATAACACCTTATCCTCAAGTTGTGTATTATTCTATTTTTACTATACAAATTTAATTGAATTTTCATTTGAACCTTTATACATTTGGGACTAAATCTCCTATTTTTCTTTAAACATTGCCCTGGAATTCATTTTCACAAGTAGAATATCTGTCTACCCAAAATATATCAATTACTAATAATGCCAATTATTAGCAAAGCTTTCTCAGAAACCATTAGTCAAAAATTATCTTAAAAAACATTTCCTCTCTTCAATTCGTGAATTTTAAACAATGATATCACAATATTATGACTGAAAAATACTGGAGAATATTGCAAAATCCTATTTGTTTCTCATTTCCAAAGAAAAGTTTGCCTTAATTTCTATTTACCAGTAAACCTCAAATGAACATTGAGGCAACTTTCTGAAGGCAACTAAAAGACCACTTCCAATACAAAGTTTTGTTGATAAGTATAAAAATATTTTAAAGACTCAAATGTTAAATGAATAGACGTGTAGTAGAAAACGATAATGTAAATATATATAATTTATCCTGAAAAGTCATAAAGTTAAAGTCAAAAGCACACTAAAACCATTGCCAAGAAGCTGACACCTATGAAAGAGTAACACTCAGCTACTTTTAACTTGTATTTTGAACAAGAATGTCATTTTACTCCTAGTCCCTATTGTACTTCCTGGCATTTCTTCACTACTCTACAAATGTCTGTTGGTTAAAAACACGGGAAAAATTAAACATAATGAAGGAGTTCATTATTCACAAACAGTGGATCACTGCCAGGTAACTACTTCTTTCAGAAATACAAAGTCTCCTTGAGGCAATGTTCAATGCCCTTCTTCCCCACAACGACACACAGGGTGTATAATAAAAAACCTGTGGAGGCCGGGCGCAGTAGCTCACACCTGTAATCCCAGCATGTTGGGAGGCCAAGGTGGGCAGATTACTTGAAGTCAGGAGTTCAAGACCAGCCTGGCCAACATGGTGAAACCCCGTCTCTACTAAAAACACAAAAATCAGCCAGGCATGGGGCAGGCACCTGTAGTCCCAGCTACTCAGGAGGCTGCAGCAGGAGAATTGCTTCAACCCAGAAGGCGGAGATTGCACTGGGCCAAGATTGTGCCACTGCACTCCAGCCTGGGTGACAGAGCGAGACTCTGTCTCAAAAAAACAAAAACCAACAAAAAAACCCTGTGAAATAGAAATAACTGTTAGAGTAGTATTGGACATTATCAGCACAAATGATCTATACACAGCTTCAGGAAAGGCGAACATGACAACAGAACAGAGAAAGGAACTATAGAGGAGAAAAAATAGCAAACTAGACTATCTGCTCAAGGAACAAATGGTAGAAGTAGACAATGAAGCCTCTATAATAATCAAGAAAACAAAAGAAGCAAAAGATCAAAAACAAGAGAGACAATGGCAGACCTGAAGACCTGACTTATGCTTGCCTAGCTGACAATCCCACCAGCGGTATTTAGTTATCATTATTTGATTTGTCAGTGGTAGAATTTAATTCATACCTGTGTTAAAATAGTGAATTATGTTTCATTAACCTTCTCAAAAAAAATCAGTTACAACAATTTTTATATTTGCACTGTATAATTATATTGTTCTCAAAAAACTTATTTCAAATAAATAAAAAGTCTCAAAGGATTATAAAAAGAAAAATAGCTAAATATTAGCAAACAAAAATACAAAAAATGCAAACAGAGTTAAGAAATATTAAGATATATCTAGAAGTTCCAGCAACTATTTTAATATTTGCAACAAGAGTAAAGAGAAGAAAACATGTATTTTAAGACATTACACAACATTTTTAGCAGATGAAGAAACAAACTACTCTTCAGATTTAAAGAGCCAATGAGAAAATCTAAAAAATCTAAAAATCCTTTTCTTCAATGAAAAACTGTAAAAAAAAATTAATTTTAAAGATCCACATCAATCACTGAAAAACTGAATTAAAACAATGAAAAATTTTAGAATGCCAACAAGAAAGAAAAAAATCTTAAAAGCTCCCAAAGGGGGGATAAAAAAGATGTTCCACAAAGGAATGAAAATTAGATTGGCATTGGAATTCTTATCCACAACACTGAGTGCTAAAGAGGTTCCAAGGAAAAAATTATTTGGAATACCACATTTAGCCATTTTATCATTCAAGTGAAAATGAAAAGTACACTTTTAGACATGCAAAGACTCAAAAGTTTATGTCACAATTTATTTGAAAGAAATTACTAAAGATTATTTACCAATGGTTAAAATGGTAAAATTTATGTTATGTGTGTTATACCACCAAAAAAAATTGTAAAAAAACAAAAAAGTAGAACAAATGAGAAGGAATGGGATATAAGAAAAATTTGTGACAACATAAGCTTAATTCTAAATAATTTTTAGAAAGTTGTTAAGAGTATAAGAGCTTAGACTTTCACAAACCAGTTTTTCCCTACTTTCTAGCCTCTTTTATTGTGAAATATAACACACATACAATTACATAAAGAAAAATATAAGATTAATAAATTCCTATAAACACACACTCTGGACCTGCACAAAGCCTAGAAGTGGAGCATTGCCTCTCTTGTTTCATTTCCTAATCAGCACCCCTAAACTTCCCCCAGCAACATCCTCTAGCTGACATTTTTGAGAATACACTTTTGCCTTACTCTATAGTTTTACCACCTAAATACGCATTTCTAAACAATACAGTGCCGTTTTGACTATTTTTTAACTTTATACCTAAATGTAGTCAAACAGTATGTAATCTTTCATGTCTAGCTTCTTTCATTGAACAATAATGTTTGTCGAGAGACAAGCATGACTATTGAGGCAGGAGAAGGTGCGCATTGTCTCATTCCCCACAAGTCTTCAACTCTTGTATTCAACTCTCCTGGGCAGCTGGCTCCTAGTTTTGAAATGTTTTGCTATGCACAAAGGCCATTTTATGCCTGCAACCACCACACTGCCACCCACTTGATCAGGTACAACACCCCCATTCCTTACCACAATCCCTAAAAAAGGATATCAACAGGGAGCTCAACTCATAATACATCCAACCATGTCCATCCCAGGCATACCTCTCCACTTCATGCCAAGAGCCTGAAGGAACAAATGAACACAACAGCTGCAGCTGGGATTCCAGCCTGCATTGTGTTACTGTTTTGCCTTAGCTCTTCAAGTAACAGTGGTGCCCACTATGGACCAAATACATATTTGACTGGACCACTGAGAGTGATGAAAGGCCTAGAAAGTCAGTAAGTCTCTACGTGCATTGCCTTATGCAGTGGCTACCTCTAAATGGGAAGATGACTCATCTGAGCAAGAAGGACTAGTATCAACTGGGTGACCATGTTGTCCAAGGGCCATACACTTACAGGCTTCAACATACTAGATTTACCACCAACAGGGATCTCAGAATTATGAAGTTACTGTGATAGAAGTTATTAAGAAATTATTTTAGGCAGATAGAGAAAAAAGGAGTCCTTGGAAAGTTTTCATTTCTTTTTAAAACACCTCCAAAAGTGTTTCTTGTCTAACAGAAAAGTCCCAGCTCTTAGAGCCAAGCCGGCAACCTTTAGTATGCATATGCAAGCCATTAGAAACTGGGTCCACTCAACATGGCGATTCCCACCTTTGTCCTCTTGCCCTTGCCCCACATGTATTTGGGAATATGGCCGCCCCACATATCCCCATGTGTGTAGAACATCATGGTGCCCTGCATTTGCATATTAAAAGGCTAGGGTGGGAAGGCCAGTTTTTTTCCGAGGGCTACCTGAATGAAAGCCTGGTCAAACCAATCCCCTAAGCTCTATGCAAATCAGACACCCCCTCCTCCAGCCTCTACATATACCTGCCTGGTACGCACCACACTTGGGGTTTCCTCTTTCGGCTGTGGAGCCCCCATCCCTCTGTCTCTGTAAGAGCGAACCTTCTGCCTTTTCTTTTCTTTCTTGCCTATTAAACTCTCTGCTCCTTAAAACCACTCCACGTGTGTCCGTATTGTTTAATCTAATTCAACGTGAGACAAGAGCCCTGGTGTTCCTCCACTCATGGGAGCCATATCATTACTATAATTGCTAACTAGAATGGGTTGCCTCTCAGAGGAAAAACAAGAAAGCTCAAAGGAGGGAAGGAAGAGTGGACGGGCAGAAAATAAATATTGCTGCTGGGATAGTTGTTTGTATTTTCATCAGTCAGGCTGCCAGTGGCTGCTCCTATGGAGGGACTGCAAGAAAGTCAATGATCTAATAAGAAAGTCCTGAAGATACTTATGAACGTTATAGAAACAAGCTGTGTTATGGCCTACACTCCTAGGAAAACTCCAAGTGGCTGTTTCCTGGAGAGAAAGGGTCAGAGGGAAACCAGTGGACTGATGCAAAAACCTAAAATGGACCTTTGACCTTTAAAAGTTTCAAATATGACAAATGAAGAGAGATGATGATAGTGGAGAACTTAGGGCTGTTAGGAGAAAGGAATTAGAATCGGGATAAAGATCCCCTGGAGAGAATTCCTGTATAGAGAGGGAAACTGTTGCTTTCCCTATCTCATTGAATACATTTCAACCACAACATATTCCTGAGTTTAATAGATACACCAGACTCCAAGTGGCTGTTATTTTGTCTCCTTTGACTGAACTGTAACTACAGTTTCTTTGGAACCTGGATCAAACACACCAACATGTTAATTAGATTCACTCATTTCAAATCCTGTTTACTGCAGGTTAAAGTATTGGAAGAAAAAAAAATCCAAGGAGTCTTGCTCCTTTTTTCTTTGTGAGCTTCCTGGACACTCAGATGTTGAGAAGAAGGGAACTGAAAAAGAAGCAAAAGAACTTCTGATTTTATTTGTCTGTTTGGACTTTACCAAATAACTGATATTTTGCTTTGTTCAAATCAAAGCATCCTCAACGGACATAAACTTGGATACCGGCCGGGCGCGGTGGCTCACGCTTGTAATCCCAGAACTTTGGGAGGCCGAGCTGGGTGGATCATGAGGTCAGGAGTTCGAGATCAGCCTGGCCAACAGTGAAACCCCATCTCTAAAAAAAGTACAAAAATTAGCTGGGCATGGTGGCACATGCCTGTAGTCCCAGCTACTTGGGAGGCTAAGGCAAGAGAATCACTTGAACCAGGGAGGTGGAGGTTGCAGTGAGCTGAAATTAGGCCACTGCACTCCAGCCTGGGCCACAGAGTGAGACTCCATCTCAAAAAAAAAAAAAAAAAAAAACCTGCATACCAACTTTATCTCAGGTGATTCTGCAGCTTTCTATGGTGGTAGAATGGTAACTACTGGGCCCCTGAAAAGTATATTATTCAAAAAAAAAAGGACATAAAGTCTGGATTAATTACAAGAGGGACAGATACCAATGAGTGGGATATGAATGAATGCAACCAACATTGAGAAACAGGTCATGAGAGCAGCAGGAGTAAGTAAAACTTTCTACTTTTTTGTTCCAAATCTGAACATACCAATTAATTCAGGTGAAAAGGCATATTTTTGATGAGCGTCAGTGTCAAAGAGTGGATTGCAGAAAGATAAACCATATTCTCTGCTATGAAGAAGCTAGCTAAGATTGGCACTTTTTTCTCCCAAGCAGAAAGAGTTTCACACGGTCTTAAGTTCCTACAAGGCTAACAAGTGCTCCCAGTAGCATTATGCAATTCCCTTGGCAGCTGTATTCTGACGCCATTTGTGTTTGTAAGCAAGGCCACTCTCACCACATAGTACCCAGTATTAAATATTCATTCAGGTGCAGCCTTATCCTATAGTCCTTAGAAAACATGAGAGATCAGCAAGGGGCAAAATCTTTCTCCTGAAGTATAACTCATAGCAAGCCCAGTACTGCCCTGCTGACATAACTCTATGTGATTTCAAGACTGTGCATTCTATACTTGTAGCAGATATACCAACATTGATAAAATATTCTTGCCCCAAAATGCTTTCCTGAATCTAATCATGAGGGAAAAATTAGACAAATCCAAATTGAGAAACCTCCAAAACAATTGGTATAGGTTATTCAAAAATATCAAAGTCATATAAGGAAAAGATATGGGAATTGCACTAGATTAAAAGATACTAAAAAGGCTCACCAAAGCAATCTGTGATGTTTGAGGTGAACACTCTCATGAAGTGTTATACTGTCTGCAACATACACACAGTTCAGGGAAAAGAGGCTGTACATATGTGGCAATATGTTAATATTTAGGGTAAGATACTTAGTGGCATGCAAAATGATGATATAATAAAAATCAGAGGTTAACAGTACCAGTTGGTTTCAAAAGTAGCCGTAACAATATTTTTTCTCATTTTTTGAAACTTCTTCAAATATTTAATTCTTCTTTACATCACAGAAAAGTAAATTTACGTTGCTGTCAAGTGAAAAGTCACTCTAGATAAATACTTACGGGAGCAGGTGGCAGTTTGCCACTCTAGACATTGTCCATATGGAAAAGAGATGATATAGGCATTAGAGTCAACACATCGTTTCGTACTGCTGCACCACATACACTCCATGCCATTGCTTGTACAGTTGGAACATGATGTCCTCAGAGAGCATGGCTTTTTGCACGGCCTCGCATTTTGATTTGGACTAACTGGAATAAATAAACAAATACAATAATTTCATTTTTAACTTCATGTTAACACAATTGTATGGGTTTTCTTTGCTTTGCTGTTCAGGGCATGTTTCAATTAAGCCAACTGTGGCATTATAATATGATGAGGTAGATAAAAACAAAGATGATATATCAATACTTCTTAAAATTTTTATTAAATTTGAAAATGTATAACTCCTTTGAAATTTGTAATTCTTTACAAAGTATATAAAGTTGTATAATTTTAAGTATTATAAGCAGTAATGTAATCTATGACCTAGTTTGTATACCAGCACTGTTTATTTTCCCAGCCACAATTTTTTCCCAGCCACGTTTTCCATAGCATTCCACATCTTACAAAGTAAATGTCCTGTAAGTGAACATGTCTTTGATATAAACAAAGAATAAAAATACAGCTTATCATAAAATATTACACAAGATACAATATTTATCACAGCCTTTAAGATGGCCATTATTTAAAAATAATAGGAAATAAATATTGGCAAGGATGGAGAGAAATTGAAACCTTTGTGCACTGCTGGTGGGAATGTGAAAAACAGAATTGCCACATTATTTTGTAATTCTGCTTCTGGCTATATATATATACCCCAAAGAAGTGAAAGCAAGAAGCTGAACAGTTATTCATACACCCACATTCATAGCAGCATTACTCACAATAGCAAAAAGGTAGAAGCAACGCAAGTATCCATTGATAAATGAATGGATGAACAAAATGTAGTATTTACATATAATGTAATATTGGTCAACCTTAAAAAGGAAGGAAATTCTCATATATCCTACAACTTGGTTAAACCCTAAAGACATTATGCTAAGGGAATAAGCCAGTCACAAAGCACATATACTGTATGATTTCACCATATGAGGTACCTGAAGTAGTAAATTCATAGAGACAGAAAGTAGAACAGTAGTTGCTAGGGACTGTAGGGGGTGGGGTGGAGGAAATGGAGAGTTATTGTTTAATGGGTACAGATTTTTAGTTTTGCAAAATGAAAAAGTTCTGGAGCTAAATGGTGATGATGTTTGCACAACAGTGTCAAAGTATTTAATGCCATTGAATTGGCATTAAAATACATTTACAATGGTTAAAATGGTAAATTTTAAGTACATTTTACCATGATAAAAATATAAGATTTAAAAGAAAAGAATTCAATATTCCTTTCTTACTTAACAAAAATCCATTTCAGAAGATGTAACAAAAATGTTTCTTTTTACTTGATAACTGAAATATGTCTACAAGAGTAAAAGGAGTCCCAATTAGCCATTAATCTTAAAAGCAAATCTTCTTCCCAAACACTATCATGATAAAAGTAAAAGACATTAATGAATTAAGAATAGATTATTGTCATATTATAAGTAACTACAACCACAATCTCACTATTTGAACCAACAAAGTTTGCATAAAATAATAATATTATGTTATTTTCACAAGTTAATGCTGAGATCACTAATAGTAAGTGGGGAAGAATGTGTATAAAAATAAAATTTACATAAATATCATAGAATAAGACTACACCCTAGAAGGAAGGAATGAGAAGATGGGTGGGAAACATACTTTTAAAGGAATGCTAATTTACTGGACTACTTACCAACAGGTTTTTCACAGACAAGGCCATTTGCCATAGATGTACAAGGATTAGCTTTTAAGCCTGCCACTGCAGCCCTTTCCAGATATGCACAAAACCCAGAATCATTGGGTTCGCCAGGAAGCCACTGTAGTGTTGTGTTTGTAAAAGGAGACATGTCTTCCCATCCCCAATAGGATATATTGATCTTGCGCAAGCCTACCCAAGGTGATACTTTCTGTAAACAACAGGAAAAGGGGCATTCAAAGAAAGTTAGATGTAAAAATATGGCATATTCCTTAGCAAATAGTTCACTATCATTAAAAATTATATTTGAAAATATATAAAGCTGCCTTTCTAATGAGTTTTAGTACTAAGAATAATTAACAATTATAGCATATTTTGGAGAATGATGTAGAATAGAACACTGTTTTTAAAACACAGGTTTTATATTTAGCTACATGATTGGAATAATTTATTTAGCCTTCATGAACCTCAGTTTACTCTTCTATAAAGTGGAGATATAATTATCTATCTGATAAGGTAGGATTATTTAAAAACTTAACATATTGTTATTGCTGCTGCTGCTTCTATTACTATTACTACTATCAATGTAATCAGTTATAGGATTAAGACTCTAAAGATAAATTGCCATTATCTGCATTGTGAAACTAGAAAATAAAATCAACAAACAATATATAGAGTCTGAGTGAAGACTTCATAACAAGACCTAGCAAAAAGACTTACAGAAGAATAACTGCCTCTCTCTTAGCTCAGACGTCTACAAATAAATCTGGACTTCTATATGATTTTTGGATAAATTTATGTCATATAATTTTATTAACAAAAAACAACAAAAGTAATAAAATCTGATGCTCGTGCCTATAATTTAACTAAGATTGACAAATACTACATAACTATTCTTAATGCTGTAATATTTCAAAATTAACTTGAAATAAAAATCTTTACCATATTTATAACCTTAATAATTACTCAATTTTAAAATGTTCTTATATTAAAAATGATATATTCATGATCCAAGTTACTAATCTTTACAATTTTTTATATTATAAACATCTCTATTTTAATATATATGATAATAGATTTATTTTCCAAAATACTAAGCTACCAATATTATATTACAATGTGAAATGATGTCAAAACTCCACATTGTTCTTTTTTTTTAAACATTATGGAGTACCAGGATAGAGAAAAATGTTTCTCCACCTTAGACATTAACAACATAGAAATAAGATATTTATATCCAGTATTTATTCTAATTATGATGTGCATATAGTCCTAGAGATCTTAAAAGATAGCCACACCTAGAAATGTGTGCAGAGTACAAATACAATAAATTTCACATAGTAAACACTCAACAAATGTTTCTTGGATAAAATTTAAATATCTTATAAATTCTTGTTATGACAATAGATCTGATATTGCCCAAGTACTGTACATATAGTAGGTAATCAGTAAATTTTGCTAAACAAAATTCATTAGAATAAAAATTGTTATCTTCCATCATCAGCACAGTGCCTAAAACAAAGATGGTACTTAATAAATAATGCTTCTAATTATAAAAACACACATGCTGCTTCACATTGTGACCAGCATATATTTCATATATTATTCTGAAAAATATTTTAATAAGCAAAAACCTAAAACATTCTTATAGCTCTTGATAATAACAGCAGGAGTCAATTCAACATAGATATTTCAGATTAACAACTGTGTTTCACATGACAGCAATTCTGCCTATATCCCTGAACTATCTATAGTCAAGACAAGTCATTTAAAATGAAATATTACTCCCTAACTCATCGTGATAAAAATCTGAGAGGAAGAGGAGGAAAACAGAAAAATGGAGCTGCTGATAAAACATTTAAAGTAACTATTACTCAGTAAATGAACTGGACAGGCAGTTCATTATCTTATGTAAGATAAATAACTATATTATGAAAATTTACTGCAGCACACCATAAATCACTGTAACATTTCATTAGCCATTTCTGATAAGTAAATGATCATTTGACCCAAGATATCTCTATAAAGTGCATGAATTTGTCAATCTTTATTTGCCAAAAAAGGGTTATCTTCAGTTTATACAACTGTAATGACTCAGAATTCATTTTATATAAAGATATGCATAATTGAATGTCACCTTGCAGAAGTCTCCACCTTTGAAATCTTGCTGAAGTTCAGCTTTCTGATAAACCAAAACATTCTTCATTTACAGGGCATGCTAGTTAGCATCACATTCCTTAGCAAATGGAACTTTTGAATGTGTGATGAACTTATCAAGTCTAAGTTCATCACACATTCAAAATAATTATTAGTTCAATCATTATTATTTATAATAGGGAAGAAAAAGTGAACACTAACATAACAATCTTGAAATATGCAATCTCAAAAAAGCACATTTCAAGGTTATATTGTAAGAACTAAAAATAATATGTCTTAAGCAAGAAAGAAAACAACAGAGTTCTAATATCAAATATCAGTACTTTCTAAATATCAGGGAATTTGAATCTGCCAATAATAAGCTCTGCATAAGTGGTAGTGAGAACTAATTTTCACATGTTCATTGGTAATTGTCCCTTTTTTTTTTTTTTTTTTTTAAGACGGAGTCTTACTCTGTCGCCCAGACTGGAGTGCAGTGGCGCAATCTCGATCTTGGCTCACTGCAAGTTCCACCTCCTGGGTTCACGCCATTCTCCTGCCTCGGCCTCCTGAGTAGCTGGGACTACAGGCACCCACCACCACGCCCAGCTAATTTTTTTGTATTTTTTTTAGTAGACACGGGGTTTCATTGTGTTAGCCGGGATGGTCTCGAACTCCTGACCTTGTGATCGGCCTGCCTCAGCCTCCCAAAGTGCTGGGATTACAGGCGTCAGCCACCACGCCCGGACGGTAATTGTCCCTTATTTTTTGTAGTAAAAGAAATAAAGCTCCTGGCATCACAAGAATATAAACAGATTTTAACTTATGTTGTTTGTCCCATATGCTAAAAATAATACTTTACAAATACACCTTGTCACATTCTTCAAAAATATTATAAAACTGATAGGTCTCTCCTACATGCTACCTCATATATCTTATCCTCTAGCCATTAAGCTAGTAGCTCTCAAGACAAGAGAAAAGACTTAGGCATTTCTCTGGCCTCTTTACCAATATTTTCATGTGCTGGCCAACTCCAAATCCTGTAAGACATAGCTAGGGCACTCCTCTAGGAAATTATTCTTAGGTCCACATTACTCGTTAGATGCCTACCCTTTATCTTCATATAGCACCCTGTGTGCATCTATCATTGCAATTATCACATTTCAGTAGAATTGTGTTTGTTTCTCTCCCCACTAAGCTCTTTGAGAACAGCAATTGTCTTTTGATCTCTGTAATCTCAGAAAGCAGTAGATTGCCAAGTACACTGAAAGTAATAAATGTATACCAAATGAATAACTACTGCTCTATCCTTCACAGAAAAATAGCTACAGTTCACAGAAAAGTAGTTTCCTGAATCAACTGTTCATATAAATATGATTAGTATAGTTTTTCTTTACCCTATTAATCCCAGACGTAAAAAAAAAACTTAAGGCCAAGAAGTACCATATTGCAATATCCACTTCAAAATATTTTAATATTTATAAAAGCCAAAGGATATAATTAATTCATCAGTTTTATTAATGGGGAAGAGGGCTTTGGCTGTATAGACAGAAACTGGGGATAGAAATTAGATTATCCATTATTGATACTCATGAGAAATATACATGCTAATATTAATATATTTCATCACAAAAATTAGGGTTGGCAGTAACAGTGGACTGAGTGTCCATACAAAAATTTCAGCAGTGATGTCAGCAAGATGTCTGACTAGAGACACCTGGTGCTCATCCCTACCACAAGAGAGGATTGAGACAATGAATAAAGAGCTATGCTTTGACTGGAGTGTCGAAGGGAGAGTGCTGGAGTGCAGTGGGGGAGTGGAGATGCACCTGTGGTGAATGGAAGTCCAGAAAGGCAGCATGGAGGCACCCAGCCTTTGCCCTGTCTTCTCCACCTGGATTGGATCTGTTTAGGATCAGCAGTGACTTCGTGTTATAGGGAATAGGTAAGGAGAAGATCCCCACCAGCCCCCATTGCTACCAAAAACACCTATAATCCTTACTACAGAAGAATCCCACAGTCCTTACAAGCTCTGAGCCCAGTTTAGAAGCTGCCAGGAATTCCCTCAGCTGCATTGCCCTCAATTAAGAATACAAGGTGTGCACTTCTCATTCCCTACTCAAGCCCTTGAGCCAAGATGCTGCAGCATGGTGCCATGTTGAGACCAGAGCCACCTCTGGAGTGTACCTTGCTCAAGTGTCCAGTAGCCTCTGCATCTCTCCAGTACTGCAGTTCATTTTCGTTCCACCAAGCCCACACAGGCGGCTGAATGCCACAACCCCAGCTGAATGGAGCCTAGGTCCAGGATTGGCTGTGACTCTGGTCCTACACAGCAGGGAAACCAATCCCCACCACTGCACTTCTGAGCCAAAGGAATGTTCTGGCAGTCCCACACAGGACAATGTGGTCCTTGAGCCAGCCAAGCCAGTCAAACCATTGCATGCCCTCCCCCAAGCAGGAGAGGCCCTTGAGACTCTGTGCAGCTAATACGCCCCTAGGCCAGAGGAGCGGCTACATGCCTGCACTCAGGGCCTGAGAAACAGCCACATTGCAACCTCTCCAGGCAGGCCCTTGGCCTGCCTAAAAGCCTTGCACTGGCAATCAGGGCCTAGAAACAGTTCCACAGGCTGCCACTGTTGGGCATGCCTCCAGGCAATACAAGCAGCCATGAGTCCACATCCAGCACCTGAGAAACACCTCTACAGGCCACCCCTGGCAGGCACACCCACAGGCTCGCCAGAAAGCCATATAAGCATATCCTGGGCCTGAGACACGACCCCATGAGGCACTCCCAGCAGATATTCCCCCAAGCCAGCCGAGCAGCAATGCACCTGCATCCTGGGATTAAGAAATAGCCCTGTGGGTTGTTCCTGGCAAGCAAGCCCCCAGGACAGCCAAGCAGCCTTCAACTTGTCTCCTGGGCCTGAAAAACAGCCCCAAAGGCCAACCCTGGAAAAAATCTTTCCAGGCCAACTGAGCAGCTATACACTCACATCTTAAGCTTGAAAACCAATCTCATAGGTTGTTCCTGACAGGCAAGCCCCCAGGTCAGCCAAGTGACTGCATGCCTATGCTCCAAGAGTGACAGTCCTATGACCTCAACCCCAGCAAGCCAGAATGCAAGTTGCCCTACCCACTGTGTGTACTCACATGCCCGTAATCTGAGAAACAGCAAGGTGAGCACACTCTCCAACAAAGCCACATCACCACTGCTACAAACTCTCTTTGCAAAGGCTACCAAGACACTTGAAAATGTCACTACTATGTCACTAATGTGGATTATAGCTGAAGAAACTACATGGAGACTACACTACTTCATCTACCTAGAACCAATACCAATACACCCCATTGAACTAATACCCCAAGACCCATTCATACTAATAATTCTTTCCATACAAAACCTACTCCATAAAATTGGAAGAATTTTATGTAGGAATACATCAAACATGAAAAAGCAAAGAAAACATGATATCCCCAAAGGAAAACAATATTTCTCCACTAATAGAACCCAACATAAGTAAACATATGAAATATCAGAAAGAAAATTCAAAATAATCTTAAGGAACTTCAGTGAGATATAGGAGAATACAGATAGACAATTCAACAAAATAAGAAAAACAATTCATAATTTGGAAGAAAAATTCAACAACAGAGATATCAGAAAAAAAGAACAAAATAAATCCTAGATCTGAAGAATTCAATGAATAAAACTTTAAAAATGCAACAGAGAGCTTCAACCACAGACTTGACTAAGCAGAAAAAATAATTACTCTTTCTTCTTTTTTAACAGAGATGGGATCTTGCTATGTTGCCTAGGCTAGCCTCGATCTCCTGGGCTTACAAGTGATCCTCCTACTTCAGTGTCCCAAGTAGCTAGGACTACAGGTTCACACCACCATGCCCAGCTAGAAGAATCACTGGACTTAAAAGCAAATAACACAGGTAACAAAAATAAAATAGAATATGGAGTGAGGAAGGCCTACAGCATTTACAAGAAACATTTAGTGAAAACCTATTTGTATTATAGGAACTACAAAAGAGAACAGAAGGGAACAGGTGTCTAGAAATATTTAATAAATCACTTGAAAACTTCCCAAGTCTTCAGAAAGAAATGGACATGCAGGTCGAAGAAGCTTAGAGAACACCAAATAGATCCAGCCTATACAGGTCCTCTACAATGCACACAATACTCAAATCATCAACAATCAAACAGAAAGAATTCTAAAAGCAGCAACAGAAAAGCATAAAGTCAGATATAGGAAAATCCCCATTTCAGCAATAGTGAATTTCTTAGCAGAAACCATAAAGGCCAAGAGGAATGGAATGATATATTCAAACTATTGAGAAGAAAACAAAAAACTGTCAACCACAAATATTATACCCAGAAAAGCTATCCTTCAGAAATTAAGGAGAAATAATATCTTCCACAGACAAAATCTAATGAAATTAATCACCAATAGACTAGCCTTACAATAAATGCTCAAAGGAGCCTAACATCTAGAACAGAAAAGATGATAACCAACATAATGAACATATACAAAATTATAAAACTCACTGGTAGAGCCAACACACTAAGGAGAAAGAGAAAGAAATAAAACCATATCACTACAAAAAGCCATGTAACTACAAAAATAAATAATAAGAGAGGAAGAAAGGAACAAAGGATAGAAAGGATATACAAAGGAAGAAAAGATGTATGAAAACCAGAAAACAACCAATAAATTGATAGGAATAATTCTCACCTTCCAATAATAACCTTGAAAGTAAATGAATTCCCTTACTTAAGAGATATAGACTGTCTGAGGGTATTTTTTAAAAAAATAACTAACAATATGCTGCCTAAGAGAAACTTACCTCACCTGGAAAGACATATATAGACTAAAAGTGAAGGGATGAAAAAAGATATTCCATGCAAACAGAAAGCAAAAGTGAACAGGAGTAGCTACACTTATATCAGACAAAGCAGACTTTAACTCAAAAGCTGTAAAAGAGATAAAGAAGCATATTATACAATAAGAAAGGGATTAATTCAGTAAGAGACTATAAATTGTAAATATACATGCACCCAATGTTGGAGCACTTAGATACATAAGGAAAATATTATTAGATATAAAAAGAGAAATATGCCCCAAAACAATAATACTTGGAGACTTCAACACCATGCTCTCAGCATTGGACAGATGATCTAGACAGAAAATCAGCAAAGAAACATCAGATTTAAACTGCAGCATAAACCAAATGGATCTAACAGACATTTACAGAACACTGTACTGAAGAATACACATACTTTTCATCAGCATGTGGAACATTCTCCAGGAATGACCATATATGGTAGGACACAAAGCAAATATCAACAAATTTTTAAAAATCAAAATCATACCAACTATCTTACATGACCACAATGGAATAAAACTAGACATTAGTAAAAAGAGGAACATTCAAAACAATGTGAATAAATGGAAATTAAACAATATAGTCCTCAACACTGGGTGAAGAAAGAAATTAAGAATGAAATTTAAAAATTACTTGAGACTGCTGAAAACAGAAACACAACATACCAAAGCCTATAGGATATAGCAAAAGGAGTACTGAAAGGGAAGTTTATAGTAATAAACATCTACATCAAAAAAAACAAACAGAATGATTTCAAATAAACACCCTAATGTTGCATCACAAAGAATTAGCAAAGTAAGAAAAAAAAAATCCAAAATTAGAAGAAGGAAAAAAATAAAGATCATGGCAATCATGATCTTTATTGAAATGAAATCAGGACTAAAATAATACAGAAGATCAATGACACAAAATGTTGGTCTTGTTCAAAAAATAAAGAAAACTGATAAACCATTTGCTAGACCAAACAAGAAAGAGAGAGGACCCAGATAAATAAAATCAGAAGTGAAAATTCAGGAGACATTAAAATAACACAGAAACATAAAGGGTCATTAGAGACTACTATAAACAACTATATTCCAAGAAATTGAAAACTTACAGGAAATGAATAAATTTCTGTACACATGAAACCTAGAAATTGAACCAAAAAGAAATAGAAAAGTTGAAAATACCAACAAAATTCATGATTTTGAATGAATGATGAAAAGTCTCACAACAAAGAAAAGTCCAGGACCAGATGGCTTCACTGCTGAATTCTACCAAACCTTTCAAAAATAATTAAAACCAATTCTTCTCAAATTATTTCAAAGAACTGAAGGAGAGGGGATTTTCTTAACTCATTCTATGAGGTCAGCATAACACTGATACCAAAACCAGACAAGGACATTAAAAAAAAAAAAAAAAAAAACCTAGAGGCCAATATCTATGATGAACATATGCAACAATGCTCAACAAAATACTAGCAAAATGAATCCAACAATATCAGAACAATACACACCATGACCAAGAAGGATTTATCCAAGGGCTACAAGGATGGTTCAACCTACATAAATTAATAAACATCAAATATCACATCGATAGAAGGACAAAAACCATACAATCATCTCAATAGATGCAGCAAAAGCATTCAACAGAATTCAACATCTCATCAAGATAAAAACTTAAATTAGGTATTTACATAGGAATTACCTAATTTAGGAAGGAAATAAATAAATAAATACCTTTATTTAGGAAGGAATGTACCTGAAAATAATAAAGGCCATATGTGACAAACCCACAGCTAACATCATACTGAACAGGAAAAGCTAAAAGCCTTTCTTCTAAGAATTGGAACAAGACAAGGATACCCATTCTCACCACAATTATTTAACACAGCACTGTAAGTCCATGGCCAGGGCAATTAGGCAACAGAAGAAATAAAAGACATCCAAATTGAAACAGAAGAAGTCAAAGTGTCCCTGTTTGTAGATGACATGATACAGAGAAAAACCTTAAGACTCTTATACAAGAACTAGAAAGAAATTATTTAGGTAGATAGTGAGGGTAAGAGAGTCCTGAGCAAGACTTCCCTTTTAACAAAAAGCAGCTCCAAAATCATTATTTTTCTAACAAAGAGCAGCCTGTGAAATTGAGCTGCAGACAGAGATAAGAAAGCTGGAAGCTTACACCGGTGAATGCCGGCAGCTGTGCCACTAGGTGAAGGCTACCTGGGGGCCAGGCATGTTCAACGTGGAGGCTACATCTTCCCTTTTCTTTGTCAACCACGTGTACAGTAAAGGAACAGGCAACATGGCACTAGCCAAGTAGAGAACCCATCTACATAATAAAAGATTAAGGTAGGGCAGCCAGCTTCTTCACTATGTAAATGACACACCTGGTCAGATCAATCTTTTGGGCTCTATGTAAATCAGACACCACCTCCTTAAGCTTGTCTATAAAACCCCATGCATTTCACCACAGAACTAGAAGACCCACTCCAGAGCCCCTCTCTCTCTGCAGGAGAGAAAGGTTTTCTCTTTCTTTCACCTATTAAACCTCTGCTCTTTTTTGGACGGGGGTGGGGGGCTGCAGTTTCACTCTTGTCACCCAGGCTGGGGTGCAATGGCACGACCTCAGCTCACTGCAACCTCCGCCTCCCAGATTCAAGCAATTCTCCCGCCTCAGCCTCGGAAGTGGCTGGGATTACAGGCGCCCGCCACCAGGCCCAGCTAATTTTTTATATTTTTAGTAGAGACGGCGTTTCACCTTGTTGGCCAGGCTGGTCTCAAGCTCCTGATCTCAGGTGATCCATTCGCCTCAGCCTCCCAAAGTGCTGGAATTACAGGCATGAGCCACCATGCCTGGCAACCTCTGCTCTTAATTTCACTCCTTGTGTGTCTGTGTCCTTGATTTCCTTGGTGTGAGGCAAAGAACCTCGGGTATTACCCTAGAGGAATGACACCACTTCAACTCTACCAGAAAACTCTTAGTACTGATAAACTAATTCAGCAAAGTTTCAGGTTACAAAATCAACACACAAAAGTCGGTAGCACTTCTATACACAAACAACAAACTAGGTGGAAAATAAATCAAGAAGGTAACACCATTTACAATACTTAGAATTAATTTAACCAAGAAGGTAAAAGACCTCTACAAAAAAAAAAAACTACAAAACACTGATTAAAGAAATTGAAGAGTATCCAAACAAATGGAATGACATTCCATGCAAATGGATCAGAAGACTTAATATTGTTAAAACAACCATGCTACTCAAAGCAATCTACAGACTCAATGCACTACCTATAAAATACCAATGACATTGTTCACAGAAATAGGAAAAGCAATCCTAAAACCTGTATGGAACAAAAAAGAGCCCTAATAGCCAAAGCAATCCTGAGCAAAATGAACAAAGCTAGAGCTATCAAACTACCAGGCTTCAAAATACACTACAAAGTTGTAGTAAACAAAACAGCATGGTACTGGTATAAAAACATAAACATACACCAGTTGAAGAGAATAGAGAACCCACAAATAATTCACATAGCTGCAGCCAGCTGATTTTTGACAATTACACCAAGAACATGCATAGGGGAAAGGACAATCTCTTCAATAAATAGTACTAGAAACACTGGATCTCTATATGCATTAGAATTAAACTAGACCCCCACCTCTTACCCTATACAAAAACAACAACAAAAAAATGGATCAAAGAACTAAATTTAAGGCCCAAAACAATAAAACTGCTAGAAGAAAACATATGAAAAAACTTCAGGAATGGGTTTACTAAAAGATTTTATGAACAAGACCTCAAAAGCACAGGAAACTAAAGCAAAAATAAACAAATGGTATTAAATAAAAATAAAAAGCTTCTGCACAGCAAAGGAAACAACACAGTGAAAAGACAACCTACAGAAAGGGAGATTATATGGTTTGGCTGTGTTCCCATCCATATCTCATCTTGAATTACCACGTGTTGTGGGAGGGATCTGATGGGAAGTAATCGAATCATGGGGGCAGGTCTTTCCTGTGCTGTTCTCATGATAGTGAATAAGTCTCACAAGATCTGATGGTTTTAAAAAGAGGAATTCCCCTACACAAGCTCTCCCTCTCTTTCCCCGCTGCCATCCATGTAACATGTGACTTTCTCCTTCTTGCCTTTTGCCATGATTCTGAGGCCTCCCCAGCCATGTGGAACTGTAAGTCCATTAAACCTCTTTTTCTCCCCAGTCTCGGATATGTCTTTATCAGCAGCATGAAAACAGACTAATAGGAGAAAATATTGGTAAACTATTCATTTGATAGGGAATTAATATCCAGAATATATAAGGAACTAAAAAATTTCAACAGCAAAAGAACCACAATCTGAATTAGAAAAGAACAAATGATCTGAACAGACATCTCCCAAAAGAAGACATACAGGCCGGACACGGTGGCTCATGCCTGTAATCCCAGCACTTTGGGAGGCCATGGTGGGCGGATTACCTGAGGTCAGGAGTTCGAGACCAGCCTGGCCAACATGGTGAAACCCTGTCTCTACTAAAAATACAAAAATTAGCTGGGCGTGGTGGCACACGCCTGTAATCCCAGCTACTCGGGAGGCTGAGGCGGAAGAATTGCTTGAGCCCAGGATACGGAGGTTGCAGTGAGCCGAGATCATGCCACCGCACTCCAGCCTGGCCAACTGAGCGAGACTGTCTCAAAAAAAATAAAAAAAAAAAAAAGAAGACATACAAGTGACCAACAAAAGTGTGAAAAAAATGGTCAACATCACTAATCATCAGGGAAACAAAAATAAAAACCACAACGAGCTATCATCTCACCTCCAGATGTCTATTATCAAAAAGTCAAAAAATACTGGTGAGGATGCAGAGAAAAGGGAATTCTTATACGTTGTTGGTGGGAATGTAAATTAGTACAGCCCCTATGGAGAACAATATAGAAGTTCCTCAGAAAACTACAAATAGAACTATCATTTGTTCCAGCAATCCCACTACTGGACATTTATCCAAAGGAAAGAAAATCAGTATATCAATGGGATACCTGCATTCTCATGTTTATTGCAGCACTATTCACAATAGCCAAGATGTGGAACCAACCTGGGTTTCCAACAAGAAAAAAATAGATAAACAAAATGTGGTAAATATAAGTAAGGGGATAATATTCAGTCATTAAAAAAGAATGAAATCCTGTCATTCATGGCAACATGGATGGAAGTGGAGGACATTTTGTTAAGTAAAATAAGAGAGGCCCAGAAAGTTACACACCCTGTGTTCTCATTCATAAGTGGAAGCTAAAAAAAAAAAAAAAAAAAAAAACAGTTGATCTTATAGAAGTAAAATGTAGAGGAGAGGTACTAGAGGCTGGGAAGAGTAAGGCGAAAGGGAGGGATAAGAAGAGATTTATTAAAGGATTGAAAATTACAGCTCGATAAGATGAATAAGTTCTAATGTTCTATAATAATGTAGGATGACTATTGTTAACAATAATATATCACATAGTTTCAAATGGCTAGAAGGAGGATATTGAATGTTCCCAACACAAGTAAATGATAATAAATGTTTGACATAATGGATATGCTAATTTCCCTGATTTGCTCACTATACATTATATGTATTAAACCAGCACTATGTACCCCATAAATACATACAATTCTTCAGTGACAATAAAATAAATTTTAATAGAAGCTTGAACAAAAAAATGTACTTACCATAGAAAAATTAAGACATTTTTCCACAATCAGTTTCAATATTAACTATTTACCAGAAATATTCATTTAGTTACCTAAAAATTCATTGTCTAAATAATGATTCCTGGAAATAGTAGTAATAGCAGTAGTGGGAACAAAGACAAAAAAATAGTATCCCTTAAAATGGAAATAGTAAAAATTGTAACCAAAGTTAACTCTCAAAAATAAATTTTTCTATATTCTTTACATGCAGTATCTCATTTATTACCCACAATAAACATATGAAGTAGCCATGATTATTATGCCAGTTTACACATGAGAAACATAGAGCTAGGGATGTTAACTTGCTACTAAGTTGTAGAAATAAGCATATGTCCAGATTTTATGCTGTCCACCATTTTGATATGCTATCTACAATGCTTCTTTAAAGTAAGCTGTAACAAGTAAGCATTACTTGTTTCTATATAGCAAGTAATTGGTAACATAGTCATCTCTCTGTATCCATGGAGGATACGGAGGTCCCTTGTGGATTCTAACATCCATAAATATCATACCCCTTATGTAATATAAAATGGCATAGTATTCCAAGTAACCTATCCATATCCTCCCATATACTTAAAATCATCTCTAGATTATTACTGAATACAATGTAAATGTTATTGAATAGCTGTTATGCCGTATTGTTTAGAGACTAATGGGAAGAAAAAAAGTATGTACATGTTCAGTACAGACACAACCATACTTTTTAAAAATATTTTTCATCTGCGGTTGGTTGACTCCATGAATGCAGAATCCATAGATACAGAGGATCGACTATAATTGCTCTGAAAAGTTTTCAGCAAAAATTGTTTCTGCCACACTATACCAAGTGCAGTTATAATTCTTAAATTATATACTCTTTAAGTGTATCTATTCATATAAGATCACTTCTTGGTAAGGTAATACAGTGGTTTACTCTGCAAAAAGTGATAATTTACAAAACCTTATTACCTTATTACTTATACAAAATAAGTCTTCTGCCAATTCACTTGAGAAATCAATTTCACTTTTATTTCCAAAATTAGCAACAATAATGTATTAAAACCAAAAAAAAATTTCAAATAATTATGAAATTATCATAGCATATTTCCATAATGTAAACAAGTAGAAATGTTACCTGTTGTGTATACTTCTGTATTTCATCCAGAACAAATTCTACTTCTTTTGAGGTTGTTAATGAAGCAAGATTTCCACTAAGATTATAGCAATAAAGTTTTGCATTGTCATAGTTTTCTCTACTGGAATTGACTCTAAGACAAGCATCCCCAATATGACTCCATCCTTCTCCACAAAGATGAGCTAGTAAGAAAAAAAATGTGTCTTATTGTTAGATTACCAAAAAGCAAATGTATTTTTCAATTATTTCAAAGTACTTCTGTATTTGTTTAAATTATTTTTGAAATAAAACATATTAAATATCTCAATATTTCAAATAAATTTTTCTAATAGTTTGGTAGAGAATGAAAGCAGAACATCCCAACTTTTTCTTTAAATCTTAAACATGAGATAAATTATGGCTCTATGACATCTGTTAAATGTGTTGACTGCTAGGTTTTCTGTGTAACATCTGGTATATTGGCATATGGTATTTCAATAAGTAAAATCACTACTATATTTATGTCCCAAGGTCTAGTTTACATAAGACAAGATTACTTTAATAGAAAAACAACAAGCTTATAACAGAAGCAGTTTCAAAGTTACTCCTATAAGTGAAGCTAATTGACCTCTAAATCTAATTTCTATAGCTCAGGTATATAGTTGTGGTATAAGTTGGGTTCTCTGATTCTTTCATAAGCATGGGTAGAGAAGTCTCATTTCACTTATGATTAGTAAAGTAGCTATGATCTTTCCTTGCTAATGTTTATTTTTACACAATTATTCATGTCTTTCTAAAAATGAAACATACTGTTCAGTAATAATGGTTTATCTATAGAATCCAAATTGAACTTGAAACACCGTTTTCCAAAACACAGGTTTATATAATATATTAATAAGGCTAAACTTTAGTGTGCACTAATTAATAATAGTGTTTCATTGATATACTGATCTATAAAGTTAGATTACATTTTAGTTTCTATATCATATGAAATGTATTAGCGCCTCTAGCCCTGTATGAAGGACCTTGGATATATTGCTGCAACTCTTATAAAGTTGTTCTAAAGCAGCTGTTCTCAAATTTTTGGTCTTTAAGTCTTAAAAATTATTGAGGGTCCCACAGAACTTCTCTTTATGCATGCTATATCTACTGATTTGGAGCGTTTTAAAATTAAAAATGGTTTTAAAATTAAAAATGGTAACTTTAACAAATACATGTATTTATTCATTTAAAATAATAATTTTAAACCCCACTATAAATGCACTCTTCCAGCTGCTGAGATGTCTTGCCCCACTATGGTATACAAATAGGCCCAAAGGAAACGTATCCTCAAATTCCCTTCCCGAGGGAAAGTAGCTGACAATTCAAATTAGACCTCAGCATCAAAAAATAAAGAAGGATTAATGAATGAATAGGGGATGGATAGGCAGAGAGATCAGGGATAGTGCAGATAGAGCAATATGTTAATTGCAGAATCTAGAATGTAGGTATTGGGTGTCCTCTCCACAATTATTTCTGTTTTTTAATATTTCTGTTTTAATATTTCATAACAAAATGTTGAAGGGGAACATTACAACTTAATAGCATATTTTATTTTTATTGTTTTATATTTTTGTAAATGTCTTCAATATTTGGCATTTGACAGCTATATTCTCATACCTTCTTCTACATTCAGTCTATTGGAATAGCATACAACAGATAGCCGTTATAAAACTCCATGGTAAACCCATAACAAATGGAAAATTTTAAAAGCAAATAATGTCTCAGTACTATTAGTCTTCACCAAATGGACCCACTCGAAAGCATCTTGGGGACTCCTGTTCGTTCACGGTTGCTGCTCTAAGGATTAAATTGGGTACCATGAAAATCTCACAGCAGTTGGAACATAGTAATCCCTCAATAAACTATAATTATCATTTAATAAGACTGTGTAGCATGCCCTGGTTTTCAGTTTGAAGCTATATGTGTTTCAATTTTCACAGTCCTTTTAAATCCAAAATACCAAAAAACTTTTCCTTACAATGCAAACGTTTTCTTAAATTACGGTTTTTTCTCACCTTACTGAATCAAGGAAGAATTTAGATTATTATTGCCTGTCTCCTCATTTATTTTTTAGTGAGAACAAAAATAGTTCATTGACAAATCATACAAATAAAAACAAATGCATGGGCCTTTGTGGCTAAACTAAATTATACTACCAAACCAAATATTTTTATACTTCAGGCTTTTGTAGTATTAAGCAACAACTTAGCAGTGGGGTTAAAAGGAAGGCAATTAATTTATAATGAGTTTAGTGAGATAAATTCAAATTGCCAAGCTCATATGAGATCAATGTAAAAAAAATGCAATACACCAATTGTCATGGAATTGTACAACTGCTCTACAGACTGGGCCCTCTATTTAGAGCATTCACTTCCTTGAGATAAGCTGAATGGAAATCAAACGATATATAACCAGTTGGCTGCTTAGTAAATATGAATTAAGAAAAGAGAATTTGTGCATAATATATTTCATTACATTTCCAAAATAATAGCCTGGTCAAGTGGAGCCTTTATAACAAAGCAACATTTTTTTCCTAGGGAATGAGTAGATGAGTACTACCAAAAGTAACTTTACTATCATTTTTCCAAACTTCCACTGGCAACTAATTTCCATTCTTATCAAAGTAATATTCCTTGAAATGTATACATTCCTTCATTCAAATCTTATTTTGGTCCAAGATTAACCTTGTCATTTTCAGGAAACTTTGTAAATATTTTCATTGATCTACATTTTCATTTTATAGTTTAATTCTGAGAGACCAATACCACTTTCAACTTCTTAGTATCATCTCACTGTTGCTTCTTAAACCCTGCCTACTGCATTATTAATACTATCTTTCTCAAAATGAGCACACATGCACATCGCACTGTTTAAAGGCTTTAAGGGCCAGTATGTAAACAAAATTCAAAGTATGAATGACATTCCAGCGCCTCAATGGTGTGTTTGTTTGTTCGTTTGTTTTTGAGACAGAGTCTCACTCTGTCACCCAGGCTGGGGTGCAATGGCGTGATCTCTGCTCACTGCAACCTCCACCTCCTGAGTTCAAGTGATTCTCCTGCCTCAGCCTCCCGAGTAGCTGAAATTACAGGTGCCCACCACCACACCCAGCTAAATTTTGTATTTTTAGTAGAGACGGGGTTTCACCATGATGGCCAGGCTGGTCTTCAACTCCTGACCTCAAGTGATCCACCCACCTCAGCCTCCCAAAGTGCTAGAATTACAGGTGTGAGACACCGTACCTGACCGCAATGGCATTTTTAAAGGCAGAATAATTTTGATTTTTATCACATTAACTTGTAAGAAAGATTCTCTTTCAGACAAATTCTGTGATGGAATTTTCCAATATGTTTTAGAATTAAATAGGCTCAGAAACTTTTCTTTAAAAAAAAAGTGGGGGTAGGGGGCTAGGGGAGGGATAGCATTAGGAGGAGAAATACCTAATGTAGGTGATGGGTTGATGGGTGCAGCAAACCACCATGGCATGTGTATACCTATGTAACAAACCTGCACATTCTGCACAAGTACCCCAGAACTTAAAGTATAATAATAATAAAAAAATAATTCCACCTTTAAAAAAAAAAAACCTGGGATAAAGAGAGGTAAAATACTAAACAGAAATAAAACACCTAGTTAATAGCTACAACTCTGTCATTTACAAGTCACATAATTTTGAGCATATCACTTAACCAGCATGGATCTCAGTTTATCTGTATAACAAGCAGAACTGGTTAAATGCCTGTATTACCTTTCAATTTTCTAATTTTATCTTTTATATTTCAAAGGAAGAGTACTTAGCATCCACTAGCAATGTTAACTGTGAAAAAATGAAATTACTTTTAAAAATGAGCTTTGCTGTAGTTTATAAAATTCGGATTCTCATAAAAGCACATATTTATTATAAGAAATGTGAACACATGGACACAGGAAGGGGAACATCACACTCTGGGGACTGTTGTGGGGTGGGGAGAGGGGGGAGGGATAGCATTGGGAGATATACCTGATGCTAAATGATGAGTTAATGGGTGCAGCACACCAGCATGGCACATGTATACATATGTAACTAACCTGCACATTGTGCACATGTACCCTAAAACTTAAAGTATAATAATAATAATTTTAAAAAAATAAAAAAAGAAATGTATTTATTATAAAATTATATTATATAGGATAATATATTAAAATATAATTTATATTATATTATATATTATAAATGTAATATAATAAATATATAAATTTATGGTTTAAATTTATTAAATATATAAATTATATATTTAGTTAAAATTACTAGATATATAATTTTAATAAATATATGTTACATATTATATAAGTAATATATTTATGTATTTATTGTTAATATATTATATATATAATATTTTTAAAACCCTGGGATATGGAGAGGGAAAATATATAATATATATATTTTAGGATACAGAGAGGCAAAATATATAATATATAATTAATATGTTCTATATTATTGTTGCCTTAAAATATTTTTTATAAATGTTATAATGTATAATGAAAATATGCACTGAGTTTGGAAAATAAAAGGCACTTAAATAAAATATAACAAAATGTTAGTATTTGTTAAATCTGAATATTAAGTCTGAGTGCTTATTATTTTCTACATTTTTAAGATTTTTTTCGATGAAAAGGTATCTAATCAGTTCAACAGTATCATAAACATATGAACACCTTAAAATAATTGGAAGCAAATATGTAATCAAAAAACTTTTCTTGTAGAAACAGTGTTATTAGTACTACAATATTATAGGTTGATATTTACTATGACTTTAATTTTAGAAAATGTAGTGTCCTTACTAAATGTACTTTTCTATGTCAGTATTTATCTGTAGACCATAAACTCATTTACTAAATTTTGAAATCTTTACCTGGTAAAGCCTGGCATTCTTGCTGTCTCTGATCCCACTGGCAATTCAAGTTTAGTGAACAGCTTTTACAGCTGGTAAGTTTGTTACAAATCTGCTCATTTCTCACATGACATTTGGTGTAGTTCTTGACAGACTACAAAATTAAAAGAGCATGTTATTTTTCACCTTTGTACAGCAATGATTCTTAAACTTCAGTGTATATTTAAATCCTCTGGTGAACTTTAAAATAAACATTTCTAACTCCAAATACAATTCAACTGAATCAGACTCTCCCTTATTTATTTCATTAGTTTATTAAATTAAATTAAATTTGGCCTGAAGCTGCCTCTACAAGTGGTGAACTACAACCTAATTTAGGATTAAACAAACTGCAACCTAACTTACAAGCATATTCTTGTAACAGATAGTTGAGTCCCAGCCAATCACAGCAATAGAGGCATATGTTTCAATGGACAAACTGCAAAATATTCAAATAAGGTATTATAAACACAATGGCATTAGGCAAAGCTAACTACACTGCCTTGTTCAAAGGTATTACAAATTAAAATGGCAATCATATCCACTCCCACTGGAAAACATAGATTGACCCCTTATAAAATGGTTACTGGAAGGCCTACGCCCGTAATAATAGAACCTCATGTATTTACTGCTTTTATAAACTCTGACATGACTTGATATTGCAAGGCTTTAATGCATTTTGCCAAGGTATATTTTCACCAGATAGAAGAAGCCCCCACGAACTGATGACAACCAGACTTTTCATGGTCTACACCCCGGAGACTGGGTCTTTTCAAAAGAGACACCAGAGAAAGACTGCCCTTGAAGTCAGCTGTAAGGGACTACACGAAGTTCTTCTCTGCAGCAAAACTTCAGGGCCTTGAGCCTGAGCCTTGGATCCACATTTCTCAATTTAAGAGGACCCTTCCCAGTCTCAGGACAGTACACCCACTGGAAACCTCAAGGCAAAATTGACCAGGGACCTTTCTCCTCAGAAACAAATGACATCCTAGACATGAAAGCTTTCCCAAGAAGACAGATCAAGACTTCTTTCCTTAGTCACCATGAAACCATGGTCCTTTTCCTCTTTTCTCTGTTTTTATTTTTTATATATACCCAGGAAGATAACATGCTTATTATGATTTCATAATCAATAGCTTTTGCAGGCAACGTAACTGAATGTTGGATATGTTATGTTAAACACAAATCCTTAAATGATCTTAGAGATTCTCTGCTTCACCTTCTAACAAATTTCTCTGATGTTCTAAGAGCAATATCTGGTCCTTTGTACAGGGTTAGGCTTTTAGCTTCACACATCAGGTTCTTCGTTTAAATCTGACAGTAGTCAAAACCTATGAGGGATTTGCAGTTACATTATGCCAGAAATGGAATAGGATAACCAAAAGAAAGGTAATTCAACAGTTTGTAGAGAAATTTATCACCCTAATCCCTTTAATTGTCAAGATCCTTCAACCATGCAATGATTTCATAATGGAGCCTTGGAGAAATATTACTAGTGCTTCTCTACTGTGGCCCCTAACACACAAGGCAAGGAACTGTCTGTCGTGCCTCACCAGGGTATATTTTTATCTGTATAGGATTTAACAACCAACCATATATGTGAGCAACTCCATGTCTCAATAAGTGGAAAATGTTGAATAGGGATTTTAACAGTAATACTGTTAGAATTGTCATGATTATTTCCAATAACCAATTGGAAATTGAACATTGGTCTACACCTCTTAATTTAACTATAGAATAAAGAGGAGTTTGCAAGCAAGTCTAAGTATCCCTAAACAGGCATCTTTTGGTAGAATGCTCCTTCCCTGGCTTGGCATAAATGTAAATGAGACTATGATTAGAAATCTGTCGCAAACATTAGCTACTATAGCAGAAATTGGCTACAGTTGCCCATCAAACATCTTTAAATTCTCTTGCTAAAGTTGTTTTAGATAACATGGTTGCTTTGGCCTATCTGTTGACTGAAGAGGGAAGAGTGTGTGCAACAGATGACACCTCCTATTGCCCTTGGAAAATTATGTCCGACATGATAGAAATTCAGTTTTAAGAAATCAACAAACAAGATAATTGATTAAAACAAGTAGATTCCTCTTCTGGCTTGTTGTTGATATATTTGATTTTGACCAATTTGATTCATGGAAGCACCTATTAAGAAGTATAGTTCAGTCTCTTAATATTACCCTCATGATAGTCATTATTATAATAGTCTCCTTAGTATGCCATATCTTCTCAAGAGTCTTTATTATTATTATTATTTTTTTTTTTTTTGAGACAGAGTCTTGCTCTGTCGCCCAGGCTGGAGTGCAGTGGTGCGATCTCGGCTCACTGCAAGCTCCACCTCTCGGGTTCATGCCATTGTCCTGCCTCACCCTCCCGAGTAGCTGGGAATACAGGCGCCCACCACCACACCCGGCTAATTTTTTGTATTTTTAGTAGAGACAGGGTTTCACCATGTTAGCCAGGATGGTCTCGATCTCCTGACCTCATGATCCACCTGCCTTGGCCTCCCAAAGTGCTGGGATTACAGGTGTATGCCACTGTGCCCGGCCCCTCTCAAGTCTTATATGTTCATATGCAGCCATCTGTTATATATCAGATGGTCTCACTATAGTTAAAATAATAAAAACACAAAGAGAATATAAAAAAATCATCCAACTGACTTGACATTGCAAATTGTGAATTCCATATTCAGACAAAACAAGTCCATTATGATAGTGACAGAAAGTAGTATTAGTGCCTAAGGTTTTTGGTCAATTTCTCAAAACTGACAGCTGGCCAAAAGGGGAGATTAAATTAAATTTGGCCTGATATAGTATGTAAACAAACTGCAACATAATTTGAGTGTATTCTTACAACAGATAGCTTAGTCTCAGCTAATCACAGCAGCTGAGCTTCAGCCAAACACATGCTGCCAACTGATCAGACTATTTCCATACAAGGTAAATGCCTCATCACACCATGCCCAAATAGGGCAAATGGTGACCTGTAGCCAATCAAGATGTTCCTAAACGTCACTTCCTTTTTCTGTCTAAAAATACTTCCTGCTCACATTGATAGCTGGAGGTGTCCGAAGCTCTTGGTTCAGAATGCTGCTCAATTCATGAATCAATCTTTGTTCAAATAAGCTCTGCTAAATTTATTTTGTCCCAAGTTTTTCTTTTAACAAGTTAAACTATTGTTCTTGGAATTGGAATGAATGTTTATTAAAAAATGAAGTGTGCAAATTACATAATTTTAAACAGGCACCATCTAATGAAAACTTTTTCCAGTGAATTCGAAAACAGCCTTCCAATTCAAAAAATAAAGTCATGTACAAAGTCATTTCCATTAATGATGACATAAAATGGTTCTAGTCTTAATAAAAGTATCATGCAGACCCCTGGGAATGAGGCAGAAATGAAAAGTAGTAAAAGGTAAAAAGATGCTTTATCAAAACCCAATACAATATAAAAAGATAAATGACTGTCACAACTCAAACTAATTTTACTTCCACAGACACTAAATAATGGTTCTGGTTGATTGAGATTTCTTCTGTATATATCTGTCACATTTCCTCCATTGAGGCTTCAAAGAATCTGCAAAAGTTTTATTTTGTTTCCAAATCTACATAATGTAATCATATTTCAACTAATCTGGCATTGAGAGATTAAAAGTTAATTTCCAATAAAGAAAAAAAGTAGACAATATAGAAACTTTGATGGTGGTTCCTTACATATACCCAGGTTCAGATAATTCACATATTATCAATACCTATGATAAAACCTAACTCATGAAAAATAGATATTAAAATTTTTGGCTCAGCTTTTCCTGTGGCTCTACTTTATAAGAAAAAAAAATACAAAGATTTAATGCTAAACATTGAGCCCCCACCTCAATCTTTTTGTTTTGTTTTGACTATAGGTATAAATACCTCAGGCCTTCTCATGTAATGGAGCTAAATATTTGTTTTCACTCAATAAAGTTAAGAGTTAAAATTAAGTTATAGCTATCCTATAGATAAAATTTATTGAAGCAATTTTTAACCACTTAGAGACTTTAAATGTCACTCACCAAGTATTTATTTATAAGCCACTTCCTTCATAAAATACATTGCCATCACCTCCATTCCAAAGGTGTTAATTTCTATTAGAGCATTTTACACTTACTGTAAAGTAGCAGATAAAAAGTACCCAGATATAATTTTTATCTTTATTCATCCTAAAAAATTACAGAAGATACATTTTTGTAAATTTGAAATCATTTTATGACTTTTTCAACCACTTCATTTTCATTAGAAACATACTTTCTTATTGTTATTTGTTCTGATTCATAATTTTTTGTTTTCATATAGTATATAAATATTAGCATTATTCTATATAATCATTACAGTATAGTTCTAAACATTTGATAGCTAACTAAAAATAATTAAATTTACCTGAAGTATCAGATAAATAAAATAACCTATAAAAATGACATGAGAATGGCTAAACATGTTGGAATAAGAAAAAGAATAATAGTTTTATGTCAATCTTTAGAATAACAATGGTAACAGAGTCTCCATCCAAATAACTCTACTGCTCTTCATTAAGAAAAATATAGTCATTTATTGATACTAAACAAGTACAAAAAATGAAATTATATTTCAATCACACATAGAGCCAAGTTAATCAATGGTAAAAGAAAGCTATTATTCTGAAACATAGCTGGCATTTTTGGCCTAATGAACCAGACACGCTTATGAATAGTAACCACTACTCTACTGATCTTCACTCTAATATACTGACATGTAAATTGTAAATGAAAATATGTGAGAATAAAGCACATTGTTTGACCTATATGAAATAGGATATCAATGTACATAATCTAGACTGAAATCCCAAAGACCTCTCTTTGCCATTAACATTTGGTTTAGCTTAATCACAAGACATTCTGATAAAACTGTCTAAAGGACACATTACATCAAATTCTAAATTACAAGTGAGTACCATCTGCTCTCTTACACTATCTCACCCAATGTTTTCCTTGTTAACACATCATCATTGAATAAAATATAAAGCAAAATGCCACTTTATAAATACTTGATAGCAATTTACATAATACAATTTTTAAGATATGTCTGTTTTCACTCAGATATGTTGTATTTTCATATGTAAATGTCTGTCATGGACTGAATGTTTGCATCTCCCAAAATTCATATTTTGAAACCCAATCCCAATGTGATGTTATTAGGAGGTGCAACTTTTGGGACGTAATTTAATCATAATGGTGGAGTCCTCATATATGGGATTAACACCATTATAAGGGGTTGAAGACACAAGAGCTCCCCTTCTACCAGGGGAGGAAGCAGTGAAAAGACATCTACTGTGAACCAGAAAGTAGGCCGTCACCAGATACCAAATCTACTACCACCAAGATCTTGGACTTCCCAGCCTCCAGAACGGTAAAAGTATTGGAAAATGATAGACGAAACATAAAGTTGGATCAGGCAAAATTTATTGATATGGGCTCACTAAGCAGAAATTATACATTTGATGTTATAGCTTGGAGAGTTAGAAAGGGCTCTTTCTGTTAGTTGGCTAAAACATAGACCAAAAGGTGGCCCACAGTGAGTGACTTGGAAATGCTGGATCTGCCTTGGTTTAATATAGAAGACATTTAATGGCTTAGGGAGATTGGAATGTTAGAGTGGATTTGTCCTTTAAGATCTGCTCACCCTCACTGAGAGGGTCCAGAAGACACACCTTTCACCAGTATTGAAAGGAATAAACTTGGGAGGGGAGCACTGGCATCCTTGAAGAGCTCCATGATTGCTGTTTTCTGTATGCCCAGCCTTGCAGTGGGAAGTGCAGCCACTGAATTGGGAAACATAAATGCAACAGGAATAATTGGATCTAGGTTGGCAGGGGCTAGGTAGCAGCACTCAACTAACAAAGGCAAGGTGGGTGAGGTTACTATGATGAACAGCAGAGTTAAAGCAGCAATTGGAATAGTCTGACTTGCTTACATCTATGGCATTGGTGAGTTGAGCATGAAGTTGCTCCTAGGAGTAAAATATATAGAAATCCTACTAAATCCTAGCTATGCACTGGGGAAAGGGAAATAATCAGTATCAGTACCAGATGCTGGTTCTAAACTGACATTAATTCCAGGAGACCCAAAACATCACTGTGGGCCACCAGTCAGAGGCTTATGACTGCCAGATGATCAGTGGAGTTCAGGTCCCTCTCACAGTGGGCCCACTGGGTCCCAAACCCATCCTGTGGCTATTTTCCCAGTTCCAGAATGCATAATTGGAATAGACATACTCAGCAGCTGAAAGAAAACTCACACCGGTTCCTTGACCTGTGGAGTGAGGACAATTACGGAGCGAAAAGCCAAGAAGAAGCCACTAGAACAGCCTCTATGTAGAAAAATGGTAAGCCAAAAGCAATACTCCATTCCTGGAGGGATTGCAAAGATTAGTGCCACAATCAAGGACTTAAAGGATGCAGGAGTGGTAATTCCCACCATATTCCCATGAAATTTGCCTATTTAGTCTATGCAGAAGACAGATGGATTTTGGAGAATAACAGTGAATTATCATAAGCTTAACCGAGTGGTAATACCAATTGTAATTGCCTTATCAGATGTGGTTTCATTGCTTGGGCAATTAACACATTCCCTGGAAACTGGCAAGCAGCTAAACATCTGGCAAATGCTTCTTTCTTGAAATTTGTTAGTAAAGATCACCAGAAGCAGTTTGTTTTCAGCTGGCAATGGTAGCAATACACCTTCACTGTTCTACCTCAGGAGTATACCAACTCTCCACTCCTATTTAATAACTTAGTTCTGAGGAATTTAACTGCCTTTTTATTCCACAAGACATCACACTGATCCATAATATTGATAACATCACATAGATTGGACCTAGTGAGCAAGATGTAGCAACTACTCTAGACTTACTGGCAAGATATTTGGTGTCAGAGGTTGGGAAATAAATTCATCTAAAATTCAGGGGCCTTCTAACTCACTGAAATCTCTAGGGGTCTAGCAGTATGGGGCATGTCAAGATATCCCTTTCAAAGGTGAATGTTAAGTTGTTGCCTCTGGCCCCTCCTATAACCAAAACAAAAAAGAGGGAGAATGTCTAATAGGCCTCTTTGGATTTTGGAGGTAACACATTCCTCACTGGGGTATGTTACTTTGACCCATTTACCAAGTGATCTAAAAAGCTGCGAATTCCAAGTAGATCTCAGAATAAGAGAGGGCTCTGCAACAGGTCCAGAGTACTATACAAGCTCTGCCAGTTGGGCTACATGATCCTGCAGGTGCAATGGTACGTGAAATATCAGTGGCAGACAGGATGCTGTTTGGAGCCTTTGGCAGGCCCCTATAGGCAAATAATAGTGCAGACCCTTAGGATTTTGTAGCAAAACATCACCATCCTCTGCAGATAACTACTATCCTTTAGCAGAAACAGCTCTTAGTCTGCTACTGGGCCTTAATAGAAACTGAATGTTTAACCATGGGTCACCAAATTATGTGATTTCAGCCCATCATGAACTGGGTGTTATCTGACCCACCAACCCATGAGGTTGGGTATGCACAGCGGCACTCTATCATCAAATAAAAGTGGTATATACATGATCAGGCTCAAGGAGGCCCTGAAGGAGCAACTACGTTACATGAAGAGGCCCAAATGCCCATGATCCCCACTTCTGCCACACTGCCTTCTCTCTCCCAGTCTGACCTATCACTTCAAGAGAAGTTCCCTAGATCACTTGACAGAGGAAGAGAAGACTGGTTTCATTTACAGATGGTTCTGCACAATATGCAGGTACCACCCAAAAAAGGACTGCTGAAGTTCTGCTATCCCTTCCTGGGACCTCCCTGAAGTACAGTAGTGAAAGGAAATCTTTCCAGTGGGCAAAATCAAACAGTGCTTCTCAATGTTTATTCTGTTTGGAAGAAGAAATGGCCAGATGTGCAATTATGTATGGATTCATGGGCTGTGGCCAATGGTTTGTCTGTATGGTCAGGAACTTGGAAGGAACATGAATGGAAAATTGGTGACAAAAAAAAAAATTGTGGAAAAGGGATGCGGACAGATCTCACTGAATGGCAAATAAGTGAAGATACTTGTATCCAGCGTAAATGTTTACCAAAACGTGACATCAGCAAAAGAGTATTTTAATAATCACATGGATAAGATGACCACTTCTGTGGATACCTTCTTCCCTAGCCACCTGTGTCATTACCCAACGGGCTCATGGACAAAGTGGCCATGGTGGCAGGGATGGAGATTATGCATGGGCTCAGCAAAATGGACTTCCATCCACCGAGGCCAACCTGGCTATGACCACTGCTGAGTACCCAATATGCCAGTAGCAGAAACCAACACTGAGCTCCTGATATGGTGCCATCCCCCTAGGTAATCAGCCAGCTACCTGGAGGAAGGTTGATACAGCTTCAATCAGGGAAAGGGAAGCATTTTGTTTTTACTGAAACAGACATTTATTCTGGCTATAGATTTGCCTTCCTCGCTCACAATGCTTCTGCCATAACTGCCATCAGTAAACTTACAGAATTCTTTCTCTACTATCTTGGTATTCCATACAGAATTGCTTTTGACCAAGCAACTCATGTCACAGCACATGGAGGACAGCAATGGGCCTATGCTCACTGGTCTTATCATGTTCCCTACAATTGTCAAGCAACTCGTTTCATAAAACAGTGGAATGGGCTTTTGATGATTCAGTTACAGTGCCAGCTACGTAGTAATACCTTGCAAGGCTGACAGAAGGGTTCTCCAGAAAGCCATATAAGCTCTGAGTCAGCATCCAATATATGGTGCTTTTTCTCTCACAGCCAGCATTTATGGGTCCAATAATCAAGGGGTGGAAATGGGAGTGGTACTACTCACTACTGCCCTTAGTAATTCATTAGCGAAATTTTTCTTCCTATTCCTGTGACCTTATTCTTTGCTGACCTAGATGTCTTAATTCCAGAGGAAGGAATAATTTTTTCCAGAAAACACAACACTGATTCCATAGAATTGGAAATTAAGACTGCCACTTGGCCACTTTGGGTTCCTTACACCTCTAAATCATCAGTCAAAGAAGAGTTACTGTGCTCATTGGGGTGACTGCTTCTAGTACAGGGAAACTGAACTGCCACTTCACACAGGAGGCTAGGAAGAATATGTCTAGAATACAAGAGATCCCTTATGGCGTCTTTCAGTATTACCATACCCTACACCCTGTGTGTTGGGCCATTCTTGCAATGCTATAAAGGAATACTTGAAATCAGGTAATTCATAAAGAAACGAGGTTTAGTTAGTTCACAGTTCTGCAAGCTTTACAGGAAATGTGGCACCAGCATCTGCTCTGCTTCTGCAGAGGCCTCAGGGAACTTTTACTCATTGCAGAAGGCAAAGTGGCAGTAAGCATCTCACATGGCAGAATAGGAGCAAGAGTGAGAATGGAGGTGGAGTTGCCACATACTTTTAAACGACCAGACCTCAAGTGAACCCAGAGCAAGAGCTCACGTATCAACAAGCGGGTGGCCCAAGCCATTCATGAGGGATCCACTCCTGTGATTCAAACACCTCCTACCAAGCCCCACCTCCAAGACCGGGGATTATATTTCAACAGAAATTTGGGCAGGGACAAATGTCCAAATTATATTACCCTGTGATTAAGATCAATGGAAAACTACAACAATCCAATTCAAGCAGGACTACTAATGAAGAATGACCCTTCAAGAATAAAGGTTTGAGTCACCCCAACAGATAAAAAACTACAAGCAGGTAAGGTGCTTGCTGAAGGTAAAGGAAATACAAAATGGTTAGGTGAGAATATATGTATAATCCAGTCTATCATTGATGGATATCTGGGTTGGTTCCAAGTCTTTGCTATTGTGAACAGTGCTGCAATAAACATACGTGTGCATTTGTCTTTATAGCAGCATGATTTACAATCCTTTGGGTATATATCCAGTAACGGGATGGCTGGGTCAAATGGTATTTCTAGTTCTAGATCGTTGAGGAATTGCCGGGGCCTGTCGTGGGGTGGGGGTAGAGGGGAGGGATAGCATTAGGAGATATACCTAACGTAAATGACGAATTAATGAGTGCAGCACACCAACATGGCACATGTATACATATGTAACAAACCTGCACATTGTGCCCATGTACCCTAGAACTTAAAGTATAATAAAAAAAAGAATATATGTATAAATATTAGCTACAACCACATGATCACTTACAGAAATAAGGACTGTATTTCCTCCTCATTTTGCTAAGAATACATCTGTGTGTGTGTGTGTGTGTGTGTGTGTGTGTGTGTAATATCTTTGTTTTCTTTCTTCTCTTATTCCCTCATCATGTAACATAAGATGCTCATATCAGAATTTAAGTACTGTTGATTTTACATCATAGTATTTAATTTACAGAATATCAAGGAGAGGAGTAAATATCACTCCAGGACTTTACCTCCTTTTCTGGGAAAGAGATTGATGTGTTTTCCAGTTGTACACAGGATACTTGTATTATGTTAGGTAGAATTATGACCTTGTTATTATCTTCATTTGAAAATTAAGTATGGTTTATGTAGATATGTATAGGTGCCAAGTTGACAAGGGGTAGACTTGTAATGGTTAATTTTATGTGTCAACTTTTCCAAGACATGGGGTGGACACATATTAGGCTAAGCATTATTTCTGGATATGTCTGTAGGGGGCAGTTCTGGATGAGACTGAATTGGTAAACCAAGTAAAGTAAAATGCTCTCCCTATGGTGGGCGTCATCCAAGCAATTGAGGGCCTGAAAGAACAAAAAAGTAGAGGAAGAAAGAATTTCCTCTCTCTGCCTTTTCTTGCTCTTGGACTGAGACTTACACCATCTGCACTCCTGGTTCTCAAGCCTCCATACGTAGAGTAGAATTTACATCATCAACTTTCCTGGGTCTTCAGTTTGCAGACGGCAGATCCTGGGACTTTTCATCCTTCATAACCACATGAGCCAATTTCTTATAATAAATCTCATTTTATATATATATATACACATATATTATAGATTATATATAAACAAATATATATTATATTTATATATAATATACATATATTTATATATTATATAATAGATTTATATATTTGTTTATATATCTGTATATAATATATAAACAAATATATTTATATATAATATATAAACAAATATATAAACAAATGTTTATATATTTATATATAATATATAAACAAATATATATTATTTATTTATATATATAAACTGTGTATGTGTGTATATATATATATAGACAGATTCTGTTTCTCTGAAGAACTGTAATACAAGTCCCTGATTCCCATGTCTTATTTTATTTAACTCCGACTTCTACTAAAATAACTCCCATTAGATGAATATCAGTGGATATCTTCAAACGTAATTTAAATTTTCAAAGCATAACCATGTTATATTAATGTTAAAACTCAAATAAAATTGAAGTATATCTTGTTATTAAAACAACTTGTATCACTGGAAAGTATATAACAACAGAGTATGTATGAAAACAAAAGGGTTCAATCTAATGAGTCAGTAACTGCAAATTTCCCTCCATTTTAAGTTCTGAAAATTAAAGTCATAAAACTTACATATTTTGAATTATTAATTAGTGAAGAATTTTTTTAATTATACAATCAAATTTTTTACTTAGTTTCAACTCCCTTTTCTTTGCCTTTTACCTCTGCCTGCTATCTTGAAAAACAAGTAGATACTTTCAGTAATAAAATTTCCAAAAAAGAAAAAATGATACATTATATTCAGTTGGAAATATGTATCCATGCTATTTATTTTTACTCAAGCTATAGGCCCATGAAAGAATCTTTGGGCTGGGTGCAGTGCCTCATGCCTGTAATCCCAGCACTTTGGGAGGCTGAGGTGGGCACATCACTTGAGGCCAGGAGTTCAAGACCAGCCTGGCCAACATGGTGAAACCCTGTCTCTACTAAAATATAAAAATTAGCTAGGCATGGTGGTGCCTGCCTATAATCCCAGCTACTCAGGAGGCTGAGGCAGAAGAATCACTTGAACCCAGGAGGTGGAGGTTGCAGTGAACCGAGATCATGCCACTGCATTCCAGCCTGGGTGATGGAGTGAGACTCTGTCTCAAAAAAACAAAACAAAACAAAAAAATCTTTAATTCTACTAAATACTACTTTTTAAAATTTTTCCCTTCAATTTGTTGATATCTTCTACATAACATAGAATGTTTAGATGCTACCACTTAAAATCTTAATTTTTGCTTCTCTTAACCCATTTTCATCTGCCATAAATATTTTATGTTTTTTTATTCTGCAATATATAGAACAGCCCTCCCACAACAAATAAACAAATAAACAAATAATTATAGGGCTCAAAATGTCAATAGTGCTAAAACTCTACTTTAGATGAAAAAGGACGTTAAAAAATCTTATCAAACTGTAGAATGTTTAGCAGCTCCCTTGCTTCTACCTATTAGATGCCAATAGCAGCTCCACATTTGTGACAACCAAAATGTCTCTGCAAAATGTCCCCTGTGAGACAAAATTGCCTCAACTTGAGAACCACTAATGTATAGACAGTTAAAAGAGAAACTACAACTACCAAAAACTCAGGTTAAACTTACACACAAAGTGTGAAAACAAAGCACTAGACCACACGACCACTAATGCATGTCTGACAGGAATCCAATGGTAATTATTTCAATACCTACCTATATAATCTTATTTTCATAGGAACAGAAGACAACATTTATAGCTATAGTCTTTTTCAATATCAGTTTTGAAAAAATGTTCCCAGTCTCATCCATGAAAAGAAGTAAAGTTGATGGATCCAAAATGGAATCTAGACTGACAAATTTGAACAACAAACCAATCTAACTTCACAATTTGCCAAGAAGTGAATGATTCCCTATATACTTTCTAAATGTCTTAATGTGTAAAGTGCTTTTTTTCTACAGTGCTACTAAATGGTAAGCTAATGATCATAAAGCAGCAGTCTGTTGTAACTACAGCACCATTTACCCATAAATACTAACCATACTGCAGTTACTATTTGCCGAAATGCATTTCTTGTCATCACACCATTGGCACCCATTTGTATTGGCAGTACAGCTGGCACAATCTGCATATCTGTAACATCTGTCATCAGAAGCAGCTATAATACAAATGGGGGACGATATATCAGCACGGAAAAGAAAATCTTACTCTTCTTAATTTACAATATCTATTTAAGAATCATTAAGAATCACTAAGACATTTTTTAACCAAAGAAATGACCTTCAATTTCAAAGTAAGTTTTCTAAAGATTAAGACAACTTTTGTAGTTCAATTGTGTTTACAGGATTTTCGAGACCTTTTACCCCCATTTTAATTATTCAATATACAAGGATCCTACAGACATTTTAAATTCACACATTTTGGGCCAGGCACGGTAGCTCATGCCTGCAATCCCAGAACTTTTAAAAGCCAAGGTAGACGGATCACTTGAGGTCAGGAGTTCAAGACAAGCCTGGCCAACATCACAAAACCCATCTCTACTAAAAATACAAAAATTAGCCAGGCATAGTGGCACATGCCTGTAATTCCAGCTACTCGGAAAGCTAAGGCAGCAGAATTGCTTGAAACCAGGAGACAGAGTTTGATCACACCACTGCACTCCAGCCTGGGTGACAGAGTGAGACTCTGTCTCAAAAAATAAACTAAAATAAATAAATTTACGTATTTTAGAGAAAGTCAAAGGATTTACATATATTTTACTGAACAAAGTGTATTACTATACATACAAAAGAAAACATCATAACAAATACTGTTTATCATCCTTTCTAAAGATATAAAAGACATCTGAATTAATATAGATTAGTAAAACTTAAAAATACATTTATTAATTGTAACCGCAAAAATGTATAAAAACTCTCAGCACTTAAAAAACTAAACAATATTTATCCAAATAATTAATTAGCTAACTGATTAATAATTGACTGGTAACTTTTCATAAGTCTCATTTATTTATTCACCATTTTATAAGAAATATAAAACCAGATCATTAGTCATGAAATGCTGTAACATTTTTTTACTTTATGGTGTGGTTTGGCAATAATTCAGGAAGAAAAAAAAATACCACATGGAAAATAAATTATTTCATTTTATTTCTTTGAATCTAACAGCACTTCTTAGAAATGATGTACTGGAAAGCATTTTAAACTTATATTAGAAAATAATTCATATATATGACAATGTTATATATAAAATATTGATATATATACTATATATACAGATTTCAAAAATAAAGCTAAAAATAGCTAATAAATGTATTAAATTATTAATCACTAGGTTCAAACATTAGAATTCCTAATTAGGGTAATACAAATTTTTCATTTCTGTAGCTACTAAAGTAATTCTTATAAGCAGAAGATATTTCTACTTCTGTAGAAGAGAAATTTTGCTGCCACAAAGACGAAAAGAAAAAGAAATTTACCTGTTTTAGGAGGGCACTTTGCTCTAAGAATATTATTAGTATTCCCAGATTCCCAAGATTCACAGTGATTTTTATTCCAAACACATTTTATCCCTGGACCAGCATTTTTACAAAGTTCTTCATCTCTGAAAGCCTTGCAATTTGGAGGCTTGTATACAAGGATATCATTAAGGAGTACACTAGAAAATCCCCCAAATATATACATGGACCTATTAAAAACAAAACAAGAATCTTAAAGAAACGCTATTAAAAGTCCCTATCTACTGATTTAGTTATAAAAATAAGCATAGATTTAAATATACATTTTATACTATTTTAAGTACTTCTGTTAGTACTGTTCTTTAAAATCATATTTCTAGCATACAATATGATATAAAAACACCAGAGGAACTACTATATAATTTCTTGAAGACTTTCCAGACAAAATATGAAATATTCTATAAATCTTAATATATTAAGAAAACACTAAGTCTTCAAAACATGTTTTATTGTTAATACAAGAAAGGAAAAGAAACAATGATTATATACAATATTCCTTTGTCAGAAAAATAAGTATTTTTTTAATAATATAGAAAACAATGTTTTAAAAAAATAGATAATAGCTATACATGGACAAGACACACTTTAGAACTGCTATCTAGAATTATAACTTTTCAATATAGACACAGAATTTTGAAATTAGATACCGAGTTCTTCTTATGGTGTTTCATTCTTTTAAAATAAGAAAACTAAGAGTAAAATAATCAAAAAGATTTTTTAAATTCAGTCTGGAAAGAGAAGCCTAGACAATACTAAATTAATACCAAGCAGTGCCAATGCCCTTAAAACAGCATATTTTTCATGTCAAAAATATTATTAACATAATAAATTGAATCAGTCAAAAAAGTCTTCAAGAATGTCTTTTATTATTTTAAAAAAGTAAAATAAAAATCAACCAGAGAACCCTGGAGGTTTTATGTTTCACAGTTTTCATGTATTACTGTTTGGACAGCCACTTGATATCAGTTACACAGTTTCATTGTGGTTAAGTCATTTTGTGGCAATAGTGGAGAATTTTTACATATTTAGGATAAGGTGGTAATAAAATGGGCTTATAAAAAGGTCATTCTGATTTACAAATGTTAAGCCACTAAATGAGCTAGCAGATTGTTTACTGTCACTGGATTCCAAATTACCAAATTTTTGCCATAGAAATACAAAAATTATATTAACTTAAATGGGGAAGGCAATGTAATGACCATTGAGTCCAATTTCTCAATGGATATAATGATTTTAAGGTCCAGAGAGGTTAAGAGACTTGTCAAAAATCACACATTTAGTAAATGACAGAACTAAAATGAGAATCTAATTCTTCTCACTTTCCTTGTTCTCCTTGATAGAAATATGGGGCTAGCCTCTCTATCATTTCAGTTCCATCTTTTTAAAAGAAGAGTCATTCCTTATCTGATCTCTGGAAAAAGAAAAGAAGGCAGGATGACATAAAAGGGTATCTGATGTCTTATCTCAGCACCTTTCCTTTACCTACTCCCATGTCCCTTAAATATATTAAACAAGAAAGGAAAAAAAGATATGATTGACAAATCAAAATGCATTCTATGGTAGAGAAGAGATGCATAAAATCCAATACCATTAAGTACCAATGATAATTTTCAAAAAGAATACCAGAATATGAGGATAGTATGACTGATATAAGTGACCCTCTAAAAATTGGAAATGTGCTTCTTTTACCCGTTAATGACTACTGCAGAGTGTCCAAATCTGTTGACATCTCTATGAAGATTTGGTTTTGGTAGTATTTTCCATTCATCACAAGCTAGAAAAAAGAAAACAGAAAAACAAAAAATGAAATAAAAGAATAAACTAAGACAAATAATATGAAAACATCATTGGCCGAATTAAAGATACACTATGCATAAGCAGGAAGCAAAAAAAAAATTCTCATTAATTTTCCATGACCTACAATTTAGTGTATTTACTCAACTAACATTATTCATTAAATAAAAATAACTCTTGCCTAGAATTCTCACAAATAATTTTAAGCATATGAGAACAAGAAAATGAAAAGAATGAACTTAGAGGTATTTTATATTGGAAGATAATTTCGAAGACATATATTTATTAAATATTCCAAGTAAAACTTATGAATGTCAGTATAGGGCACACCTCTTTGAAAGTTAAATACTAAATCAAATATGACATGTATGCATACAAAAGTCAATGGCAGATACAATGTTCACTGAAAGAATACCTAAAAATATAATCATCAGGATAAAACATTTAAATCACTTTAATGATTTGAATTCTCAAAAAAGCTTTTTTATATAGAAGGGAATTATTTTAACTGCAAAACTTCTAGATAAAAAATGAAAATCATAAATAATCTATGAACTATATAGAAACTATGGAAAGTGGTTAAGAAAAATGTGTATTATTTCAATATAAACTCAGAACTGACATATATACTAACGTAAATTTGAGATTTAAAATAATTCATCATTCAGTGACTAGGAACATTCTCAATACAGTGTTTTAGATTTCAACTTCTTAGAAATGTCATATTTATAAAGGCATGCTTTGGTATTTCATGAAAGCATATAGATACAAGATTTTTTAAAACAAATTAATTTTGTTTAGGTAAAAGCCTTTATGGAACAAGAAAATAATCTTAAGTACAGTTAGTTGTAAAAGTTAAAGTAATGAATTACTTGTTTTCTTATTTAAGTAATTACATCTATAACAATAATAAAATAAATTTGGTTTCAACTCAATATTTTATTAATGAACATCAAAAAATTATAAAAACCAAAACTGTAAGTTTAGAAAATGATGCTGAACACCAACATGGCACATGTATACATACGTAACAAACGTGCACGTTGTGCACATGAACCCTAGAACTTAAAGTATAATTAAAAAAAAAAAGAGAATGATGCTGAAAGACTGAGAACAATAAAATATATGTTGACCTGTATATGCTAAAGTATAATCCAGGAAACACAAATCTCCCCCGAAAAAGTGTATAATCTGTCTTTTTAGTCCACATGGTATATCTGCCTATTAAATATTCTCAAAAGAGAGAGTGTAAAGGTACAGAAACCTAACCTAACTTTATTTAACACAGTGTTTTCCCAATGTTTTATCCAAAGAAGCACTTTTCACATAATGCCTATTAAGATCCTCAAGAGTCAATGCTCTGAAGATCACATTTTAGAAAATATTATTATGGAGGCCTATGATAAAGATTAAGACTGCCAATTTTACATGTTAGAGTTAATTTAATAAATGTACATTATATGTTTGTAGCACTATTAGGTTGGTGCAAAAGAAATTATATAAAGTATAAACTGTATACTTTTATAAATTAAGTACACATAAAAGTTCCAAAGTGTTTTCATCGCATATCTTAAAATGGTCTTTATAAGAATCCAGTGAAATTGATGGAGCAGGTATTACCCTATGTTAGAAATGAAGAATCAGACCTACATGAAGGTAAATAACTTGTATGAGGTCCATTTGATTAACAGATCATATAGTAATTCTGTGTTCAATTTTTTAAGAAACTGCCATTCTGTTTTCCATAGTAGCTGGACCATTTTACATTTTTACCAGTAATGCAAAAGGGTTCATATGTCTCCACATCCTCGTCAACCCTTGTTATCTTCTGTTTTTTTATCATAGCCATCCTAATGAGTATGAATTAGTATATCATTGTGGTTTTGACTTGCATTCCCTAATGATTAGTGATGTTGAGCATCTTTTCATGTGCTTATTGGACATTTGTATATCTTTGGAGAAATGTCAATTCAACAGCTCATTTAAATTTATAGATACAAGTGGTACTGTGTGCTCATTGTAACCATGTTAGAGTTTTCCATGTTATGACTACACAAAATATTTACCCATTAAGCTGTTAATAATTAGCCTTTTTAAAGATTTTTTTCCTATTACAAGTCATGTTGGTATATTCACTCTTATATGTATCTTGTGCATATTTTGAATGTTTCTCTAGATTTCCAAGAGGTATAAGAAAAGACACAACTTCGATTTTACTAGATTTTCCCAATTTGCTCCCCAAAGTAGTTGTGTTGACTCACATTAGCAGTGTACAACAGTTCCTCTTGTTTTATATTCTCTACAACATGTAGTTCTATCAGACTTAAAATTTTTACCAATCTGATGAATGGTTTGATTTTACATTTTTCCAGTTACTGGTGAGTCAACTTATTTTCACATGTATAGGTTATTTGTTTTAGTCTTCTATGAAATCACTGTTTAAGACTTGCACATTTTTCTATTTGCTTTTTGTCTTTTTCTTAATAATTTAAAGGATTCTTGATTAAATATTCTGGATACTAATCCTTTGCTGGCTATATGTATTACCATATATTCTTCCATGCTACAGCATCTTTTTTTCACTTAGTTTATGAAACCTTGTTTTACAGAAAGTTGGTCTTACCTTTAGGTCACCTTATGATCTGTGCTTGTTTACTCAGTAAACTGAGATTTTAAAAATAATCTCTAATTTTCCAGTAAAGGTTTTTCTGTTGGCTTTTACTATTTTGGTCTTCAATCTTTTTGCAACTTATTTTTGTATATCTGGTAAGCATCAAACTTAATTTTTCCCATATATCATATTTTCCAGATATTTCCAAGTATATGTCAATGCACTAATTTTCCCAATTTTTGAACATTTATCCTTGATCCACTAACTTGTGCATCATTTAATTTCTGTACTGTTATACTTTGCTTTTATTTTATCATTTTTAAATATATACATGTGTGAGGCCCAAAAGTCCAATATTTCTACAAGGTTTATCAAAAAAAAAAAAAATCCACTGCCCCCTATCTTCCCAAAGCATATTCCAGAATCATGGAGGTAAGCACTTTTAATTCTAAATAAACAGCTATAAAGAGTTTGTTTTTGTTTTTGTTTCTTGTATTTTCATCTGTTCTAAACAGCATGCCTAGTTCCCAGTTTCAGATAATATGCCTGACTTCCTTCTTCAGATGGTGAAGATTAAGCTCTTACACAGACTTACACACGCATATTTCCTCTCCCTCCATTCTCTATACATTTATATTATAATTTTGTTTAGAGCAATATTCAGTTTCTTATTTGTTTTTTAGAGATGGGGAATTGCTATATTGCCTAGGCTGTATTGCCTAGGCTGGACTAAATTAATTCCTGGGCTCAAGCAATCCTCCTGCCTCAGCCTCCAGAGTTTCTGGAATTATAGGTGCACACCACCACACTCAGCTAATGTTCAGTTTTTATTATCTTTGATAGTATATATCTGTGATATTATTCACAGATAAGCCAGGTAGCATACTACATTTTTATTCTTAAATAACTTACTTTCTCCACAAATTATATTTTCACTTTTTTGCTTACCTTTCTGTATATCTACTGCTATTTCTCCCCCAACCCTTTGCCAGATGTGTACATTTCTTCTCAATATCTTCTAATACATCAAGATATCTGGCAATTTCATTTACTTTGTAAAGACATCCCTCCTGAAACTCCATCTTTCTTCTCCAATCTGAACTTACTGCTCTCTAGGCCTATTACATCATCATAAGGATTCCCTCCATATTTCTCCCCTGTTATATATTCCATTTCTTAGATTTCATCTGTTTATTTAATCTCATACTTCAATAGGAGATATAATCCTAAAGTATCTAAATAAAGTGTACATTGGAGGTATATTTTTGAGAATCTGCAATTCTAAAAAATAATTTTATTTCACTCTAACACTTTTAGTATGATTTGATTGGTGTTAGAATTCTAACATGGAAAGCATTTTCAGATATTGAAGGTATTAGTCCACTCTTCTGGCTTCTCGTATTGCTTTTGTAAGGCACTATGCTATCAAGTCTCATGATTTATTTGTCCTATTTCTTTTCTCTCTATATAAGTTTTTAGGTTCTTTTTGTCTTTTTGTAATGAGCTTTGCTGTGAGTCTTTTGTATTTATTTTTCTGGGGCTCAGTAGGCTCTTTTAGTCTTAAAATTTGTGTACTTCAATCCCAAACATATTTTTGAATTACTCACTTGATAATTTCCTTCCTGTCTAAAATGTTATGTTCTTTGCTTTTTCAATTCTATTACTGAGATACAAAGTTTTCTGGAACAGTCATATTAAATTTCTCATTTTTTACCCTATTTTCCATTTGTCCATTATTCATAATACTTTATGGAGATTCTTCACTTTATCTTCAAATCATTGATTTGTTTTCCTAATTTTAATTTCCAAGAGCTCATTTTTTTCTTTTCTGAATTAACTATTTTTATTAAAATCTCACATTTTGCTTCACAAATGTAACATCTTCTGTCCATAAAGATTTAACTTATAATCTCCTCTGTGGATTATCTTTATTTCCCCTAATTTCTTATTTTTTCCTACTCGTTTGACATTTTGATCAAATTTAGTAACTTTTTGTAATTGTCAAAATAATAACAGGCTGCAAATTTAAGAGTGAGGCACCACCAGAGTCATTAGGAATTTAGTGCTTAAGAAGGACATGTTGACCTCTGGGATTCTGATCAGGTGGAACCATTTCAGTTAGAGACCTCCAAATGTCAGTATCTCTACATGCTTTCTCTTAGGCTGGTCAGATTTCTTCAGATAATTTTCCAGTCTCCTGCCTGGAAACCATAAATCGGACTAACAGCATTTTAGGAAGACCCTAAGTGGATAAAGGGTAGCTAGAGGGTTTCACTCTTAAGTATGTATACTTTCATTTAATCCCACTGTTTACAAAATAGTGCTTATGCTCTCAGTCATGTTCTGGTTTTCTTTTGTTTTGTTTTTAAAGTACACAAGTCCTGCAGAAGAGAAACATTACAGTACAGTAATAGTAATGTAATTATACATGAAGGCAATTAATTTAGGCAAATAATAATAAAACATAATTCTACTTCTAGAAGTTATTTGCCTTTCAATACATGTAGCGGTAGGAAGTGACAGCTTTATTACTATCTCCAAGACATCATCTTCAATTATACTAAAAGTTTAAAAAAGAATTACATACAATACTTTTGATAGACATTTGTGCTGTTCAATAAAATATTTCAGTTCCTTTCCTTCTGGCACAAAATTATACTCTTACAATCCCTAGAAGTTGAATGTATCAATGTAATGCAAGCTACTGGAATATCTGTGTTTCTGGTTGGAGGCATTTGATTAGCAATGAAAGCCTATGTCTTCTGTCAGCCTGGGTCCCTAAATAATGACAAAAAAAAATCTGGAGAGGCGTTCCAAGATGGCCGAATAGGAACAGCTCCAGTCTGCAGCTCCCAGTGTGATCGACGCAGAGGATGGGTGATTTCTGCATTTCCAACTGAGGTACCTGGTTCATCTCATTGGGACTAGTTGGATAGTGGATGCAGCCCACAGAGGGCGAGCCGAAGCAGGGTGGGGCATCACCTCACCCGGGAAGCACAAGGGGTTGGGGGATTTCCCTTTCCTAGCCAAGGGAAGCTGTGACAGACTACCTGGAAAAACGGGACACTCCCACCCAAATACTGCGCTTTTCCCAAAGTTTTAGCAATCAGCAGACAAGGAGATTCTCTCCAGTGCCTGGCTTGGTAGGTACCACACCCACAGAGCCTTGCTCACTGCTAGCACGGCAGTCTGAGATTGAACTGCGAGGCAGCGGCCTGGCTGGGGGGTGCATCCGCCATTGCTGAGGCTTGACTAGGTAAACAAAGCGGCCAGGAAGCTTAAACTGGACGGAGCCTACCACAGCTCACCAAGGCCTACCGTCTCTAGACTCCACCTCTGTGGCCAGGGCATAGCTAAACAAAAGGCAGCAGACAACTTCTGCAGACTTAAAAGTCCCTGTCTGACAGCTCTGAAGAGGGCAGTGGTTCTCCCAGCATGGCGTTTGAGCTCTGAGAACAAACAGACTGCCTCCTCAAGTGGGTCCCTGACCCCCGTGTAGCCTAACTGGCAGAAACCTCTCAGTAGGGGCTGACCGACACCTCATACAGGTGGCTGCCCCGTTGGGATGAAGCTTCCAGAGGGAGGATCAGGCAGTAATACTTGCTGTTCTGCAGCCTCCGCTGGTGATACCCAGGCAAACAGGGTCCGGAGTGAACCTCCAGCAAACTCCAACAGACTTGCAGCTGAGGGACCTGACTGTTAGAAGAAAAACTAACAAACAGAAAAGAATAGCAGCAACATCAACAAAAGGTCATCTAGACCAAAACCCCATCTGTAGGTCACCAAAATCAAAGACCAAAGGTAGATAAAACCACAAAGATGGGGAGAAACCAGAGCAGAAAAGGTGAAAATTCTAAAAATTGGAGTGCCTCTTCTCCTCCAAAGGATCACAGCTCCTCACCAGCAATGGAACAAAGCTGGATGGAGAATGACTTTGACAAGTTAACAGAAGTAGGCTTCAGAAGGTAGGTAATAACAAAATTCTCTGAGCTAAAGGAGGATGTTCGAACCCATTGCAAGGAAGCTAAAAACCTTGAAAAAAAGATTAGACGAATGGCTAACTAGGATAAACAGTGTAGAGAAGACCTTAAATGACCTGATGGAGCTGAAAACCATGACAGGAGAACTTCATGACGCATGCACAAGTTTCAATAGCTGATTCAATCAAGTAGAAGAAAGGGTATCAGTGACTGAAGATCAAATTAATGAAATAAAGCGAGAAGAAAAAGTAAGAAAAAACAGACTAAAAAGAAATGAACAAAGCCTCCAAGAAATATGGGACTATGTGAAAAGACCAAATCTACATTTGATTGATTGGTGTACCTGAAAGTGATGGGGAGAATGGAACCAAGTTGGAAAACACTCTGCAGGATATTATCCAGGAGAACTTTTCCAACCTAGCAAGGCAGGCCAACATTCAGATTCAGGAAATACAGAGAACACCACAAAGATACTCCTCAAGAAGAGCAACCCCAAGACACATAATTGTTGGATTCACCAAGGTTGAGATGATGGAAAAAGTGTTAAGGACAGCCAGAGAGAAAGGTCAAGTTACCCACAAAGGGAAGCCCATCAAACGAACAGCAGATCTCTCGGCAGAAACCCTACAAGCCAGAAGAGACTAAGGGCCAAAATTCAACATTCTTAAAGAAAAGAATTTTCAACCCAGAATTTCATATCCAGCCAAACTAACCTTCATAAGTGAAGGAGAAATAAAATCCTTTACAGACAAGCAAATGCTGAGAGATTTTGTCACCATCAGGCCTGCCTTACAAGAGCTCCTGAAGGAAGCACTAAACATGGAAAGAAACAAACGGGACTAGCCATTGCAAAAACATGCTAAATTACAAAGACCATAGATGCTACAAAGAAACTGCATCAATTAACAGGCAAAATAACCAGCGAACATCATAATGACAGGATCAAATTCACACATAACAATATTAACCTTAAATGGAAATGGGCTAAATGCCCCAATTAAAAGACAAAGTCAAGATCCATCAGTGTGCTGTATTCAGGAGACACATCTCACGTGCAAAGATGCACATAGGCTCAAAATAAAGGGATGGAGGAAGATCTACCAAGCAAATGGAAAGCAAAAAAAAGTAGGGATTGCAATCCTAGTCTCTGATAAAACAGACTTTAAACCAACAAAGATCAAAAGAGACAAAGAAGGCCAATACATAATGGTAAAGGGATCAATTTAACAAGAAGAGCTAACTATGATAAATATATATGCACCCAATACAGGAGCACCCAGACTGATAAAGCAAGCCCTTGGAGACCTACAAAGAGACTTAGACTCCCACACAATAATAATGGGAGACTTTAAAACCCCACTGTCAACATTAGAGAGATCAATGAGAGAGGTTAACAAGGATATCCAGGACTTGAACTCAGCTCTGCAACAAGCAAACCTAAAAGACATCTACAGAACTCTCCACCCCAAATCAACAGAATATACATTCTTCTCAGCACCACATCGCACTTATTCTAAAGTTGACCACATAATTAGAAATAAAGCAGTACTCAGCAAATGTAAAAGAACAGAAATCACAAAAAAACTGTCTCTCAGAACACAGAGCAATCAAATTAGAACTCAAGATTAAGAAACTCACTCAAAACCGCACAACTATATGGAAACTGAACTTGCTCCTGAATGACTACCAGGTAAATAACTAAATGAAGGCAGAAAGATGTTCTTTGAAACCAATAAGAACAAAGACACAATATACCAGAATCTCTGGGACACATTCAAAGCAGTGTGTAGAGGGAAATTTATAGCACTAAATGCCCACAAGAGAAGGCAGGAAAGATCTAAAATCGACACCCAACATCACAAATAAGAGAACTAGAGAAGCAAGAGCAAACACATTCAAAAAGCTAGCGGAAGGCAAGAAATAACTAAGATCAGAGCAGAAGTGAAAGAGACAGAGACACAAATAACCCTTCAAAAACTCAATGAATCCCAGAGCTGGTTTTTTGAAAAGATTAACAAAATTGATAGACCGCTAGCAAGACTAATAAAGAAGAAAAGAGAGAAGAATCAAATACATGCAATAAAAATGATAAAGGGGATATCACCACAGATCCCAAAGAAATACAAACTACCATCAGAGAATACTATAAACACCTCTATGCAAATAAACTAGAAAATCTAAAAGAAATGGATAAATTCCTGGACACATACACCCTCCCGAGACTAAACCAGGAAGAAGTTGAATCTCTGAATAGACCAATAACAGGCTCTGAAATTGAGGCAATAATTAATAGCCTACCAAACAAAAAAAGTCCAGGACCAGATGGATTCACAGCTGAATTCTACCAGAGGTACAAAGAGGAGCTGGTACCATTCCTTCTGAAACTATCCCAATCAATAGAAAAAGAGGGAATCCTCCCTAACTCATTTTATGAGGCCAGCATCATCCTGATACCAAAGCCTGGTAGAGACACAACAAAAAAAGAGAATTTTAGACCAATATCCCTGATGAACATCGATGTGAAAATCCTCAATAAAATACTGGCAAACCAAATCCATCAGCACATCAAAAAGCTTATCCACCACGATCAAGTCAGCTTTATCCCTGGGATGCAAGGCTGGTTCAACGTATGCAAATCAATAAACATAATCCATAACATAAACAGAACCAATGACAAAATCATATGATTATCTCAGTAGATGCCAAAAAGGCCTTCGACAAAATTCAACAGCCCTTCAGGCTAAAAACTCTCAATAAATTAGGTATTGATGGAAGGTATCTCAAAATAATAAGAGCTATTTATGAAAAACCCACAGCCAGTATCATACTGAATGGGCAAAACCTGGAAGCATTCCCTTTGAAAACTGGCACAAGACAGGGATGCCCTCTCTCACCACTCCTCTTCAACATAGTGTTGCAAGTTCTGGCCAGGGCAATCAAGCAAGAGAAAGAAATAAAGGGTATTCAATTAGGAAATGAGGAAGTCAAATTGTCCCTGTTTGCAGATGACATGATTGCATATTTAGAAAACCCCATCATCTCAGCCCAAAATCTCCTTAAGCTGATAAACAACTTTAGCAAAGTCTCAGGATACAAAATCAATGTGCAAAAATCACAAACATTCCTATACACCATTAACAGACAAACAGAGAGTCAAATCATGAGTGAACTCCCATTCGCCATTGCCACAAAGAGAATAAAATACCTAGGAAGCCAACTTACAAGGGATGTGAAGGAGTTCTCTTCAAGGAGAACTACAAACCACAGCTCAACGAAATAAAAGAGGACACAAACAAATGGAAGAATATTCCATGTTCATGGATAGGAAGAATCAGTATCGTGAAAATGGCCATACTGCCAAAGGTAATTTATAGATTCAATGCCATCCCCATCAAGCTACCAATGACTTTCTTCACAGAATTGGAAAAAACTACTTTAAAGTTCATATGGAACCAAAAAAGAGTCCGCATTGCCAAGAAAATCCTAAGCCAAAAGAACAAAGCTGGAGGATCATGCCACCTGACTTCAAACTATACTACAAGGCTACAGTAACCAAAACAGCATGGTACTGGTACCAAAACAGAGATATAGACCAATGGAACAGAACAGAGCCCTCAGAAATAATACTACACATCTACAAACATCTGATCTTTGACAAACCTGACAAAAACAAGAAAAGGGGAAAGGATTCCCTATTTAATAAATGGTGCTGGGAAAACTGGCTAGCCATATGTAGAAAGCTGAAACTGGATCCCTTCCTTACACCTTATACAAAAATTAATTCAAGATGGATTAAAGACTTAAATGTTAGACCTAAAACCATAAAAACCCTAGAAGAGAACCTAGGCAATACCATTCAGGACATAGGCATGGGCAAGGACTTCATGACTAAAACACCAAAGCAATGGCAACAAAAGCCAAAATTGACAAATGGAATCTAATTAAACTAAAGAGCTTCTGCACAGCAAAAGAAACTACCATCAGAGTGAACAGGCAACCTACAGAATGGGAGAAAATTTTTGCAATCTACCCATCTGACAAAGGGCTAATATCCAGAATCTACAAAGAACTCAAACAAATTTACAAGAAAAAAACAAACAACCCCATCAAAAAGTGGGCAAAGGACATGAACAGACACTTCTCAAAAGAAGACATTTATGCAGCCAACAGACACATGAAAAAATGCTCATCATCACTGGTCATCAGAGAAATACAAATCAAAACCACAGTGAGATACAATCTCACACCAGTTAGAATGGCAATCATTAAAAAGTCAGGAAACAACAGATGTTGGAGAGGATGCGGAGAAATAGGAATGTTTTTACACTGTTGGTGGAAGCGTAAATTAGTTCAACCATTGTGGAAGACAGTGTGGTGATTCCTCAAGGATTTAGAACTAGAATTACCATTTGACCCAGCAATCCCATTACTGGGTATATACCCAAAGGATTATAAATCATGCTACTATAAAGACACATGCACACATATGTTTACTGCGGTACTATTCACAATAGCAAAGGCTTGGAACCAACCCATATGTCCATCAATGATAGACTGGATTAAGAAAATGTGGCACATATGCACCATGGAATACTATGCAGCCATAAAAAAGGATGAGTTCATGTCCTTTGCAGGGACATGGATGAAGCTGGAAACCATCATTCTCAGCAAACTATCACAAGGAAAGAAAACCAAACACCATATGTTCTCACTCATAGGTGGGAACTGAACAATGAGATCACTTGGACACAGGGGGAACATCACACAATGGGGCCTGTTGTGGGGTTGGGGGCCTGGGGATGGATAGCATTAGGAGAAATACCTAATGTAAATGATGAGTTGATGGGTGTTAGGAGAAATACCTAATGTAAATGATGAGCTGATGGGTGCAGCAAACCGACATGGCACATGTATACCTATGTATCAAACCTGCACATTATGCGCATGTACCCTAGAACTTAAAGCATAATAATAATAAAAAAAATCTGCCCTGCCCACCAATGATGAACATGTATAATGGGTGAAAAATAAATTTTTATTTGGTGTCAATCATCTGAAGTTTGGATATTTCTGGTAGACATGGATATATGCTGCCCAGATCATAATTCAAAAAAAAACTTGTTGTCTGGGTTGCTAGCAGTGCTGTCAGTGAAGAGTCAGTTGCAAGCTACCTCACAAACTGCCTGAGGAACACAGGCCCACTTCACTCAAGGGCACACCCTTCCTAGAATGACCCATATTGAATGACTGATCAATGTATTGGTATAAAGGCCTGGCCATTCCAGCCCAACATTGGAGAAGTATGACCAATTATTTTGCCTTCAGTCAATCCTTACAGGGTTGACTAAGGTTATCCATCGAGCATCACAACTCAACTTCTCCCTTTGTCCAATTCTGCATCATCCCCCTACCTCTTGCAAAGGCATTGATTGTAAGGGTACTCCCAATTAACATCATGAATACTAAACTCTACCTCAGAGTCTGCTTTCCAGAGGACTCAAACTCTGACTTGTTTCAGGAATGGTATACTAAAGTAAGAAATAAGTTGGAGTTTGAGAGCTGGATCATACATTGCCAGGCTAGCAATGAAAAACTCATCATTGGTGGTAGGTGGAGCACAGATAGCTCTTGGCACAAAGTGGCCATTAAGCAACTGCAAAAACTTAAACTAGTGATAAAGTAGGAAGGCATGCCAATAGAAGGGAATAGTATAGCAGGAGTGAAGTACTAGATGCTTGAAAAACATGAGGAAGGGTAACTATTAAGATACTAGAATTGCATGTCTACTGCTTAGCCCCAGTGAGCTCTAGAAAAAGATAATGAAAGGCTGATAAAGCCAGAGGGTCTCCTCAGTACCATATAACGAGACTGCCAATTATAGAAGATCTGTCAATTAAAGAAGGTCAAGCCCCAGAAGAAAAAGGACTCTGACACACAAAATGGGAATATCAGAAGTTGATGCTCCTTAAAGTCTTCCCAAATTTTGAATTCCCAAATTTTCCTGAATCATCTGACACTGCAGAAATGATCCATCCTACCTTCCTAAAAGACAGATAGCACTCTGCCTTTGCTTAAACACAATGTAGAGGCTACTCTCCAGCATGACCTGTGGCGCAGGGCAGAATCTGCTCACATCTTCAGTACTGGCCAGAGGGCCTATAACTTGGGTTGGGTATCAACATAACTCATCTAGGTACATGCTGGGACTGCTAAGGAAAGAAAGAGAGTATACGACCAAAGAATCTATAAGACCTTCGCTGGTCACGGTGGCTCACGCCTGTAATCCCAGCACTTTGGGAGGTCGAGGCGGGCAGATCACAAGGTCAAGAGTTCGAGACCAGCCTGGCCAACATAGTGAAACCCCCGTCTCTACTAAAAGTACAAAAAATTAGCCGGGCGTGGTGGCGGGCGCCTGTAGTCCCAGCTACTCAGGAGGCTGAGGCAGGAGAATTGCTTGAACCCGGGAGACAGAGGTTGCAGTGAGCCAAGATCGAACCACTGCACTCCAGCCTGGACATCAGAGCAAGGCTCTGTCTCAAAACAACAACAACAACAACAACAAACCTAGACAGCTAGACAGCACATGTTGGCAGGAGGTGGGAGAGTACAAGTGGTACTAGGTTCAGAGGGGAGCTTGATCAAGGTGGCCAGAACCTTATGATTGGATTAGGGAGAGTTTACTGATTTGAAAGCCTTCTGCCAAGATGCAGGATTTTCCTTTCTGACAAGGATGCCACAAGAGGTGATGTTCACTTGCTATCTGGATGACTCTTAGAAACATGTAAAACATGAAAAGTATACCCATGCTAAGTAAGGTCAAAATGCCGGAACTGCCATAGCAAACAGTAAAGGCAGTGATTAAAAGTCTAAAAATGTGCACATGCTGAAGTCAATACACTATGTGATGCCAGAAAACCCACCAGGCTATTTTATCTATGGAAAGGGCCAGAGGATATGCCAATTACCAAAGCCATGAAGAATATGATGGTGGGAGAGACACTAGCATCACTAAGAATTTCGTGGCTTTCCTCCATAGACCAAAGCTGATAGTAGGAGCAACTGTAACAGAACTTAGCCCAATGATGGGAGACAATAGGAAAACAGCTGGACAAGGTCCAGCTCAAAATGGGTCCACTGGGTCACAGACTCACCCAGTGATCATGTCTTCAGTCGCTGGATATAGAATTGGAATAAACAGGCTTAACAAATGGCACAACACCTACCACATTTGGTCTTTGGTTCTCACAGTGGAAGCCTCTGGGAGCTTTTATCCCCTGGATAATACAATAAATTTTAAAATACTATCACATTCCAGAGAGAGTGGGTAGAAGCAATTAGTATCACCCTAAAGAATCTAAATAATGCCAGGATAATGGACCCCATCAAATCTCCATTTAAATCATCAGTTTGGCAAACTAAACAAAGCTTAAAGGATAGCAGACACCTACTACCAAGTAGAACTAAAATTGCAGGTGTCGTGCAAGATGTATATCTTTATTAGAGAAGATTAACATGGCCATGGAGTCGGCAAATGTGTTCTTTGCTAACTATCAAAAAAGAGGATCAAAAATAGTTTGCATTCACATGGAGGGGAAACTAGTATACCTTCACACTTTTGCCTTAGGATGATATTAATTCCGCCCTCTTTTGTCATACATAGTCAGAATACATTTGATCCTGTTGGACATCTTGCAGAACATTACATTGTTCTACTACATTAACAACATTATGCTAATTGGGCCAGATGGGCAAGAATAATGCAACAGAGACCTTCTTAAGACATATGCTTCAAAGGATGGAAAATAAAACCTACAAAGATTCAGAGACTTTGATATTGGTAAAATATTTAGGGGTCCAGTGGACAAGAACATTCTCAGACAGCTCATCTGAATTAAAAGACCAATTATGCATCTTGCAACTCCCATTACAAAGAAGAAAGCAAACCATCTGGTAGGCCTCTTTGTGTTCTAAAGGCAGCATATTCCACTCCTAGGAATGCTGCTTCAGCCCATATACTGGAAGACATTAAAGGCTGCCAGCTCTTTCCAGCCAGGGTAGGAAATAGCTCTGCTGTCAGTGAAGTCTACCCTGCATGCAACTCTGCAGCTAGGCACATATGACCCAGTACATACTATAGTTATTGGTAGTGTCACTGTTGGAAAAAGTAGTATGTGGAATTTATGGCAAGCCCCAGTGAAAGAATCACAATGCAGGCTTCACACACATGTCAAAGGCCATACCATCTGTGGTGGAAAGTTATATACCTCTATTACTGCCATGCCACTGGGTCCAGATAAAAATAGAATGCTTGACCATGGGTAATCAAGTGACTATGTGTTGAGAGTTTGCAATCATGAGCTAGTTCTGTTACCAATAACCCTAAGAATATAAAATGGAAGTGGTACCCATGATCAAGTATGAGCAGAAACACAGGGCACAAGCAATCTGTGTAAGTATGTAGCTCAAATCCCTATGTCATCCACCACTGTTACATCAACACCCCTCCCTATGGCCATATGGGGAATTCTCTGCTGTCCAGATAACAAGAGGAAGAAAACACAAATATGCCAGCTTGATATGTGGGCATAAATCAAATGCCTTAAAGCTCAATACTAAATAAATATAATGTGTTTACAAGTAGTCTAAACCAATTCTTACACTAAAAAGTCTCCTACATTTTTAATCTGTCTGACTATAATTTATATTTCTTGCCAAGAAGAAAATATATTTCTGGAGCACTTAGGTTATTATCACTTCATAAACAGTTCAAGGCCAAACAAATTAAAGCAAATTCCATAGTTACTGACATCATGAAAATTACAGAAATAATATTCTATACCAACAAAACAGCCACGATGAAAAGAATGAAGACCAAGATAATATACACTCTCTGGAATACAGGCTTAAAAAAATAAAAAATAAAATAACATAATGTACTCATTATTTAAGGTACTAAATATTAATTATGAACCATATACTCAATACACATAAGATCAAAAAATTAGAGTTACTGTTCTCTCAAACCCAAATTTGAGCAAACGGTACTATACCATCAAAACTATTTACACGTGAGGGATAGATAATTACATTAAAAACTCAAGCTGAAGGCAGACTGATTTATTTTAACAATTATACATTAAAAAATGCAAGTGGAAAATGTAAATTCACTGGCTAATTTTTCCATAAATGCTCATGTTTTTTCACAATATACATATACATATATATAAACGTGTGTGTGTGTGTATATATATATCTGTATTACTGTAAAGACACTTTAAAAAATCTTTTGGCCAGGCACGGTGGCTCACGCATGTAATCCCAGCACTTTGGGAGGCCAAGGCAGGCAGATCACCTGAGGTCAGGAGTTCAAGACCAGCCTGGCCAACATGATGAAATCCTGTCTCTACTGAAAAATACAAAAAAAATACAAAAATTAGCCGGAGATGGTGGCAGGCGCCTGTAATCTCAGCTACTTGGGAGGCTGAGGCAGAAGAGTCACTTGAACTTGGGAGGCAGAAGTTGCAGTGAGCCGAGGTCATGCCATTGCACTCCAACTCAAAAAAAAATAAAAATCTTTTACTGTTTCACTTAAAATGCCAATTCATAAGTTAGTCTTAAATGCAAATTTGAAATAAGACAGAAAGTACACATAGGTTGTATGTACAAGGCTCACAACAAGATGAATATAAAGAAAAACCTATATTAGCCATTTCAAAACTTCTGTAATAGAAAATTACATTTCTGGATGTTGCCAAATATCTTTTCCCACCTGCCCCTGAAATGATGGTACTTTACTGGGGTTTTGTTTTTTGGCTCCCTACTTCAAAACTTCTTTTAATATTCTAAAATAAGCACAATTTACTCTAGGTTAACTCATTCTCAGTTTAAAAAAAAACTCATTCATACCCGTATCTTCTCTCAGGAATTGTCCCCTGGCATTCATTAAATAAATATTTATTTAGTTTTTTACTGTCTGCCAGGCAAAGTAGGCGAAATTATTTTATAGTGTCTTAACATACAATGATATGTCCTGTTGCTTTGGTAGTTTTGAACTAATAAATTATATTTATAGATTCCCAGATAACGAATCACAGTTGAATTCCTAGAATGAATCCTACTTGATCATAGTTTATTAAACTTTTGAAATATGGTTGGAGCCTATGTGTTAATATTTTATTTTAAAATTTTTATTCTACATTCATGACTTCTTTGTCCTGCCTTCTTCCCCCAAGAGTTAAGACTTTTTAAAACTTTTTTCCTTTTTTACATTTTTTACTGAGAAATAATTGTACATATTAATGGAGTATATAGTGATGCTTCAATACATATAATGTATAGTGATCAGATCAGGGTAACTGGCATATCAATCATCTCGAACATTTATCATTTCTTTGTGTTAGAAACATTCAATATCCTAATTCTAGATATTTGAAACTACACATAATAGTTAACTATTGTCATCTTACACTGGTATAGAACACTACAATGTATTCCTCCTATCTAGCTGTAATTTTGTATTCTTTAACAAATCTCTCTGTGTAACCTACCACTTCCCCCACCCTCCTCAGACTCTAGTATCCTCTGTTCTATTTTTGTCTTCTATGAGATGAACTTTTTTTAGCTTCCACATATGAGTGAAAACATACAGTGTTTAACTTTCTGTTCCTGGCTTATTTCGCTTAACATAATGTCTTCCAGTTCCATCCATGTTGCCACAAATGATAGGTCTTCATTCTTTTTATGGCTGAATAGTATTTCAGCATGTATATATACCACATTTTTCAAATTCATTCATCCCTTGTTGGAAACCTAGGTGGTTCCATATCTTGGATGTTGTGAATAGTACTGCAATAAACCTGGAGGTGCAGGTGTCTCTTTAATATACTGATTTTCTTTCCTTTGGATAAATATCCAGTGGTGGTATTGCTGGATCGTATAATAGTTCTATTTGTAGTTTTTGAAGAACCTCCATACTATTCTCCATAGTGGCTGTACTAGCTTACATTTCCATCAAAAACATTTCCCCATTGTTCCACATCCTCACCAGCATTTGTTATTTTTTTGTCTTTTTGATAATAGATATCCTAAATGGCGTGAGATGATACTTCATTGTGTTTTGATTTGTATTTCCCTGATGAATACTGATGTTGAACATGTTGTCATATATTATTGGTTATTTGTATGTCTTCTTTTGAGAAATATCTGTTGAGATCATTTGCCTATTTTTGTTAAACATTTGCAAAATGGATTGTTTGTTGAGGTTTTTTTTATCATTGAGAATTTTTTAGTTCTTTGTATATTCTGGATGTTAATCCCCCATCAGATGAATAGTTTGCAAATATTTTCTCCCCTTCTGGAGGTTGTCTTTTCATTCTGTTGATTGTCCTTTTCTTTGCAAAAGCTTTTTATTTTATATGATCCCATTTGTTTACTTTTGCTTTTGTTGCCTGTGCTGTTGCGGCCTTTTGCAGAAAGTCTTCTCCAGACCCATGTCTTGAAGGATTATTCCTGTTTTCTGTTGTTTTATTGTTTTGATCCATTTTTAGTTTAGAGGGGAGGGTCTAGTTTCATACTGCTGCAAATGAATGTCAACTTTTCCCAGAACTATTTATTAAAGAGGCTGCTTTTTCAGAGCATTTTTTTCATTAATCTTTATTCAGTAATTTTTGTATTCAATACAGTCTCTCAAAATGGATACAGACTTGTTAAGAATGAGAGAGATGGCCGGGCGCGGTGGCTCACGCCTGTAATCCCAGCACTTTGGGAGGCCGAGGCGGGTGGATCATGAGGTCAGGAGATCGAGACCATCCTGGCTAACAAGGTGAAACCCCGTCTCTACTAAAAATACAAAAAATTAGCCGGGCGCGGTGGCGGGCGCCTGTAGTCCCAGCTACTCGGGAGGCTGAGGCAGGAGAATGGCGTGAACCCAGGAAGTGGAGCTTGCAGTGAGCCGAGATTGCGCTACTGCAGTCCGCAGTCCGACCTGGGCGACAGAGCGAGACTCCGTCTCAAAAAAAAAAAAAAAAAAGAATGAGAGAGATTCATTATCCATTATCCTTTTCTTTCTCCTGGATTTTCTATCTTGAGGTCACTATTTTCCAATCAACTTATTCGGGAGGGGGACAGGTAGAGTGAAATTCAAATACCTCTCAGAAATATGATTAAATCTATTGATAAAAACTATTTTTGAATGTCTCACTACACTAACAAGTTCTTTCCAACTAAAATTCCTTTTTTTTCCTGTTAAACCAGGAAAAATAAATATCACGGTGTATAGTGTTAATATCAAAAGGACTCTGAATGTAGACTTAACTTTAAATTCTGAATACAACATCTTATAGCCTGTGTGAGTTTGGGTTTAACCATGGTAAATCACAGTGTCTTCTTCTATAAATTAAATATACTAATGTACACTACACAGATGTAACAATAATTATATTATAAATCATGTGTGACATGCCAAGCACTGTTGAAAACATTAGATAAATGTTAGTTCATCCTTTCCTCAAAATAAAAGGTTATTTTTTCTTTTATTTAGTGGCCTCTTTTTAAAAAAGATTAAACTACTATTTCTTGTATATAATCCCAACAAAAAGAAAGAGAACACCTTGAGCAAAGGATACAATGAAGCTTAAAACAGTCGACAGTTGGCTAAATTCATTGAAAGAAATGTGTGATGATTCTAAGGATTTTCCTGATCTACAAAGAAATTGTTTCTTTCAGATGGCCAGGTAAGTGGTACCACTTTCATCAAGAAAGAGCCCTAAGAATTTAACGAAGTGCATAGAGAAATACGGATAAACAGAGAGAGGAACTAATAAAATAACCTCCAGAAAATAAAAATAATTATAAACATGAAAAGCAAGCAGATTGGAATTTTCATAACTTTGCATGAGTATTCCAAAAAATTAAATAATTAGATGTCTTAATTTGAATATGATTTTGCTATGAAATTATATGCCTTACCAAACTATATCTATTATATATGTATACATATATATCACTCCAAACAGTTGGACAAAATCAGGTATCCCAGGCTTCATTAATTAGTTAAGTGATTTTTTTTTTTTTTTTTTTTTTTTGAGACGGAGTGTCGGTCTTGTTGCGCAGGCTGGAGTGCAATGGCGCAATCTCGGCTCACTGAAACCTCCACCTCCAGGGTACAAGCGATTCTCCTGCCTCAGCCTCCTGAGTAGCCAGGATTACAGGCATGCACCACCACACCCAGCTAATTTTTGTATTTTTAGTAGAGACGGGGTTTCTCCATGTTGGTCAGGCTGGTCTCAAACTCTCGACCTCAGGTGATCAGCCTGCCTCAGGCTCCCAAAGTGGTGGGATTACAGGAGTCAGCCACCGTGCCCGGCCAGTTAAGTGATCTTTTAAGAGTATACAGAACTGCAATTTCACTGTATTATAAAATGGTTAAGAATATACATTATTATATACTACCATTAAAATATTACTTTCCCAAATAAAAAATTACTTTTTAGTTTTTACTGATTTAGTTTTTAAATAATCACTACAAAGAAATTAATGTCATAAGTAAACCACTATGTTCAGGGAATTTATTTTGAAAACTCGATTATTCGTTAAATCTCATTTGAAATTTCAGCTGTTCTGCTTTCTGCAAGATATAGTTCTTATACAAATCCTATTCCCTACCCATTCTTAAATAATTTAACTCAGGAAATTACATTTTCATGTTTCTGTTATCCTCTATTATCTTTTTGATTAAGAAAAAAACATAGTCAATAAGTTGTTTTGCATCTTGTTTCAGAATTCTGTGTGAATTCTAAATAGAAGGTTATCTTTACCAGAAAGTTCTTGTTAACCTTGAAGAAGGTGCCATAGTGGCTTTCTGAAAGTAATAATAACAGCACTAACAATAACAAAAAAAAATTAAGTTTTTGGATTCTCAAATCTGACCTCAAACTAGATTTACAAACTAGAACATTAAGAAATGTGTCATGTCATATGTTACAGTCAAATTAAGAAATGTGTCATGCTATGTGTTATACTCAACCTATCTTATTCACCACCCTAGCTGTATTATCAGCTGCACTTTAGTCACTTTTAAAAAACATAGATGCCCAGTATCCAATCTCAAAGAATCTGATTACGTAAGTTATTTTTTTTTTCCAACCAACCTCCAAAGAGGATGCCAAGGTATGAGCATGATTGAAAATCACCAGTATATGCCTTCTACATCCATCATGCAATAATAGAATGGGAACTGTGAAGGCAAGGTTATATACCCAAAGATTAGCGATATTGACTGTATAAAATTTACTGTGAGAGTAATGTTCAAATAATACATTTTGCAACAATAAAAAATTAGAAATGGTACAAATATTCCTGTTTAAATATCATATAACACAAAACAATCAGCTAAGCTTTTAAGTGCCTTCCATAAATGCACCAAAAATGTCCTGGTGTACCACAGTGAAAAGAAAAACTAGCAACATGACACTTTTTCTGTTTCCTAATTGGTTTACTATATAATGCTTATATCTATTTCCACAAAAACATACTCCATGAGGAAAACAATTATTTTGAAAGACATTTGTTGAAGTATAAATAATAATATGAAAAATACCTTTTCCCAGAAAAATAGTCCAACATTTCATACTCCAAACCCAGGAGGATAAAACAGATTATTTTAGAGAACATTTTTGAGAACTACCTACAAATAATCAAATGAGATAAAGCCGAACAGTTTTAACCTATGTTGAATTGTGGAACTGTCTTTATGTTTTTGTTGTCAGTGTTAGCACAGGGGATAAAAAAAAACCTTTGTTAAAATGTAAAACTGTTTAAAATATGCTATTCCTTCCTCCAGTCTGAACAACTTGCTTGAAAAAATGGAACTCATATTTTCTTCTATATTTCTACAGCATTAAGAAACAAGCATTACTAAGAATAAGGTAATTTGTTGCCATAATTAAGAACATACACTGGGCCCAACTAATCAGCATGATGTAGTCAAATAGAAAGACTACCACAAGTTTTAGGAGTTACAAAAGTTAGATCTACCGCCTACTACCTGCATGGCTTTGGCAAGTTCCTGTTACTCTCATCTGTTTAATCTTCTGAATATTAGGATAATAGTACCATGCTACAAGGTAGGTTAAAGATTTTGTATATAAATTACTTAACATAGTACCTAGCACATAGAAGGAAATTAAATAAATAGTAGTAATTAGAATCATCATAATCTGACATCTTTCTATTTCTGAAACAAAATTCTCCAAATTTTTTCACTTAAGTTTTTTGACACATAAAACTTGATATATCATAATCTTCAACAATATGAAAAAAATAAAAATACATTCCCATTTTGTCAGCCAGAAAATAGCTCAACCTTAAATTCTTCATTGAAGTACAGACATTGTGTGGAAGCTCCTTGAAGAACCTTTTGCAAAAGTTCAAAATTCCACTTCATGGATTTTTAACAATGACAACAACAATGTATACTTTTTGTGGGATTTTTTTTCCCCAGAAGAAAAACAAACAAACAAAACTTTCATCAACTTCCAGAAAAATAAGCCCAGGGTCTTATCACCATAGCCAAAACAATAATATATTGACAGGCCCAATCTAGCAATGAGATAAAGTCACTGCCAGCCTAGATTCAGTACTTCATTCAACCCATTTTACTAATTTCAAACAATGATTCATGAGCCTCCTAAAAGCTGAGACAATCCCATGTTCGTCAGGAGTTACCACTTCAAATTATTATTTCAAAAAGAAAAAGATCAAATTACTAGTATCAAATGATTAATCACAGAATGACATTCATTACTTAGATTTAAAAACCATGCTTAACTTTACTACTAGGAATTTCCTTTGAAACAACTGTAATAGTAAAAAGATTAAAGTGCTTATTAATAGTCAGAGTTTTCTTTACATGATTCTACTTGAAATAATTTACCAAAGCAGATTATGTGCCTTTATGAGGTTTAAGAGAAAAAGTATACTTCTTACATCTATTAAATGTGTTATTCTTTTATTTTACTTATAAAAATGTTTCCTAATCGCTTCAAATTGGTATAATACTTTATTTATACCCTCAATAAAAGGTGCTCTTAAGTACTGATAAGTATATTTTAAATATCAGCTAGGTTTTATATATAATATGATACATAGAAAAACAATGTTTTCACTACAAGGGTCTACTGGATACCTAAATTTAGTATTTCAATAAATACATTCACTTAAATATTCAGAAATTGATAGGATTATATTGCGTAACTAAAATTAGGTGAATTGTATAAATGCAAACTGTTTTTAGTTCTTTGGGAAAACATGCTTATATAGTTGTTTCCCAGATACATCTGGGTTTCCATTTCGTCTCAAAATCTTATTTCTTTAGCTCTACTATCTCTATTCCTTTCTCTAGTTCTATCAGATTCCTATATATAGTAAGTATATCGGAAATGTTTAATATATTTTTGCTTATCCCTTAAAATCTAAAATGTTTACATTCCTACTATGTATAAAAATTTACATAATTCAACAGTATTCCATATCTACCCATTATCAAAATTAATATGTAGCAAACACAATAAACTGATATAGTGTTCACAAAGGGAAACAACATAAAAAGTCTTCAAAAAGGACATCCAAATCTAGCTTTTTGTATTCCCTGTATCTACCACTACTTCTGCTCAGTACTTCTGTTCTCCTGGCTCTATTACTATAATACTACTGTGCTGAAATTAGAAAGAATTCCATTCATATTCTATCACTTAACTCTAAAATGACATATACACATGCTATCAATTAATGTATTTGAGAATATCTATATGGAAAATTTCTGATATTTCCTACTTTGTACAATCCTAACAGATACATACCTATGTCATATGCCAGGAAATCGGCAGAAAAACATTTTGCACCGTTACTCAAGGAAGTGTCATTATGGGTATTTCCTCCAAAAATAAGCATAGCTCCATTGATAAGAACAGCTGAATGAAGGTATCTGGCAAACCCACTTTCTTTCAAAATAGTCCTACAGAATAAAATTTAAAAATGTATTACAAAGGATAAAATGACCTCCCTGATTTTATATATGTTATATAAAGGGTCTACTTTGCATATAGAGGTTTCCCTGGAATTGTGGGGGAAAAAAACATATTTTTTAACAATTTATAAATGACCTCTAAACTTCAATATTTCAAAAAAAAATATTTTGAGGCTCATAGCATCTTAAAATGCTTTGAGGAGACACAATATCAAAAAGAATTTTTAATACTCATAATAATTTATATTATAAATTATTTTTTCATTTACAAAGATAGGAAACAAGCCATCTTAAAACTAGAGGCCCAAAACATCATTTTAAAATACCAAATAAGTAAAAAGTTAAATATAGTAAATTTAGTCTAAACTATATTTGGTTAAAACTGTGTAACTCATATGGACTCCATAATAAACTTTTAAGATTTTATTTAAGTATAACATGCATAAAACTGCATATATCAGAAGCCTAAAACTCAATGATTTTTCACAACATGAACACAACTAAGTAATCAGCACTCACATAAAAAACTATAAGAATATTACCACTATTCTAACAGCATAAATTCATTTGCTGTTTTTGTACCTTACCTAAGTGGAGTCTATAGATTGCACTCATTGATGAATAGGTACATTTGCTCAAGATATATATATATTTGAGATATATATTTTTTGTGTAATCAAAAATTACAATTACAACGCATCTTGTGAAACATTAAAATTAATATAAATGTTCTTTTAATTAAAGTATAATTCTGAGAGAAAATATTATAAATATATGCTCACAATTATAACTGATCTGAATGAATGGATATGTAGTAAAGGTGCATGACAATATAAATAAATATTAAATAACTACTCTAAAGCCCTGATACAAACAATTAGAAGTTAGAATTATTATATACATAAACATAGCTAATACGTAAAGTATAGTTAGTATAGTATATGTAGCAGCTCCAAAACCATGGATTATAATACCAATTAATTTCTAAAGAATATGAAGCTCAGCCAGGCGTGGTGTTGTCTCACGCCTGTAACTCCAGCACTTTGAGAGGCCAAGGCGGGTGGATCACGAGATCAGGAGATCAAGACCATCCTGGCTTGATCCAGGGCAAAACCCTGTCTCTACTAAAAACACAAAAAATTACCCGGGCATGGTGGCACGTGCCCGTAGTCCCAGCTACTCGGGAGGCTGAGGCAGGAGAATTGCTTGAACCCGGGAGGCGGAGGTTGCAGTGAGCCAAGATGGCACCACTGCACTCCAGCCTGGGCAACAGAGTGAGACTCTGTCTCAAAAAAAAAAAAAAAGGAAAAAAGTATGAAGCTCACTTACAGAATGGTAACATGAGGAGTTCCACAAACACTCCCACTAGGAAAAGAACTATAATTGGTAAAAATTATAAAAAGCAACCATTAACCTAAGAAAATTTTGCTAAGAGCAACACCAAATAAAGAAACATTTACTCAAAAAGAACAGCAATAGTCTATGGCAATAGATAATTACTTACCCCAACCCCCTCACGCCTGCCTCACACACACAAAACCAATTCAGCATGATAGAAATTCTACCCCAGGCAAGTAAAGCCAAGAACATAAGGCTCCTTCATCCCTCAACTCCCACTCCAGGCCAGCGATATCTCACTAGGAGTGGCAGGATACCAGCACTTCTCATTCCCTCCAGCTCTGGGTTACAGAAGCTCTGTTCTGGGAAAGATCATGAGAGGTCTGGGTGCTCTTCCTCTGCCCAGTTGCCACTCATAGGGTGGTAGCTATACACTAATTCCAGCAGGCTAACAACATTGGACCCAATAGCCTTCATCCCACCTCACTCCTAAGGCAGACTGTTGCATCCAGAAAGAGCCAAGTTGAGAAGACTCCAGAGACTACTATCCCCATCTAGTGCTCTGTACATAAAGTAGTGGTGTCACTCTAAGAGGAACAGGCCACTAAGCCCACCCACCTGCAACTCCAAAGCAGTAGCACAGAAGTTTTTCCCCAGGAGGAGAGGTAGGCTAAGAAAAAATACAGCCCCGGCCGGGCGCGGTGCTCATGCCTGTAATCCCAGCACTTTGGGAGGCCGAAGTGGGCGAATCACGATGTCAGGAGTTCCAGACTAGGCTTGCCAACATGGTGAAACCCCATCTCTACTAAAAATACAAAAAATTAGCTGGGCGTGGTAGCCTGCGCCTGTAGTCCCAGCTACTCGGGAGGCTAAGGCAGGAGAATCGCTTGAACCCGGGAGGCAGAGGTTCCAGCGAGCTGAGATCGCACCACTGCACTCTAGCCCAGGTAACAGAGTGAGACTCCATCACAAAAAATAAAATAAAATAAAATAAAATAATCTCTAGTCTCTAATTTTTCTTTACAAAACAAGAAAATACTATAATCTAGTGGACAGTAAATAAATAATATGGATCAAGGAACAAAATATTCTCTAGTAGAGCAATATTTAAGCTAAGATAATTTAAATATAATGAAGAAGAAGGTGGAACTTATTCCAAGTATGCTAGGCTGGTTCAACATTCAAAGTCAATTGATTCAATCCATCATGTCGATAAGCTAACAAAGAAAATCATATGATCATATCAATAGATGGAGAAAAAGCATTGACAAAATCCAACATTCAGTCATGATAAAAACTCAGCAAACTAGGAATAGAGGGAAAATACCTCAGCTTGATAAACATCTATAAAAACATCATATTTAATGGTGAGAAACAATGTTTTCCTTCCAAGAAAAGGAATAAGGCAAGGATGTTTCATCTCACCATTTCTATTCAACATTTTAGTGGAAGTTCTTGCTACTGCAATAAGACAAGAGAATGAAATAAAAGATATACAGATTGGGAAGGAAGAAATAAAATGGTATTTTTTCACAAATGATATGACTGTCTACGAAGTAAATCCCAAAGAATCAACAACAACAACAACAACAACCAAAAAAACCCTCTAGAACTAATAAGCTAGCATAGCAAGGTTGCAGGACACAAGGGTAATATACAATTGATTTTTTATATACCAGCAGTGAACAAGAACAAAAACACAATACCATTTACATTAGAACCAAAAGAAGAGAAATACTTAGGTAGAAACCTAACAAAATATGTACAAGACTGGTATGAGGAAAACTACAAACAATAAAAGAAACCAAAAATCTAAATAAATAAAGAGATAGTACATGAACACAGATAGGAAAACTAATACTGGCAATATGCCAGTTCTTCCCAGCTTGATATGCAGATTCAGTGTAATACAAATCAAAATTCCAGCAAGATTTTTAGTAATAAATTTACCAAATTTTTATCAAACTGATTCTAAAATTTATATGTAAAGGCAAAAGACCTAAAATAGCCAGCACAATATTGAAGAAGAAGAACAAAGTCAAAGATTGACATCACCTGGCTTTGGGACTTACTATAAAGCTACAATAATCAAGTCAGTCCCTGGGACTGGCAAAAGAATAGACAAATAAATCAAGGAAACAGAATAGAGAGCTCAGAAATAGACACATACAAATATGGTCAACTGATCTTTGACAAAATAGAAAAAACGATTCAACAATGAAAGGACTGTCTATTGGACAAATATTGCTGGAACAACAGGGCATCACAGTAGTAATAACAGAAATAATCATCTAGATACAGACCTTACATCTTTTACAAAAATTAACTCAGAATAGATCGCAGAGCTAAATGTAAAATGCAAAATTATTTAATATAAAACTCCCAGAAGATAACGCAGGAGAAAATCTAGGTAACCTGGGTTTGGTGATGACATTTTAGATACAGCAACAAAAGCATAAATGATGAAAGAAAAAAGTCATAATTTGGACTCTATTAAAATTAAAAACCTCTCCTCAGTGAAAGACATTGTTATGAGAATGAAACAACAAGCCACAGTCTGGGAGAACATATTTGTAACACATAGCTAATAAAGGACTGGTATCCAAATTATACAAGGATCCCTTAAAACTCAATAAAAAACAAGCTCAATTTTAAAAAAGGCAAAAGATCTGAACAGACACCTTTTCTAAGAAGACATATTTATGTCTAGTAAGCATGTTAAAAGATATCCCACATTACATGTCACAGGGAAATGCAGATTAAAATAACAGTGAAATACCACTACACACATATTAGAATAGCTAAAATCTAAAATGCTGACAAAAGATGGCAACGATCTAGAGCAACAGGAACTCTCATTCATCGCTGCTGGGAATGAAAAATGATACAGCCAGCCACTTTGGCAGTTTCTCACAAAACTAAACATAACTTTACCATACCATCCAGGAATTGCACTCCATGGTGGTCACCTGAATGAGTTGAAAATATGTCCACACAAAAATCTGCACACAGATGTTTATAGCAGCTTTATTCATAATTGTCAAAATTTGGAGGCAACCAAGATGTTCTTCAATAGGTAACTGGATAAACAAAAGATGGTTTCCATACAATGCAACATAATTCAGCAATAAAAGACATGGGCTATTATGTCATGAAGAGACATAAAGGAACTTTAAATGCTTATTGCTAAGTGAAAGAAGCCAAAATTAAAAGGCTACATACTACATGATTCCAGCTTTATGACATTCTAGAAAAGGCAAAAGTATGGAGACAGTAAAAATATCAGTGGTTGCCAAGAGTTTGGAGGGAGGAAGAGATAAGCAAGAGGATCACAGGTTATTTTTAGGAAAATTAAAATATTCTGTATGAAATGATCATTGTAGATACATGTCACTATACATTTGTGAAAATCCATAGAATATACAGCACAAAAGTGAACCTAATATAAACTATGGACTTAGTTAATGAGTAATGTATCAACATTGACCCACTGACTGTAACAAATGTACCATATTCACGTAAGACACATAATAGAGGACCTGGGGATAGGGGAGATGAGAGTATTTGGAAACATTCTGTACTTTCTGCTCATTTCTCCATAAAACTAAAACTGCTCTAAAACATAGAGTTTATTGTTAAAAAAACAAAACAAACAAACAAAAAATGTGGGGATTAAAATTACATCTGATTTACCAGATATGGTATATTAAATGGAAAAAGTAAATCTTGTTCCTCATACTTCACATACAAAAATATTTTGTAATGTATGAAGCATAAAATGGAAACCAAGTTTCTCACTGGCAGAAGAGATTTACAAATGTGAAAGAGGGGAAGGCAAAAATGATCCCTGTAATGCTGTATGGCATCATTATGCAATTTAGACAGACAGCATTTAAGCACAGATAGATATGTAGAGCTACAGATACATGCCCAGATCTATAAATGGATATAGAGGATATAAATGGATATATGCGTAGTTCTCTAATCTTAGTTTTTAAAGAACATTCTCCACTAAAAGGAACCTAGGTTCCTTGAGGGTAATGATTTATTCGAGCACTAGGGCAGGGACAAATGTTTGTGCAGAAGGTAAAGGAGTGCACAAAGAATGATGGGGACATATCTAAAGAATACAGACACCTGATTGAAAGGAGCTCACTAGGCAAATCTGTGACAATATAAGCACCAGAATAAAGAATAGCAATTGATTACAAAACATTAAATAAAATAAAAATACATGAATTCATACTGATATAAATGAATATATAGACTGGGGAGACTAAGAAGGAATAATGAAATATAAGCACTTAGTAACCATCATACTAATAACTCTTTCTAGTGAGAATCATCAATGGGTATTAAAACTATTATGTAAAGGTTTAACAAGAAATAAAATATTTACATAATCTGAAAGTATCTCCCAATAAGGCACTTAGTAATTTAAAAAGGAAAAACAGTATATTTACCATTGAGAAAACTAAAATATACCACTTTTACCAAGATATAAAAGTTAACCTTTCCAGAAATGTTCACAGCAGCCTCATTCTTAATAGTCAAAAGTGAAAACAACCCAAATGTCTATTAATTGACAAATAGATTTTTAAAATATGGTATATTGAGATAATGGAATATTATTCAGTCATAACAAAAACAATGAAGCACTGATATATGGTATAATACAGACGAACTCTGGAAAAAAAAAATTACAATAAGTGAAAGAAGCCACACACAGGAGGCCATGTTTGTACAATTCCATACATACAAAATATCCAGATTAGACAAATCCATAGAGAGAGAGAAATTAAATTAGTGGTTGCCAGAAGATGGAGATAGAGAGAATAGACAGGTATGGGGTTTCTTTTGGGGCTGATGGAAATATTCTGGAACTAGTGGTAATAGTTGCACAATATTATGAATATACTGAAAACCACTAAATTGTACTGTTTTAAATGATCAAAATTAAGAAGTTTATGTTATGACTTTTATCTCAATAAAAAAGGTTTTTTCACAAAAATTTAACTTCACCAGCCATGGGAGAAGAATATGACATTTTGGTATTCCTAACAAAAATACAAAATGTGAATCTAATCATGCAGAAACATCAGATAAACCCAAACGAGGCACAGACTTCAAATGAAAGATCATGACTATTCCAAATTAAAGGAGACTAAAAAGACATGACAACTAAATGTTTGCATGCTCCTGGATGTAATCCTGGATCAGGAAAAGATACCCAAACTCAGTAAGGAAAAAAGTATCAAAATCTGAGAAGGAGAGTATAAAAAGGGAAAACCACAGGCCAATCACATATGTGAACATTCATGAAAACTTATTAAGAAATCAAATCCGGCTCATACCAGTAATCCCAGCACTTTGGGAGGCCAAGGCGGGCGGATGGCTTGACCTCAGGAGTTCGAGACCAGCCAGGGCAACATAGCAAAACCCGGTCCCTAATAAATACAAAAATTAGTCGGCCCTGCTGGCACCCATCTGGGGTCCCAGTGACTCGGGAGTCTAAAGTGAGAGGATCGCTTGAACCTGGGAAGTGGAGGTTGCAGTGAGCCGAGATCGTACCACTGCTCTCAAGCATGGGCAACAGAGTGAGACCCTGTCTCAAAAAAAAAAAAAAAAGAAAAAGAAAAAAATCGAATCTAGCAATTTTAATGTTATAATTTGTAAAAAATATTGGTACAATTGAAAAAATTAAATGTGTTAGATTATAATATTCTATCCATGTTATTTTCTAAATTTGATCCTTATGTAAGAGAGTATCTTTGTTTTTTAGTAAATATATTTTAAAATATTTATGCTTAAGAGGGCATCATGTAAGCAACTCCATTCAAAAACAATACATAGATATATAGGGAGATATAAATAAATGCAGTATTAAAAATAATTAAAAGGGAACACAACTACAGATATTGCAGATACTAAAAGATCCTGAGAGAATATATTAACATCTTTATAACAATTTAACTGAAGATATCAGTTTCATGGATAAATTCCTTTAAATATATCTTACCAAAACAGACTCAACAACAAATAGAACATCTGAATGTTCTTACAACTATTATATTGAATTCAGTAGTTAAAACTCTACACCCTGAAGAAAACATCAGACCTAGTTGGCCCAAAGTTTATTATTTTAAAATAGGAAAAATAATTCCAATAATATATACATATATACATGTGATAAATGTTCTAGAGTATTAAAAAGAATACTCCCCAACTCATTTTAAAAGCCCGAAGTAACACCACCAAAGAGCTGACATGAATATCTCAAAAAAAACATGTGCAAATCTCACATATTAACATCAATGTAAAAATCCTTACAAAAATACTAGCAAACTAAAAAAAACACATAATACATTATGACTAAGTTTGATTTAACCCAAGTTGAGTTAATAATAAAGTAAATTAAAATAATATTCCACATTAAATTATTTAGTAGAAAAATCAAGTAAGTCATTCCTAAAACAGCCTTTGGCAAAACCAAGCATCCATTCATAATATAAACCCTTATCAAACCAGGAAAAAAGAGACCTTTCTTTATAATGATATCTAAAAAACCCACAATGAACATCATTCTTAGTGAAGAAATACTGAAAGCATTTTTTAAAAGCTCAGGAATAAAATAGATGCCTGTTATCACACTTCTATTCAACAATGAGCTGAAGATTATAGCAGAAATTGTAAGACGAGAAAAATATAAAGCTGTAAGACCCAGAAAGGAAGAAACAAAACTGTCATTATTTGTATATAATCTGATCAACTATTATTTAAAAAACGCTAAAAAAGTCTACACATAAATTACAAAAATACAGCAAACTGTTAGACATAAGAGTAATAAAAAATCAATTGCCTTTCAGTCTATCAGATCATAAACAGAAAAAGAAATTAAAAGATATTGTACTGGTTGAATGAATACTGTCCTCCCAAAATTGTTCACCTGGAACCTTGGAGTGTGACCTTAGTTTGAAAATAGGGTCTTTGCAGATAGTTAAGTTAAAATGAGATCACATAGATCTAATCCTAAACAAGTATGGGTCCTAAATCCAGTGACTGGTGTCCTTACAAGAAGGCCACGTTCAGACACATACAAACACACAAGGAGAAGTCCATATGAAGTCCAAGAGTTAGACTGGAGTAATGCAGCTACAATCAAAGTATGCCCAGGAATGTCTGGAGCTGCCAAATGATGGAAAAGGCTAGAAGGATTCTTCCCTGGAGCCTTTCAAGAGGGAATGGCCCTGCTGACACCTGGATTTCAGACTTTTAGCCACCAGAACTGTGAGAAGCTAAATTTCTGTTGTTTTAAGCCTCCAAGTCTATGATAGTTTATTATAGTAGCCATAGGAAATGAATACAGATTTCACCTAGAAAAGCATATAAAATATCAATCACCTGGAAGTAATTCTAACCAAAAAAACTGTTAGTATTGCAGACCACTAATGGAATGGACTTTTCAATAAATAGTTCTGGGAGCACTATTTATAGTTCTGGTTGTGCACACACACATACACACACACACACACACAAAAGTCCTTATCCAGTTGGGTTAAAGACTAAATGTGTGGAAGGCAATATTGAAAACACTAAGGTAAGTAAGTATTATTTAAGCAAGACACAAAGCAAAATCCATAAAATACTGACAACTTCTGCTATATTAAAATTAATAAGTTTTGCTTATCAAATATTACACAAAGAGTAAAAAGATGATCCACAATCTGAGAGATAAAATGTTGGCAAAATATAAAACTAACAAAAAATTATTATCAAAAAAGGGTACACAAACAACTACATATGACAATATGGGTGAAAATTTCAGAGTAGCTGTTTGGCCAATAAATATGAAAAGATGTTATACCTCATTAGCAATTAAGGAAACGCAAATTAAAACCAAAATAGGACACCATTTTATACTCACCATATTGGCAAAAAATATTCAAAAATGAAAAAACATCAAACCTTAATGAGATTGTTGAGAAGAAATGGGAACTGTCATTCACCCCTGGTAGAAGTGCAAATTAGTAAGATGAGGCTGGAGTATAGTTGGGTAAAATAGAGCATGAACAAGCATTTATACTATTAAGTAAATAGCTTAGACAAACTGTCGTGAAACAATAGAAGACTAAATAAGAATATTTTTGCTACAATTGCTCATAATAGTAAAAACTAAGGACAATTCCAGTATGCATCCACAGTAAGGCAGAAAATATAAAAAGACTCTGCGTTCGCACATTAAGGGTCTCTCACATGGGAAAATTCTGCCAAGGATCCTACTACACTTCCCTAACTCATTCACTCTCCCTCCCTCCTAAATGATTTCATACTTCTCTTTTCAAACCTCAATCTTCCACTATCCCTCATTCTCACCCTCAAGTGATGACTCTACTTCCTACTTCACTGAGAAAATAAAAAGAAACAAAATTTTCAAGAGTTCTCTCCACCTCTACTTATTTACCTGTATTTGTATTCAAATAACCTGACTTCATATCTGTTCTTATGAATAAAGTGCCCATGCTCTTCCTAGGTAAGGTTTACCACTCTATTTGTTCACTAGATCCCATTGCTACTTGTTTTCTTGAGTACATCCCTCTAGCAAATTATTCCCTTTATTTTTGGCATCATTTCTTACATCTTCTTGATCTTTCCTGTCAACCTACAAACATAATTATTTCTCCAAACTTAAAAATATATATATCTTGTCCCACATCCCTTACCACTTGTTACCCTGTTTCTTTCCTTTCCTTATAACTCCTCAAAAAAGTTGTTAGTACTTTTCTTTAATTCCTCTTCTCTCATCTTTATTTGACACATGCCAATCAAGACTTCACCACCCACTGAAACTTCTCTTGTCAAGTTCAGCAAAAAGCACTGGTTTGCCAGATTCCATGACCATTACTCAATCCTCATATTAGTTTACCAATCAGCAGCTTCTGACAAATTCTCTTTCCTTTGAAATATGCTCTTGGCTTCTAGAATACCATATTCTCCCAGTTTTCCTCCTAACTCATTAACTGCTCATTCTCAGTCTCCTTTTCTGGTTGTTTCTCCTCATCTCTTTGACCAGAAAATTAGAGTGTCCAGATCCTGAAATTCCTACATCCAGCCACCTATTTAACATATCCACAAGCTGTATAGTATGTACCTCAAATTAAACGTGTCTAAAACCAAGTTTCCATTCTTCCTGACACCAAACCTACTTCTCCCACAAAATTCATCATCCCAACTAATGCCAACTCCATGCTTTCAGGTCTTCAAGCCAAATGCCTGCTTCATCTTTCACTATTTCTCTCTTTCTCTCTCTCTCTCTCTCTCTCTCTCTCTCTCTCTCTCTCTCTCTCTCTCTCATCCACTCTATATCCAGTCCCCTAGTTTTTTCAATTCTTGTTGGTTCTACCTTGAAAATATATTCGGAATCCAACCAATTCTCACTACCTTCACATTGGCCTCTATGGTTCCAGATACCATCATCTCCCTCTTAGATCATTAAAATAGCCTCCTAAATGGTCTTCCTGCTTCTGCTCTTGCATCGTAATTACAACACCGCTCCTGTAAAAATCTAAGTCAGAGCATGTCACATATGTCAGATAAGTCACATATCTGTTCAAAACCCTCAAAGTCTACCCATACCAAAGTAAAAGCTCTATAATGTTTTCTAAGGCCCTACATGACTGGGTTTCCAGTTATTTCTCTAAGGGAAGATAATTTCCATCTTACTCCAAGACATTCGACTACACTAGCCCCTTTGCTGTTCCAGATGACAAGGATGTTCCCATCTCAAGGCTTTTGCACTAGCTGGACCTCCTCCTAGAACACCTGTCCCCCAGATATTTGCATGGCTCGCTCCTTAATCGCCTTTAGGTTTTATTAAGATGTCTTATGAGGTCTTCTCTGGCCACTCTTTTTAAATGCAACAATCTGAAACTCTCTATCTTCCTTCCATGCTTTCTTTTCTCTTCATAGCACTTATTATCATTTAAAATACATTTTACTTATTTCCATATTTATTGTCTGCCTCTCTCCATTAAAATATATCTCCAGAGCATAAAGCTGACTTTTTAAAGATCTCTGAAGAAAGCATACAATGATAAACAATTTATGCAAAATTTAAAAACAGAAAAACTAAATGAAAGGTTTGCTGGCAAATACATATATGGAGGGTAAAAACATGCAATGAAAAGCAAGGAAATAACACAATATTAAGAATAATGGAGGGGGATAATATAAGGGATACAATCATAAAGGGACACATGGGGGCTTCTAGGGTATTGTAATGTCCTCTTTCTTAGCACAGGTAGGCAGGGAATTCATTTTATTATGGTTTTGAAACTATATATACATACTATCATACAGTCTTTTGTCCATATGTGATATTTCCCAATTTATAAAAGAGAACTAGTAAAAAATAAGTACTACAAATTTTTTAATCACTGTGAAAAGCAAAGCTACAGAGATAAGTACTTATTTAAATTATCAATATGGGATTTTAACCAGACATTCCAAAATTCCAAATCTCTTATCATGATGTTTTTAAAGATAATAGTCTTTTTGCCTGTATAAACATTTTATTTTCATTTTAATAAATCTCTGATATCTTACTTCGCAACTATATGTTTGTGTGCTTGTGTGCGTATATATTTCTATTATTTCCCTCATAAATATATAAAATTAAATTTTAAATTCTCAATCTCCCTTACTGAGAACTACTTAGGATTATTTCCAAAACAGGACTTGATAAAGAGCCAACAAAATTTTCATTGAAAAGATTTCAGACACTCAGTAAGCAGAGAAAGAAAAATGCTGATGTTCATCAGTATTTACTGAAATGGGTTTTAAATAATAACATAATTTATAAAATTAACCTCTATCGCTTTCCAAAACCTCGGACAGGAAATTTTTTAGAGAAATCACAAAAAAAAATAATTTCATAACATAGTTTTTAATATTTTAATGTAAAAACAACTTCTATTATATCAAATTGAAGCTAGATTAAATCATTTCATGTAACCAGGTGTGGCCTATGAAAACATTTTTTAAGTATATGTGATTAGAAAGACATTTTAAAAGTACAGAATTAATTTGTACCACAGAAGCATTACCATTAGATTCACTACCTATCTTTTTAATATCTGTAGAAATATAATTGAAGTTGGGCAAGCATGGTGGCTCATGCCTGTAATCTCAGCACTACAGGAGGTCGAGGTGGGTGGATCACTTGAGGCCAGGAGTTCGAGACCAGCCTGGCCAACATGGTGAAACCCCATCTATACTAAAAATACAAAAACATAGCCTGGCGTGGTGTCAGGTGCCTGTAATCCCAGCTACTCAGGAGGCCAAGGCAAGAGAATCACTTGAACCTGGGAGGCAGAGGTTGCAGTGAGCCGAGATTGTGCCACTGCACTCTAGCCTGGGAAACAAGAGCGAAACTTCATCTCAAAAAAAAAAAAAAAAGAAAGAAAGAAATATAATTGAAGTCTTTTTTCCCTCACTGGAAAAAAATAAAAATAAAAATAAAAAGTTGATAATTACAGCTGAAAGTTATAAATGGTAAAGTTTAATAAATTCCTTATGTGTTAAAACTTACTGTGCTTTTTCACAGGCTAAAGGAATACAACAATTGAAGAAAAGACCTAAACAATAGGCCAAGAAAATCTGAGGTCTCCACTATCAGAGAAAAGTCTTCACATAGAAAAATAATGAAGACATAAGCTCCCATTATAAGTTGTACAAACATATGCAAAGAAAGTTATGAGATGCCTCATTTAACAAGGCTATAAAATGAAGATCACAATGACCCCAATATTCAAAATCATTACACCAAAGTTAAAGTGCCTGAGCAAAGATAATATGAATCAGCAAAATATACCAAAAACATAAAAGGAATCATTTTTGAGCAACAGGAACTCCTATAAGTTCAAGATGTTTATTCTCTCTTACTTATTAAATGTAACGAAACCAGATGCAACTACTCCTGAAGGAGTGGGATAGCAGAAATGACTGAAATTTTATGTCTCCATTCTTTTCTAACACTGATAATAAAAACGTAATTTGCTAACTTTACATAAAAAATTGACCCTCTTTTGGTATGTCAAATTATCATAATCTTTTAGCATATAAGAAGTCAAATTGAACTCAGATTTCTATTTTTTTATAAATTTTTATGAAGTATAATATATATGCCAAAAGTATAAAAATCTTAAGTGTATAGTTCAATGAATTATCACAAAGTGAACACATAACCACTCCAGAAGCTTTGCTGCTACTCATTCAAATACTACACAATCATAGGCAATCCCTATCATAACTTCTAAGCCCATAATTCTGTTTTTCCTGGTGCTGAACTTTATATCAATAGAAGAATATACTGTTTTCTTTTATGTCTGATTTATTTTATTTTCTGTTCCTGCATTAATTTCTCTTAGGATTATGGCCTCCAACTGCATCCATGTTGCTGCAAAAGACAAGATTTCACTCTTCTTTATGACTGCATAACATTCCGTGGTATGTATGTACCACATTTTCTTAATCTAATCTACCATTGATGGGCACCTGGATTGATTCCATGTCTTTGCTACTGTGAATAGCACAGCAATGAACAAACAAGTGCCTATGTCTCTTTGGTAGAATGATTTATTTATTTCCCTTTGTGCATATACCCAGTAATGGGATTGCTGGGTCAAATGGTAGCTCAGTTCTTTAAGAAATCTCCAAACTATTTTCCACAGTGGCTGAAATAATTTACATTCATTCCCATCAACAATGTCTAAGCATTCACTTTTCTCTGCAGTCTCATAAGAATCTGCTGTGTTGTTGTTGTTGTTGTTTTACTTTTTAAAAATAGCCATTCTGACTGGTGTGATACCTCATTTGCATTTCTCTAATGATTAGTGATGTTGACCATTTTTGCATGTTTGTTGGGCACTTGTATATCTTCTTTTGAGAAGTGTCTGTTCATGTCCTTTGCCCATTTTTTAATGGGGTTATTTGTCTTTTGCCTGTGGACTTAAGTTCTCTACAGATTCCGGATATTAGGCCTCTGTCAGATGCACAGTTTGAGAATATCTTCTCCCATTTTGTAGGCTGTCTGTTTGCTCTGCTAATGGTTTCTTTTGCTGTGAAGAGCTCTGTAGTTTGATTAGGTCCTACTTGTCAATTTTTGTTTTTGTTGCAATTACTTTTGGGGACTTAGCCAAAAATTATCAAGGCCAATGTCAAGAAGAGTTATTTCCTTGGTTGTCTGTTAGGATTTGTATTGTTTGAGGTTTTACATTTCAATCTTTGATCCATTTTGAGTTGATTTTGTATATGTTGAAAGGTAGGGGTCCAGCTTCAATCTTTGGCATATGGCTAGCCAGTTATCCAGCATCATTTATTGAATAGGGAGTCCTTTCCTCATTGCTTGCTTTTGTCAGCCTTGTCAAAGATCAGATGATTGTAAGTGTGTGGCGTTATGTTCAAGTTTTCTATTTAGTTCAATTGGTTTACATGTCCATTTTTCTACCTGTATCATGCTGTTTTGGTTACTGTAGCTTTATAGTACAGTTTGAAGTCAGGTAGTGTGATACCTCCAGCTTTGTTCTTTTTGTTCAGGATTGCTTTGGTTATTCGGGCTCTTTTTTGGTTATATATTAATTTTAGGATAGTTTTTTTTTTTCTAATTCTGGGAAGAATGACATTGGTAGTCTGATAGGAATAGCACTGATTCTGTAAATTGCTTTGGCCAGTATAGCCATTTTTACAATATTGATTCTTCTGATCCATGAGCATGGCATGTTTGTGTTCTTACTGACTTTTTAGACATATAAATATAGTTCAGTCTATCATTTTTCTTTTACTAATAAAACTACTCAAATTCCATTTAAGAAATCTTTCTTTACTCATAAATATGAAGATATTTGCCTCTGTTATCTTCTAGAATATTATTGTACTTCCACATTTAGATCTAACATTGATCTGAAACAGATCTTTGTTTATGATGATGTGAGGTAGGGCTTAATATTCATTTTTTCCAATTGTACACCCAATTGGCCCAGAACAATTTATTAAGAAAGACTGCTCTGTAGTTCCACCTTTGTCATAGATTAAGTGCCCATAAATATATAGGTCTGTCTGTGGAATTCTATTTGCTGCATTAGTCTATTTCCCTGTCTTTGCAACAACACTTAATTATTGTAAAATCATAAGTGATGAGATCTGATAGAGAACTCCTCCAGCTTTGTTCTTCTAAAATTTGGATAGAAAAGTCCTCCAGCTTTGTTCTTCTAAAGTTTTTCTTTTGGAAATTGACACGGAGACTCTAAAATTTATACAAAAATTACCCTTCACATTTTTGTATAAATTTTAGAATCACCATGTCAATTTCCAAAAGAAAAACACCTGCTAAAATTTTGTTTGGGATCACATTAAATCTACAGATCAATTTGGGCAGAATAGACATCTGCATAATATTGAGTTTTTCAAACAATTGTCATAATTTGGTCTGAGATATATTTAAATTTTATTTAATTTCTCACAATAAGGTTTTATAGTTTTCTGTGTAAAGATCCTGCACATAAGTCATTAGATTTATTCCTTAGGTTATTAATGTTCTGACAGTGACATAAATTATATTATTTTTAAATTATCAGTTTTAAACTGTTCCTGGTATACAGAATTACTCTGGATTAATTTTTTATATTGATGTTATTTGCAGCAACTGATTACCCATATACATATTATATTATATTATATTATATTATATTAATCTGCCTTATTACACTGGCTGGAAATTCCAATACAATGTTGAATAAAAGTGGTGACAGCGAGCACCCTTATCCCATTCCCAATCTTAGAGGGAAAGCTTTCTCTATTTCACCATAATGCTTGCAGTAAAGTTTTCATGTGTCCTTGTACATTTTACCACATAAATGATTTGCTTCCATTCCTAGTTCACCAGAGGTTTTATCATAAATACATGATAAATTTTATCTATACTTTTTTCTGCATCTTTCAAGATTATAGACCATTACTTCTCTATTTTCTTAATTATTCAAATTTTATAAATTTTAAGTAACATTATATTCTTTGAATGAACCCAAATAATCTATTATTTTCTTTCTAAATTGCTGGAATCGTCCATGGAAAAGACAATACTAAAATTTTCCTTACCTGTAACATCCTTTTCATATTTTTATATCAAGGTTATGCTGGCCTCATAAATCTCAACATAATTATTTCTGTTTCCAGAAAGTTTGTGAAAGATTGATGTTATTTATTTCTTAAATGCTTATTTCTTAAATATTTGGGAAAATTCACCAGTAAAGTGATCACGGCCTGGAGAATTTGTTTTGTTTTGTTTTTATTTGTTCATCTGTATGTATGCTTCTGTATTTTGAGGCAACAAGGTTTCAATTAAAAATTCTAGTTATTTGACATAAGATTATTTCAATGTTCATGTATGTGTCAATTCTGGTAAGTTTTGTTTTTCTAGAAATTTGTCATAATTCATCTACTTTTTCAAATTTACGGTCATAGAGTCGCTTATCATATGTTCTTACTAACTTTTAATCTCTATGTGATCTGTCATGATATCCCTTTTCATTCTTGGCATGGATTATTTAAGTAATCTTTGTTTCTAAGTCTGTGTGGGGATTTATCTATTACTATTAAAAACAACCAACTTTGTCGAGTTTTGGTGGCTTTATGGATCATTTCTATCACATGTTTCCTATTTCATTAATTCATGCTCTTATCTCATGTTCCTTTCCTTTATTATATCTTTATTTTCTTTATCCTTTCTTGGGATCAGTCTGCTGTTCTTTTTCTAACTTCTCAAGGGGATTCTTAGACTACTGATTTTCAGACTTTTAGAAAATCATTTCTAATAAATGCATTTAGATCTATAAGTGCCCCTCCTTAGCTGAATCACATGCATTTTGATGTGTCATCATTCAGTAATTTTAAGTATGAAAATTTTCAGTATGAAAATTATACTAGGGTTTTTTGGCCAGGCGCGGTGGCTCACACCTGTAATCCCAGCACTTTGGGAGGCCAAGGTGGGCAGATCACGAGGTCAAGAGATTGAGACCACCCTGGCTAACAGGGTGAAACCCCATCTGTACTAAAAATACAAAAAAATTGCCAGGCGTGGTGGCACATGCCTGTAGTCCCAGCTACTCAGGAGGCTGAGGCAGGAAAATTGCTTGAACCTGAGAGGCAGAGGTTGCAGTGAGCTGAGATTGTGTCACTGCACTCCAGGCTGGGTGACGGAGTGAGAGTCTGTCTCAAAGAAAAAAAAAAAAAAAAAAAATATATATATATATATACACACACACACACACACACACACACATATATTAAATACACATATGTTATATATAAATATATATACACATATATATTAGGGTTTTTCTTATTATTTTTATGTAATCACCAAAAAGTTACTTTTTATTTCACTGTGGTCAATTAATTTGTATTATTTTAATCCTTTTAAATTTGTTAAGACTTGCATTAAAACCCAGAATATAGTAAATTCCGGGAAAGTTCCTTTGTTCTTGGAAACCATGTATATGCTTCAATTATAAGGTATTATGCTCTCAAATATCAAGTGAGACAAAATTGTTCATTGTCCTATTCAAATGTTTTATGTTCTTGCCGGTTTTTTGGTCTCCTGGTACTACCAGTTACCAAGAAAATTGGGTTAAAAACATCTCACTATGTTTTGTCTCTTGTGTTTGGTCAATTTTACATTATTTCAACACTGTTATAAATTATATATAAATTAAGAACTGTTATGCCTTCCTTTTACTTTCAACTTTTCTAAATATTTTTATTTAAGGTTTATCTTTTCTAAGCAGCAGATGGCTAAGTTTTGTTTTTATATCCAATCCAAAAATTCTTGGCTTTTAACTGGAATATTTAATCTGTCACATTTAGTATAACTGGAATTTCTTTTTGTCTTTTGAGACAGAGTCTCTGTCGTCCAGGCTGGAGTCCAGCGATGCGATCTCAGCTCATTGCAACCTCTGCCTCCCGGGTACAAGTGATTCTCGTGCCTCAGCCTCCCAAGTAGCTGGGACTACAAGCACATGCCACCATGCCTGGCTAATTTTTTGTATTTTTAGTGGAGATGGGGTTTCAGCATGTTGGCCAGGCTGGTATTGAACCCCTGGCTTCAAGTGATCTGCCCACCTCAGCTCTCCAAAGTGCTAGGATTACAGGCATAAGCCACCATGCCCGACCAACTTTCAGACTTTTTAACACTAATTTACCCCTTTTCTGACTTATGTGCTATTAGGACCATGCATTTAAATTTTGTGTATATGCAAGCCACTATTATTACTATAGCTTTATATGATAGTCATTTAGAATCATCTCTATAATTTCATTACATTCCATCCAGTATCTGGGATCATTTTTCTTCTACTTCAATAGCACTTATTGTAATTAGTATTTCCTTTATCGAAAGCCTACTACTGTCAAGTTATCTCAGTCATTGTTTTTCTAAAAATGCTCTTATTTTGCTTACATTTTTAAGAATATTTAATTATGTAGAATTTTAGATGGATGATTATTGTCTTTAAGCTATTTGAAAACATGTATTCTGGATCCCATTTCCTCAGTTAAAAAATTAATTGTCTTCATGCTTTTCCTTTAAAGGAAATATGCCCTTTTTCCTCTATCTGCTTTGAAATTTTTGTCTTCATGTTTTGGTTTTCAGCAGTTTTACTATAATATTTCTGAGTTTCTTTGTACTTATGCCCCTTGGTGCTCACAGAACTTCTTTAATCTGTGGCTTGATGTCTTTGTCACTTTTGAAAATTTCTTATTCATTATCACTTAAAATAATGTTACACATTTGTCTTCACTCTTCTCTTTTTAGGATTCCAATTACACATGTGGGTTAGACAATTTCCACATCTTCCTTGTATTTCTTTCTGTCCTTTTTTGGTCATCATTTTGTCTTTCTTTACTTCCTTCTGGATGTTTCCTTCTGATCTCTCTTCCATTTCATATTTCCCCCTTCAGCTGTGTCTAATCTGCTGTTATTTCCATCCAAGGAATTCTTAATTTACTCAATGTATTTTTCAGTTCTAGAATTTCCATTTGATTCATAAGTATGAGTATCCAGGCCTGTCCTAATATTCTCTACCTTAAATTTTAATTCCTTGAACATAACAATAATTATTTTAAAGTTTGTGTCTAAAACACTCCATTATCCTATATGTATGTTTCTAACGGATGTTGTTTTTTCGTATCTTATCTTCTTCCGAGCTTTTTTTTTTAGTTTGTGCCAGATATTGTATATGATATATAGAAGAAATACTTTAAGCCTCCATATGATGTTATCTCACTCAATAAAGTATTTACTTTTTATGTTGCCATCTAACTACATTATGGGCATTTCACCATAATCTAATAAAAGATTATGATGATTCAAAGGTGGGCTAATTATCACGAGTAGGGTTTAGAATCTCAGGGGCCAGACTAAATCCTTAAGTATGTACCAAGGCTCCTCTTCCTTGGCACATCTGGATATCTAATTTTGTTCCTCTGTAATGGCTGACAAAAGGACTGCTCAGTGTCTCAGGAGGTTTCCAGGATTTCTAACTGTCTCAAGGTTAAAATTACACAAAATGCCTGTCTTGTATCCCTTGACATTGTACCTCTCCTAAATCTCTGACAAATTCTCATGGTTTTGATAGTTCTCTCATGCTTTAGGCAAATAAAATTCCTAATTTTTCTCAGGGGAAGTAACAGTCCAAAAGAATTCATTTCACCACTGAAAAAGAATAAGTCCTCAAAACACATTTCCTAGTATCTCAACAAAGTGCCCTATCTATGTAACCATATCTACTAAAAACCGAAACCAGTTCTGAGGTGGTAAAAAATAAATATCAGTCTATACAGTGGATACATAATACTGATACATAATGGACACATAATGGTGACATCCTATACAATATAATCCCAGGGTTCTCAACACCCTGTTAGGAACCAGGCAGCAGAGCAGGAGGTGAGTAGCAAGTGAGGAAACACAGCTTCATCTGTCTTTACAGCCATTCTCCATCACTCGCATTACTGCCTGAGCTCCACCTCCTGTCAGATGAGTGGCAACATTAGATTATCATAGGAGTGCAAACCCTATTGTAAACTGCACATGTTAGGGATCTAGGTTGCATGTCCCTATGAGAATCTAATGCTTGATGATCTGAGGTGGAGCTGAGGTGATGATGATAGGGCTTGGGAGTGGCTGCAAATACAGATTAATGTTAGCAGAGAGGTTTGAGTGCACAGGGACCACAATAAATCAATTGCTTGCAGACTCATATCAAAACCCTATCAGTGAGTGAGTGGCAAGTGATAATTAAGCTGCATCTGGTAGCAGGCTTTATAGTGGCAAGTGAGATGATGTACTTCAATTTTACAGTCGCATCTGGTAGCAAGCTTGAAGGCAGAATCTAATACTTATTTTAGTCCATGCGGGCACTGCCTGACCCCGCCCCCCCCCCCCCATTATTTTATTTACCATTTCTGTCCACACCTCTTTCCCACACTGCACACTTGTTTCAGTTACAGTTTTGGTAAGCCCACAAACAAACCTTAGCCAAACTGAGTAAAAAACAAACATCACTGGAGAGCTTCTTTGAAAAGGGGGAATGATGAGATAGCAGAAGACTCTTAGACTGCCAACAAAAAGAAAGCTGCATTTCAAAGAAAATACTAAGAGTCTTACTTAAATTACGGGTTCATTACAACAGGTGATTCACATTCTCCAAGTCCACTTTGTACAATACGTTGCAACCAGCCATCCAATGAAACCATGAAACCTTCAAAACTGCTTCACCACAAGGAGACCAAGCACCCTGCATTAAAAAACAAGCCTTTGGAGTTTTTCAAAAGAAAAAAAGTGAACACGAAGAGCCGAAGCAATTATTGAAAGCCACCACTTCATCAAATGGGTCTGTACTAAGAGCATCATTCTTAGTAGCTAACAGCATTGCTAAACCATAGAAGCCCTTTACTATTGATGAAGAGTTGATCCTGCCTATTGCTGAAGACATTTGTAGTCTTTTAGGAGAGACTGCAGTTCAAAAGGTGACATGTGTTCCTCTTTCAGCTAGCACCATAACTAGAGGAATTGATGAAATAGCAGAGGATACTGAGGCACAATTGTTAGAGAGAATTAATAAGTCACCTTGGTAAGCAATCCAGGTTGATGAGTCAACTGATGTTGACAATAAAACGTTTGTTTTTGTGCAATATATTTTTCAGGAGGCTGTGCACGAGGATATGTTATGTGCACATTTCTCTCTCTCTCTCTTTTTTGTTTTTTTGAGACAGGGTCTCAATCTGTCACCCAGCCTGGAGGACAGTGGCACGATCTCGGCTCACCACAGCCTCCACTTCCCAGGTTCAAGCAATCCTTCCACCTCAGACCAACAAGTAGCTGGGACTACAGGTGTGTGCCATCATGCCTGGCTAACTTTTGTATTTTTAGTAGAGATGGGGTTTCACCATGTTAGCCAGGCTTGTCTCAAACTCCTAAGTTCAAGCAATCCACCTGCCTCTGCCTCACAAAGTGCTGGCATCACAGGCATGAGCCACCATGCCCAGACTATTATGTGAACTTTTGTTGACAACCAACACAACAGCTGCAGAAGTATTCAAATCTTTGAATGATTACATATCAGGAAAACTGAATTGGTCATTTTTTGTCAATATACGCACAAATGGAGTATCTGCCATGACTAGGCAGCTTTCTGGTTTTACTGCTTGGGTCAAAGAGGTTGCTTCTGAATGTGAGTCTACTCACTGTGTCATCAATAGAGAAATGCTGGCTAGGCGAAAAATGTCACCTGAACTTAACAATATTTAGCAAGATGTGATGAAAATTATCAACCACATTAAAGTACATGCCCTCAACTCACATCTGTTCACACAGCTCTGTGAGGAGATGGGTGCAAAGCACACACGTCATCCCTTTTTCTTTTTTTTTTTTTTTTTTGAGATGGAGTCTCACTCTGTCACCCAGACTGGAGTGCAGTGGCGCGATCTCAGCTCACTGCAACCTCCGCCTCCTGGGTTCAAGCACTTCTGCCTCAGCCTCCCGAGTACCTGGGACTACAGGCGCACATCACCATGCCCAGCTAATTTTTGTATTTTTAGTAGAGATGGGGTTTCACCATATTGGCCAGGCTGGTCTCAAACTCCTGACCTCGTGATCTGCCCACCTTGGCCTCCCAAAATGTTGGGATTACAGGCGTGAGCCACTGTACCCGGCCGCATGTCTTCTCTTATACACAGAAGTGAGGTGGCTTTCTAAAGGTGGGTCACTGGTCAGAGTTTTCAACTTACAAGGGCTACTGCAGAGATTTCTTTTAGAAAAACAGTCACCACTGGCAGCACATTTCAGTGACACAGAATGGGTTGCAAAACTTGCTTACTTGTGTGACATATTCAACCTGCTCAAGAAACTCATTCTGTCACTTCAGGAGAGAATAACAACTGCATTCAAGTTGGCAGGTAAAGTGGCTGCATTCAATGCCAAACTGGAATTATGGGGGCGACAAGTAAACTCTCGAATTTCTGACATGTTTCAAACATTAGAAGAGATTTTTTTCTCCCAGCACCATCTTTCTCCCAGCTGGTGCATGAACAACTATTACAGCTTACAAAAGAATTTCAGCATTACTTCCCAACTTCAAAAAGACCCCAAACTGGGAAGGAATGGATACGCGACCCATTTGCGAGTAAGCCAGGTGAATCGACTTTGTCCATGCTAGAAGAGGATCAACTGCATGAGATCGCAAATGACAGTAGCCTTAAAAGTATGTTTAAGACAACTTCAAATCACTATACATTGTGAGTTAAAGTCAAGGCAGAATATCCTGAGATTGCCACAAAAGCACCAAAAAGCCTGCTTCTATTTCCAGCATCCTGTCTTCGTGGAGCAGAGTTTTCTGCAGTGACAGCAACCAAAATGAGATTATGGAGTAGACTGAACATAGGCAAAACACTTTCGGTGTCACTGTCTCCCATCACCCCCAGAATGGGACCATCTAGTTGCAGGAAAACAAGCCCAGGATTCTCACTTATTCTACATTATGGTGAGTTGTATAATTGTTTCATTATATATTATAATGTAATAAAAATAATAGAAATAAAGTGCACAATAAATATAATGCACTTCAATCATTCCAAAACCATCTCCCCTCCCTGGGTCCATGGAAAAACTGTCTCCACAAAACCAGTCCCTGGTGCCAAAAAGGTTGGGGACCACTGACATAATCCATATATAATAGCAAACTTGACAAATATGCTAAAAAAGATCTAAGCTTAAAGAATACTACAAATTTTAAGGATAATGAAAAAATCAATTAGTGCTCACTGATAACTTTGTGTGTTTAAAGAAATTTAAGACCCATTAAAATATTAAAGCATCATACATCTACAACATATTTGTAATGAGGTGTTTAAAATAATTTACAAATTATTTTAGTAAATTGTTTTACATATAAATATCCAGTGCCATTTGTGCACATACTAAAATTGCCAGGGCTGACAATAATATTCATCTAGGCAAAACTTTCACTATGTAAAGTTTTCAGGTAGAAAATCATGGAAAATTTAACAAAATTTTATTCAAGTAGTGAGCAACAACTGAATCTCTCATTTTGACTTTACACAAATAATATCCAATTCTGCTCTCTTATCCATTCACTTTCATTAAGATTCTTCTTACCTGAGCATTGCTATACCCATTATTATTACTGTGAACTATACTGCCTCCTTCATACAGAAGTTATTCTTCCCTTTTGGTATGACACAGCATTGAAAAAATATTTTTAGGGCCAGGCACAGTTGCTCACACCTATAATCCCAGCACTTTGGGAGGTCAAGGTGGGTGGATCACCTGAGGTCAGGAGTTCAAGACCAGGCTTACCAACATAGTGAAACCCCATCTGTACTAAAAATAAAAAATTAGCCGGGCATGGTGGTGTGTGCATGTAATCCCAGCTACTCAGGATGCTGAGGCAGGAGAATCGCTTGAACGTGGGAGGTGGAGGTGGCAGTGAGCTGAGATCGTGCCACTGCACTCCAGCCTGGGCAATAAGAGTAAAACTCCGTCTCAAATAAATAAATTAAATTAAATTAAATACATGTTTAAAATGTGTAACAGACTGATAGTACCTTCATCACTATACCACAATTCCACTTGCTAACATAGCAAAATGTCAGAGAAAAATTTACAAATATTAAATGTACAGAAGATGCTATTTATGAGTTATACAAAATAAAAATGAATATAAAAATATAAAGAATAAAACTACATTTTATTAGACTAAAAATAAGAATTATCAAAATTACCAAAAGAAAAAAGGTGTTATAATTCTATATTTTTTTAAAAAGTAGAAATTAGGATATATGTATGAAAGTGAAGAGGGTAGAACAAATCATGATTTGATGGAAACCTGTGTATTTCCTTTGATCACATAAAGTAACTTAATGCTAGAAGTTTAAAAGAATGTATACTGTCTTAAAAGAAAAAAAAGTCATTTCCCAGATTTTACAAAGAAAAATTAGAACAAAAATTTTATTTTAAAACTTCTATAACCAAAAAAATCAATAAATTAAAAATTAATTAATAATATTTCAAACATAAAGAGAATATTATGGATATGAGTAGGCAATTCACTAAACAGGAAACAATAGGAAATCAACACATAAGAAGATGTTTACAATACTAATCAGGAAAATGCACATTAAAATACTATTCACACCCATCACCTTGGCAAAAGTAAAAATTCTCACAATTTTCAAGTGTTGGTGAGAACATGAAGGATCAGGGACACATACCCTGTTGGTGGAAGTATATACACATTACCACAGTGACTTGAAAAGCACTTCGGCAACATGTAATAAAGTTGAGGATATAAATACTCTCAGATACAAAAATCTCACTTTTAAGTATGCACCCTAGAGCAACTCTTAAATATGTACATGAAAAGATCAGTGCAAGAAGTGCAGTGTAGCATTGTTTATAACAACAAAAGGTGAAAATTTACCTAAATGCCACAAGCTCTGTATTTCACAGGAAGTTAGATGATGAAACTAAATAAATGCTTTTTAAAATTTACAGATGACAATAAAATATGAGTGCAAAGAAGAACAAATCCCTGAACAGATGATATCGAAGTCATACTGGTAAACAAAATTACTCATCTGAAATTAAGACGATATCAGCATTTACAATGAATGCATATAAAGTAAGTATTTCTATGTCAGAAACCATTTTAAAGTCAATCATTTACAATAATAATGGCAACATAGAAAATGTGTTATTTTGTGTACTCACCAAGTCTTAGTGTTAACTTCATATTTATAAAGATCATCAACCAATCCATATTTGTTCCCTGGCAATGCTTTATACCCTCCATGAACATAAATGGACTTTGTTATTTCATCATACACACTAGTATGGCCATATCCACCTTGTACAATAGCTCCTTTAGTTTCTGGAACAAGCCAAGTGTTTGATGCTGTAACAGAAATAAAATACATTATAAATTTCAAGTAGTATTTTTAAATATAACTAATATATCACCAAAATACCAACAAGTTAATTCTAATGACATATTTTTATGAGTAAACATTGTATATCTAATATTAATTTAATCAAGAAACACTTATTAAGTATGTGCCAGGTTAGGTGCTGGGTTTGAAGTTGAGTAACACTGGTCTTTCCATAGATGAAGTTAAACTCTGAAATACTAAAAAGAACATTTTATGTGTTTGCAAGAGAAAAAGGAAAACTTTATTCTTATATTACATAAATAGCTCTGAAAAAAATTTTTAACAAATATTTTGAGAGCCTACTATGTGACAGTTAGTCACTGACATTATAAAGATAAAATGATATGATCCCTACCCTTAGAAATCTAAAATTAATTGAACACATTTTTAGTACTGTGCTGGTCCTTTATTTGTTGGTTATAAGCCCCACTTTCCTTTTTATAAAGTCCTTTGTATTGCAGAGGATGAAAACCTAAACAATAAAATTTCCAAGACTCGCTTGACAATTGTGTTACATTAGGTTCCACCAATGGGAGTACTAGTATGAGATTAAAGGGCAAGAGGAAAGATTCTGATTTTGCCTCTAGCAGCAGGAACAGGAAGGCAATTACAGTAAGTAATGGCAGTGCTGGCTTAATAGGTATTCCCTGCTCAGTAGCAAAACTGGTATGTTTAGTTGCTCAGTGGCAAATGTGATCATAGGCTCCAGCCTAGGTATGTAGCACTTCTGGATTTCTGGGTGATCCCTTCCCTTTGGTATCTCTAGTCCTTCTAACACTTTTGTAACTAATTTCCGATATTAAAATCCCACTCTGCTTGCTGTATCTACAATAGATTCATTTCCCAATGCAGTTTCACTAATAAAAACACCAATCATATGCAAGGGATGCTTTTAAGAAATGCATACGAAAAACCCACAATTTCTTGGCCTTAGAAAATTTATTATAAAAAGCAGCTATATAAAAATCTGTCATTTGTTTTTAAATATGCATATAGATCACATCTCCATCATTCCTCTAACCAGCCACCTAAAATGTGGCATCCTAGTCAGCTCATTGAAAATACCCAAATCAACTAATAGAAAATGATAATGCTTAAAAATTCTTTGCATTTACAAAATTCTAAGGTAGTAAAGAAAATGATTCTACAATGATCATAAAAAATAGAAATATCCAAAAAAGTCATCCAAGCCACTGGTACTTAATCTATGTTAAGAAACTTTGCGGAACTCATATGTAACTAACAGGCATTACATTTTGGAGGTAATTTCCAAAAAATGAAGTAAAAGACAACTTATCAGAAATAATTTGATTAATATTCTTTAACCACTTAACTATATATATATATATATATTTGAACTAAAAGATTTTCATAGTTTTATTCATTTCCTTTTAATAAAGATAAACTTGATCCTTACCAAAAAATATTGAATTAAGAGGTATAAAATGTAAAAGTTACCCTTTCCCCCAGCCCACTACCTAGAGGTACATTTCACAATTTGTTACATACAGACTATTTTCAAACTACAGTTCTGAATATTTTCGTATACATAAAACACATGTACATGTTTTTTAGATAGATATGTTTATATATATGTGTGTGTGTGTGTGTGTGTGTGTGTACATATTTGTACTAAAAATACTATGTTGCAACTACTGTTTCACTTAACAAGACATTTGGGGCATCATTCTGTGTCCCATTTATTACTTTTTTAAGAGCTAAATTTCATTGTGTTGATAATATACAATTTATTTAAATAACTCTACTTTGTTACTCATTTGGGTTTCAATTTGCCCTTAGAAACAATGGTGCAATAAACAACCTTGCAATCAACAGCAGCATCATTCTCTAATAGAGCACAGTTCTCAGTAACTATCTCATTATCTCATTTAATAATAATCTTTGGAGGGTTATATTATTGCTATCTCTTCTTTACAAATTAGGAAATTCAAAGCTAGAAAAATTGAATAACACATCAAAAGTTTAAAAGTTAATAAGTGGAACAAGATAGTGTAGACTGATTTTTCCCTGCTCCCCCCACAGACCTTAGAAACTGTGTAAGAGACAACCAAAGAAAAAATCTAAAGTGTAAAGACGAAGGCAGACTGGCTAGGGACTGGAGAATGTGTGTCTCATGACACTCACTCACCCAACAGAAGAAGGTTACTGAGGCCCAGCACTTCTCAACCCCCATCCTTAGAACAAAAGGTTACTTGGGTAGGCTTATTCCTTAGCCAAACTGAACACGAGTCCAATGGACAAAACCAGATGACCCTGGCAGCCCTAGCAAAAGGGACCTGCCAAATACTACTTACAGTAAATATGCAGGGAAAGCACTCCCCTTCCCCACAAGGCCTAAGACTGCAAAGAGAGATCTCACCACAAGACCTGAATGCAAAACCCAAACTAGGTGACTACCTGCTAAGATAAAAGATTTAAAATAGAACCCAGAGACTCCCACTATGAAACCCAAAATGTAAAGATATGATCAAAAACTCCCTGTCATACCGACAACAAGAAAAATCACGACTTGAATGAGAAGAGACAATCAAGTAATACTAACACTGAGATGAATGGATCAGATGTTAAAATTATCTAAAAAGAATTTTAAAGTAGCCATGATAAAAATACTCCAACATGTAACTATAACTATTTTTAACTTTTATTATAAGTTTTGGGGTACAAGTGCAGGTTTGTTACATTGGTAAATCTATGTCACGGGGGTTTGTTGTATAGATTATTTCATCACCCAAGTATTAAGCCTAGTACCCATTAGTTACTTTCCTGATCCTCTCCCTCCTTCCACAATTCACCTCCAATAGGCCCCAGTGTGCATTTTTTCCCTCTATGTGTCCATGTGTTCTCATCATTTAGCTCCCACTTATAAGTGAGAACACGCAGTATTTGGTTTTCTGTTCCTGTGTTAATCTGTGAAGGATAATGGCCTGCAGCTCCAACCATGTCCCTGCAAAAGACATTATCTCTTTCTTTTTCGTGGCTGCATAATATTCCACGGTGTATATGTACGACATTTTCTTTATTCAGTCTATCATTGATGGGCATTTAGATTGATTCTTTGCTATTGTGAATAGTGCTGGCAATGAACATACATGTGCATGTGTCTTTATAATAGAATAATTTATTAATATATTTCTTTGGATATATACCTAGTAATGGGATTGCTGAGTTGAATGGTATTTCCATCTTTAGGTCTTTGAGAAATACCACAGTGTCTTCCACAATGGTTGAACTAACTTACACTCCCACCAACAGTGTATAAGCATTCCTTTTTCTCTGCAACCTCACTACTATTACAAATTATCTTGAAACAAACAAAAATATCTCAGCAAAAAAAAAAAAGTTAAAAAAAAACTACAATAACAAATAAAAACTAACGGGATAGGCTCAAAACCGGAGTGGAAATGACAAAGGAAAGAATTGTTAAACTTGAGGACAGAACAATAAAATTTATCAAGAGAGAGGGAGTGGGGCAAGGGGTGAATAACTATTGGGTACTGAGCTCAGTACACCTGTGTGACAAGATCAATCATACTCCAAACCTCAGCATCATGCAATACAGCCACATAACAAACCTGCATTGAGATTCACCCCCTGAATCTAAAATAAAAGTTAAAATTATAAAAATAAACAAAAAATTAAAAATAAAAATAAATAAAATTTATCCAATATGAAAAATAGAGAAAACAGTGAACAGAGTCTCAGAGACCCTTAGGACAATAACAAATGATCCAACATTTGTAGCACCATAATCCCAAAAGGAGAAGAAAAAGAAATGGGGCTTACAGAGTTTTTAAACTCATAGGTGGGAATTGAACGATGAGAACACATAGACACAGGAAGGGGAACATCACACACCAGGGACTGTTGTGGGTGAGGGGAGGGGGGAGGGATAGCATTAGGAGATATAACTAATGTTAAATGACGAGTTAATGGGTACAGCACACCAACATGGCACATGTATACATATGTAACAAACCTGCACATTGTGCACATGTACTCTAAAATTTAAAGTATAATAAAAAAAAAAGAAATGATGGCCAAATACTTCCAAATTTTGTAAAAGACATAAACTTACAGATTCAAGAAACTAAGTAAATCTTAAATAGGTTAAACCCAAAGATATCCATGCCAAGACACCTCATAATTAAACTTCTAAAAACTAAAGACAAGGAAAAAAACCTTGAAAGCAGCCAGAGTGAAATGACAAATTACCTAGAAAAACAATAATTTTAATAATAATGGACTTCTCATCTGAAACCATGGAGGTCCAAAAGAAGTAGCACAACTGTTTTCAAATGCTGGAGAGAAAAAGAACTGTAAAGTATGAATTCTACCTCCAGTGAAACTATCCTTCAGGAATTAAGAGGGAAAAAATTCTTAAATTAAAAAAAAAAAAAGAATTTGTCATTAGCAGGTCTCTCTTTAAATAATGGTTAAAAGAACTTCTTCAAACAGAAAGATAAAGGAAGGAAGCTTGGAGCATCAGAAAAGTGGGTGCAGCGCACCAGCATGGCACATGTATACATATGTAACTAACCTGCACAATGTGCACATGTACCCTAAAACTTAAAGTATAATTAAAAAAAAAAAAAAAGAAGTCAGGACAACAAATAGAGCAGAAACATGAATACAAACAACAGATTATCCTTCTCATGAATGTTTATAAATAATATATGATGATGGAAAAAAATTATAACACCATCCGATACTCAAGATAATGATATTTAAAAGTGAGAAAAGTAAAGCTAAAGTGACGTAAATGAAAGCAAGGTTTCCACATCTCACCTGAGGTGGTAAATTACTGGTGCCAGTAGACTGTGATAAGTCAAATATATATATTTTAACACACAGACCAACCACTAAGAAAATTATACAGAAGATACTATCAAAATTTTACAAAGAGATACTATTAAGAACACTATACAAGTGCATCAAAAAGGAATCCTAAAAATTATTCACATAACCCACAGGAAGCAAGTAAAGAGAAAAAGAGGCACAAGAAAAGGAAAAAAACAGAAAACAAATAATAAAACAGCAGACTTAGTCACTAATATATCAAAATTACCTTAAATGTAAATGATCCATATATAAAACATTCTTGGAATCACAAAATTATAAAATGGAGAACAAACTGGTGGTTGTGAGGAGCCAGGGTAGAAAGGAGGTATGTGTGGTTAAAGGGGCAATGAGAAGGATCTTTGGGGTGAAGAACTACTCTGTATCTTAACTGTGGTGGGAGATATATCAACATGTGTGATAAAACTGCACAGAATGAAATAGGCACACACACACACAAACAAATACAAATAAAACTGGGAATTTCTAAGTAAGATCATAGGATTATATCCATGTCAGTATCTAGACTTAGGATGTTACACATTTGTGCAAGATGTTTCTATGAGAGAAAACTGTGTAAAGGGTATACAGAATCACTTTCATTATTTCTTACAATTATATACCTGTAACTACATTTATCTCAAAATAAAAAGTTTATTTTAAAAATATAATGTTCACTACTAGTGATCAGCTACCAGTAATCGGCATAATTCATTATGAAATACAGTATTTCACTTAACTACTTGATAAACTTTTTTAAAAAAACTTTGGAATTGTAAGAGCGAAGACACAGGTCTAACACCAAAATGTGCATTCTTGTACTACCTCAATGTTTCTCTAGGTTCAGTCACTAGCAGTTCAGGCAAGGAATTCATAAGTGGTATAGTAGTTTCAGGTGAAAAATTAAAAGGAAACAATTGTCTTCCCACACAGGAGACAAATTTGAAAAGCAAGATTAATTTGAGTCACATTCTCATTATATTCTTCTTATGTTTTGCATTTGGAAATGTATATATGCTCTAAGGAACCAACTGGTCTCAATAAACATGCAAGATAACAACATATAGATCACCTCAGAAAACATATGTTCTTATCCTCTGTTGTTATTTGCATATGCGTGAATTTTTTTTCAATTTGGTAGTGTGCTTTATCATATTCTCAATTTATAAAAAAGTAAACCACTGGTTCAAAAGTAGGTCATTAATGAGAAAAGACAGTGGTGAAAACAGATGCATGAATACATGAACTAACTCAGGATAATACTGCAAAAGTAAATAGCAAAAATTACTCAAATATACCAAGAGTTCTTCATTAGGCCATGATGGAGTAATTTAGAAAACACTTCCTGCCACAAACAACTCAGAAACCAGAAAAAAAAAAAAACAAAATAAAAAATGCTTTATGGATACTAGATACCAAGCAGCATTACACTGTGATCCTGTGACAGCATAGGACTATGACTCTAAAAGAAACAGAAACAAGTGTAGGCTCTATGATTGCCAGAGCATACTGCTTGTAGGCAATACCCTGGCCATGACACAAGATGTAGGAAGTAAAGAGAAAGAAATAAACTTTTTAGTGCGAAATAAATATTTCTCTTTCTTTAAAGAGAAATAAATATTTTACTTCTGCTTGTTATCCAACATCTGTGAAGCATTTTTCATATATTTTTTCTGGTTTTTGAGTTGTTTATGGCAGGAAATGCTTTCCAAATTACTCCATCATGGCCTAATGAAGAACTCTTGTTATATTTGAGTCATTTTTATTTTTTACTTTTATAGTAGTTTTTGCTTCCGTAGTATTTTAAGTGAAATACTATATTTCATAATGAATTACCCTGATTACTTGTAAGGTAAACAGAAACTCAGTGAGATCCAAAATAGAGTGGTGATCTCACTAACTTGAGAAAACAAAGTTTAGAGTTTAAAGAAATCACGTACCCTAGAACTTAAAGTATAATAATAAAAAAAAGAAAGAAATCAAACCAGCTTGCACACACAGAAAACACAGAGATCTGCAGAAAAGTCCCACATGTCTTTAGCTGAGTACTGATCTGCATGTGCAAAACGGGAAAACTACTTAAGGCTATGGAAAGGACCAAGAAAAAACTAGTAAACACCTCTTGAGTCTTACACAGCACTGGGAACAGTTTGTGCTCCAAGCAACAATAGAAAAATGGCCTCGTACTACAGGAGGCATTAGGTAGAGTCCTGAGAAGAGATGTAGTACCAAAATAAATGAGCAATAAACTGAAAGTTGCTCTGGATCCACTCTAACAAGACTAAGGAGCAAACTCCCAGAATGTTCAAGCTGGTAAAAGGCAATTTAACTGTGTGTCAGCACAAAGTCCAACACCCCTTAAAGGAATACAACAAAATCTAATAGCCAATAAGTTTAAAATATACATGCCTAAAACATATGAAAAAATTAAAAAGTATAGAAGGCAAAGGAAATATAATTCATAACAAAAAGAAAATCATCCAATAGAAAGAGACCCAGAAATAAAACAAAAGATAGAAGTGGTAGAACAGAATGTTTTAAAAAATGATTGGAAATATACTCAAATATGTTTAATAATGTTGCAGAAAACATGAATATGATAACAAGTAATAGCAAAAATTTTAGAAACTAATAGAATGCCTATAAATGAAATAGAATGCCTATAAATGAATGCCTCAAATGAAAAATACATTTAACAGAATTAGCACAAGATTAGAGATTACAGAAGAACAGTGAACTTATAAAGAAATATAAACTGTCCAAAATGAAGCACATAAATGAAAAAGATTGAAAAACCTGGATAACAATATCAAGCAGCCTAATCCAGAGTGATAAGAGTTTGAGATATGTGATAGTGATGTGGTGGACAGAAATATTATTTGAAGAAATAATTTCCAAAATTTAACAAAATCTGTAATTCCATGAAACTGAGAAATGCAACAAAATACACACAAGATCGGGATGGGGGAGTGGGAAATATAAAGAAGCTCACACCAAGAATTTCATGAAGTTATGAAGACAAAAAAGCAGAAGAACAAAGATAAGAATGACAGCTGTCTTTTCATCAGAAACCACTTGCAAGTCAGAGGACAGTGGAGTCACATTTTTAAGCTAGTAAAATGTGGGGGGGCAAGGGGAGGAACTGCCAACCCATAATTCTATATTAAAAACAAAGGAAAACTATCAAAATAGAATTCTACACTCAGCAAATTTTTTTTCAAAAATGAAAGTGAAACAAAAATTTCCAGACTAAAAGAAAAAAAAATCAGAGATTTGCCCTACAGGAGATGACAACAAAATTCCTTGGGCTGAATGAAAATTATACCTGCTATTGCCAACAGACATATGAAAAAATGTTTATCCTCACTGGTCATCAGAGAAGTGCAAACCAAAACCACAATGAGATACCATCTCATGCCAGTTAGAACGGCGATCATTAAAAAGTCAGGAAACAACAGATGCTGGAGAGGATGTGGAGAAATAGGAATGCTTTTACACTGCTGGTGGGATTGTAAATTAGTTCAACCATTGTGGAAGACAGTGTGGTGATTCCTCAAGGATCTAGAACTAGAAATACCATTTGACCCAGCCATCCCATTACTGGGTATATACCCAAAGGATTATAAATCATGCTACTATAAAGACACATGCACATGTATGTTTATTGTGGCACTATTCACAATAGCAAAGACTCGGAACAAACCCAAATGTCCATCAATGATAGACTGGATTAAGAAAATGTGGCACATATACACCATGGAATACTAGCCAGCCATAAAAAAGGATGAGTTCATGTCCTTTGCAGGGACATGGATGAAGCTGGAAACCATCATTCTCAGCAAACTATCGTAAGGACAGAAAACCAAACACCGCATGTTCTCACTCATAGGTGGGAGTTAAACAATGAGAACACATGGACACAGGGTGGGGAACATCACACACACTGGGACCTGTCGGCAGGTGAGGGGCTGGAGAAGGGATATCATTAGGAGAAATACCTAATGTAAATGACGAGTTGATGGGTGCAGCAAACCAACATGGCGCATGTATACCTATGTAACAAACCTGCACGTTGTGCACATGTACCCTAGAACTTAAAGTATAATTTAAAAAAAGAATATTATACAGAATTTGGATTTATACAGATGAATAAAGAGAATAGGAGAAAGTTAATATGTGGATAAATATAAATCATCTATCATTTTTATCTCTCTAAAATGATAATTTACTGTTAAAAACAAACACTAGAACAATTTATTGTGTTCTTTATAACCTATATAGATATGATATTAGCTCAAGAGAAACAATTTAAAAAATCAGGTATACTATTTTAAGGTTCTGACACTATATATGAAGTGATATAACATAATTAAAGGTAGAATGTGATAAGCTAAAGATGTATATTGTAAATAATACAGCAACCATTTGAAAAAACAAAACAAAAAGATGTAGTTAATAATAGTCCTAAAGATTCAGGAACCTGAGCAAATCACAAACAAAGTATTTTCAAAAAAATCCACACCAAGCATGTAACAATTAAACTGTTGAAAAATAAAAATGAAGAAATCATCTTGAAAGCTGCTACAGAAAAATAACAAATTATATAAGGGAACAACAATTTAAATGACTATGGTTTTATCATAAGAAACCATAAAGGCCAGAAAGAAGTGGCCCAACATTTTTTAAGTGCTAATAATTATAACTCGGGATTCTATATGCAACAGAAATATCCTACACGGATAAGTGTGAAATAAAGACGTTCTAAGATGCAGAAAAACTAAGATAATCTATACAGTCAGTGGAGCTGCTCTAAAAGAAATGCTAGATGAGGCTCTTCAGATGAAGGGATATGAAGCAGAAGGCAACTTGGAATGAGGAAATAACAATAGATATGGTAAATTTCTGGGTAAATGCAATACACTGTTCTTCTCTTTTTGAGTTCTTTAAAGTATGCTTGATGGTTGAAAGCAAAAATATTTACATGGCCTTATGGGATTTTCAATGTTTGTAGATGAAATATACAAGAAATGGTAGCATATGAAAGGAGAAGGTAAAGGTACCTGTAATGAGGTAAGGTTTCCGCATTCCAAACCATGTGACAAAATATTGATTCTTAGTACACTCTAAAAAGTATTACTTTTTAATTTATGGAGCAATCACTTAAAAATTACAAAGAGATAATAGTAAATATCACATTAAGATAAGATTAAAATGGAATACTAAAAAATGTTCAAATAATCCAAATGAATACAGGAAAAAGGAAACAAGAATAAAAAACAGGAAACACAAAGAACTGAATAATAAAATAGTAGACCTAAGTTTAAGTATATCAACAATTACACTCAAGAAGTTAATAATGGAGAAAAAATGAAATCGTAAGAGGAAAAAGAAACTAATAGAATAATTAGAGGGCAAAAATCAAAACAGCATGATTAAATCCAAGCATATTGATAATTACATTAAATATAAATCGTCTAAAACTGTCAATTAGAAGGCAACATCTGCCACATTGAAAAAAAACAGGCAAAGTCCTATCAGCTATCAAAGAGACTAAAATGTATGAAAGTATAAAACTCACTAGTAAAAGTAAGGACACAATTCAAAATATTCTAATACTGTAATGGTGGTGTGTGAATCACTGTTATCTGTAGTATAAAGGTTAATAGACAAAAGTGTCAAAAATAATAGCTACAATAATTTGCTAAGGAATATACAATAAAATATATAAATCGTCACACCAAAAACATAAAATGTGAGGGGTAGAGTTGGCATAAAAGTGTAGAGTTATTTTATGTGATCTAAGTTAAGATGTTATCAGCTTAAAAGAGCATTACAACTATAAGATTGAAACACTAATCAAGTTTTTGAATCATTAATCAAAAACCTCCCAACAAAGAAAGCCCAGGAACAAATGAGCTTCGCTAATGAATTCTGCCAAATATCTAAAGAAGAATTAACAACAATCCTTTTCAAACTTTTCCACAAAATAGAAGAGGGAACATATCCAAAATTATTTCTCAAGGCCAGCATTACCCTAATACCAAAGCCAGACAATGACACTATATAAAAGCCAATATTCCTGATAAATATAGAAGGAAAAATATTCAACAAAACACTAGCAAATAAAAATCAAGATCACAGTAAAAGAATAATTCACTGTGATAAAATGGGATATATCCCAAAGAAGCAATGATGGGTTAATATGCAAAAATCAATTAATGTGATACACCACATTAACAGAATGAAGGACAATAATTCTATTATCATCTCAATAGATGCAGAAAAAGCATTTGATAGAATTCAACATATTTTCATGATAAAAACTCTCAGCAAATTAGGTATCAAAGGAATGTACTTCAACATAATAAAAGCCATATATGACAAGTCCACATCCAACACTACAGTGGTGAAAAGTTGAAGGCTTTTCCTCTAATATTAAGAACAAGACAAGGATGCTCATTCCCACCACTTCTATTCAACATAATACAAGAAGCCCTAGCCAGAGGAATTAGGCAAAAGAAAAAAATGAAAGACATCCAAATTGGAAAGAAGTGTTGCCTCTGTTTGCAGATCACATGATGTTATATGTAAAAAACTCTAAAGTCTCCACCAAAAATCTGTAAAAAAAAATTTAAAAATTCCGTAAACTTGCAGGATATGAATAAACGTACAAAAATCAGTAGCATTTTTATATGCTAACAATGAAACTATCTGAAAAAGAAACCAAAAAAGATCCCTTTACAACATTAAAAACTAAAATAAAATACTCAAAAATAAGCAAGGATTATATCTCCAAGATATAATCTACCAATAAGACTATATATTCTTTACTTGATTATGTCTATATTTTTAAATTTAGAAATACAGTAATTTCAACCATAAGATAAATTTTAAAGTTGACCCAATCTAGGCCAGGTGCGGTGGCTCATTCCTGTAATCCCAGCATTTTGGGAGGCCAAGACAGGAGGATCACTTGGGGCCAGGAGTTCAAGAGCAGCCTAGCCAACATAGTGAAACCCTGTCTCTACTAAAAATACAAAAAAAAAAAAAAAAAAAAAAATAGCCAGGCATGGTGGTGCACTTCTGCAGTCCCAGCTACTCAGGAGGCTGAGGCACAAGAATCGTTTGACTTCAGGAGGCATAGGTTGCAGTGAGCCAAGAGCGTGCCACTACACTCTAGCCTGGGTGACAGAGCAAGACTCCATCTCAAAAAAAAAAAAAAAAAAAAGGTGGCCCAATCTAGTTTTAAACTTTTAAGAATCCTAAGAGGCTCAAAAGTAAACTAAACGCTCAAGAAGAGTACATTTTGTACTTTATCATGTACCAAGAAATGACCAGATCATGGGCTTATTTCCTAGCTTGCCTTTCCATAAACATTCAGTTAGACAGTTAAGACATGAGGGGGCTATTATTTACTGTGAACCTGACATAGGGTCTGTTTTTTCTCTAAGAAGTCATTGTAGATGTCTTCAAAAGATTCCCTTCAACAGCTTATATGGCAAACACCAATCTCTATTACTGCTCTAGGTTTGAAGTTTCGCTTGTTTACATTTGTTGGTGGAGTATTACCACTTTTTTGAAAACTTTTATACTTGTAGATGGCCATAATAAAAGAAATTCATCATTGTTAGGGCTTTTGAACCCTGCTTCTGGTTGTAATAACAAAGTAGCTGTATATTAAAATACAATCATTTCATACTTCCACAATGACCAAGCTATTCTCTTATTCCAATAAACGATCCCACAGAAATACAAACTACCATCAGAGAATACTACAAACACCTTTACGCAAATAAACTAGAAAATCTAGAAGAAATGGATAAATTCCTCGACACATACACTCTCCCAAGACTAAACCAGGAAGAAGTTGAATCTCTGAATAGACCAATAACAGGCTCTGAAATTGTGGCAATAATCAATAGCTTACCAACCAAAAAGAGTCCAGGACCAGATGGATTCACAGCCGAATTCTACCAGAGGTACAAGGAGGAACTGGTACCATTCCTTCTGAAACTATTCCAATCAATAGAAAAAGAGGGAATCCTCCCTAACTCATTTTATGAGGCCAGCATCATCCTGATACCAAAGCCGGGCAGAGACACAACCAAAAAAGAGAATTTTAGACCAATATCCTTGATGAACATTGATGCAAAAATCCTCAATAAAATACTGGCAAACCGAATCCAGCAGCACATCAAAAAGCTTATCCACCATGATCAAGTGGGCTTCATCCCTGGGATGCAAGGTTGGTTCAATATATGCAAATCAATAAATGTAATCCATCATGTAAACAGAACCAAAGACAAAAACCACATGATTATCTCAATAGATGCAGAAAAGGCCTTTGACAAAATTCAACAGCCCTTCATGCTAAAAACTCTCAATAAATTAGGTATTGATGGGATGTATCTCAAAATAATAAGAGCTATCTATGACAAACCCACAGCCAATATCATACTGAATGGGCAAAAACTGGAAGCATTCCCTTTGAAAACTGGCACAAGACAGGGATGCCCTCTCTCACCACTCCTATTCAACATAGTGTTGGAAGTTCTGGCCAGGGCAATTAGGCAGGAGAAGCAAATAAAGGGTATTCAATTAGGAAAAGAGGAAGTCAAATTGTCCCTGTTTGCAGATGACATGATTGTATATCTAGAAAACCCCATTGCCTCAGCCCAATATCTCCTTAAGCTGATAAGCAACTTCAGCAAAGTCTCAGGATACAAAATCAATGTACAAAAATCACAAGCATTCTTATACACCAATAACAGACAAACAGAGAGCCAAATCATGAGTGAACTCCCATTCACAACTGCTTCAAAGAGAATAAAATACTTAGGAATCCAACTTACAAGGGATGTGAAGGACCTCTTCAAGGAGAACTACAAACCACTGCTCAATGAAATAAAAGAGGATACAAACAGATGGAAGAATATTCCATGCTCATGGGTGGGAAGAATCAATATCGTGAAAATGGCCATACTGCCCAAGGTAATTTATAGGTTCAATGCCATCCCCATCAAGCTACCAATGACTTTCTTCACAGAATTGGAAAAAACTACTTTAAAGTTCATATGGAACCAAAAAAGAGCCCGCATCACCAAGTCAATCCTAAGCCAAAAGAACAAAGCTGGAGGCATCACTCTACCTGACTTCAAACTATACTACAAGGCTACAGTAACCAAAACAGCATGGTACTGGTACCAAAACAGAGATATAGATCAATGGAACAGAACAGAACCCTCAGAAATAACGCCGCATATCTACAACTATCAGATCTTTGACAAACCTGAGAAAAACGAGCAATGGGGAAAGGATTCCCTATTTAATAAATGGTGCTGGGAAAACTGGCTAGCCATATGTAGAAAGCTGAAACTGGATCCCTTCCTTACACCTTATACAAAAATTAATTCAAGATGGATTAAACACTTAAATGTTAGACCTAAAACCATAAAAACCCTAGAAGAAAACCTAGGCTTTACCATTCAGGACATAGGCATGGGCAAGGACTTCATGTCTAAAACACCAAAAGCAATGGCAACAAAAGCCAAAATTGACAAATGGGATCTCATTAAACTAAAGAGCTTCTGCACAGCAAAAGAAACTACCATCAGAGTGAACAGGCAACCTATAAAATGGGAGAAAATTTTCACAACCTACTCATCTGACAAAGGGCTAATATCCAGAATCTACAATGAACTCAAACAAATTTACAAAAAAAAAAAAAAAACAAGCCCACCAAAAAGTGGCCAAAGGGTATGAACAGACACTTCTCAAAAGAAGACATTTATGCAGCCAAAAGACACATGAAAAAATGCTCATCATCACTGGCCATCAGAGAAATGCAAATCAAAACCACAATGAGATACCATCTCACACCAGTTAGAATGGCAATCATTAAAAAGTCAGAAAACAACAGGTGCTGGAGAGGATGTGGAGAAATAGGAACACTTTTACACTGTTGGTGGGACTGTAAACTAGTTCAACCATTGTGGAAGTCAGTGTGGCGATTCCTCAGGGATCTAGAACTAGAAATACCATTTGACCCAGCCATCCCATTACTGGGTATATACCCAAAGGACTATAAATCATGCTGCTATAAAGACACATGCACATGTATGTTTACTGCGGCACTATTCACAATAGCAAAGACTTGGAACCAACCCAAATGTCCAACAATGATAGACTGGATTAAGAAAATGTGGCACATATACACCATGGAATACTATGCAGCCATAAAAAAGGATGAGTTCATGTCCTTTGTAGGGACATGGATGAAATTGGAAATCATCATTCTCAGTAAACTATCACAAGGACAAAAAACCAAACACTACATGTTCTCACTCATAGATGGGAATTGAACAATGAGAACACATGGACACAGGAAGGGGAACATCACACTCTGGGGACTGTTGTGGGGTGGGGGGAGGGGGGAGGGATAGCATTAGGAGATATACCTAATGCTAAATGACGAGTTAATGGGTGCAGCACACCAGCATGGCACATGTATACATATGTAACTAACCTGCACATTGTGCACATGTACCCTAAAACTTAAAGTATAATTAAAAAAAAAAAACTAAACAAGTAACAAAAAAAATCCATTTTTAAAAATCTGCAGCTAACTCCAAATTGTTGGTAGTATCTAAATTCAGCAGAAATGAAATAAATGTGATAAAACTGAACTGTATTTGTTCTTTGTATCTTACTTTAATGGGTATTTTTTTAATCACTAGATTAGTTCATCTTGCTAACATAGAAAAATATACTCTGGTCCACTGCACACCCTATGCAAACATTAATCTGAATTCCCTCCCTGATGGTGCCCTCTCAGCAATTAAGCACAAATCTGATTCAGAGGAAATTAAGTAATGTAACTGTTCACCTGTCTACAGAGATGACTTCTAGATGTCTCTTTGCTTTAATGTAGAAAGAATAGAAGCATTCTGAATAGAAGCATTCAAACATTTCTTTCTCATGTTTTAGTCCTGTTAATTCTTGAAAATAGTTTACTGAAAAAGCAAACAAACTAGTTTACATTTTCCCACTAATGCCAGTGTAGCTAAATTTCCAGAATCTCTCATAATTACTACCACTTTAGCTTGCTAAGAAGTCTCCACAACTCCGTTGCTATTCATGTACCTAATCCCAACCCTACATTATCTACACAGATATCAAGATATTTTTATAAAAAGCAGATATAATCAAGTTTCAGTCATGCTTAACTATTGAATTTTTTTTTTTAGATGAAATCTTGCTCTGTCGCCAGGCTGAAGTGCAGTGGTGCAATCTCAGCTCACTGCAACCCCCACTGCCCAAGTTCAAGCTATTCTCCTGCCTCAGCCTCCCAAGTAGCTGGGACTAAAGGCACGTGCCACTACGCCAGCTAATTTTTGTATTTTTAGTAGAGATGGGGTTTCACCATGTTGGCCTGGAAGGTCTCGATCTCTTGACCTTGTGATCCGCCCATCTTGGCCTCCAAAGTGCTGGGATTACAGGAGCCACTGCACCCAGCCGAAACATTTTCTTTTATTGCTCATTAAAAAAACTGAAAATACTTGAAATAAATAAATAAATGTAACCAATGAGGTGAAAGATCTGTACAATGAAAACTATAAAACATTGATGAAATAAATTGAAAAAGACACAAATAAATGGAAAGATCCCACATTCACAGACTGGAAAAATTAATATTGTTATAATATCCATACTTCCCACAGTGATCTACAGATTCAGAGCAATCCCTACCACACTCTCAATGACATTTTTCACAAAAAATTTTTTAAAAATCCTAAAATCAGTATGAAACCACAAAAAGCCCCAAAGAGCTAAGGCAACCTTAAGCAAAAAGAACAAATCCAGAGGCCTCCCATTAGTTGATTGCAAAATCTACTACAAAACTGTAGTAATGAAAACAACATTGTACAGGCATGGTACTAACACAAGACCAGTGAAACAGAACAGGGGACCTGAAAATAAATTCACACATTTATAGTCAATTAACTTTTGATGAAGATGCCTAAACACATAACAGGAAAAAGACAGTCTCTTCAATTAATGATTCTAGGAAAACTGGATATCCACATGCAGAAGAATAAAATTAGACCCTCATTTCACATCATATATAAAAATCAACTAAAAATGGATTAAAGACTTAAAGATAAGACACGAAATGGTAAAACTACTAGAAAAAAACATAGTCGAGAAGTTAATGACATTCATTGGGTAAAGATTTATTGGATATGATGCCAAAAGCACAGGTAACAAAAGCAAAAGTAGACAAATGATATTACATCAAACAAGCTTCTGCATAGCAAGGAGATAATCAACAAACTGAAGATATAACCTATGAAATGGGAAAATACACTTGCAAATGATATATCTGTTAAAGGGTTAATATGAAAATATATAAGGAACTCAAAGAACTTAACAGCAAGAAAACAAATAACCAAACTAAAACATGGGCAAAGGACATGAGTGGACATTTCTCAAAAGAAGATACACAAATGCCCAACAGGTATATGAAAAAATGTTCAACATTACTCACCATCAGAAAAATGCAAATTAAAACCAAAATGATATATCATTTCACATCTGTTAGAATCGTTATTATCAGAAAGACAAAAGATAACAAGTGTTGGCAAGAATGTGGAGAAAAGGGAATCCTTGTACCCTGTTGGTGGGAAGAAGTACGCCCATTATGGAAAACAATATGAAGCCTCCTAAAAATTAAAAGTAGAACTACCGTATGGCCCAGCAATTTCACTATTGGGTATACATCTAAAGAATATGAAATCAGCATGTCAAAAAGATATCTGCATTTCCATGTTCATTGTAACATTAGTCTCAATAGCCAAGATATGGAATCAACCTAAGGGCTCATCAACCTAAGTGTCCATCCAATGGAGTGAATAGATGAAAAACATGTGGCATATTGATGATGCTTGAATAACATGGGTTTGAACTTTATGAGCCCACTTACGTGCGGGCTCACTTATATATAGATTCTTTCAACCAAATGCAAATAGAAAATACCATATTTGCAGGATGCAAAACTTGTGTTTAGGGGGAGCCAACTTTTCCTATACAGAGAGGGCCAATTTTTCCTACATATGGATTCCCCAGGCCGACTGCACTGGCTTTGGTATGGGGTCCTGGAATCAATCCCCCATATATACTGAGGGACAACTGTATATACACAGTGTAATCTTATTTGACCTTAAAAAGGGAGAAAACCCTGTCATTTGTTACAATTTGAACCTGGATATCTCTATATCTAGTAAAGAAAATACATACATAATTAAAATCATTCTCACAAAGTCCTGGAACAGATAGTTTCCCTGATCAAATTCTATCAACCATTTAAGACAGAAATAATATCAATTCTACATAAACTCTTAAAAAAGATGAAACATGCTTTAAATCATTTAACATTAGCCAGATTACAAAACCATATAAAGATATTACAAGAAAAATACATACTCTAATATCTCTTATGAATATAGACATAGAAGTCTTTAAGATTTTAGCAAATGAAATTCAGCAATATATGAAAAGGATAATATATTATGACCAAGTAAGCTTTATCCAAGAATGCAATTGCAGTTTAACATGTAAAAGTCAATCAATACCATTCACCATATTAAAAAATCAGAAAATGAAAAAACAAAAGTTTTTCTCAAAAGATGTGGAAAAAAAAACTATTTCGAGGAAATTTAACACTGTTCATGAAAAAAACTAAACAAACTAGAAATAAAAGTAAATTTCCTCAACCTGATAAAAGTCATGTTAAACACATTGCTAAGACTGCATATTTCCCTGCTAAAATAAGGGAAAAGGCAGGAATATCTGCTGTCACTACTTCTACTCAGTAGTGTACTAATGATCCTAAAAATACAAGACAAAGAAAATTAGTAAAAGGCATACACACTGAAAAAGAAAGAGTAAAACAATGTTTATTACCACACCACATGAGCATCTATATAGAAAATAAGTTGTTGACCAATGGGCTACAGATATTAATAAGTGTGTTTAGCAACGTTGCATGACCAAACCCATATTTGAAAATGAATTTTTACATAGACTAGCAATCAGCTGTTATAAATTTAAATTTTTTAAATACCATTTAGTAATATTAAAAATATGAAATATTTAGGAATTTAGCAAACTATGTACAACACCAGTATATTGAAAAATATAAAATACTGCTGAAACAAAAGAGACCTAAATAAAGAAGTGATATACCATGTCCATGCATTACAAGACTCCATATTGTTAAAGACTCAATTTTCCCCTCTCTAGATCCAATGCAACCCCAATTAAAATCTTTGCAGCCTTCTTTCAAAAATTGACAAGTTGATTCTAAATTTTATATTGCAATATGAAGGACCTAGAATAGCTCAAAACTTTTTAAAATGGAAAAAAAGATGGAAGACTTACACCGCCAGATTTAGAGAGCTACAGTAATCAATAGAGTGTGATACTAGAATAACCATAATATACATCAATGGACCAGAATAGAGTACAAAAATCGGCTCACACATATATGGCCAATTGATTTTTCTACACAGATACCATGGTAATTCAATGGAAAAAGCTGGAACAATTGGATATTTATTCATTCATTCATTCATTCATTCAGGCACAGGGTTTTGCCTGTCTCTAAATGACAGGCTGTAGTGCAGTGGCACAATCATAGTTCACTGTAGCCTTGAACTCTTGGGCTCCAGCAGTCTCCCTACCTCAGGCTCCTGAGCATCTGGGATTATAGGTGTGAGCCACTGGACGCAGCCTATTTTTATAAAAATCTCAGCCCTTACTTCGCACAATATATGAAAATTCACTCAAATGGATCACAAATATCTGAGGACAAAAGCCAAAATTATAAAACATCTCCTAGAAAACGCATGAGAAAAATGTGACCTTGAGCTTGGCAAAGGTCTTTTAGATAGAATACAAAAAGTACAGACATTTTTTAAAATAATAATAAGTGGTAATTCATCAAAATTTACAACCTCTGGTTTATAAAGAAGATGAAAAGTTATCCTAAAGAGTTACTGGCCTTAATTAGTATGTAGAAATAAAGATTGAGCTAGAAAGTTTATTCAAAGAAATAATAACTGAGAACTTTCCAAACTTGTAGAAAGATATAAATATCCAGATACGAGGTTATAAAACACCAACAGATACCTCAAATATACTCAAATACTTATTTGAGTATATACCTACTTCAAGGTATATAATATTCAGACTCTCAAAGGTCAAGGATAAGGAACAGATCCAAAAGCAGCAGAGAAAAGAGGCACACAACTTATAAAGAATCCCTGACATATCTGGCAGCAGACTTCTCAGTAGGAAACTTGCAGTCCAGGAGAGCGAGATGACATTTTCAAAGTGCTGAAGGAAAGAAAACATCCAACCTAGAAAGTTATATATATCCAGCAAAATTATCCTTCAAACATAAAGGAGAAATACTTTCTCAGAAAAATAAAAACCAAAGGATTTCATCAACAACATGTCTGTCTTATAAGAAATGTTAAAAGGAGTTCTTCAATGTGAAACAAGAGGATATTAACAAACAACAGGAAATCATCTAAAGGTATAAAACTCACTGGCAATAGTAAATATACAAACATACAGAGAATACGCTTAATACTATAACTGAAATACATAAAGCACTCATATCTGTAGTAGAAAAACTAAAAAACAAACCAATCAAAACTAAAAACTACCACAACTTTTTCAGGTAGACTGTATAAAAAGATATAAATATAGACAATAAAAAGTCCAAAGCCAAAAAGAATGTATAGAGCTTTTTTAGTTTTTTATTTGCTTATTTGTTTTGTTTTTTTTCTTTTCCTTGTAATCAAAATTAATTTGTCATCAGCTTAAAATAACTGGTTATAAGATTTTATTTGCAAACCTCATGGTAACCACAAAACAAAAACCTAAAACAGATATACAAAAAATAAAAAGCAAGAAATTAAAATATACTACCAGAAAAAAAAATCACTTTTATACAAAGGAATTCAGAAGGAAAAAAGAAAGACCAACAAAATGACCAGAAAACAAACAACAAAATGGCAGTAATAAGTTCTTACGAATCAATAATAATATTGAATGTAAACGGACTAAATTCTCCAAACAAAAGACATAGAAGAATGGATAAAAAATAAGACCCCACTACATGCTGCCTAGAAGAAACACTTCACCCATAAAGACACACAGACCTAAAATAAAGGGATGAAAAAAGATATTCCATGCCAATGGCAACAAACAAACAAAAAAAAAGCAAGAAGGAGTAGCTATACTTGTATCACATAAATAGGTTTCAAGAGAAAAAAACTGCAAAAAGAGACAAGGTTATTACATAATGATAAAGGAGTCTCTTCAGCAAGATGATAGAACAATTGTAAATCTATATGTACCACTGGAGCACCAAAAATATAATGCAAACATTATTAGATCTAAAAAGAGAGAAGACCCCAAAACAATAATATCTTGGGACTTCAACAGCACATTTTTAGGATTGGACAGATCATCCAGACAGAAAATCAACAAAGAAACATCAGATCAGACCTTAATCTGCACTACAGACCAAATAGACATTTACAGACCATTTCATCTAATAGCTGCACAATACACATTCTTCTCCTCAGCACATAGAATGCTCTCCAAGATAGACAATTCATTAGGACACAAAACATGTCTCAAAAATTCAAAACAATTAAAATCATATCAAGTATCAAGTATCTCATCTGACCACAACAGAATAAAACTAGAAATCAATAGCAGGAGGAACTTTGAAAACTATACAAACTCATGGAAATGCTTCTAAAAAAACCACTTCGGTCAATGAAGAAATTCAGAAGAAAATTTTAAAATTTCCAGAAACAAACGAAAATGGAGACAAACAGATCAAAACCTAAAGAATACAGCAAAAGCAGTACTAAGAGGGAAGTTTACAGTAATAAATCCTTACATTAAAAAAATAGAAAAGCTTCAAATAAACAACCTAATGGCACATCTTAAAGAACACAAAGAGAAGAGCAAACCAAACCCAAAATTAGTAGAAGAAATAAAATAATAAAGATCAGAGCAGAAATTAAATCAATAATAAAAAATACAAAAGGTCAATGAAATGAAGTTTATTTTTGAAAAGATGAAAATATAGACAAATCTTAAATCAGACAAAGAAAAAAGAAAGAAGACCTAAATAAATAAAATCAGAGATGAAAAAGGAGACATTACAAGGGATACCACAGAAAATCAAAGAATCATTAGAGACTATTAGGAGACAAAGTGCCAATACACTGTAAAACAGAAGAAACAGATACATTACTTGCAACATACCAAGATTAAACCATGGAGAAATTCAAAACCTGAGTAGGTCAATAACACATAGCAAGATGGATGCACTGATGAAATGTCTCCCATCAAACAAAAGCCTAGTACCTGATGGTGTCAACAGAATGAAGAGAAAAATCATACGGCCATTTCAATTGATGCCAAAATGCATTCAATAATTCAAAATCCTTTCACTATAAAAACTAAAAAACTGGGTACAGAAGAAACATACTTCAATAGTTTAAAAGCCACATACAACAAACCCACAGCTAGTATCATAATAAATGGGGAAAAACTGAAAGCCTTTCCTCTAATATCTAGAAAAAGACAGGATCCTTTCACCACTTGTATTCAAGGCAGTACTGGAAGTCCTAGCTACAGCAATTAGACAAGAGAAAGAAATAAAGGACATCCTAAATAGAAAGAAAGAAATCAAGTTTTTCCTTGTTTATAGATTATATGATCTTATATTTAGAAAACCTAAAGACTCCAAAAACTACTGGAACCGATAAACATATCCAGTAATGTTGCAGGGATACAAAATCAAGATACAAAAAAACAGTAGCATTCCTACATGGCAACAGTGCACAATCTGAAAAAGAAACCAAAAAAAAGTAATCCCATTTAAAATAGCTACAAGTGAAATAAAATGTCTGGGAATTAACTTAACCAAAGAAGTGAAAGATCTCTACAATTGAAATTATAAGACACTGATGAAAGAAATTGAAGAGAATACACAAAAAAACGGATTTGGAAAAATATTGTTAAAATGTCCAAACTACCCAAAGGTTCTATAGATTAAACATAATGCCTATCAAAATACTAATGACATTCTTCACAGAAAGAATGATCCTAAAATTTATATGAAACCACAAAAGACCCAGAATAGCCAAAGCCATCCTGAGCAAAAAGAACAAAACAGGAGGCATCACATTACCAGACTTGAAATTATATTACAAAGCCATAATAGTCAAAACAGCATTGTACTGGCATAAAAACAGAAATATAGACCAATGCAACAGAATAGAGACTCCAGAAATAAATTCACACATTTACAGTCAACTCGTTTTTTACAAGGGTGCCAAGAACATACATTGGGGAAAGGACAGTCTCTTCAATAAATGATTCTGGGAAAACTGGATATCCATAGGCAGAAGAATGAAACTAGACCCCTACCTCTCACCATATACGAAAATAAAATCAAAATGGATTAAAGACTTACATCTAACACATGAAACTATGAAAATACTAGAAGAAAACACTGGAGAAACACTCCAGGACATTGGTCTGGGCAGATTTCTTGAGTAGGACCTCAAAAGCACAGGTAACCAAAGCAAAAAATGGGCAAAGGCATCACATCAAGCTAAAAAAATCTTCTGCACAGCAAAGGAAACAATCAACACAGTGAAGAGACAACCCACAGAATGAGAGAAAATATTTTCAAAGTACCCTCTGACAAGGGATTAATAACCAGAATATACAAAGTTGTCAAACAACTCAATAGGGAAAAAAAGATCTTATTTTTAAATGGGCAAAAGATCTGAATAGAACTTTTCTCAAAAGACAACATATGTTATTAGCCCGTTTTCACACTGCTATAAAGAACTGCCCAAGACTGAGTAATTTATAAAGGAAAGGGGTTTAATTGACTCACAGTTCAGCATGGCTGAGGAGGCCTCAGGGAACTTGCAATCATGGCGGAAGGGGAAGGGGAAGGAAGGCACCTTCTACAAAGGGTGGCAGGGAGGATAATGAACACAGGAGGAACTATGAAATACTTATAAAACCATCAGATCTCATGAGAACTCACTCACTATAATGAGAACAGCATGGGGGAAGCTGCTCCCATGATGTAATTACCTCTACCTGGTCTATTCCTTGATACGTGGGGATTGTGGAGAGTATGGGGATTACAATTCAATTGAGATTTGGGTGGGGACACAAAGCCTAATCATATCAACATAAAAATGGCAAACAGGTATATGAAAAAATACTTACTAATCATCAGATAAATACAATCAAAATTATAATGAGATACAATCTCACTCCAGTTAAAATGGCTTTTATCCAAAAGACAGGCAATAATGCTGATGAGGATGTGGAGAAAGGAGAATCCTCATACACTGCCGGTGAGAACATAAATTAGTACAACCACTATGAAGAATAGTTTGGAGTTCCTAAAAAACTAAAAATAGAACTACCACATGATCCAGCAATACCACTGCTGGACATATATCCAAAAGAAAGAAAATCTGTATATCAAAGAGATATCTGCGTTCCCATGTTTATTGCAGCACTATTCACAATAGCCAAGCTACGAAAGCAACCTAAGTGTCCATCAACAGATGAATGAGAAGAAAATTCTATGCATATACACAACAGAACATTATTTAGCCATTAAAAAAGAATGAAATCCTGTCATCTGCAACAACACGGATGAAACTGAAGGGCAATGTTAAGTGAAATAAGCCAGGCACAGAAAGACAAATATCACGTATTCTCACTTACATGTGGAAGACAAAAATTGTTGAATTTATGGACTATAAAGAGTGGAATGATAGTTGCTAGAGGCTAGGAAAGGTAGCAGAGAGCAGGGGATAAAGTGAGGCTGGTTAATGGGTACAAAAATACAGATAGAATGAATATTTGGTAGCAAAATAGGGTGACTACAGTTAATAATTTATTGTATATTTTTATTAGGTTGATGCAAAAGCAATAAATAACTAAACAAGTAGAACTGAAATGTTCCTAACACAAAAAATAATAAAGGCTTGAAGTGATGGATGTCCCAATTACCCTGATTTGATCATTACACATTGTATGACTGTATCAAAACATCACATGTATCTCATAAACATATACAACTATTATGTGCCCATAATAATCAAAAATAAAAAATGTTATAAGTACAAATTATAGGGAGTGCGTATTTCTTCCAAATAAATAAAATGTTTAAAATATATAAAGTAATAGAATGGCTGCCTTTTAAGGCACTGATATATCCATCAGTGAAAGAATGTTAAGCAGATACAGAAAAATAAGAATTTTCTGAATATGAATGCACATCTACTAAAACTTTTTAATATAGTCAGTGCAAATTTTCAAGGATATGTATAATATTTTTGTAGTTCCTAAATAGCTTAAAAGCATATGGTTTAATAATTCACTTAGCAAAACTAAAAACATTTAGTAAGTAAAAAAAACGTATACAATTTTAACAGTAGCATTTGTCACAATGGCAAAGCAGTTTGCTAAAATGATAAAGTCGTGTGTTCCTTAACAATGAGGATACATTCTGAGAAATGCACTGTTAGGCAATTTCATCACTGTGTGAACATCATAGAGTATACTTCTACAAACCTAAATGGTATAGCCTACTACATACCTAGGCTGTGTGACACAGCCTATTGCTCCTGAACGAAAAACCCGTACAGCATGTTGTTGTACTGAATACTGTAGGTAATTAGAACACAACGGTATTTGTGTATCTAAACATATAGAAAAGGTATGGTAAAAGTGTGGTGTAAAAAATAAAAAATGGTATACCTGTATAGGACACTTACCATGAATGAAGCTTGCAGGACTGGAAGTTGCTCTGGATGAGTCAGTGGGTAAGTGGTGAGTGAATGTGAAGGCCTAGGACATTACTGTATACTACTGTAGAATTTATAAGCACTGTATACTTAGTCAACACTAAATTTTTTAAAATATTTTTCTTCCTTCAATAATAAATTAACCTTAGCCCACTATAAATTTTTACTTATAAACTTTTTAATTTTTTAACTTTTTGATCCTTCTGTAATAACAGCCTAAAACACAAACATATTTTACAGCTATAAAAATTTTTTCCTTAAATCCTTATTATATAAGCTTTTTCCTATTTTTTCACTTTTTATTTTTTAAAATTTTTTGCTAAAAACAAAAACACAAACACACACATTAGCCTAGGCCTACACAAAGTCAGGATCATCAGTATCACTGTCTTCCACCTCCACATCTTGTCCCACTGGAAGGTCTTCAGGGGCATTCATATGCATGGAGCTCTCATCTCCTATGATAATAATGCCTTCTTCTGGAATACCTCCTGCCTAAGGCTATTTTACAGTTTTTTTTTCTTGTAAGTAGAAAAAGTATATTCTAAAATAATAAAAAGTATAGTAAACACATAAATCACTAACATAGTTGTTTATTATCAGCATCAAATATTATGTACTATATATAATTGTATGTGCCATACTTCTGTACGACTGGCAGTGAAGTAGGTTTGTTTACACCAGCATCACCACAAACACATGAGCAATGCATTGCACTATGACATTTTGACAGCTACATCATCTCCAGGGATAGGAATTTTTCAGTTCCAGAATAATCTTATGAGACCTCCATCATATATTCAGTCTGTGATTAATTGAAATATTGTGCATGGCATAACTGTATTTTACTCATTATATTGATACTGTTTCATTTTACTTAATTATTCCTAAAAAGGTCTGCACAAATGAAACTCTACCACAAATGCCAAGCCTAATTGCAACACATAATAAAATTTTGCTTTCTGTGATTCCTATGATTGAATTGTTTCTAAACTGGAGATTTCTCCTATTAAAAATCCCTAATTCCCACCACTTAATACATCTGTTTTATGGATCTATTTTCAGACACCAGTGTGCTAAAAATCAATGTCCAATTTACACTTAAAATTCACCACAGAATTTTTAAAAACGTGATATTAAGAGCAGAGGAGAAACTCATAGTATCAATAAATTTATATTAAAAAAATACCTTTCTGAAAAAATCTAATGATTTTTAGATCAAAAGGAAAAAAGTTAACATTAAATGACATTAATTATGGCTTCCCAACTACACCTCCAAAATTCTTAAAGCATGAAAAATACTAAAGCAAAACATTAATATTATACTCACCTTGAGACTCACATTGAGATTCTTAGAAAGTTTATGAGGTATTGCTAAACTAAAGTGAAATAAATTTCCCACAGGACTAACCCAGAAGAGCTTTATGGTCCAAGTTAGTAAAATCATCCACATAATTCCCCTCTGAGATTTGTAGATTCCCTAAAAGCCGTAATTCTAAGTATAACAAAAAAGGACAAACTGACATTTCCTTTACTGCCACAGCAAGTTCAAGGGAATTCTTAAAATCTTCAGTTAAACATATATTCCACATAACCAAATATGAAAAAACATTTATCTACTTCTTCTATTTTCACATTTATTTGCAAATAATTTCAAAAGTGCAATAGCCAAAGAACTCCCCATACACATATACCTGTCATTCAGATTCCCTAATTGTCAATATTTTTCCCGTTTATCATTAATTCTTTCTCCCTCTCTCTCTCCCTTCCTCTCCCTTTCTCCCTCCCCCTTTCTCCCTCTCCCCCTCCCCCTCCCCCTCCCTCTCTCCCAGTTGTATACATCATTCTTACTGTCCTTAATACTTTGGTGTGTATTTCTTAAGAACCAGCTGGGTGCGGTGGCTCACGCCTATAATCCCAGCACTTTGGGAGACCGAGGTGGGTGGATCATGAGATCAGGAGATCAAGACCATCCTGGTTAACATGGTGAAACCCCATCTCTACTAAAAATTAAAAAATTAACCAGGCATGCTGGCGCGCACCTGTAGTCCCAGCTACTCAGGAGGCTGAGGCAGGAGAATCACTTGAACCCGGGAAGTGGAGGTTGCAGTGAGCCGAGATCACTCCAGCCTGGGCTACAGAGGGAGACTCCATCTCAAAAAAAAAAAGAAAAAAGAAAAAAAAAAAAAAAAAAAACCAAGCACCCTCTTTCTATTATACATAACCATATTGCAATTATCAACTTTAAGAAATTTAACATTTGTACAATACTTTAATGTATCTATACATTTAAATTTTGTGAACTGAGTACATAATGTCCTTCATAGCATTTTTTAATTTTTCATCCAGCATAGAATCCAGTCTGGGATCACCAGTTCTCATGCATTTGTTGTCACCATGTTGTGCACCAGTGGTCAACAACCAGCTGTCATGTCTTGTAAGCTTCCTTTAATCTGGAACAATTTTTCAGCCTTTCTCTGTCTCCCATAACATGGATATTTTTGAAGAATAAAGCTATCCATCCCTCTTTTTAGATGGCATATTCTTTATTTGAAGTTTGTCTGATATTGCTTCATGATTAGCTTCAGGTTAGGCATTTCTAGTCACAATACTGTAAGGTAGGGGTGGGTAAGCTATGTCCTGTGGGGTCATACCTACTCTGCTGCTCATTTTTGTTAAAAAAAAAAAAAAATTATTCCCAGAAACAGTGTACAAGTACTCCCTCTTTTCCACATCCTCACCAATACTTGTTATCTTTTGTCTTTTTTACAGCCATTCTAACAGGTGTGAGGGGAGAGATCATAGATCATTGTAGTTTTAATTTGCATTTCCCTGATGACTAGTAATATTGAGCATGTTTTCATACATCTGTTGGCCATTTTTATGTTTTGCTTTATAAATTTTTTTATTTTTAATTTTTGTGGTCACATAGATGTATATATTTATGGGTTACATGAGATATTTTGAAACAAGCACACAATGCATAATAATCACATCAAACATCTATTCATTTCTTTGACACAAATAATCCAATTCTACTGTATTATTTTAAAATGTAAAATAAACTGTTGTTCACTATAGTCACTGTTGTGCTGTCAAATAGAGGATTTTACTCATTGTATATATACTTTCTGCACCCATTAATCATCCTCACATCCCCACCAACGACCCTTCCCAGCCTCTAGTAACCATCATTTTTCTATCTCCATGAGTTTGTTTTTATTTTTAGCTCCCACAAATAAGTGAGAACATGCAGTTTTCTTTCTGTGCCTGGCTTATTTCACTTAATGATTTCCAGTTCCATCAATGGTGCAAATGACAGGGTTGCATTCTTTTTTATGGCTGAATGGTACTCCATTGTATATATGGACCATTTTTTCTTTATCCATTCCTGTTGATGGACACTTAGATTGCTTCCAAATCTTGGCTATGATGAATAGTACTGCAACAAACATGGGAGTGTAGATATCTCTTCGCTATAATGATCTTCTTTCTTTTGGGTATGTATCTAGCAATGTGATTGCTGGGTCATTTGGTAACTCTATTTTTAGTTTTTTTGAGGAACCTCCGAACTGTTCTCCATCATGGTTGTACTAATTTACATTCCCACCAATAATGTATGAGGGCTCCCTTTTCTCCACATCCTCGCCAGTGTTTCTCATCATTTGTATGTCTTCTTTGAGAAATGTCTACTTAGATCCTTTGCCCATTTTTTAATCGGGTTGTTTTAAGTTGTTGTTTATACATTTTGGATATTAATCTCTTATCAGATGTATAATTTGTGAATATTTTCCCCCTTTCCATAAAATGTCTCTTCATTCTGTTCACTCAGTTACTTATCTATGGCTTGCTTTCACCCTATAATGGCAGAATTGGCAAAACTGAATAGATGAGACAGAGACTGTATAGTCCACAAAGCCCAAAATATTTACTATTTCAACTTTTACAGAACTGGTTTGCAGAACTCTACCACACGTAATGTCTCTTTCTGTAGGTATTATATACAAAGGCACACAGTGTCCAATTCCCCTTAGTTTGTGATGTTAATTTTGATCACTCAGACAAGTTATTGACAGGTTTCTCTACTATGTAGTTACGATTTTTCTCCCGCACCTTATCAGCAATCTGTAGGGGAGACTTAAATGCCGTGCATATCTCATAAAAAAATTTCATACCCACCCCCACAGATTTAACATCCATTGATGATTCTTTCCCATCCCAACTTTTACTATGACTTTTGCAAAATGATTTTTCAACTCCAGCTATGACAGTCTGCATCCTATGTAGAGGCTTCCCTTCTTCTGTATTTGTACCTGTCTGTCTACTCTCAGTGTAAGCTTATGCATTCCTATTTTTTCAATAGTTTTTAATGTATTTCTTTCTTAAATTATTTTAATGCTCAAATTGTCCCATGTTTTACCAATGGGATCCCCTAGAAGGTGATTCCTGTGTTCTTTTGACATGACCCATCGTTTTCTTGAGTGCTTCCTTAATTTGATATAACAAGATGTACTTGGCTTATCTTTACTTTCCTTGTCACAGTCATAGAATCAGCTCCTCCAAGGAGCCCTGCTTTCTTTCCATAGGAAATATTACAAACCAGATCTGGGAATACGAGTGCTCAGTGTGCTCACTACTACTGGGGTGTCTTAGCTTCTGGGCCCTTTCAGAAGAATCTACATCTATGTATTAACTTATTTATTTATGTATCTACATATCCATGTATCTATTTATCTAAGTAACCATAAACTCATACTGATACCTCCAATTGCAATCCATCCAGGCCAGGATTCTTCCTTGACTCCCCCATTTCATAGCTGCAGTTCTCGTCTTCCACATGAAGAACTTTGGTTCCCAAAAAAATATATTTACTTATTTTTTAGTCTAAACATATATCTAAAATAATTTCAGAATTGCTTCACCTAAACCTTCAAAAAACAAACCTCAAAGATTTGTTTGCAGTCCTTCTTCGCATCTAAACCTCGACTGAGAGCACATAGTCAAATACTGTGTTCAAAAATCACTTGCATTAGTTCTTTTCATCCCGTTTCAGAATGATTATCCTATTCATTTGAAACATAGTTGGGTTCATTTGTTTCAGCTTACATTGTTTTATGATTTTTTTCTTCCTTTCCTTTTTTATTTAATTGTTCAATATGTAAATGATTAATATGATTCTAAAAATCAATGTTTCTAAGTCAAGACTATTTTTTTAAAAGAGTAAACACAGGTAAATATACTTTCATGTCATATCTTTACCATACCATTCTCTACCACCCCTTGTAAATAACCAACATACTTGTTTTCTGGTTTATCTTTCCTGTGTTCATTTTTGCTCAAATTAGCATGTGTAACTATATTTTACTTCCCTTACACAAAAAGTAGTACATGTATATATATTACTACTTCATAGTTATATAGTTGTGTGTATATATATATATAGTTATACATAGTTGTGTATATATAGTTATATACATAGTTGTGTGTGTGTTTATGTGTGTGTATATATATATATAATCTTGCACTGGAGATAGTGTGCACGCTTGTTTTGTTCTTGAAGTGAATAGAAATGCTTATTTCCCTTATTAAGTATAAGATGCTGGCTTTGGGATTGAAACATATTTATTATGTTCATACAGTAGCCATCCATTCCCATTTTCTCAAGCGTTATTAGAAATGTGATTTTTTTAATACCAATGAAAATAATATCATTTTTCTCCTTTGACCTACTAATATAGTGAGTTTTATTAATATATTTCATAATAGTCATCCTTAGATGCTTGGCTATATATCCCACTTAATTATACTTAATTATCTATTAATGTGTATTTTATTATTAAATGGGATGTATACCCAGGCATCCAAGGATGCTTATTATAAAATATATTAATAAAACTCAACACACATTAAGAAAAGAATGTGTTGGAGTGTTCATTTTATTTAGAATTTTGTGTTGATATTTAACGGGGAAAGGTTTTATTTCATTTTTAATCATATACATATGTAAATTTTCCATTTCTGTGTAGTGGGTTTAAGTGGCAATGTTATACTTCCCTTATAAAACAAATTTGGAAGTTTCCTTCCTTTATCATTCTCTAAAACAACCTACATAGCATTGAGACTATCCAGCTATTAAGATTTTGCTAAATTTACTCTCTGGTATCATCTAGGCCTGGTGCTTTCTCCACTTTTTCTAAGGAAAGTGCTTTATACAAATTTTTTATATTTACTGGGTTCAATTTGAAAAATTGCTACTTTCTATGAAATAATTCATTTCTTCAACATTTTCAAATTTAATTGCATTGTTGTACAAGATAGTCTACTATTTTAATATCCTATCAATATTATTTCTCCCTTGTCATTTCTTGTTTTGTGTATTTGTGCTTGCTCTCTTGTTTCTTGATTAAATGAGCTGCTGGCTTCTCTGTTTTTTTCAAAAAAATTAATCTGTTTTTCTGTTCTTACATCATTAATTTCAGCTTTTATTTTTATTCTCCTCCTAGTTATATAAAAAGTTATGCAAAAATCTTTACTTGTTGGTTTAGCTATTCTTTTTCTAGCTTTTTGAATTGGGAATGTGGTGCATTTATTTTCATTCATATTAATAGAGTTGTTTAATGTTATAAATATACTTCTGATAACTGCTCTAAATGTATCCCATAAATCTTTATATGTGTTGCTTTTACTGTCACTATTTTTCAGAAATTCTGTAATTTTTCCTTGTATTTCCCCATTCACCCAATAGAAAGATTTTATTTAATATTCAGGTGTTTATTTTCAATGCTTCCATTCTTGGGAAACTACTAATTTTTTATATATATATTCAGTCAATTTTTGTGGGTTTTCCATGTGCATTTGAGAAGACAACATTCTCTATAATCGGGCTGTATTGTTCGCTATACATCCTTAACTTCAACTTTATTAGTTATGTTGTTTAGATTTTTTTAGATATTTTCTTATTTTTTATCCTATCGTGTATTGACAATAATGACTGACCTGTTTTGTACTGAAGTGACACTGTTTCTCTTCACTGCCTGTGGTTTCTGTTTTCTATAGGTGGTTGCTGGGTTGTCTGGTGTATAGATAATATTCTTCTAATATATATCATATCATTGTGGTGAATTGTGGGTTTTAGTAATTATAAGGTATTCTTGTATAATGTTTTGATATTCCCTGTCTTACTGTAATCATTCACCTATGAAATCTTTCTCTGTTCCTTTATTTTCATCGTTTCTGCATCAATATGTTGTAAATGTCTCCTAAATCAAGCATAGATTTGGGTTTTGTTTTATGCAGCAAGTTGAAATGTTTTCTTTTAATAAACAAGTTAATCCCATTCCCATGTACTGATATTATGGTGAATCTCAACTCTGTCACAGAATTTTATGTCATAATTACTGTGTGTATGTATTATAATGCATATTTCTGAGTTTTTTCCTATTTGATATTTCTTTGCTTTTATTTCTTTTGGTAGGTAAGAACGTTTATATCTTTGTTAGTGTTTTCCTTTGTGTATGTATCTTTCATAGTGCCCTTAATTCTCATCTTTCTTACCTAATTTTATTATCTGTTCTGTCAGTTTTAATCCTCAGTATACCTAGAACAATAGTAATCAGCATTTATCATGATTCAATAGTTCCTTTTAGTTGCTTTATCACATCATAAGTAATTTACACAAGAAAAAAGTGTCAGTCAAAAACTACCTTTTGCAAATTCCAAAAAGAATTTAAATATAGCAAACCTCTTTGTTTTAAAGTGTTGGGGCATATAAACATAATAAAAAATAAAAATGTATTGTTCACTCACTGAATCTAAGAGTTTGAAAAAATTCATTTAGGATATCATTTCCTGAAGATCCATAGTCTGAGATTTAGTGTAAACTCACCAGAGTTTACAGGGTTACCATCTGTCTCTTTGCATTCTTATCTGTCTCTTTGCATTCATCTTCTTATTTGTCTAATTACTGCGAAAGATCTTTCAACTTTTTACTAGTATGGGCAGAAAATGAAAAATTTTAAATTCTCAACTGTGTTCAACAAAAACTAAAAGCGGACTACAATGATGGTACTTTGTCTTCTTGTATGCCTTCTTTAAAGGTAATAAAATACTTCGGGCACCGCAATAATACAACTAAAGGATGACAGTTTTTTTCACTGTGGCATCATCTTTCTAAAAAACTTCTGTTTTATTGTTAATTTTTAGCATAGTTGGAAATAATTGATAAGTAATGAATTAGTTCCTAAAATGATAAATAGCAAAATGCTTTAGAACACAGAAAATAACAACATTTAAATTCCACAGTGTATCTTTCATTTTTAAAAGAATGCAACAGACCCATCTGGTAATTACAGACAGAATATTTTATTCTGATTTTTTTTAACAAGTAAATGTTCTCTTTGTTCTTTGAAAGACTTCTAAGAAAGAATAAAATGTATAAAATAATAGTCTTCGCAAATAGTTAGGCCTGCTCAGAAAACAAACTAAAAATTAAAATTGGGTCCAATAGACCTTGATGGAATATCAAGTGTTAAATGGCATCTTTTGATTCCTATCTATTACATATGCAGCTGTCAATGTTCTTATCTCTGATTTCCCCTTTCCTCTCCCTTCTCCCATTTTTAACTGCATTATTTCTACTTGGACAAAACATGTAACATTTGCACATTTAGTTGTCTACACATATTCCTACCTTTATTTTAGTCTTAGCTCTAAAATTAAGTATGGGAAATGTTTTCCATCAATCTTTTACCTGAAGTGTTCCCATTTATCTGTTCATTAGGTGAAGCTCATTCTCCAGGACAGGGATTGGAAAATTACAGCCCATTAACTCCACCAATTGTTTTTGTAAATCAGGTTTTATTGGACATAGCCACATTCACCCTTTTATGCAATTTATACTGTTTGTATACAGTTTCAATGGAAGAACTGAGTAGTGACAACAGAGTCAACAGAATTTAGTAGGATACAAAGCCTAAACTATTTACTATCTGAACCCTTACCAAAAAACATCTGCAAACCTCTACCCTAGTATATAAATTTCTCAGGTAAGGGCACACACATACAGTATTAACTTAGTTTTTCTATGTTCAAAATTATTTTTGATAGCCTTGACACTTGAGGTACAATTTGGCAAGACATAAAACCCTTGGTCTATACTTTCTGAAGTGTCTTGAAAATTTTGTTCCATGGTTGCCTTGATCTGTAGGTTGCTTTTGAAAAATCTGATACTAGTCTAATCTCTTGCCCTTGTAAGATATTTCATCTTTCTGCTGGAAAATCCTAAGGATTTTTTTCTTTATCTCTTAAAATGCAATAGTTTATCAGGATATGTCTCAAAATGGCTACTGTGGGTAAATTTTACTAGATACCAAATCCAAAAGCTCAAAAGCAGGGAAATAGGTAAATAAATTGTGGTAGAGTTATACAACAAATAAAATACAGAAATATAAAGAAGTTAACTGCAGCAATATATAATGACATGGATGAATCTTGGTAATAATCGTGATAAACAAAATCAAAGAAAGCCTGAGAAAATGGCATAAATACAACCTTTTTATAAAGGTCAAAAATAAGCAAACCAGATGACATGCACATGTATATGTGATAAAGCTATTTTTAAAAACAAATATACAATAAGAATTTCTGGATTTCAGAATAATGGAGAAGTTGAAAAAAATCAACAATTTTTTTAAATTAACATGATTTTAAAGAGAAAACTTAAAGGAATACAGCAAATGGGCTTTTAAAAAAATAAATATCCTCCCATCAAATACACTTTGGAGGTATTTTGCTAGTAAGACAATGATTACTTCTACATTGATAGCATAATAACCAAAAAAAAGTTGAGTCTGAGTTAGCATAATTCAAAAAGAAATTTAAAAGAATATCCAACAAAAAGGTTTTCTTGAATAAATAAGAAGAAATACATAAATAAGGGTTCTGCTTATTAAAAAACTGGAACAGCTACTCTTGAAAGATGATAAATATATTAATCTTTCACATTAAGAGAAAATGCAACATTAAAGATGACCATGTGACATTAAAATTTAAAAATTCAAAAATAAGCATAGAAATGGACTGAAGGACCTAATTCCATGCTATTCTGAAATGTTTATACTTCTGCCAACATTTTTATCCACTAATAAAGTGTGAAATCCTCCCACAAGACACTTCTTCCTCTCAACTTCCAGAATAAGAACATATGAAGGATCATTTTGGTCAAAAGTTATATTTGAATCTCTAAAAAGCCAATAGTAGCTACTATATCAGCCAGGGTGCTGACAGGAAATAAATAATATGATCAAAACAATTATAAAGTATCTAATAAAGGCTATTTATAAAGGTATGACCAGGGCAATATCCTGAGACCTACCACAACAGGAAGACTTTACCACCCCTTGGCCTTAAAAAAGCAAGAGGAGGGAGTGTTTCCAGAATTCCTAGAAAATAGCTATATGAGGACACCTGACAGTTCAGCCTTCAATAAAGCAACACAACTAACCCAAGGTTATCCAGCAGGGAGAAAGTTGGTGGAATAAAATACCACAACCCCACTCATCTCCCACCATCAGATCTACCACCACTGGCTCAGCCTACCTGGAAGCCAGAGGGCATGGAAACAGGATGGAAAAAAATAAAAGGTAGATGTGGAGAGACAAATAGAGGACATCAAGCACAGCATGTTATGAGTCACCACTAGAAGGAGAATAATAATTACGTATAGTACACAATTTAAATAATTTGGTTAATATACTAAAAACAAAGTCAAGAAACAGATTCACACTTTTAAGGAAAGTGTGATGAAAATCGTATTTATTCATCCACAAATATTTATCAAGCATTTAATATATGGCCCTTTACTAGAAAGTATACACACAGGAGATATGTTGCAGAATTCCTCCTCTAAAACTTCTTAGAAAAAGAATATAAATTTTTTTAGAAAAAAAAAGAGTACCTATAAAAAACAGCATATATGTAATTAATAAACAATGGAAATTTATTTCTAACAGTTCTGGAAACTAGGAATTTCAAAATCAAGGTGCTGGCAGCTTTGGTGTCTGCTGAGAGCTACGCTCTGCTTCCAGATGGTGCCTTGTTTGCTATGTCCTCCAGAGGGGAAGAATGCTGTGTCCTCACATGGTGGAAGGATGGAAGGCAAAAAGGACCCAGCTAGCTCCCTCCAGCACTTTTTGTAAGGCACTAATCCACTCATGACAGCAGAGCCATCCTGACTTAATCACACCCCAAAAAGCCCCACCTCTTAATACTACCGCAATGGGGATTAGGTTTCAACATGAATTTTGGAGGGGACATATTCAAATTGTAGCATGTGTCATATTCATTTAAAAACAAAAGGACACAGGAGCTTAGAGGAAAATAAAACTACTTCCAGAAAATGAAAAATGCAGTAAATAAAGCTGTGGATTAAGAAGTCTTTTCATCATTATACAATTATGAAGGCCACTTCCACTCTGTGACAAACAAAAGCATGTGGAACCTTTACTGCAAGCTGATTTCTTCATTAAACATTTTCTGGATTTTTCCAACAATTTTGAATATAAGTCTTGTTGTCACTGTCACACCTAAGCACTTGATAACCCGACATCACTTTTAGAAGTTGTACTCTAGGATGTTCTCACAAAAAATTTCCCGTCCTTGGCCAGGCACGGTGGCTCATGTCTGTAGTCCCAGCACTTTGGGAGGTCGAAGAAGGCAGATCACTCGAGCTCAGGAGTTCAAGACAGGCATGGCGAAACCCCATCTCTACTAAAAATACAAAAAGTAGCTGGGTGTGGTGGTGCATGCCTATAATCCCAACCACTTGGGAGGCTGAGGTGGGAGGATCACTTGAACCCAGGTGGCAGAGGCTTCAGTGAGCTGAGATCGTGCCACTGCATTCCAGCCCCTGCAACAGAGTCAGACTGTCTCAAAAAAAAAAAAAACAAAAAAAAAAACAAAAAAAACAAAAAAACAAAACCAAAAAAAAAAAAAAACACAGCTCCCTTCCTGATTTATTTGTGTATGCTTCACACTAGCTATTTTCTTAAGTATTCTGTTGTCTTATCTCTATAAACATTTTCATATTAATCAAGCCACACTGGATGACACAGTACTTTGTAATCCCAGAACTTTGGGACGTCAAAACAGGCAGATCTCTTGAGGTCAGGAGTGCGAGACAGGCATGGCGAAACCCCATCTCTAGCAAAAATGGATAGGTTCTCTACTAAGAATGGGTAGGTTTTGGAGACATAGTCCATGGGACACATCAACTGACAACTGACAGGGTTAATAGTTAAAGAAAATTTCAGAGATTATGTGTCAATTAAAGCCTGGACCTTTAAATGGCTGCCTTCTCGTCCTTGTATCAACTCCCCTAACAGTGTTACCTACACTTTCCCAAATAGAATTATTTCACTGAAATCCTGTCTCATTGTCTGCTTCTGTAAAAATCCAAGCTAAAAAGGATCCTAAGTTTCTTGCCAGTTTCTGCTCACTTTGTGCTTTCCTTTTCAAACACATTTCCTTGAAAGAGCTGGTTCCACCCATCATTTCCACTTCTACTTCTCTCATTCCCTATTAAATCCAATATTGTGAGACTTTCACCCCATCACTACACAGAAACTGTTCCTGTCAAGATCACCAATGACTGCACAGTGCTAAATTCAATGATCAATCCTTAGTAATGATTGTACTTGAGGCATCAGCAGAATGTGGCTCCGTTGATTACTTTCCCACTTAATATTCTTTCTGCACTTGGCTTACACTTCACCGTACTCTTCCTTGCTTATCTTCCTTTTCTCCCCTACCTCTTATTATTCGGGGACCCTATAGCTCAATCCTTTTATTCTCCTTTTTATCTACACCCACTTCATTAGTGATCTGATCTAGTCTCTTGGCTTTAAGAACTCCCAAGAACTCCCAAATTTACACCTTCAGCCCAAATCTTTCTCTCTAGGACTCCAGTAAGAATATGGCACTTTACTAGAAAGTGTACACATAAGGAGGTATACTGCAGAATTCCTGCTCTAAAACTTCTTAGAAAAAGAATATAAATTTTTTTAAAAAAAGAGTACCTATAGCAACATATATATCCAACTGTCTGCTTGACATTTTCTCTTTGACATCTAGTGGCTATCTCACGTATAACATGTCCAAACTGAACTCCTCATCGTTAAAACACCTTTGCCCCAAACCTGCTTCACAATCTACTACATGTCGGTTGATGGCAATTTCATCTTTCCAGCTGCTCAGGCCCAAAATTTTGGAATCACCCTTGGTTCCTCTCTTTTATCTCACACTCTACATCTAAACCCTCAGCAAATACTATTGGCTCTACTTTTTTAAAAAATCCAACAGATCGACTAATTCTCATCATCATTTTTGGCCCAGATTACCGTTAACAACTTCCTAACTATCCTCTTTCTGTTCTTTCTTCCATAAAGTTTATTTACAACATGCAGCCAAAACAATTCACAGGACATAGGCATGGGCAAGGACTTCATGTCTAAAACACTAAACCAATGGCAACAAAAGCCAAAATTGACAAATGGGATCTAATTAAACTAAAGAGCTTCTGCACAGCAAAAGAAACTACCATCAGAGTGAAAGGCAACCTACAGAATGGAAGAAAATTTTTGCAATCTACTCATCTGGCAAAGGGCTAATATCCAGAATCTACAAAGAACTCAAACAAATTTACAAGAAAAAAACAACCCCATCAAAAAGTGGGTGAAGGATATGAACAGACACTTCTCAAAAGAAGACATTTATGCAGCCAACAAACACATGAAGAAATGCTCATCATCACTGGCCATCAGAGAAATGCAAATCAAAACCACAATGAGATACCATCTCACACCAGTTAGAATGGCGATCATTAAAAAGTCAGGAAACAACAGGTGCTGGAGAGGATGTGGAGAAACAGGAACACTTTTACACTGTTGGTGGGAATGTGAACTAGTTCAACCACTGTGGAAGACAGTGTGGTGAATTTAATTATTCTGACAGCATCTTTAAACTACATTTACCCATCATTTTGTACTCTTTTCTTTGAAAGTACTATAGATTATTTTATGACACCACATACTTTCAACATGTAAGCAGCAAATTCAAAATGCCTTAGGAATAAGTAAAGTAAGATATTAATTTTTCTATTAAGAAATAATTTTATAAAAAATTTGTTGGGTTTTGCTTTGTACTTCAATAATTCACAGAATGTGAAACTGCCCATGGTTTATCTATTATTCTTATAAAACTCATCAATCATGTATTCTTCCCATTTTCATCTTACACTACATTCTTAAGTATGCCTGACAAGTAATGCAGTTAGTAAGACAAAAATCAAGCCAAAAATACCCTGCAGATAAATTTATTTAGACATAGTATTTTGGTTGTAGAATAAGCCAAAAGAAACTCAATATAAAAATATGTTTAGATTATCTAAAACAAAATTGGCATTCTGTAATCAGATTATCCCAAATCAAACAAAAACCTACCAGGAGATTAATATATCAGCTAACAACCTATATCAATATTTATCACTAATAGTTGATCAGAATAAACCCATAGTACTTTCCTAGCCATCCTTGGAAAGCATAACCACCATTATGTCTGATGGCTGAGTGGGACAAACGTTCAATAAAGGAAACGATGAAGCACACGAAATATATTCTGCCAACTGTGAATTATAAACTATATTCAGTAAGGATGACATATACTAATCAGGTGGCCTAGAGATTCCATTTTAATGGCCAACATTGAAGGTGGACCCATGTAGGTATAAGATTAGAGAGTATCTATGTAAAGTCAAGATCATTGAAAGTGTACATCCTCAATGAAAAAGTGAGTTTTTAAAAATATGCTCCGTGGAGGCAGATAGATAGCATCTATTTCAGCCTTGGTTCCACATATACGAAACAACTATTCCCCCTGGGAACTTTGGGCCATTTACTAGATATCAGGCTACTTTGGGGCATGAATTTTCCCTATATATAATGTCCAAAAAAAAACTATATGCCAAATTTTAATTTAAGTTGGATCAGGGTTACTAGGGCCCTAGAAGCATACTCTTTCTCTTAAGAGCAAGTGTAGGCAAAGTAAGGCCCAAAGGCTAAATCTAGCCCACCACCTGTTTTTGTAAATAAATTTTTATTGAACACAACCATGCCCATTTGTTTATCTATTGTCTATGGCAACTTTCAGGCTACAAGGCAGAGTTAATTAGTTGTGACAGAGACTGTAAGACCAACAAAGCCTAAGATATTTACTATCTGGTCATTTATAGATGCCTTTTGCTGACCCCTGTAAATAAATGATATACTTACTGTTTATTTTTAATTTATTTATATTATAAAATGATATAATTATCATTGTGTTTGAAACAAAACAAAAATAACTAAAACAGTGGAAAACTGTATCCTATAAATTGGAGGTTGATCAAAGAATAAGAGTATTGCTTAACTTTAGACTAAGTTAAGTACTCATTTTAAAATTTCAAAAGTCAAAACCTGTGTTTCAAGGACAAATGTGGTAACAGTTTAGTTCTGAATCTCCCCCATTCTCCCTGGAAAAGAAATAGAAAACAAAAGGAAAACATGGGGAAAGTAGATGAAGTGAAAGGAAAAGAAAATTACATTTCCAGAGAAATTACGAGGGTAAAAAAAAAATTCCTCATAAAGTCTAGATTAGGTATGAACGTACAAAAATCAAGTGAAACCAAAACAGCTAAACAGAAGCAGCCACAAAAATGCTGAAAGGGCAATGAGAAACAAGTAGCATAGAGGAAACTAATGGAAGCAGATCTCAAAACTTACCACACCCATCCCCACAAAAAAATAAAATAAAGTTAAGGGGAAGGAGGGCCCTAAACGTGAGAAGAGCTATAATTAAAAACAAATCAACAAAAAAGCAAGAATGACTTTTTGAAAATACAAGACATGTACAGAAAATTTACAAAAAAAAAAACAGGAATCACAAAGCAAAATTCAACTCTCTCGTATGCAAGAAATACATTTTTTTTAAAGTGATTCTAAAACACTAAACAATAATAACAATAAAGGGATGAGCAAAGGTATACTAGGAAAAGACTGACCAAAAAAACAAAACAAGGGCAATATTAACGACAGATGAGGTAGAATTCAGGTCAAGAAAACATTAAACAAACCACTTTATAATAGTAAGTAATACAATTTACAATAAGCACATAACAATTATTAATATTTGTAATAGCAACTTCTATAAAACATAAATTCCAGAATATATAAGGAGAAATATGAAAAATACACTAACACTTTAAAATTTTACTTCCACTTTCACAGCAAGATAAATCAAGAACAAAAAATACTAAGTCAGTAACAGAAGGCCTAAACAATATAATCAATAAAGTCGATTTTATAAATAAATAATATCAAACTCCATACCTTGATATTATTGGATTTATCTTCTTCTCAAGTGCCTATCAAATATTTGTGAAAACTGAGGCACAAAGAAAATTTCAATAAATTTAAAAAGTAGAAATAAGACCAACATTTCCTGAGCACTATAATAAAACCAAAAATTAATAACAAAATCAGAAAAGAAAACTGCCCTTCTACATAGAACATCTGTTAACTCTTGCTTAAAAACTCCTGGGCCCATTTCAAAAGTTGGAATAACTCAGCCACACATCTGCCTCAACGTTGTCATGAGTTTGTTATGACAATAATGTATGTAAGCAAGCTTATTCAATGTAGCATTGCTTATTAACCATCACCCTCCAACGTGTTCTCATCAATAGCCATTCTCTCCTGATTACTTCTGTTTTCTCAGTAAAATAAGAACTAAGGTCATCAATTGCGAGTGATGATAGAGAAGGAAGTGTTTGAAACTTGAGGAGAGAGGAAAAGGTATGAAATAGTCATCCAGGAGAGCTGGGAGCGAGACCAAGCTACACTGGCAGAAGTTCCAGATGTCATTAAGGGCCAACTTGACATGAGTAATTATAAACTTACAGCTGAGTAAGTACCGGATATCATAAAAAAAAAAAAACAACTTGAGAACAGTAATTATGAAATTTAAAGCTAGGTACGTTTAGAAGTATGGGTAGGGCTAGAAGTATGGATTAAAAAGGTAGGGTTAGAAATATGGACAAAAAAAGAGTGAGAGATAGTGGAAAAACTGATAGTCTCAACAGACTAAAGGCTCTGGTAAGGTCAAAGAATTGTCAGAGTGTGGGCATTAGAAACAGTAAGCTGGAGAGATCAGTGGGACTTGAAAAGTAAGATATTTCATATGGAAATTATGGACTCATTGTACTGGAATAACAAGGTCTAGAACGTAACAATGGAGAGAGTGGCTCAAGGAGGATGGAAAACAAAATCTTTGGTAGATCAAGAAATTGACAGGCCAGGTAGGAGAAGTACTTAAGTGCATATTTACAACATAAAAATATTTGCCTTATGTATTCTGGACACAGTGACAGTAAGCCAGAAGCTAAATTCCTCAAGAAATAAAACACAGCCATCTGAGAGCAAAGGATGAGTGCAGGAAGGTGAAGTAATAGGTGATATATTCTGATGATGTAAGAGTCAAAGCCAGGCAATTTAAAGGAGGAGGAATTGAGAATAGAGTGGAAATGGCAATAAGAAGTAAAGGGGATATGTAACCCACTTTTGACCCAGCTGTACTGAGAATATGTAAACAAAAACAGCCATCACTTGAAAGGACTGCAAGGGAAACAGTGGAGTATTTCGAAGGGGAGTCTTCCTCTGAGCATACAAGTACTCTCTTGCTAATGGTGGTCTGCAAATGAGTTTTCTCATTAAGACTGCACAAGGACTCTAAATAGTTGTATATATAGTTGTCCATACACAAAAGAGCCAAGAATTTGAGTTCATCATACTGGCCAGAGCCAGAAAAGAATTATTTTCTTGAATCTGAATAACCACCATAGGGCATATATTTGTAAACAAACTAAAAACAATAAAGAAGGTTACCACTGTTTTAAAAATGTTATAAATAATTCAAAAAAATGAAGTACCAGAAAAACAAAATGGAGTAAAGGTATAGTACAAAAACTCACATGTAGATTGCCCTAGACACCTTCACCTTCACATAACAGATAATAATCTCTTATAGAAGCCAGCAGACTATCCTTGAGAAGCTGACTTTAAAGAAGTAATACATACATAAAGATATAGCAGTAAGATTAGAAATAGAATGCTAAAAAATAAAAAATCCTGAAACCATGCAATGCATAGTAAAGAGACTGGGATAGTTTCAGTACTTCGTTCATAAATAAAATCCAAAGAAATAGCACCACCTACTGGAATTTCACATATTTTTTTAAAAAATTCACAAATCTTAGAAAATGAGACTATTAAGTAATATTTCCCCTCATTTGGTTAAAAAGGTAAGCTTAAATATTAAAGGACAAAATCTAACATAATCAAAAAAGCTTATATTAAAAATTATTAATTATCAGCTTATAATTTCAATCTCAAATAACTCACCATTTTGACTAAATTCATATGAAGATTTTATTAAAGAGAAAAACATTCCCAATCAATAAAGAAATTACAATTTTTAAGTAACTCACAGATATGGTATTCCTGTATGCTGCTTGTATAACCATATATTGCAGAATATCCAAATATTATGATCATGACAACATCTCTACTATCCAACTCCATAATATGTGCTGAATGTCCCTCCACAGCATACTGCTGACCATGTCCAAGAACAGTAGGAGTTTTTGTACTCCATGACTGACTATGTATGTTAAAAACCCATAATTCATCTGTGACATTGCCATCATTTGTTTCAATTCTGCCTCCATACATAAAGATGTTTTCCTGTAAATTAAAATACATATATTAATAGATAAAATAATGTTATATCTTAACACATATTAATTAAAAATAAAGGTTAAATTTACATAAAATTTTAGTAATTGTTCACAACATGCATAAGGCATTGTTCTCATTTGTAAAAAGTAATGAGAACACATGAATAATGACAACTAATGCTTTTATATACAAAAAGGGGGGGAAACAGCAAAGCTTTCAAAAAGCTACTTTAAATATATTTTTTAACTATCACATTATGTAGTCAATTAAGTATACTTTTAATTGTCATACAGTAAGAGAACACTAAACTACTGCTTTAAGAATGGAAAATGCAATAAGCTAATAAAGAACTTACAATTTAAGGGTGAGGTAGTCCTATAACAAAGAATAATGTACTCCTCCCATATAACTGAAGATAACAAACTAAGTTGCTGATTAATATTACTCATAGTCTTCAATATTTGAATCATCTGAGTCCCTAGTAGCTTTGTGCTATTCTCAGTTATTTACTGTTTTCATCACGTGCTCTTCACCAAAAAGACATATCACATTTGTGCATCATGTAGAGTACACCTCTGTTACCATTTCTAATGGCTATAGACAGACACCACATGCCTTCAGTTCACCTTTGGTAAATCCTTGTAGAACTTTTAAATTATACAAATTATTTCAAATGCATATGATGGAAATAAATGGTACATAAATGATGTAAATTATCATTATTTCAACAAACTAGAAATAGAAAAAAATTTTTCCAACCTGACAAAAGATATTTAAGGAAACTCACAGCTAACATTATACCTAACAGTGAAAGACTAGATACATTTCCCTAAGGTCAGGAACAAGATAAGCATGCCTGCTTTTGCCACTTATATTCAACATTGTAGTGGATGTTCCAGCTAGAGCAAAAACTAAATAAAGACATCCAGATTGGAAAGAAGAAGTAAAATATTTCTATTTGCAGATGATGCAATCTGGTATATAGAAAGTCCTAAAAATTTTTTTAAAAAGCACTTAGAGCTAATAAATGAATCAGCAATATTACAGAACATAAGATCAATGTACAAAAAGTAAATTGTATTTCCATACACTTGTAATGAACACCCCAAAAATGAAATTGGGAAAATAATTACATTGACAAAAGCATCTAAAAGAATAAAATACTTATGAATAAATTTAATAAAGGAAGTCCAAACCTTATACTCTGAAAATTACAAAACATTGTTTAAATAAATTTTTAAAAGATATAAATAAATGAAAAGACATCCCATGTTTATGAGTCTGAAGACTTAACATTGTTAAGATAATACTCTCCAAATTGATTAAGAGGATAATACTCTCCAAATTGATCTACAGATTCAACATGATCCCTATCAAAATCTCAGCTGGCTTCTTTGTAGAAACTGACAAATTGATTCCAAAATTCATATGAAATTGCAAGGGATGCAGAACATCAGAACAATCTTGTAAAAGAACAAAACTGGAGTACTCCCACTTCTCAAAAACTTACTGCAAAGCAAAAGTAATCAAGATAGGTTGGGCATGGTGGCTCATGACTGTAATCCCAGCACTTTGAAAGTCCGAGGCGAGTGGATCACTTGAGGTCAGGAGTTCAAAACCAGCCTGGCCAACATGGTGAAACCCCATCTCTACTAAAACTATAAAAAAATTAGCTGGGCATGGTGGCAGGCGCCTGTAATCCCAGCTACTCAGGAGGCTGAGGCAGGACAATCGCTTGAACCCAGGAAGTGGAGGTTGCAGTGAGCCAAGATTACACTACTGCACTCCAGCCTGGGTGACAGAGCAAGACTCTGTCTCAAAAAAAAAAAAAAAAAAGTAATCAAAACAGAGTGATACTGGGATAAATCAATGGAATAGAACTGAGAGTCCAGAAATAAACCCACACATCTATGGCCAATTGATTTTTGACAAGAGTACCAAGACCATTCAAAGACAAAAGAAAATGTCTTGTGAACAAATGGTGCTAGGAGAACTGGATAGTCACATGCAAAAAAAAAAAAAAAAGAACTTGCACCCTTACTGCATACTATATACAAAACTTAACTCAAAATAGGTCAAAGAACTAAATGCAAGAATCAAAACTATAAAACTCTTAAAAGAAAAAAAAAATTGGGTTAAGTCTTTATGACCTGAGATTTGGCAATGAATTATTAAATATGACACCAAATCACAAGCAATAAAAGGAAAAAAAGTTAAATTGGACTTTATCAAGATAAAGTCCAATTTTTTGTGTTTAAAAAGATAACATCAAGAAAGTGAAAACAGCACACGAAATGGGTGAAAATATTTGCAAATTATTTACCTGATAATGGCTTGTATCTAGAACATATGAAGAATTCTTACAACTCAATAATAAAAGGACAACTTAATTTTAAAATAAGCAAAGGACTTGAATAGACATTTCTCCAAAGACAATATACAAATGGCCAAAAGCACACAAAAAGATGCTCAACATCATTAGTTAACAGGGAAATACAAATCAAAACCACAATGAGATAATACTTCAACCCACTAGGATGGCAATAATCAAAAAGGCAGATACTAATAAGTGTTGGCAAGGATGTATAGAAATAGAAACCCTCATACATGGCTGGTGGGAATGTAAAATGATGCAGCAACTTTGGAAAACATTCTGTCAGTTCTTCAAAAAGTGAATTTGACCCAGTAAGTCCACCCCTATGTATATACCCAAAAGAAATGAAAACATATGTCCAGACAAAATCTTAAACAGCAATGTTGTTAGTAGCATTATTCATAATAGCCAAAAGGTGGAAACAACTCAAATGTCCTCAACCGATGAATAAACAACACGGTATATTTCCATAAAATGTAATATTATTTAGCCATAAAAAGGAATGAAGAAGTACTGATACATTCTAAAACATGGATAAACCTTGAAATTATGCTAAGTGAAATATGGTAGTCATAACATACATAGTATATGACTTCATTTATATGAAATGTCCAGCATGGACCAATATATAGAGAAAGAAAGTAGCTTTGTGACTGCTTAAGGCTAGGGAAGACGAGGAAGTGTGGGGTGATACCGAAAGGATACAAAGTTTCTTTGTGAAGTAATGAAAGTATTCTAAAAGTGATTACACAACTCTGTAATCTTACATAAATCTGCAATAGATGGTTGCACAACTCTGAATATACTAAAAACCACTGAATTGTACACTTTAAATGAGTGAAATGTATGGTATATCAATTATATCTCAGTAAGGCTGTTACAAAAAGGGAAATAAAGAAAAAATAAAACAAGGCAAAAAATGTAGGTATATGTTTTCATACATAGAAATACTTTTATTTTACTTTTAAAACACACAAATGCATGGATAAACAGGTGGTAGTTTGTTCTTTATACTGCTCCCATGCTTTCCAATTTTTTTTAACAACAGCACAGAAAACATATAAATTCATATTTAGACAGCCTAGCCAAAGGCCACAAAATACATGAAATTTTGTTGATTCAAAATGAAAACCAAACAAGTGTCCTGTCATTTTAATCATGCTAAATTTATGAATCCCACAAATACATAAAAATAACTAATGTCAATACAATCCCTGTCAAAACCCCAACATTTTTGCAGAAATAGAAGACTTAATCCTAAAATTCATATAGACTTTCAAGGGACCCTGAATAGCCAAAACAATCTTGAGAAATAAAAACAAAGTAGGAAGTATCACACTTCTTAACTTCAAAACTTATTAAAAAGCTACAGTAATCTAAATAGTACGGTACTAGCATAAAGACAGACATATAGATCAATAGAATAAAATAGAGAGTCCAGAAAAAAAAAACCCTCATATACATGGTCAAAGGACTTTCAGCTAGGGTGCCAAGACCATTTAATGGGAAAAAGACAGTTTCTTTTTTAACAAACGATGTTGGGGAAACTGGCTATCCACGTGCAAAGGAATGAAAATGGACCCTTACATCAGACACAATTAACTCAAAATGCAACAAAAACTTAAACCTAAGAACTAAAACTTTAAAACTCTTATGAGAAAATATAGAGGAAAAGCTTCATGACATTGGATCTAGCAATGATTTCTTGCATATGACACAAAAGCATAAGTAACAAAAGAAAAAATAAATTAAAATTAAAATTAAATTAAACTAAAATTAAAAATTCTGTGCATCAAAGGACACTCTCAACAAAGTGAAAAGACAGCCCATAAAGGGGGAAAATATCTGGAAATCATATTCTGATAAGGTGTTAATACCATAATATATAAAGAGCTCCTCCAACTCAACAACCAAACAAAACAACCCAATTCAAAACTGGCTAAAGACCTGAATAGACATTTCTCCAAAGAGGATATACAAATAGCCAATAAGCACTTGAAAAGATATTTAACATCATTAATCATTAGAGAAATGCAAATCAAAATCACAGTGAGATACTCATTAGGTCAATTATCAAAAAAACAAAAACAGAAAATAACAAGTGTTGACAAGGCTGTGGACAAACTGGAACCCTTGTGCACTGCTGGTGGAAATGTAAAATGGTGCAGCCATAGTGGAAAACACTATGGCAGTGCTAAAAAAAAAAAAAATTAAACATAGAATTACCATACGATTTAGCAATTCCACTTCTGGGTATACACCAAAAAAAAATGAAAACAGAGACTCAGATAGTTGTACACACATGTTCATAGAAACATTATTCACAATGGCCAAAAGATGGAAGCTATCTAAGTGTCCATCAACAGATGGATGGATAAACAAAATGTGGTATATACATATAATGGAATATTTACTCAGCTTCAAAAGGAAGGACATTCTGACACATGATACAACATGGATGATCCTTGAAGATAGTGTGCTAAGGGACACAAATCAGTCATAAAAGGACAAATAATGTACAATCCCATTTACATGAGGTACCTAGAGCAGTTAAATTCACAGAGACAGAAAAGTAGATTGGTGGTTTCAAGAGGATAAGGGAAGAGGGGAATGAGAAGTTATTGCTTCAGTTTTGCCCGATGAAAAATGTTCTGAAGATAATGGTAGCCATGGTTACACAGCAATGTCAATGTACTTAATGCCACTGAACTCTATACTTAAAAATAGTTAAAATGGTAAATTTTATGTTACATGTATTTCGCCATAATTTTTTTAAGTGATTGACTAGGCATAAATAGACAAAAACTCAATCTTCATTTCTTTACATGTCATGTGGGGGATTGTTCTAAAATCTATTCTTTTACTAAAAGCATAAGAGTATGTGGTATCTCAAGTTATCATGATCCATATAATCTATTGTTCTCATTAAATATTTGAAATAAATCTGAGATTTAGTATTTTTTAGCCTGTGGTAAACTATCAAAAACAAAATCTGATTAAAATTTAAAAAGCAGGAGCCATACCTGATATAAAGCAAGAGAGTGTCCATATCTCTGGAGAGGTCCCCTTGATGGAGTTCCTACATTCCATATACTGCTTTCTAAATTGTAACTAAAAGCAAGAAAAGAAAATAACTTCATAAGCTAAGATTCATTTTTGTTTTTTTAATTTTCACGTGCTTTTTATTCACTTGTGTCCAAGTATTCATTAAATTCAAAAAGAGTTACAACTAATAAACTCATAATTTCATGTGCCATATTAGAAATTTCTAATAAAGACTCATTCAAGATATACCTACACTAAATTAGGATTCAGTCTCCTGAATGTATAATATACATTAACTTGATTAGGATATTTATTACTGGAATTAATTGTCCAATTGCCTTTAATAATTTCCATCAATTGATTAAGCTAAACAATAGTGATTTGACTGTATTTTTTAATTTTTTTTTAAGCCAGGTTTCCTTCTTGGAAACAGATGAAAATTCTCTCCATTTTGTTTTAGGTATTTATTTTTATTCCTTTTTTTTAGTTGGCCTGATACTTATAAGTTTTTTATTGATATTTAAGTTGTACATATATGGTATACACATGGTATTTTGATATATGTATAGAATGTGTAATGATCAAATCAAGGTAATTAGAATATCTATTACCTCAAACACTTATCTCTTCTTTGTGTTGGGAGCATAACATTTCTTCTCTTCTAGCTATTTTGAAATATACAATAAATTGTTAACTATAATTTCCCTACTTTACTATCAAATACTACAACTTATTCCTTCTATCTAATTGCTTTTTGGCACTCATTAACCAACTTCTCTTTGTCCCCTTCTCCCTGCTTCTCTTCTCATGCTGTGGTAGCCACCATTCTACTCTCCACCTATATGAAATCAACTTTTATAGCTCTGACATTTGAGTGAAGACATGCAATATTTGTCTCTCTGTGCCTGGTTTATTTCACTTATAATGACTTCCTGTTCCATCCATATTGCTGCAAATGACATGATTTCATTTTAGGGGGACTAAACAATACTCCATTGTGTATATATACCACATTTTCTTTATCAATTTATCAGTTGATGGACACATGTTGAGTCCATATTATGGCTATTGTAAATAGTGCTGCAATAAATCTGAGAGTGCAGATATCGCTTTGATATACTGATTTACTTTCTTTTGGCTACATATCTAGCAGTGGGTTTGCTGGATCATATAGTAATTCTATTTTCAGTTTGAGGAACCTCCGCACTGTTTACCATAATGACTGTGCTACTTTACATACCCACACACTTATCTTAGCATTATATAAATTAACCAATAAGCATTTATTTCCTATGCACAAATATAGCTTGTTTACTGATAATTTTTTAAGACTGTATAAAATGAATTTGGCAGTAGAGAAGCTTCTATAAAAATAAGTCACTGTTGGATTATGTAACATGAAAAGAAAATTCGTATTTTTTTCTACTGGTGTAATACATATGAAAACTGAAGTCCCAAATTATAAATCCCAAATGCTTATACTCTATGCTCAAATTTCCTCCATTTGCTAAAATATACAAAAGGAAGCATCCAGCCAAGAAACAGGAGCCTGTTTTAAGAAGCTTGCTATCAATTGTTATCTTCCCAACTTCTCTTTCTTCCTCCAATGAATTAGGAAAGGAAAGGAAGTGCCCAAGTGCCCCTTCACAAGAAAGGTAAGGGTTACCAAATTTGTTTGCAGCATTGTTTAACTTATTTCCTACCTTGGAATTGTAAGATAAATGTGTATGATACAAACGAGGAAACATAATCAGAACATAACTTCCACAGATTCACACCACTAGTCCACCCATCTACCAGTATCTGCAGCCAACACACTGCTTTCCAAGTTATCATAAATTAGGGCTGTACAAACTATTTCTGTAAAGGGCCAGACAGTAAATATTTTAGGCTTTGTGGGCCACAATGGTCTCACATATTCTTCATTTTTTTACAGCCCATTAAAAGTACAAAATCCAGGCCAGGCACGGTAGCTCACACCTGAAATCCCAGCACTTTGAGAAGCCGAGGTGGGAGGATCACTTGAGCACTGGAGTTAAGAGACTAGCCAGGGCAATATAGGGAGACCCCGCCTCTACAAAAAAATTTAAAAATTAGCCAGGCATAGTGTTGCATGCCTATAATCCCAGCTACTCAGGAGGCTGAGGTGGAAGGATCGCCTGGGCCCAGAAGCTCAAGGCTGCAGTGAGCCATGATCACGCCACTGCACTCCAGCCTGGGTGACAGATAAAAAGAAATAAAAGAAAAAAGCAAATAAAATAAAACAAGAAAATAAAAGAAAAAATAAAAGAAATAAAAGAAAAAATAAAATAATCAAATAAAAGAAAAAAAGCAAAAACTAAAAACGCTAAGAAAAAATTCTTAGTTTCCAGGCCCTGAGCCCCTATTCTGCAGTTTGATAAGCCGAAGAATAACAAGTGATTCTTCTTCCTTGCACACGAGATCTCTTTCCTACATCACCATATTTTGTCTTACTAGATCTTTGCCATCAGCACACAAACATGGTGTTATAAACCATTAATAATAAAAGAAAAACCCCTTGACCACACTGTCCCTTAAGCTACTCCCCCATTTCTTTATTACCCCCATCCCCACCCCACTTTCCATTCTCTCTTAAACTAACTCTAGACACGCTTTTAACCCCTCCCCTCCACTAAAACTGCTTTTGTTATGGTCAATTTCCTCATGCTAAATCCATGACCAGTTTTCAGTCTTCATTTTCCTTGACCTGGATAATCGTCAGCATTTGACATTATTAATTACTCCTTAATCCTCACATAATGCCTTTTCTTGCCTTTGAAGATACTGTACTCCAGGTTTTCCTATCTCACCAGTCATTCTTTTTCAGTCTCCTTTGATGGCTTCCCCTGTTCCCCACAACCTCTTAGTGATATGGTGCCTCAGGCTCAGTTCCCGGTCCTTTTCTCTATCTAGAATGCATTCCCTTGATAATTTCATCTTAACTCAAATCCCGTTTCTAATCTTCCTCCTAATCCCCAGTATATCATCAATAAACCGCCATGGTAACACTTTTAAAATATGGATCAACACATGCTCAAAACCCTCCCATGACTCCCAAAAGATCTACAACATCCTACATGATCTGTCTCTCTCCTCTGTTATCACTCTAATTTAATGTATCCCTCTCATATATTCCATGCAAATTGCATGGGCCTGGTTGTTGCTCCTCAAACACCTCAAGGAGTTCCTATCTTAAGTCTTTGATCTGGCTCTTTTCTGCGCCTACAAATAACTGCAATCCTCTGATCTCCTTCAAGTTTTTGCTCAGTTCTCACCTTTGTTATGAAGCCTACCTTAACTATTACATTTATAATTGCAACTCCCTCTTCTTTGGCACTCCTGATTTACCTACTCCTACTATCTATCTATATCTATCCATCCATCCATCCCATCTGTCTCTATATGTATATATGTTCATGTCTATAATTTACTTTGGTAATAGTGTTTTTTTTTTGTCATTGCCAGCCTTTCCTCCCTAACTTTACAAAGACACGGGCATTTGTTATATCCAATGATATATCCCAAGAAACAAGCACGTAGTGTTTTCAAAAGTTTGCTATCCTCATGAATACATGTTAATTTTCATTAATGTTAATGTATATATATTCTGTAAAAGTCTTTCTAATTTAATAGACACTAACACAGAGCTTTTATATTTAGTGAATAATTTGTCTTAAAATGTAACATTTCCACCCCAATTAAATTCCACTATAGAAGATGATTAAATCAAGTTATGACTTATCCTATCACTTCTGAAAGCTGTTATCCTTACCTACAATTGAACTACATTCAGAATGATGAAAAGTATTCTCTAACCTGTGAAAACAGCAACACAATTATTCTACTCTAATCCCTCATTTGTTTATATAAACACTGTAACCAAAATACTCAGATTTCAGACAAAAAAAAGTTGGCTTAAATAGTTTATCTGGTTCCAATGGAAAATATGCAAATTTAAAAGAATAGCAAATAATATTCATCATTTAATTTTTGATATGCTACTCATCTTGCAAAGAACATGAACTTAAAATTTACAAACTTCCTTGTTGACAATGTTGCTCTTTGTCTTACAAACTCGACTTTGGAAATATCACAATTTAATTCAAAGTTCGACTCTACTTTCATAGACTTCTCATTTTCTTTAAACATAGTTAATTTCCTTTTAATTTTCACATTTAAATATCATTATTTCTCCAGGTTTTTATCTTAACAATTCATTTTAATCCCACCAACTCTCTTTCAATTCTTCCTTCTGTATTTTATTCTTCATGTTAAAAAATTCTAATTTGCCACTTAAATACTTACATAAAACTCCCTCCTTCTCTCCAGAATTTATTCGATTTTCTAATTTAATTTCAGTCGCATTCAATCATAGTTTTAAAGCAATCTCCTCTTACAGAATTTCTGAAATCTTCCTAATTATGAGGGTTAATATATTCAGTGGTTAGGGTTGGCAGATAAAATACAAGATACCCAGTTAAATTTGAATTCAGATAAACAACAAACAATTTTTTGTTAAAGAATGACCCATGCAAAATTTGTAAAAAATATATATATATACAGCAAAAGGGCCTTCTTATACTAAAAATGTACTTGTTTTTTATCTGAAATTCAAGTTTAACTGGGTATCCTGTATATTTATCTGCTAAATCTGGCAATTCTATTGTGTATACACCATTATGCCATACTGTCCAGGGCAAGTTCTGATTGTTTGATGCCCAAGCTGTACCAGTTATTACATAATATGAACACTACCCCTGGAAGCAACATTAAAAATCAAATGATTCTCCCTATTTCCTTTTGTATTGTTACTAAACAGTTCATAAAATACAATCATTAGCTGAAAAAGAAATCAGATAAAGCTGCCATCCATATGATTCCCCTTATCCAATCATGCAGAGAACAATCTCTATTGAGCCAACAGTAAATCAATCATCTCTCTCATAATACTAGAACTGTTCTCCCAATGAAAGTTTGTAAAGCACATACAAAGTAAAGTTCAGGTACACTAAAATTTACAGAACAAATTGAGAGGATTTTTATATATGAGATTATACTTCATTAAAAAAAAAAAGTGGCATGAATTCATTTGATTCATTTTATCCATATAGGCAAAGGCCTGCCTGTATTTGAAGTTAATATTTTCTTACTCAGAATTTATTAAAAGTACTCTAGAGAAGTAATAACATTTCTACATGAAGCATACTTCTATGTGCAATGACAGCTATGGACATACTGAGTTCATGTATTCACAAATCAGTCTCACTAGCAAATAGACACTACCACAAAAATAACCACTTTTACTCTCGGACAACAATTAAAAAAAAAAGACATTTTGGATAAAAATCCAGCTTAAAAAACAGCAAGAATCTGAAAATAAATACTTACTTTAGGACCATTTGAAAAGAACTGTAGTTAAAAGTATATCCACCAATCACCCACATAAATTTCCCGTGTAAAACTGCTTTATGTGAAGCCCGACCTACAGAAGGACTGAAGGGTTTAACGTTTGGCAGAATCCAGTAAGACTCAGTAGAGGGAACATTCAAAGAACAATCAGGACCTATTAAAAAAAAAATGAAACAACACACTAGATTAAACAAAGCCCTCAGATTATAGAAATACAACATATGGATTAAGAGAATTTAAGAATTCAATGTTTATCATATTAACAAATATATACATAAATTATCTGAAATATAACTTACAAGAATAATACTCACAGAAAATGTAATGCTTAGAGGTGAAAAAAGTCATATACTCACAATCGGACTTGGATGTTCAAATAAATTTCACAATTTTAAAGAATTATTTAAATAATATAAAATGTCAGATTTATTTTAGTATGCTACAAGAGTATTAAAATAGAAAACAATGTACTCAAATATCAGTTCTGTCAGGGAAGTATGTTTACCTCTTTCATCATCAAGCCTCCATCTACACAAATGGATATAATAATCTACCACCAAGGGTTATAATAAATATTTATTTTTTTAAAATAGTGGAAGTAAAAGCATTTAAAAATTAAAGTTTAAAAATTATTAACTATTAAACAAACATAAAAAAGATTACATTTTTTTTAGCATTATTAAGGACAACCAAAGTTTGCTTCAGTGGAGTCCTCAAAAAGAAAAAAAAATTATGCATCATAAAATAAAAATTATTAAATTAGTGCAGAATAATTTCAAATACTATAAAGTTGAAAACACAGCCTTTTCCTTTCCATATTCATGATGTTACTCATAAGTCTTGGTTTCCCCATCAGTGTTTCTCAAACATAATAGAAGGAATTCTCCTAAAGGGAATATATTTTCATCAAACTTTAGGGCTCACAAAGTATTTTAATTTTAATGAAACTAAAAAATTCTCAAATACTAGACATAAACTCCTATGTTTAAATTTCTTTTATAAGCATAAAACAAACATACATTTATAAATTATATATAAGTAAATTTATAAAACTAATATTTACTGAATATGATAATATTGTTTTGTTTAAAATAATGGGTCCCAAGTTAAAAATGATATTAATTCTCATAATGCCTTTTTTACATAATTTTAGCACACCTACATTATTTTGACAACATAATTCTCCCACCATTTTTCTTCAACCTACTTTTTACAAATCTTTTAAATTCATATACTATGGCATATAATCATTTACCCTTCACTTGTCACAAAAGTATTAGTACACTTTAGTTGTATTGTTTTTAGCCTACAGTAATTAAAGGGATACTACTTAATCCCAACTTTAAATTGTCAACACAACTGCTGGCATTACAATACAGTGGCATTACTCAATTATGAGATCAGGCAGTTAATCTTCAATTTGCTTATATCAAAAAGTTTTAGATTGTCATTTAATAACAAAATTTTAAAACTCCCAAGCAGAGTCTGATTTAAGAAATATTGACCCATACAGTTTTCATGTCTTCATGTGTTCACTCACCCAGGTATTAATTGATTCATCTTCAAGATTTTTTTCAATGCTTACATTGTATGGCTCTGTATTTTTCAGGTACAAACTAGGAAGTATCTCAGATTATCTCTTTGATAATGATAATATTTTAAATCAGCTATAGAAAACTATTATTTCTGAGTGAGAAAAGACTGTGAACTATTCCTTAGTAATCAGAGATATTAAAGGAACCTCTTTTTTAATTTAATTACAGTAACTTAGAAATCATTTAATAGTTTTATTAAAACACAGCCATGTTCATTCAGTTAAGTATTGTCTATGGCTGCTTTAGCAGAGCTGAGTGGTTGCAACAGAGCCATGTAACTTGCAAAGAAAAAGTATTTACTACCTGGCCTTTTACAGAAAAGTTTGCCAACCTCTAATTTAACTGAAAAGACATGAAATCATATAGAAATTATATATAATGCATCTATTGGTATAAATGTTGTATCTATTTTCATAAAAGGAAATATAGATTTATTTTAACATGTAAGTCAGTTATACCAAAGAAAATAGAGTAAAATGTTAATAGGTGAATCTGGGAAACGGACATTCAGATAGTCTTTGTACTATTCTTATTCTTGTATAATAACTTTTCTAAAACTTTAAAATTATTTCTAAATAAAACATTAAAAACAGGCCACCACCCAAAGGCACAGAGTTGAAAGCAGCCAAGTAATATGTGGGTATTACTTGGAAAAGAGTTTGATAGAGAACACTGGCATGAAAAAAATCTTGAAAATTGGGTACATTTTTAAATCACCAATATATTTATCAAATCTGCATTAAAGCAAAATACTGCAGAACAAGTTTCCAGTGGACTGAATAATAGCCCTCAAAGGTATCCAGGTCTTAACCACCAGAAGCTTTGGATTTTACCTTATATGGCAAAAGGAACTTTACAGATGTATTAAATTAAGGATTTTGAAATTTGGGAGAGATTATCGTGAATTATCTAAATTGGCTCTAAATATAATTACAGGTGTCCTTATAAGAGAGGGAGATTTGACTGCAGAAGGAAGCAATGTGACTATCAAAGCAAGATGCTGCAGTCCCGGATCTGAAGATAGAGGAACAGGCAAGGAGGCAAAGAATGCAGGGAATGCAGTTCCAGGATGTTATAGGTCTGTAGCCCAATCTATATGTTGTCTTTATTTTACTCTAAATTAATCCATTTATAAATAGAATGACAAGATTTATAAATATAATTCAAAGATTTAAGAAAAAAATTAGATGTCTTAATTTGAAGCTTTCTGTATTCTATAACCAAAATGACTTAAAATGTATACTAATTAACTGAATATTAATTTAAAACACAAACAACGACAAAAAGACTTCCCCACCCATTAAACAGCTAATACTAATATCTACACTTAAGGACATCTAAGCAAGAGTCCACTTTTTAAAATTTTTTTTCTGATACTGAACAATTATACACATTTATGGTCTACATGTAATATTTTGATACATGTATACAATGTGTAATGACCAAAACAAGGTAATTAGGATATCTGTTGCCTCAAACACATTTGTGTTGTAAACATTCCAAATATTCTAGCTATGAAATATATAATAAATTATTAACTATAGTCACCCTACTATGTTATTGTACTAGAACATATTACCTCTGTCTGACTATATTTTTGTATACATTATCCAACCTCTCGTCATCCCTCTCTCCCCGAAACCTTTCCCAGCCTCTGGTAACCATCATTCTACTCTACCTCCATGACATCAACTTTTTTAGCCCCCACTTATGAATAAGAACATACTATATGTGCAAGACTCCTTTTTTATAAAAATATATCCATAAAAATTATTCTACCACTTCATACTTTAGTATCTCATGCAATATATCCCCATAACTCTCTCTGCATTACTTTTCTCAATCAGTATGACAATTTCTCAAGGTAGTATATCTCAGCTGTTTTTTAAAGGGTGTAATAAACAAATTCACCTTATAGTGCAATTTCAAAAAGAATCTTCTCCGCAGGTTATGCACAGTTTTAAAAAACCAAAGAGTATAAATGAATTTCTAACACTGTAACTTTAAGCATTAGTGTCGGGCTGCTGAGAGATTTTTTAAGGGAAAAAGCTACTACATAATCATACAGAGTAGAATTGTGCTCTGATATATCCCAAATGTATATGTCCAGCCCCACAATCTCTCATGAATTCAAACTACTACTTTACATTTCCACTTGGATATCTATAGAGGGTCATCTCAAACTTCACATGTATAAAACTAAAACCTTGATCGTTTCCTCCCAAACCAATTCCTTCAGCAGTGTTTGCCAGCTGAGTAAACGGCACTTCCATTCATCCAGTTGCTCAGGGCAAAAACTTTGGTGCCATTCTTAAGTTGCCTCTTTCTCCAGCACCCCATACAACCAACCCACAAACAAACTGAATATTAATTAGGTATGCAGGGATTACAGTCTTTCCACATGTTAAAGTATAAAAGTTTCAATGACTGTTGGTAAGTAGATGTACCTCAGCATCGCACGTTATCAGTCTTGCTGTCCCTGTTCCCCTGACTCCTCACTTGAGATAATTCAAACCTCCCTACAATAGATAACTAGAGGGGTAATGCCTGGCACAACACGGCACATCAAGATCTTACTCTAGTCCAATGGCCACCATCCATTTTGATTGGTGTCTGGTCTGTATCTTACTAATTATAAGAATTTTTAAATTCTAGCACCCCACGATACCCCAACCACTGATCCCTGTCTCTACAACTACCATTTCAGTCCAAGCCACCACCCACTCTCAACTGGACTACTGCAATAGTCTAAAACCTGGTCTTCTTATTTCCATACTTATCCCTTTCCTATAACATTCAACTATCCAGAATGCAACCAGAATGATTAAAAACATAATTCTACTCCTATCATTCCCCTACTAATAATCCTTCAGTGACTTCCCATCATAATAAAATACAATGAAAAGTACTTAACATAGCCAACAATTACTAATGATTAGCCTCAGTATACACTTATGGAATCAATCAATCAATGGATGGATGAATGAAAAGCACCTTAAGCTGTAAAGGAGTAACAGCATGAGCTATGCAGTCAAATCTAGCTTTCCTACTTACTAGCTGTGAAACCTTGGGCAAACTTACCTAATTTCTCTAAGCTTCAGTTTAATTGTGGAGCTTCCACCTAGAATATAAGATTTTTCTAAATATAAAATGAGATTCTAAGTAAAATGCTTAATATTTAATACTATAATAAATGCTTCATAATAGTAACTTTGTTATTATTAAGACAACCTTCTCATTTTATACACAAAAAAATTAAGTATAATTAAGTCCCCATATATCAATAGAAACCTTGATTGTAAACAAATTAAACCTTCCACTTAAAAAACACAGACTGACTGAATGGATTTTTTAAAAAGAAAAAAAAAGAAAAACATGATCCAACTGCAGGAAACTCATACCACCTGTAAAGACATATAGAGGCTGAAAATAAAGGGATAGAAAAAAAATCCATTAAAACAGAAACTAGAAAAGAGCAAGAGTAACTCTAATTAGATAAAACAGATGTTAAGTCAAAAACAATAAAGAGAGACAAAGAAGGTCATTTTATAATGATAGAGGGATCAATTCAGCAAAAGGATATAACAATTCTAAACAAATATGTAGCCATCACTGGAGCACCTAGACATATAAAGCAAACATTATTACATTTAAAGGAAGAAATTAATACATTTAAAGGGAGAAATTGGCCCTGGGCCAATCTTTGGGCCGTAGGGGTGACAGTGGCAGTCTAAGAGTGCCTGTCTTGGGCTCCCTGGCACCGTTTCTTGGCACCAGTGTTATTTGATCCAATAAAATAACAGTTGGGGACTTCAACACCCTACTCTCAGCATTAGACAGATCATCCAGACAGAAAAAGAAACATTGGATTTAAACTGCACATTAGACCAAATGGACCTAGCAGACATTTACAGAACATTTCAATCAACAGCTACAAAATACACATCTTCTCATCAGCACATAAAATGTTCTCCAGGATAGACTATATGTTAGGACACAAAAGAAAACTCAAGGAAAACAAAAAAGGGCAGGGGTTGCAATTCTTTTTCTCTGATAAAACAGACTTTAAACCAACAAAGATCAAAAGAGACAAAGAAGCTACCTTTCTTCTTCGAAGAATGGTATCCTTTACCATTACATAATGGTAAAGGGATCAATTCAACAAGAAGAGCTAACTATCCTAAATTTATATGCACCCAATACAGGAACACCCAGATTCATAAAGCATGTCCTTAGAGACTTACAAAGAGACTTAGACTCCCACACAATAATAATGGGAGACTTTAACACCCCACTGTCAATATTAGACAGATCAATGAGACAGAAGGTTAACAACGATATCCAGGAATTGAACTCAGCTCTGCACCAAGCGGACCTAATAGACATCTACAGAACTCTCCACCCCAATTCGACAGAAGATACATTCTTCTCAGCACCACATCGCACTTATTCCAAAATTGACCGCATAGTTGGAAGTAAAGCACTCCTCAGCAAATGTGAAAGAACAGAAGTTATAACAAGCTGTCTCTCAGACCACAGTGCAATCAAACTAGAACTCAGGATTAAGAAACTCACTCAAAACTGCTCAACTACATGGAAACTGAACAACTTGCTCCTGAATGACTACTGGGTACATAACGAAATGAAGGCAGAAATAAAGATGTTCTTGAAACCAATGAGAACAAAGACACACAATCTCTGGGACACATTCAAAGCATTGTGTAGAGGGAAATTTATAGCACTAAATGCCCACAACAGAAAGCAGAAAAGATCTAAAATTGACACCCTAACATCACAATTAAAAGAACTAGAGAAGCAAGAGCAAACACATTCAAAAGCTAGCAGAAGACAAGAAATAACTAAGATCAGAGCAGAACTGAAGGAGATAGAGACACAAAAAACCCTTCAAAAAAATCAATGAATCCAGGAGCAGGAGCTGGATTTTTGAAAAAATCAACAAAATTGATAGACCGCTAGCAAGTCTAATGAAGAAGAAAAGAGAGAAGAATCAAATAGATGCAATAAAAAATGATAAAGGGGATATCACCACCGATCCCAAAGAAATACAAACTACCATCAGAAAATACTATAAACATCTCTACGCAAATAAACTAGAAAATCTAGAAGAAATGGATAAATTCCTGGACACATACACCCTCCCAAGACTAAACCAGGAAGAAGTTGAATCCCTGAATAGACCAGGCTCTGAAATTGAGGCAATAATTAATAGCTTACCAACCAAAAAATGTCCAGGACCAGACACATTCACAGCCGAATTCTACCAGAGGTATAAGGAGGAGCTGGTACCATTCCTTCTGAAACTATTCCAACCAATAGAAAAAGAGGGAATCCTCCCTAACTCATTTTATGAGGCCAGCATCATCCTGATACCAAAGCCTGGCAGAGACACAACAAAAAAAGAGAATTTTAGACCAATATCTCTGATGAATATCAATGCAAAAATCCTCAATAAAATCCTGGCAAACCGAATCCAGCAACACATCAAAAAGCTTATCCACCATGATCAAGTGGGCTTCATCCCTGAGATGCAAGGCTAGTTCAACATATGCAAATCAATAAGCGTAATCCAGCATATAAACAGAACCAAAGACAAAAACCACATGATTATCTCAATAGATGCAGAAAAGGCCTTTGACAAAATTCAACAGCCCTTCATGCTAAAAAAAATCTCAATAAATTCGGTATTGATGGGATGTATCTCAAAATAATAAGAGGTATTTATGACAAACCCACAGCCAATATGATATTGAATGGGCAAAAACTGGAAGCATTCCCTTTGAAAACGGGCACAAGACAGGGATGCCCTCTCTCACCACTCTTATTCAACATAGTGTTGGAAGTTCTGGCCAGGGCAATCAGGCAGGAGAAAGAAATAGAGGGTATTCAATTAGGAAAAGAGGAAGTCAAATTGTCCCTGTTTGCAGATGACATGATTGTATATTTAGAAAACCCCATCATCTCAGCCCAAAATCTCCTTAAGCTGATAAGCAACTTCAGCAAAGTCTCAGGATACAAAATCATGTGCAAAAATCACAAGCATTCTTATACACCAATAATAGACAAACACAGAGCCAAATCATGAGTGAACTCCCATTCACAACTGCTTCAAAGGGAATAAAATACCTAGGAATCCAACTTACAAGGGATGTGAAGGACCTCTTCAAGGAGAACTACAAACCACTGCTCAATGAAATAAAAGAGGACACAAACAAATGGAAGAACATTCCATGCTCGTGGACAGGGAGAATCAACATCGTGAAAATGGCCATACTGCCAAAGGTAATTTATAGATTCAATGCCATCCCCATCAAGCTACCAATGACTTTCTTCACAGAATTGGAAAAAAACTACTTTAAAGTTCATATGGAACCAAAAAAGAGCCCACATTGCCAAGACAATCCTAAGCCAAAAGAACAAAGCTGGAGGCATCATGCTACCTGACTTCCAACTATACTACAAGGCTACAGTAACCAAAACAGCATGGTACAGGTACCAAAACAGAGATATAGATCAATGGAACAGAGCAGAGCCCTCAGAAATAATATCACACATCTACAGCCATCTGATCTTTGACAAACCTGACAAAAACAATTAATGGGGAAAGGATTCCCTATTTAATAAATGGTTCTGGGAAAACTGGCTAGCCATATGTAGAAGGCTGAAACTGGATCCCTTCCTTACACCTTATACAAAAATTAATTCAAGATGAATTAAAGACTTAAATGTTGGACCTAAAACTATAAAAACCCTAGAAGAAAACCTAGGCAATACCATTCAGGACACAGGCATGGGCAAGGACTTCATGTCTAAAACACCAAAAGCAATGGCAACAAAAGCCAAAATTGACAAATGGGATCTAACTAAACAGCTTCTGCACAGCAAAAGAAACTACCATCAAAGTGAACACGCAACCTACAGAATGGGAGAAAGTTTTTGCAATGTACTCATCTGGCAAAGGGCTAATATCCAGAATCTACAAAGAACTCCAACAAATTTACAAGAAAAAAACAACCCCATCAAAAAGTGGGCGAAGGATATGAACAGACACTTCTCAAAAGAAGACATTTAGGCAGTCAACAGACACATGAAAAAATGCTCATCATCACTGGCCATCAGAGAAATGCAAATCAAAACCACAATGAGATACCATCTCACACCAGTTAGAATGGCGATCATTAAAAAGTCAGGAAACAACAGGTGCTGGAGAGAATGTGGAGAAATAGGAATGCTTTTACACTGTTGGTGGGACTGTAAACTAGTTCAACCATTGTGGAAGACAGTGTGGCGATCCCTCAAGGATCTAGAACTAGAAATACCATTTGACCCAGCCATTCCATTACTGGGTATATACCCAAAGGATTATAAATCATGCTGCTATAAAGACACATGCACACGTATGTTTATTGCGGCACTATTCACAATAGCAAAGACTTGGGACCAACCCAAATGTCCATCAATGATAGACTGGATTAAGAAAATGTGGCACATATACACCATAGCATACTATGCAGCAATAAAAAATGATGAGTTCATGTCCTTTGTAGGGACATGGATGAAGCTGGAAACCATCATTCTCAGCAAACTATCGCAAGGACAGAAAACCAAACACTGCGTGTTCTCACTCATAGGTGGGAATTGAACAATGAGAACACTTGGACACAGGAAGGGAAACATCACACCAAGGCCTGTCGTGGGGTGGGGGGAGCAGGGAGGGATAGCATTAGGAGATATACCTAATGTAAATGATGAGTTAATGGGTGCAGCACACCAACATGGCACATGTATACATATATAACAAACCTGCAAGTTGTACACATGTGTCCTAGAACTTAAAGTATAATAATAAAAAAACTTCAAAAAAAATTTAAAAATCAAAATCATGCCTTGTGAAACCACAATGAAATAAAACTAGAAATCAATGAAAAGAGGAACTTTGGAAACTGTACAAATACATGCAAATTTAAAAACATGTTCCTAAATGATCAAAGGATTAAAGAATAAATTAAAGAGAAAATAAAAAAACTTTTTGAAACAAATGAAAATCAAAACATAACATACTAAAAGCTATTGGATACAGCAAAAGCAATGCTAAGAAGGAAGTTTACAGCAATAAGTACCCACGTCAAAAAAGCAGAAAGGTTTAAAATGAACTAATGATGCACCTCAAAGAATTAGAAAAGTAAGAATAAACCAAACTCAAAATTACTAGAAGAAGATAAATAATAAAGATAAAAGCAGAACTAAATGAAATAGAGGTGGAAAAAAAAAATACAAAGGATCAACATGAAAAGATGTGGTCTACCAATAAACCACTTGCTAGATTAAGCAACAACAACAAAAAAAAATTAGAAAACCCAAATCAACAAAATCAGAAATGTAAAAGGACACGTTACAACTGATATCACAGAAATACAAAAGATTATCAAAGATTATTATAAATAACTATACACTAACAAACTGGAAAACATAGAGAAAATCCACAAATTCCTAGACACATACATCCTACTAAGATTGAATCAAGAAAAAATATTTAGACAACCTAAACAGACCATTAAAAACTGAAAAGATCAAAGTAGTAATAAAAAGTCTCCCAACAAAGGAAAGTCCAGGACAGGACGGCTTCACGGCCAAAGTCCACCAAACTTTCAAAGAAGAATTAATGCCAATTCTCCTCAAGCTAGTCCAAAAAAAAAAAAAAAAAGGAAAAGGAGACAATTGTCCCTAATTCATTTTACAAGGCCAGGATTAACCTAACACCAAACCCAAATATTAAAGTAACAAAAAAAGGAAAACTACAGGCCAACATCCCTGATGAATACAGATGCAAAGATACTCAAAAAATACCAAATCCAGCAGCATATTAAAAAAATAATAAACCATGATCAAGTGAGATTTATCCCAGGGATGCAAGGATGGCTCAATATATGCAAATCAATAAATGTGATCTATCATATCAGCAACATGAAGAACAAAAACCATATTATCATCTCAAGAGATGCAGAAAAAGCATTTGATAAAGTTCAACATCCCTTCACGATAAAAACTCTCAACAAACTAAGCATGAAAGGAACATACCAAGATATAAAAAAGGACATATACGACAAACCCACAGTTAATATCATACTGTTACAGGAGTTAAAAAGAAATTATTCAGGCAGTTAGTAAGGGTAAAAGAGTTCTCAGTGGAATTTCCTTTTAAAAAAAAACAGCCCCAAAATCATTTCTTTTCTAACAAAAAGCAGCCTGAAAAATCAAGCTGCAAGCATAGATAAGCAAGCTGGAATGCTGGAAGCTGTGCCAACAGAAAAGGGATACCTGGAAGCCAGGTATATTCAACATGGAGATTTTCCCTTCCCTTTTGTTGCCATGTGTGCAGGCGTCTACACTGGCCAGGAAAAGACCCCATCTGCGTAATAAAAGATTAGGGTGGGATGGCCAGCCTCTTAGTGCACTATGCAAATGGTACACCTGGTCCAACAAATCCTCTGGGCCCTATGTAAATCAGACACCGCCTCCAAAAGCCCCTCTATAAAACCAACCACAGCCAGGCACAGTGGCTGACACCTCTAATCCCAGCACTTTGGGAGCCCAAGGCAGGTGGATCACCTGAGGTCAGGAGGTGAAACATGGCGAAACCTCATCTCTACTAAAAATACAAAAATTACCTGGGTGTGGTGGCGCACACCTGTAGTCCCAGCTACTCAGGAGGCTGAGACAGGAGAATCACTTGAACCTGGGAGGAGGATGTTGCAGTGAGCCAAGATCGCATCACTGCATTCCAGCCTGGGCGACAGAGTCAGATTCTTAGAAAGAAAAAAAAAAAAAAAAAAAAACGCATCTGGCCTCAAAGAGGGAGATCCATTCGGAACACCACTCTCTCTGCACAGGGGAGCTTTTCTCTTCTTTACTTTGCCTATTAAACTTTCTGCTCTTAAACCCACTCATTGTGTGTCCACGTCTTCGATTTCCTTAGTGCGAGACAACAAACCTTGGCTATTTCCCCAAATGATGCCACTTCAATACCAAATGGAGAAAAACCAAAAGCTTTTTCTCTAAGAACTGGAGGAAGACAAAGATGTCCACTTTCACCACCTAATCAATATACTACTTCAAGTCCTAGCCAGAGAAATTAGGCAAGAGAAAGAAAGAAAATGCATCCAAACTGGAAAGAGGAAGTCAAATTGCCACTCTTTGCTGATGATATAATCTTATATCTAGAAAACCTATAGCCTCCACCAAAAAACTCTTAAATGTAATAAATGAATTCAGTAAAGTTGCAGGTTACAAAACCAATATACAAAAATCTGCAGCATTTCTATACACAAATAATGAACTAGCTGAGACAGAAATCAAGAAGGCAATACAATAGCTACAAAAAAAATAAAATACCTAGAAATATATTTAACCAAGCATGTGGACAATCTCTATAGGAAAACTACAAAACACAGAAGAAAGAAATTGAAGAGGACACAAACAAATGGAAAGACATCCCATGTACATGGATTGGGAGAATTAATATTGTTAAAATGACCATACTACCCAAAGCAATCTACAGAGTCAATGCAAACTACCATAGTCATTTTTCACAAAATTAGAAAAAACAATTCTAAAATTCATATGGAACCAAAAAAGAGGCCAATAGCCAAAGAAATCCTAAGCAAAAAGAATAAGGCTGAAGGTATCACACCACTGGACTTCAAAATATATTACAAGGCTATAGTAACCAAAACAGCATGGTACTGGTACAAAACCAGACATATAGATCAATGAAACATAATAGTGAAAGAATAAACCTACATATTTATACTCACTGATTTCAAAGACACCAAGAACATACATTGGAGAAAGCACAGTCTCTTCAATAAATTGTGCTGGGAATACTGGATATTCACATGTGGAAGAATGAAACTACACCCCTTATCTCTCACCATATACAAAAATAAACTCAAAATGGATTAAAGACTTAAACCCTAAGACCCAAAACTATCAAACTACTAGAAGAAAACATAGGCAAAATGCTTTGAGACATTGACCTAGGCAAAGATTTTTTGGCTAAGACCTCAAAAGCACAGGCAACAAAAATAAAAATAGACAAATGAGACTATATTCAACTAAAAAGCTTCTGCACAGCAAAGGAAACAATCCACAAAGTGAAAAGACAACCTGCAGGATGGGAGAAAATATTTGAAAACTATGTTACTGACAGGGACCTAAAATCCAGGATATACAAGGAACTCAAACAACTGAACAGTAAACAAATAATCCTATTTAAAAGTGAGCAAAGATCATGAAGTCATTTCTCAAAAGAAGACTTACAAATGGCCAACAGGTACATGAAAAATAGTTTAACATCACCAATCACCAGGGAATTTGCCAATCAAAAACCACAATGAGATATCATCTTAGTTAAAATGGTTATTATTAAAAAGACTAAAAATAACAGATGCTGGCAAGGATACACAGAAAAGGGAACTCTTAATACAGTGTTGGTAGGGATGTAAATTAGTACAGCCACTATGGTAAACAGTATGGAAACTCCTCAAAAAACTTAAAATAGAACTATCATATGATCCAGTAATCCCACTACTGGGTATTTATCCAAAGGAGACAAAATCACTGTAACAGAGAGATACCTGCACCTGCATATTTACTGCAGCACTATTTACAGTAGCAAAGATACGGAATCAACCTAAGTGTCCCTCAACAGACAAAAGGATAATGAAAATATAGTGTATATACATAATGGAACGCTAGTCAGCCACAAAAAAAAAAAAAGAATGAAATCATGTCATTTGTAGCAACATGGATGGAACTGGAGGTCATTATGTTAAATGAAATAAGCTAGCCACAAAAAGACAAATATCCTAAGTTCTCACTCACACGTGGGAGTTAAAAGAGTTGATCTCATGGAGGTATAGAATAGAATGATGGATACCAGAGGCTGGACAGGGTGTGGGTAGTGGGGGAGGACAGACATTGGCTAATGGATACAAACATATAGTTAGAAGATACAAATTATAATATTCAATGGCAGTGTAGGGTAACTATAGTTGGCAACAACATATTGTATATTTCTAAGTAGTTAGAAAAGAGCACTTGAAATGCTCCCAACACAGAAATGATAAATACTCAAAGTGAAGAATACCCCAAATACCCTGACTTCATCATTACACATTCTATGCGGATAACAAATACTCACATATACCCCATAAATATGTAAATATTATGTATCAATAAAAAATAAGTAAAAGGGAAAGTAAGTAAAAAATAATCTTACTCCAGGATTTTAGACTTTTTGATGTAATTTTGGCTCATACCCTTAATTTATATTTCATCTATACTACTACGAAAAAAGCATTCATTTTAATGTTGAAGTGGTACATGTTTAAAGAGCCAACTATATTTATTTTCTTTTTGCAGTTTTCAACTGAACACATTAAATAAATATTGCTAACTCTGAATTCTATCAAATGCAGGTTGCTGATATAATTTTGGGTATTTTAAAGAAGTCTAATAACCAGAAAAAAAAAACACACCCTAACAGTATCTCTAAGGTGGTACTTCAGTTTGTTTTCTTACATGTGAGTCACAGAAATTAATTTGGCTAGCTTAAGGGAAAATGGGACTGTATTGAAAAAATATGTAGAAATTCAGAGAGTTTTTCAAGGAGAAAAATCAAGCTTAGAATAGACAGGTACCTGGATTTTTTCATCCCAGCAAGACTATGCTACGTTAGCAAAAGGCAATTTCCCAGAAGAAACTGGATTGTTAATAAGAAGTGGAAGATATGGTGGGAATAAAGATTTTAAGAGCAAGAGGGGTAAATGTAGCTTGTTGTAATCATTCCAGATATAGTCTTATGATTTAGTATGTACTGAATCTGAAGTTCTCCAATAAAAGTCAAAACAAGATTTCAATGCAAGTGTTCTCTCTTCTAACACCATTTTAAAAATTTGATTTTGTTACAGTATCCAAAGTATTCTACACATGTTCTAGACCCATAAAATCAATCTCCAAAGGCCAGGTATTAACTTTTGTCTATTTTAAATATCCACAACTATTCTGACAATCTGTTAATTTTATAAGACAATGAATTGTGTGAGTGGTAATCATTATACTAGATCTGTTCCAAGAATACTTGGCTCTTACAGTTTCGGTCAATGATGCTATTGTGGCATGGAAACAAATTGCCCTCTTGTTTAAAGATCAATGGTTTCCAATTTACTCTTTTTGGGCTGCAGAAGGCTTAAAACAAAGTTTTACAAGGAATCTCAATATGTAAAATATTGCAAAGTGATGACACTATGGTTGAGGCAGAAAAGGAAGAGTCACTTATCTTCCATCCTACCCCAACCCATCTCCTTATATAACCCTTGCACCACACATTTTGAAAACTCCTGGTATTATCAAAATATGTATGCTTAGAAAAGACTAACTTCAAAAATTTTAAAGACCAGATTTTTGAATAATCGTAACTGTCAAAATCATATTTCAAAAACATCTAAAATAATAAATTATAAAATAATGAAAGCATGTATGTCAAAATTTCTTCTAGGTACAAAAGTTAAACTGCCCATTTTATTAGACTGGTGCATGTATAATGCTCACAGAATATGTAAATAGTTGCCTAATATATAAATATTAATCACAAATTCAATTTTTTATTAATAAAATGTACTGAACCTCATTGCAAACAGAAGATTTTACTAAATCAAACTATTACAAAATGTCTACTTACTAAAAAGGAAACTGCTACTGTATTATCAGCCAGTCAAGCATAAACAGCAAGACACTATTTCAATTCACTTTGATCAAGTTATCATCCCAAGACTCAGACAAGGGCAAATAATCTCTTTGTATAAATAATGAAATTTATAACCAGATAGTTAATTGACTTTCCCAAGATAACTTTAATTGTGAATAGAGAATAGTTCCTCCATAAATTGAAATAACATTAAGAAATATTCATGCTAAGAATTTTCATGGCCCAGGCACGGTGGCTCACGTCTGTAATCCCAGCATTTTGGGCGGCTAAGGCGGGCAGACCACGAGGTCAGGAGTTTTGAGACCAGCCTGGCCAACGTAGTGAAACCCCGTCTCTAGTAAAAATACAAAAAATTGGCCGGGCACAGTGGCTCACGCCTGTAATCCCAGCACTTTGGGAGGCTGAGGAAGGCGGATCACGAGGTCAGGAGGTCGAGACCATCCTGGCTAACACGGTGAGACCCCATGAAACCCCGTCTCTACTAAAAAATACAAAAAATTAGACGGGCATGGTGGCAGGCGCCTGCAGTCCCAGCTACTCCGGAGGCTGAGGCAGGAGAATAGCGTAAACCCAGGAGGCGGAACTTGCAGTGAGCCGAGATCGCGCCACTGCACTCCAGCCTGGGCGACAGCATGAGACTCCGTCTCAAAAAAAAAAATACAAAAACTTAGCTGGGCGTGGTGGTGGGCACCTGTAATCCAGCTACTTGGGAGGCTGAGGCAGGAGAATCACTTGAAACTGGGAGGCAGAGGTTGCAGTGAGCCAAGATAGCCCACTGCACTCCAGCCCAGGCGGCAGTGAAAGACTCTGTCTCAAAAAAAAAAAAAAAGAAACAAAAAAAATTCTCATATTATTGACTGAATGCCTGTGTCCCTTCAAAATTTATATGTTGAAACCCTAACTCCCAACGTGATAGTATTAGTAGGTGGGGCTCTGGACAGGTAATTAGATTTAGATAAGGTTATCAGGGTAGGGTCCTCATGGTGAGATCAGTGCCTTACAAGGAGAGACCAGAGAGCTTGCTCACTCTCTCCAGCTCTCACAAGTTCACACTCTCACGTGCGTTCTCTCTCCCTCTCTCTCTCTCTGGCTCTCTCTTGCTCTCGCTCTCTCCTCCTCTCCTTCTCTCTGTCATATAAGGATAGAACAAAAAGGCAGTCATCTTGTTCGTTCTTTATGTGGCAGAGTGAGAGGGCCAGGAAGGTGGCCCTCACCATGATAGCACCCTGGTATTGGACTTCTGGTCTCCAGAACTGTGAGGAATAAATGCCAATTGTTTAAGCGACCTAATCTGTGGTATTTTGTTATAGCAGCCTGAGCTAAGATATTATGCTTTGAAGAAAATTGATAAACCATGTTAAGAGTATGGACAGGGCAATACACACTATAAAAAAAAAAAAATCCCAAGAAAGATTTAAGACCTTGGTTCTGATCAGCTGAAAATGACAAACGTAGAATTAGCTATATTGAGAGCAGGATTTGTTCATTTTACATTGTCCTATGCAGTCAGAGGCAACAAAATCTTATAAAGTCAGAGGCAACAAAATAAGTGGTTATAAATAGTTCAACATAAGGCAAGCTTATCTAAGAAAGGAATTTATATGCCTAGCACAGGATACTCTGAATTTTGTTGTGACCCACAGTTCAGTCTTTGGTTCGATTCTCTCTCTCTATGCTAACTTTCCTGGTAATCTCATCCAATTTCATCAATGGTTTCCAATTTAATATTTAAGCGAACACCTCCAAATTTATATCTACAGTACAGATCTCTCTCCATCAATTTCCAGACCCATATATCCAACTGCCTCCTCACTATCTCCTTTTGAATATCTCAAAGATATCTCTAACTTGGCATACCATAACCAAATATTCTTCCTAAAATCTTCCTCATATTAGTTGATGACAACTCTGTCTTTCCATTTGCTCAAACCAAAAACCTTAGTCATCTTTGACTCTTCTTTCCCTCACCCCCCACATCTAGACCATCAGCAAATCCTATTAATCCTGCATTAAAATCACATTCAGTATTCAAGCCATTGTCACCACCTCCATAGCTACCAACCTGTCCAAGCTACCATCATCATCATCTCTCACCTAGATTATAGCAGTAGCCTCTGAACTGGTATACTGCTACTACAGTCTATTCTCAGGTGGAAACCAATAGGAGCTTTATAAAACTAAGCCACATAATACTAATCTTCTGCTCAAAATCCTTCAATGGCTCCCTCATTTCACTTAGGGTAAGAGTCAAAATCCTCACTATGGTCTACAAAGCTAAGAATATTTAGCTGATATAGCTCCATCCTTCAGGAATCTCCATCCCCTCCAGCAACCCCTTAATTCCACATCCCCAACCATCTCCCTTGTTGTGTAACTTCTAAGTTCATATCTGACTAATCTCCCCATCAGTAATTCAATTCCAGCCACAATGGCCTTTTTACTGGTCCTTATGTACACCTGGCTTGCTCTTGCCTTAGGGTCTTTGAACTGACAGGTCTCTGCCTAGAATGTTCTTCCCCTAGATATCTATATGGTTGAACTCTCTTGCTTGCTTAAAGTCTTTTCTCACATGTCAACTTCTCCATAAAACCTAAGCATATCATCATATTTTAAATGTAACCCCCAGATCTTTCTATTCCTCTTTCTCTGTTCTACTTTAATTTTCCATTGTACTTATCACCTTCTAACATACTATATAATGTATATTTATTATTTAGGGTCTGTCTCTCCTAGCTTGAATGTAAGTTCCACAAGGATCTTTGTCTTCTTTGTTCCATGATGTATCCCAAGGACCTAGAGCAGTCTCTAGCACTTAATAGAAGCTCAAAAAAAGAAACTGTTACATTAATAAATGAAAAAGATAAATAAATGAATTCATGAAAAAGGGCTGTCATATATACATTTTAATGCTGCTTTTATTTTCAAACAGTCAACTTTCTTAGTAGGTTAAGAGTAAAAATTTAATTTTATTAGCTCTCACAAAAAAGTCAGATCTGCTGTTTTTGCTAAGTGGGAAGAATTTAACGGAATTAAACGCATTACCTGTCACTTCTCCCTCCTCAAAGTTAAAAGAGAAGAAATAGATTGACCGTGTTCATTATTATTATATTTCTAAAGGAAAATGTAAGCTACTTTATGAATTTCTACAAGGCAACCTATAATCTCATGTGTATACTATCCTAAAATAACTAAATATGTCCATATATGTTATATGACTAACCCAGATAAAATACTTCAGATAAAATATTCATGAGTTTGAGTTGAAAGTTTTTACATTTTTCTAAGTCAAACAAAACTACCAAGTTTCTACAACTTGAATGCCAGAGTTTAAGTGAGTTTTCTGGTAGTCAATACTGCCACCCAATGGCAAATGTTAAAATCTAAAACCAAAGGATTGAAACAAAATAAGACCAAGATTCCAAGAACCAATGCTTGATAAAATAACATTTTAAAAAATGTTCAAATTCAATTGCTTATCTCAATGTTCAGAAGTAATTATACAGGAAGTAAATAACATAGTTTATTAGAGTAATAACCTTATAAAACATCTCTAGTTGAATGTCTACATATCACTATACTAGTAAACTAATACATTTCTAATTCATTCATTCAATAACAACAACAAATGCAAGTGGCTAGTACATGCCATGCACTATATTAGGTTCTGGAAACCCAAAGATGATCAAAACATAATCATTCTTAACTTCTTGGAGTTTATATTCCACTGGGAAAGATAATCAAAGAATCATACAAGCACATAATTATAAACAGGGATAAATGATATAAATTTAAAAGATAGGGTCTTATGACAGCATATTACAGGGGGATCTGACCTGGACTTAGAATATGAATGGGGTAAGGGTTTTCTAGGAAGAACTTTGGAATTAAGAAAGGTCTTGAGATAGTGAAGGACAAAGAGCATCTGAGAAACTGGAGTAAGTTACAATAAAGTGTGACTTTAAATAAAGATCAGAGGCACTACGCAACAAAACTATTAAATTACATGATTTACATTTCCAGATACTGTATTTCAATCAATAATTTAAGAGTTTAAAACAGCCAACTTCAATCCTTATATGAGAACTGTAGCTGAATTGAATTAAAAAGGAATACTAAAAACATAAAAATGTCCTGAAGACATTTAAAAGAATCGAGCAATAGGATTGAGCAGGACATTCTGGAATAGAAAAGGAACAGGAACAATTTGATAACAGTTAAGCAACTCTCTTACATATAAATGATGGTGACCTGTTTTTCACTGTTCTCTGTAGAATAGGAAAAAAAATCTGTTGTAATACATTAAGAAAAAATTGTATGCTGAAGCTTGCTGGTTTGTCTCTTAACCTGTCTACCCCTACATCTAGTCCACATTACAAAGTTTCTCTGAGTAGACATGAGAGAACAAATTAGCCCATTCCTTGTTAATTATGGTAACAATCTATAGCTAAAAATATATTATTTGAATTTTTTATTTGTTTGGGAATCTCAATCATTTGAATCCCCTTTCCTGTGTTTGGGAGAATCCTTTATTGTGTGGATTTTGTCCAGAAAGAGAACCTCTTTCACTACATATAACAGAAAAGTTAAATTCCCTATTTCATATCTCTAGGCAGCCACGGTATGGACAAGACCTAGGTTTAGCCAAGCAGATACTATTAAGCAGGACTCAGTCTTAATAAGTGATGCAAAGATGTAAAGGCAATTTACAATTCTTTCTCTCCATTCCTGTAGCATGCAGTACCTACTGAAAGGGTGCCAGTGGTAGTAACCCAGGATCCTGTGGCAATGACAGGAATATCCTACTCAAACTTTCCATTGGCTTCATCTTTGCTGTAGGCTAGCCTTTATTTGTATCTGGCCTCTTTCCAACAATAGTTTATCCAGTCTTCTCATTTCTCTTGTGAGCTACTCAATATCCTTTTGTATTATTCAGAGAACAGGTTGAGTGAAGCAAAATAAGTTGCTAAAAGAAGGGAAAAGCTTATTTCTCTCTAATGAACATTCTAGAGATGAATGGGCCAGTGCTACTTATTATAGTTGTTGCCATTTATCAGCCATAGGAAAATATCTGAATGATCTAATATTTGCATACAGATTTTCTACTCACATCCTACCAATCTAAACTTAGTAACTGATATGGTTTGGTTGTGTCCTCACCCAAATCTCATCTTGAATTCCCACGTTATGGAAGGGACCCAGTAGGAGGTAACTGAAACATGGGGGTAGGTCTTTCCTGTGCTCTTCTCGTGATAGCAAGTAAGTCTCACAAGATCTGATGGTTGTAAAAAGGGGAGTTTACCTGCACAATCTTTTTTCTGTTGTCTGCCGCCATGTGAGACATGCCTTCCACCTTCCACCATGATTGTGAGGCCTCCACAACCATGTGGAACTGTAAGTCCATTAAATCTCTTTGTTTTGTAAATTGCCTGGTCTCAGGTATGTCTTTATCAGCAGTGTGAAAACAGACTAATACAGTAAATTGGTACCAGTAGAGTGGAGCGCGGCTGAAAAGATACCCGAAAATGTAGAAGTGACTTTGGAACTGCGTAACAGGCAGAGGTTGAAACGCTTTGAAAGGCTCAGAAGAAGATAGAAAAATGTGGGAAAGTGTGGACTCCCTAGAGACTTGTCGAATGACTTTGACAAAAATGCTGATAATCATATGGACAATGAAATCCAGGCTGAGGTGGTCTCAGATGGAGATGAGGAGGAACTTGTTGGGAAATGGAACAAAGGTGACTCTTGTTTTGTTTTAGCAAAGAGATTCGTGGCATTTTGCCCCTGCCCTAGAGATTTGTGGAGCTTTGAACTTGAGAAAGATGATTTAGGGTATCTGGTGGAAGAAATTTCTAAGCAGCAAAGCATTCAAGATATGACTTGGATTCTGTTAAAGGCATTCAGTTTTAAAAGGGACACACAGCATAAAAGTTTGGAAAATGTGCAGCCTGACAATGCCATAGAAAAGAAAATCCCATTTTATAAGGAGAAAGCTGGCTGCATAAATTTGCATAAGTAATGAGGAGCTGAATGTTAATCACCAAGACAATGGGGAAAATGTCTCCAGGGCACGTCAGTGGTCTTCACAGCATCGCCTCCCATCACAGGCCCAGAGGCCTATGAGGAAAAGATGACTTCATGGCTCAGGCCCAGGGCCCCCCTGCTCTGTACAGCCTAGGGACTTGGTACCCTGTATTCCAGCCACTCCAGCCATGGCTAAAAAGGGCCAAGGTACAGTTCTGGATGTTGCTTCAGAGGGTGGAAGCCCCAGGCCTTGGCAGCTTCCATGTGGTGTTGAGCCTTCAGGTACATGCAAGTCAAAAATTGAGGTTTGGGAACCTTCACCTAGATTTCGGAGGATGTATGAAAATGCCTGGATGCCCAGGCAGAAGTCTGCTGCAGGGGCAGAGCCCTCATGGAGAACCTCTGCTAGGGCAGTGCAGAAGGGAAACGTAGGGTTGGACCCCCACACAGAGTCCCTACTGGGGCACCACCTAGTGGAGCTGTGAGAAGAGGGCCACTGTCCTCAAGACCCCAGTAATGGTAGATCCACCAACAGCTTGCACCATGTGCCTGGAAAAGCCACAGACACTCAATGCCAGCCCCTGAAAGCAAGTGGGAGGTGGGACTAAACCCTGCAAAGCCACAGGAGCAGAGCTGCCCAAGACCATGGGAGCCCACCTCTTGCATCAGCGTGACCCGGATGTGAGACCTGGAGTCAAAGGAGATCATTTTGGAGCTTTAAGGTTTGACTGCACTGCTGGATTTCAGACTTGCATGAGGCCTGTGGCCCCTTTGCTTTGCCAATTTCTCCCATTTGGAATGGCTGTATTTACCCAATGGCTGTACCCTGATTGTTATCTAGGAAGTAACTAACTTGCTTTTGATTTTACAGGCTCACAGGCAGAAGGGACTTGCCTTGTCTCAGATGAGACTTAGGACTTTAGAGTTAATGCTGAAATGAGTTATGACTTCGGGGGACTGTTGGGAAGGCATCATTGGTTTTGAAATGTGAGGACATGAGATTTGGGAGGGGCCAGTGGCAGAATGATATGGTTTGGCTGTGTCCCCACCCAAATCTCATCTTGAATTCCCATGTGTTTTGGGCGGGACCCAGTAGGAGGTAACTGAATCATGGGGGCAGGTCTTTCCCTTGCTATTCTCATGATAGCAAATAAGACTCACAAGATCTGATGGTTTTAAAAAGGGGGAGCTTCCCTGTACAAGCTCTCTTATCTTGTCTGCTGCCATGTGAGACATGCCTTCCACCTTGTGCCATGATTGTGAGGCCCCCCCAGCCATGTGGAATTGTAAGTCCATTAAATCTCTTTCTTTTGTAAATTGCCCAGTCTTGGGTATGTCTTTATCAACAGCATAAAACAGACTAATACAGTAACATAGCCATACTAGCTGCAAGGCAGCATGAGAAATTTGGTATGTAGATGGAAGGCCATGTGCTGAGCTAAATGAGAATTCTATTACAATGAGAATTCTATAATGAATGCTGGGAGACAGCAGTCTCTGTCTCTGCATACTTTCCAATAACTGACTTTTCTGCTCAAGTAAGCCAGATTGTTTCTGTTGCTTTCAACCAAAGACCTCCCATCATTCAGATTTTTTTTTGAGATGGATTTTCATTCTTGTTGCCCAGGCTGGAGTGCAATGGTGCGATCTTGGCTCACAACCTCCACCTCCTGGGTTCAAGTGATTCTCCTGCCTCAGCCTCCTCAGATTTTTTAAAAGTTATATAAAACAGAGTACTTTGAAAATTACTGTTCTATTGTGTTCTTTACACATGAACATGAATTCAATTTCTTATATCTTGCTTTTCATGTGTTATAAAAATTGCTCTTCTATCCCAATGTTTGGAAGCCATTTTAAGAGATCAGTTCTTTTCAAAGTTGCCTTTTTCCCTCAGGTGACTTACTAAAATTTAAACAAATTTTACAGAAGCAACCAAGATGTCCTTCAGTAGGTGAATGGATAAACAAACTGTGGTACATCCATATAATGGAATATTATTCAGTGCTGAAAAGGAATTAGCTATCAAGCCATAAAAAGACATGGAGGAAACTTAAACATATCTTGTCAAGTCAAAAAGGCCAATCATAAAAAGCTACATACTGTATGATTACAACCATATGATATTTGGGAAAAGGCAAAATTGTGGAGACAGTAAAAAGATCAGTGGTTGGCAGGGGTAGGGAGAGGAAAGAATGAATAGGCAGAGCATAGGGGATTTTTAGGTTAAAAAAACTATTCTGTTGATACTATAATGGTGGATACATGTAATGATACATTTGTCCAAACCCACAGAATGTCCAACACTGACAGTGAATGCTAATGTAAACTATGACTTTGGTTGATAATGATTTGTCAGTGTGAGCTCATGAACTGTAATGAATATACACTCTGGTGGGAGATACTGATAATGAGAGAAGCTGTGTATGCATTGGGGCAGGAGGTAAATGGGAATTCTCTGTACCTTCTGCTCAATTTTCCTGTGAACCTCAAACTATGAAGTCTATTTTTTTTATTTTACTGTCATAGAAGCAGATGAGTCTACACAGGTCCCTATACTTTTAGTCATATATTTAATATGTATATATCATTATCTTTGACAACTATACTTTATGACAAAATTAAATATTATACAACAAACTTGTGTGCCCTCGAGTAGTCCCAGCTACTCTAAAGGCCAAGGTGGGAGGATCACTGGAGCCCAGGAGTTTGAGACCAGTCTGAGCAACATAGAAAGATCTCATCTCTAAAAAAAAAAAACAATTTAATTAGCTGGGAATGGTGGTGTGCAACCTGTGGTGCCAGCTACTCCGGAGGCTGAGTTGGGAGGATCATTTCAGCATGGAAGGTCAACGCTGCAAGAGCTGCGATCATGCCACTGCACTCTAGCCTGAGCCACAGAGTGAGATCCTATCTCCAAGAAAAAGAAAAACCAAAGAAAAAAAAATGACACACAAGACCAGGTAGGTTAAGCAAAAGAGAAATGTTAGGAAGGAACTCAAGACTTAACATACTTTGAAGTCAGGGAGCGTGATGCCTCCAGCTTTGTTCTTTTGGCTTAGGATTGACTTGGCAATGCAGGCTCTTTTTGGTTCCATATGAACTTTAAAGTAGTTTTTTCCAATTCTGTGAAGAAACTCATTGGTAGCTTCATGGGGATGGCACTGATCTATAAATTACCTTGGGCAGTATGGCCATTTTCACAATATTGATTCCTCCTATCCATGAGTATGGAATGTTCTTCCATTTGTTTGTATCCTCTTTTATTTCGTTGAGCAGTGGTTTGTAGTCCTCCTTGAAGAGGTCCTTCACGTCCCTTGTAAGTTGGATTCCTAGGTATTTTATTCTCTTTGAAGCAGTTGTGAATGGGAGTTCACTCATGATTTGGCTCTCTGTTTGAATGTTATTGGTGTATAAGAATGCTTGTGATTTTTGCACATGATTTTGTATCCTGAGACTTTGCTGAAGTTGCTTATCAGCTTAAGGAGATTTTGGGCTGAGATGATGGGGTTTTCTAAATATACAATCATGTCATCTGCAAACAGGGACAATTTGACTTCCTCTTTTCCTAATTGAATACCTTCTATTTCTTTCTCCTGCCTGATTGCCCTGGCCAGAACTTCCAACACTATGTTGAATAGGACTGGTGAGAGAGGACATCCCTGTCTTGTGCCCGTTTTCAAAGGGAATGCTTCCAGTTTTTGCCCATTCGGTATGATATTGGCTGTGGGTTTGTCATAAATACCTCTTATTATTTTGAGATACATCCCATCAATACCGAATTTATTGAGAGTTTTTAGCATGAAGGGCTGTTGAATTTTGTCAAAGGCCTTTTCTGCATCTATTGAGATAATCATGTGGTTTTTGTCTTTGGTTCTGTTTATATGCTGGATTACGCTTATTGATTTGCATATGTTGAACTAGCCTTGCATCTCAGGGATGAAGCCCACTTGATCATGGTGGATAAGCTTTTTGATGTGTTGCTGGATTCGGTTTGCCAGGATTTTATTGAGGATTTTTGCATTGATGTTCATCAGAGATATTGGTCTAAAATTCTCTTTTTTTGTTGTGTCTCTGCCAGGCTTTGGTATCAGGATGATGCTGGCCTCATAAAATGAGTTAGGGAGGATTCCCTCTTTTTCTATTGATTGAAATAGTTTCAGAAGGAATGGTACCAGCTCCTCCTTGTACCTCTGGTATAATTCACCTGTGAATCCGTCTGGTCCTGGACATTTTTTGCTTGGTAAGCTATTAATTATTGCCTCAATTTCAGAGCCTGTTTTTGGTCTATTCAGAGATTCAACTTCTTCCTGGTTAGTCTTGGGAGGGTGTGTGTGTCGAGAAATTATCCATTTCTTCTAGATTTTCTAGTTCATTTGCATAGAGGTGTTTATAGTATTCTCTGATGGTTGTTTGTATCTCTGTGGGATCTGTGGTGATATCCCCTTTATCATTTTTTATTGCATCTATTTGATTCTTCTCTCTTTTCTTCTTTATTAGTCTTGCTAATGGTCTATCAATTTTGTTGATCTTTTCAAAAAACCAGCTCCTGGATTCACTGATTTTTTGAAGGGTTTTGTGTCTCTATCTCCTTCAGTTCTGCTCTGATCTTAGTTATTTCTTGTCTTCTGCTAGCTTTTGAATGTTTTTGCTCTTGCTTCTCTAGTTCTTTTAATTGTGATGTTAGGGTGTCAATTTTAGATCTTTCCTGCTTTCTGTTGTGGGCATTTAGTGCTATAAATTTCCCTCTACACAATGCTTTGAATGTGTCCCAGAGATTGTGTGTCTTTGTTCTCATTGGTTTCAAGAACATCTTTATTTCTGCCTTCATTTCGTTATGTACCCAGTAGTCATTCAGGAGCAAGTTGTTCAGTTTCCATGTAGTTGAGCAGTTTTGAGTGAGTTTCTTAATCCTGAGTTCTAGTTTGATTGCACTGTGGTCTGAGAGACAGCTTGTTATAACTTCTGTTCTTTCACATTTGCTGAGGAGTGCTTTACTTCCAACTATGTGGTCAATTTTGGAATAAGTGCAATGTGGTGCTGAGAAGAATGTATCTTCTGTCGAATTGGGGTGGAGAGTTCTGTAGATGTCTATTAGGTCCGCTTGGTGCAGAGCTGAGTTCAATTCCTGGATATCGCTGTTAACCTTCTGTCTATTGATCTGTCTAATATTGACAGTGGGGTGTTAAAGTCTCCCATTATTATTGTGTGGGAGTCTAAGTCTCTTTGTGGGCCTCTAAGGACTTGCTTTATGAATCTGGGTGCTCCTGTATTGGGTGCATATATATTTAGGATAGTCAGCTCTTCTTGTTCAATTGATCCCTTTACCATTAAGTAATGGCCTTCTTTATCTCTTTTGATGTTTGTTGGTTTAAAGTCTGTTTTATCAGAGACTAGGATTGCAACCTCAGGCTTTTTTTGTTTTCCATTTGCTACCCGACTTCAAACTATATTACAAGGCTATAGTAACCAAAACAGCATGGTACTGGTATCAAAACAGAGATATAGACCAATGGAACAGAACAGAGCCCTCAGAAATAATACCACACATCTACAACCACCTGATCTTTGACAAACCTGACAAAAACAAGAAATGGGGAAAGGATTCCCTATTTAATAAATGGTTCTGGGAAAACTGGCTAGCCATATGTAGAAGGCTGAAACTAGATCTCTTCCTTACATCTTATACAAAAAATAATTCAAGATAAATTAAAGACTTAAATGTTGGACTGAAAACCATAAAAACCCTAGAAGAAAACCTAGGCAATACCATTCAGGACATAGGCATGGGCAAGGACTTCATGTCTAAAACACCAAAAGCAATGGCAACAAAAGCCAAAATTGGCAAATGGGATCTAATTAAACTAAAGAACTTCTGCACAGCAAAAGAAACTACCATCAGAGTGAAAACGCAACCTACAGAATGGGAGAAAATTTTTGCAATCTACTCATCTGACAAAGGGCTAATATCCAGAATCTACAAAGAACTCCAACAAATTTACAGGAAAAAATCAAACAACCCCATCAAAAAGTGGGTGAGGGATATGAACAGACACTTCTCAAAAGAAGACATTTATGCAGCCAAAAGACACATGAAAAAATGCTCATCATCACTGGCCATCAGAGAAATGCAAATCAAAACCACAATGAGATACCATCTCACACCAGTTAGAATGGCGATCATTAAAAACTCAGGAAACAACAGGTGCTGGAGAGAATGTGGAGAAATAGGAACACTTTTACACTGTTGGTGGGACTGTAAACTAGTTCAACCATTGTGGAAGACAGTGTGGCAATTCCTCAAGGATCTAGAACTAGAAATACCATTTGACCCAGCCATCCCATTACTGGGTATATACCCAAAGGATTATAAATCATGCTGCTATAAAGACACATGCACACATATGTTTATTGCGGCACTATTCACAATAGCAAAGACTTGGAACCAACCCAAATGTCCATCAATGATAGACTGGATTAAGAAAATGTGGCACAAATACACCATGGAATACTATACAGCCATAAAAAATGATGAGTTCATGTCCTTTGTAGGGACATGGATGACGCTGGAAACCATCATTCTCAGCAAACTATCGCAAGGACAAAAAACCAAACACCGCGTGTTCTCACTTATAGGTGGGAATTGAACAATGAGAACACTTGGACACAGGAAGGGGAACATCCCACACTGGGGCCTGTTGTGGGGTGTGGGGAGGGGGGAGGGATAGAATTAGGAGATACACCTAATGTAAGTGACGTGTTAATGGGTGCAGCACCCCAACATGGCACATGTATACATATGTAACAAACCTGCACGTTGTGCACATGTGCCCTAGAACTTAAAGTATAATAAAAAAATAAAAATAAAAATAAAAAAAGGACTTAATATAAAGCTAGGTTTTTCCTCTGTGTTATCTTAATAAAACCCAAGTTTCTAGAGGGTAACACTCATTTTTAAAAAATATACATTAGGCATACAGCCAAACAGAATAAGTAGTCAAGCAACAACAAAGGATAAAATATAATGGAGGTAACAACAATCTGTTACTCTAACCTAAATAATCCAGTTCCAAATAACACCTTGTATAAAACTACCAGATTTTGAACCTCATAAAGATTGCCTCGGCAGTCCGCATTTTCACATGTCTCTCATTCTTTGATCATTCCCCATTTGTCCTAGAAGCAAATCTATCTCCTCTTCTTACCTCACTGATTCCTTCCCATTCTATATATATCTGAAATAAAAACATCATTTTCCCCTAAATGAGTTTGCTCACAATCCTACCTTCTTTGGAGCTATGCTTCCTTAAATACAGAATCAGGATCAGTTTGAGGCACAAAGTAACCAGTCTGCACATAATTTGTCTTGAAAACACCATATTATCTCATTTACAAGGCCTCCTTCAAACATATCAATTCAGAAATCATTTCCTTAATTATTAAGAAAATGGTATAAAATTGTCTTATTTCTGCGTTTTATAATTTACAAAGCACTTTCACACTATTCTCCATATAAAATATATATGTAGTTATAAATATATGTGTATATATGCATACACACACACATACACACACACAGACAAGTAGTTCTTAGACTACTGATAATATAACTTTGCTTTAAAAGTGAACATACCCAGTATTTGCTTCCTCATTTCCATTTGCTTATAGACATATTAGATTCAGGAATTCTTATGATTTGGGACATTACAGATGAGAATAATAGGATATGAAAAGGCCAAAAAACAAAGGCCAGAAAAAAATTCTTAATACTTTGAATCAGATCTATATTACAAGACTTACACAAAATAAAGCATTTCAAAGAAGGACTAATGAAAGTAAGTAAAAAACAGAAAAGGGGCAGAGTTGTTCACAGAGAATGTTATACAAATGTATTCCTCATTTGCTTTTAAGACTGCTGAAATGAGGTGGAGACTAATAGCAATTGAAGACCAGTTTGAAAAATACTGTGTATATGAGCTATATTTCTATTTCTCAGGCCTTAAATCAAATATAATATGGATACACCACTGTCTCTATAGAAAAGACAGTTATTTTAGTTTCACGACAGAAATGAAAATAAAATTACATCTCAAGGCACTTTTGGGGGGAAGAAAAGTCATAAATGATTAAAAGAGTCACTTAAAATACATGTCCCTGTAATTACAAAACATTTAGAAATTTGCATCTGACATAATTGCAATTGGTAACCAAATTCGATTTAATAAGAAATCATAGATCTTTTGTGCAGTTGACATACCTAATATTTTTTAATGAGCTAACATGAGCTTAAGACAGGCATAATTTACACAAAGCCTAAAATAATTCCTCTAAGTAAGTACTCAACATACCCAACAACACTTTTTTGAAAAGGTCATCTCAGGAATAATGAATACAACTTCATGAAGAGTATGTTCTCTTTGGTTTTTAACTTGGGAACTATTGCTACTATTTATTACACTGTGTTATAATAATACATAATCAAGTACTTCAGGTTATGTAATTATTGAGTCAAATTTCCCTATTTCAACAGGATTAATATGTTGGCACAAAGGAAGCTCTTCATAGGTAAATGTAACTAGCAAAAAGTAAGCTCTAGGTGGGTAGGTATATGTATAAGCATATCTCTTAATTTCATAATGACAATATTTATTATTTTATATACAGATAAATAAGCCAACATTCTTCACTGTAGTCTAAACTTAATCTTTGATGATAGATATTTATAAAAATTACTTAGAAATTCTTTCCTAGGTATCTGACTTCTGCAATAGGCAGCTAAAATACTTTTAAAAATAGTCTAGTTCTTTTTAAAATAGCCACAAGATGTCAGCCTTTCCTAAGAAATAAGTTTCATATACTGCAGTCCCTTTGAACATTTATTTTTGTAGTATACTATTTATATTACCCTTATAAATCAAATTTGAATGCACCACATTAAATTCAGTGAAGTCACCAAATTTGGGGAGATTCAACAACAAATTACAGAAGACCATAATTATCACACACCTAACAATTCAGTTTCATATATAACTTCATTTGATCTTCAAAGTAGTATGGAGACAAAATCTTTGCCAATTAATTCTATTTGTGACAAAAAAATTATTAAGAAGTTGATTATTAATCTGAACATTCTAAAAATAAAAGTAAATATATAAGGCTTGGGTGTGCAAACTATAACGAAACAAACGTGTGGAATTTGTATTAATCTATTACATATATGAATCAATGTTTCAAAAGCCATCACACCACACATGCTTACCTTGCCAACTATCATTGCAGACACATAATTTTTCTCCAGTCAGGTCACAGTAACCGTGATCTGGACTGCCGCAATTGGCTTTACAGTAAGGAATATCACAAGCTTCACCCTTCCAGTATTTATCACATTCACAATATACTTGACTTGGAACAGAGACACTAGTTGTACACTTCCCATGACCAGAGCAATTGTTAGGACAAGAATTGATTCTGTAAAATATAATTCATATATATTCAGATTCAAGGTAATTGAAAAAGAATTTTGGTTGATACATCATAAACTTTATAATTTTTATACTGTGTCCTATGTGCTTATAAATGTAACAGAATTTCACAATGTAGTTTTAATTCTTTACTCTGTACCCTCTTACTCTTATGAAATTGTTAGTATTTATTTGCAGTTGGTCTTATTTTATTCAACAGATTTACTTTGATACCAAGACTCCAAATGTCTAACGACTACATGCTCAACATCTGCAGGATCTGTACGGTTCCAGGCAAAATGTTTTGTAAAGACTTAAGTACTCAATGTTTTGATTGTATATTTTACAGAAAAAAATTAAATTCATGAAAATTCAAAACTATATGAGAAGTCAAGATATAACTTGGTTGTATAATATAAAAGAGCATGCTATCACCCATACACTGTTATTGAAGAAAAGGTATGTTTATCATATTTAGCTTTAAGACTCTTTTTTTTTTTTTTTTTTGAGACACAGTCTCGCTCTGTCGCCCAGGCTGGAATGCAGTGGTGCGATCTCGGCTCACTGAAAGCTCCGCCTCCCAGGTTCACACCATTCTCCTGCCTCAGCCTCCCGAGTAGCTGGGACTACAGGCGCCCGCCACCATGCCTGGCTAATTTTTTTGTATTTTTAGTAGAGACAGGGTTTCACCGTGTTAGCCAAGATGGTCTTGATCTCCTGACCTCGTGATCTGCCCGCCTCGGCCTCCCAAAGTGCTGGGATTACAGGCGTGAGCCACCATGTGATTATATTCTACTATATATTTGTTCTCCCTTGCATACATACTTGGATACGTTGTAGGATAAATAAATTCCATAATAAATTGCTGATTCAAGGATATTTATAATATTTCTGGTGAAAAATTCTCTGGTTACCAATTTCTACATTCTGAAGAAAAGAAAAAAATAATATATAGACTTCCTCTCTAGCCATTCCTGTGAAAGCATCTCTCATTACTTCACCCTCAGTCTTCTAGATATAAAAATGTATATAAAGTATCAGGCATATAATAGATTCTCAATGAATATTACTTTTCTTATTTTAGAGGAGATAGTGGTATAGCCACTTAACTCTTAAGCCACAATTTCCTCATGTGTCAATGGGAAATATACCCACTTGACAGAATTGAAGGTAATTAAATGACATAATGTATGCATAGCTTTCAGTACAGTCTCTGCAATAGGGACTACAAAAACTTAGCTCCCATAATCCTCTTCAAATTACAAGTGATATACCTTAGAGCACTGAAAGGCAGTTCACAACTCCCTGCAGTCTCACCACATCTGTTGCTACCAGTAAAGCTACACTAGTACTTGTTTACTTAATCACTTGCCAAAAAACAATTGTCAATTTCATAATTAATTTTCAACCAAACTTATAGGTTTAGATCACGTTTTGTGGCATATTATTAAGATTTTATGTCACTTAAGAAGGGATCCTGCCTACTAATTTGAAATTTAACACGGTAGCCTGCTTCTGGTATACAAGACATTAATAAAAATAAACAAAAAAAACCTCTTTTACATTAAATTACAAGAATCATTAAAAGAAGGAATTTTTAAAAAATACTTACGAATAGAAAATGTTGAAACCAGTTAGATTATACGCAGCATCACTAAAAAAATGTAACAGTGCATAGCCAGATGTAGTAACAACTTCAGGCACAGTTTCATTGCCCCTTATTTCAGGGACTATCAAACCACTAAAAGAGAACAAAACTGAATATTGTATGTATAGATATACATAAGACTGTTAAGCACATAAAATTTACTCAGAAATATTCTTACCAGGATCAGTAATGCTTGTACGTCAGAATGGGCAACTAAAAGGAGAATACATCTAAAAGAAGTCCCTATCCATTTCTCACTAAATTAGTTCTACTACTGCTGCCAATACACTAAAATCTACTCTCATGCCACTGTACCCCATTTTTTTTCTTATCACTATTTGTAAGGCAATGTCTCATTTCTCCTTTTTGTCCTGCTATCCATCCTGTCATAATACTACAGGGTAGTCTTCCACTTAATTCATATAAAACTTCACTTAAAGTCACCTTGCTACTCTAATAAAACCCTGTACCTTTACTCATTCTGATTGGTTTAAAAATCCGATGAAGCTGGAAGACACTCTACATCAGTTAAGCAATTACAATTACATTCTAGTTATAGCTGTACATTTCCAATACATTTATCTAGGTGATTTAAAATATTTACTTCAAAAAATTTAAAACTATATAGACTTTAATGTTTTTCTAATTTTGCATATCTATGCAAATTGCATTAATATATAACTATTCCAAGACAGAATATTGCTCACATAAGCCCATAAGCACACAAACAAAAACTTGGGGTGGGGGAGATATAAATGTACAAAATAGTTTTAAACTGGTAACTTGTACTTCTTTTTAAGGATACTTGTTCATGAGGAAAATTACCTATCTTCATTTAGTTATATGTTCTAACCTCTCTAAATCTATGAAAACATGCAATTGGTGAAAGAAAAGAAGCTGCTAACAAACAAATTATATAACTCGACACGGTCAATTCCTTTAAACAGTTAAAATTATGTTTAGGTACCACTAAGAACTGAATTCCCCCATTCAAATCATATTTGACACATAAATGAAATATTATAGTCAAATAATTGATTTAGAAAATACATTCTCAAATGCAAACAAGTTAAAAAGTAATCAACTCTTGATTTAACGCTTTAGTAATTATTATTACATCTACTAGGTTATGTTTGTGAAGCAACAAATGATTTTAAAATGAGACTCTCAAAACAATACAAACCCTATGACACCAGTCTTAAGTTATACATACATATTGTTCATTGTAATAAAATTATATAAAGGTGAGTATTACTAAAAATAGGTCTTTATAATAGATACAGCTAGTCTCTGAGCGCTCTCTGAAAAAGATAAAAAGAATAGGTCTGGGCCAGGCGCAGTGGCTCATGCCTGTAATCCCAGTACTTTGGAAGGTGGAGGCAGGCGGATAACGAGGTCAAGAGATCAGGAACATCCTGGCCAACACAGTGAAACCCCATTTCTACTAAAAATACAAAAAAATCAGGTGGGCACGGTGGTGCATGCCTGTAGTCTCAGCTACTCGGGAGGCTGAGGCAGGAGAATCGCTTGAACCTGGGAGGTGGAGGTTGCAGTGAGCCGAGATCACACCACTGCACTCCAGCCTGGTGACAGAGCGAGACTCCGTCTCAAAAAAACAAACAAACAAAAAAGAATAGATCTGTTTGGTTTTTTGTTTACAAGTATTTTAAAAACAATAAATAAAAGAGAGTTTCCACTTCCTGTATAATACACCAGGAAATTCGGACCAACTGAAATCTAGTAAAATGACAAATTATATAAAAACAAAAAAATCAGCTTGAAGGCCTGCCCAGGCATTGAGGTCATTTACCCTATTGGCATTTGCTGATTTCAAGGCTGGAGGTAAGATTTGAAGGGCTAAAAAAAACTCGGTGGTAATTTCAGGGATTTTACAGAATGAAGGAAAGAAAAAGTGAAACACAAGGCCTTCACGTTGAACTGGGACTCCAATGGTTGGAAGTGAAAGCAAACTACCTAAAGTTAGGCCCTCCAAAGGACTGCACTGCAGCTGAGCTATGAATCACCTCAGTATCTGAGTTTGGATTGAGTTGAATATGGATTGCGAGTGTCCCCAGGTAGTCTCTGCAAGAATATAATCTTTCTAGGCCTCAAATTATTACTATATATGATTTTCCAAACAACAACGTCCAACACACAATTGTCCAGCACACAGTAAAAAAAAAAAAAAATAACACTTCTCCATTCCAATGCATTCTCCACATTCTAAAAACTCTTGCCTACAGAATAAAAGCCCAACTTCTTTAGTGTGGTGTACAAGCAAGCAATATTACAGTGATTAAGGGATTAGGACCTATAATTACATAACCTTGATTCATATTCTGACTTACCAGCTAGGCAACCTTCGGGCCACTCACAGAAAATCTCTGTGTCTCAATTCTGCATTTGTAAAATTACAATATTAATACCTACCTAAAGGTTATTTTGAGGATTAAATAAACTAATGCATATAAAGAACTCCTGTACATTGGCACAAAATGAGCACTAAGTAAATGTCACTGATTGCTGTTTTGGGGTAATGTGACTCCTACGTATCCTTCACAGTTCCTACAATCAAGTTACTCAAAACTTTCAACTATTGCCCTAAAATATAATGCTCTTTAATGTGTCTATACCTTTGTATATATGCTTTTCTCTCCCTAGAATGTCCTATCTGACCCCCATACTTCATACTTTTACTCACGATGAAAGTCAACATGAAGGATTAGTTATTTATTTTGAAATTATATAGAACTCCTTCATAACCTGATTGTAACACTAACTAGGCTGTGTGAAAAATCTGTTTACATACCCCCACTAATGCATGACTACTGCATACTAAAGAATTTGGCTGGCTTTTGTCCCCAGTTCTTGGGACATAACCTCTAAATTCTTGAAATTTCCTGAGTGATGGGAGTGTCTTCCTATTCATGGTGAGCCCTGAAAATTTATGCCAATGAGGTGACTCATGGTGGGCCCCTAATTAATTTAAGCTAAAGATATAATTCAGAATAGGGGATGGCCACTCCAGAAACACTAACCATGTGATTAAAATGTTGGGGCCATATGGTATTAGCCTAACTTCCCGAGAGAGAAGGGGATGGGAGGGGCTGGAGATTTGAGTTCAGCCTCATGGCCAATGATTCAATCACTCATGGCTACATAATGAAACTTCAATAAAACTCTGGACACCTGAAGCTCAGATGAGCTTCCCTGTTGGTGATACATGTTGATGTGCTGGGTGGGTAACACATTCTGAGGACCCAGAAGCTTTGCATTTATGATCCTCCCAGACCTCACTCTATGCATCCCTTTATTTGGCTGGCTCTGATTTCTATCCTTCATGATAAAACTATAGTCATAAGTGTAGAACTTTCCTGAGTTCTATGATAATTCTAGTGAATTATCAAACTTTTAGGACAGAGTAGGAACCCCTAAATATGTAGCCAGATGGTCAGAGTAGGTGGGGAGCACCAAGCTTGCAGCTAGTGTCTGAAATGACAGCAGTGTTATAGAGCAGCAATCCCCAACCTTTTTGGAACCAGAGACCAGTTTCATGGAAGACAAAATTTCCACAGACCGGGGGAGGATGATTTTGGGATGATTCAAGCATATTACATTTATTATGCACTTTATTTCTATTATTATTACATTGTAATATGTAATCAAATAATTATACAACCCGCCATAATGTAGAATCAGTGGAAGCCCTGAACTTGATTTCCTGCAACTAGATGGTCCCATCTGGGGCTGATGGGAGACAGTGACAGACCATCAGGCATTAGAACCTCATAAGGAATGAGCAACCTAGATCCCTCACATGCACAGTTCACAGTAGGGTCTGTACTCCTATGACAATCTAATGCCGCTGCTGATCTGACAGAAGGTGGAGCTCAGGCAGTAATGCAAGCAGTGGGGAGCAGCTGTAAATAAAGATGAAGCTTTGCTCACTTGCCCGCCACTCACTTCCTACTGTGTAGCCCTGTTGCTAACAGGCCATGGACTGGTACGGGGATCTGGGGTGGAGAGGAGACCCTTGTTGTAGAGGACTGTGCTCTTAACCTAGGAAATCTGTTCTAGCCCAACTGCAGGTAGTTGGTGTCTAAAGCCACTGCGATAGCCTATGCCTTCTTCCTTACTATGTACTCTAAGCCTGTGACACAGTCTCTGTAATTAAATGTTGAGTAATAAATATTTATACAATTGAAGTAATTCAAACATATTAGATTCTGAATTCTTAGCAAGATGAAGTACAAACAGCATATGCTTTTAAATCAGGAGATTGAGATTCAAGTCCTAATCCTAGCTCTACCATCTATTAGAAGCAAATAACTTCTCTGAATGTCAATTTTCTCAACTGTAAAATGGGGATAATAGTACTTAGTACTCCCCCAACGAGATCTTTGTGAGGATTAGATGACATTTAAACTGCCTAGCCTAGTGCTTAACATCAAGTGGATATTCAATATCAATAAACATGAGTTTTCCATTTCCCTTAGGAGGGCTAACAAGAACACTTGCTAATGAGAAATCACTAATTCCATCTTCACAGCCATATACTAAATCTCACCTGCTAATTATCTTCCTTTAATAACAAGAAAATGTTGGTAAGAATGCTAATGGATGAGTATTAATACAAAGTAATTAGAATTACTAGACAAACAAATGAACAGGCACACATCTAAATGATGGTCAGTCAACGGTATCATAAAAATAGAGTAAAGATAGCAAAGTGATGTTTAAATTGCTAAAAATAAATGTATGAACTGAGGATCAAATTTAATTGTTACAATAAATTATCTTACAACCTAATTATTTGCAAGGCTCCACTCTATTTTCTCTCTATTGTCCTTAGATGAAGGGCTGCTTATGGCTATCCTTTTTCTAATGTTCAAATGACTCAAAAATGTAAGCAATAGCAATATCATAGAATAAGTACCTAAGCTCCTAAGGAAATACAAGTCGTTACATTTTTGTCCAAAATAATAATTCACATTCCTGATAAAATAGAACAAAATAAAATGTATTAGAATAGAATGAAATAGAATATTTGCCACATGAATAATAAAAAGAAAAATTGGAAAGAAAATATTTTGAAGGGACCAATAAGCTTTTATCCATACTTAAATTTCCAGCAATGACAGAACATATAACAGATATTGTATAAATAGCAAAAGTAAATAATATAATGAGTAACTTATCAACAATCATGTTAAATTATATATAAAATCTATACATGTTCATAATTTTTTCTGTGTCTAATAGATTTTCTCCTATTCACGAAACTTTTTATAATAATCTAAACATACACAAGAAAAGATTTTTAAATTGATACAATGCTATAATTTTAAAATTAATAATCTACCTTACGACTAACAATAAAATATTTTGAAACAAATAAAACTCTCACATTTTGACAATTGGTAGAAACTCCATCTTTATTAATCATTGCACAAAGCATAACTTAACCCTTTTATGCAGAATTTAAAATTTTACCATTTCACTAAAATAAAAAAACAACTATTAAAAAACAAAACTTGTCTATTTATTTGTCAGCTAGAACTCACGCTAATATATCCAGATAGTTCTGAAAACATATTCAAGGCACTTTAAAAGAATAAACTAAATACAATGAGAATAAAAAATATTTAGAAAGAAATCTATATTTCCAATATAGTACTTATTTATGTTATATCAATATTTACATAATTATTACCTAAATTGACAGTTACAGCACATAACAAAGTATTATAATCATCTGTGAAATGTAACTATCAATATCTTTACTAAATTTATTTTGCAGTACATATCAATATATATTTAAAGAAGCAATTACACAGTCACTTTTCTGCAACTGATTAAATATAATTACTCACCTAAGTACAGCTATTAAAGGTGCATATATTGAATCTCCATCATAAACATACATATGATCCCAGCTACATTCTGTAGCAAAATGATTGAATCTTAATCTTAACACTGCATTTGGACTGAAAATGAATATGAAATATTTTTCAAATTAAAATATACAAAGCACAGAGTGAATAAATACATAATATTTATTATATAATATACAAAGCACAGAGTGAAGAAACTTTAGATAGGGTATTTTATTAGAAATCTGTTTATAGATAATTTTGCTATAAATCCTTATCAGGGTGAAAGATTGATAAGCCATCATATCTAATTTGTACAAATAAAATGTAACTTTCAAAATCTATTAACAGGACATATGTATGTATCATTGTTTTCTAAAAATGTAGTCAATAAAAAATGTTCAGCCAGGTGCAGTGGCTCTCGCCTGTAATCCCGGCACTTTGGGAGGCCAAAGCAGGCAGATCACGAGGTCAGGAGATCAAGACCATCCTGGCCAACATGGTAAAACCCATTTCTACTGAAAATACAAAAATTAGCTGCGCATGGCGGCATGCACCTCTAGTCCCAGCTACTCAGGAGGCTGAGGCAGGAGAATTGCTTGAACTCAGGAGGCAGAGGCTGCAGTGAGCCGAGATCGCACCACCGCACTCCAGCCTGGGTAACAGAGTGAGGCTCTGTCTCAAAAAAAAAAAATCTTTCTCTTGATTGAAGGCAGAGGTTACATAGACTGTATACATCACTGAAACCTTATGGAACTGTACACTTAAAAATGGGTGCATTTTGTTGTATACAAATGGTACTTAAATAAAGTTGATTTTTAAAAATCAACACTCAAGAAGCCACTATTCTTATTTTTACAGAACCCTTAAGTTGGAGGCACTAAAAAACTATTTAAATTTTAATCAAAATTCTCAATGTGATATAATGTTAACAAATAAACAAAATGTAACTACAGGTGCACAGCAGAGAATGAACAGCTTTTAAGTTAGAAAAATTTAAATACAAAATTTTCCAAATATACTCTTTAGAAATTACAAAACAGTTCAAAAATAATTCATATCAATTCTTTTATGCTCCATTCACAATACATTTAAATAGATAGATTGTTTCAAGCCCTACTTACTGAAAATACCTCTAAATGAATAATTAACTCTCTCTTCTACAAAATGTTCTTTTAAAAATACCCTTTGAACTAAAATGCTAAATTATATGAATAGCATAGCTCAGCAAGAAATACTTTTATAATTTCTAAGTCTTCAAATTTCATAACAAGATGTTCAAAATAAACCAAAAAAATGCCTACTCAATTTAATACCACAATAACATAACTCAAAAACAAAATATATATAAAAATTAAACTACTGTCACAAGTGAAGAGGTAGTGTAATTTACATTAAATGTGATGTCTAGAAGTTGTAAATATTATCTAATAATAAACAAACTAAATGATAAAGTAATTATACTCTAATGCTCTGACATTAATATGATCACCTTTATCATTTAAGAATAAAATACATTAATTTGACTCAGACTGTATACTTACTAGCCTTCAATGAGCCAAGTACATTTAGTTTTATATTTATAGTTAATTGGGCCATCTGTTAAATATCCAGAAGGTTCTGTTAACCTGGAAGAGAAAATAAAATAATGAAAATAATTACCTTAAAATAACTTTAAGACATATAGCAGGATAAGAAAATTTAAAAGTCATTAAGCCAAAGGAACGGGACATAACAATTTTCAAAAAGGAGGATTTATTTACAACTTAGGAAAATTTCAAAGTGCTGTATTTTTCTCTGCATCTCAAAAGATACTTATTTTGGATTTCTTTAAATCTTAATATATCATGACCATTTCAATTTACGAAGCGAAAAAAGACACTGAAAGACTGAACATAGTACTGAAGGATTCAATGTTGATGCAAAATAGAGTAAGTTAAACTTCATCTGCACAAAAATTAGGTTGAGGCAGAAGGAAGATCAAATACAAATCTATGGAATAGAGAAAAAGTATACGTATGTTCCACTTTGGGGAGTTAGCATGTAAGCTATATTTTTTCTTCATGTACTGGTATTGCTAAAATAGGTGTCACCAAACTTGAAAGAGTTCTGCTATAAATATATTTTTTATTATCATTTTCTCCTGTCTACTTTACATCTAGTCCAAGAACTCAATTTTTAAAACAGGACAAATAAAAAAAATTGTATCTTCTATTTTATGCATAAAAAAGAAAAAGATATTTGGAAAAACTCTATTTTCAGAAATTAAAAATCTTTAAAACAAAAATCTCAATTCTGCTTCATTTTGTTTTTTTTACTTCCAGCCCAATTATTTTATCAAGAGACCATATTTTAAAGAATTAAAATGTCTTCCCATTTAACATTTATATACTATACTTATATATGCAAACACACACACATCACAGCTAATCAGTTTTTACATATTCACATAAACATACACACACACACATATACATATCAGGGCCATTATCTACTTTTAGATAAAATTAAATTTTCCTTATAGTATAGAGCCTTAAATACATTAGGGGGGAAAAACTTTAATTTACCTAAATCAGGGTTGACAGAAATGTCAGTCAATGTTAATGTCATTTGCAAATCTTTCATAATCCCTGCAAATTACTTTTGTAATAAAGTGGCTAATTCATGCTTGGAAAATCTTTGAAGAGCAACAAATTCCTATATTCTCAAATAAATGTAATAATAACTTAAGCATTTTCTACATGTCAGGTACCACTATAAACACAATGTGTTGCCTCATTTAAAAATCTCAAAAAACCTATAAGATAGTAAATAATTAATAACTCCATATTACAGATGAGAAGTCTGAAGCACATTTTAAGTAACAAGTTAAATAACTTGCCCTGATTTTTCACTTCCAATAATATTAATACTAAGTGCAGTAATTCAGAAAAACTCTCCACTGAAGACAACTTAAAAAGTTAAAGGACAATTTTAAAATCTTACAAGTAACAAAATGATAAAATGTACAAAGCCAAGATCCAGAAGTTGCAAATTCTTTAAGAGGAGGCAGGCATTCAGAGATGCTTTTGTTCTGAGAGATTTGCTTATTTAGAAGAGACTGCCAAAAGGTTGAGAGTGCATTTAGTAGCCTCAAGGGGAGAGGAGGACAAAAGTTGGAAGCAATAACCCACAAAACATAGGGGTTCAAAGAAACAACAGGGCACTTTGACTTGGGACATAATGACTTGCTATTAAAATAGTGGTGTACCAGAAGTTAACCAGCCTTTACCTCAACTGTAGGTTAGCTATGAGTCATCTGAGCAGCAGAAAACTCCCAAGTCTTAAAATCGGCTTATGGTGCTGCCAGAACTGCCAATATGCCAAGTCTCCTAACAGAAGATACATGGTACTCTCTAAAGAAAGATAACATTATCCTGGGCCTTAAATTATTTCTATCAATAATTTTCAAATAAAATGTCTAGCATAATAACAGGTAGTTAAGCATATGAAACTACTACAAGAAAACATTGGGGAAACTCTCCAGGATATTGGACTGGGCAAAGATTTCTTGAGGAATAACCCACAAGCACAGACAACCAAAGCAAAAATGGACAAATGGGATCACATCAAGTTAAAAAACTTCTGCACAGCAAAGGAAACAGCAACATGAAGAGACAACCCACAGAATGGGAGAAAATATTTACGAACTATCCATCTGACAAAGGATTAATAACCAGAATATATACAGTGCTCAAACAACTCAACAGGAAAAAAAGCCAACAATCCAATTTTAAAAATGGGCTAAAGGTTTGAACAGACATTTCTCAAAAGAAGACATACAAATTTCAAATACGTACATGAAAAGGTGCTCAACATCACTGATCATCACAGAAATGAAAAGCAAAACTAAAATGAGATATCATCTTACCCCAGTTAAAATGGCTTATATCCAAAAGACAGGTAGTAAGAAATGCTGGCAAGGATATGGAGAAAAGGGAACCCTCTTATACTGTTTGTGGGAATGTAAATTAGTACAACCACTATGGAGAACACTTTGGAGGTTCCTCGTAAAAGTAAAAATTTAGCTACCATACGATTCAGCAATCCCACTGTTGGGTATATACCCAAAAGAAAGGAAATCAATATATTGAAATATCTGCACTCCCATGTTTGTTGTAGCTCTGTTCACAATAGCCAAGATTTGGAAGCAACCTACGTGTCCATCAACAGATGAACAGATAAAGAAATGTGGTACATAAACACAATGAATTACTATTCAGCCATAAAAATAATGTGATTCAGTCATTTGCAACAAAACGGATGTAACTGGATGTCATTATGTTTCGTGAAATAAGCCAGGCACAGAAAGATAAACATTATATGTTCTCACTGATTTGTGGGATCTAAAAAGCAAAACAATTGAACCCATGGAGAAAGAGAGTAGGAAGATGGTTACCAGAGGCTGGGAAGGGTAGTGGTAAAGTGAGGAGGAGGTAGGGATGGTTAAGGGGTACAAAAAAATAGAATGAATGAATGAATGAGACTAGTATTTGAAAGCACAACAGGGTGACTATAGTCAATAATAATTTAATTGTCCATTTTAAAATAACTGAGAGTATAATTGGATTGTTTGTAACACAAAGGATACATGCTTGAGATAAATACCCTATCTTCCATGATGTGATTATGCATTGCATGACTGTATCAAAATATCCCACATACCCCATAAACATATACACCTACTCTGTACCCACAAAAATTAAAAATATATATCCCCCTTCCTCCAAAGAAACATATATTGTAGGAGCTACCATAGTAATCCTTATCTCCCTCTTATAAGTGATGTGAAGGAACTGTTATGCCTCCCTACCTAAGCTAAACAATAGGAGTACCTGAAAACTACACACCCTGTCCCGTCCTATTCAACTTCAGTAGTACAATTTCCCAAACTTAAAAGGAAACTACTCACCACAATCCCTGAATTCCTTATCCTTAGCACTAAAGATCTTACCAAGAGCCCACCTTTTCCTCCACTTACTACAAAAAGGTTTCCTCCTTGCCAATACCAGTCCACTGGAAGCATGGGAGGATGTCACCAATCAAGGTAAAAGAAATGGAAAATTCCTTCTCACCACCAAAAGACATGCGTAAAGGGGAGAAATCTCCTGCTACTTCTATAATAAAGAAAGAACAATTCTCCTTCTTCAGTTTCATGATCTCTTCTTAAACTCCAAGAACCTTTACCTGCATGCCACTTGGGCAAAGCATTCCCATTACATACTTTGGACCTCTTTACAGTCTAGAACTGTTCTTCTAAAATTCAGAAGTCTTGCACTCCAGGACCATACTCTAACCATAAACACCTAGTTTTCCATTTATTTTTTTTTACTTCTTACTCCTAATACCCTTACATTCCAATTGTGTAGTGCTCTCCAGAAATTAGGTAGCACATAGTTCAACTCCCTAAAGAAAGTAAAATAGGCTCTTACATAACTACTATTTCTAATATTATTTCTAATACATATTCCAAGTTTCAAACAACTTTTTTTTAAACTTTCTATCATTCCTCTTCTTGAACTGAGAACCATACTGACTTATTCATCTAGATCAGTACTACATAAACTACTAGCCTGTTTGTGTAAATGAACTTTTATTGGAACACAACTACACTAGTTTGTTTAAGTATTATCTAAGATTGCTAACACACTACGAGGACAGAGTTGAGTACTGGCAACAGAGACCATCTGGCCAACAAAGCCTAAAATATCTACTATCTGGCCCTTTTCAGAAAAAGTTTGCCAATCACTTGTCTAGATGCCTGCCACATATCCATATGCCTTGTCAATATCTCATTCTAGCTGAAAGTAGAGTCCTTAATTAAAAGCATGCTGGGCTGTTTATAACACAAGGTTGGCCACTAATAAATGCAGGAAAACCAGCACAAATATTAGACAATACTAAAATTAAATCTAGTGGGATGTTGTTGTCTATCCTGACTATGGATATATAATTTGACTATGGATATATAACTTAACACATTATAAAAATAAGAAAGTGTGATAGTTTTAATTTACGAAATCTCTGAAACAATAAATCCTGTTTATCACAGAATATAGGTTTAGTCCTGGCATAACCAGCCTACAAGGAATAGTCAGATCCACTCAGGGATAGTCTTTATGCAGGGTGGCCTTTGTAAGCCTTTTTCACATAGAAATCTTTTTTAAAAACAGATTTTCTAGTTAAAATACTATTTATCAGCTTATTAATTCCTTTTTATTTTCATTTCATCTTTATTGACAAATAATAATTGTATATATTCATGGGGTAAAATGTGATGCTTCAATACATGTATACATTGCAGACTGAGCAGATCAGGCTAATTAACATACCCATCACCCCACATACATATTTTTTGCAGCAAAAATATTTAAAATCCACTCTATTAGCAATGTAGTATATGAAATACACAATGCACAATTAGTAACATTAGTCACTTCATTGTACAATAGAACGCCAACGAAATAATAGAACACTTATTCTTCCTAATTGAAACTTTGCACCCTTTGACCAATATTTTTCTTTTCCCTGCCCAACTGACCACCACCCACAGCTTCTGGTAACCCCCATTCTACTCTCTACTTCAATTGATTCAAATTTTTAGATTCCACATGTAAGTGAGATCAGGTGATATTTGTCTTTCTAAGCCTAGCTTATTTTGCATAACCTAATGGCCTCTAGTTTCATCTATGTTGTCACAAATGACAGGATTTTGTCCCTTTATAGGCTGAATACTATTTCATTATGTATATATACCTCTTTTTTTAATCCATTGATCCGTTGGTGGGCACTTAGGTTGTTTCCCAATATTGGCTATTATGAACAATGCTGCAATGAACATGTGAATGCAAACATCTCTCCAACATACTGATTCCAATTCCTTTGGATATATACTCAGACTGCTGGATCATATGGTGATTCTATTTTCAGTTTTTTGATGAACCTCCATATTTTTTTTCAAAATGGCTGTACTAATTTACTTTCCCCCAATAGTGTACAAAACTTCCCTTTTTGCCATATACTCACCAACACGTTATCTTTCATCTTTTTTATAAGAGCCATTTTAAGAGGTATGAGATGACATCCCATTGTGGTTTTGATCTGCATTTCCCTGATGATTAGTAATGTTGAGCATGTTTTCATATATGTTTTGACCTTTTGTATGTTTTCTTTTGAAAAATGTCTATTCAGATTATTTGCCCATGTTTAAATAGGGGTTATTTGTTTTCTTGTTATTGAATGATTTGAGTTCATTTTATGTCTTGGGTATGAGTCCCTTATCTGATGTATGATTTGCAAATATTTTCTCTCAATGTGTAGGTTGTCTCTTCACTCTGTTATTTCCTTTGATGTATAGAAGCTTCTTGATTCAATACCATTTGTCTATTTTTGCTTTTGCTGTCTGTGCTTTTGGAATCATGCAAGAAGTCATTGCTCAGACCAAAGTCATAGCTTTTCTCCTATGTTTCCTTCTAGTTGTTTTAGTTTCAGATCTTCCATTTAAATCTTTAATCCATTTTGAGTTGATTCTTCTATAAGGGATCAGATAAGGGTTTAATTTCATTCTTCTATATCTGGATACCTAGTTTTTTAGAATCACTTATTGACAAGACTGTCCTTTCTCCAATGTGTATTCCTCGAGCCTCTGTTGAAAATCAGTGGACAGCAGACAGGTGAATTTATTTCTGGGCTCTCTATCCTGTTCCATGGGTCAATTTGTCTGTTTTTATGCAGGTATCACGCTGTTTTAATAACTATGAGATGACTAAAAGTTCATGGAAAAAAAAACAGATAAAAATAAAAAATATAAACTTTATTTTTCAACATAAGTTCCATCAAAGTCAAGAAGCTTTTGTAAGCAATGATACCAGTCATTTAGTACATCCCTAAAGAGCTGAAGGTCCTAGGAATTTAACCATGTCAATGCAGTCTTGTTTACATTATCAACTGAAGAAAAATAGGTGCCCTTAGAAAACATTTTAAGATTAGTGTATTAGCATCCATTTTCATGCTGCTGATAAAGACATACCTGAGACTGGGCAATTTACAAAAGAAAGAGGTTTAATGGACTTACAGTTCCACGTGGCTGGGGAGCATGCACAATCATGGTGGAAGGCAAGGAGGAGCAAGTCATGTCTTACATGGATGGCAGCAGGCAGAGAGAGCTTGTGCAGGGGACCTCCTCTTTATAAAACCATCAGATCTCATAAGACTTATTCACTATCATGAGAACAGCATGGGAAAGACTTGGCCCCATGATTCAATTATCTCCCACCAGATCCCTCCCACAACACGTGGTAATTCAAGATAAGATTTGGGTGGGGACACAGCCAAACCATATCAATTAGGAAACAAACAAACAAACAAAACTCAAAAGGAGCCAAATCAGTACTATAAGGTGGATGCCTAATGATTTTCCATAGAAACTCTCACAAAATTGCCCTTGTTTGATGAAAGAAATGAACAGAAGCATTGTCATGGTGAAGAAGGACTCTCTGGTGAAGCTTTCCCAGGTGTTTTTCTGCTAAAGTTTTGGCTAACTCTCAAAACACTCTCATAATAAGCAGATGTTATATTTTGGCCATCCAGAAAGTCAACAAGGAAAATGCCTTTAGCATCCCAAAAAACTGCTGCCATGACCTTCGCTCTTGACCAGTCCACTTTTGCTTTGATTGAACCCCTTCTACCTCCTGGTAGCCATTGCTTTGATTGTGCTTTGTCTTCAGAATTGTAGTGGTAAAGTCATGCTTCACCTGTTACAATTCTTCCAAGAAATACTTCAAGATCTTGATCCCACTTGTTTATAATTTCCACTAAAACCTCTGCTCTTATCTCTAGTTAATCTGGTCCGAGTGGTTTTGGCACCCATAGATTGGAAAGTTTACTGAACTTTAATTTGCATTCAGAATTGAGTAAGTTGAATTAATTGAGATGTCTATGGTGTTGGCTATTGCTTCTGCTGTCAAACATCAGTCCTCTTCAATTAGAGAATGAACAAGATGATTTTTTCCTCACAAATTGATGTGAATAGTCTCCTGCTGCAGGCTTCATCTTCAACATCATATCATCCCTTCTTAAAATGAGTTACCCATTTATAAACTGCTGATTACTTTGGGGCATTGTCCTCCTAAACTTTTCATAAAGCATCAATAATTTCACCTTCTTCCACCCAAGCTTCACCATAAATTTGATGTTTGCTCTTGCTTCAATTTTAGCAGAATTTATGTTACTCTGATAGGGGCCCTTTTCAAACCAATGTCTTATCCTCCTTAGTGCCTCAAACTTGATCCCATTCAGACTTGTTATAACAATTTGGTATGAGTTTGTTTTGGTGCAAAAAAAATTTGAAATCCACGCAGTTTTTTCATAATATGCATTTTCCATTAACTTTTCAAAGACCAGTCAGCTAGTGTAATGCCTCTAGCTTTGTTCTTTTTGCTCAACAGTGCTTTAGCTATTTGTGGTCTTTTGTGGTTTCAAACAAATTATAGGATTTTTTTCTAATTCTATTTTGATAGGATTGCATAGAATCTGTGGATTACTTTGGGTAATATAGACATTTTAACAATACTCTTTCACTTCATGAATACACAAAGTATCTTTCCATTTACTTGTGTCACCTTCAATTTCTTTCATTAATGTTTTCTAGTTTTCTACATATAGATCTTTTACCTCTTTGGTTAAACTTATCGTAAGTTTTTTTTTGGGTTTTTTTTGTTTTGTTTTTTGATGCTATTGTAAATGGAACTGTTTTCCTAACTTCTTTATCAGATCATTCACTGTCAGACTATTTTAGGCACAGGAAATGCATTCTGACTACTATCTTCCACTACTGTTGTCCTACCTTGCAATACAGATCAGCAGTTGCCTAACTTGGCCCATAAATGAGTGGGTAATTTAATTTTGAGGTGAAATATTAGCCCATTATGGCCACACAAGAAAAAGATGTTCTCCAATTCAGTATTGATATAGTTGATATTTTAACCATTATCTATCTGACTTTGAGGCCTAATTCTCAACTGCTATGGTTTGAATATATGACTCCTCCAAACCTTACACTGAAATTTGATCCCTAATGTCAGAGGTGAGGCCTACTGAGAAGAGTTTGGGTCATGGAGGCAGATCCCTCATGAATGGCTTGGGGCCATCCTCACAGTAAAGAGTGAGTTCTCACTCTATTAGTTCCTGAGAGAGTTGGTTATGAAAAAGGGCCTGGCCGCTCCCACCCCTTGCTTCCTCTCCTGCCATATGAAATCTGCAGATACCAGCTCCCATTTGCCTTCTGCCATGAGTAGACGCAGCCTGAGCCCCGCAATACAAGCAGATGCTGGTGCCATGCTTCTTGTACATCCTGCAGAATCATGAGCCAAACAAATCTCTTTTCCTTACACATTATCCAGCGTCAAGTATTCCTTCGTAGCAATACAAATGGACTACAACATCAGCTGATTCTGAGCTCTATAATTCTAACAAGGATATTTCCAAATAAGATTTTAGCTCATTAATACATTTTTTCCTCAACATTCCCTTCAGCTACTGAGATAACTATACAACTCAAACATTTTTTAATCAGGGAATACTTCTCTTGCACATGGTAATCATTATTTTCAAATTAATCTACTATCTAATGATAAGATCAATCTCTTCCCCTTTTGGCTAAACTTCATCACATCTACTGATCATTTCATAACTTTATGCTATCTGTAAAATAGTTCTCCTATTCACTTTTTGGCTCAAATGGTAGACTGGAAGTATACTGTGCATCAAATAGGGTCAAATAAATCAGATATCTAAAATGCCAGAGCATCTTCCTTTCGTGGATCCAGACAGCAATTAGTAACCTTATGGCAAACATTTTGAGCATTAATTCTAACCATTCATGGCAGACCAAAGAAATCAAAGACAGGTACACAAGGTGTTATAAAAAGCTTAAATTAATAAATGACAATCACCTTGTATTATTACTGTTAAAGATAATAAAACTCAATTGACCATCATGTTTAAAGAATTAATTTAATTTTCTGGTTAACTCAGTATCATTGAAATTCAGCCAGAATAACTTTTTTCAACTATGTATTGCTAAATATGCCCCTAAATTTGTTTTTACTGCTGGTAACAAATTACCATAAACATAGAAATTTAAAAGAACATCCATTTATTATCTCACAGTTCTATAGGACAGAAGTCCCTATAGACTCAGATGGGTATTAGTTGAGCTAGGCTGTTATCCAGAGGCTCCAGAAAAGCATCCACTTCCAGGCTTATTCACTGTTGGTAGAATTCAGTTCATTCCAGTTATATGAATGAGGTCCCAACTTTCTTGCCAGTTGCTGACCAGGGGTTGCTCGCTCTCAGCACCAAGAGGCCACTTTCTCTAGTACTTTCAGGCATGGCTCCCTCCATCTTCAAACAAGCATTAGCATGTCAAATCCAGTTTATGCTTTGAGTCTTTAGCTTCCTCTTCTGCTAGCACCCAGGGGAAATACTCTGCTTTTAAAGGGCTCATGTGATTAGAGTAAGAAAACCCAAATAATCTCCCTCTTGACAAATGACATAACATAATCATGACAGTAATACCAGGGATAAAAGTCAAAAGGGCCATCTTAAAGTTCTGCCTACCTCAGTTTATTTCTATATTTTTGGAAATTATAATATGCTTTGATAACTCAGGATGGTAAAATACTGATATAATGATGTTATGATAAAACATCATTATAAAAATTCATTTTTATACATCTAAAGTACAGATTAGTTTGATTTTATACTGACTATATAAGATACCCTAGAAATTATTTTTTAACAAGTCACAGATACCAATTTGTTTATACAATTTGGCTCTTCAGCCTAAAATTAGGTAATGGTGATGGTTGTACCACTCTCTAAATATGCTAAACATAAGTGAACTGTACATCTTTAAAAGGTGAATATGGTGAGGTGCAAATTGTAACTCAGTAAAGCTCTGTTTTTTGAAAAGTGAGCTAGGTCATGTGTGCTGAACCAAAACAAGTTGATTGCCTCCTAAAACAGAATATTTAATTGTGAGGCAATTCTGAGGAGATCTCAGACAGAAAGGAGGAAAGAGATATTGCAAACTGGAATAACAGCCATCCTTGACATGAAGCAGAGTCTCTGCTATGGTTTGAATGTGTCCCTCCAAAAAAGTGTTGAAAACTTAATCCCCGATACAACAGTGTGGGGATGTGGAACCTAATGAGAGATGATTAGGCCATGAGAGCATAGCCCTCATGAATGGATTAATGCTGTTATTGCAGGAATGAGTTCCTTATAAAAGGATGATTTCACCCCCTTTTGCCCTCCTCTCTTTCTCTCTTCACCCTCTCTTTGCTCTTCTGTCATGCAATGATGCAACAAGAAAGCTCTTGCCAAATTCTGGCCCCTCAATCTTGGCCTTCCCAACAGAATCATAAGCCAATAAATTTTTATTCATTATAAATCACTAGGTCTCAAGTATTCTGTTATAGCAGCACAAAACTGAATAACACAAAAAACTGGTATTGAAGCATAGAACACTGCTTTATCAAATATCTGAAAATAGGGAAGCCACTTTGAAACTCAGCAATAAGTAGAGGCTGGGAGAGTTTGGGAAAAAAAAAGGCTAGAAAAAACTTGTATTGGTATGAAAAGAACATTAAGGATGATTCTGATGAGGGCTCAGAAGAGAACTGCAGGGAAAGCCTAAAACTTTGTAGAGATTACATTAGTGCTTATGATCAGAATATTGGCAGAAATGTGGAGAGTAAAGGGAACTCTGAGGAGATCTCAGACAGAAAGGAGGAAAGAGATACTGCAAACTGGAGTAATAGCCATCCTTGACATGAAGCAGCAAATAACTTGGCTGAATTGTGCCCATATCTGAGTGCTTCATGGAAGGCAGAATTTAAGAGCAATAAGCTAGTATAATGGGAGTTAGAAAGGAATTACTTAGTCAGAGAACAAGGGCATGGGAGTGCTTGGTAAGGCTTTCCTTTTCAATGAAAAGCAGCCCCAAATCATTTTCTAACAAGGAGCAGCCTGCAAGCTGAGAGCTTGCATGGGTGAATGCTGACAGGAACTAAGGACTAGACATTTTCAAAATGGTGGCTCCATCCTCTCTTCTCTGCCAGCCATGTGTATTGTAAGGAGCAGACAAGATGATGCTGATCAACTGGGAAATCCATTTTCATAAGAAGATTATGGTGGGGCAACCAGCCTTCCCCATGCACTATGTAAACTTCATACCTGATCTAACCAATCTGTGACCCCTACAGAAATCAGACACTGCCTCCTCAAACTGGACTATAAAACTCGGCACATTTGCCACCAGCCAGTCCTTTCCGATCAGAGACCCCTCCCTTTATAAAGGAGGCTGTTTCTCTTTCTCTTATCTTCTACCTATTAAACCTCTACTCCTAAACCCCTTGTGTGTGTCCATGCCCTAAATTTTCCTGGTGCATGATGATGAACCCCAGGGTATATACCCCAGACAATGTAGCCACTTCACTAGGATATCTGGTGGAAGAAATTTCTAAGCAAAATATTGAAAGAGCTGCGTGGCTACTTTTAACTGCATATAGTAAAGATGCGAGAAGGTAGAATGATTTAAAAACAAAACATATTATGAAAAGGGAAGCAGAAAGTAATGATTTGGAAAAGTCACAGTTTGTATATGTAAAGAACAAAAAAGCAAAGCATGCAAGGGTGTGGCCAAGGAACCCTTGCATAAGGGGATTAGCATGGATAAAAGGAAGTCACGTGCTATTCATCAAGATAGAAAGAGATCTTGAAGGCATTTCAGAGGTCTCCTGGGCTGCCCCTCCCATCTAGGATCCTGAGATCACAGTTTCCAGAAAGGCATCTATGGGACCTCAGCATTCACTGCCCTGTGCTGCCTCAAGTATCTGCTCCCTGCATTCTGGCACAGCTTCCCTTAGCCTCCCCAGTCACTGTTCAAGCAAACCAGGGTGTGTCTCTGGCTGCAGCTCTGAAAAGTATAGGAAATAAACCTTGGTGGTATCCATCCATGTGGTGCCAATTCTGCAGGTGCACAGACTGCACAAGTTGTGGAGATGCGGCTACCTCAATGTAGATCTGAAAGGATGCTACAGCAGCAGACTCATCATAAAGTACTTGCTAGAGCAATGCCTAATAGGGCCATGGGAGCAGGGCTGCCTCTGAGACCTCAGAACTATAGAGTCACCCATGTGCAGCCTCAGACTATAAGAGCGGCAGGCATGAGCCTCCAACCCATGAGAGCTGCTATGTAGGCTCAGCCCAGCAAAGCCTAAGGGCTGGGCTGCCTGAGGTCTTGGGAGCCCAATCCTCATCCAAGTATGCTCAGAAGGCGAAACATAAAGTCAAAAAAGATTATTCTCTAGCTTTCAGATTTAACATTGTTTGTTCTGTTGGGTTCTGGACTTATTTGGGGCCTGTTACCCCTTTTTTTCTTTTGGAACGGGAATGTAGATCCTATACCTGTCTCACCATTGCACTTTGGAAGTAAACAACTTGTTTTGATTTCACAGGCTCACAGCTGGAAGGGAATTTGCCCCAGGATGAATTGTGCCTTGAGTCTCACCTACATCTGATTTAGAAGAGACCCTAGACTTTGGACTTTTGAGTTGGTGCTGGACTGAGTGAAGGCTCTGGATTAGTGTTGAGAGGTGGGGCATAATGGGAGGTGATTAAACCATGAGGGCATTAACGCTGTTACCTCAGGAGTGAGTTCATTATCAGGGGAATGGGTTCCTTATAAAAGGATGAGATTTGAATGCTTTTGCCTATCCCTTGACCCTCTATTTACCCTCTGCCACAGGATGATGCAGCAAGAAAGCCCTTACAAGATGTCAGCCTCTTGATCTTAGACTTCCCAGCCTCCAGAATCATGAGCCAATATATCTCTATTCATTATAAATTACCAAGTGTATTAGTCCATTTTCACACTGCTGATAAAGACACACCCAAAACTGGGAAGAAAAGGAGATTTAACCAGACTTACAGTTCCACATGGCTGGGGAGGCCTCAGAATCATGGTGGGAGGTGAAAGGCACTTCTTACATGGCAGTGGCAAGAGAAAAATGAGGAAGAAGCAAAAGCAGAAACACCTGATAAACCCAGCAGATATTGTTGAGACTTACTCACTATCACGAGAATAGCACGGGAAAGACTGGCCCCCATGATTCAATTACCTCCCGCTGGGTAATTCCTTTACATAACACATCAAAAAATTCTAGGAGATACAATTCAAACTGAGGCTTGAATGGGAACACAGCCAAACCATATCATTCTGCCCCTGGCCCCTCCAAATCTCATGTCCTCACATTTCAAAACAAATGATGCTTTCCCAACAGTCCCCCAAAGTCTTAACTCATTTCAGCACCCCCAAGGTCTCATCTGAGACAAGGCAAGTTTTTTCCATTTATGAGCCTGTAAAATCAAAAGCAAGCTAGTTACTTCCTAGATACAATGGGGGTATAGGTATTGGATAAATACAGCCATTCCAAATGGGAGAAATTGGCCAAAACAAAGGGGTTACAGGGCCTATGCAAGTCCGAAATCCAACAGGGTAGTCAAATTTTAAAGCTCCAAAATGATCTCCTTTGACTCCAGGTCTCTCATCTAGGTCATGCTGATGCAAGAGGTGGGTTCCCATGGTCTTGGGCAGCTCCGACCCTGTGGCTTTGCAGAGTACAGCCTCATCCTGGCTGCTTTCATGGGCTGTCGTTGAACATCTGCGGCTTTTCCAGGCACATGGTGCAAGGTGTAGGAGCATCTACTGTTCTGGGGTCTGCAGGACAGTGGCCCTCTTCTCACAGCTCCACTAGGCAATGTTCCAGTAGGGACTCTGTGTGGGGGCTCCAACCCCACTTTTCCCTTCCACACTGACATACAAAGGTTCTCCATGAGAGTCCCACCCCTGCAGCAAACTTCTGCCTGGACATCCAGGCGTTTCCATAAATCTTCTGAAATGCAGACAGAGGTTCCCAAACCTCGATTCTTGACTCCTGTGCACCCGCAGGCTCAACACCACATGGAAGCTGCCAAGGCTTGGAGCTTGCACCCTCTGAAGCCACAGCCTGAGCTGCACCTTGGCCCCTTTTAGTCATAGCTAGAGCAGCTGGGACAAGGGACACCAAGTCCCTAGGCTGCATACAGCACAGGAACCCTGGGCCTGGCCCACAAAACCATTTTTTCCTCCTATGCCTCCAGGCCTGTGATGAGAGGGGCTGCCCCGAAGATCTCTGACGTGGCCTGGGGACATTTTCCCCATTGTCTTGGAAATTAACATTTGGCTTCTCGTTACTCATGCAAATTTCTGCAGCTGGCTTAAATTTCTCCTCAGAAAATGGGATTTTCTTTTCTATCATTGTCAGGCTGTACATTTCCCAAATTTTTATGCTCTGTTTCCCTTTGAGAATGGAATGCCTTTAACAGCACCCAAGTCACATCTTGAATGCTTTGCTGCTTAGAAATTTCTTCTGCCAGATACCTTAAATCATCTCGCTGAAGTTCAAAGTTCCACAAACCTCTAGGCAGGGGAAAAATGAAAGAAATTGAAGAAGACACCAAAAAAAATGGAAAGATATTTCATGCTCATGGATTGGAAGAATCAATATTGTTAAAATGTCCATACTATCCAAACCAATCTACAGATTCAAGGCAATCCCTATCAAAATGCCAATGACATTTTTCACAAAAATAGAAAAAAAATCATAAAATATATGCAGAGCCAAAAAGACCCAGAATAGCCAAAGCCATTCTAAGCAAAAAGAGCAATACTGGAAGCATCATATTACCTGACTTTAAATTATACCACAGAGCTATAGTAACCAAAGCAGCATGGTACTGGCATTAAAAAAAGAGAAAAAAAAAGGACACATAGAGCAATTACAGAATAGGGAACCCAGAATAAATCCATACTTACAGTGAACTCATTTTTGACAAAGGTGTCAAGCACATACACTGGGGAAGTAACAGTCTCCTCAATAAATTGTGCTGGGAATACTGGATATCCATATGAAGAATAATGAAGCTGGACCCCTATCTCTCACCATATACAACAATCAAATGAAAATGGATTAAAGACTTAGAAATCTAAGACCTCAAACTATGAAACTACTACAACATTGGGAAAACTCTCCAGGACACCTGGAGACTAGGCAAAGATTTCTTGAGTAATACCCCACAAGTACAGGCAACCAAAGCAAAAATGGATAAATGGGATCATATCGAGTTAAAAAGTTTCTGCACAGCAAAGGAAACAATCAACAACATGAAGAGACGATCCACAGAATGGAAGAAAATATTTGCAAACTATCATTCTGACAAGGGATTAATAACCAGATTATATAATAAGCTCAAACAATGCTGTAAGAAAAAAAATCTAATAATCCAATTCAAAAATATGCAAAAGATCTGAATAGACATTTCTCAAAAGAAGACATACCAATGTCAAAAGGTAAATAAAAAGATGCTCAACATCACTGATCATCAGAGAAATGAAAATCAAAACTACAATGTGATATTATCTCACTCCAGTTAAATAGCTCATATCCAAAAGGCAGACAGAAACAAATGCTGGCAAGGATATAGAGAAAAGGGAACCCTCTTACATTGTTGGTGGGAAGGTAAATTAGTGTAACTACTATGCAGAACAGTTTGCAGGTTCCTCAAAAAATTAAAAATAGAGCTACCATATGATTCAGCAATCCCACTGCTAGGTATTTACCTAAAAGAAAGGAAATCAGTATATTGAAGAGACAGCTGTACTTCAATGTTTTCTGCAGCTCTATTCACAACAGCCAAAATTTGGAAGCAACCAAAATGTCCATCAAGAAATGAATGGATAAATAAACTGTGGTACATATACACAAGGGAGTACTATTCAGCCATAAAAAAGAATGATATCCTGTCATTCACAACAACATGGATGGAACTGGACGTCATTACATTACATGAAATAAGCCAGGCACAGAAAGACAAACATTGCATTTTCTCAGTTATTTCTGGGAGCTAAAAATTAAAATAGTTGAATTCATGGAGACAGAGTAGAATGATGGTTACCTGAGGCTGGGAAAGGTATTGGAGTGGGGGAAATGGGGATGGTTAATGGGTAGAAAGTATAATTAGTATGAATTGTTTATAACACAAAGAAAGGATAAATGCTTGAGGTAATGAATACCCTATTTACCCTGATGTGGTTATTAGGCATTGTATACCTGTATCAAAATATCTCATTTATCCCATAAATATATACACCTATAACGTAACCACAAAAATAAAAAATAAAGAGATATGGGCGAGGAAATATCACCAAAGAAAGATTTCCCTGATTATTTTTTTAAAGTCTACAAACTGGAAATTGAAATTAAAAGAAATACTACCAACTACAATAGCCTTAAAGAACATAAAATATTTTGGTATAAAATCAAAAAATATGACCAGGCGCAGTGGCTCACATCTGTAATCCCAGCACTTTGGGAGGCTGAGGCAGGCGGATTGCCTGAGGTCAGAAGTTCGAGACCAGCCTAGCCAACATGGCGAAACCCCATCTCTACAAAAAATACAAAAAATCAGCCAGGCGTGATGATGGGCGCCCGTAATCCCAGCTACTCAGGAGGCTGAGGCACGAGAATCGCGTGAACCCAGGAAGCAGGGGTTGCATTGAGCCGAGATCATGCCATTGCACTCCAGCCTGAGTGACAGAGCATGACTCCATCTCAAAAAAAAAAAAAAACACTAAAAATATATACACAGAATCTGTATCTGATAACTACAAAAAACTGTTGTAAAAAATCAATGAAAACCCAAATAGATGAAAAAAACATACTGCAATGAAGAACGAGATAATTCAATATTATTTACATATCAATTCTCCTCAAAATGATTTACTAAGTCAACACAATCTCAATAAAAATCCCAGCAAGACTTTTTTAATTGACAAACAGTTCTAAAATGTATATGAAAAACAAAATGAACCAAGTAAATTTTCAAAAATAAAAATAAAGTTGGGGGAATCTCATTATCTAACTTCAAGATTTACTGTAAAAATATACTAATCTTAGCATTTTGGGAGGCCGAGGTGGGTGGATCACCTGAGGTCAGGAGTTAGAGACCACCAGCCTGGCCAACATGGCAAAACCTCATCTCTACCAAAAATACAAAAATTAGCCAGGTGAGGTGGCACATGCTTGTAATCCCAGCTGCTCAAGAGGCTGAGGCAGGAGAACCGCTTGAACCTGACGAGCAGAGATTTCAGTGAGCTGATACCATGCCACTGCACTCCAGCCTGGGCAACAGAGTGAGACTCCATCTCAAATATATGTATGTGTATATATATATACACATATACATACATTAATAAAGTACATACATACATTAATAAAGTGAGGAATTTGCAAAAGGATAGAGATATGGATCAATGGAACAGAAAAGAGTCAAAAAATAAATATACATAAAGACGTCCAATTAACTTTCAATAAAGGTACAAAGACATTAATGAAAAAAGGATAGTCTTTTCAACAAATGGTCATTGGATAACGATAAAGGCTCAGTTTATCAGGAGGACATAATCCAAAATTTTATGCACCTAATAACATAGTTTCAAAATACATGAAGGATAAACAGATAAGACTGCAGGGACAAACAGGTAAATACAAAATTATAACTGAAGATACCCTTCTCTCAATAAGTGGTAAAAACAGACAGAAAATCAGAATGGTTGTAGAAGACTTGAACAAGACTATCAACCAAGTTGACCTAACTGAAATGTATACAACACTCCACCCATCAATAGAAGAATACACATTATTTTCACACGCCCAAAAAAATACTTAACCAAGATAGACAATATTCTGGCCAATAAATTTTAAAGGATTCTAGTCATATAGCCTTCTGTATATTAAATAAGTTGAATGTATATTAATAAAAGTTGAATTTGGAGTTAAAGAAAACTTCAGGCCTAGAGGGTGTCGATGGTGAATTCCACCAAACACTAATGAAGAAATAATGCCAATTCCCTAAAAACTCTTTCAGCAAATGATCAGGAGAGTCCCATGGTGCTCATTATATGAGGCCAGCATTATCTTGTCACCAAAACTAGTCATATATTATAAGAAAAGTGCAGACTAATATCTCTCATGAACACAGATACAAAAATTCTAAATAAAACTTTAACAAACCAAATCCAACCTAAAATAAAAAGGAAAGCATATTGTGTCAGAGGAAGTTTATCTTAGGAATGTAAGGTTGGTTTAACATTCAAAAATTATGTACATAATTCACCATGTTAACAAACTTGAAAAAATCATATGATTATCTCAATGGGCACAGAAAATGCATTTAATACAATCCAGTTTCCATCACTGGTAAAAACTCTTGGCAAACTAGGAATAGAAGGGAACTTTCTCAGTGTGATAAAAGGCATCTAAAAAAAAAACTTACAGATAACATCATACTTCATGGTTAAAGATCAAATATCTCCCCCTAAATCTTAAGTAAGATTGACCACTCTCATCACCTCTATTCATTACTGTAATAGAGGTTCTGGCCAGTGAAATAAGGCAAGAAAAAAAAAGGCATCTAGATTGTAAAGAAAGAAGTAAATATATCTTTGTCTGTAAACAATATAATCATCTAAGTAGAAAGCCATAAGGAATCTGCAAAAATCTACCACAAGTAATAAGTAAGTTTGGCAAGATTGCAAGATAAAAAATCAAACATACACAAATCAGTTGTGTTTCAGTATAATAGCAACAATCAAAAGTGAAAGTTTAAAAAATGCCATTTACAATAGCATCCAAAAATATTAACTACTTAGGGAAAAATCTGACAAAAGAGGTGCAAGATCTATTGACTAGAAATTTAAAAACACTGCTGACAGATTAAACAACTAAATAAATAAACAGATATACCATGTAGGAAACTCAAAACTGACAAGGTATTCATTTTCCCCAAAATTGATCTATAGACTCAACATAATTACAAACAAAATCCTAGTAGGCTTTTTATAGAAACTGACAAGCTGATTCTAAAATTCATATGGAAATACAAAGGACTCAGAGTAGCCAAAATAATTGGAAAAGAACAAAACTGAAAAACACTCCCAGAATTCAAGACTTACAAAGAAACAATAATCAAGACATTGTTGTACTGACATACAAATAGACAAAGAGATCAAGAAACAAAGCAGAGTCCAGAAATAGAAACACAAATATATGAATGGTTTCAACAAAGGTGCAAAGCTACTTTAACAGAGAAAGAATACTCTTCTCAACAAATAGTGCTAAAACAAATACCTATATGCCAAAAAACTGAATTTAGATCCATACCTCTCCCCATATATAGAAATTAACTTAAAATGGACCATAAATATAAATGTAAAATCTAAAATTACAAAACTTCTAGAGAAAAAAAATGAAGAAAATCTTCATCAACTTGGTTTAGGCAGTTTTCTTTTTTTTTTTATTTTTTATTTTTTAAAGACATGGTCTTGCTGTGTTGCCCAGGATGGAGTACAGTGACACAATCACAGCTCAGCTCACTGCAGCCTCCAATTCCTGTGTTAAAGTGATCCTCCCATCTCAGCCTTCCAAGTAGATGGGCTAAATGCGCACACCGCCACGACCAGCTAATTTTTCAAATGTTTTTGTATAGGCAGTGTCTTGCCTTGTTTCCCAGGCTGCACTCAAATTCCTAGACTCAAGTGATCCTCCTGTCTCAGGCTCCCAAAGCGCTGGGATTACACACATGAGCCACAGTACCCAGCCTAGGCAAACTTTTCTTAGGCACAACATGAAAAGTATAAAAGAAAAAAATGATAAACTGGAATTAATCAATTTAAAACTTAGATTCTTTGAAAAATACTGTCAAGAGATTTCATTCTCTTTGCATTGTTTTCATAGACAAGCCGCAGACTGGTAGAAAATATATGCAAATGATATACCTCATAAGAAGCTAGTAATCCAGAAAATGTAAAGAACTCACAAAAATCAGTAAGAAAATTTTTTTAACATGCAAAAGGTTTGAATAAATGCCTATTACAGAAGATATACGGATGGCAAGTAAGCACATGAGAAGATACTCAATATCATTAGTAATTCGGGAAATGCAAACTAAAACCCAATAATATACCATTCACTTATTAGAATCACAAAAATTTAAAAGACTAACCATACCAAGTATTGGTATGGATGTGAAATTAACTAGATAGAACACTGACTCACTGCTGGTGGGAACATAAATGATACAACTACTTTGGAAAACAGTTTGTCGGTTTCTTTAACAGTTACACATATATCTACCCATATGATCCAGCCATTCTCAGGTTATTTCCCCAAGAGAAAGGAAAGCATATGACCATACAAAGATAAAAAGGCTTCCACATGAAACTTCGTAGCAGCTTTATAAGGAACAGCCAAAAATTTGAAACAATCCAAATGTCCATCAGCAGTTGAATGGATAAACAAATTATGGTGTATCCAGACACTGGAACACTATTCGGCAGTAGAATAAACTACTAACACACCATGAATGAATCTCAAAATAAACACGCTGTGTGAAAGAAGCCAGACAAAAAAGAAGTATATAATGTATGATTCTATTTACAAAAAGTTCTAGAAAATACCAACAAATCTATAGTGAGAGAAAGCAGATCAATAGTTGCCCTGGGACAGGAATTGGCAACTAGAAAAGGGAGGGTTTACAAAGGAAACACATGGAAACTTTCTAGCGTGATTGGTATTTTTATGATTTTGATTGTGGTGACAGTTTCAGATGCAAATACATATGACAAAACTTATCAAATTGTATAATTTAAATAAATTGTACATTTTAAATTGTGCTGTTTGACAATTATACCTCAATCTCTTAAAAATTTTGTTTAAATAACTATCAAAATTATAATTAAACACCTCATTTTTGACAATACTAAGAAGGAAAAATAGTGCTATTAGGGCAGTATATAAGGGGTAACCTAGTGTGAAGAGTCAGACAAGCCTCCTTTAGAAACTAGTATTTAAGTGGCCAGGCGCAGTGGCTCACGCCTGTAATCCCAGCACTTTAGGAGGCCGAGGCGGGTGGATCACGAGGTCAGGAGATCGAGACCATCCTGGCTAACACGGTGATACCCCGTCTCTACTAAACAAAAAATTAGCCGGGCGTAGTGGCGGGCGCCTGTAGTCCCAGCTACTCGGGAGGCTGAAGCAGGAGAATGGCGTGAACCCAGGAAGCGGAGCTTGCAGTGAGCCGAGATTGCGCCACTGCACTCCAGCCTGGGTGACAGAGCCAGACTCGGTCTCAAAAAAAAAAAAAAAAAAAAAAAAAAGAAACTAGTATTTAAGCTAAGATTAGAAGGATGATCAGTAATCACCCAAGCAAAGACCAGAGAGGAAAGAGTTCACAGTTACGTGTATAAAATGCACTAAGGCCAAAAGGAATGTGACACTTTCAAGGAACTTCAAAAGGCCAGTCAGGGCAGAGGAAAGGAGGCCTGAGTCTAATCAGCTAAAGGGGCCAAATCATGCAGACACGTGTTCTTGAAAACCATGCTACTATGCTTCTACAAGTAACTTACCTTATCAATTTAGAATCTAAGAAACACTCAATTTAAATTATTTTAAATTCCTACTGTGTGATTATACACTTTAATAATGTAAAAATAATCCATGGATATAAATTATCCATTAAAATAAAACTTTGAAATAAAGAAGTCTTAGGGACAGGGAACATTCAGTTTAAGTTTATAATTACTGTCAGTTTCCTTACAAGTAAAAAGGATTCCAAATATATATGTATTTACATATGCATATATATATATTTGTTTTTTGTTGTTGTTGTTTATTTTTGTTTTGTTTTGAGACGGAGTCTCGCTCTGTTGCCCAGGCTGGAGTGCAGTTGCGCGACCTATGCTCACTGCAACCTCCGCCTCCTGGGTTCAAGCGATTCTCCTGCCTCAGCCTCCTGAGTAACTGGGACTACAGGTGCGTGCCATCACACCCAGCTAATTTTTGTATTTTTAGTAGAGACGGGGTTTCACTGTGTTAGCTAGGATGGTCTCGATCTCCTGACCTCATGATCCGCCCGCCTCGGTCTCCCAAAGAGTTGGGATTACAGGCGTGAGACACCAAGCCAGGCAATATGCATATATTTTTAACAGCTTAGGGGAAGAGTTTACACACTTTATTCTGCCCGTTTTTGTCTATAATAACAACCTAATTCCTGACATTATATCATTACATCTTCATTTTGCTGTCACTACAAATAGAATGCTTCATATATGTATATATAAATTTTTAAGAAGAGTCTCGCTCTGATACCCAAGCTGGAGCGCAGTGGCGTGATTACAGCTCACTGCAGCCTCAACCTCCTGAGCTCAAGGAATTCTTCCGCCTCACTCTCTCTTGTAGCTGTGACCACAGGTGTGTGCCACCATGCCCAGCTACTTTTAAAATATTTTTTGTAGAGATGAGGTCTCACTATCTTGCCCAGACTGGTCTCAAACTTCTGGGCTCAAGGGATCCTTCCACCTCGGCCTCCCAAAGTGCTGGGATTACAGGCCTGAGCCACGGCACCCAGCATACTTCCATTTTAAATGCGTGAAATGAAGTATCCAAATTTGACTAACCTAAGAGGGGTAAAAATATACCCCTTTATATTTGACTAATATAAAGAGCAATACTCTTTATATTTATATAAATTTATATAAATCTCTACTCTACAAAATTAATTCTCAAGGGCTCCCTTCTAAAAGAGAACGTCATTCAAATAGATTATAGCAGAATATTTTCTTGCTTAACATTACACTGAACTATTCAAATAAATACAACTTGAATTAGAGTCTGTATCTTTGATTATTATATTTCAAATATATTTTCCTATTCTCAATCCCAAGTCCTTTAGTCTAGCTTTGGGTGAAAAATCAATGTTCCTTTTGTTTTACCTGTGTAAGGAAGGAATGGCTTGTTATTCTGAGTGCTTTATTCTTTTCAAATGGAAACAGAAGACTGGAATCAATGCTAAGAGAACTGAAGTACCACTTTTGATACTATATTTGCTTCTGCATTTCTTCCCCCAACTATCAATCTTCTATCCTCAAGAAACATTTGAAGAACATTTTTATTCCCTGGCGAAATCCCTATAGTAGAAAAAAAGCTAAGTTACCATGGAGCCAACCAATTAATTTTGACACCTGCTTACCAAGATTGATCAATCATTTTTAATGTCTGTTTGTAAGGTTGCTATCCTTCAGTTTAGAAAAAGATTTTCAAGATAGTTAGTGAAGTGAGATTTTCTAGTTAAAGCCTTTCCCACTGTGTTATTACTTCAAATGCCAGGTAAAACAAGCTACTATCTTCAAATAAACCTTTCATAGGTTTATTTGCATGTACTTTACCAAGAAGAATTCTTTTCTACTATACATAATCCTTCTCTTTAACATTAAATACCAATGTGTTCTTTATCCCCAAGAGTATACATAATAAAAACACAGATCGTTACACCAGTTATATTTACTCTAATTAATAGCTTGTATTCCACAGAGAAATGCAAAAGCATTTACCCAATAGAGTACAATGAGTCCTAGGAAATAATAGCTTCCAAGGAAAAGATGAATACTCAGTGATTAGCTCAGGATTTATTGTTATTTAACAATATCTACATCAAATATCTATTCTTCTTCTACTCACTAATGTATTTTGTTTATGAACACCACCTCTCAATGTTATTTAAGCTAGTTTTAACTTGATCTGTGATCTTTTTAACTGGGACAACATCTGCTAGTGAGGTCACAGGCTGCTGATCCAGCTGATTAACAAGTTCCGCTACTTTAAAATGAAGCTTCTCAGGACTGCAGCAAATTTTGTCCTCTTTAGACAAACGGAGCAAACCCACCCACACAAAAGCCAATATCCCTACATATAAATCAGGCACTCTCCCTATTTATGTAAAAAAAATGTAAAAAATGGATGAGGCTTTTTCACTGCTGACTACCAGTTTACATGTTCAAAATTCTCTCTTGCTAGGTAAAGACGCTGAATTCTACTGTCATAGCAAACGTTTAAGAACACAAGCAAAAAAAAACAACTAACAAGCAGAATTCATTAAGATCTCTTTCCTCATCTTGAAACACTTTTTAAACTTTTAATCAGCATCTCTCCTAATTTTTTTAAAAAGTATTTTTAAAACTACATTACTATACTACCTTTAAAGTATAAACCCTAGAAAAATTTCAACCTATTGCATAAGTTTCATAAAACTTCACTTTAAGATTTCACTTCCAAAACCTACTAGTTAATTTAAATCATAGACTCTACCTAAAATTTTAAAGTGCCATTTTAAAAATATACATTTTTACATTGAGTTTTAAGGGACATTTATTTTAATCAGTAATAGTAAGTTTTTTTTTAAAAAAAAAAAAAAAGGAAAGTATGCTGTGTTTAAAATTCCAGGAAATTGTCCTAGAATACATTAATAAGGTGAACCAGTCTTACCTTTGCCTTAGAGCCCAAGAGAAATTTCACCTAGATTTTGGCTATCAGCCTAACAATATCAGTAATCTACAATATTCAAGAGCCACAAACCAGCCAGCAAACTTCATATTAAGTATCTAGAAGACTAAGAAGCTGACTTTCTTAATGACTGTTACCTGCATGTTGTTAGAAGCCTGCCCCAATATTAAGTGACTTTTGCTACTCCCCTACACTGTGACCCATTGCTTTTTATATCAGGCAAGAATGTAATAAACACCAACCAGTACGAAGAAAGTACCTTCACCTTAGCAAGCAAACTTCTTAGGCTCCTTGAGCTTCAAACAAGCCAAAGCGATGTTCCCGCACAAAAGCTGACAGTGAATTAACCGATCAGAAAAAAATCCATTATCCTCACCACATAAAAACGTCCTTCTATCTAACCTAAAGTCACCTTTGTATTTCTCAATTCAAGATTGTCCTAGCAAATACAACACAGCAAATTCGTTAAAAGTACACATTCTGGAGTGTGTACTGGCTCCAGAATGTGCCAGCTGATTTGGAATCATAACTCGGCCCTTACTACTGTGTAATCCTGGCCAAGTTACTTCAATGTATCGCCTCGATTTCTCTCCGTAAATCCAGCATAATAATTCTAGCAACTCACAGAGTTGTTGTAGGGAATAAATGAGAAAATTGACATAAAGCGCTTAGAAGAGTGTTTGGCACTTAGCAAGTCCATCATAAACTCTACTTATTAACATCACTATGATGACTAAATAAATGTTAGAAGGGGTCACCTCTAGAGAGAAGAGAATGGGGAAAGAGAGAGGCACTCATAGATCATAACTGAACCTTTACACTTTTGTGAATTTTTCACAATGCGCATGTATTTCATAAGTAACTTGGACAATTTCTGATTTTTAAATATTATCCCAAGAAAATGGTGCTGGGCATCATAACTGATTGTGAAAATGTTCGTGCTGAGCAGCGGATCAGAAGTCGCTGCGGACATCTGGAACGCTCGAGAAATGCCTAGCTCCCCGTTGGTCAGGGCTCCGCGCGGGCCCGAGCTCTCCCGGGGCGCCCCGGGGCTGGAGGGGGCGCGGCGCGGGCCCCACTCTCGCCCGCTCCCGCCGCGCGCTGAGGTTCACTCACGGCCGGGGGATCAGAGGCAGCGACGGGGGCGGGGGAGGCCGCGAGGGGGGCGGGGAAGGCCGCGACGGGAGCGAGGCAGGGCTGGAGGTTCGGGGTCCGGCGAAGGCACTTACTTGAACCTGCCCTGGCAGTGCTGGCACTGGTCCCCCACCCAGCCCGGGTCGCAGAGGCAGGTGGAGTTGACACAGCGGCCCGAGAAGCAGGAGCCGGTCCTCTCGCACGGCTTGGACTGGGACACCTGCGCGTAGAGCGCCAGGTAGAGGAAGCCATAGCACAGCAGCCAGCTGTTCCCGTCCAGCAGCCAGGAGGAGGCGCCCCCGCCGCCGCCGCCCGCCGGCCGAGCCCTCCACACCCCCGGGGCCGCTGGCTGCGGGGTACCAGTGCGGGCCCGGCCCCCAGTCTCCATCTTCCCCGGCGCCCCTGCCCGGCGAGACTGCGCTCGCGGGCGCCGACAGGGATGCTGTTGAAGGGAATTCCGGCCGCAGAAAACCTCTCCGCCGCCGCTTCTCCTCCTCCTCACCGGCGCCCGTCCGAGTCCCGCTCCCCGGTCAGGAGGGACAGATCCCAACCGCCGTCGCCTCCGCTCGGCTGCCTCCAGTCGCACTCGGGCATCGCCACCCAGTCTCCCGACCTTGTCCTTAGCGGGCCGACCCCACAGCCGCGGCGTCCCGGACCCGGCCGGAGGCGGGGAGCGGGAGGCGCAGACTGCGCCCGGCGCTCCTGAGGGGACCTGACCGGCAGGAGGAGGGGACCCCGCGCGCGGCCCCGCCTCGCCCGCGGCCCGCGCCAACTGCCTCGGCTCCGAGCGCCGCGCGCCCAGGAGGGCGGGGGCCGAGCGGGCGCCCCGAAGTGGGCGCGCCCAACGTGGAAGGGGGCGATCAAGGAGGCGGCGGTCAGCCCCGCCTCGCCCGCCCGGCGGTCAAGGGCGCCCCGGCAGCCATTCTGTCTCCGGTGCCTCGAGCCGGCCGCAGCGGCAGCGCCGGGAGCCCACGATGCGTGGGGCCGCCCCCCGCCCTCGCGCGCGCCTACACTCCTCCCCACAGGCCCGGCGCCTTGGTCTCGCCCCGCCCCTGACAGGGACCGGGGACTCCCCCACGCGCGCGCGCCCACCCCGCCTGGCCCGCGCGCTGACTGGAGACAGGCCCCCCAGGTGTGGCCCGCGTGCCCTTCCCCCCGGCCGGTGCGGGCACCCCGGCCCCACCCGCACCCCGCGCCCCGGGAGCCCCACGAATGAGAGATCGACACAGGCTTCGCAGCTTCAGCAGAAAAGAAGTCCTTCCCGTCCGCCGTCTGCAGCTGCAAAAGTGCAACGCTTTTTCCCTAGCGCTTCCCCCTTCCTCCGCCCCATCCTCCTGCCTATTTCTTCTTTTTCTCTTAAGAGAGAAAAACTCCAACAACACACAAAGAGCTGAGCATGTGCAGCAGGCAAAAGCCTTAAAGGCACCGCAGTCCGACCACGTTGTGGGGTCAGCGAGGGCTGGGAGGGGCGGGGATTGGGGACTGCGAGAGGCGCGAGGCGGTCTCCGCGGAGGGACCTCCGAGGGGGAGCCATTGCTGCCTCGGGAATAACGAAGCCCGCGCCCCCAACAAAGAACTGCGAGGCTCCGAGCCCCGCGCTCTCCACCCCTTACAGACGCTGCCTCGAAACCGCACGTCTCTCCTTTTCTGCTTGTCAGTGCTCCCTCCTCCATCTGGGACGATATTCTGCCTTGAAAAATATTGCAGCATCGGGGCTTTTTTTCAGAAGAGCAGAAGTGATGCCCACAAAAGGGCCGTTTTCCTTCCTCAGCAGCACTTTTTCTTCTTCAGATGACTTTCCAAGATTGGCTGGCATATTCTGAGATTTTTGTTTTGTACTTTGGTGCCTTCTCTAAACAGTTGCCTTTTTATTTGACCCCCTTGAGAAAGGAAGCCAAACACACATTGCAGCCATATATCCTCGAGTTACAGCAATGTTGCTGGAGTCCCACCAAAGAACAGGCAGTATGAAAAAGAATTCAAAATCCACCAAAGGCACTTCTCACAGAAAAAAAAAAAAAGAAGAAAGAAAAGTTTGTTGTAACTACATAGTCAAAATATTATTGTTAGGATTCAACTCGTGTTTATTTCGCGTCAGTTCTTTTCATGTCTCTTATCCCCACTTGCAGATGAAATCCTCCATTAACCCCATTTTGCAGATGAGAAAGAGCAACTCAGAAAGGTTGAAATATTGGCCAATGGCAGGTTAGGAGTAATGAACTGAGCTTTAGACACGAGGCCTCTGACTGCTGTGCTTTTTTCACTGCTTCTATTAGCAGATGCTTTGTTCTTCCTTCGGTGAATAAAATATACGTGTTGGCTTGGTTTAAAAATACCTCAGCAGTGACTTAAGGAGGAAAAAATAAAAACAAAGATCCAGAAGGAGTTGGCTCCTTCGCAAGGAAAAGAGCAAAAGGAAAACCACGATTCTCGTTGGCATACAGAACAAATCATAATTTCCATAATTTCAGGGTTTTACCAGTATCAAAAATGTCCTTATCAAACCTAGAATTAGGATGCCCTCTTCTTCCCTTAACATCTTTTCCACATCAGGCTGCCCCTTAGAGACTTCTTGAAATGAGTGAAGAAGCAGAGGAGAGAACACTGCAGACACCAGTTAAAAGGAAGATCCTGTTCTGGATCACATCTTTTCATTTCAATGACTGTGAAATCCAGAAGAATTCTTTCTAGTGTCAGCCATGCATGAACACTGTCTGCTGCTTTTCCATTCTTCTCCATCTGCCAGCCAAAGTCAGCCGCATCTTTCTCACATCTAAGGTAGAGTCGCTTTCAGACGTGGGGAAAGTGGCCAAACTCTTAAAACCGTCAGTGAGTGTGAAGGTAATTCAAAGGGTGCGCTGTAGTCCCTTTGACGAGAGAGATCACAGCTCAGTCACATACTGACTGTAGCCTGTATTTGAGCAGAGCTTGCCCATTAAAAATATACTCATAAGTGGGAGTTGAACAATGAGAACACATGGACAGAGGGAGGGGAACATCACACACCAGGGCCTGTTGTGGGGTGGGGGGCTAGGGGAGAGATAGCATTAGGAGAAATACCTAATGTAGATGACGGGATGATGGGTGCAGCAAACCACCGTGGCACGTGTATACCTATGTAATAAACCTGCACGTTCTGCACATGTATCCCAGAACTTAAAGTATAATAATAATTTTAAAATACATATCTTTTAATTGAATAACCACTATAATCAGCTCAGTACTTCACATTACACTGAAGAACATGCAGCCCCACGGGCCTCCTCTCAACATTGCCTTTAGAATCAAGCTGAATATATTAAATTTATATGAATTATTCTCACAAGGATCTCAGAATTTTCACTCACCTTGTATTTTGTTTCTCTCTCAAACACTTTTAGTCAACACTTACTGAGTAACTATTATGAATTTAAGCAAGAGAAAACAAATATGAATAAAGCATGATTTCTACCCCAGATTAGCTTATCTTCTATCAAGCTCACTAGACTGTGAGCTCATTATACAGTTGAGTGTCATATACTTTACAAATGTAGACACAGAAAACTTAAATTATTTTATATGGTCACACAAAAACTCAATGGCAAAGTTTGCCTAGAATCATGAGTTATGTTTCAGTACCTTCTATGATCAAGAAATGTTAAAGCTCCAACATATTTTCTTTTTTTCCAATTAAGTAGGGTCAGCCTCCTAGAAGTGCTATATCATACTGAAATAATTAATAGTATTGGTAATAGCAGTCATAAATCTAGCAAAAAGGTGAAAATTTACTCCAAAGCCATACTGGGGGAAAATTCACCCTACGGAAGTAGGATGAAACTGTTAAGAATTATCTATTTTAAATTCATCCAAGGGGAAAGATAAGAAAAGACTATTTGTTTTCTTTAGCCTTATATCAGGACCGTTAGATATTTTGAGGTGTATGTTTCATTTCCATTCATACTACTTAACAATGATGTTATAATATGATGGGCAAAAATCTGACATCACATCACCAGATTGTTTAAAGGAAATTTAAGTGATTTTTTAAGAGAACAAGAGAAATGATAGATCCAATATCTTTTGATTGCTACTCAAAAAGTAAAAGATCCTATTTGGGCTAATGAACCAAAGCAGACTCTTTTCAGTTGCTTAATTTAAGAATCTCTGTTCTCTGGTTATTGTTCACCCTTTGGCTTATATGAGGCTTCTGAAAGCAACCAAGATAATGAGAACTACAGATAGCGTGGCCTCAAAAGCTAGAAATGCATTCACTCAAAGGGACCCACAGCGAAACTGGGGCAGTATTCTTAAGACACAAATAGATGATGAATGGTCTGTAACGTTAGACAGTTTAAAAAAACAACCATCAAATTTAGGTACTTATTAAAAAATTATTGATGATATTTAAAATGTTTATATGGCTATGGATCTGAAACACCACCACCGTCCCAATCAAAATCTAACATTCTGCTTTCTCTTGGATTCATTCTTTTCTTCCATCGGTTTCCCTTGCTGTCACAGTTGCAAACACACACATACACTTCTGCCAATTTTTCTACTTAACACATTTCAAACATATTGTTATAAGTAAATCCAAGGAAATAAATCCAAAGATTATAAATTCACTATGCTGGGCTACTACATTCTTTTTTAGCTGGGAAATAAAATGAACATCCTTAAACTTTTAATCCTAAATATTCAGTCTTGTCACCAAAAAAAGTTGATTGCTAATAGCCAATTGCAGAAACTTGTCTTTAGTGAAATCTAATTCAATAAAAATATGGGCTAGGGCTTCCTGATAAACAAAGTAGATCAAGTATGTGCATTTACCTCTGCTCCCTCTGGAAACTCTGCCAACATGATAGGAAAGGTTTTTGTTTTTTGTTTTTTCTTTTAATTTTTTTCAGGTATAAACTCACAATGATAAAGAAAATGAGAAAACAGCCAACTTGCAGATGAGAGGTGACAAGGCATTTGGAAGTGTCAATGAAGGAGAAAAGTGAATTGAGACGTAATAACTAAAACATACACACCATCAGAGATAAGTAACAACAAGAAACAAATCTGTTTCTCCCAAAGATCCCCAGAAAGCCTCAGGACTCAGATGCAAGAGTTACCAGGAAGGCAGAGGTGGGGCTCTAGGATAAAAATAAGGGGAATGGTTGAGAGCAGAATAAGGACCCATACTCTCCCTCTCATCCCAAGAAGCTAAACACTACCCCAAACCCAGCCCTGACAGAGGTTTAATCTCTTGAGAAATTGAATCAGAGGCTCCAGACTTGGAACACCAGGCAAGGTAGAAGGAGGGAGTGAAGTATACAGCTGGAACTTGAGAGACTAAGTGAAAATCTACATAATGAATGATAAAATTTCCCTGCCATCTTTTCCTCCGGTTCCCAGAACATCAATAATCAAATGAATAACCCCCAGACAGAAAACTGAAGGATATTTATCTGCAGACGTTTAATGGTTCCAAGACAAAAGATACTGTCATTTGGCATCTTCCAACCAAATGAAAATCCAGCTTCTGGATCACTATACAGTGAAGCCTGATAGTTAATAAGCTTTGCCTAATCCTTTTTTCCATAATTTTCTCCTAAATAAGGACAGTAAATGTTCACTAGACATAAAAGATAGAAACAAAACAAAGAAAATGAAATTAAAGGAAACAAAGTCAAATGATACGCAAAGATTGTGCACCATAAAACAAAAGTGGATATTCTTTAAAAATAATAATAATAAGGGGACAATCAGAAAACAAAAATATAAATAAATAAGTAAATAAATAAGCAGTAACCAAACTTAAAATGCAATAAAATTTGGGAAAATAAAGTGTAGGAAATTTCCTAGAAATTATAATGAAAAGGTAAAGAAAGTTTCTCCTTTATCATGAAGGAAAAACTAAGAAAATTAGAGAATTCATGAATAGATAGTATTTTAAATTAAGCATTTATACTATGAATGCATGTATTAATATGAGAGTACATTAATACACAACATATATAGGAGCAGACAAAATTTGTTTATATCAGTTCATCCTAGTATTAACATGAGGAAATTTCCCAGAACTAAACTGAACCCCCAGATGAAAGACCCACTGCAACATAAAACACTGAATAAAAAGACTCACACCTGTAATCCCAGCACTTTGGGAGGCCGAGGCGGGCGGATCACGAGGTCAGGAGATCGAGACCATCCCAGCTAAAACGGTGAAACCCCGTCTCTACTAAAAATACAAAAAATTAGCCGGGCGTAGTGGCGGGCGCCTGTAGTCCCAGCTACTTGGGAGGCTGAGGCAGGAGAATGGCGTGAACCCGGGAGGCGGAGCTTGCAGTGAGCCGAGATCCCGCCACTGCACTCCAGCCTGGGCGACAGAGCGAGACTCCGTCTCAAAAAAAAAAAAAAAAAAAAAAAAGACTCACAAATTGAAGGGGGAAAGACAAATGCAATGGATTAGAGGAAGAATAGCATTAAAATTCTCAACAACAAACCTGAGATGTAAGGGAAAAAGTAGATATATAAGGGAAAATTATTTTCAACCTAGAATTCTATACCCAGCCAAGCTATCAGTAAAGTATGAGGATAAAGACATTTAACAGTAAGATATGAGGATAATGACACACAAGCATTTATAAAATTTATCTCCCAGTGTGCCCTTTTTTAGGCTACTACTAGAAAATATAATAAAGGAAGAGACAAAACAGAAGAGAATTGTGCAGGGACATCTCAGGATGACATACAGCTGTGCCCCAGGCCAACAGAATAATCAATCTAACCTGGAACAGAGGGCTAGGGAGAGAGGTATCCATGAAGATCATGGATATGAGTTGATATGATTTGGATCTTTGTCCCCAGCAAATCTCATGTTGAATTACAATCCCCAGTGTTGGAGGTGGGGCCTGGTGGGAGGTTATTGGATCATGGGGGTGGAGGTATCATAAAAGGGGTTAGTACCATCCCCTCAGTGCTATTCTCGTGATAGTGAGTGAGTGAGTTATCATGAGATCTGGTTGTTTAAAAGTGTGTGGCACCTCCCTGCTTCCTCTCTTCCTCTTGCTCCAGCCATGTAAGACATGCCTGCTTCCCATTCTGCCATGACTGTAAGTTTCCTGAGGCCTCCCCAGAAGCAGAAGCCAATATGCTTCCTGTACAGCCTACAGAACCGTAAGCCAATTAAACCTTTTTCTTCATAATTTATCCAGTCTCAGATATTTCTTTATAGTAGTGTGAGAACTGACTAATACATGAGTATTTGGAAATGTTTGGACTTTTGGAAAGAAGATTAACAAGATGTGACACATCTTGGAGTATTGAGGGAAGAAATAGAATAAACACATAAGAATTTGAGAAAATGAATAAAATAAGGCAATTGTTGACTAGAAAAAAAATGTACAAGATGTGATCAATACTTGCTTACATAGTTATAGTAAGGTAAACATTGACCATCAATTTAACCAAAAATTAGAATTACCTATTTTTAAAAGATAGAAGCAGGGAAACAGTAATGTTAAATCCTAATTTTTTAGCAAGAAGTCATTATATGTCCAAATTAATACATCCAGAAATAGCAGTATAATCACACTACATTGAAGAAAAGATTTGAAAGCTTCTTACTCTGGGGCATAGGAAAGAAGGGCAGGAGATGTACATTTTATTATAAGGCTTTTAGTACTCTTTGATCGATTGAAAATTAAAAATTCTAAGACAGATAAAAATAACAAATAAATATGTGCATTCATAATAAAATAGAGAGTCATGGCACCAAAGACTCATAAAAACCTGGGTTTGATTCCTAATTCTGCTGTCTATATGCTGGTTACCCTTGAGTGATCCATTAATGTCTGTGCCCTAGTTTCCCAACATATAAAATTAGAGTAGTCAAATATCTATCAATGTTCATTTTAGGACTGAGATGAGGGTACAAATAGAACATATGAAAGCACCTAGTAAATGATATAAAGCATTAAACGAACTTTGATATTTAATGTTCACCAAAAATTATTATTAGGAAGAGATTATATTCCCATGTAAAGGAAAGGTTTACTGAAAGGGATTTGGGTCAATACACATACATACACACACACACGCACACACACACACACAAACACACACACACACATACACATACAAAAACAGGCAAACCTAGAAGAAGAGGAGATAATTTTAAAGATGGATGTAGCCAAAGTTCCTTATTTTCCAAGGTTCAATAAAGTTAAGTGACTTGGCCAAGATCATATAAGTAAACAGTGGAGTAAACCAAAAAAAAATAAACAGCCAAAGCACAAACCTTGAACCAAAAACTCAGAACCAAATGAAAGTTCACCAGAATGGTTAAAGGCATAAATTGAAAGCCCAGCCCAGTCTGTAACACAGCAGATTATCAATAATATAATCTGCTATATTGCTATATTAACTAGCTGATTACAGTTCCTGCCTAAATATGGAGAGAAGAGCTGGAAAGAAAATAGGCATGCTTTAAAAAGAAAAATAGCAATTAGACAAGCAGAGTCAGCAACAGAATATTCCTCTTGAAAATGAAGATGTGAAAATTGGATTCACCAAACCAGGAGAGAGAGTGAGAAAAAGGAAAGGAAACAAATGAAGAAAGGGCATGGCCTAGTGATGGACAAAATGTGTCAAGAAGTGCCTGAATTTGGAACTCCTGAAGCTATTGCAAAACAACTAATAGGCTTCCCCGTTTTCTCCTCCTTGGGATAATGTTGAAAGGGATGAGGACATGAGGAAGATAAAAGGGTCAGGGACCTTTCCTCCATTCCATACAGGAAATCATTTGCTGGCACTTTTCTTCATAAAAGGCCAGGGGGCGGGGAGTTGCTGGGACTCTTTTTAAGAATACAGTTCTGTGAATTAAAATGAACAGAAGTTCAATTTGAATCAAGTAGCAAAAAAGAAAATGTCATACTATTTTATTTTCAGATGTCATAAATTTTCCCTAAGAGATAATTCTAATTTCTCAAGGTAACTCTTATTAGGAATCGCTGCATTGTGTTGTATCATCTTAAATCTAAATAAACCAATTTTAAGTGTCATTGAACATAAAGAGAAGCACTTTTGATTTTGAGAAACAGAAAGGATCGTTTTGGTTGTGAGAACATCCAACAACTGCTACAATAAGGCATCATTCACATGTAGATAAACCAGGTAAAAATTTCTATAATCCTTAAATTGAGGATTGTTTCATGTGCTCTCTGTTTAAAGAAAAAGTCAGTCACAGGAAGTACTTAAAAAACAAAAGCTTCCAAGCAAAATAAACAATTCATAAGAACAATAACATACTGGCTTTTAGAAAGCTGCTTGGGGTTCTGACACAGGAAAATACGTTTATGTTTACAAGGAAAGGAGCATGAAAGAGAATTATGGACCCTCTCAAAGGAGAGACAAAGCTATCAGGATGCAACAAGGTTTTCTTGAAGAGCTCAGAGACAAAAAGGAACCACAAAACAGCACACACATAAAAAAAGAAAAATATCTGACAAATGATAGCCAGGCCCCACAAATCCCGATAACACGACATTCCACTTATTAAAACCATCAGTCTTGGAAGACTTCAGGCACAGTAATTCTGAAAATGTACACAAGTAAATTAAAACCAGGCTTATGATTCTTCTCATTTTAAGTCCCTCACTTGTACCCCTCTGCAAAAGCTGATGTGAAATTTAAAATTAAATGAAAAAAAGTCAACATGAACCTTGCTGATTTTAAGCCAGAGCCCCAAGTTCTACATTTTTAAATTGGAACGTAGTCTAAAAGTCTCTCCGCACAGGAAATGGAAGCATACTTTCCTAGGAAAATTTGTTCCAGGGTAAACAGAAAATGCTATATCTACAATTAGGAAGCATGTGTGACAATTTTATTTATTAAGTTATCTGAACCACTTGGTAGCAGATATTTTAGGACATGTTTTATGGCCATGTTCTTTATTACTGGACACAATCCTTGATGGAGGTAGCAGGAGGTAGTGCCAAGAGAACTGGACAAAGAGCCAGCAGACCCAGTCTCAACAACCAAACAGGGCATGCCTCATTCACCCTGTTTCTTTATTCATAAAAGAGCAAAAAATATTGAGCATCCCTGAACATTGTTGGAAGAATCCAAAGTCCAAATAAGATAAGATGTCAAAATTATTTTAAAAACAGTGAAACCTTATTGAACTGTGTCAGCTTCGATTCCTTTCTCTGCACAAGGACCCAGTGGGGCCATGTAACACTGGTGAACCACAGAGCAAGCTCAATAATTCCTCTGCAGCTACAGCCCCATCGCCTGTCACTGGGGCAGGGAGTGGTGGGGGAGCAGCAACTTCACAGCCCATTGCTTTATGCCTAGGCAAGGTAACTGACCACCTGTGTAGGGTGACTGAAGTGACCATCGGAAGACCCCAGAGAACAAAATACACTGCCCCCACACTCTTGCTATAAACTTGGAACTCCAGCTAAGGATTCTGTCCTTTAGGCTAAAGGTTTAGGGGCACTTGTTCCATTGCGAAAGGCTTTGAAAGGCTAACACATTTTGTTTGTACCAGTTATTAACATCTTACCATGAATGACTTTGTACCTATTCTTGAGAGTAGTTTTCATAACGAATATAAGAAAAATATAAAGATATATCACTTCTACTGCCACCAACAACTCCCCCCAACCCAGCGCACACAGTGTGGACATTCTTTGTTACCTGGCCTCTTAGAGGAAACACTATCTGAGAATCACTAACATCCTCTAGTGATCTTAGCATAATATCTCATCCATGGAGGGAATGCTTATTTTTACAAGAATACCAAAAGAGGGAATGAACACAAAGGAGTTAAATACTAACGGTGAGATTTGAGACAGAGTGGCTCCTGGATGAAAGATTTGACATACATCTCAAGTCAGTTATGGTAGGTAGCTGCTTACATCCCCTAAGTGGAGGTCAAAACTAGCAGTGGAATTTTGGCATCTCTGACTACACAGCGAATGAATCTAAGGGGAGAATTAAAATGAAAGGTTAGGTCTTCACTGGGAAACACTCTTCCCAAACTCAAGTCTGGCAGATATCATCAGCAACAGTTCTGCTATTTTTAATGGCTAGGAGGGTGCTTAAGGAAATGTCAGTCTCTAAGATTATCCCAACTCTCCTCTGCATAAATAATAACATCATTACTGACAGATTCTTGGATCAACCGATCTTCTTTTAAACATGCAGACTAGTCAAAATGAAATACTTATTAGAGAAAGATTGGAAAGGGTAAAACTGAAAATGATCACTCAAAATTAGAAAAAAATTAGCCTCATTAAAAGGAGAAAAAATATGGGCATTCTGAGCTAGCCAGACACCAAAAATATGTATGAATAAACAGCAAAGCAGCAATACTGTGTTGGTAATATGGCCTTTGAGGATGCAATGACTCAAAGGAAACCACCAGAGAAGCCAGTGCTAACCCCCAGTTCATGCTCAGAGGCTTGTAGATCACCAGCAATCCTGGCAGGTCGACAATATTATACCAGCTGGGAACATTTCCTCTGGCTTATGCTCAGTGTATGCCCTGAAGTCTCAGGACTTTCTAATGCTCATTATTTTTGTTTTAATTCTGGTGCTGGAAACGCTATCCTCATTCCCATGAATGCTTAATCTTTCTGAATCATCCTAAACTATCTGTAGCAATTATCCTATGATTGAAGTTCTAAAGTTAATTAAGTTTGAAAAAAGACTCATGAGTTTTAAATTTTTCTGCCTTTTCATTTTATCAAGTGTATTTTTATTCCTTTATTATTAGAAAATGTAAATAAGCATCCAATCATCCTTCTCTTTAACATTTATTATTTTATAGCCCTTATCAGATTTCTACTGTTTTTCTCCCAACTTAAAAGTCCTAGTCATTCACCTTTGGGATCTATCTTGCCACTGTAATTTTTATGACCTCCTTTACACTACTTCTTGTCTAGCTCAGTCATTTTTAAGATGAAGAAGATAAAATGGAACAGGCCATTCAAAATTAGGATGATTATATACCCTGTAAAAATGAATATAAATGTATCATATTGTTTTCTATAACCCTTTTTAGCCAGAATAGTTTCTTATTTACTTAATTATCACTGCTCTTTAAAAAGATGTATTCTTTGAACTGTCCATAATGGTGTCTACATGCTTTTCCTGAAGGGTTATAACTAAGTCAGTACCTGTGAAGATATTATTTAAGTTATTTCCTTCTGAGATGCATTAGAATCATAGACTCTCGAGTTAAATTTCTGCCTTTGGTGTGTTCATCTATCTGGTTAAGTAAAATACCTAGATGCTTCTAGATTTCTAACTCCTTTACCATCTGCACTAGATAATTATGGTGGGAGACAGGCCCTTAACACTTTCTGAAGAAAACTGTCCGGCACATGTCCTCCACTGATAAAGCCCACTTATGCAGCTGTTTTTTTTTTGTTTTTTTTTTTTTTTTTGAGACGGAGTCTCGCACTGTCGCCCAGGCTGGAGTGCAGTGGCGGGATCTCGGCTCACTGCAAGCTCCGCCTCCCGGGTTCACTCCATTCTCCTGCCTCAGCCTCCCAACTAGCTGGGACTACAGGCGCCCGCCACTACGCCCGGCTAATTTTTTGTATTTTTAGTAGAGACGGGGTTTCACCATTTTAGCCGGGATGGTCTCGATCTCCTGACCTCGTGATCCGCCCGCCTCGGCCTCCCAAAGTGCTGGGATTACAGGCGTGAGCCACCGCGCCCGGCCCTGCAGCTGTGTTTTGTATACATGATTCTGCTCTCCTCAGCTGCTGATTAGAACAGAGGCAAGCACCAACCTGCGGGCAGCCAGTCCCTAGGCTCACTGGCAGTTTTACAAGTTGATTGGCATGAAAGTGCCAATCAAACACTGGGATGCACTGGGACAACCAAATTCTCACTTTGGGGAATTTGAATTAAGAAATACAGAAAGGGCCAGGTGTAGTGGCTCATGCCTGTAATCCCAACACTTTGGGAGGCCAAGGCAGGCAGATCACTTGAGGTCAGGAATTTGAGACCAGCCCGACCAACATGGTGAAACCCTGTCTCTACTAAAAATACAAAAATTAGCCACGTGTGGTGGCATGTGCCTGCCTGTAGTCCTAGCTACTTTAGAGGCTACTTGGGAGAATCGCTTGAACCTGGGAGGTGGAGGTTGCAGTGAGCCGATCGTGCCACTGCACTCCAGCCTAGGAGACAGAGCGAGACTCTGTCTCTCTCTCTCTCTCTCTCACACACACACACACACACACACACACACACACACACACAGAAAGAAGTAACTAAAATCAAGAGCTAAGGCTAAAAATTTATGCAGAAAAAGAGAGATCATTAGATAGGGAGGGGCAAAAAAAGACCTGAGTAACAGTTACAAGAAGGTAAAAATTATGAGTAAGAAGAACTTCTGGATTAGTAGCAACTTATGACGTGGAGACATAGAGTAGAAGATGAAGAGATTTCTGTCTACTGGTGATTAGACATAGAGAAGCAAACACTGGAGAGTTTTTGAGTCATATTGCTGGCTAAGCAGTAGAGATTCATGAACTCTTGGTGCTGAGCATTCTAGAGCTGCCTTGGATTCAAAATGGCTATTGAGTTCTAGTTTCAGTCTCTGTTTTTTTAAAAAAAATTATTTTAATTAATTAAAAAATTTTTTTGAAACAGGGTCTCACTCTGTAACCTAGGCTGGAGTTCAGTGGTATGATCATGGCTCACTGCAGCCTCAACCTCCTGGGCTCATGCAATCCTCCCATCTCAGCCTCCCAAGTAGCTGGGTATATAGGCACATGCCACCATGCCCAGCTAATTTTTTTTTTTTTTCTGTTTTTAAGATGGAGTTTCACTCTTGTTGCCCAGGCTGGAGTGCAATGGTGCAATCTTGGCTCACCACAACCTCCACCTCCCTGGTTCAAGCGATTCTCCTGCCTCAGCCTCCTGGGTAGCTGGGATTACAGGTGTGTGTCACCACACCCGGCTAATTTTGTATTTTTAGTAGAGATGGGGTTTCTCCAAGTTGGTCAGGCTGGTTTTGAACTCCCGACCTCAGGTGATCCTCCTGCCTTGGCCTCCCAAAGTGCTGAGATTACAGGCATGAACCACCACCCTGGCCTGGAATTGTGGTCTTAAATAGAGAAATTGGGAAGTGCCCACTGATAAAATGACATCAGAGCAGAAATCCAGAAGGAAGGGGTGGGTGAACCAGACAGTTGGAGGAAGAAGGTCCTAGAGGAGAAGAACAGCAAGTGCCAAGACTGTGAGCTGCAAGTGTGTGTGGTGTGTTTGAGGAGGCCAGAGCACCTGGAGCAGAGTGAGTTGAAGGACAGCATAGCAGGAGATGAAGTTAGAAAGGAGGAGACTAGGGGTAGATGACATAGGGTCTTATAGGCCAATGTAGAGACTTTTAGTTCCATGACAAGCCATTGGAAGGTTTTGAATATACCTACATGTTCTGGCTTACCATTTTAAAGGTTTGTAGGCAACCATTCTGGCTGCTTCGTTAAGATTATACTGTAGGGGAAACAAAGGTGGAAGAAAGGGGACAAATTATTAGGAAGCTATTACAATAATCCAAGAAAGAGATAACAGTGGCTTGGACCAAAGTGGTAATTGCAGAGTGAAGAAAAGTGGTGAAAGTCTAAGTATATCTTGAAGATAGAGGCATCAGAATGTGGTGATGGATTGAATGTGGGGTGTGAGAAAGAGAAGAGTCAAGGATAACTCCCAAATTTTTGGCATGAGCAATTGGAAGGATGAAATTCCTATTTACTGAGATGGGGAAAGCCATGGGAGAAGCAGGTTTGGGAGGGAAGATTAGAACCTCACTTTTGAACATGACAAGTTTGATATGCCTATTCAAAATCCAAGTGAAGATATCGTATAGGCAGTTGGATATTAAAAACTGAATGCAAGGCAGTTCCAAGATGGCCAAATAGGAACAGCTCCAGTCTACAGCTCCCAGCATGAGGGACACAGAAGACGGGTGATTTCTGTATTTCCAACTGAGGTACCGGGTTCATCCCACTGGGGCTCGTCGGACACTGGGTGCAGGACAGTGGGTGCAGCGCACTGAGCATGAGCCGAAGCAGGGCGAGGCATTGCCTCACCCAGGAAGTGCAAGGGGTCAGCGAATTCCCTTTCGTAGCCAAGCAAAGCTGTGACAGACGACACCTGGAAAATTGGGTCACTCCCACCCTAATACTGTGCTTTTCCAACGGTCTTAGCAAACAGCACACCAGGAGATTATATCCTGCGCCTGGCTCGGAGGGTCCCACGCCCACGGAGCCTCGCTCATTGCCAGCACAGCAGTCTGAGATCGAGCTGCAAGGCAGCAGCGAGGCTGGGGCAGGGGCGCTCACCATTGCTGAGGCTTGAGTAGGCAGTTGGATATTAGAGGCTGGAGGTTAGGAGAACAATCGGGGATGGAGATATAAATTTGGGAATTATCAGTATATAGAGTTATTTAAAATATGTTAAATGATGACGCTGGATGAAATCACTCAAGTGATGATAGAGGAGAGAGGTCAAAAGGTTATATAAAATAATGCATATAAAATCTGAATACAGTAGATATAGACTTCTACAGGTTTGGCACACTTCCCAACTCCCTTGTAAAAATTAGGTATTATAACCTGAGTAGTCAGATGGCCAGAACACTGACTGGGAATTTATACTAGTGTCCAGAATCACTGTGTGTTTTAAAAAATTGCACATGTGGATATGGCAGTTCTTTCCCCCACTGTTTCTCTAATCAAGTAGCCGATCAATAAGAGAGCCACTTTCTCATGAAAAAGAAAGAGGGAAACATCATCATTTCTCTTTCCTCTTTGATCAACTGTGCTTGGATTCTCTCATCAGTTTATTTTTTTTTTTTAATCTCAATTGTCATGGAGGGTTTGGGCTTAGGAAGAGAGAAAGATTTCCCTCTTTACCTCTTATCCTGACCTGTGGACCTTGCCTCTAAATCCTGTAATCCAGTCCATTTTACCAGCATATTCTGCAGTGAAGTTTAGGGCACAAGCTCAGATAATAATAAAGTGATACTTTCATTGCGCCACTGCACTACAGCCTAGCAACAGAGCAAGACTCCATCTCAAAAAAATTAAATAAAAAATAAAAATAAAAAATAAAGTGATACTTTGATTCCCTATCTTCCATTAGCCCTTACACGTATATCTATCCCACCTAGGTTACCTCAAGGGGAATGGTGGCTCTACATTGAGGTAGAATTTTGGCATTCCTGGGCCCCACACCTTAATAGTATCAAATTAGTATTAACCCCAATCAGTCAGCACTCAATAAGCATATGTTCTTTTGCCTTAACATGCCAATAATTCCTATTAGAGAGACACTGATCCAGACATCAAAGGGAAGATTTGTTAATAAATAGAAGGCTAACTATTCCCTTAGTCCTTCACTGTGACACCAAACCCACGCTCAACTTGCCTGCAAGGTTAACACCAGAGTCAACACAGAAAGAGAAGAATGATAGAGGTTCAGGTGAAGAAATTATAGGAAAAGTAGGGAAGTGGATATATGCAGGTCTGCTAGCTTGTCTGATAATGTATATCTAGTTACTTGCACATAAGAATGTGGGCAAATCTAGAAAAAGAGGTGCAAGGATCATGGAAGAAAGGTATAAGGAAGATTCTGAGGCATCACTCTGTAGAAATCTTCCATCAGGAGCTATAATGGAGTGGACGCTAGCAGCCAACAGAAGGAAAGCAGGCTCCCGCTGCTCCAGCCATTTCTGCTATGCTTACCTGCTGACTCCCGGGACAGATATCTTGCTGCCTTTGAGGTTAATTCACCAAACTCTGAACTGTCTGAATTCTGTGGAAGCAGAATATATTGAGGTCCTGACCACGGTGTCCAGCCCTGCTGTAGAACTATGTGGATCATTTTCAGACTTGATTCAATTTTCCGTTTTATAGAGTCACTCACTGCAAGTTTTGATTCTCAATGGGCCACCAGAGAGAGAAAGCAAAATATGTTAAAATGATTTATCAACATGTCCTGTATGTGGAGCCATTCCAATGGCTCTCATTTATATCATATACTCATCAGCCTCAGTCCTCCCACCCATCTTCCCACCCAGAGACTCAGCCCTGTCCCAGATGCCAGACAGGAAGTACTTGAGCAGCCTCAGCCTGCCATCCTAGAGAGGTTAGTTATGTTGATTTAGAAGCAGTGTCCCAGCAGTGATCACTAGGCCCCCACACTGGGCCCTAAATGCCACCCTACTTATTATGTTGAGATGAGTCCTAATCAGAACTAACAAGCTCATACCAAATGTGATCAGTTGATAGATGGGATAACTACAATATCCAACTAACTCATAGAACATCTGCATTTCAAATTTAGTTTTAAGATCATGTATAGTTGAGCCTGCTAAGACTTTACCTCCTACCCTGAAATACCACAAATTCCATCATCTTTAGTAGGTTCCACTGATATAACTACCTAGGACCTGTAGCAAAGATTGTTTGACCAAAGGAAAGCTGACATATTTGCTCTTGAGCCTAGAATGCAAATGTATGTCCCAGGCAGGACTCTGAGTCCTCCCTCTGAATGTGAAATCTAACTACTCTTGAGAAGTTTCTAGTCCTCCAAGGTTCTCCTGGTCCCATCTTTACTACCTGTGACTTAGTAACAATAATAAGACCATGTTTGTTTATTTTTCCTGTTTTAAAAGACAAAAAAAACTGCTATATGTCCAGAATAAGAAATTATGAAGAAAAGGTAGTGTGTGGAATAAAATGCAAATGTTTTCAATGTACATTAAAATTTTGATATATTGATCTCAGATTTAAGAGGTTAGATGTGGGTGGTTCCTTGCTCTTCTCTCTCTCTCTTTTTTTTTTTTAATAAAAAGGTCATTTACTTGTGAAATAATGGATTTTGACTCATATTAATGGCTTTTTAAAAAAATCAAAATTCAGCATGGAAATTTCTATGTAACCAAAAGACATCTTGAGACTAGTAAGAACATTTCAATTATCTGAACTTTGACTTTTACACAGGTGAGTATTCAGTGATTTCAAGGTCCTGTTAAATGCATTCTGTTTAGTATTTCTGTTTTCTGACACCATAGTTTAAAACGTCTTTCACAAAAAATGCCTAATATAAGTAACATTCTTTAAATGCAATTTAATTTCATCTATTTGAAGAGGATTGATAAACACAACATGCTTACCAGAGATTTCTACATTTTGCTACTACTGTCAGCTCTTTGCTTGTTGGTCAGCCCTGTGGTGATGACATTGGACATAATTACAAATAATACTTAAGAGTATCCAGTTGATTGATAACATTAATATTTAAGATCTTTGCATCTTTGTTAACACCGAGAACATTTTCCAGCCATGTAGGAGTTGCCCCAGGACTTGGCTAAAAATAACATTTTATATCAAATTCAACAAACAAGAAGAATATTTTGCTATGCTAAAAATATAGATAACCAGAACTTTTCCAATAAAGTTTATAAAAATCTCCAGATGTGAACTTGACTTTAGAAGACAGTCTGTTGCTAGTTTTAATGGATTTGATTTGTTTTGCTTGTTTTACTGCAGAAACAAATTTCCGCTGGCAATCATGATTGATATTTTCTTGAACTAATTTTTTCTTAATTTTTTCTGTGAAAGGAGAACTATTTTAATTGACATTTATCACCAGACTAAGAATCATTTCAGTTCTAAAATGTTGGAAGTAACATTTCCCATCTGTTTCAATAACCCAACTGGCTAATTACATTGCCAAGAATAATTTGTCACAAACAGAAAGACCATTCTTTGGGGTTGGGGGGAACTCTTACTGCTTGATCTTACATCACATACTGATTAATGAGCAATAATAGAAAACTTATGATACTAATTTATGCCAGGAGTTTATTCTATGAATGAGATTCTGAAAGGAATAACAGAAAGCTGGTTAATCATTTACATTACTTAAAAAGAAGGGATGGAGTCTCTAGTTCATATCAGAGAAGGTACATATATTTACCTTTATATCCTGCCTTTAAGGTGTGGACCACTGAGGTATGAATGGCTCAGCCTAACAAGGAGGAGATAAAATGCAGGCAGTGTGTCTGCAGTATCATCACTATCCTCTGCGATTTTTAACATTGCAGGTGGGCAATCCACCAGTGTGGTGGTGAAGAGTGTGGGCTCGGACACTAAACTACCTGTGTTTGAATTCCAACTTTAGCATTTACTTGTTTGCCAAATTATGTAGATTTTTGGTATCTTGAATTCTTCATCTGTAGAAGGGGTACATTAATAATAATAGTAACTGCCTCAGAGTCATTGAGAATTAAATCAGCTAACACATTTAAAGTTCATTCAATGTTAGTTATTAATCTATTATGATCATTATTAATATTAGTATACTACTTGGGTATTAACAGCTTTCTGGTCTCAATTCTGGCTACATATTGGAATCAACTGGGAAGCTTTAGATTTAAAAAAAAAAAAAAAAAGGACAAAAAAACCCCAATGCCCAGGAGCCACCCGAAAGAGACTCTAATTTAACAGGTCTTAGTTAGGGCCTAGAAGCACCCCCTATCCCCCTGCCAAATATTTTTTTGTGTTTAGTTGCTCAGGAGTTTTCTAATGTACAGCCAGGAATCTTAGCAAGAAGAGCTAAAAGTCAGCAGGGTGAAAACCTTAGGAACAAGTATATTAACACCAGGAAAGGCAAACAGACAGGAAAGACTGAAGACCAGGACAATAGGATAAGTTAGGGTGGAAGGGCCTCTCCACTTTGTCCAGGGAGAGCCATGCTAAAGTGCTTGCTTCTTAGGGCTCATTCTGCCATAATTATTTCTTTATGAGGCCCTAAGATCAGGCGTGACAACCAACTTTTCTGGTGACCTCTGCCCTTTCCTGTGTCTTCAACCACATGTCTTACTTTACCTTTTGGTGGCGCCCCTATTTTAAAAGCATCAGAACCCTTCTTTGAATATTTAGTTTGTAAATTCCAATGAGGAACCCCATTTTCTTAGTTATAATGTATACCTCAGACAGTTTGAATGTAGTTATGGTGATGAATGGTTTCAGCTCAAGAGACTCTTAGCCACTAAATAGATGTGTTTGTTCTTTGGAAGGAATAAGAGGCTCCAAAATGTGAGGATGAACTAGGCTGTTGTTCTTGTTCCATAATAGCTTCAAAAGCTCTCTTTACTTTTAACCAAAAAGAGAAGAGGAGGGAGAAAGATGAGAATAATACCCACATTCAAAGAGTCAGAGAAATGGGCCATGCAGTAGCAGAAAAAAGTCTTACATTTCTGATGCTTTATAAAAACCTGAAATTCTGAGTGATCTTATCCTTTCATTTCTGTCTTTGCCTCGCATATTCATTATAGGAAAATTCCAAATGGTAGTGAAAAGTACAAAAAGAACTTGAAAATGACTCATAATTTCAACACTTGTTTTCTTCTTTTGCTTTTAGTTCATAAAATGAAGAATAAAAGTCTACCTTCCTCCATGTCTCCAAAGGTAAACTCTTGCAAAAATGCTTTATATTTATGTGTATGTATACATCTTAGCCCTATCTTATGTTTCAGTTACTATGCTAAGCAATGCATGGGAATGACCTCATTTAATCTCCACAATAACCGTTGGAGGTAGATCTATTAATATTTTTCTTACCCTCATTTTAGAGATGAGGAAACAGAGCCTTAGAGAAGTTGCCTTACCCAAGTTGAACTCCCATTTATTCATTCGCTCTGCAAGTATTTATTGAGTCCCTACTATGTGCCAAGCATGATGCCTTAGCATAGGGGATATAAGAGTGAATCAGCCAGACACACTCATAATCCATCTCTTACCTATTCTACTGCTGTCACTCAGGTCTAAGCCACTATCATCTCTAACAGTTTCTAACTGGTCTTCCCGCTTCTACCCTTATTCCCCTGCAGTCCATTCTAAACACAGTCACTCCTCTACTCAAACACCTTTGATGGCCGTTCATGTCACTCAGAATGGAATGAAACCTGGAGCTCTGCCGGTGATCAATAACATGCTGCCTGATTTGTGCCTCCTGTACCATCTCCTCATCTCCTGCCACCCACACCCTCATGCTCTGCTGTCATTCATTACCTTGGCTTCCCAGATGTCTCTTGAATATACCAGGCATGTTCCTGTCTAAGGGCCTTTGCATTCCCAGTTCCTTCAGCCTGGAATATCCTTACCCCATGAAATGGCTCAGAACATGCCACCTCAAAATATGCCACTTTGGCATAATGATTATTTTGAGCTGAAGGCGCTTGAGAAACACTAGGGGCAGGAAGAGCTCTCAGACTTCCCCTTTCTACCAAAAAGCAGGTCATAAAATTTCCCATGAGAAAGGTGCCCTCCTTGTGCCAGGAAGAGAAGAATAGTATCACCAGAGATGACTGGAGTTATCATCGAAATGGACCTGTAAAAAAAAACTAAAATCATCCTCATTTTCCACTAGTTTCGCCTGTATATCCCTTACTCCCACAATTTACTGCTTCTAGCCCAAGGCCTTTTGTCTTGTCACATCTCCACAGTTTATCATTCTTTGTGTAAAAAATGTATATAAGCTTTGGGGCATAAAGTCTTCTTTGGGTCTTCATTTTTCTCTGAGGACTCCCATGTATACATAAAAACATTAAATAAATGTGCATGCTTTTCTCTTGTTAATCTATGTTGTTTTAATTCTTAGGTTAGCCACCAAACCTAAGAGGGTAGAAGGATGTTTTTCCTTCCCTACACCAAAATACTCACATGGCTCACTTCCATACCCCCTTGAAGACTTTGCTCAAATGTCCCCTTTTCAATAAAGCCTCCAATGACCATTCTATTTATAACTGCAATATCTGCCCCACCCCATGCTTCCCCCTCTTTATTTTTATTTTACATATATACCATGTAGTTTGTTTTGCTTATTTTTCTCTCCTTATAATGTAAGCTTTATGAGGGCAGGCATTTTTCCTGCTTCAATCACTGCTCTTTGCAGAATGGCTATTTTGCTTTTTGTAGCATTTAGTTATTTTAGAAAGACTGCGCACTTAATATCTTCTAGCAAAACCAACTCAATATTCTTCTACAAATATCAATTCATTGAATCCTCACAATGTCTCTATAAGACAGGCATTATTGCTATCCCTATTTTGAAGAGACCAAATCAGAGGTCTACAAGGATTAAGTAACTTGCTAAAGGTCGCACAGAGAGTAGTGGCAGGACCATGATTTGAGCTTAGGCAGTTTGGCCCCAAGGTCCAAACTTTTACCTACTTTACTATGCAGCCTCATCTTCAAACCCATGCTCTCCTGTGAGCAACAGTATAATCCAGGACCTTAATACATGGGCTAGCCCCTTCTTTGCTACAGTAACCATGTTCTTTAAACCCAAAATATGGACATACAAGTTCACTCTGTTAACTAAAGGATAATTCGAGAGCAAATGAAAAGAAAAATACTAATTTTACTATAATTTTGCTAAAGAATACAATAAATAAAACACAGATTGTATTCTCATACCTGCAGGTAAGGTTTACAGAGTCTCAGGGATTTCCTCTTTCATCAACACCTCTTATTTCTAAAGCAAGGAAAACTCAGGTTCAGAGCTGTACATGTTTATGCTTCATGTTCAACATAAAAAAAATAGAGCATTAGTCCTCCATAGTTGACTGCAATGTAGGTGAAGGTACTGTTTAATGATATGAGGCAGGAACAGAAGATAAAATTTAATGCCCAAGAATTGAATGAAGTACTTCAACGATGTTACAGATTGTTCCAAGAACTTTCTATTTACAAAACATGACATGTGCAAGAGATGCAGATTGGATCATATTTTACTTTTAATATTTTGGGATAAGCCAAGGCTAGTGAGCACAGAAACTAGACTTAGGTTCATCAGGCCTGAAGTCCTTTAGCTCTGATATTGTTCTTTTGTTGATTTTTTTTAATAGTAAACTTACAGCTGATGATTATGATACAAATACATTTAAGAAGTATATGGTAAATTGGAAGCACAAGAGAAATATCTTACTTTTATTCTAAATTTGTGTTTGTTATAGAAACCACATTAATGTATAAAAAATAAAATTTTAAAAATAAAATAATCACCCATAGCCCTACTATCAAAGCACAGTAATTCTTCTCTTTTTTCTCTGTATCTTCCTCGTTTTTGTCTATAAACTCACTTACAAAAATCAATAAATCTCCAACTAAAGGAAGAATTCGGTCTTTTGTATAGTTGAGTTCAGTTACTGCCACACTCTTTCTAGGAACCCCCCCCCCAAATACAGCATATATTTGAAATGCTGAAATCAGGGTATGGTGGAGCTGGGAAGAACCTTAGAGATTATCTGAATTCAACGCCAGCATTTTAGTGGTGGCTGTATGGTCAGTATTGTCAGTTTTAGTAGTAGTTATAACAGCTGCTGCTATTCCTTCAACATCAGGAATATGTGCTAGATACTTTCTATGTCTAATCTTCCTGACAATTATGAAAGGAAGAGTGAGTAGAAATGATTTGGGTTTGAGTCCCATAGCATAGGAACAACAATGCCTCCGACCTCCTAGGTTTGTAAGAAAGATGATTTGAGGGGAAATATGTAAATCACTTGGCATGGAGCCTAGTTATTTTTATCATCATCATTCATTTTTCAGGTGAGGAAACTGAGGCTCAGAAAGAACTTGGTCACACAATTTTGTGCTTCAGTTTCTCACAGTCAACTAAGCCAGTGCCTAGGACCTAAAGTTAATGTTTCATAAGCATACTCAGTAGACCCCATGCTTCAAAATCACCTGGTGTGAATAAAAAAGATTCCATTTCTTAGGCCCTTCCCCAAGCTAACTCAATCAGACCCTCTGGAAGTAGAGAACAGAAATATGCATTTCAGAATTTCACTGGCTGCTTCTGTGCACCAAGATTATAATCATTGCTATTCAAGCTTTCCAAACTCACCAGCCAAGTTCCTGGGCCCTAACCCAGGTTTCCCCCTCTGTGAAATGGGAATAATATTACTGCCTATCAAACTAGTTGGGAGGATGAAAATAATATATCGTATAAGAAAGTGCTTTGTACACTGTAAAATAATTATTGTTTCTCTCTACCTGAATCAAGCTCTTACCAAATAGGGAAAGACAATATCCAATGTCTCCATCACAAATTAATAGCACCATCACAGACACAGTTCATGCTAGGTCTAACCAGGTAGCCAATGAAATTGTATTGCATTTGTTTTCTCTCATTATTTAACTCTTCGTCCTAAACATATAGGCACTGTTCTGAAAACTTGATGTCATCCCTTTGCATCCCTCACTGCCATGGTCTTCCCAGACAAAATTAGACATTGCCACAATTGATCTTAAATGCCATTCTTTACTGTGTTCTTTCCTCACTGTTCTAATAGAATCAGCTCTATTTGTCTGTGGGTGAGTAGCAAGCCTGCAGTTTTCTGAAGAGGTCTTCGTACTTCATGTTTTGTATCTGGAGCTATTATAGTGTGTCTGACATTTTCTTTTTGAGGTATGTGATTATGGGTTAAACCAGCACATAATCAAACCAGCCTACTTGCCTAATCTCCCTCTTAATAGAGTAGCTTTTAGGGAAGGGAATATAAGCAGCATGCAAAGGAAAAAGAAAAAGCCCAGAAGCAACAAGAGTAAGGAATAATGTGTGATCCGTGGGCAGGACTGGACTAAAGTAGCAATAAGAATGGTCCCCAATGAAAAACAGCATGAGTTGTTTCTTCCCACTCTCTCCCACAAAGCTAGCCTCTCCATGGAAACTCCCCTCAAAGAGAATGGAAAAATTTTAGCTAGAAGAACGTGGATTTCCATCTGCCTAAAGGGAAATGTTCAGGTTCACCTAGGCTCTGAATATCTGGATTCCCAGAACCACGTACTATAAAGCCAGTGGAGATCTATTGATTTCTGTTTGATGAGTTCCTACTTTGCTCCATTTTTGTGAGATTTGTGGAGCCACCAATCCTAGTTCTGAATTCCCCTATTCAAAGTGAGTTCTCCAAGGTTAGACATGCAACTCAGGCCTAGCCAATAAATGTTCTGCCCTGTGATTCTTATTAAATTTTGAAGCTGGAGAAGCAGCAGCTTTGCATTTTTGGTCACAGAGCTACAAGGGTGAGACTGAAGGAAATGTTATTGGTTATCATCACCACCGTGGATAGAAAGTCTGTTTGTGGAAAGAGAATAAAATATACAGAATTCAAAAGAATCTGGAATGAGAGTGGACACCCTGCTCCCTGGTCCCTGCAGTTACCTAGTGCCTTTGTAACAAAATCTCCTATGGTTTAAACTCGTCTGAATTAGCTTATGTACCTTGCAAACCAGAGTTCTTCCTAAGTACAGCTGTGCCCTCAGTTCCTTCTTGTCTTCTCACACACAACCTGGATACACAGTACTAACCTCAAATCCATCATAAATCACATCTACATCTTCCTCAACTTGATAAACCATCCCTTTGGGAAATAGCATGAAAGGGCTAGTAAATTAATCTGCTTGAGGTAACTCATGACTGATCCTGCCTTAATGTGCTACCTTTCCCAGGAAATCATGCATCTTCATACAACAACTACTGCTACTACTACTACCAATAATAATAACAACAACAACAATAATAGCATTGAGTGGCAGGTACTGTGCTAAGCACATTATACACATTAACTCATTTAATCCTTATAACAACCCTAAGGTTCCCATTTTATAGGTAAGGGGACTGACATGTGGTAGTGAAGGGACTCTTCAACCAAAGAAATAATCCCCAATAGTATATTTTCAGGAACGGTATCCAGGAGTTATATGCACATCCATCCTTAAACCTATGTTACCACCCCATATATAGCTCTTCATGTGAAATCAGCCGGGGTAAGGAGTAGCGCTGGTCAGCGAATCTAATATTTTGCTTTTTATCGGGAGACTTGAGGGTTAAGAGAGGCCACAGTTCAGCATTTGCCAGTTAAGAAGGAAAGTCATATATTATTCGTTCAAAACAAGCAAGGAGCAGGCTGGAAGCCAAGGAACTCTGGCCAAAAGAGACTGAGGCAAGAGAATATTCATCATCAACTCTGATCCATACAGTGAACACATGGTTGAATTACTCCCCAGGGGAAAGGAGTCAATGACATTGGGAATATGGTTCAGTGAGATAAGCCAGTGTTTTCTAGTCAAGCCCCTTGCAAGACTGATCTTTACCAAGCTTAGGAGTAAGACAAGCTCCTTTCCAGAGTTTCTGCCCTCCTATCCGTCCCTCCCTCCCTCCCTTCTTTCCTTCCTCCCTCCCTTCCTTCCTTCTTCCTTCCTTCTTTTCTGTCTTCCTGCCCTCTTGCCTTCCCTCCTTCCTTCCTTCCTTTCTTCCCTCCTTTCCTTCTTCCTTTCTTCCCTCCTTTCCTTCTTCCTTTTCTTCTTTCCTTCTCTCCTTCCTTTCCTCTATAGATACTTAGTGATTCTCTGTGATATACTGAGATAAGATTCCTGCTTTTGGGAAGGTTAAAATTCACAGGAAAAACAGGCAATAAAGCCAACAATAACAATAGAGTATGGGATATGTGGTGATACTGTAGAAAAAGCATAAGCTTAGGAGCCAAATAGATTCAGCTCAGAATCACGACTCTGCCTCCTACAAATAGATACGATTTTTTTTTTTTTGCAAGTTATTTAACTATGTGTGCTTGGCCCAGCACAGTGGTTCATGCTTGTAATCCCAGCACTTTGGGAGTCCGAAGCAGGCAGATCATCAGGTCAGGAGTTCGAGATCAGCCTGGCCAACATAGTGAAACCCCATCTCTACTGAAAGTACAAAAATTAGCCAGGCATTGTGGCACATGCCTGTAGTCCCAGCTACTCGGGAGGCTGAGGCAGGAGAATGGCCTGAACCCAGGAGCAGAGGTTGCAGTGAGCCAAGATCGTGCTACTGTACTCCAGCCTGGGCAACAGAGCAAGACTCCGTCTCAAAAAAAAAAACAAACAAACGATGTGTGCCTGTGTTTCCTCATCTGTAGTATGAGGATAATGATCATATATATTTACTAGTGTTGTTGGGATGATCAAATTAGGTATATTTAATCATTGTGTAAAAAAGTTGACGTGTAAAATCCATGTAAAAAAGTTGGCAGAAGAGACAAACTGGTAAAGCAGCCGTTCTTCATTTCTCATTTCATTCAACAAGCATTATTAACAGCCTAGCAAGAACACAGTATCCAGGAAAAATCAAAGATTATCAAGCTCATGTTCTATAATCAAGCAATTTATAAACTAGCAGAAGAACAAGACAGATGAATAAGAAACTGTGTATATTTAAATGCTAAGAAGTTCAATTCAAATAAATGTCCATGGAGGACTAGTGTGGTCAGAAATGTTTTATAGAATTGATGGGTCTGAACCTGGGCTTTGAAAGTAAGATAAGATTGCTTCTCGGCATTTGGACTAAGATCAAGTGAAAGAAAGATAAGATGTGGTGAGGAGAAGGAAGGTAATCATGGCAAGGAAACAGCATGAGTAAGTACTGTTCTGGGATGAGGCAGACCAGTCTTGCTAGGGTTTGCTTCCTACTGGGAATCAGTAGGTCAGAAGGTTGGAAAGGATCACTGGGTCCTGTATGACAAGCTGGGGAGTATGAACTTGATCCTGAATTCAATGGGACACCATGAAGGTTTGCATTTTGGAGTACAGCACAGCGTTAGTGCTTTATGGGTAATATTGATTGCTCCATGCATGTAGGGTAGATTGCTGGGGACCAAATTCCAAGGGGTGGAAGTGGGGAGACCAGTTTGGTGACTACAGTTGTCCATACCTTGGGCCATGGAGACCTGAATATGGCTGCAGTAGTAAGGAAGACAAGGAAGCTGACTACAACAGGCTATTTTAAACTTTTTTAAAAACAGCGATAAAATATACATAACATAAAATTTACCATCTTAACCGTATCTAAGCATAGAGCTCAGTAGTGGTAAGTATATTCGCATTGTTGTGCCACCAATATCCACAACTTTTTCCTCTTGCAAAGCTAAAACTATAACCATTGAGCAATTTTCCATTTCCCTCTCCTCTCAGCCCCTGGCAATTGTCATTCTACTTTCTGTATAACAGACATTTCATATCATTTAGAACTCTTTAGATTTTTAAGAGCAAGACAACTTAAGCTAACACGCAAAGAGGGTGGCAAGGGATTTATTGTTGATTTACAAAACAGGATCAGAATGCTTCCAGACAGGAATGCGTCTGGGCCTCTGAACTGACTGGAATCTAAGCAGAAAGGTGTCAGACATCTCCGAGTGTCTGCTTCTCTCTGTGTGCTACTGCATTCCGTCTGTGCCGACCGGCTTCCTCTGCTTCTCTCTCTGCTTGATAGAATATTGCATCTCTCTAGCTCTGGGTTCATATGTTACAGTTCTAGCCACAAACAGAGACTACATAGCTGTTTCTGAATCTCAATTTGAGATTTCGAGAGCAAAAGAGAGAGATAGAGAATATTAATATGATTGGTCCAGCTCGTGGCAACTGTTCTAATCAGCTATTGTCTCAGAAATCAGCTATTGTCTCAGAAATCACAGTTCTAATCACTGTTCTAATCAGCTATTGTCTCAGAAAGAGTCATATAGAACATATATGGCTGCCGGGTGCAGTGGCTCACGCCTGTAATCCCAGCACTTTGGGAGGCCAAAGCGGGCAGATCACGAGGTCAGGAGATCGAGACCATCCTGGCTAACATGGTGAAAGCCCGTCTCTACTAAAAATACAAAAAAATTAACTGGGTATGGTGGCAGGCGCCTGTAGTCCCAGCTACTTGGGAGGCTGAGGCAGGAGAATGGCGTGAACCCGGGAGGGGGAGCTTGCAGTGAGCCGAGATCGCACCACTGCACTCCAGCCTGGGCGACAGAGTGAAACTCTGTCTCAAACAAACAAACAAACAAAAACCATATATGGCTGCAAGGACAGATTTCCAAAGAGGGCAGGGGTCTTTGTGAACTGGGCAAATACCCTAAAAGGAGTCTACTACACATTTCAGAAAAGGAATTACAATGGCTTGGTAACTGATTTTTGGAATTGTGGGGCAGAAGAGTGGCTGAGGAGATCAGAGAAGAGTGAAAGATACACTTGCTGCCTTCAGGCGGCTCACAGCCTAACTGGGAAGACAGATTATACAAGAACTGTTCAACTCAGAGATGGTTGCAAAGAACTCACCCATTTTCAAAGTAACTATTGCTATCCCCTTTTGGAGGCACCGCTACAATCTTGTAAATTTAACAAGATATTACTAGACTGGGAAAAGAAGCTAAAATACAACATTTACATTTTTTCATGAGAAGCAGAAGAAGAAAGAGCACCTTTACCTCTAGGGTCATTGCAAAAGGAGAGCGGACACATCTCTGGCACAACCCAAAGGCTGAGAATCATTGGCCGTGATTTATAAAACTGCCTCTAAGATCAGGGTAGTTTCAGAGGCTTTCCAGGGGGATTTCTGCAAAGGCATAGTTTGATCCTATTATAGTCATGCACCACATAATGTTTCAGTCAATGATGGACTGCATATATAGCAGTGGTCCCATAAGATTATAATACTGTATTTTTATTGTACCTTTTCTATGTTTAGATAGGTTTAGATACACAAATACCAGTGTTACAACTGCCTACAGTAGTTAGTACAGTAACATGCTATACAGGTTTGTAGTCTGGAAGCAATAGGCTCTACCATATAGCAGACGTGTGTAGTAGGCTATGCCATCTAGGTTTGTGTAAGTACACTGTGATGTTTGCACAATGGCAAAATCACCTAATAATGCATTTCTCAGAACATATCCCTGTCATTAGGTGGCACATGACTGTATTAAGCAACAACAACAAAAAAAACAAACATGAGAAGGCAGAGTTCAGAGAGGAACTAAAGTTAAAAATAAAATGCAAATCAAATCAGTCTCTGATACATCCTGAGCACCTCCCACAAACCATTCTAGAGTTTGTTTTCAGCAGATCGGTGACTCCAGCTATACTTAAAATGCAATTAACATAATTAAATACGGCATTCAAAAGGATAAAGTGATATAGTCACAAAGCTACAGGAGGCTTCCTTTCCTCAAAATATTTAAGCTCTAGCTTCTTTACATTTAATTTTACCTGAATATTTCAAGAGACCAGTTGAGTTCTTTGAGATTACATATTCTGTTTTAGATGAAAGCTGAGTGGTTCAGTGAATTGTATTTCAACTCATTTCTCTAGACATCAGTTACCAGAAACCCTTTTAATGAAAGCTTTGAGGACTGTCTGTCCATTATGCTGCTAAGGCTCCTGAGTCAGCAAGCTCATTCAGATTTAAAAATTTAACTGGCCCTCATCCAATCGTTAATCAAAACCTAATGCACTTTTCCAACCTAAGTCTTTTGCATTTACTGTCTAGAAAGGATGCCGAATCAAATGTTTTAGGGAAACAGCTGGTTCAATATGCAAGCTGCCATCACAGTTGTGTTGCAGTCTTGTTGTGAGTGTGTGCATGTGTGTATTTTTTCTTAAAAGGCATGACTTATAGCAGGTCCTCACAGTTATTGAGCATTAACGAGCCTTTGTAAGGTCAGACTTGCCACAAATGCTTTTTCTCCTGCACTGAAAATGGAGCAAGGTGGACAGAATTAACAACTGAATCGGTTTGGGTAAGAGCAGGGAAGTTCTTCAAAGAATCTAAGTTCCTTCCCTGGAGGAGCTCTGTGATAAGGCTGAGTATATCCCAGAAGGCAAGAAGTTGAATATTTAATTCCTTGTAGTGGAACTAATCACAAATGAGAGAAAAATTACCCATGTCGGACCATGGGACAACATTTAATGAATCGGAGAAGGTAACTACCAGATAGAATTCTGGCAGAATGACTTCACCAAGGATGGAGGAGAAGTTCTCCCAGAGGGATTTGTTTATTCCCTTCAGTTCACTAAAAGTCTAAAACAAAATCCAGTATGCTTTTAAGAGCAAGCTTGGGCACTTAACTTGGCACCTGTACCATATAAGACTTTATGACAAAGCCTCCTTTCTACGTAGGGACCACAGGCCAAAAAGCTCACCACTGTCCACTTGAGTCAAGATAGTTCTCATCATAAAGAATTCAAATACTTTTTAATAGATTCTCAATGACCTGATTAAACAAATATTTTGACTTTCACATGGTTTCTTTTTCTTATTTTTATATTGAGCAAAACCAGCTTGTTCTTCTAATTACATAGATTGTAGTTTTTGTTCCTTAGCTAATGACTTCCTTATGATAAGTGAGCAGAGAAATGGACAGATCAGTCTATTTCAGCCAATCTAATGAATTCTTTACATATGAGACCTGTGGAGAAAAGACTTCTGTATCACATTGCTCAATACCCCTTTTATATGTAAGCCAAGAGCCTTAGTGCATATAAAACATTTACGCTTAAGAAGCACAGCTCTCATAATAGATATGTATTAGCAAAGCCAAGTGTTGCATGAGAGGGTATTGTGTGTAGATGACTTATGGGAAAATTGTAGAAATTATCAGTGAATTCAAAATAATTATGCAGTAAAATTAGGGGGCTTGTGAAAAAGCAAGATTTACCTGAAGAGCCCAGCTTTCTCATTTCTCTCTCACGGTGTGTCACACGCTTTGGAGATCCAGCGGTAGACAACTTCTAGGACTGTCAGGAGCACTTACTACTCCAGATGGTGGTCTGAGGATTCAGGACTGATGTTCCTATGGAGAGTCAGCAGAAAACACAGCTGACTTCTGAAGGAAGAAAGGCTGGACACACATAAGAGGTCAGTTCCACTCCTGAGGCTGCACTGCCTGAGACTAACTACATGGACATGACAAACTTAGTGGTGTTAATTTCAGTGCTGTGCCCTAAGTAGTGGAGAATAGTTAAGTGCCCAAAATACAGCTTTCTAGAACATCCTGTATTGAGGAGGCCACCCTGCATTCCAGGAGCAGCTTAGTTCGTGTTGGTTTCCATAGGGGAATGCTTTAATTACAAAATGTGAATAGATCTTACAACATGTCAAAAAGAATCAATTGCTAGAATGTCTATTGTTAACTAGGCCTTTCTTTTGCCAAGAATGCTTGACCTAAACTAAGGTGAAGAGCCCTGGGAACATGGTCCAGTTGGAGGAGGAAGAGCCTGGCCCAGTGGCTGTAGTTTATTTGGTCTAGGATAATCTGAAGACATTGTCCCCAGGAAAAAACCCAAAGCAAAGCTAAGGCAGTCCATACAAACAGCCACCAGTCCCAGAGGTGAGGAAAAGAGAAAGATCACTAGAGTGAGGCAACAGAAATGGGAGAGAGCCATATAAGGAACCCAGCTTAGTAGAAACCCTGCAGAAGCTTTTACAGGGCATATGGCCTCAGGTACAAGCAGTGAGTAAGCTGTGAAAAGCAAGTACAAGGCTTAAGATAAAAGCACCCACCAGTAGAGTCCCTATGTTCTTTTTCCTGTGTGCTACTTTGTTGGAAGCATTTGTGAAATTAAGGAAGACATCAAAAAAAACCATTTTTAGCATGATATAGTGGCCCTTGCCCTTGTTTGCTTAGCCCTACCTTCATCCTAACATGCACTCTTTCCTCCCATAAGACTCTACCATCGCTACCACCACCTCAGGGACAGGAAGGTGACCCATCCTGGACTAATCCTAGTATTCCTAGAATTTGAGAACAATTCTCTTGTTCCCAAAGCCCCTTCCATCCTGCCCTCTCTGTGAGAAGGTTACATGAGCCAATATATTTTCCTTTTGACTTACGTTGGTTTGAATTGAGTTTCTGTCACTTGCAATCCAAGGGTTCTGAACAATATGCACGTTAATATATTTTTCACTCTCTTTTTCTTTTTCTCATACAAATAAAGATGTGCTTATCCTAAACAAACACCAGAATACTCAGTATTCTCATTCTTATAATTACATAAAATGATTTTCTATTTATCTAGCCCTTTTACTATGGGGCTTAGTCCTCATGAAGAGACTAGCATAGGTACACAGTGTAGGTTGGGGAGGAGATGATCAAGCAATAACCCCCAAGCCACGGAGCATCAGAAGGCTGAGGTCCTGATAACAGGACAGCATTTAAACATGTTTCTCTGGGTCCTCTTTTAGTTACTATGGGGATAGAAACATAGCTGCAAGTAAAGCTACCTGCTTTCTCCGGTACTCCAATGGAGATGTTTGAAATTATTGAGAAATGCTGGGGATAAAGAAGGAAAAAATGGAGCAATGAATCAATAATGCCAGTTGTGTACTTCCTCTGTGAAAGACACTGCTAGGTGCTGTGATATCTACAGATGGATAGAACATGGGCCAATACCCTTGAGAAGACCACATTTTATTTGAGGAAACAAGACATGCATATAAACAGACAATTACCCAATAGAAGGAAGCAAACACTAAAGACTAGTAGGTCGGGGCCAGGTGAGGTGGCTCACTCCTGTAATCCCAGCACTTTGGGAGCCCGAGGAGGGCGGATTGCCTGAGCTCAGGAGTTCGTGACCAGCCTGGGCAACATGGTGAAACCCTCTCTCTCCTAAAATACAAAAATTAGCCGGACGTGGTGGCATGCACCTGTAGTCCCAGCTACTCAGGAGGCTGAGGCCGGGGAATTGCTTGAACCCGGGAGGCAGAGGTTGCAGTGAGCCGAGATTGCACCATTGCACTCCATCCTGAGCAACAGAGCGAGACTCCGTCTCAAAAAAAATAAAAAAAAAAAAGACTAGTAGGTGGATTAGATAGGAAGTGCTGCATAAGTTTGGTGGAAGCAACATAGAACATTGCAAGCTGGTATTTTATTTGTTCTTTGGTTACAAGGAGATTCTGGCCAACTTTAGCCAAAATAGAAACTTATTGAAAAAGCAGCTCATAGGACTGAAGACAGAGTTAAGCAACAAACCTCCAGAAGGATCCGAACCAGGGTAGCCCCAAAAGACCTCATGGTCATGATGATAGTGTCAGCTGAATAATAAGTGGCTGGACTTAGTGGGAGGCAGTGAGAAGGAAAAAGGGGCAAGAAAGGCTTTTGAAAGTTCTCCTGTCCCCTCAACCTGACACAATGTGTACTTATCACTCTTAGAGACTGGAGACAGTTGATTATATAACATATATATCTCTATGATTCAGGGATCTAAGAGATGGAGGAAAGACATATATATTGAGGGCAAAAATATCACAGCAGAATGTCAGCCATAACTAAATTCTCCAGGCTCAGATTAAAGACCAGCTAGGGATTTTAACCACTTAAGAACCAAGACTAATATTCTAAAATTGACTGCCTAGAAAGCCCTTCTGCACTGAGAAATCTGACTCAGCAATCAGTATGCAGAAGCGAACGCTTGGCCTTCTGGCTTTATTGAGCGCTATTGACAGGACCAGGCATCCATGACAGCTAATCACAAAGTTACAATTAGCTCTCGTCTCCTCCTGCCCTTCCACAGGGCATCTGCTGCCCAAATGAGGCTGGCACTCACTTTGGCCTGGATGGGACCCTACAGGGAAATAGAGAGAATAAGCTGCCCAAACATTGTGAAAGGGTTACATCAGAGAGCAAACAAGACAAGGGTTCTGACATTGAGCTGTATTTTATAGAAACAAAACACATTTTGTTTTTTAAAGGAACACTTTAAAGGGAGTCTTATGACCACATGGTAGGGCGTCAAGGAGTGGGTGTGGAATGACAAAGTTGACAATATCATATGCAGCAGCCACAGATGGTTCCATTCCACTCAGCCAAGTAGGAGGCAGAACGAGCTGAGGAAATACTCCCCATGATCCTTGTAAGCGATTTCCTATTACCAATAGAGCTGGGGATTCTTCACTGTTAAAGGGAAGTCTTATTCCCCTAAACCTCATATTCCCATAAAGAATTCCAGGAAAAACTTGGGAGGAAACTGCCCTCTCTTTCTCCACACCACCTCTCTGGCTTTGTCCCGAATGAATTACGTGATTGTTTACTTAGGAAGGGGGACCTGACCAGCTGGTGCCTTTGGTGCTCTGCTTTTTGGAGTAGCCTGTTCTCGGTTGACTTTTTCATCCACCTCCATGCAGTAAGAGGTTGTTCTGTGGGAGAGACACAGAGTGTCCAGCTCTGCCAGTGACTGGGTGAGGAAGTTTGTCTTCTCACCCTGTCAGGAAGTGTTACGAAGCTCATTGTGGCCACGCAAGTAAGCCACATTCCAATCCAGTTGATATTTTCAACCTCATCCATTGGACATGCATATGTAACTCAACTGCTTCACAACTCAGAGCAGAAAGAGAGGAGTGGGTATCCCAAGGCCCCATTATTCTTTATTATTATTATTTTTTTTTCTTTTTTTTTAGAGACAGGGTCTCACTCTGCTGTCCAGGTTAGAGTACAGTGGTGCAATCACAGCTCACTGCACCTTGAAACTCCTGGACTAAAGTTATCCTCCCAACTCACCCTCCTGAGTATGTGGGACTACAGGTGTGTGCCACTACACGTGGCTGCTTTTTTTTTTTGTAGAGAAGGGGTCTCACTATGTTGCCCAGGCCGGTCTTGAACTCGTGGCCTCGAGTGATCCTCCTGTCTCAGGCTCCCAAAGTGCTGGCATTATAGGAATAAGCCAATGTACCTGGCCCCAATATTCTTTATGACCTCTAATAGCAGTCAGAGACATTCATCCATGGTGTTCAGGGATCTAAGTAATCACGCTAACACTTGACATCTGTACAGCACTCTTCCACACTATCTCTATGTGCCTCACGAAATCTTAGGACATAGGTAGAGCAAGTATTATTGTTTTAGTTTTAAAGATTAGAAAATGAAGATTCAAAGACGTTGAGTGAATTCCTCAAGTTTGTCTGGTTACTAAGTGGTGAAATTGGGACTCCAATCTGGCTTTCTAACCTTAAGTTCTGTAGGAATAAGATGGCCGAGATGCAGTTTTAGAATGCAGGTTTAAAAGCCTTATAGATTTGGGTTCTGGCTTTGGTACAGCCCTTGGGAAAATTAGTCATGTTCTTGAAGCCTTCCTGTCCTTACTTATAAAATAGGAAAGTAGGGTCATTTTGAAGATGTCATAGAATAATACAAAGCCCCTGACAAAGTGTATATTAAACATTCAGTAAGTGTCATCTTTCTATTATAGATTTAAGCCAGTTGAATAAGCAATTTATGTAACCAACCTAGGTTTGGTACAGATCATCTATAAATGTCTGGCCATAATTCTAAGGATTCCGTAAATAACCCAATGAAATTATTTTAAACTGAAAATGCTCTATGTTCCTATTTCAAGTACTTTATCATCTATTACAAGGTCCTCCTGAACAGAGAGACAAATTTTTGTAATATTTTTTCAGTAGTACTTTCTGTTATATATAACACAAAATGTAAACTGGTATAATCCTCTTAAAAAGCATTTGCACAATTTATATTAAGAATCAGAAAAATGTTCATACCTTTTGACTAAGTAATTCCACTTCTGAGAAATTATATAAAATATATAAAAAGCTACATCCGTACAAACAGGCATGCACAAAGAAGTATATCACAGAAGTATTCAAGATAATAAAAATAACCAAAGTGCCTAGCAACAAGTCTATCATTTAGAGTTCCTTGGTTGCAAAGAACAGAAAACAACTCTATCTTCTTTTCTGACTATCTTTCTTCCAAAGACACTGTTGGAAAGATTGGGTAGTTCGTCAAATGAATGGCATCAGGAAGAATGGAAACCAGGAGTGTCGGTATAAAAGCCTCATTGACAGTCTTTCTTTGGGGTACAGGTGTTAATTAAAATGACCCAGCTTTAGTCTCTTCTGCTCATCTCCAACCAAGCCTTGAGTGGGGTGATACTGTGATCAATACGGTAATTATCTGAAGATTGTGTGTAACTGGCCTGGCTTGGGTCTTCTGTCTACCTCTGGTGAGGCAAAATGGGGAGTGAAAACACTGTGATCAACAGTTCCATCCAGAACCCATGCAAAGAGTGGGTAGCATTTCCCTAAAAGAAAGAGAGGTGCTGAGTGGGCAGAATGACAGGTGTCTGCTACTTGGCAGAATGGCCAAATAAATTATTATTAATATATATTGACAATTTCAGACTATTTTATTGTCTTAATCATGACCATTATAGAGACTATCTAGAATGTTTATCCTGTCTTTTTTTTTTTTTTTTTTGAGATGGAGTTTCGCTCTTATTGCCCAGGCTGGAGTGCAATGGCAAGATCTCAGCTCACTGCAACCTCTACCTCCCGGGTTCAAGCGATTTTCACATCTCAGCCTCCTGAGTAGCTGGGAGCCTGCCACCATGCCCGGCTAATTTTTGATTTTTAGTAGAGATGGAGTTTCACCATGTTGGCCAGGCTGGTCTCGAACTCCTGACCTCAGGTGATCTGCCCACCTCGGCCTCCCAAAGTGCTGGGATTACAGGCATGAGCCACCACTCCCGGACCTATCATGTCATTTTAAATAAAAAGGCAGGATATTCAAATATGTGTGTAGGTGCATGGTTATATTTACAAAAAAAAAAAAAAGGTATTAGAAAAACAATGGAAGGAAATTCACCTAAATCCTTGCCAACAGCTATGTTTCTGTCTGATCTAGGCTCACTCAGTAGGGCACCTGCCTTACGAACTAAAGCCCAGAGAGAAGTCTGGGGCTTGGAGCTGGTTTTGAAAGAGTTGTCTCCAGTTGTTACAGAAGGCAAGAGTCAGGGAGTGAGAGCAACTAGAGGGAAAGAGAACTAATCACTTAACCTGATAAAAGAAACCAGTTCCTAGGACTTGAACAGAAACAAAGCCCAAAGTCAAGAGTTGAGAACAAGGTGGAGGAGAGGAAGTGGGAGGGTCAATGGCTTTCCTGTGACCAAGAGTGGATTGCCCAGACCTCCCTCTGTGAGGTGTGACTGCTCAGTAAATTGAGGCCTGGGCCTGAGGAAAAGGCACAGATTTGAAGGAGATCGCTGGGGAGAGGAAAAGTAGGTAATTTTCTGCCCCTTCCTTCTTTCAAACCTTCTGTGATGATTTTTAAATTGTATGCGAATAAGGGCCAGAAGTGATGGCTCACGCCTGTAATCCCAGCACTTTGGGAGGCCGAGGCGGGCTGATCACTTGAGATCAGGGGTTCGAGACCAACCTGGCCAACATGGTGAAACCCTGTCTCTACTAAAAATACAAAAATTAGCCGGGGTTGCTGGCGCACGCCTGTAATCGCAGCTACTCAGGAGGCTGAGGCAAGAGAATCGCTTGAACCCGGGAGGCAGAGGTTGCGGTGAGCTGAGATCGTGCCACAGCACTCCTGCCTGGGCGACAGAGCAGAACTCCTTCTCAAAACAAAACAAATATATGTGAATAAGGGAGATGAATAAAAAACACATTATAGTTTTAAATTGTTGATTCATTCTTCTTAAACGCCTACTGCTATTGTATCTCTATTAGCACAGAGAAGGAAGCTTTAAATTTGGAATGTGAGAAGTCTATTAAACTCAACTGCTATCGATATTCCTGAATTGTAAAATTTTACGTGTTTGACTTACAAGTTACCAAGCTTTATCTAAATTTCAAAGTGCAGGCTTTCTTTTCTTCTATAACTTAATGATCCAAGAGGAGATTTTGCTTATGCTTAGATGTAATGACTTCACGATTGGTTCTCTTACAGGTTCAGTAATCTGTTTGTTTTTATAACTCTCCAAAGATTCAGGGATGAAAACATTGCCTAGAGCTTCCTTTAAAATTTCTACAATTTTCCCCTTGATAATATGAGGACAAGGAAACTGTGAATAACAAATTATTTAACCAAAGGGAATGGCCTCTTTGCAAAACAAAGTTAAAAATAAAAATACAGCTTAAAGATTTCATATATTTGGTTAACGATACAACACACTTTTTTTCTTTCATTTCTGTGTAATTAAAAAAAGACATAGGTCCTGGTGTCATGTAGAAAAACTTCAAAGTTTCTGGGAGGGAGAAGAAGAAACAATCTGTGGGAAAAAAAATTCATGATTAGGTACAGGTTTTTGAGGACTTTGAAAACGAAGTTAAAAAAATACTATTTTCTGACTGCTGACATTCACATTTTGAAATATACACTTTCTTTAGAGCAGGAGAAAAAAAACTGTTTTACACAAAGATTGCCAACCTTATTGTACAGATCTGTTTAACACTTCCATGAGGAAATGATGTGTCTTAAGTCAAATGAGCTTCTACAGTCATATCATGAAACTTCCTTTGATATAAAACTGTATCCTCTATTTTTGACATGTCCTTCAACCATGGAAGAATTTTTCCTTTAAAAAAAAAATCTTACAGAATATAAATAGAATATCAAGAAATACAGGTTATGAGACAGAAGGAAGCCCAAATATGCATAGAATCCTTTGCTGGACTAAGAACATCTTGAGAAGAGCCACACACTTTAATCTTCAAGGCTGTCCTCTCTTTGTGATGAAAGCCTAAACTCTTAAAGCCCAAACCAAAAGGTTCCAAGGAAAATTAATTTGTGAAATTCGAAAGAAAAAAAAATCCAGCTTGTCATTTGAAATAATGAATACCATAATTCAGTACTTACATGATATGCACTAGATTTGAATATGCAAATAATACCCATTACGTTTTGAATTTAACTTTCATGCTAGCTGAGCTTTCTTTTTGAAAAAGGAATGGGAAAAATGTAACATAATCTTATTTTCTCTCTTCCACACAAGGTATAGTCCCCAAGTCTGCATAGGAAACCCCTACATTAAACAAGTTTCTGAAGGCCCAGTCTACACTTTAAATCCTCTCTGAAAGCTGACTTCCAAAGGATTTAAAAGGATGTTCAGGAAACCCCCGACTTTCCTGGATGCTCTTAGATAAGAGGTTTTTCTTATCACTTCAAGCTGCAAAACATAATCTTAGTTTAATAATTAGTATATCTAATCTCAACATTGTCAAAATTTAAAATGTTTTAAAATTAAATGATAACGTTACTTCAGTTTTAAAAAGAATCCTTCTTCCTGATTCCCCAGCTCAGGCCTATGATGAGGGAGAATCCAGCAGCTGAAAAGGAGAGAAAGCTGCTCTTTTTTCCCCACTTACAGCTTCTCCTCCTCTCCCCATCTTGCTAGCCACTAAGGTTGGAGGGCAAAGAGGAAGAGGAGGGAAGGGAATCAGGAATGTTCTTACTTGCCAGGTACCCTGGTAACTTAGTATCTGAGTTTACTAGGCTCGGCATATGTTTACAGCTGACTGGTTGTATGTGATTTTCTTTTTCTTAGGGGTGGGGGCAGGTGGGTGGGTAATTGTTAGAGACACCCCCACTCTCCATCACTGGGCATCTTTCCTATGTAATTTGCTCCACGGGGGAATGAATCTAGGTTCCAATTCAGCACTGAAGGTACCTCCAGCTTCTCTCCTACTGAGTGTTTCTTCTTCCAGGGACCTCTTAGACTAGCCCTAAGTCAACACTCATGAGGCTTTTCAGTGCAGGCCATCTTTTGGACTCCACGATCAGAGCAGCCAACCTGTCTCCCTGACTTAGCTGTGAGTCAGAAGCTAGACCATAAGGTCTCCCTAAGCAACAGTCTCCACACATTAGGCTCTTGAAGTGGTCTTGTTGAGGTCCTTTTCCAACTATGCTTGAGGAGCACAGGCCTCTCCTACCCTGCCTCAGTGGTGGTAGGGGTGGATTCATTCATAGCACACTAACATTTATCTTTGAAAATACTCTCCAACTGATTTCCAATATATATACTCTTGTCAAGGGTGAAATACTTAATAATTGTAAAACTGATTTCCCCCTACCTCTTCCTATCCCACACAGATATATATTAAATATATATAATACACACACATATATATGTATAGATATTTAAATCCTGTATGGTGTGCTGGCATTCATTTCAGACTATGATATTTTTATTGTCTTCAGTCTTAGGCAAAACTTCCATTTTAATATCTTATACTGATGTTCACAAGAATGTTCTAGTTCTGCCCTAAGACTTCAGAGAATGCATATATATGTCAGGTATTTGATCTATAAGTTATAGATCCTCAGTATAACCCAAAAGTAATACAAATGTGAGTGCTGGTAAATTCAAAATGTAAAAGAAATTAAAAGAAAAGTAATGCCTACAAGCTACCATGGTTCTGCTATTGTCATATTAAGCAAGTCAGTATCAAAGAAAATATGCTGAGAACATGTGAACTGCAGAAATTATTTACTTTTATCAAATAGCCATGGTTTTCATGCCTGTTCATTTTCTTAACACTGTATTTCCTGCTTCTTCAGATACTGCCTAGTCAATTACATGGGCTTCCTTTCACACTTACATCAAGGCCAAGAGTAAACTGTTCCAAGCACAATGCAACAGCCTGTTTCTTTTGAAGCAAATAAAATAGGAGCATCGTTTTCAATCTTTTTTTTTTTTAATTTTGCCTGAAAAGTGACAGGATAAGAATTAGGCTAAAGAGAGAAGCATGAAGAAACCTTTTCTTCCAGAAGGCTGAACAGCACTGCATTAACAATACACTTCCTGATGGGTAAGTGGTGAGTTCTTTTGTTTACTAAAATACCTCAATCAATTTTTCTTTTAATGACTTTCATCACCACTACCTACATATGCTGAAGGACATTTCAGCCCTGAATCTTATCTTTCCTCATGTACTTTACTGTTCAGAACAAGCACACACCACAGTCATGTGATATTCCTTATTAGCGTAACTGAAGCTTAACGGATATAATTAGTGGATTATTCCAACCCTCTCTTTAGTTCCTCAGCTTCTTTTATTCTTAAAGAGATGAATTCTAATAGGGGCTTTATCAGATTCTAAATACAGTAGAGACATATTAGAAGAATGAAATGCTCCTTATGACTCACCGTGTGGCTTATTGTAGTAATAAAATAAATGTCCATCCAGAGGGATATTGTTAGGTTTTAGAACTTCTCCCTTGATTCTTCACTGAAGACTTGAAACTTGGTTCCAATATCCTCCCACACCCCTACTAGCTGTGTGAGAGTGGCAAGTCCTTTCTCTCACTAATGTCATCTGCAAAATTACCCCATCAAAAAATGTCTAACTAGATAATTTCTTAAGTCAGCTATCCTTCCCCAAACTTTAACTTTCAATGCTGCACTCTATTCCTGGTACTTACCCAAGGCTAATTTGTTCAGCGTTTAAAAAATCAGAATGTATGGTACAATTATGGGTCATTTTAAATTTATTCCTTCACTTGTCACTATTTTCTATGGTTTCTCCACTGAACATGAATTATTCTTATAACAAAAAAAAGTTATTTAAAAGAGGACAAACAAGAAAAAAAAATCAATAAAAATGTATTTGGGATCTTACATGTCCCCAAGCCTTTGTCAGTTATGTGTTAAAACCCAAAGCAATTTGATCACCACGTGATGTAGAGATCACCATGATACACTTAAGGAATCTAATCACAACACTCTAAATGTAGCATTGTATCAAATTTTCTTTTTTTAATTTTTTAATTTTAATTTTTATATCAGATTTTAAAAACATTCGTGTAGCATCTATAGGTGGAAAAAGCATATGAGAAAAAAAAAATCAAAGACAAATCACATGTTATCCCGTTTCCCAGTAAGCTGACAATTTTAAAGTGCTCCAGATTATGATCAGAAATTCTGGGTTCAATTTACTTTTGTTCAACTAACATTTACTGAGTTCAAGGCATTGGAGATTGAAGATGAATGAGGAGATTATGATACAGTGGAAATGACAGATATTTAAGCAACTTCAAAATTAGTCAGACTGGCAAACATGCTAAACAGTCAGAAAGGGTACCCTGGAAAGCTCTAGTTCATTCTGACTGAGGAGATCAAAGGCCTTGTATACTCTGCTAAGAGGTTTGCGTTCCAGTGTGGTCTGCCCTCAGTGCTCCTTAACAAATTGTTTGGCCTCTCTGGCCATCTGTTTTCGCAGATGAAAATTAATGAAATTGAATTTTGAAATTTCTAATCCTATCAGCTATAAAATTCTAGGAGTCCATGATTTTATGTTATGACAATGATGAGGACCCTTTATCTAAGGCTTCTTAAACTCCTTTGTCCAGTCTCCCTGACCCCTTACTACTATTGTTACTGGAAAGAGGTCCTGATCCAGACCCCAAGAGAGAGTTCTTGGATCTCTTGCAAGAAAGAATTCACAGGGAGTCCATACAGTAAAGTGAAAGCAAGTTTATTAAGAAAGTAAAGGATAAAAGAATGGCTATTCCACATTCAGAGCAGTGGCCTGAGCTTCTGGCCTAAGGATACTTACAGTTACTTCTTGATTATATGCTGAACAAGGGTGAATTATTCACAAGTTTTCCAGGAAAGGGGTGGGCAATTCTGGGAGGTGAGGGTTCCTCCCCTTTTTAGACCATAGAGGGTAACTTCCGGAAGTTGCCAATGTACCTGTAAACTGTCATAGCACTGGTGGGAGTGTCTTTTAACATGCTAATACATTATAATTAGCATACAATGAGCAGTGAGACCAACCACAGATAACTCTCATGGCCATCTTGGTTTTGGTGGGTTTTGGCTGGCTTCTTTATTACAACCTGTTTTATCAGCAAGGTCTTGTGCTGACCTCCTGTCTCATCCTGTGACTTAGAATGCTTAGCCTCCTGGGAATGCAGCCCAGTAGGTCTCAGCCCTGTTTTACCCAGCCCGTATTCAAGATGGAGTCGCTCTGGTTGGAAGGCCTCTGACACTATTGTCATTCTCTATAGCTGAATCAAGTCTGGGATTATACCTCTCCTTCTGTTCCCATCTCTCTGTGGCTATCAAACTATGGAAGCAGTCAATTTCCAGGTAGAGAACTCTGCATTTGAGCTGAGCAGGTACAAAAAAGCAAATTTGGTTCAGTGCTTCCCCTTCTTTGCTTTCTCTTTAAGGATTATTGACTATATGCTACTTGGAGAAAGAAACAAATTTGAAAACCTGTTAAATTAGCTGTTTTTATAATTAACTGGTTTTGGCTGTCATTCCAATTTACAGGCATGCAGGGAGCTCATACTTTCTTTTTAGTCATAGTGATTTTTCAAGTTTCTGTCAGTCTTACACATTAACCTTGAAGCCACGTGCTTTTCTGACATTCTTCAAATTCTTTAAATAGATCTGGGGGCTTGGATTCAGGGCTGGCTTCTATTCACACAAGCATTACATTCTCAGCAAATAATATCCATTTAATTTGTTTTTAGAAGAGCGTTATTATTAGATCTATTCACAAGAAAAGGCATGTAGATACGTTTGTGTTTGATGATCCACTCAAGACATATACAAGAACAATTTATATAATATAGCCATCTTCCTGTTATTTATTAAAACACATGTGAAATTAATGTTTTGATCTATTCACCATTTTATTTAAAAATACTTTATTAAGCTTTTGCTATGTGAAAGGCAAAACATCATTAAACAAAATGACCCATCCTTTCCTGTGAATGTATTTTTTTCTTGTGACACTAAAATGAGTCCATTTTTAAAAAAATTTCAACAAATTGCTGGGGAAAGAGACTGCTGGATGAATCCTAATGCTGAAAGAACAACAGTTGATTAGAACGTAGAAGGGAAAAGGAAGCTAGAATGAGGTTTCTCAACTTTGGCACTATTGATATTTGGGGCCAGATAATTCTTTGTTGTCGGGGACTGTCCTGTGCTTTGCGGGATGTTTAACAGCATCTCTGGTCTCCACCCACTAGATGCCAGTAGCAACCCACCCACTCATCCCCCAGCTATAACAAATAAAAACGTCTCCAGACATTGCCAACTGTTCCCTGGAGTCAAATTCACTCCTGGTTAAGACCCACCGAGCTAGAATGATTCTTTCTCTGATAATGTGCCAGTCCGTACTCACTTTTGCTTCTTAGAGATGAAAGCAAACCCTTGCTCTTCAATCTGTATACACTGAGATTTCACAGAAAAGCAAATTCCATTCTCGTGCCTCTATTTTTGCCACCAGTGATAATGATAATGGTCCCTTCATGAAAGAGATTGAAAAGGTGGCTACTGGCCTGAAGTCAGGGTTAGAACTTAGTTTTCCTCAACAGGGATACATTTGTACTTACATAGCTACACTGTCTGATGTAGTCTCCCTTGCCTTAGTTCGGGCTGCTATAACAAAATATTAGGTTGGCACAAAAGTAATTGCAGTTTTTGCCCTGAAAAGTAAAGGCAAAAATCACAAATACTTTGCAGCAACCTAATATTGTAGCCTGGGTGGGGTATGAACAACAGAAATTTATCATCTCATAGTTCTGGAGGCAGAAAGTCTGAGACCAGGTGCCAGCATGATCAGGTTGTGTGAGGGCCCTCTTCCAGATGCAAGACTACCAGCTTCTCACTGCATCTTCAATTGATGGAAAGACAGTGACGGAGCTCTCTTTCTAAAGGCACTAATCCCATTCATGAGGGCTTGATTTTACCTCCAGAAGGCACCATCTCCTAATACTATCACATTGGAAGCTAAGACTTCAACATATGAGTTTTGGAGGGACACAAACATTCAGTCCATAATATACCTCCTGACTAGAGTGTGAGTGGTATAGGGGTACCACAATATAATGCCCCCAGAAACTTAAAAATGCAAGTGCTTTGGGAGTTAAATCTAGAAGTCAATATTTTTTATATTTAGTGGAGATATGCAAAGAAACCTTCAAGCAGTGGTCTTCACACTATAGTATATACAGAAATTACCTAGTGATTTGTTGAAAATACCGATTCGTGGGCCCCACCAACAGAGATTCTGATCTAGTATAACTGGGGAAGACCTAAGCATTTTTAATATACATCTAAATGATACAGATGCATATGGTCCATGAACTTCCCTTTGAAAAATACTGCCCTGAAGATTAAAAATAGCTACCAGCCTCTGATTGGAGGCATTGCCATGTGTCAAGAAAAGATAATCCCATCAGTAGGGTAGGAGGACAGAGTTGGCCATCGTCATGCCTGGAAAGGAGAGTCCTAGAGCAAGATGGACAGTGACAATCTAAGGTCCTGCCCAAGGACTTGCCTGTCCCTTCCTTAAGGCAGCAGGTATCTCAGTTGTGGAAATGGATATTCTGTGTCACCTTACCCTAATGTCATCAAACATTCAAAATGTGCAACTAGCTCTTTTTGCCTTCCCCTGGGGAATGCCCTGGGGTGGCTTTCTTCACTGTAAATTAATAAATTGATATTCTGAAGGTATATATCAGGCTTTGCACTTGGGTAATGTGAGTCCTTCTTAGAAATAATGGCTCTATCCTCAGCTTGCTGACAAATCCAGGTTTCTAAGTCTAGGTCAGAACCTGGACTGTGGTAAATTAACAAAGGTAAGACCAGTGGTGTGTTGGTAAATTTTTAACAGACAGCTCTCCAGGAGGGAAAAACAAAAGTCTGGATTTGTAGCCTTGGCCAAGCCTCATGGTACAAATGCTCACACTCCCACTGTGGCCAATTTCAAGCTACTAGCCTGACATCAGGCTATGTAGAGTTATGAAGAGAAGCACACCATTTATATATGAATAGTATTGTCACCATATGGATAAAATCAATGTAAATAATCCCAAGGCACAGATAGTAAAATAATTAGGTGGGGAAGAGTTTGGGGATAATTAGTTCCTTTGTTTTTATTTTAACTTATTTTATCTAATATTATTGTTTACATAATTTAATTTTAAATAATGACTATTTTTAACCAGCAAACAAAATTCCTAAAAATGAAACAATTGGCCCTCATGAGCTGGTACAGCTAGCTCCAGCACGCCACTGGAGATTGATGTTCATGAACTGGTTTGGGTGAGCAGATCACCTTCCCCAGATGATACCTGTGTTTCAAATGTGCATATTCTTTAGAGTTTCCATGTGGTTCATAGAACAGAGTCAGTATTACTATTTACTCCATGCTTAAAATCATAAGCCTGGTCTCATTAATCCCTTAGATGTACAGTCCTTATACAGTGTACAAAGAGCTTCAATGCCCATAATTTAAACTGATTTTTATAGCCACTTCAGAAATTGAGTATAACAGTTATTTTCCTTCTTTTACAGGTGAAGAAACTAAACTGAGAAGAACTAAATTACTTGCTCATAGTTAACCAGCTATTATGTGGCAGAGCAGAGAATCAAGGCAACTACCATTTATGGAAGGTCAGCTGTAGACCAGAGACACTGTTCTACAGTGTCTGTTACAGATCTCTTGCCTAATCCTCAAAGCAGTCCATGTGAAATAGATATTATTGGGCCTATTTTAAACATAAGAAAACTGAACTCAGTGAGATTATGTGACTTGTTCAAGATCACATGCCTGATAAGTCTAAGTCAGGATCAGCTACCCAGTGGTTGTCAAACTCTAAGGCACATCACAATCCCAGAGAGCCTGCTAAAATACAGATTTCAGGGCCCCACACCTAGGGATTCTGATTCAATGAGTTAAAGGATCTGCAGTTCTAACAAGCTCCCTGAGGATACTCATGATGCTGGTCTGGGCACCACACTTTGAATAACCTTGAGCTGCACCGTGCAACCTATTCATTGCTTCCTAGGAATCCAGACATCCTGACTCCTAGTTCTATGATCTGTCCACTACAACATACTGCAGTTTATTCTAACCTCTAAACTAACCAGACAAAAGACAGTATTGTGTATATGTTTGTAAATATACGTATTTTCTTTTAAGCAGTCGATATGACATGTGGTCGTTCTCAGTTTTTTTATGAACTGACATTATATAGAAAATTTAATTGTCAAGAAAACCATTAGATGAAAACATTTTAGAAACCTTTCATCAGGGTTTATTATTATTATTATTATTATTATTATTTTTTTGAGACAGAGTCTTTCTCTGTCACCCAGGCTGGAGTGCAGTAGTGCAATCTCAGCTCACTGCAACCTCCGCCTCCCAGGTTCCAGCGATTGTCGTACCTCAGCCTACCTAGTAACTGGGATTACTGGCATGCGCCACCACACCCGGCTAATTTTTGTATTTTTAGTAGAGACAGGGTTTTGCCATGTTGGCCAGGCTGTTCTCAAACTCCTGGCCTCAAGTAATCTACCAGCCTCAGCCTCCCGAAGTGCTGTGATTATAGGCATGAGCCACTATGCCTGGCCCAAGGTTTGTTATTAAAGTTCTAGTCATCCCTGGAAATAAACATTATAAGTCCAATTTTGTTGTAAATAGCCCATGTAGGGGAAAAAAGACAATTGTGTGTGTTATGGACACTCTGGAATCATGTATTACAAAATAAGCTCCCAGAAATCGCATTTACAAATTTCAATTTTGCTTCAGGGAAGATTGACTTCTTACTCAGCTGATATTTATACTTGGAAGATCTGCATTGAAGCATTACTTAATGATAACATTAATTATAATATTTATAAGACGTCTTTCCATGAGGCATTCAAATAACTGCAGTCATGTAATCTTTTTCTCAGTGTGGGCTCAAGAAACAGATGGAATTATCAACTCTGCCTTAGAGATGACAAGCCTGTGGTTCCACACAGACCTCAGGTGTCTTGGTGAAGGTCATTCACAGAAAGAACCTAAGCCTTGGGAATCCCAGCTCAGCATAGCCATGGTTACATAACTGCTCTTTAACAGATGCAGTCTCTCCACTGTGGGGTCAGGGAAACAGTGGTAAGACTCAAGCCAACTAGTGTGGTTACTTGGTAACAGCTTAGCTAAAAGGCTAGAAGAGAGAGGAGAATCAAGCTATTGGATAAAATTAAATGATTGCTTTGAATTACACATTTCTCTCTTATTTCCCAGCACCATAGAAAAATAGGAGTTGGCATTTGTTCTTTATGGCTTATCAAATCTGACCTGGGAGAACCTACTACAGCTTCCGAAAATGGATGTTTTATTAAAATAGCTTAAGTTTAATGTATCACATTTGCACAATAACAATTAGGAGGCAGTTCATTTTCAAATAGTGAGGGCTCTATGAGTACTTACTCAATTAAAATGATAATTTAATTATCTTCAATTGCCATATATGATTGGGGGAATCTATTTAAAGTTTTTGCCCCATCCCCACTGTTCTTCCCTTTGCCTTCTTTTTAAAATACCACATATTCCTGGTGAGTATTCATTTTGCCCTGTTCAAGGGTGATACATCAACTTACTGATCTCCCCGGAATGTTCATTTCATGGATGAATGAAAATAGTGATGCTCATTGTATTTCAGGTGCTTTACCCCATCTAAATGATGAGCAGCTTTATGAGTAGGGGAACTTAGAATTGTGTTATTATTCAGATCTCCACAGTTACTAGAAAGCCTGAGTAACATTCAGGAAGTTCCAAAATCCAGGCTTTATGTTGTTGGGAGTCCCTATTTATCAGGAGCCTGGGCCAGTCCCTGGAGGCCCAGGAACAGCCTGGAGGCAAATGCATAGGTACAGCATTGTGTCTGAATTTAGGATGAGGAGGCTCAGTCCTCAGGCTTTGGTGAAAACCCCCCTTAATTCTGGTCACTCTTAAAGATACCCCACTAATACTGACTGGTACAGGCTTCCATCGTATTGAATGTGTGCCACGCGCCTAGCACAGCCCCTGGCCCATCATAAGCACTCAAATATTAGCCATCATTTTGCATTCTTTTAAGACCATGCATCTTCTCCTACTTCTAATCAAGTTTCCACTGCTGCAACATAGACGTCCTCAGGTTTCTCCCCTGCTCAAAAACGTTCAGTGACTATTAGTTCCACCAGTGCTTCTCAAAGTGTATCAGAATCACCTGGGTTTTTTTTTTGCACAATTGCAGATTTTCAGGCTTTACTCCAAACCTACTGTATTAGACCCTTGAGGAGTTGGGTCTGGGAATTTGAATTTATTAACAAGCTCCACAAGTGTTTCTTACATACTCTACCAATAATTTGAGATTCCCCGACATGTTGCACAGTATGCACATACCTTTACATGGCATTTATTACCCCTTAAAACCTGGCCCCAACCATCCATCCAGTCTTATTGCCTGCCATACAGTATTATTGACACTCCCTTATCAGGAAAACTTGTGAAAGACTTTGAAATGAGAAAAAAACATCCTGGATGTGGATATTGTATCTATCATACCATTGTGGGTTATATCTGCCTTTCATTGTGTTTGAGTTATTTTATAATTCTGTTAGTTGTAGAAAAATTGGTAATGATGCAAACAATTCCTTCTGTAGAAAAGCAACTGAATTTTGTTATGTGAAATGCAACTGATTATTTCTCTGTGGATAAATCAGTTTACATCTACTTTTAAATTCATTTCAGCATTCCTTATTGCCTACATATGTGCATGGATTTATTTGAATTATCCTTTGAACTGGCTGTAACATCTTACAGGTTCCCTCATTAATTAATAAATTAAATAAGATCTTTGACACGTGTTCATTTTATATTTGCATGAGGTTATAAGTTTACCTTAAAATAATTATTCTTTATACGCTGAACTACACTGTAGTAGCTTCAGACTCTCTGCTGTGGTACAGTTTCCTTTCCCTCCTTGCCGTGACCCTCCCGTTTCCCTGACCACCAGTTTCTTTGGTGAAGTCCCTCTAACCCTTCAAGGTCCCACAGAGTTGCCAAGTGTCAGCTTCTCTGTCAAGCTGTTCTTCATCCATCCTTCCATCCCCAACTGCCCAACTCAGACTCAGTACCTCCCAACCCCTGACTCACATCTTGTTAGAGCATTTCTCACACCAGATTCCTGTAACAGTTGCTTCAAAAACTGAGAATGCAAGCATGGCCATTTCTCTACTTGACCTTTCTGTACTTCAGTTTCCTTATCTATAAAGTGGAGATAATAACAGCACTGACTTCATAGGGCTATTGTTAAGATTAAATGAGTTAATCCATGTAAAACACTTAGTGTATTGCCTGGTGCATAGTAAGTGTTGAATAAATGTTACCTGTCAATATTCTTGATTATATTTTCCTTTCCTTTTTTTTTTTTTTTTTTTGAGACAGAGTCTCGCTCTGTCACCCAGGATGGAGTGCTGTGGTGTGATCTTGGCTCACTGCAACCTCTGCCTCCCAAGTTCAAGAGATTCCCCTGCCTCAGCCTCCTGAGTACTGGGATTACAGATGCGTGCCACCACACCAGGCTAATTTTTGTATTTTTAGTAGAGACGGGGTTTCACCATGTTGGCCAGGCTGGTCTCGAACGCCTGACCTCGTGATCCACACCCCTTGGCCTCCCAAAGTGCTGGGATTACAGGCATGAGCCATCGCACCTGGCTATATTTTTTCTAATTAATTGCTTGATAATCTACATGTCTCAGATGCAAAGACTACTACTGTCTACAAAAACTGTCTTCCTTAGATTATATTTCCTGGCCCTGCTTCCAGCTAGGTTTGATCAGAAATGCCCTATGTGCATCTCAAGCCTGGTCCATAACAATTCCCACATGTGCTCCTCCAAACCATTCTCTGTTTCCTTAAGGCTGCAATGGAGACTTCAATGACTGGAGTAACCCTGAAAGCCACAGATCAAAAATACAGATTTCCTACTGTGTCTGGAATTTGTTCCTTCCGGTGGGTTCTTGGTCTTGCTGACTTCAAGAATGAAGCCACAGACCCTTGCGGTGAGTGTTACAGCTCTGAAAGATGGTGTGTCTGGAGTTTGTTCCTTCAGATATTCAGGTGTGTCCAGAGTTTCTTCCTTCTGGTGGGTTTGTGGTCTCACTGACTTCAGGAGTGAAGCTGCAGAGCTTCGCAGTGAGTGTTACAGCTCTTAAAGGCAGCACATCGGGAGTTCTTTGTTCCTTCCAGTGGGTTCGTGGTCTGTTGACTTCAGGAATGAAGCCACAGACCCTCGCAGTGAGTGTTACAGCTCATAAAGGTAGTGTGGACACAAAGAATGAGCAGCAGCAAGATTTATTGTGAAGAGCAAAAGAACAAAGCTTCCACAGTGTGGAAGGGGACCCGAGTGGGTTGCCACTGCTGGCTCGGGTGGCCAGTTTTTACTCCCTTATTTGACCCCGCCCACATCCTGCTGATTGGTCCATTTTACAGAGTGCTGATTGGTGCATTTACAATCCTTTAGCTAGACACAGAGTGCTGATTGGTGCATTTACAATCCTTTAGCTAGACACAAAAGTTCTCCAAGTCCCCACCTGACCCAGAAGCCCAGCTGGCTTCACCTCTCAATCCCCCCTCCAAACAGGACACCCCAGCTGCTGTTGGGATTTGGCGATGACCGCTGTAGCTACTTCCTGCTGGATAGGGGTGAAGAAGGGGCCCTGCAGTGGTAGTGTCCTCCAGAGGGGAGCTCTTTAGGCCATTGAAAGGGCCAGCGGGTCGGTCCAGGGGTCCTCAGCAGAAGTTGTTAGTTGAGCTCATTTGGGGTTACATTTGTAAGATCATCTGTAGCTTGATGGCCTCGATCCTAGAGGAAACAAATTTGACCAAGAGGTTAAAAATACAGGGCCCAAATGCGACTATTAGCAAGATGGCTGTCACAGGACCTAGAAAGGGGAGAAGCCATGTCGCCCAACTCCAGAGGTTGGTATAAGAGTTTGAAAGGCATTGTCTGATTTCAGAAGCCTTTTCCTGTAAACACTGGGTGGTATCTCATACTATCCCTGACTGGTTAGTATAAAAACAACACTCTACCCCTAAGAAGGTGCAGAGTCTTCCTTTCTCAGCAGTGAGGAGGTCTAGGCCTCAGCGGTTTTGGAGAGTCACTGCTGCCAAAGAGTCTATTTGGGATTGTAGAGTAAGGACAGATTTCGTCTCTTTTTTGCAAACTGTCTGAGAAATCCTTTGAGAGAGTGTGTGGTAGTAGGATAATACATGTTACGCTGTTAACTTTTAGCAAACTTTACTTTAGTTGAAAACCTTGTAAGTTTGAGATTTTAATTTTCTTTGCTATTAATAAAACCTCGTTCAGTCCATATTAACTTAGAATTGGTATAGATGGCTCCTTCCTGATTCTGTAAGTACTTTAAGGTTTAGCTGAGTGCAAACAGCAAACAGCTTCAACGTTTGAGCAGACCACTTATTAGGCAATTTTCCTAACTCTGCTTCTATAAGAGTTTCCTTATCACTTACTGAATACCCATTGTGTCTTTTTCCTTAATCACCTGGGAGGAACCATCTATCATCCTGTCCTGAAGGCAGTTCCTCCTATGTCTGGTCCGACCTTAAGATTTAGATTCCCTGTTAGGAAACCTGCTGTGTTAAGGATTTTTGATAAGAAGGCTACGGGTTGTCAGTGGCCTCAGTGCTTTTGGGCTATACCCTTGTTTACACTGACAACAAGGTGGTATTGGAGTATTATAGGGTTACAGAAAAGGCCTTCAATTATCAATTATAGGTTTTAAATTTAACCTGGCTTTTAAAGGAATAGGGTACACTGTTTTTTCTTTACTACTTCTCTTTCCCTCTCTTTGACTCCTTCTTTGTCTCTTCCTCTCTTTGCTTCTCTCTTTCTGTCTCTCTGTCTCTTCCTCTGTCTCTCTCTGTCTTTCCCCCTCTCTCTCTCCTCTCTTTTCTTTCTGACTCCCTCTTTGCTATCACTTCCTATCTCTCTTTCTCTCTCACTTTCTGCTCTTTCTCTCTTTCCTTTCTGCTTGTCTTTCCCTGCCTCTGCCAGCCACTTATGCTGCAGTTCTCCCCTCTCCTTCCCCTTTTGATGGCTTCGGCAATGTAAGACCGCCACCTCCTTGGGTTTTTGCACTGTGTGCAATAACTCCATAGTTTCCTTGTGATATTTAATGGGGGTTCACCCAGAAGTTAGGAATTCCCTTTCTTTCCATATCGCAGCATGGGCATGTAGGATTAGGTAAGCATACTTACTATCTGTAGCAAAGTCTCCCAGTTACAACTGAGGAGGTGGGAGAAATACCTGGATATAGGCTGTCCCAGGATTCCTCGGATGGTAACAGACCTTGAGGACAGCTGTCCAGGACAGGAGGTTAACACTGAGAAAGCCGCACCAGTGTCCAGTAGGAAGTCAATTTCCTGGCCCTCAATGGTTAAATGTACCCAGGGCTCAGTGAGGGTGATGACATGAGCTGGCGCTAACCCTGAGCACCCTCAGTCCTGTGGTTGGATCATCTGCTTGGGGGCTTCTGGCCCAGATAATCTTTGTCCTTTGGGGCAGTGTGGCTTCCAGTGATTGCTTCAGCATAGTGGACATGGGTGAGGGGGCAGCTTGTTTCTCATAGGACAATCTTTTTTAAACTGTCCTTGCAAACCACACTGACAACAAGCCCTACTGGGTGATTGGCCTGCTCCATTTTCTGTCCTCTCTGAACCACCAAGGTTTGTTTGTCTGAGGGCCATGACTAAGGCTGTGGCCTTTCTCTTATCTCGCTTTTCCATTTTGGCCTGCTCCTCTTGGCCCCTATTATAGAACACCAAGGTTGCCAGGTTTAATAATGCCTCCAGATTTTGTTCAGGGCCAAGGGCTTGCTTTTGGAGCTTTCTCCTGATATCTGCAGCTGATTGAGTAATAAACATATCTTTTAGAATCAATTAACCCTTGAGTGAGTTGGGTGACAGGGGAGTATATTTTCTTAAGGCCTCCTGTAGCCACTCAAGGAAGGCAAGACTTTCTTCCTTTTCCTGAGTTATGGTGGACATCATTGAATAATTCATAGGCTCTTTCCTAATTCTCCTTAGTCTTTCTAGAACACAGGTCAACAGATGTTTGCGACTCCAGTCCCAATGATCTGAGTCTAGGTCCCAGTGGGGATCCACACTAGGGATGGCTTGCTGACCGGGAGAGACTTTGTCCCTTTCCCCAGCTGTCATTCTATCATTTACTTGACTAAGATACCAGGTATCTCCAAACTCTCGGGCTGTGGCTAAAGCCACATTCTTTAAATTAAAGGCCAGGGTTTGATCTAACAATAGCATGACATCTCTCCAAGTGAGATTGAAGGTTTGCCCTAGACCCTGTAGGACATCTGTATACCTATCAGGATCATCTGAAAGCTTCCCCTGGTCTGCCTTGATCTGCTTTAAATCAGAGAGGGAGAAGGGGACATGTACCTGGGTTGGGCCAAATTCCCCTCCCCCGCTACAGCTTGAAGGGGACATAACCGATAGCCCAGGGGTTTTTGTGGTCCTTTGGAGATTTCTTTGCTTGTTTCCTTCTGGGTGGGGGAGATTAGAGGAGGCTTATCATTAATAGGAAGGGGAGCTATAGGGAGGCTAGGATATGGGGGTAAGCTGAGAGGTCCTCTTGTGGGATGTGAATTGTAAGTTTTGCATAGTTGTGGATTTTCCTTTAATGAAAAGAAAGTTTGGACATAAGGTATTTCACTCCATTTGCCTTCCCTCTTACAGAAAAGGTCAAGCTGCAGGATAGTATTGTAATTTATACTTCCTTCAGGTGGCCATTTTTCCCCATCAGAGAGAGAATATTGGGACCAGGCCATAGTGCAGAATAAAATGAGCCACCTCTTTTTCAGGGTTTGCGGGTCAAATTAGTCCCAATGGCTTAGGATACATTTCAAGGGTGAGCCTGTTGGTGCCTGAGTGTTTCCCATCTGAAAGACAAAACTGCCCCCAGTTTTGGTCTGTTTGTTCCCCCCACCCCCCGACCCAAGAACCCGCAAAGGTCACTGGACCCTGCTGATTGGAATAGTTGAGCCCACCAATGCAGCAGCAGAAACACCTCTTGCCCAAGAACCCACAATGGTCCCTGGACCCTGTTGATTGGAATAGTTGCGCTCACTGATGCAGCAGCAGAAACACTAGTTTTCCTCCTAGACCACAAGGAGGACCAAGGAATGTCAGATTTAGTGGCCCTTACCAACACATTCTTGAAAACCTGCACCCTTACCTGTCCTCCTAGACCACAAAGAGGACCGAGAAAAATCGGATTTAGTGGCCCTTACCGACACATTCTTGAAAACCTGTTAGAGTCCTAAACATTCTCCTGTTAGTATTGGGACTTTACCCGTGTCCTATAAAGACGTTATGCCCCAAAAGTGAAGTGGAGGGCCATACCCTGAGGGAGGGAAGGGATCTCCAGAATTGGAAGAGTGATGCCTTTTGTCCTCACTTGAATAGGAAGGATATCATTTCTGAGGCTCCCCATATCCTAGCTTCAGGAATAGCTTTTGTTAGGCCTGCTTGTCTGAGGAGGGATCCTAAAATTCCAGATAGTCCCCCCTAAGATGGGGCTTTGGGCAAAAATTATGGCTTTCTGATTGGTGAGCCCGGGTGCCTAAAGAAGAGAATAGAGTCCTGGAGTTTATACTAGAAATCATTCTTATAGGAGAAACTAGAAAAGCACCAGAGACAGGGAGTGGTTTTTAGAAGTGGGACTAGCCTTGGAGAACAGAGACAAGAGGAAGTTTTGTCTTCCAGGCATTAGGACCCAGGAAGCAAGAGTCAGGATAGATAGGATAGATGGGTGAGTCTCGCTTGGGCAACATGACTTCGAGAGTTCTGCTCATGGCCACAGGGTCAACCAACTTGCTGTCGGGACCCCAGAGCTGAATGGCTTTCCTCTCTGTTGACCCTCGTCTCAGCCCAGAAGTACAGGAAATGTGGAAGCTGGTTCCAGGCAAACCAACGCTCCCAACTCCAAAGAGTTGGGGGTTATTAGAGAGCCCTTTCCCAGAAAGTCTGACACCCGTGTCTTTAGTCTCTTAAATCTGGCAGCCATGCTAGTCGCTTTTAACTGGCTGACAGGTGCCCAATATTTAGCCCCCGAATTCTAAGGAAAAATAGGACAGAATAACAAGTGAAAGGGGTTGATGGTACTCACCACTTGGTGATAGTCCCATCTGGGTCACCAAAATGTGTCCGGAATTGTTTCCTTCCAGTGGGTTCTTGGTCTTGCTGACTTCAAGAATGAAGCCGCAGACCCTTGCAGTGAGTGTTACAGCTCTTAAAGATGGTGTGTCTGGAGTTTCTTCCTTCAGATGTTCAGATGTGTCTGGAGTTTCTTCCTTCCAGTGGGTTCATAGTCTCGCTGACTTCAGAGGTGAAGCCGCAGACCTTCGCAGTGAATGTTACAGCTCTTAAAGTTGGCGTGTCCAGAGTTGTTTGTTCCTCCCAGTGGGTTTGTGGTCTCACTGACTTCAGGAATGAAGCCACAGACCCTCACGGTGAGTGTTACAGCTCATAAAGATAGTGCAGACCCAAAGAGTGAGCAGCAGCAAGATTTATTGTGAAGAGCAAAAGAACAAAGCTTCCACAGCGTGGAAGGGGACCTGAGCAGTTTGCCACTGCTGGCTCTGGTGGCCAGCTTTTATTCCCTTATTTGGCCCTGCCCACATCCTGCTGATTGGTCCATTTTACAGAGTGCTGATTGGTCCATTTTACAGAGTGCTGATTGGTGCATTTACAATCCTTTAGCTAGACACAAAAGTTCTCCAAGTCCCCCCTAGCCCAGAAGCCCAGCTGGCTTCACCTCTCACTATCAGCCTGGGTTCCTGAATGACCATCTAAAGCAGGCACTCCTCCATGCCCCTCTTCCCGAACCAACATCCCAGAGAGGGCAACCACTTCCCTCAGATGTCACAGGCCCTTTCCTGATGTCTTTTTAGTAGTCTGATCATGCCTTTTCTACTCTAGGATGAAGGCACAAATGTAATGGTTCTCTGTAAGAGGAGAGCCCTCTCTGTTGGGGCTAACCTTAGCCAAGGATGTACTACAGGTGTTTCCAAGATTCCAGTTGTTAGTAATTAGATCTTGCAGGTTATGTACAGAGTTAGGGGCACATAAGCTCCAAATGTGGCTCTCATTTTTGTGTCTACCATCTTGCAGAACCAGGTGTACCAGGCCCTCTTTACCTGGGCCACTTTTACCTGGCTATCCTTCCCCCAAAGAGTGCAGCTTTTTGAGTCCCAGAGAGCACAAAGATCTCTTTATACTTTTCTTGAGGCCTGATCATCTAACATGTATACAACAAAGAGCAGTCACTTACTGGCCTTTCCTTGAACCAGAAGCTTTGCTTCAGGGAAGGCAGTCATCACTCTGTGATGGCGGAGAGGCTGGAGTTGTTAGTCCAGCCTTCAATGAACACCACGTGTGGTCACTGTCTGGACTAGCACCCTGTTACATTAGTAGTACTTTATATGGGCCGGGTGCAGTGGCTCACAGCTGTAATGCCAGCACTTTGGAAGGCCGAGGCAGGTGGATCACTTGAGGTCAGGAGTTTGAGACCAGCCTGGCCAACATGGTGAAACCTGGTCTCTATTAAAAGTACAAAAATTAGCCAGGCATGGGGGCGTGCGCCTGTAATCCCAGCTACTTGAGAGGCTGAGTCAGGAGAATCACTTGAGCCCAGGAGCAGGGGGTTGCAGTGAGCCACGATCATGCTATTGCACTCCAGTCTGGGTGACAGAGCGAGACTCCATCTCAAAAAACAAAAGTAGTACTTTATATGTTTTTATTTTACAATGAATATGCCTCAGGGATACAGTTTGTAGCAATATGTAGGATTTGAAGAAGAGAATACACATTATTGTGTTTGCAGGGGCCCAAAGATTGTAGCTATCCGGTATGTCCTATTGTTTTTTGATACCTGTGAGAAAAAGATGTCATCATATGGTAAAGTGTTTAGCACAGCCCTTGGCTCATAGTAAACACTCAGGAGCTGTTTCTTTCCATTATAATTCTGAGAGCATAGCCATGACCTACAACCCTTCCCTTCACCATTGTCAAGAGCAAGAATGCTGGCCACCATGGCCCGTGTCCATTATTATGTATCTGTGCAGGAATAAATGGCTCAATCTTACGAATTTCCTCTAATACCTGCACTAGGTCCTTCTGAACTTCTGGCAAGTTATAATTTCAGAACAGTTACCAAAGGAGTAGGGCAGTTACTAGAGGGGTAGATCCTTTGTTTCATGGTCAGTGCAGCCAGCATGACCTCCACACACATTTCTTCACCCATCTTTCCTTCACGTGGCTCTGCTCATTATTGCCCATCACCCAGCCTCCTGGAAGGCAGCTACATCTTGCTCAGAAGCTGTGAGTGTTGGGGGAGGGATAGAAGGCTGCATTTGCCAGGGCTTAGCAGGAACCTTTCTATTTTATTTCGTTTAGAGGACTGCTTCTGCCATGGCTTTCAGCTGTGCAAAGATAAAGGCATAAAGCATTGTCTCCATGATTAAGAGCAAGGCTAGTCAGCACAGCTTCCTCAGATTGAGGCTTTTCTCTCCAAGAAGTAAAGAAGCAACTCTATTACTGTTGGCAATGAATAGGGGTGTGTGTGTGTGTGTGTGTGTGTGTGTGTGTGTGTGTGTGTGTGTGTGTGTGTGTGTGTGTGTGTGTGTGTCTAGAGAGAGAGGTGGGGAGACAGAGACAAAGACAACGACAGACAGGTGGGAGTGGAGAAGGATGGAATAAATGAATGTTCCCTGCAATGAATATAAAAAATTTAAAAATCCTTTCACAATCCAGTTCTGCACCTAAACACTGAGCTCTGAGAAGTCAGACTTTCCGGGTCTTTTTTCTCTGTGAGCATTTTATTTTCTCAGTCTGTTAGGCAGTTACCTGAAGAGCATTTTCCAAAGAGGATGATGCAGCATAGTAAGTGGCCCAAGAGACTGCCCCCTTCAAACCTAAATCAGCTGTTGTTAACACTGTCTGATAGCTATTTGGCAGTCTTTGTCCAAGCAGTTCACAGCAGCGGCTGCCCACCTCCTTGTCTCCTTACAGCTCTGACCAAATGGCCAAGTTGGGATGGACTGTCTACTTGGTGCAACAGACATTCAAGGCGAATGTGTAAATCCTAAACCAGGTGAATCCTTATCCACATTGTCAACCCTGGAGAGCCATATCTTCAGAGACCACATAATCTGAACAGGCCTTGTGCCTGATACACCCAGGCTGAGAAAGCGGGTCAGAAGAGTTGGATATTTGGGAATATAAAATTGCCTAATCTCCGGGTGCGGTGGCTCACGCCTGTAAGCCCAGCACATTGGGAGGCCGAGGCGGGTGGATCATGAGGCCAGGAGTTCAACACCAGCCTGGCCAATATGGTGAAACCCCATCTCTACTAAAAATACAAAAATTAGCCAGGCGTGGTGGCGTAAGCCTGTAGTCCCAGCTACTGGGGAGGCTGAGGCAGTAGAATTGCTTGAACCCAGGAGGCGGATGTTGCAGTGAGCCGAGATCATGCCACTGCACTCCAGCCTGGGCAGCATAACGAGACTCTGTCTCAAAAAAAAAAAAAAAAAACAAAACTGCCTAGTCACGGCACCTGTTAGGCTCCCAAAATATCTACTTTGAATCATTAGGCACATCTATAGGCAAGACTAGGTGACCAAATACTCTTGCTCTTTTCATACCATGATACAATTAAAATACATGTATCAACTCAGGGTGGACCAAAAATCATATACAATTATCTGGAGGAAATTGTCCAGTAAATATTAACTGCATTTAAATTATTGGCATACAACTTCTCCCAGACACACAAAGAGCTGGTACTAATTCTACAGAGAAAATTCGAGGAGGAGGGACCATTCCTGAACTCATTCTATGAAGCCAGTATGAACCTGATACAAAAATGTGGTAAAGATGAAATGAAAAAAGAAAATTACAGGCCAATATCCCTGATGAAAATAGATGCAAAAATCTTCAACAAAATACTAGAAAATCATAAGATGGCAGCAAGGGTGAGAAAAAATAGTAATTAAAAAAATACTAGCCACTTTGGGAGGCTGAGGCAGGCAGATCACGAGGTCAGGAGATCAAGACCATCCTGGCTAACATGGTGAAATCCTGTCTCTACTAAAAAATACAAAAATTAGCTGGGTATGGTAGCGGGTGCCTGTAGTCCCAGCTACTCGGGAGGCTGAGGCAGGAGAATGGCATGAACTCGGGAGGTGGAGCTTGCAGTGAGCCAAGATCACACCACTGCACTCCAGCCTGCGCGACAGAGCGAGACTCCATCTTAAAAAAAAAAAAAAATTAGCAAACCAAATCCAGCAGCACATCAAAAAGTTAACACCATGATTAAGTAGGTTTAATCCCTGGGATGGAAGTTTGGCTCAACATGCACAATTCAATAAATGCAATTCACCAAATAAGACCCAGAAAAAGCTTTCAATAAAATCCAACATCCCTTCATGATAAAGGCCTTTGACAAACTAGGCATCAAAGGAATACACCTCAAAATAATAAGAGCCATCTGTGACAAACCCATGGCCAACATCATATTGAATGGGCAAAAGCTGGAACCATTTCCCTTGAGAGGTGGAACAAGACAAGGATGCTCACTCTCAGCACTCCTATTCAACGTAGTACTGGAAGAGCAATCAGACAAGGGAAAGAAATAAAAGGCATTCAAATAGGAAAAGAAGAAGTCAAACTATCTTTCTTTGCTAATGATGATTCTATACCTAGAAAACACTACAGACTTTGCCAAAGGCTCCTAGAACTGATAAATGACTTCAGTAAGGTTTCAGGATACAGAATCAGTGTACAAAACTCTGTAGCATTTCTATACACCAATAACATTCAAGCTGAGAGCCACATGAAGAATGCAATCCCATTTAAAATAGTCACATAAAAAATGAAATACCTAGGAGGATCTCTACAAGGAAAACTAAAAAACATTGCTAAAGGAAATAGTAGATGACACAAACAAATGGAAAAATATTCCATGCTCATGGATAGGAAGAATCAATATCATTAAAATAGCATACTGCCCAAAGCAATCTATAGATTCAATGCTATTCCTATCAAACTGCCAAGGTCATTTTTCAAAGAATTAGAAAAAACTATTCTAAAATTCATATGAAGTGAAAAAAGAGCCTCAATAGCCAAAGCAATCTTAAGCAAAAACAGCAAAGCAGAGGCATAACATTATCCAACTTTAAACTATGTTATGAGACCATAGTAACAAAAACAGCATGATACTGATACAAAAACAGACACATAGACCAATGTAACAGAGTAGATAACCCAGAAAAAGCCACACTCCTACAGTCATCCGATCTTTGACAAAGTTGACAAAATAAGCAATGAGGAAAAGATTCCTTATTCAATAAATGGTTCTGGGATTGCTGGCTGGCCACATGCAAAAGAATGAAACAGGACCCCTGCATTTCACTATATATAAAAATTAACTTGAGGTGGATTAAAAGCTTAAATATAAGACTTTGAACTATAAGAATCCTAGAAGAAAACCTAGAAAATGCTGTTCTGGGCATCAGCCTTAGGAAAGAATTTATTATTAAAATTCAAAAGCCATTGCAACAAAAACAAAAATTGACAAGTGGGACCAATTAGATTAAACAGCTTCTGTACAGCAAAAAAACAAAACATAACAAAACAGGAACTATCAACAGAGTAAACAGAACTATAGGATGGGAGAAAATATTCACAAACTATGCATCCAACAAAAGTCTAATATCTAGAATCTATAAGGAACTTAATTCAACAAGCACAAAACAACTCCATTCAAAAAATGGGCAGAATATATGAAAAGACACTTCTCAAAAGAAGACATACGAACAGCCAACAAACATAAAACAATGCTCAATATCACTAATCATCAGAGAATTGCAAGTGAAAACCACAAGGAGATACCATCTCATACCAGTCAGAATGGCTATTATTAAAAAGTTTTTTAAAAAAGTAAATGCTAGTGAGGCTGTAGAGAAAGGGGAATGCTTATACACTATTGGTGAGAATGTAAATTAGTTCAGCCCCTCTGAAAAGCAGGGGTTTTTTGTTTTTTGTTTTTTTGAGATGAAGTCTCACTCTCGTGCCCCAGGCTGGAGTGCAATGGCGTGATCTCAGCTCACTGCAACCTCCACCTCCCCGGTTCAAGTGATTCTCCTCCCTCAACCTCCCGAGTAGCTGGGATTACAGGTGCATACCACCACGCCCGGCTAGTTTTTGTATTTTAAATAGAGATGGGATTTCACCATGTTGGCCAGGCTGGTCTCGAACTCCTGACCTCAGCTGATCTACCCACCTCGGCCTCCCAAAGTGCTGGGATTACAGGCGTGAGCCACTGTGCCCGGCCAAAAGTTGAAATTATTTTTAAAAATTTAAGTAAATAAATTACTTACATAAGAAAGCCTGCAGTGAATAAGAAAGGCACAGAGAGACAGAGTGTGCAAATAACTAAATAATACAACTAAGAAATTGATTCAAATAAAGATAAATTATGGTGACTGCCAGGAAGGAAATGAACAGAGTACAAAGAGTGAGAATAGCTGAAAGAGGTCAGTTGAGGCAAGCTGAGAAGACATCTGAACTGGAAGGATGAGAAACAGGCTTTGTGAAGGGGTGGGAGTGTCTCTCAGACAGAGGGATGGATAGCAGGTGTAGGGCTTGGAGGCAGGAAAGGCATGGTTTGTTAGGACCAGACAAAAGGCCAGTGTGGCTGGAATGGGAAGGTCAGAAGGAGGGAGGGAAGACTTAAAGTGGGGAAGGTAGGAGGAGCCAGGGCATGCCAGTTCATGGCAGGAAGAAACTGGAGTACATTAACACAACGTGGAGAAGAACATGCCAGCCTCTAGAGCCGTCCAAATGGAATGGGCTACTTTAGCAGGCGGAGAAGCTCGCATCAGCCAAAACTCGTCTCCAAGGTTCTCAAAAGTGTGTTGCTAGAGCCTTTGGGCCTAGAGTTTGGCTTCGCTTTTATTCTTATCACATTGCATCTTGTTAGAGCCAATCCCTCCCTCCAGCCTGAGGAGCTTTTTTCAGATAAGCATCCAGTGTTCTCATCTGAAAGCCACAGATAAAAATGTTGACTAGGGCAGAGCTCTTCCCAGCTGGCAGCTAAATCTGCCCTCCAGCAGAGGTTAGAGGACGTTATTAGGGATGTAAGTGAGGGACGCAGGCCTTACAGGGGAAGTGGATGACCTTACAATCTCTGCTATTTCTGACAGTTTATGAGATCTGTGGACTACATTACAAAGGACAGCACACATTATGGTGTTAGTGGAAGTTTAGGGGATCTTGTCTTCATGAAGATTCAGGATGTAGATCTGGGAAAAGAAAATCTTTTCTCAGTAGTATTAAAGTAGAACCATTTTTACTATAGATGATCAATATTTCTTTTTATGCCAACAAAATACCTCTGCAAGGTTCCGGTACACATGGTATCTTTTCAGCAATTGCTTTAGCATTTGGACCCTGGGAGATGTTATGAAATACACCAGGCCACTCATCCACTCATCACCTGAGGAGAAAGGTGTGTGATAACCATTGTGTGCTGGGTCCTTTTTAAACCTAGAAGCAGTTTATATTTTTGCTACTATTAGAATCTTCCTATTTAAGAAAGCTGGGCTTAAAAACTAACATTTTGAGGAACCACTTCCCTTAAGCACTGAAGCACAGCAGGCAGAACCAATTCTTTCTGGAAACTTCAGAGCATCTAACAACAGATCAATATTTTTGCACTGTGGCCAAAGTCCAGCTCCATTTGTATTGCCGCGAATCACCTAGAGCTGGAAGTGTTTAGCTTTGCCACCTTGATTCCCTAAGTGCAGGTGCTCATATGCTTATGATTGTTTTTAATTTACAAGATTAGAAAAATGGGATTCATCTTATAATAATGTTAATTTTTAAGGCATTTTTATTAAATTTTTTAAAATTGTTCTCCTGAAAATACAGAAAAATTAGAGAAGGAAGCTGCTAAGTGTGCCCCACAATTCCACATCTGACCAGTGTAAACACAGCCCTGCTTCAAAGCAGACTGTTGCAGCAAGTCAGAATTCTCACACTCTATTACAGAAGAGGCCCAACTAAAAGAAACAGCAGGCCAGGCACGGCAGCTCACACGTGTAATTGCAGCTACTAATTTTGAGAGGCCGAGGCAGGCAGATTACCTGATGTCAGGAGTTCGAGACCAGTCTAGCTAACATGGTGAAACGCTGTCACTACTAAAAATACAAGAATTAGTTGGGCGTGGTGGTGCATGACTGTAATCCCAGCTACTCGGGAGGCTGAGGCAAGAGAATCGATTGAACCCAGGAGCCTGAGGCTGCAGTGAGCTCAGATTGTGCCACTGCCCTCCAGCCTGGGTGACAAAGTGAGACTCTGTTTCAAAATAAATAAATAAATAAATAAATGAGTGAATGAATGAAGCAGCAATCCCAGCAAAAGATCTCCAACAAAAATCTTAGCATTGTCTTCTTCTCTACTATTAGATATGCCAGGTGAGAAATGAGATGCAGTTAGAGCCACTTTGACCTGAGTCTATTTCTCAAAGTGTGGGCCCCAGATCACCTGCATAAGGATCATATGAGGTGGGAGGTGGGATGGTTCTTTAAGGTAAAGATTCCTGGGCTCTATCCTGACCCAGTGAATGAGACTCTCTGAGGATGGAGCCCAGGCATTTGCTTTCCTTAATAAGTTGTCCATGTGATGATTTTAGACATTCTGAAGTTTGAGAATCACTCCAGCCATAGCTGTCTCCTCTCCAGTGGGCCACAGGCACCACTGACCCCCCAGCACACAAACACAAGGGGAATCTTTCTGCACTAGCAGCTTAAAGGCTTTTCTTGGATGGTCTTTTTGGTATATTTTTAGTCAAGTAATAAAAATAATGGCAAACAAGTGTTTACTCTGTGCTAGTCATCATCCAAAAACTTCTATTTTTATATTTACTGACTCTTATAATAACCTTATAAGGTAGGTTTATTATAATCCCCATTTTATAGAAGAGTGAATAAAAGCACAGAGAGGTTAAGTCACTGGCCCAACATCACACAGCCAGGATTCAATTCCAGGCTGAGTCTGGTTTCAGAGTCCACACTCTTAACCTGCACCAGGCTATTACATACCTCAATTTCCTGTAATGTGGCCCCAATCCCTTTGTCTCATTCATTTAGCAAATACCTCATCTTTGAAGACTAATAGCAATCCTGCCTCTGTGAAGCCTCTCCTTACTCCATGAGGTAGAGTCTCTTTCTACTACGTGTGAGAGGGGAGATGGAGACATAGGGAAGTGGCAAAGCTAGAGAGGTAATAAGGGCCAGGCAGGTCACAGAGAATGTCTTTGAGGAAGAAGGTCAAAGTGAGGTGCCTCTCTGGGAGCTGCTGCGCTAATCCAGGCGAGAATGGTGGGAAATGAATGATGGATCACTGCAGCAATGTGCCTCTTAGCCCCACCCGACACTGTGACATATACCACTTTTTAGCATTGTCATTAAAACCACAGTTCCGGCTGGGCACAGTGGCTCACGCCTGTAATCCCAGCACTTTGGGAGGCCGAGGCAGGCGGATCACCAGAGATCAGGAGTTCGAGACCAGCCTGGCCAACATGGTGAAACTCTGTCTCCACTAAAAATACAAAAATTAGCCGGGCATGGTGGTGCGCGCCTGTAATCCAGCTACTGAGGGGGCTGAGGCATGAGAATCGCTTGAACCTGGGAGGTGGAGTTTGCAGTGACCGGAGATCATGCCACTGCACTCCAGCCTGGATGACAGAGCAAGACTCCGTCTCAAAAACAACAAAAACAACAACCACAGCAACAACCACAGTTCTTAGGTAAATGAAGGTAACCAAACATTATAAGACTCATTGCCATCGAATGTACCTGGCAATCAAACCGTGAAAATGCATGCCAGATTTCCTAGACTTGAGATAAAATTTCCCACTATTTGCAAATCAGCACAGGTCAGAGTAAAAGGCCCAAAACAGGGGCCCGGGCCAATGTGCCAGTGACCTCCTAAGGCAGGACTGAGTCTTTCATCATTTTTCCAAATTCTCAGGACAGTGTAACAATTGACAGATGTTTGTTGAATGAATAAATGAATTCTGTATGACCACATGACATTTTCTGGTACCTCAGTAGAAACATCAGTGCTGGGGCAACAAGCTTCCTGTCCTTCTCAAACTTTCCCTCCCTCCAAACCAGGAGTCCTGCATTGCTGTGGAGGGTCATTACCCTTCCTTCATAATTGGAGATGTACCAAGCGACATGATAATGCCTCATATTTATGTAAAGCTTTTACCCAAGCAGATTGTAAATCCTTTTAAATAGTCTGATCCATCCCACGATAGTGATGGGAATTGGGCGTTATTACCATCCTCATTGTGTATGCAGAACCAGTTAGACCTGAAGGAAAGTTAATGACTTGCCCAAGGTCACCGCACATGAGCTGCCCAGGCAACTTCAGAAGCAGGCTTCCTAACTCACAGGCTGGCCCGTTCCATCCTGTGGTCCTTCCCGCTCTCTCTGGCTCCTAAGGCCATTTGTGGCAGTGAACATCTGCGAGCTCTGGTCACTTATGCGTTTCCTGGTATCTGATACTCTTTCCCTCCCCACCAAGTGCATTTCCAGTGTGACAATTACTCCATCAGCCACTCCAAGCAGGAGGATTTGAAAGGAGGGCCGCTATTTTCCATGAGTGCAATTATTCATGTGCACAAATAATTGAGCACATAATTGGCTAATGGGGAGTGCAATCGGCCACATGTGGGCATAATTAGCCACTTGCCCCTCATTTAGAGGGTATAATTATCAAAGCAGGCAATTTTATATCTGGGGATAAATTGCGCATGCAGGAGAGAAAGACGGCTAGGAAATCCGGTCCTTAGTTACTTTTCATGTCCTTTTATTTCCAGAAAAGCATTTTAAGGTAAAGGTAACCTTCTGATTTCAATTGCCCGTTTGGATCAACCATCAGACCCAGTCATGGAGAGGACGCAGAAAATGGAATCTAGGAAAGAATGAGCCAGGATCTTGTGGACCGAGCTGAAGCGTGAATCTTCCTCGCCAGAAACACCCCAGCAACCAATTACCCTGGACGTGACGCCGAGGCCCACCTAGTGGTCAGCCATCTGCCTAGGCAGACAATAAAGCTCAATTTTTCTCCTTCTCCATTATTGTGTATCATTTTTGCTTTAGCAGTTTTAACGTTTTCCTCACTTTGTGGTTTTATCATCTCAGAAATGCCAGTTGGCTTGGCACAGCAAGTGATTTTGTTCGCTGCTGGAAGTGGGTCATTTAAAATGCTTTAACAATACCTTTAACTAGTCATTCATCTGGGGATGTACATAGAATAATAAATCGAGAACACATCTCTTTGTGCTTGTTCCAAGACCTGAGATGGCAGAGATTTTACAGTCTCTGCTGCGCAGCCCCCCTGCATTCTGGCTTCAACAGCTCTGCAAAACTTTTCCCACTCTCCCACTCAATCACACAAAAATACACTTGCTAACAGCAGATCCTAAAAATACATGTCACATGCAAGCACAAGGGAAATTTTTTTTAAACATGAATTGACTCTTTAGGAATATGCAAGCTGAATTTTTTTTAAAAAAAGGAACACCGAATCTCCTATTACACTATCCTTCATTTCCATCAGAGTATTATCTTCTGGGGGAGGGAAAATAGCACAGTGATTGGGGAGACAAGCTGTTTGGTGTTAGAAGGACCTCAGTTCCTGGCTCAGCTCTGGCACTTGCCAATTGTGTGACCTTGGATAAGTTACTGAAACTTTCTGACCCAATTTCCCTATCTGTAAAATGGGTTGTTCTGAAGGTCAAAGGGAATGCAGGTAAAACACTTAATGCTAGGCACATTGTAAGTCAGACTCAGGTAAGTGGGATCTATCATTAATATTAAGAGCCTCATCTTTTAACCTCTAACACACCTTATCTGTACCAGGCACATGGCACTCTACAGTATCTGTGTACAGCCCTAATTCTCCTCACCAAGTGGAGGGAAATGTCTTCTTACACATCTTTATAATGCATATGGCAAGATGCCCATAGGAGGTCTTCCATAATTGGTGATAAATGATGGTTCACAACAGCATGTGACACCCCACACTGACATGTGCTGACCTTGAGCACAATGTCACACTCGCTTCTATGGCTTCTGGACCTGAACTCCATCTCCACCCTTTCCTCTATTGTCACCCTCAGAAACTGGCTGCAGGGGTGGGGGTTGGGCGGTGGGGGTTTGCCTTTCTAATTTCTGTTTTCACCTCTTCAGCTTCATGACCTCTGCAGTCACTTCTATTTCAGCTACCTCAGCACAGCCATTCCCTAGACTTCATTGCCCCTCAGACCTGAGGCACCTCGAAATCTTGAGTTTTCTTTGACCTTGTTGATTTCACCTTCCTTACCTTCCACCTTGCCGGGGAACAAATGTGCGCATCTCCTCCCAACCCTGCTTTCTGTGACTTCACATTCATAGCTTGAAACTGGTCATGGTGGGAGTATTTGCACCACAGAAATAGGCAAATATTACAAATCAGGGCTTCCCCTCACCCCCCAGGAGAACCAACTGTTAACCATTTTCCAGGACAATACTGCATGTATTCACATGTATTTCTATCATAACCCTAATCCCTGCACACCTAACTATTCTCCATCATCCCCTATTGATTTCATTTACCTTCCTAGTTCTCCTCCAATGTCAGCGCTTAGTATATTTAATACATGCCATACTGTTCCTCAGTCCCACGCCCTTTGATGGCCAGCTGATTCTACTTTTCTACTCTCCACTTACGGGTAACCCCCATGTCCTCTTCCTCTATCTCACTCTTTCCTCCTACTACCCATCTCTCATCAACTTCTAATCAAGCTCCCACTGCTAATATTCTGACCCTTCAGCTCCTGGTGCCTGTACAGTAGGCAATGTTTTAAACAGGATAGACTCCACTCTGTTCATGTTTATTGTCCAGATACATTATCTCTCAAAGAGAGAGAGAGAGGTTGTACGCAGGTCTTTTAATGGCTAGTCTATTCGGTCCCTTTTTAAACCCAGGTTTCATACCAATGTAACCCTTCAGGCGGTGAGTTACATGTGGCATTTGATGCTTTTTTTCCCACTCGCTTCAAAGTGGAATTCTTTGCTGTGCAACACCACACGACTCTCCTAGCGTATCTCAGCCTTGAAGTGTTCACTAAAATTGATATCGCTCTTCCCTGAAAGAAGCAAGTCGTAAACATTGTCTTGTTTAAAATTAAAAATCTACAGTGAAGTGCTTACCGCAAGAGGAATGTGTCTCAAGGTTGTCTCTAATGCGCTTGACATTCCGTGTTCCTTTACCGAATGTTCATTGAACCCAGGCTGGGGTCGGACGAGGCTGAGGGAAGAAGCCAGCCTGAGGGAAGAAGAAAGGTTAAAGAGAGACAGGAAGGAGGAAGGCATAAAATAAAATAAAAAAGAATTATTATGTAGGACACTGCATGCTACCCTCTACGACTGCTCTGCACATGGGCTAAGTAAGAGACTGCAAACTGATCTGAGAACCTTTGCCCCATATAATCCTCTTGGAAATTTGAGAGATTTTACACTAACATTGAGATCTCCGGCTTTTTCTGAGAAATCTTCGGTACTGGCTACACTGGGCCGCAGTTCTACATGGGAACACAGTTGGCTGGAAATGAGTAGCAGCTGTCCTTTAACACAGGCGTGCACTCCCCAGCTGGAAACCCACCCACCCGTAATTGTTTTCCGCCCAGCCAGAATCATTTACTTATGTTGTCAGCTGGGCCTCTGCAGGCATTTGAGTTTGTGACTTCTACGCTGCAGGAAGCCCTGGAGCTTACCCACATTTCTAAAATTTCCCAAAGTGATGGTTTATAGGAGACAGTGGAATCTCATGATTTTATTCATCTCTGAACCGCTGTAGTGCCTTGTACAAAGTAGATGTTCAGTTAACTAGAATGAAGTGTTCACTGAATTAGATGAGTTAAACATCTGAGCAGATATAGGTCCTGGGTGGCCCTGCAGAAGCTCAAATGCAACACTGCTGCTGAGATGTGAACAGCAGAATGTCATTCACAGCATTTTAGGTTCTGCCCTCTGGGTAATGGTAGTTGAAGAGAAGTCCCATTTAGCTATGTGTACGGGACACTGGCCCCTTGAAGGGAACAAGTTAGAACCAGTACATTAGGGAAACTCCTTCTACTGGACAGATTTATTATTGGATCAAAATTTTAGTGCTTAATAAAAGGACCAGAGCACTAGTCATTTTGTCTTGGTTAAGATAGTTTACTACTGTGGGCCTCTGTTTCCTCATTAGAAAAACAAGAGTTCGTTGGTAGAGTGAACATTCTACAGGATTCCATTCTGGCTTCCTCCAGAAGAGGGGGTTGGTAAAATCGAGTTATCTCAGCACCTTCACAGCAACTATCTTTATAATTAGGCTTGTTCATGACTTTAGAATAATTTTTAAAAATTTCTAAATTCCAACTAAAATAATCAGCTTGGCTCTTCTGACGTAGAAAGAAGTGGGAGATTTCAAGAACGTTAGTTTCTCACCCTCTTGACTTGTGCTTTATAACACCTGGCTTCAGTTAGTTAGGGCTCTGTGAGATTGTTCATCTTCCTGAGCCATTTTCTTCAGCCTAGGCATAGTAGAAGTGCAAGTCCTGCGTGGAGATTAATGAAGACCTGTGTTACCACGCCTTCAAAGCATCTGCCTGCTCTCTAAGTCATGCACTGGCTAATTAGAGCGGAACAAAATGGGTGCCTTTCCTTTCCGGTTGAAAATTAAAAACCAAGAAACTGTTTCTCTTTCTTTTGATGTGACCTGACACCACTGTGCATATGAAGCATCTTCTGTATTGAAATGAAGGATAAAGAAAATACCAAGGTGCTAACTGAATTCATGTCTCCTCCTCTCCCAGAAGCCAGAAAAACAGAACAAAGCAGTTTCAGTTCTTAGAATCTAAATAACCCAAATGGGCCCCTTCTCAAATGAAAATCTTTTGAAAACATCTGCAACTGTTGCCAATCAGATCTGATTTTGTGTAAAGTCAGTGTATTGTTTGGTACAAACCGTTTCTAGGGAGACAATTCCTTAAAAAAGAAGCAAGAATATTATTTTAGCAAATAATTTGTTTATCACATAGCCAGTGACATAAAATCTGTGAGGGCTTAATTAAAAATTGCTGGAAGCTCTCATGTCAAGTAAAAATAAATGAACAAAGATGAATTTCTTAAATGAAGATAGGTACAACTCATTTACACAATTTCAAAGCTTTTGTTGTCTTTATGGAGTCTTGCTCTGTTGCCAGGCTGGAGTGCAGTGACATCTCGGGTCACTGCAACCTCCACCTCCTAGGTTCAAGCAATTCTCCTCCCTCAACCTCCTGAGTAGTTGGGACTACAGGTGCATGCCACCACACCTGGCTAATTTTTGCGTTTTTAGTAGAGACAGGGTTTCACCATGTTGGCCAGGCTGGTCTTAAACTCCTGACCTCAGGTGATCCGCCCACCTTGGCCTCCCAAAGTGTTGGGATTACAGGCAGGAGCTACTGCGCCTGGCCCATTTCAAAGCTCTTTAATAATTTAAGTGTATTAGTTTTTAAAATTTTATTAAATAGTTGTAATAAATAACTCTTAAATCTTCAATAGCAGCTACTACTTGTTGAATCCTTATTTCATATCAGACACTATCCTCAACACTTTTCATAGGTTTATTCCTCCTTGAAGCCATCATTATTCCACCTTACATATGCAGAAAGACAGCTGAGAGAGACTAAGTCATTTAAGGCCGTTCAGTAAGTGGCAGCATTGGGATTTGACTCCATCAAAGTCTGTCAAATAGAAGACAGATTTAAGGCCCATGTTGTCTCTTCAAATAATAAAAACATTCGACCAGGCGTGGTGGCTCACGCCTGTAATCCCAGCACTTTGGGAGGCCAAGGCTGGTGGATCATGAGGTCAGGAGTTCAAGACCAGCCTGGCCAAGATGGTGAAACCCCATCTCTACTAAAAATACAGAAATTAGCCGGGTGCAGTGGCAGGCCTCTGTAATCCCAGCTACTCAGGAGGCTGAGGCAGCAGAATCGCTTGAACCTGGGAGGTGGAGGTTGCAGTGAGCTGAGATCACGCCACTGTACTCTAGCCTGGGTGACAGAGCAAGACTCTGTCTCAAAAAATAAAAAAATAAATAAATAAAATAAAAACATTCAAGATTATGAATTAGACGATAAGTACAGTTTTGATTACATGCCATTCATTAAGAAATTCACTGTTCTTGTTATTTTCCTAATTACTTAATAGAGTTTTTACTTCTATCTATTCAGACATAGCTCTTGAGATCTTAAACTTTTTAAATGTGTCTATAAGTTGTTATGTATAAAGTTATTATTGTTTTCGTTTATCATATGTGTCTTGACTATTTCCTTCTACCTCTGAATACTTCCTGTCAAAAATCTGTTCGCCCTCGTTTTACATTCTGCCATTTTTGTTTCATTCAGGACAGGAGAACTAACAGATGGTAGTAAATAATTAAGAGATGCTGAAAGGGTGTGAGGTTTAAATAGACTAAGAAATGAAGAAAACAGTGGTGTTTGTGTAGGTAAAGAAATGTACAAAATAACATAAAATAAAATATTTTAGAGCAAGTAGCATGGTAAGGTTTTAAGAATTCCCAGGTTTTCTAGTAGCTCTTAGTAGCTATTTGTAAAAAATACTGATGCATTTTATTTATGTATTCCTGTGTTTAATTGCAAAAAATGGTATCATGCTTTTCCAATCAAATCCATGTCAAATCCTTGAAAGAACAACTGTTTAAACAAAGTTAGTGAGCGTTCTCTCCATAGCCACTATGAACACTATTGCTGAATTGTATGTATTTTTGCACTTACCTGTTTACCTTTCTGTCTCTCTATTTACTCAGTGAGCAACTTAAGGAAAGCTACAATGTCTTATCTTTGTGGTCCCTGTGCCTAGCACAATGCCCAACACGTAGCTGACACTTGGTAAGTTCTCTTTGAATAAATATAGCAATTTCCTGGAAATCCCTATTGAGCACTGTATTGGACTCCATGGGCTGGTGTTGGTCAAGGTCCAGCACAAGTTTCTAGACTCCATGTGTTAAGCTGTGAGCTCCCCTTGCAGACCTGAGACCTGGAGATGGGTCAATTTCCCTAGCTCTGGCCTGAACTACTTCCAGTTTCCTCCTTCTCTCCATCAATATCCCAGCAAGCCCTGTGTACAAGGATGTATAAATTATAGTACCAACTGTGTAGCTGCTCTGAAGACATCCTAAAGGAGGGAATCTTGAACACTGGGTAAGGTGCCAAGTGAGAAGCAAGATGTCAAAGGTGGGGAGGTAGGCAGGAGGTGGTCAATTAAAAAGAGAACTTGAAAACTTTCTGTAGATTGGCCAATTATGTTGAAAGGCAGTGGTAATCTTTGCCATATAAGTTAGCAGATGAGAAAATGGAGACAGAGGGTATAAAGATCCGTTTAAAAACCTTTAGTGCAAAGGGAAAGATAAAAATAGGATGTTAGCTAGTGGGAAAAACCAGGTCAAGGAAGATTTTTGTTTTTAGGTTTTGTTTTAAGATGCTTGGTAATGACGCGGTAGAAAAAATCTGGAGCAAAAGAAAGATAAAGCCCCTCACCTTCAGAACTCACATTTAAAGAAGGCCATAATAATTTTAAAAGTGATTTGAAGTCAGCCATGACATAACCTTCAAAGATGATAAGAACTCAGAAGGAGAAGCAAAGGCCTTAGAGAATGTGACTCTACTACTAAATGTCACTTTGACAGCTTTTTTCTTGGAGGTACATTTAAGATTATTTGAGTTGTCATTTTCTCTAGGAAGACTTCACTTTAATTACACAAATATTGAATATTTTTCAAGATAAAAATAGTAAAGAATCTGCTTTGAAGTCTTTAGCCTTCAAACACTATTATGTGAAATCCTCATCGGAGAAACAGTGAGAAATATGGAAATAAGTGCAATCAGGCCTCATAAATAAGGAACTGTGAATGTTAATGGTGTGGTTTTACCACAAACCTTTTAAAGGGCCAATGGAGAGGCTTTATTATTTCAAATATCACAGATCTAAGGGTTCCCTAAGGGAAATAGTGATAAATATTGGTAAAATGCCTATAAAGACAGCAAGGCAAAAATAAGCCAAAACTTTGAGCTGGCCATTCAAAAGCTACCTAACCTTTCATTTAATTGTGTTTTTGTAACAAACCAGAAATAAGATCTAAAAGCCAAGTGTGATGGGTTCTTCCGAACATGCTCTGAAATATCTGCTGTAAGGGGATTTAAAGTGCAATTGCTTTGCTCTCAGCTTGAGTGCAACCAACTGGGGAAAAATTGAATTTTGGTCTGCTAGTGGATTGTGGCCATGTGTGTCTCTGGGTAAGGGTGGAGGTGGACTGGGGAGGGAAGTCCTCAGAGGTGCAGCTGTGTGATGAGCAGCTTGGAAGAGCAGACAGAGCAAGCATGTGTACTTCAATGCTGTCTCTTCCATTATGTGGCTGAGTGATCCCGCATAAGTTACCAAATCTTCTTGAGCCTCATTTCCCTCGTCTGTAAGATGATTATAGTAATATTTAACTTAGAAACCTATAGCTAGGATTAAAAGACAGAATTCATTCATGCAACAAGTATTTATTGGATACCACTACATGCTGGGCTCCGTGCTAGGCTCTGGGGATACAGCAGTGAACAAAACAGGCTGACATTTTAGTGTGGAAGACAGGAAATGCAGAAATGACGTAAGTCAATATCATGTGAGAAGCAGATCATGAACGCTGTGGAGAAAGTAAAGCAGATGCAGCAAATCAAATTTTTCATACCTGACCGCAATACTTCGTATCCCATAGGCTCTGATTACAATGTGACTTTGACCCTTCTCCAATTGAGAAATGTGATCTCTGTTCCTTCTCCTTGAAACTGGTTGGTTTTTGTGACTTTTCAACCCGTAGAATACACGGAAGTGATGCTGTGTGGATTCCAAGGTTGGGTCATATGAGGCAATACAGCTCCCACTTTGCTTGCTGGAATACTCAGCTGCGAAGCCTTCAGCCACTATGCAGAGTCCACTGCCCTGAGGCCACCATGCTGTGAGGAAGTTCAGACTAGCCCACGTGGAGAGACCCCCTGGAGGAGATCTGAACTATATCTGAGAGACCCAGCCAGCCCTCAGCTACTAGAACCCTGCTTTGTTTCAGTTTTAGCCAGCATCTGACTCTCACTGCATAAGAGATTATAGAGCCAGAACCTCCCAGCTGAGCCCTTCCAGAATTCCTGACCCTCAGAAACCGTGAGAAATAAGATGATGGCTGATGTTTTCACTCATTAAATTTGGGGAGTGATTTGTTACACAGCAATAGTAGCTAGAACAGTAAAGAAGGGGAACAGAGAGTATACTTTTACAGAGGAGAGAGAGAAGACTTCACTGAGACATTTCATCAATGAATTGAGGGAGGCAGAGAGTAAGCTAAGATATCTGGGGTAAAGTGTTTCAGGCGAAGAGAGTGTGCCTGGTGTATTCAAGGAACAGCAAGGAGACCAGAGTGCGTCTGGAGCCAAGAAAGGGAGGGAGAAAGGAACAACAGATGAGGTCAGACACCGGATAGCATAGGCTCTTGCAGGCCACTGGAAAGATGAGTTTTTAACTTTGAGTTGGGAAGCCATTGAATGGTTTGGGGCAGAGCAATGACAGGATATGATTTAGGTTTTAATAGGAACACTCTGGATGCTCTGCTAAGACTGATACCTTATTCCTTTCATTACAGTATCTCTATAAAAATCCAAAGTTGGTTCAGTAAGGCTAAGTAATTTATCCAAAGCCAGTAAACTACTAATGGCAGAGATGGGATACAAACCCAAGTTATCTTTTTCAAGTCCTAAGAAAGACAGCTTTAGAGAAACTTAGCATCCTGCTATAACTTCCAGGCTGATGCTGATGGTGGCCATCACCTCAGCTCTTCTTTTTTTTGGATGGAGTCTCACTCTGTCACCCAGGCTGGAGTCCAGTGGCATGATCTTGGCTCACTACAACATCCGCCTCTGGGGTTCAAGCGATTCTCCTGCCTCAGCCTCCCAAAGTAGCTGGGACTACAGGTGCACACCACCACACCCAGCTAATTTTTGTATTTTTAGTAGAGACAGGGCTTCACCATGTTGACCAGGCTGGTCTCGAACTCCTGACCTCTGGTGAACCACCTGCCTCAGTCTCCCGAAGTGCTGGGATTACAGGCATGAGCCACCATGCCCAGCCCCCCTCAGCTCTTTTTGTGCCAGCCCCCTTTTTTTGGGAAAAGCATAGTAGTTACAAGCTTAGGTTCGGGAGCTAGACTGAGTTCAAAGCCTGCTTTACCATATATGAGCTATGTCACCTTGGGTAAGTTACTCAACTTCTCTGTGCCTCAATTTCCTTATCTGTGAAGTGAGAATAATAACTGCACCTGCCTCAGAGGGGTTTCGGGAGGGATAACAGACAAAGCATCTCAGGTACTTAGCCCATTGCCTGGCAGTCAGTAAGTGCTTAATCACATCAGCACAGCCACCCAGCCTGGCTCCCTGCACTCCACCTCCCACAACTCTGCATTAGAAAAATCACCACTCTCTGCTCAAACCCCTCTTCTCTGCCACTTCCACCCACATTCTCCTTCCTTTTTGGGTCAATAGTGCTTTTCTCCACACTACCCTAGTTGGAACCTCTTCTAATCTCATCCTCTATATCCCGAGGAACTCTACCCTGTCCCCAACTGTGATTTCTAAGCCCGCTCCATGACTGCTTTTGTCAAAACCTCCTTAGGAGACCCAGCTTCCCACCACCCCCTCCAGACTCTCCTTCTCCTCAGTTTTGCAATAGCGACTGCTCTTGGGTGGTCCCCATCGTCTATATATTTCACCCACTCCCCATTCCCTTCAACGTCCTCTTCTGCCTCTGGAGCCCATCTCCTTTCCCTGGAGGGTTCTAGACTCTGGCCATGGTCTATTTCTCTGTTGTTATTCTTGAGAACTTCCATCATTTCTGCTAGTGGTGTTCCCCACTGCCTGGTCTCATAGTTCCTCAAACTTGTCATTTTCCTCACCTTTGTCTTTGCCCCAGTCAGTTACGTTACAGGTATGTCTCTGCCATTGTTCTCATGGTTTGTCAGAGCTGGCTCACCTCCATGGTCTATGAGGTGGAGGAAAGACTGCTGCCCGAAGAATTCTTTATTTTTTTGAGATGGAGTCTCTCTCTGTCACCCAGGTTGGAGTACAGTAGGGCAATCTCAGCTCACTGCAACCTCCAACTCCCGGGTTCAAGTGATTCTCCTGCTTCAGCCTCCCAGGTAGCTGAGACTACAGGCATAAGCCAACACACCCAGCTTTTTTTTTTTTTTTTTTTTTCATATTTTTTGTAGAGATGAGTTTTCACCATGTTGGCCAGGCTGGTCTCGAACACCTGATGTCAAGTGATCCACCCATCTCAGCCTCCCAAAGTACTGGGATTACAGGCATGAGCCACTGTGCCCAGCCTGCTGCCCTAAGAATTCAATCCCTGACGTTGCTGCTAATGGACTGGGTGTTTGTTTTCTCCAAAGAGAAGTTCTCTGAACTAGCAAAGCAGAAGGGTCTCCTTGGAAAAGGCTTTCCTTGTCTTTTTATTTATTTATTAATTTTTTGAGACAGGATCTTGCTCTATCATCCAGACTGGAGTGCAGTGGCACGATATTGGCTCACTGCTATCTTGGCATCCTCGGTTCAAGTGATTTTCCTGCCTCAGTCTTTTGAGTAGCTGGGATTACAGGCACATGCCACCATGCCCAACTAATTTTTGTATTTTTAGTAGAGATGGGGTTCTGTCATGCTGGTCAGTTTGGTCTCAAACTCTTGACTTCAGGTGATCCACTCGCCTCAATTTCCCAAAGTGCTGGGATTACAGGCATGAGCCACTGCACTTGGCCTTTCCTTGTCTTAATAATGAGTTTCCCGGGTGGTTCTGTGGCTTATAAAAGCACCAGACAAGTAGGGATCTATGATCCTAGGTTAAGGTTACATAATAAGGTATTTTGCCTTTTGGTACAAGTTGTCTCTGCTATGAAGAACTTTGGGAAGGAGAGGAATACCTATTTGTAAAACAGTACAGGGGCTGTTATTGGTTGAACTGTGTTCCTTCAAAAGATATGAAGTCCTAACTCCCAGTTCTTCAGAATGTGACCTTATCTGGAATAGTCATTGCATGTGACCTTAAGATGAGGTCATACTAGAGTAGGGTTGGCCCTTAATCCAATATGACTAGTTTCCTTATACAAAGAAGAGAGACAGAGAGACCTGGAGACATGAGGGGAGAACACTATGAGACAGTAAAGGCAGATGTTGAAGTGCTGCAAGCCAAGCGATGCCAGTGATTGCCAGCAAACCACCAGAAGCTAGAAAGAGGAAGGAAGGATTCTCCCCTACACATTTCAGAGGGAGCATGGCCCTGGCAGCACCTTGACTTTGGACTTCCAAGCCATCAAAAATAAGAGAGAATTCATGTCTGTTTTTAGCCACCTGGTTTGTGATACTCTGTAATGACAGCTCTGGGATACTAATCCAGGGCCTTCTAGAAGTGAAGGGAACTCCACCCCTACTCCCTAAGACAGGGTCCCCAACTCCCTGGCCATGGACCAGTACCAGTCTGTGACCTGTTAGGAAGTGGACCACACAGCAGGAGGTGAGTGGCAGGCGAGCGAGCAAAGCTTCATCTATATTGACAGCTGCTCCCCAACCCTCGCATTACTGCCCGAGCTCCACCTCCTGTCAGATCAGCAGTGGCATTAGATTCTCATAGGTGAGCAAATCCTATTGTGAACTGCACATGCCGGGGATCTAGGCTGAGCACTCCTTATGAGAATCTAATGCTTGATGATCTGTCACTATCTCCCATTGCCCCCAGATGGGACTGTCTAGTTGCAGGAAAACAAACTTAGGGCTCCCACTGATTCTACATTATGGTGAGTTGTGTAATTATTTCATTATATATTACAATATAATAATAATAGAAATAAAGTATACAACAAACGTAATGTACTTGACTCATCCCAAAACCATGCCTCCCAGCCCCCTGACACTGGTCCATGGAAAAACTGTCTCCCACAAAACCTGTCCCTGGGGCCAAAAAGGTTGGGCACCACTGCCCTAAGATTCTAAATAATCCCTGTAGTTGATAAAAGAAAAAATATCCTTGAAATAAAATCTCTTGAAGAAAGAGGGTATCCAGAATGGCAACCCAGCTCTTGTACGGCTCATAAGGAGAATTGGTTCCATGAGCATGTGGCCCAAGCTGGAAGCTTCTGTCGATTCAGCCACTTCAACACAGTGGGGCTACTATGGGAGAAAAGGGCTGACGGACATAGGAACTAAAAACCACTGTTACCCAGGGCTCATAATCAGCTGGTACTCTCTGCAGCTCTACCAGTTGTTTATGGCGTGGGTTCATTCTGATTATTCAATGCCTCTGCATACCAACATTGGAATACTTTGCTATCGGGCCTGCTATAACTTGCAAGTTAGACATGGAACACAAATGCACCCCAAGGAGGAAACTGATCCAGCAAGAATACCACCATGGAGTGGACAAGCGAGATGGACTGCGTGTTTCTGTCCCCCCAAAATCATATGTTGAAATCCTAACCCTCAAGGTGATGGTATTGGGAGACAGTGCCTTTGGGAGGTGATTAAGTCATGGGGGCAGGGTCCTCAAAAATGAGATTAGTGCCCTTATAAAAAAGACCCAGAGAGCTCTCTTGCCCTTCTGCCATGTGCAGACAGAGTGAAAGGTCATCGTCCATCTATGAGCAAATGGGCCTTCGCCAGACACCAAATCAGCCAGTGTCTTAATCTTTGACTTTCTAGCCTTCAGAACTGTCAGAAATACATTTCTGTTATTTATAAGCCATGCTGTCTATGCAATTTTGTTATAGCAGCTGAATGGACTAACGCAAGAATCTGAAGATCTACAGAGGACCAGTTTTCAAAAGTGACACCATGAAGATGATAATGGCTCCTGTTATTTCTCTCCTTGATAGTCAGAAATAAGACTGTTACCTTATGGACCAAGTAAGTTCCTAGATTGAGAAAAGGAAGTTCTCAGGAAGATACTGGACTTCTTGCTAATGAGGAAAAGTGGGAATTCAAACAATTAATGAGAAAAATCAGAGAGATTCTGTTCTATTTGTAACCTAAGTTGAAAAAGCAGGTCAAAGTGGCAATCAGAACACAGTGAGCAACAAATCTATCTATATGCTCGGCTGCAAAGGATGAAGTGTTCCAGGAATTATAGATGAGAAAATTTATTATTGGAGGATTAAAGAGATATTTTCTGAAACCTGTACTCCAGTTTGTTGAACCAAATCCCTGAGTGGACTTCAAATGAAATCTCCTTTCTACAGAAGTAAAGCCATTACTCAAAATCAACCAAGAGCAAAAGAGCCATCTTACAGCAATGGAAACTAGTCAGCTGTTTCCACGTAGAACTGAATTCAGAAAAATATCCATTTTCTCAGCAGCAGCTTGTCATCAGCTGTAATTTCTGCTTGGAAAAAGTCAAGTGATGCTTCGCAGTCCAACATTACATAGATATAACATGGATGCAGTAGCCACTTCTCCATGAGCAAAACTGACAAGCCTGCAAAAGTACAATTAAAGGAATCATTTGCATCGCTTGAGTACTCCAGATTGGCATGGCAGTACTTACCTATTCATTCTACAGGCTTCAGCTAGGTTCTTGGTGAGATCTGTGGGTGCTGCGTGAGAACACAATGATATACACTCAGTAAGTGCTCGAAGAACACTTACTGTTGATGTTATTGAGTGCATAGAGGGGACCTTAAAGGAGCTATGATAATCCCAAGGGTGATGGGAAATCACTATGAATTTCCTATGCACAAGAAAAGATCATAACTTTAGGAAGAGTAACAAAGGGTGACAAGACACCAACTGGGAATCCAAATCTACAGTCAGGACCTGGCAGTTTATGCTCCATTTCTTTGTTATGTCCTTGTTTGAGTTATTAATGACCCAAGTTTTCCATCTATAAAGAGCATAGCAGCCCTTCTTATCTCCAAAAATATTGGAAGCCTTAATGAGTTAATGTCTTCGATGTGAATTCATCAAAATAAAGGTGCAAAAAAGTGAACTACAGACAAAGTGAAGAAGGATTATTACTTACCATTTCTACCCCCTTGGGTATTACTGATAAACAAGATAATTTGCTTTTTTCTATGTATTATTCTTATATTCCCCCTCCTTTTCATGATTTCTCTTGTTCTTTTCTCTTGATCTCTTTTACATGAACACACACACACACAAAACTGACTATACATTTTTTTTTCTCCTTTTGACAGAAACTCATACTGACCCCCTCTAGAGCGAGACCATAGGAAAGCAGATTTGGTTAGCCATTCAACAGTTGTCTAGCCATTGCTTTCTATAGATAAGGTACTATGTTCATTACTATGTGATATAGTTTGGATATTTGTCTCCTCCAAATCTCATACGGAAATTGATCCCCAGTGTTGGAAGTGAGGCCTGGTGGGAGGTATTTGAGTCATTGGGGGTGGATCCCTCCTGAATAACTTGGTGCTTTCTTGCTCTATTATTTTTAAAGTTTTTAAAATTTTTTGAGACCGTCTCACTCTGTTGCCCCGGCTGGAGTGCAGTGGCACAATCTCAGCTCACTGCAACCTCTGTCTTCCGGGTTCAAGTGATTATCCTACCTCAGCCTCCTGAGTATCTGGGACTACAGGTACACGCCACCAGGCCCAGCTAATTTTTGTATTTTTAGTAGAGACGGAGTTTCACCACATTGGCCAGGCTGGTCTCAGGCTTCTGACTTCAGGTGATCCACCCACCTTGGTCTCCCAAAGGGCTGGGATTACAGGCATGAGCCACCGTGCCCAGCCTCTTGTCCCATTAGTTCCCACAAGAACTGATTGTTGAAAGAGAATGGCACCCTCCTTTCTTCCTTCCTTTTTTTCCTCCTCTCTTGATATGTGATGCCTGCTCCCCTTTGCCTTCTACCATGGGTGGAAACTTCCTGAAGCCCTCACCTGAAGCAGATGCTGACACTATGCTTCTTATATAGCCTGCAGAACTGTGAGCCAAATAAACCTCTTTTTTAAATAAATTCCCCAGCCTCAGGTATTCCTTTATAGCAACACAAACAGACTAAGACACTATGAAAGATAGAAAGGTGTTTAGAGCATCATTTTTGCCGTTAAGGAGTCTAAAACACCTTGGGGGCATATGAGGCATGAACACAAATAACACAAAGCAAGCATGTGTGCAATAAATGCCAAAAAGATTCATGAAAATGAGTTCTTAAACTTTAAGGAAGAGGAAAGCTCTTTTTGAAATGGAATGGAAGTGTTGAACTTTGAGCTAGGTTTTTAAAGTTGGGTATAGAGTTCAACACAGGAAGATGAGTACAGGACATTCCAGAAAAGGTAATGGTGTGAGCAAAGGCATGGAAGAATGGCAAACTTGATTTCCACTGATGACAACTATTAGTCTAATTTGGTTAAAAAGTGTGTTGTCTGTAGTTGGCTAGTAGCATAACTGGCTAAAAAGTCAATTAAGGTTTGATTTAAGAGGCCATTAAATGTCAGGCTGATGCTAACGTAGTAGTTTTCAACTTTTTTTTATAGCTTTGTTTTTTAAAAATTAATATGCAATGGGAGCACAACTGCTCTGGCTAAATGCTTCCTCCCATTGCACTCACATACTCTGATGCTTTTAAGGAGTTCCATGGAACCCTTAGGACTCTACAGAGAAGAACTCTCCTAAGAAATGCCTTCTTTTTTTTTTTTTTCTCCAGAGATAGGACCTTGCTCTGTCACCCAAGATGGAGTGCAGTTGTGCCATCATAGCTCACGGAAGCCTTGAACTCCTGGGCTTGAGGAATCCTGCCTCAGCCTCCTGAGTACCTGGGACTACAGGCATGAACACTAAGCCTGACTAATTTTGTGGATTTTTTTTTGTAGAGATTGTGTCTTCCTATATATCCCAGCTCGTCTCGAACTCCTGGCCTTAGCTTCCCAAAGTGTTGGGATTACAGGTTTGAGCCACCACATCTGGCCAAGAAATGCATTTTTCACAGGCAAGGTGCAGCCATTAAATGTTTTTCGTTGTTGTTGTTATTGTTGTTTTGAGATAGAGTCTTGCTGTGTCACCCAGGCTGGAGTGCAGTGGAGAGATCTTGGCTCACTGCAAACTCCACCTCCCAGATTAAAGTGATTCTCCTGCCTCAGCCTCCTGAGTAGCTGGGACCACAGGCAAATGCTCCAGCACCTGGTTAACTTTTATACTTTTTTGTAGAGACAGGGTTTCGCCATGTTGGCCAGGCTGGTCTGGAACTCCTGACCTCAAGTGATACACCCCCCCTTGGCCTCCCAAAATGCTGGGATTACAAGTGTGAGCCACTGCGCCTGGCCCATTAAATATTTTTAAGCTTGGAGATGACAAAATTAGAATAGAATATTCTGAAGGTACACCTGGCATTGGCAGCACTATTGAATTAATTGGCAAGGGGCAAACTAAAGACAGGAAAACAGAAAAAGAAAAACACATTGGCCAACTGGTATTTAGTAAGCACTGAGTAAATATAGTTGTCCCTCTGTATCCATGGGGGAATTGGTCCCAGTATGCCCCACAAATACCAAACTTCACAGATGCTCAAGTCCCTTATATATAATGGTGTACTTGAAATCATTTCTAGATTATAAGATCTATACGCTACAGTGTAAATGCTGTAGTTGTTATACTGTATTGTTTAGGGAATAATGACAAGAAATAAAATTTTTTCATACTCAGTATAGACGCTTTTTTCTTCAAATATTTTCCATCTACAGTTGGTTGAATCCAGGGATGCAGAAACCACAGATACAAAGGGCCAACTCTTCTTGCTAGATGAATGATCATAGCAGGGAGGGAAATAGAAAAAGATATTGTCAAGTAATCATTGATAACACTTGCTACTAATTGATTATGGGAGACAAAAGAGAGGTTATGGTGAGAAATTCAAGGTTTTAAGTCTGGGCTCCTGGGAGAAGTGCAGGAGTACTAATAGGAAATAAGAAAAGCTTAAGAGGAAACGATTTGATGGGAAAGATTATGTGTTAGATATTTAGCAGGTTAAATACATTGGAGAGATACTCAATTGGAAATGTCTGGGGACATTTGAAAATGGGAGACTGGAACTTAAGAGAAAGACCAGAGTTATTGACACAGATGCAATAATGTAATAAAGACCCATGAGTGAATGACAGGGCATAGAGAAGTCAAAGAGGTGAGGCAGATTCTGGGAAACAAGGACATTTAGGGGATGGGAGGGGGAAGGGAAGCTAAAAAGATAGCGGAATGTTTAGAGAGGAAAAAGAAAATCATGATCATTAGTCATAAAAACCAAGTGAGAGACACTTTAAAGGAGGGGGCAACCAACACAGTCAATTGCTCCAAAGGCATAAGAAGGAACGGAATTGAGAAAAGGTGACAGTATTTTGGACTTATCAGCTACCCTCAAAAGAGCAGTTTCAGGTAGAAAAAAAAAAAAAGAGGTCTGGTTGTACCGGTTTGAGGAATAAAAGGATGGGGAAGAAATGGAAATAATGCTATAGGCCAGGTGATATGGTTTGGCCATGTCCCCACCCAAATGTCATCTTGAATTGTAGCTCCCATAATTCCCACGTGTTGTGGGAGGGCCCCGGTGGGAGATAATTGAATCATGGGGGCGGTTTACCCCATATTGTTCTTGTGGTAGTGAATAAGTCTCACAAGATCTGATGGTTTTATAAGGGGAAATCCCTTGGTTCTCATTCTCTCTTGTCTGCTGCCATGTAAGACATGCCTTTTGCCTTCCACCATGATTGTGAGGCTTCCTCAGCCACGTGGAACTGTGAGTCCATTAAACCTCTTTTTCTTTATAAATTATCCAGTCTCAGGTATATCTTTATCAGCAGCATGAAAAAAGACTAATACACCAAGCTTTCAAGAATTCCAGCGATAAACAGAACAAGAGAATCAAGGAGTAACTAGATTGCAGGAAACATTTTTTCATTTTTTAAAGCCTGAGAGAATCCTGAGCATGTTTCTGGGCAAACAGAAAAAGGAGAAAGAGTCAACAGAAAAAAAACTGATGGTGAAAAAAAATTAGTCAAGTTAAATTTTCTGAGTGATTAAAGCAGTACTTATCAAAGTTGAAGATATGGTTAGTGAAAACAGAGTGCCTGAAATTCGAACATAAGTCTTGTAAATGGACAATTATTGCATATAAGGCTGCAGCTTAAGAAGTCGCACGAAATATGCTTTACCTGGAAAAATGCTCGTGTGTACCCAGTTCATCATCTGGCAGGAGGCTAAGCAGCAGTTCTTTCAATCGGCACAGAAAACAAAGAAGTTTATTACCTTGAAACACTGTTATGGGCCAACGTAACATTAGGCTGTTTGTATAAGTGCTTGAAAATATTGAGCTGTAATTTCAAGGAAATTATGCTAAAGTTCTCAGGCTCTGCAGAAAGTAGATTAAAACTCAGTCTAGCCAAGAGGAGCCTAAGCAGATATGAGAACTAAATGTGGTATGGCATCCTGAATGCATTCCTGGAACTGAAAAATGACAGCAGGTAAAAACTAAGAAAATCTGCATAAAGCATGGACTTTAGTAATAATAATGTCTCAATATTGGCTCATTAATTTTCCTTCCTTCCTTCCTTCTTTTTTTTTTTTTTTTTTTTTTGATGGAGTCTCGCTCTGTTGCCCAGGCTGGAGTGCAGTGGCACGATCTCGGCTTACTGCAACCTCCGCCTCCCTGGTTCAAGCAATTCTTGTGCCTCAGCCTCCTGAGTAGCTGGGAATACAGGCAACCAGCACCATGCCTGGCTAATTTTTTGTATTTTTAGTACAGAAAGGGTTTACCATGTTGGTCAGGCTAGTCTCGAACTCCTGACCTCAAGTGATTCGCTTGCCTCTGCCTCCCAAAGTGCTGGGATTAGGGGCCTGAACCACTGTGCCCGGCCGGCCCTGGCTCATTAATTGTAACAAATGTACCGCATGAATGTAAGAGGTTAATAATTGCAGAAACTGGGTGTGAGGTATACGGGAACTCTCTGTACTATCCTCTCAATCTTTCTGTAAATCTAAAAATTTTCTAAAAAGTACAGTCTATTAAAAACAACAACAAAAAATAAACTTGAAAAGCCCAATCCTGACAACAGGGCATTGAAAGCGCACCTGAACTCCAGCTATTTTCATTCTGTAAGCAAGTAGAGTAAAACTGTATGGACCACTCAGAGAAGAAGTGGGATTTCGACTAGCAGCCTGTTTGCTGCCTGATACCACCTCTCTCTGGCTTGAGACTTGCTTATTAAAGTGAGGTCTGATCACACTCTCTGCTTTGGCTACTGGAAAACGCAGATCCGAGCTGTGGCCCACTTTTGGCAACGTTGATAGCGCATGCATTCACTTAGTGCAGCCATTGGGTGCATGGGCTCTGGAGCCAATGATTAGATTTAAATCTCATCTCCACCATAGTAGCTGTGGAATAGGCCCAGTTGCTCAGCCTCTCTGGGTCTATTCCTTATCTGTAAAATGGAGATGATAACAGTGCCTGCCTCAGATGGTTCCTTGAGGATGAAATGAGTTAATATATGTAAAGTGCTTAGAACAGGCTCACAGTAAGAGCTCAGCAAATGCTGGCTATTTATTTGGGGTGTTTTGTGTATTAGTCTTATCCCTTGCGTTATTCATGTCCCAGTTCTCATTTTTTTTTTTTGCCTGTGTCCCAGTTTCCTCATTTCTAGACTCTGTTCCCCTTATTTTGTCCTTTTGATATATGTTGTTAAGCCATTTTAAGTCTTTAACTATGCTAATCTTCCCTCGGCTAACTGACCATTGATTGTGGAACTATTAATACATTCCTTATTTGTAGTTTTTAAAGCACAAAAATTTAAACATATTATGCATGACCAGTGTTAGGATGCGGTTCTGGACTCTGAGGTTTAGGACGGGATTTTAATATAATTTTAAAGTGTGTGTGTTTGTATTTTTCCTAAGCAACTAAAATCAGCCCAATGAAGAAAATAGTTAACATCAGCAAATGCTAAGCTAAGCCAAGGTCATTTTGATATGCCCCAAATTTTCATTGTAAACTATATCTCTTGACTCAATAAACAAGTTCAATCATAAAAGTCTCCATACATGCATAGTTTACTAATTTTGGTGTTAATAGATGTCAGAGGTAGCTCAACTTTAATTGTAACCCCTATGCAAACAACCGCCAGTCTCCTGGTGTTTCAGGTGTAAGGGTTAACTTTTACAGGGACAAGAGGACTAGGATGCTTATTTTTTAAATCTGAGAGACTCCTACCTTGAGTGGGGAGATTGAGTTCATCATTTTATAAGTCAGGTCCCATATTAATGCTTCTTCAGGGAATCAATGCAAAATTTCTGGAGAAAAAATATTTTTAGAATAATTTTTAAATGCTTTGAAAAACTGGGTATGTTTTATAGTCTTGCATCTTTGGTTGGTGGCATGATTGGTTCCAGCAGATATCCTTAAAAAAAAAAACTTTTTAAAAACATAGTTGGCCTACATAGAAATCTTTTAGCCATCTCCAATTTATTTAGTCTAAGAAATGAGCTGCCAGGCGCGGTGGCTCATGCCTGTAATGCTAGCACTTTGGGAGGCCAAGGCGGGTGGATTGCCTGAGCCCAGGAGTTCAAGACCAGCCCAGGCAACATGGTGAAACCCCATTTCTACTAAAAATGGAAAAAAAAATTGCCGGGAGTGGTGGCACACGCCTGTAGTTCAGCTGCTCGGGAGGCTGAGGTGGGAGAATCGCCTGAGCCCGGGAGAGCAAGGTTGCAGTGGGCAGAGATCGCATCGCTGCACTCCAGCCTGGGCTACCAGAGTGAGACTCTGTCTCAAAAAGAAAAAAAGAAATGAGATAAGGAATAAGCTTATTTCTTCCCCCAATTACTAGACAATTATTGCAATATCAATTATTATAAGATTAATTTTTTTCCCATTGGTTCACTGTGCCACCTTTATTGCATATCATATTACTTAATGCATTTGCAAGTCCACATTCCGGGACTTGATGTCTGTCTCATTGATCTGCTGGTCTATTCCTGCTCCAGTTCTGATTTAATTACTGTCGCTTCCTAATACATTTTAATATTTTGTATTTTTCTTTCCAGCAATTTGATTGAATATTTCTTGGGATTGGCATACTTTTCTGGGAAGGATTTAGAATGTTGGAGATGGGTCAGAAGTATATTTTAAACCTCCTATAGCACAAGCTCCTTTTTTAACAGAGAAGCTTTTTTTCTTTTCCATCTAGAACAATTGTAATTTTAGAGAATGAGTAGTAAGGAATCTTGAGTGTTCTTCCAGTGAGCTCCCTTCTCTCTTTCTCTCATTCTGTCTTTGTATCTTAATTATATTAAAGTTGAGCCTCAAACACTTCATAGTTTGGAGGAGATCGGCAACCATTCCAGTGAGGCACAGCATCTGCTATGCTTTTGGATTCCTTTCAATCTCCCCTTAATTGTACCCACAGCTCTCTTTACTCAGAAAGGATCAGTCCAGATTTCTCTACAAATGTTATTCCATAGACATACACATGACTATACACAGTATCTATTTTCTCTGATGTTGTTCTTCCAACTAATAGGTCATTTAGATTATTGTTTTGTGTTTCTCTTTTCTTGTTTCCCTCCCTGTCAGCTTTTAATTAAGAGAAGTGTATCTTTTCATTGGTTAGTATACTGCATAATTTATGCGTACATTTTTAACCATTAATTTTTAGCTCTTTTACTAATTTTTAATTCAGTAAAAGGCAAGTGGCTTCCATGTCTTTCATTTTTTGACAGAGAAGAGGAAGGGGCAGACATTACAGCATAATCAGAATGGACTCCAAAGACACAGAGCCCTAAAGGTAGGAAAGTAGGAAGAAAGGAAGGAAGGAAGGAAGGAAGGGAGGAAATGAGGAAGGAAAGAAGGGAAGGAAAGAAGGGAGGAAGGGAGGGAGGAAGGGAAAGGAAGGGGAGGGGAAAGGAAGGGAAGAGGAAGGAAGGGAAGAGGAAGGGAAGGAGAGGGAGAAGGGAAGGGGAGGGGAGGGGAAGGGAAGGGAGGGGAAGGGAAGGGAGGGGAAGGGAAGAGAATGGAAGGGAGGAAGGAGGGAGGGAGGGAGAAACGGAGGGAGGGAGGGAAGCAGGCAGGCATGCATTGTGCTTTTCCTGTTGGGTGGCTGCCAGACAGAGTCCATCCTCTACTGGAGGAAGAAGGACCTTCCATTTGCTCTCTTCTTTCTGCTGGGAAAGGCCCTTGTGTCTCACCTTGCAGGAAAGGTTGACTTCTCAGCACATTTGCGTCCTCCAAACTCTAAGAGAAGGAGAAAAGGCGACCTGGCAAAGATGGAAACATCCTTGAGTCAGAAGCCCTTCTTGTGAAAGCTGCCAGGATGTATTCAGTGGCCCCTGAGTCCTTCCAGTGAACCAGTTTCTGAGTAGGAGATGATGACAGCCCTTTCCTAGCCCTTTGCAGGTTGGTGTGATTGCTCTGCAGAGAAGAGGACCTGGCAGGCTTTCGGGCCCCTGAAGGTATTCAAACTTCAGTGCCAATAAATGGACGTGGAAAAGCAGCCCTGGGGAACCAGAAGAGTTGAGGTAGAGCTCCTCTATCAGCTGGCAGTTCAGAGGCTGTTTCCTCCAGAAAGCCCTCCCTGGTCCCTGGTCTGGGTAAGGCAGCTCTGAGTTCTTGCAGCTGCAGCCTCCTCCACCTCCACGTGGATGAAGTTTCATTAGGCACAGCTCTTCCATCCCACCTGTGTGCTTCCTGGGTATGGACGATGTGTGTTTCACCTCACGACCCTTTGGAGTCTAAGTCCAGGGACCATATCACCCATTGCTAAGGAAGGTCCTCCTTCCTTCTAGTTTTTGCTATGCACCCATGTCCCTGTTGCGTACATACTATCTAACAATGCTGTGCTTGGGCATTGCTTTCAGGAAGAGAGGAGTCAGCATGTTCTGTGGAATGTTATGAAGAATCAAAACAGTTAACAGTTTGTCACTGGCATGCAGTCAAAAGATAAGACATATTGGAGAAAGAATCTGTTACAAGCTCTTTATTCTAATAGCCAATTAGACTTAGAGTGAAATAAGAGACCAGAAACTGGATGACAAGAAGTGAAGACTATTCAATAACAATTAGGCATGAGATAAATTCTGAGATAGAGAAATGAATAATTTGAAAGAAACATAACATCAGCTATACTGAACATATTTTTGTAGGAATAAGAAAGGAACCAGGGAATTTTCCAAAGATATTTGATTGTTAAAAACCTTACTTAGGTGTACTACTTCCAAAATGAATAAGAAGATAGAAATGAAGGCTTCAGAAACAAAATACAGGATCTGAGAAAACAGGCTGGGCACGGTGGCTCATGCCTGTAATCCCAGTGCTTTGGGAGGCTGAGGTGGGTGGATCACCTGAAGTCAGGAGTTCAAGGCAAGCCTGGTCAACATGGCGAAACTCTGTCTCTACTAAAAATACAAAAATTAGGCATGGTGGTGCATGCGCCTGTAATCCCAGCTATTCGGGAAGCTGACAGGAGAATCGCTTGAACCTGGGAGGCAGAGGTTGCAGTGAGCCGAGACCACAGCCACTGTACTCCAGCCTGGGTGACAAAGTGAGACTCTGTTTCAAAAAAAATAAAAATAAAAAGATCTGAGAAAACATAATCAAATACTTCTCTGAAGAATTTCAACACTGAAATGGCCTCTCTTTTGTCACACATGGCTAAAAAATCTCCTTATATTGGGTTCTGAAGCATTTTCATGGAGCATGATCTGTGAGTTACTATACACAGCATCATAAATGCAATTGTTGACATTTTTTAAAGGGAAACAAGCATATCTATTCTACCAGGTTTGTGAAGGAATAGAAACATAAAGGCCAACCCTTTAGCTATATCCATACACGGGGTTCATATTCTGCATGAAGAGCCTATTAACTTTTGCATATTTAGGGTCCCCAGTCAGAGCTTCCAGCCTTTTTTGCAAAGTTTGGTTGGGCAATGCTGTGACCCATTCCAGCATCTACCATCCCACCTGAGAAAAGGTGGTCATTGAGATATGGCAATTGTTCTTTTATCCAGTTGGGTGAGGCCATTGAAAATGTGGATCTTGTTCTGAAGCTCTCTAATTTCATGTTTGAAGCACAAAGCTTGGGCCTTGGCTGAGCAAACAACCTCAAGAGGCACTATGGCAACCTTGGCTTCCATAAAATTGTTTTTCCAAGAGAGTGGAAGTGGATGCCCAATGTCTTGTAGCTCCTTTGAGTACCAGGTGATTCTAAAGAATCATTTGCTGTTTGACCCAAAGAAACGTGACTGCCAGAGGGAAGAAAGCCAATTGAGCTGAGAAAAGCAGTATTTAAAGACCAAGGCAGGAAATGAAGCAGTGAGCAGTTGCTAGAGCAGCAGCACCTGCGTATGATGAGCAAAGTATCTGACCACTGGCACATCCGTAGCCAGCTCTGTTGAATCCCCTATTATAATTCTGATTTCTCTCACTCAGTTCAGGGATTTGGAATTGGGCAGCCAATTCTGTGTTTACCTTGGTAGTAACACTCCTGCATATGCAGTAGTGTCAGGAAGTGAGTATTGTTACAAGCAGAACATCTGGTGGAGGAACATATTATCAATCCTGTAATAGATAAAAGAACCACAATCCTAAACCCTCAAATTCATTTTTTGGCTTTCCTGAGAGAACTGAGAATTGTGGGTAACCTTGAGGAGGGAAGGAAACAAGCTTCACTGAAGCTGGGCTCATTTTCAGCTGTCAGTGGAAAAACACAAGGCTGCACCAGTCTCCGCTGAAACTCTCAGACTCGGCCAGTAGTTGTTTTCCAGCTTCTTGTTACCTTTGAAATCCAAACATTTTCGATTTCTTCCTTTCTGCTGTGCCAGCAAGACGGAGCTAAGTGAGACAGTTTGCACCAGGAAGGCGCCACAATTATGCACTGTGTCACCACCGGACACGCAGCTGGGGAATGTGCAGGGCGCCTGCAGCCGAGGGGCCAGAGTGTGCTTTTGAAGACGTGATCATAGCCACTTTCAGTTCATCTTGCCTTAAATCAGTGGACAAAAAGAGGCAGCTGACACTCCGCTTGTAAGGGATAGTAACACCATAATAAATCACATTTTTTCTGTGCCAGTTTTCTACCTTGCCCTAATTTCATAGATGAAATCACATGTGTAAAACTGACTTTGCAATTTAGCTCTGAAGTCCAGAAAGGCTACCCAGGGAGCACCGTGCCTTTTTTTATACTTATTCCCTGATATATTAAATCACCTAGAAAGCTGGAGGAAAAAGCTCTCCTGCCTGAGCAAGTGCAAGGAGGGTGCCATCTGAAGGATAGTCCAACATTGTAAAGCTGAGTGCAAGTGGAAGACCTAGGAGTAATAAGAATAACAATTATCATCTTTCTATTTTTAACCTCAGATGCAGTGAGTTGATTAATTTACACTCCTCAGTTCATGGCACATTTTTATTGTTACTCCTTCTGATTCCTACTCGTTTCATGTATTTGTTTAGGTTCCATTACAGCTTACGGACTTACCCCCACTCCAGCCACCACCCCATAGGGTAACCGTTCGAGTATGTTTAATATACATGTATCTATTTGTATGTGTTCTTACAAATTGTGTAAGCATATATTATCAATTTACATAATGGTACCGTGTTATGTATCTTTCCCTTTCCTTTTTCACTCAGGTCGGTTTTTAAGATCCAACTTTGTTGCCATGTGTATATTGAGTCTATTGATTCTAATTGCTTCAGAATACTCCATGACTCTTATCTCTTCATTAGGTGATTACTATATGCCAGATTCAGTACTAAGTGATTTAGGTATATTGATAACTTGGATTACCAATAACATTGAGAGTGTGAAGCATTTGTGTTCATCAAAAGGGATGTGAGTTTCTCAGAAGGCCTAAGAGACCTGGCTCTCTGGAGGTATTTTCTTTCTTTCTTTTTCTTTCTTTTCTTTCCTTTCTTTCTTCTTTCTTTTTCTTTCTTTCCTTTTCTTTCTTTCCTTCCTTCCTTCTCTTCCTTCCTTCCTTTCTTTCCTTCTCTCTTTCTTTCTTTGTCTCTTTCTTCTTTCCTTTTCTTTTTTCTTTTTTGTTTGTTTGTTTTAAGAAAAGTCTTGCTCTGTCGCCCAGGCTGGCATGCAGTGGCGCAATCTTGGCTTACTACAACCTCCACTTCCCGGATCCAGGCTATTCTCCTGACTCAGCCAACTGAACAGCTGGGATTACAGGTGCCTGTCACCATGCTCGGCTAATTTTTGTATTTTTAGTAGAGACGGGATTTCGCCATTGGCCAGGCTGGTCTCAAACTCCTGACCTCAGGTGATCTGCCCACCTCGGCCTCCCAAAGTGCTGGGATTACAGGCGTGAGCCTGCCTCTCTGGAGGTATTTTCAGGGGCTAGATCGCCAGCCACTTTACCAGCTCACTGTCTCTGCTGTCATGGGTCTCTCTCTTCTGTACAGTGACTTTCCCTCTGCCTTGCTTTCCTTTTCACATCTGTCTGAACAACTCCTAATTTGCTAGCCCAGGGGGCTCCTTATTTTTTTTATTAATTTTTTTCGGTCCCAGTCTTCTGTGAGCACCAGTCTAGCGATTTAAAGCATGAGCTCTGGGATCAGCCCATCCGGGTTCAAATCCTAGCTCTACGTTAACCAGTTGGTGTAACCTGAGGCAAACTGCTTAATCTAGCTGCACCTCATATCCTCATCTGTAAGATGGGGATGATGACACCTACTCTATAGGGTTGCCGTGAGAATTAAACAGGGTGTTACAGTGCCAGGCATGCAGTAACTGTTCAGTAAGTATTTTTTACTTTTCTGGTCCCTTTGCCTGGAATAACACATATACCAAACAAATCTTGCAAATAATTTCAAAAGGTATCTAAAATTGCTCTTTTTTAAGGTTACCAACCTTAAAATTCAAATTCAAGTTCTCCAGGTCCAACGATTACCCTTCTGTTCCGGTCCTGCTACTTCCTTCAGCAGCACTGGCCAGCCCCCACTTTTTGAAAGTCTTTATCCCGTGAGTCCCAGGAATCTACTCTTTCTGGGCTTTCCTCCTGCCTCAGAGGTCCGATTTTGAATGACTAAGGACCCAGAAGCCATTTAGCTTCTTTATCTACGCTCTCCCTGGAATAACCTTCTTATCCTGTCCCCTGGGTTTAAACATCAGCCACACACTGATGAATCTCAGATCATCAGCCCCTATCTCTCCCTTAAGCCTTGAGCTCACCTTAAGGGCCATCCATCGGATATCCAGCACCCGTCAAACCCAGCATGTGCACAAGCAGAGTCTTCATTTCCTCTGGACTTGCAAACTTGCCTCTTCCGCAGTCTCACTTACCTCTGCCAGTTGTGCGGAGAATAGACTCATGCAGGGAGAGAAAGGAACTCCCCGCAGGAGTCCAGGAGAGAGAGGTTTGTGGCTTGGACTGGAGTTGTGGCAGCAGAAAAGATGAGCAGTGGTCACATAACCAGATTCTTTGGGCAAGGGATGGGGTGAAGATGCAGACTAGGAGCCAGGAGCCAAAACTCCATGTACGCGAGACAGGCAAGGTTAAGACAGAAACAGTAAATTTCACATCAAAGACTGTTAAGGGCAAACTACAGGGAATGTTATGGGGACCCAAAAGAATGTGTGTTTTGCTACTTACCATTGCATAGGTACAGGGAAAAGAAGACTCTTTATGAGACAGTTTTTAGGGAAGATGGGTTACAAAGTGAATGGTATAATGCAGAATGTTTATGTATGTATATATGTGTGTATATGTACACACATTATTATATACACACATATATACATATTTATGTCTATATACACATATATACATATTTATGTCTATATACACATATATACATATTTATGTCTATATACACATATATACATATTTATGTCTATATACACATATATACATATTTATGTCTATATACACATATATACATATTTATGTCTATATACACATATATACATATTTATGTCTATATACACATATATACATATTTATGTCTATATACACATATATACATATTTATGTCTATATACACATATATACATATTTATGTCTATATACACATATATACATATTTATGTCTATATACACATATATACATATTTATGTCTATATACACATATATACATATTTATGTCTATATACACATATATACATATTTATGTCTATATACACATATATACATATTTATGTCTATATACACATATATACATATTTATGTCTATATACACATATATACATATTTATGTCTATATACACATATATACATATTTATGTATATATTTATGTATATATGTGTGTATATGTACATACATATATACATACATAAATACATATATATGTATCTCCCATTTTAATTTTTAAAAATTATAAGATATTTCAAACATGCAGAAAATTCTCATGTTACAAATCTTCTTACACCTACCACCTGGCTTTAATGTATGCACCCTTTTAATGGCACCTACCTATGTGTATTAGTGTTTCTTCTCTTTCTCCTCCTATATTATAGAGAGGTGCCTGAAGGCAGGGGCTTGACCTCCTCTTTGTGTCTCAGGAGCATCTTGCACAGCGTCTGTATACCTTAGACCCCCTAATTGTTGCTGAATTGAATTGAGTTCTTGAAAGACCTCAAAGAGGCCTTCAGGAAAAAGGAAAGTGTAGCAAGCAGCACATACGATTCTCACAGATTTGAGAAGCTGCAGCTATTTTTAAGGTGTATTAATTCAGAAGGAATTACTGGAAGTGAAAATAGGACAGCTGCATCTTGTGGCATATAACATTGAAAACTTACTTCATAGACTGATATCCTTGACTAATATTTCTGATTCCAGAATTAAAGCCACAGGCAACCTGAATCCCAGCTTTCCACGATTTCTGTGCCCTCCTACAAATGATAAGTTTATTTATTATGAAAGATCTTTAGCTGATAACAATTTACCATCAGCTACATCAGGTGCATTAGACGTTTATGCCCTTTGTCGAGTCCCAGTGGTTTTGTCTTCTGCCCTGACCTCCCTTTACCTGCTACAAATGCAGGAAAGTGTTGTACTGCCTGAAATATTAGAATTCTACCATATTGCTCCTTGGCACAGAGCTACCTCAATGACTTACCAGAATTTCCAGAATTCAAAGAAGAATTTGCTATATACCAAGGTAAATGAGACCTTGGCAAGCTTTCTAGCTAGTGGTAATGGCATCTGGCTTGCCCTGGATGGTCCCAGTTGTAGATCAGTGAATTATTCTCAGCTTCCTCTTCACTCTCAAAAGTGTCTCTGGGCCAGGCATGGTGGCTTACGCCTGTAATCCCAGCAGTTTAGGAGGTCGAGGTGGGCGGATCACCTGAGGTCAGGAGTTTGAGACAAGCCTGGCCAACATGGTGAAACCCCATCTCTACAAAAAACACAAAAATTAGCTGGGCATGGTGGTGGGCGCCTATAGTCCCAGCTACTCAGGAGGCTGAGGCATGAGAATCGCTTGAACCCGGGAGGCGGAGGTTGCAGTGAGCTGTGATCACGTCACTGCACTCCAGCCTAGGCAACAGTGAGACTCGATCTCAAAAAAAAAAGTGCCTCCGGTTTAGCTCATAAATTATATGATCACTCTATTAATCCCCCACCTAAACTTTTTACATCATAGTACCTGCCTTCTGTGGATGGGACTTCCATTTTTTAAATTTCTGCAGTGTCCCATTAAGTGGATTAAATAAAAGCCTTTGATTTGTTAAAGGAAGACACACTAGACATCACAAACCACTCTTTATTTTTGGCATTCCGCTTTCTGAACATAACACAAACCAAAATAACCCGAGATGTTACCATGATGAATCATGCCGACATGACATAGCTGCTTTCCATGGGGAAAATGTAAACCATCAAAAAAAAAAAAAACCAAAAAAAAAACAATAAGACTAAAATTTAAATTACACGGTAAAAAATGTTCAACATTTATAGTCCTGGACCATTTACTGAATTTAATTGAAAACCAGCTTAAATTTCAAAAACAGCAACAACAATTCAGGCTGCCTTTTTTTATTACACATTGGATTGCTCCTTGTCTCTTCGCTTCATCTATATCGGGTCAAAAAAAGAAAAAGAAAAAATAATAATACAACACTGGAATCATGTGAAGTTATAACAATATTTTCAGCCCAGCAATTTCAGCCCAATTTTCAGCAGTAATGTTTCATTAGAATCAAACATTTCCTAGATGGTTTAAAAACACAATGAAAATCTGGCACTTTGAGAGCTTGTGTGAATACAGCTTTAACTTCTTATTTTCAAAGAAAAATGAGATTTAACATTAAAAAACTAAAGCAATGCCCCTGAAGGTTCTTCCCTTAAAAAAGAAAGGAAGCTCAGCCTGCTGTACACATTAAATAATTAAAATCAATGATCCTTTTAAGCCTTTAGCAATGCATGAACCAATAGGGAGAAGCAATCTAATACTTCATGCATTTGGGGGATTGCATTAGAAAGACTGCTAGTCTGCTTCTGCTTTTATAAATGCAAATGTATGCAGAGCAGACAGATTGGGATCTGTACAATTTAGCAATGATCGAAACTTGTAATTTTTGAAAATGGGACAGATGTCCAGTCTAGTTATATTAAGATGCTTCTTATTGAAGAAGAAACCAAACCAAACAAACAATTCAATGCCACCTCCTCTTTTAACCGGAAACAAATAAACAAAGGCATCACAAATTAGAAAAAGTTATATACCATCTTGTTTCTTTCATGGATTGTTAAGTTGAGAGGCAGCTTCGGGTAGTGGAATAAACATTTCCAGCATGTATCACTGCATTACTCATCTTTCTGTCCCTAAAACACAGGAATGAAGGGAAATATTTCCCCATTCAAGGACCGGGGTGGGCTTAAGTCTAACTTCCAGAGTAGCCAGGTCTCTGGTTCTGTAGACTATGCTCTCCTTGAACCACAGACAGGAAGGCAGCCCAGAGTCAGGGCAGTCAATAAATACATGCTGAATGAAAGCCTTTGTTTACTCACTGAAAGTTGCTGAGTGCTCGTCATCTTTTCACGTTTGTAATATCACAGCTCCAGAGGTTTATTTCATGATGGCGAGTGCCTAGAATGTGCCACAAACTGGGGAAATAAAGGTGAAAACATGGCATTTACTCTTGAAGAGCCCGCAGTCTGGTGGGAAAGCCAGATAAGTAAATATACGATTAAGATGAGTGCTAGCGGCTGGGCATGGTGGCTCACGCCTATAATCCCAGCACTTTGGGAGACTGAGACGGGCGAATCGCCTGAGTCCAGGAGTTCAAGACTAGCCTGGGCAACACGATGAAACCCCATCTCTACAAAAATTACAATAAATTAACCGGGCATAGTGGCACGTGCCTATGGTCCCAGCTCCTCGGGAGGCTGAGGTGGGAGGATTGCTTGAGTCTGGGAGGTAGAGGTTGCAGTGAGCTGAGATGGTGCCACTAAACTCCAGCCTGGGTGATACAGTAAGACTCTGTCTCATAAATAAATAAATAAATAAATAAATAAATAAATGTACAAAGGCAGGCAGAGAGGCAACTAGAAGAGTGGGAGGCACTGAGTTTACAATAATTCAATCAAATCTTCATTAGGAATGTCTACGTGTGAGGTATGTGGGGCACAAGGGATGGAGTCCCTGTAGGTGCTAGGAGTTCAGGAAGGGGAATGACATCCAGTTGTGCTTCAGAACAATCACTCTGGAGGCGAGGCAGAGGAGGATGGTGGGGGTTACAGCCTAGAGGCCAGGAGGCTTACCGTGGGCCCAAACCAACACAGTGACGGGCTGGAGAAAAAGAATGCCTGCTTATGAGAGAGACTCCAGCCAGCTTTCCCACAACGCGGCTGCCGCTTCACTTTCAGTCAGAGCCGATGGTTCTGGAGTTCATCCTTACACTGAGCTAAATCCACCTCACTCTTACTGCCATTTGCTGGCCTAGATGTGCACTCTGCAGAAATTCAGAAATTACAGCTTCTCAAACAGTGGGTTGTGTTCATGCTTGACTGCCATCAGCAAAACCTAGATAAAATATTTATATTTCTCTAACAAACAAAAAAGCAGACATAAGGCATGCATTCCAAAACCTCCCTGGATTTCCCACTCTCAACATTCAAGGCAAGGACGTGAGGTCTTCCTAAAGAGGCTCAAAAGAAGATAGTTTAAAAAATTCTTCCTTAAAAAAATTAAGCTGCTGCTTTATCGATGTTTTCTGGATTTTGGAAATTTTCACTTAATGAATTACCCCTCTTCTTGCTTCCCAAACTCAATAAATAAGGGGAAAGTGTTTCTCCATTCAAGAAAAATAGGGTTTTGCAGCTGGGTGTGGTGGCTCACACCTGTAATCCCAGGACTTTGGGAGGCCAAGGCAGGCGGATCACTTGAGGCCAGGAGTTTGAGACCAGCCTGGCCAACACGGTGAAACCTCATCTCTACTAAAAATAGGAAAATTAGCTGGGCGTGGTGGTGGGCACCTGTAATCCCAGCTACTCGGGAGGCTGAGGCAGGAGAGTCGCTTGAACCCGGGAGGCAGAGTTCAGTGAGCGGAGATCGTGCCATTGCACTCCAGCCTGGGCGACAGACCAAGACTCTGTCTCCAAAAAAAAAAAAAAAGAAAAGAAAAAGAAAACTAGTGTTTTGCTATTCTGAAGACACTTAGAGCTCCACTCAATGTCTACAAGTGGAGCTACTTAGAGCTCCACTCAAAATTGAGCTCCACTCAATTTTCCACGAATGAGGGACAGAAAAGCAGGGGGCGGTCAGCTGCTAATCACGACCTCTGCCCTCTGCTTTTTCACCTTAGTAGACTCACCTCCTGCAGGTACCCTGATAGGTCTGCAGTTCTAACAAGTTTCCTGGATTTCTATCTACAACCTTAGAAAGGGCCCTTCAGCCCAGACCACATTACCAGAGCAAGATGGTGAACCACTACGTGGTCCCTGGTCGGCCAGAACTCTGCCCATGTGGTAATGAGGCTGTTCTAGTCAGGAAGCCCAGGGATTAATACTGCTACTAAGTTTTGATCAGGAAAATATAATTTAAATTGTTTATTATGAAAGTTGGCAAACATACATAAAGAAGACTGAAGAGGAAAGTGAACTCACATATTAACTTCCTTCAGGTTCAACATTACCAACATCTTGCCATACTTCATCTATCCTTTTCTTTCTTTTTAACTTATTTTTTTTTTTTAGAGACAGGGCTTCACTCTGCCACCCAGGCTGGAGTGCAGTGGCGCAATCACAGCTCACTGCAGCCTTGAACTCCTGGGCTTAATTAAGTGATCCTCCCAACTTGGCCTCCTAAATGCTGGGATTATAGGCATGAGCCACAGTGCCCAGCCTTCTTCCTTCATTCTTTTTCTTTCTCTTACCTTCTCTTCCTTCTTTGCCTCTTTTTCCCTTTCTTCCCCTTCCTTTCTTTTCTTCCTCCTTCCTTTCTTTCCTTACTGTGGTATTTTAAAGCAAATCTCCTACATCATATTCTATGCTTATATTTCAGGGTATGTAACTCTAAAAAATACAATTTTTCTTATAGAACTACAATACCATTATCATACCTGACCAAATTAATAATAATTCTCTAACATCATCTAATACCTAGTTCCCAAGAAACTTTTAAAATCGTAAGACTTGAAATTTCTATTGCCTCTCCAGGGAAAGGCCACACTACAGACAGCCTTAACAGATTCACTATCGGGGAATTCTTCTAGATACTCAGCTGAAATTTTCATCCTGTGACTGCATATTGTGCCCCCGTGTATCATGTTAAATAATTAATCTCTCTTTTTAAAGTTTGCACGTTTCAGATATTTGTATACATTTAGCTGGTCTCTTTCATCTTTGCTTAGCTGAGCTATACACATTTAATTCTTTTAATATTTCTTATAAATCAATCCCGTCAGCCCGCTAATCATTTTGGAGCTTTTCTTTGAACCTCCTCCAGCTAGTTTCTATAAGCCTAGTAATGAGTAGTCCAGAACCAGATGCAGCATTCCAGGAGCAGTCTCACCCAAATCAAATCGCTCCCCACTTCTCCAAGTGCTCAATCCCAAACAACAAACGCCTTATTTTCTGTCTCATTTTAACAGAAACAAACGTCTTGTTTTCTGCTTTTATTCCCGATTATCTTTAGGCATTGCAGCCTGTGTCTCATCCCTCCCACTAAACATCTGTGCCTCAGAGCACTTTTCTCCAGATGTGATGTAAACAGCGTTGGTGGAATCAGAAGAGTATACAGCTCTGCCACTCCAGCTGCGTGACTCTTGGCAAAACACCTATTCCTCAACACCACTTCAAGTTCTTCACCTAAATAACAAATAAAGACAGAACCTACCTACTTTGCAGGATTTTGGAGGGACAAGTAAGATGATGTAAATGAATGGGGTTTACTGGCCAGGCGTGGTGGCTCACGCCTGTAATCCCAGCATTTTTGGAGGCTGAAGTGAGCAGATTGCTTGAGCTCAGGAGTTTGAGACCTGGGCAACATGGTGAAACCTCACCTTTACAATAAAAAAATTTAAAAATTAGCCGGGTGTGGTGGTGCACACCTCAGCTACTCAGGAGGCTGAGCGAGAGGATCGCTTGAGCCCAGGATGTTGAGACTGCAGTGAGCCACGATTGCACCACTGCACTCCAGCCTAGGCAACAGAGTAAGACCCTGTCTCAAAAAAAAAAAAGCGAGGGGGATGTTTACTAACTTTAATGCTCTCACGCTCTCTCTCTCTGTGTAGACAGACATATCTACTTAGTGAATTTTTGTGCACTTATATGCAAAAGGTGAACATCTATATCCTCTAAAGACATCAATAGCCTATTTCACCATTTAATAATCACTGCTGTCAGAAAATTCTGTTTCAGCTCAATTCTTCTTACCAAAACAATAGCTTATAAAGCATCTTTGAAATGTATAATTTGAATCCATAAATCATGAAAATTTCACTTTTACCTTTCTCCCCTTGGATATAAATCAGGCATGTGGCATTTGCTTCTGTTTACTGACTGTTTACTAGGTTCGAAGAATCAGACTAAACACTATCTGAATGACCTAACTCAGGCTTCATAATTTTATGAAGTAGACATTATTAATAATCCCACTTTATAAATGAGTAGACTGGGGCTTAGAAAAGTTCATTAACTTGCCTAAGGTTAATAGCTGATGATGAGCAGTAGGGCCATGCTGTCAACCACGGGCATGACTTAATATTTCAAATACTCACTGGGAACCCCTAACTATAAAGTAACTTCAAAAGGCCTCCTATTTGCCAAGCACTTGGAGAGAAGTGAAAAGGCATCGTCCTTTTCAAGAGGCTCATTGTTTGGCTGGTGGGGGACTCACAGCTGCTAAAAGAGGAACAAGCATGGTAGCAGTCATTATCATAGTCAGCTGTACCAACTAGGCAAGGCCTAAGAAAATGTTGCTCTTACACCAAAATTCAGATTCATTAAGAAAAACCATTTGATGACTATGGTTAGTCATTTTCCCCTCTCATTCCATGGCCCTGGATTATCTAATAAATTACCAAATACCATCAATTTTCCTTTAAACCGTCCGTTCAAACATCCATTATCTGGTGATACTGTAGTTTGGTGTTTATTGCCTCAATCCTGCATTACTGCACCAGACTTAGTTCTAACTGGGCTCTCTGCATCTCATTTCTACCTATTCAGTTTTTGGCACATGTCACTACCAGATTAATCTTCTTAAAATAAAGCTTCCATACGAGCCAGTCGCTTCACTGTGGCTTTACTCAATCCTGGCTTTCAAGGGTCTAAATGACGTAATCCCAAATGATGCAAATCCTCCTCTCCATCCAGACCAGTCTGCTCTTTACTGACTGTGTTCATCTTGTACACCATCATTTGTGCTGGAACTATTCTCCCCTCCTCAATTGCTCTCCTCTCTTAACCTTTTGAATATTAAATACTGTTCAAGGCTCAACTCAAGGTCTTTCTCTTCTATCCTGACCACGAGGCGTCCTGTTCTCCCTCCTCTGTTTTCAGTAGGAGATCAGCAGCTGTTTGCAGAAATGAATTATTGCTCTATCAATAGCACTTTTTGGCAATATCATTCACTGATATGTATGTATTATCTTGTACCATACTGCTACTTCCCTCCTTATATGTACACTTCTTGAGTTCCCATTAAATGAAAGTTTCTTAAAGGCCTGGACTACATCTTTTGTATGGCATGTTCTTTCCCTGCACAGTAGGTACTTATGAATATTTGAAAACTGACATATTTAATTGATATAAAAGAAAATCACCTAGTTATTACCTTTAGGTTATACTGCCAATTCTGTGAGCCAAAGAATATTAATGACTTAAGATATCTGGCCTCTAAGTCCTGTCCTTAATAATGTAATAATTCGGGGTTAGGAGAGTTAACTTTTCCATGCCCCAATTTTCTCATTTATAAAGTAAGAATTTAAAAGTCAGATAATTCAGAGCACCTGAATACATGAATGCTGATTTATTAAATGCTTTGCCATTAGTTAACACCTTGACAGATGATTTTCTAAGAATATAAAATTCAACACAACATTATGGTATCACAAGTCAGTTTATGTGTCTTAACTAGATACAGAGTGTTCCATTTCCAGCAAAAGTAAGTAGAGAAAATAACCTCAAAACAAGTTTCCACTTAGGTATAGAAAGTTTCAACAGAATATCAATTCCATCCTAACAGTGAGAAAAAAAAAACTGCATAACTTCTTGAGCCCATCAGAGAACTAATGGCTGACAAGCCTCTCTGAGAAGAGATGGAAAAATGAACTGTTTTCAGTTTTGGCAGAATACAGAATCGATAGGTAATCGTCATAAAAGCAGGTGTATTAGATATGGTTCTGCAGAGAAACAGAAGGATACATAGGGTGTGTGTGTGTGTGTGTGTGTGTGTGTGTGTGTGTGTGTGTGTGTGTATGAAGAGATTTATTAATTAGATAGGAGGCTGAGAAGTCCCACAGTCTGCCATGGGCAAGGTGGAGACCCAGGAATCCAGGTCTGAACCCCTGAGAACCAGGAGTGCCAAGGGCAGGATAGATGTCTCAGCTCAAGCAGAGAGGGGGCAATTCCAACCTTCCCCTGCCTTTTGTTCTATTCAAGTCCTCAACAGACTGGATGATGCCTACCCCTACTAGACAGGGCCCTCTGCTTTACTTAGTTCACCAATTCAAATGCAAATCTCTTCTGAAGACACCCTCACAGAAACACCCAGAAATACTGTTTAATTACATATCTGGACATCCCATGGCCCAGTCAAGTTGACACAGAAAACTAGCCATCCCAGCAGGTAAAAAGAGAACAGCTGAGGCCTGGCGCGGTGGCTCATGCCTGTAATCCCAGCACTTTGGGAGGCTGAGGCGGGCAGATCATGAGGTCAGGAGTTTGAGACAAGCCTGACCAAAATGGTGAAACCCTGTGTCTACTAAAAATACAAAAATTAGCCAGGTGTGGTGGTGGGCACCTGTAATCCCAACTACTTGGGAGGCTGAGGCAGGAGAATCGCTTGAACCCGGGAGGCGGAGGTTGCAGCAAGCCAAGATCACACCACTGCACTCCAGCCTGGGCAACAGAGCAAGACTCCATCTAAAAAAAAAAAAAAAAAAAAAGAAAAACAAAAAGAAAAAAAGAAAACAGCTGAAATTTTAATGAATTCTTAAAGTCCAAGAGTAGCAGTTGAGAAACAAAGCAATCGACAGACACAAAAGAAGTCCATACTCGCTTCCTTGCTCTTCTCCAAGGGTCTCTACTAGGTGCTCACAAAAAAGACTGGGGCAGGGCAAGAGAACTGAGAGACTCTGTATGTGGCACAAAGTCACAGAATTCTCTGATACATGAGCCCTTCTCTTATGTGAAAGTCATAAGTTCAATGGGGAGAGGCCCAAGAAAAGATGCACTGCCTTTGGTAGAAGGGTGAAAGCAAGAGCTGTCTGCCACTCGAGGAAGGGCAGAAAATGAGCTCAGCCCAGGATCTTGCACTGATACAAAGCAGAGATCTGCCACTACTGGAGAAGGGGCTGAATTACTGAGAAATCACTGGATTCCATCCACTCCTGGAGTCTAGGAGCTCAGGGCCCAAGACCAAGGCTGGAGGATGAAAACTAAAAAAACACCCTCTTACTCCATGACAAGCTATAACAAGCAACAGTTGATCACTTGGGGAGGTCAAAAAGAGCATGGGTCAGATTCCTTCTGTGGCACAGATATGAAGACTTGCTGAAATCTGAGCATGGAGGGACACACTAAGGAAAAACCCTTCCACAATTCAGGCCTCACATGAATCACAAAGCGCAGCAGCCCACTCTTGCAGTGAATGGAAGTCTGGTGCATTCTAAGTATAGCATCAACAAATCCAAACCTAGTTCAGCCACTGACTAGACTGCCCCAACCTCCCTCCACACTAATGACTGGACACAAAAAATGTGCCTATTTCTGGATAGAAGTATGACTTATCTAAGTTTATTTTACAGGCAATATTTGGCATACAATCAAGAAATACAAAACACACAGACAAGAATGAAAAAAAGCTGTTAACAGACTCACAAAGCTATTAACAGACCTAGACTTGAATGTCAGAACTGTCAGACAAGGAATTGAAAGTAACTATGACTACTATGTTAAAGGATTTCATGGAAAAGGTAGACAAAATGCAGCAAAAGATAAAAAATGTCAGCAGAGCTGGGTGCAGTGCCTCATGCCAGTAATCTCAGCAATTGGGGAGGCTGAGGCAGGTGGATCACCTGAGGTCAGGAATTCAAGACCAGCCTGGCCAACATGGTGAAACCCTGTTTCCACTAAAAAAATACAAAAATTAGCCAGCCACGGTGGTGGGCACCTGTAATTCCAACTACTCGGGAGGATGAGGCAGGAGAATCACTTGAACCCAGGGGACGGAAGTTGCAGTGAGCCGAGATCGCGCCACTACACTCCAGCCTGGGTGACAGAGCGAGACTCTGTCTCAAAAAAAAAAAAAAAAAAAAAAAAAGTGAGTAGAGAGATGGAAACCAGAACAAAGAGTTACATGAAAATGCTAGAAATAAAAAACATGATATTAAAGACAAAGGATTTCTTCAACAGGCGTTGAGCACACTAGACATGACTGAGAAAAGAATCAGTGAACTTGAAGATAGGTCAGTAGAAATTATCCAAAATGAAAGACAAAAAATAAGAAAGCAGAGCATCCAAGTGCCGTGAACAAATAAAATGGTTAAATATACCTGTAATTTGAGTCACAGAAGGAAAGGGGAGGAGGGGAGCATAGAGTAGGATAAATATTTGAAGAAATGATAGCTGAAAATTTTCCAAAATTAGTTTTTTAAACTATGATTTTATTTTTCTTTTTTTTTCAGCCCACTTGAGGAGACAGACCAAAACTGATTAAAAAAAAAAAAAAAAGAAAAAAAGGATCAAAGAAATTAAGAGGCCCCCAAAAGGATAAATACAAAGAAAATCACTCCTAGACACATCAAACTGCTAAAAATTAAAGACAATGAAAAAATCTTGAAGGCAGCCAGAGAAACTATACAAGCCAGAAGATAACTGAGTGACTTCATTAAAGTGCTGAAGAAAAGAGAAGTTATGCAACATGGATTTATATACCCAGCAAAAGTATATTTCAAAAACAAAAAACTTTTTCAGACAAATAAAAACTGACATAATTCATTGCTATTTTATAGCACAGGTCTAATAGCAATGAATTGCATAATGCATTGCTATTAGACCTGTGCTATAAAAAATATTAAAGGAAATTATTTAGAAAGAAGAAATATGATACCAGAATGAAATTTGATTCTACATAAGGAAGAAATGACACTAGGATGTGAATAAACGTAATAGATATTGTTATGATTTTTAATCTCTTTAGAAGGTAACTGACAGTGTAAAGCAAGGGTTGGCAAGCTAGAGCATGAGGATATACTGGTACACAGCCACATACATTCATTTATGTGTATTTTCTTTTCCTTTTTTTTTTTTTGTGAGACAGTCTCACTCTGTTGCCCAGGCTGGAGTGCAGTGGCACAATCTTGGCTCACTGTAACCTCCCCTTCCCGGGTTCAAGAGATTCTCCTGCCTCAGCCTCCCAAGTAGCTGGGACTACAGGCATGCGTAGTCCTGGCTCATTTTTGTATTTTTAGTAGAGACGGGGTTTTGCCATGTTGGCCAAGCTGGTCTCGAATTCCTGACCTCAAGTGATCCATCCACCTTGGGCTCCCAAAGTGTTGGGATTACAGGCCTCATTTATGTATATTTTCTATAGCTGCTTTCATGCTATAATGGCAGAGGTGAGCAGTTGCAACAGAAACCCTATGGTCTGGAAAGCCTGAAATATTTACAGGCATACTTCATCTTATTGCACTTCACTTTATTGAACTTCCTAGATATTGTGTTTTTTATAAATTGAAGGCGTATGGCAAACTTACATGGAGCAAGTCTATCAACACCAATTTTTTCCAACAGCATGTGCTCACTTTGTTTCTCTGTGTCACACTTTGCTAATTCTCAAAATATTTCAAACTTTTCCATGATTCTTATATCTGTTATGGTGATCTGTGATCAGTGATATTTGCTGTAACTATTGTAATTGTTTGGGGGCATCACAAACCACATCCATATAAGACAGCAAACAATTTATTAGTGTTATGTGTGTTCTGACTGCTCCACTGACCAGCCATTCCCCCACCTCTCTCCCTCTCTTCAGACCTCCCTATTCTCTGAGACACAACAGTATTGAAATTAGGCCAATTAAAAATCATACTATGGCTTCTATGGGCTCAAACAAAAAGAAGAAGCACACCTCTCATTTTATTTTGAGAAAGGGTCTTGCTCTGTCATCCAGGACGGAATGCAGTGGTGTGATCTCTACAACCTCCACCTCCTGGGTTCAAGCAATCCTCCCACCTTGGCCTCTTAATGTGTTGGAATTACAGGCATATGCCACTGTGCCTGCCACTGTGCCTGGCCTACATCTCTCATTTTAAATCAAAAGCTAGAAATGATTAAGCTTAGTGAGGAAGGCATGTCAAAAGCCAAGATAGTCTGAAAGCTAGGCCTCTTGCACCAGTCAGCCAAGTTGTGAATGCAAAGAAATATATCTTGAAGCAAATTAAAAGTGCTACTCCAGTGAACACACAAATAATAAGAAAGCAAAACAGCCTTATTGCTGATATGGATAAAGTTTTAGTGGTCTGGATAGAAGATCAAACCAGCCACAACATTTCCTGAAGCCAAAATCTAATCCAAAGCAAGTCTCTAACTATCCTCAAGTCTATGAAGGCTGAGAGAGGCGAGGAAACTACAGAAGAAAAGTTGGAAGCTAGCAGAGGTTGGTTCATGAGGTACGAGGAAAGATGCCACTCCATTACATAAGAGTACAAGGTGAAGTAGCAAATGCTGATGTAGAAGCTGCACAAGTTATCCAAGAGATCTAGATAGTATCATTGATGAAGGTGGCTACACTAAACAACAGATTTTCAATGTAGATAAAACAGCCTTATATTGGAAGAAGATGCCATCTAGGACTTTTGTAACCAGGGAGGAGAAGTCGACGCTTGGCTTCAAAGCTTCAAAAAATAGGCTGACTCTCTTGTTGGGGGCTAATACAGCTAGTGATTTAAATTGATGCCAATGTTCATTTACCATTCTGAAAATCCTAAGTCCCTTAAGAATTATGCTACATCTACTCTGCCTGTGCTCTATAAATGAAACTACAAAGTTTAGATGACAGCACATCAGTTTACAGAATGGTGGACCAAATATTTTAAGCCCATTGTTGAGACCTACTGCTAAGAAAAATAATTCCTTTCAAAGTATTACTGCTCACTGGCAATATACCTGGTCACCCAAGAGCTCTGATGGACATGTACAAAAAGATTAATGTTGCTTTCATGCCTGCTAACACAACATCTATTTTGCAGAAAATGGATCAAGGAGTAATTTCAACTTTCAAGCCTTATTATTGAAGAAATACATTCCATAAGGCTATAACTGGCATTGAAAGTGGATCCTCTGGATGGATGGATCTGGACTAAGTAAATTGAAAACCTTTTGGAAAGGATTCACCATTCCAGGTGCCATTAAGAACATTCATGATTCATGGGAGGTCAAAATATAAATATTAACAGGAATTTGGAAGAAGTCGATTCCAACCCTCATGGATGACTTGGAGAGGTTCAAGACTTCAATGGAGGAAGGAACCACAGATGTGGTAGAAACAGCAAGAGAACTGGAATTAAAAGTGAAGTGAGGCCTGAAGACATGACTGTATTGCTGCAATCTCATGATAAAACTTGAACAGATGAGGAATTTCTTCTTATGGATGAGCAAAGATTCCATCTCAGGAAATGAGATGGAATCTACTCCTGGTGAAGACACTGTGAAAATTGTTGAAATGACAACAATGGATTCAGAATATTATATTAACTTAGGTTGTTAAAGCAGAGCAGGGTTTGAGAGGATTGACTCCAATTTTCAAAGAAGTTCTACTGTGCATAAAATGCTATCAAAAAGCATCACACACTAGAGAGAAATCTTTCATGAAAGGAAGAGTCAACTGATATTGCAATCTTCACTGTTGTTTTAAGAAACTGCCACAGCCACCCTAAGCTTCAGCACCTGACCCCCGATCAGTCATCAATAAGAAAAGACCTTCCACCAGCAAAAAGATTACAACTCACTGAATGCTCAAATGATTGTTAGCATTTTTTAGTAATAAAGCATTTTAAAATTAAGGTATGTGTTTTTTTAGACATAACACTATTGCACACTTAACAGACTACAGTGTAGTATAAGCAAAACTTTTATATGCACTGGGAAGCCAAAAGACTTGTGTGACTCACTTTATTGTGATATCCACTTCTTGCATATTTGTATTATTGTGGTGGTATGGAACCAAACCCACAGTATCTCCAAGGTATGCCTGTACTATCTAGCCCTTTACAGAAAATGTTTGCTGACCCCAGCCAACAGCAATAAGGTAAAAACAAACAACAACAAACCTAATGTATTATAGACAATAGCATAAAAATTAGGAGACAGAAATGAAAATATACTCTTGTAAGGTTTCTACATTACACTTGAGCTGGTAAAATACTATTTGAAGGTAATCTGTGATAAGTTAAAGATGTATATTATAAATCCTACATAAAACAGAAAAAAAAATTTTAAGAGGTATAACTAAAAAGCCAATAGATATAATGAAATACAAAAAAAGTATTCAGTACTAAAGAAAATGGTCAAAGATGAAAAAAGAACAATGAAAAGATGGCTCACATATAAAACAAATGAAAAGATGGTATAGCAAATCAAACCATGTCTATAATTACACTAAATGTAAATGGCCTAAACACTCCAACAAAAAGGTTGAGATTATCAGATTAAATAATACATCAAGACCCAGATATATGCTGCCTATAAGACACCCACTTTAAGTATAAGGAAACATAACATCTAAAACTTAAAAAAAAAAAAAAGGAAAAATATATACCATAAAAATACTAATTTTAAAAAGCCAGAGTGGCTATGTTAATAGCAGACACATTCAGAAAAATATTTAGAAAAAGAAATACTATCAGGAATGAATACAGACATTCATAATGACAGATCAATCTATCAATAAGACATAACAATTTTAAATGTATGTGCCCCTAATAATAAAGCTCTCATACAAATATAGCAAAAAGAGGTGATAGAACTGAAAGAAGGGCTGGGTGCGGTGACTCACACCTGTAATCCTAGCATTTTGGGAGGCTGAGGCAGGCAGATCACTTGAGGTCAGGAGTTTGATACCAGCCTGGCAAACACGGTGAAACCCCGTCTCTACTAAAATACAAAAATTAGCTGGACGTGGTGGCTGGCACCTGTAACCTCAGCTACTTGGGAGGCTGAGGCAGGAGAATTCCTTGAACCCAGGAGGTGGAGGTTGCAGTCAGCCGAGATCACACCACTACATTCCAGTCTGGGGAACACAGTGAGCCTCCCTCTTGTGAAAAAAAAAAAAAAAAAAAAAAAAAAAAAGAACTGAAAGAAGAAACAGACAAGTCCAACATTATAATTGGAGATTGCAGGTCTCCTCTCACTGTAACTGATAGGCAAAGTAGACCAAAAACAGAAAACAAAACAAAGCAAAACAAACCCCATTAAGGCTATGGAAGACCTGAATAACACAAGCAACAAGCTTGACCTAATTGATATTTACAGAATGATCCACCCAACAACCATGAAAGCACATTCTTAACCAATGTACATGGAACAAATTCCAAGGTAGACCATTTCTGAGTCACTAAACAAGTCTTAATAAATTTGTAAGAATGGAAATCACACATTTTATGTTCATGTATTTTATATTCTCTCACCACAATGAAATTAAACAAGACATCAACTAGAGAATTTTATATAGAAAATCCTCTAATATCCAGAAAGTAAATGATATACTTCTAAGTAATAGGTAAAGTGAAATATCACAATGGAAATTATTTTAAATTGAATCACAGCTTATAATAACTCATGAGATGCCGCTAAAGCAGTGCTCAAAGAAAAACTGATAAGATTTAATGCTTAAGTTTAAAAAGAAGTGACCTAAGCCTCTACTTTAAAACTAGAAAAAGAGCAAGTTAAACCTCAAGCTGGCTCAATGAACTATACACTTAAAATGGTGAATTTTGTTGCATATAAATGTGACTTTTTAAAAATTCCTTTAAAAAATAATTGAACTTATACTAAGGAAATTCACCAGGGTCCAAAACAAAGAACGATCTGAAACCCAGAGTGGTAAACATACTTCTTGATGCTACAGCAATCCAGGTAGTGGGGGAGGGAGGCAAGATTTACTCCTCTCTGTAACCAAAGTGTTTGCCTTTTAAGTGGGGATGGAAACCAAGTGTGGATCTTGAGAGGCAGGTTTTGGAACTGTGACACCCACAAACATAGGCATAAAACTGGTACCCTTAAAGGACTATACATTTAATAAAATGGTAGACTACAATGCAATTTACCATAAACACAGGGCGAAAACAAGGAAGCTTTTCTTTGACTTAGGCTTTAAATTAAACAAAACACAACACAACAATAATAAAACATCTCTGCAATGATCATTTACGATGAGGATTTTGGAACAGCGATATCTCTGGTGTGCCTAGCAGAAACAATCCCAAAATCTCTCTGGAAGGACACTCTCAACCCAAGCACACACACTCCCATAAAGTCTCACTGAATTACCTCATAATCCAAGTTTACAACACAAAGAACACAAGGTAGGACACAATCTACCTTGGCTGAGAATTGGGAGATTCAACAAGCAATATTAGAGCATACTCCATAAGAATTTCAGATAACTGAGTTAACAGAGACTGTTAGACTAGACAATAAGACTAAATAGACTAGTAGACTACATAGAAAATTAGACTAAAAAATACACATAACTAAAAACCCTAAGAAATCAGAGAAAAGTTCATTAAAACCATATTGTGATAAAGTAAACATGTGCCTAAATGGTTAAGAAGAAAACGTAAAATACTTTGTGGTGATAAGGATGTGGAACCATCAGAATTCCCATATGCTGCTGGTACAGCAACTTAGAAAAACTCCTTGCACTATCTACTAAAGCTTAACGTGTATACTTTACAACCTAGATTCCAGTCTTAGAAATATCCATCAGAGGCCAGTCGCAGTAGCTCACGCCTGTTATCCCAGCATTTCGGGAGGCTGAGGCAGGCAAATCACTTGAGGTCAGGAGTTTGAGACCAGCCTGGCCAATATGGTGAAACCCTGTCTCTACTAAAAATACAAAAAAATTAGCTGGGTATAGTGGTGTGTGCCTCTATTTCCAGCTACTCAGGAGACTGAGGCATGATAATTGCTTGAACCTGGGAGGCAGAGGTTGCAGTGAGCCGAGATGGCACCACTGCACTCCAGCCTGGGTGACAAAGCGAGACTCCGTCTCAAAAAAAAAAAAAAAAAAAAAAAAAAAAAAATTCCAACAGAAATGTGTGCATGTTTACCAGGAGACAAGTATTACATTGCTCATAGAGGCATTATTCAAAATAGTCAAAATTGAAAGCTAACCAAGTGTCCATCATTCAGTAAAATAGATCAACAGTGGTAATAACTGAATAATAGTAAACAATGACAATGAACAGTAAGTGGGGCCTTTGGGAGGTAATTAAATTTAGACAAGGTCATGAGATTGGAGCCACTATGATGGGGTTAACGTCCCTATAAGAGGAGGAAGAAAGACAAAAGCCTCCTCTCTCAGCCACGTGAGGACACAATGAGAAGGTAGCCCTCTCCAAGCCAGTGAGACAGCCCTCACAACAACCCAACCACACTGACACCCTGATCTCAGACTTCCAGCCTCCAGTACTGTGAGAAACAAGTATGTTAAAGTCACCCAGTCTATGACATTTTGTCATAGCAGCCCAAGCTAAGACAGCCACAATATGGAAGAACCTCATGATTGTAGCTTTGTGCAAAAGAAGCCAGACATAAAAGAAAACATATCACATACTTCTATTTATATGAAGCACAAAAACAGACAAAATTACTAATCTATATTGTTACATGAAATACTAATCTATAATCTTGATGGAGCAGTAGGGGCTTCTGGAGGGCTTAGTGATGTTCTGTTTCTTGACTTGGTTGCTGATTATAGACATGTTTGGTTTGTGAAAATTCACTAAGCTATACAGTTATGTGTGACTTTCTGTATATTAAATACCAAAGTAAAAAAAATATTTTTTTTACTAAAACCTTAATGAAAGACTAAGACAACACATGAAAAAAGAAGAGGCAGATTTTGGAGGAAAAAAACCTGGTGTAGAAATAAAAACAAAAGGCCGGGGCACAGTGACTCATGTCTGTAATCCTAACACTTTGGGAGGCCGAGGAGAGAGGATCACCTGAGGTCAGGAGTTTAAGACCAGCCTGGCCAACATGGTGAAACCTCGTCTCTACTAAAAATAAAAAATAAAAAAATTAGCTGGCCATGGTGATGCACGTCTGTAATCCCAGCTACTCAGGAGGCTGAGGCAGGAGAATCACTTGAACCTGGGAGGCGGAGGTTGCAGTGAGCCAAGATTGCGCCACTGCACTCCAGCCTGGACAACAGAGTGAGACTCTGTGTCAAAATAAATAAATAAATAAAAATAAAACACAAGAGTGATTGGAATAAATATATGATTGTTAAACAGTAAATAAAAATAGAAAAAGGCATTCATTATCTGGAAAAAAGATTGGAGGAAATTCCCCAGTATGCAGCACAGTGGGATAAAGAGATGGAAAATATGAAAGAGTAATTAGACACAGAATAAAACAAAAAGACTTAAATAGGATTACTAGCTGGAAGAGATGAAATATCCAAAGAAATGAAGGATGGGAATTCCCCAGAACTGATAAATATAAAAGTTCAAGTTCATGAGGAATGAGTTCCTAAGCAAAATAATCACAAATTATCTACACTTGGAAGCCTAATATTTTAGCATTGGAGAGATTCTTCAAGATGGACTAGTCTGTCTCCTTTGTTGTAAGGATAAGGAAACTTGAGACCTAAAGAGATTAAGTGATTCACCTAGGATCAAAAAGTTGACTAACGGTAAAGACAGAAATAAAGTTAATATGCTGCATTTTAAGGGTTAAGGATAAGAAGAGCAAAATAATTCCCGAACTTCAACTTTCCGGCCGGTATCAGTATTTATAGCAGCAATCTGAAGATATTCCTATTCATAAAGAGAATTTAGCTCACACATTAACAAATGAAGGTACTACTGATTCAACACCTTAATAAATGTGCTTAATAAATAGTATTTAATGAAGAATTAGGACAATCTAGAGCTCTGCCCATACATACCTTAGAGAAAGAAATGGTTTCAAGACAATCCCTCTCTTTAAATTTAACTACAAGGCCATTATACTCATTTCAGTGCATAAACCTCATATCTATTATCGTTTCCTCTATTTAAATGTTTTGGCATTTTACAGTGCTTTTGAATCACATCTCTTTCTATTGTATACATCATGATATAAGGTAAATTACTTACTTTCTTTGAAACAGAACAATTCACCATCTAATTGAACCTCAAAATGTTCATTGTAAATCTGATACAAATTTCAAACTGGTCAGGGGACATAAAATGTACTGAAGATCTGATACAAAGCACTCTTATTTAATACAGTAACTCATTTCTGATGATGAGTCAATGGCTTGTTTTAATTCAAGTATTTAAGAAAAAAATATCTAGTCAGTACAGGTAGAGGAAACTGTGTTTAGCCTTTATTCACATTTCAAAACTTTGAATTTGCAAAGAGCAAATTTCTATTACATAAAGGTCCTGGATTTTAAGACTATAAATAAAATAATTCTATGACTTTTAACAACTTTTAAGACATTATTTTTCAAATATAAAAAACTTAAAGTGTCAAAATGAAGTGATTTGGTATGTTCCAGGTTGAAACATTTTCAGGATTTTTTAAATCTTTTATCGTTTTCTTACAAGTAAAACAACTTTATCATGTCATGAAGGTTTAGACCTAGAAAAATATAAGACACAGAAATTTCTTGAATATTTTGATAAAAATGAAAAAAAAACTGAGTTGGTATTTAAATACCAGACTATCAGGGAAAACTAATTTGTTTTATGAATGAGTCTTGAACTTTTCAGAGTATCTCAGTTTCAACTGCTTATGAGAGTTAGTAAGATTTTAAAGTCTCAATAAATTTAAAATTTTTCATACTTATTAATCTGACAATGATAAAAGGGGAAGAGTTATTAGAATTAGCAAATTTAGTTAGCAAAAATGAAAATTAAAACTAAAAGGACAACAGACCGTGAAAAATCCTTCTATCAGGTATTTACAACACAAATAACTCATGCAAATATGTATAGAAACCATTAAGACATTTATTTATATAAATGAACAAAGTATACAGATAAATCACATAAAAGCAAATCAGAAAAACTTTGATTTCTCTCCTATGTTTACTAAATTAGCAACAACATATAAAACCCCTACTCAAATGGTAACACTGTAAAATGTTACAACTCTTTGGGAATGCAATAAGGCAAACATAAGTCATAAAGTTCTTCATATTATTTCACTAAATAATCCCCCTCCCAGGAATTTATCATAATAAAATTTAAAACTACTTAAGTATTCAGCAATAGAGAAATACTCTAAATAAATTAAGAGTATAAAGTAATATAATTAAAATAATCATTATCACAACTACATACATATAGATAATATCAAATGAAAAAGTCAATTTAAAAGTATAGGTGCCTTAAGACTATGTGAACAACAAAAAGGAAAATAGTAATATAAAAATTTAAATTCTAAAGTTACTACATTAAGATGGTAGAGGTAACAGTAATTTTCCCATTTGGCAAAACTTCAGTTTTAAACATAAAAGAAAAAGAGTGGCTATCGTTTTTTAAAAATGGTCAACAATCTCTACTCCTCTATTAGTAAACTCTGTGTCAATTTTTAAGGTGAAAAATACAGCAGAAATACCTCTGATGTGTTCTAAAACCTAAGTATTTCTCTATTTGGACTTTAATTTGCAATGGAAGAGGACATATTGTAACCTGTACCAGTCCAACAGGCAGATGTAGCCACTGCCACCTTTGGTTGACACACACTGTGGGGCACTAGATATGAACAGGTAAAACTGTAAATTTTCATTTTATGACTTTGTGTGTTTGATATTTTATGTTAATGCATCATGGTATTAACACTCTTTTTCCTTACAGTTTTGTCTCATACTAAGAATTGTTTTAGTGTTTTCATTTAAAATATGTTGCCAATATGTTGAAAATGCTGTACTGATGCATATATAACATTTTACATTGAGTTTAAATTGGGTTAAGCACAAATAAAACCACTTTAGTTTACATATTTTAAATTTCAGAGTTAGAGACTACAAAGCAGGAAAACACCTTTAAAAAGAAAGGCAAAGCATAAACATCTAAAAACTTGTATTTTATGAAATTTCTCATGAGTCTTCCTTTTGAAACTGTATTTGAGTAAAGGAAGAGGGATCTGAATGTTTCTACAGACTGGCTGCATAATATATTGCTTTCCCATAACAAAAATATGAAGCACTCATTATATATGAAGTTTACTATTACAATGTGGCTACATTTAAAAAATTATGGTAAAGAGGGATAGGGAACTTTCAGAAAGCTATCTGAATGAAAATGTTTGAGAAGAACTGTTTTTAAATATTTAGAGCAGAAGAGATTAGCTGGAAATGCAGGGCAGCCATCTCAACATCTGTAAGTATCTCTTGAAAGAGCAAACTAAAGAGACAATGTCACAGGGAACACCCTACAGAGAAATATAAATAAATGCTAAAGAATAAAGTTTTTAGTTGAAGACACATTCTTTAAATTTTAAAAATTATGTTACTTAATAACTTGGTACAAAGTGCTTGACCATGTTGACATTACCATGAAAATATCTCATAGCTGCCAAAATACAAAACTATAGGAGCTGTCTTCTGCTCTAATGGTAGGAAGGTGACTTTAATTAAGTATTAGTCTTCTATTTACAACCTGTTAGTGGTAGCAGTAATAATTTGGTTCATTTACAAATATTATCAAAGCTTATTCATTTCCAAGATCTAAACAAACACAGGTATTACTAGATGATGGCCATTTTATCAAAGAAATGTTTTTAATAATAAACTCTCCAAAACAGAAGAAAGAGATCAATAATGGCCACTTTAAACAATTTAAAGAATTTCAATAAAATGAAGCCACCAGGAAGCCTAAATAAAGTAAAAATAACACTAAATTATGGTCATTTTTGTGAAACTAAAGAAACATGGAGCTCATACTTTTTTCTTTGATTAGGAAATTTGTTCAACTTTTTCACAAGACTGAAGACAGATCAAATTCAGAAAGTTAATTTTTCTGAATCCAATCATATTCATATTTTCACAATACAAAAAATCCTAAAACATTTCACAACACAACAAACAACTGAGCCAACTGCAAGGCCATTTATAATGCATAGAAAATAAATTATGTGCTATTGAAACTGTAAATGATAGACATTTTTCTTCATGCAAAAAAAAAAAAGACATATTGTTTGTCTTTTGAATGCAGCTTGTCATTCTGCATCTGCACACAGGATTCAAATGTCAACTAGAAAATGATGATATTCCCAGGCCAATCTCAACACGTCTTAATTACATCATCTTCTCTCTTTGGCTCATTTAGAGTTATATATTCACAGCTCAAAACCTGTTCATTAGACTCAGGTTTTGATTTTTTAAGTGCCAACTCTGCTGGGAAAAGAGATGAGCAATGCTCAAGAGACTGTGCAATGTCATCAATTGTCCATTTGTCTTCAGGAAGGGCATGTTCTTCTAGCGTAAATGGTCCCTGTTTGGTTCGGGTCAGCTCTAGCACATTGGCACAGGAAGATAGTTCTATGGCAACAAAAGGTAGAAAAAAAATCCAGAAGATAAACGATTCAGTATTTCATAGTCTGTAATTGTTCAAATGACCGTACTCAATTGAAATCTCTCAAAACCACCCAAAAGTATAATAATCCAATATAAGAACCAAGAGGCCTCAGATAAAGAAATGATTAAGTAGCAAAATAATACTTAATAATCCACCTTATAAGCTGCTTTAAAATCAACAAAGAACTTGCACACATTTTTGTTATTTAACTCATGCAGCCAACCCCATGGAGTAAAGATTAGCCGCACTTTACAGATGAGATCATATGACCTGTCCAGTGCGACAACTGCCAGTAAATGGCACAGCCAGAACCGAAACCTTCTGGCTGTTTATAAGACTACGGCTTCCAGTTTAAAAAAATTTGAAAATAACTTTTAGAAGGTTAAATCTTTTTTTTTTTTTGATCCCTAGTTTGAGTTAAAATCTTTTGTACTTGAAAAGATGTTGGCCCTACGTTCATTATTCCTGTCTTCGTTTTCTGTTCTCTCTTTCTCTTCTTTCCCATTACAAACATTTCACTGCAGCTGCTGAGGCTGATAATTGCAAGCCAGAAACCTACAATGCTTTTAAAGCTGAAGGCAGCAAGAGTTCAGTTCCTAAGGCCAGTACTCAGAAATAAGAAAAACGGAAAATTCCCTCTTCCAATTGAAAAGGAGTATTATTCTCTAAATGATAATTCATAATTCATTTTTATGCTTACCTTTTCCAATGTCACTGACCAAGCTTCTGATATAAAAACCTCCTCCACATTCAACATCTGGAATGTTAACAGTGACATAGTAAATTGCTAACCTCCTATGAAATCCACTTTACATAGAAATGATGTCCCTAAACAAATGTAAAAATGCACTATGCAAACAATTGAGTGATAAAATATTTATGCACTAAAACATAAATTATTCATCCAGTAGCATATGTGTTTGTGAGACTGAAAAGTCAGAGTGTGGAGAAAGCAAACAGCACAAACTCATGAACACATTTTAAATTAACTGGCAAGGCATACCACTTTAATACTTCAGCCTTGTTCATTTAATAGGTTTTAAATAGTTAGAAATCTCAGCTTTGCTATCATGAGCTTGAGATTTTAAAAAATATTTTCAGATTTATATGCCTTGTTCATTTAATAGGTTGTAAATGGTTAGAAATGGCAGCTTTGCCATCATGAGCGGTAGATTTTTAAAATATTTTCTGACTTGTACATTCAAAAAAAATACAACCAACCAACCAACCAACCAAAAACCCCTTTTCACAGTGACAAGAATTATGTTTAGGGTACCGTACTACACATGAAGAACTCAGTTTATTTAAATGTTCTCTTGGAAATACTCCTGAAGAAATCATAAAACAACTTAAAATTGCACAATGTCCCAGAACTGAATGTAAATCTAAATATCTTCTTAACACAATCTAACACAAGTTTATTGGTTAAGAACAGAGCTCTCCATTATTTTTATCCATCAGCAAGACTTCCTGAAAAGAGCTGCCACATTTCCACACAAAAGGACTATATTCTAGCTGCTTCGAGTCTTACTGGTACAAATAAAGCCATTTGGGGGAATTAATCAAAACTCACCACCTGGGGATTTTAATCACCCCCTGCTTTCTTTAGTCAGCTCATGGTTGGGGGCCACTGCTGAAATTGAAAGTGGGCACTGGGATGAAATGCAGGCGCGCTAGCACTCTTGCGTGATATTTGACTTGAGTGAAAAGACAGCTCTTTTGGCCCGTTACACTCTCCCTAGTCAATAAAATATTTCTGACTTAAATGCAATCTGAAAAATCTGAGTTTTTTCTTGCTTTCATAGAGAATATCTACTGTGTCAAACCAGCTGCTTCATTTCCATGGAATGGAGCACAACCTTCCTAAGTGTGTTTTTTTCATTATCTGTCAAATATTTTAGAAGCAGGAACATGAAGAAACAAAGTGACTTTTTTTTTCTAATGGTACAAAACCATATCCTGCAGAAACACAACACAGATAAAACAATAATGCCAATAAAAAAGCAATAGAGTTTAGATTAAAAGATTTGGGGACATTATTTCTAAACGGAATCCTATTCAGTGCACTGTGAAACTAAGGGTAGGCTCAATTTAAAGGAGTCTGAGGATTAAGAACCACGGCTTTGGATTCTTCACAGATCTTACATGTTTACAACTTTCTGCAGCCAGATCATAAAATTTCCAAACAACAGAAATGAACTTTTTAGTCTTTACATTTCAAATATATATTAGAAATTAAAATTCATAACTTGAATTAAAAATGTGACCATGTATTCAGGAATACATTTCTGCCTTACCCATGTTTTTCCATATTTGCAGGATCTTTAATAGTAAGTGATAGGTGGTGAAGAAGGGAGTGAGGGGTTTCTTGTCCAAAAACTAAAAATGCTTTGTTTTCATTGGAAAATTAATGTCAGTTCTAAAACGGAATGTATTAGGTACTAGCCAAAATGGGAGGAAAAGCATCCAAAAGATAATAAAAACCTAAAATTTAAAAAGTATATACACTCCTTACCTACTCTTCTCTATAGAGATCTAAAGTATGTTACTTTCAACTTTCTAGTAAGATAACATAGTACAATATATGAAAAAGTCAGCCCAGTTAGAAACGCATTTCTGAACCTCCATATAGCTACAGGTATCTCATTAAATGTGTTACCAAAAAAGGTATAAAGAAATCCTAACTTTCCTTAAATTCAAATTTTAAAAAATCTCCAACATCCTACGGATCTATTAAAATGACACAAAAGTAGCCAAATACAAATTAAAAATACACGTAAATACAAATGATTTCAAATTTCTCCATCTTACCTAATGTGAAAAATGGTGGCTGGAATTTTTGAAGGGAGATACTGTATACAGTCACTGGCCTGGCAGGTTTTGCTTCTACGACTTCACCTCTCTTCATCAAAGTCGAAAGTCTTTGTCCATCTTTCTTTAATGCAGAATAGCTTGTGAGATGAGAGAAGGAGAAATGGAAGGAAAGGAGAGCAAGAATTGAGAGGGATTTGGAAGGATTGGGAGATGATAATTTCAGATTTAGCATGGAAAGGAAGGATGACTGGCAGTGCTTCACAATGAAAATCCTTCTAAAAAATGAATGAATTTTTAATTCTAATCTACTCCATAATGCTGTCATGGATAGAGTTTCTAAATATTTCTAAGGCTGATATAACCTCATTCTGGCACACAATATGCAGTGTTACCAATTTTATTCTTTAATCATCTTTCTAGAGACAATGTATTCATGTCTTGTCCTTACTAGTCCTCATTCTGTGTTAAAAGGCACAAGGAATTTAGTAGACTCTGGTCATAATACTCTCAGCTATATTTCCTTGAAACAATCTCTACTATAATATTCATTTTTATATAAGTTACCAAAACATTTCTAAGAAGCTAATAAGCAAATAACCTACTTAGCGTATCTTAGCTTTTCGTGATAAAATTTTACTAGAAAACAAAATCCTTGCAATAATCACAGAAAATATTAAAACAATTCTTATACATAAATATAAATAAATTTAACAATGATCCAAAATAACGTTTATGCAGATCTTGCTAAAATTTTTAAATTTTTACATTTGAGGCAAAATCATTAAAAAGCGTCTCCTCAGAGATATTTCAATGTTCCTGAAAAAAACTCAAGATTTTAAATACAAAATAAATACTAAATTCTAAAAAAAAAGTCAGAAACTTACCCTGACATATCCTATAACCAATTCAGCCATTTTTTTCAAAAGAGGCAATTTGCTTGAAATGGTAATGTGCACGAAAATATGGCTACATGGTATTATGATCTGAATGCCAAACCTCCAAATTTATATGCTGAAATCCTAACCCCCAAGGTGTTGATATTAGGAGGTAGGGTCTTCTGGGAGGTAATTAGGTCGTAGGGCGCAGCCCTCATGAAAGAAATTAGTACGCTTATAAAGGAGGCTCCAGAGAGCTGCCTTGCCCCTTCTACTAGGAGGATACGGTAAGAAGGTGCCATCTGTGAAAAAGCAGGCCTTCACCCGACGCTGAGCCCACTGCACTGTGATCCTGACTTCCCAGCCTCCAGAATGGTGAGAAATAAATTTCTGTTGTTTATAAGCTACCCAGTTTATGTTATTTTGTTACTGCAGCCCAAACTAAGACAAGCAGTAAAGCAATATACTTGTATTTTTAATAAGTTGTAACTCTCATCGGTTTCGCTGGCTGCAGAGAATAGTGAAGCAAAAGATTGTGCCCAATAGGAATGGTCCCAGCACCTGACATGCAGTGCACATTAGGACTCTGACTCACAGCTCTGACTTCCCTCCCAGACGGGACTGGTCCCTTCACAACAGTTCTAGGAAAAGAGACATCTCTGGGCTCCTTAACTGCCCTTATGTCTGTTGATAGAATCAGAAAAGCCAATAAACACTGTAATAGCACAGATGCCAGGCTGGGGCCACACTCAGAAACAAAGAAGACCACATTCCACTGCCTCTTAGAGTGTCAAAAGCTCCACATCCTGTCTCACCTTCACTTTAACATTTGGCACATCAGATTTAAAACCTGCCTTGCCATATGCTAAGAGGAAACTCGTGTATTTTAACTAGAGTGATGTTAACCATTGGAAAAGAAAAGTAAACATTTTTCCAAATTTACTAATTGAACTTACAGGGGGGGCACTTGCATTATATTTCCAGTAAATTTCTGTAGAATGCCTTCAATATCTTCTTGTGTTATTTTATCTGCCAAAAATCAACAAAAAAGACACTAAAACAACCACAGAAGTACATGTACTATTTTCACAGCACCAACAGCCCTGAAAATTCATTTAAAACTTTTTCCAAAAGCATATATTACAGTATATGTTTTATAGCCAAAATTCTACCTTGTTAAAAAGAATAAAATATACATTAACAAGATAAAAGAGGGAGAAAGTCTTATATTCTTTATTAAAACAATTTCATTTGCTTCAATTTTTCTCCAATAAAAATAATGCAATCATCTTATATATATATTCAGTTGGTTCTGACTATGGCCTTAAGAAGATCTGAGGAAAATCCCACATTAGCTATAGAAATGATCCTGCAGTAATTAATAATGAAGTGATCAGAATACAAGCAGCAAAATAATCCCCGTAAGTTCTTTTCTAAGTTTCTCTAGGGATCAAATATTGTAAATAACTTAATGTGGCACTTAACAAGTATTATCCACATTTTAAATTTTACCTGGTAAGATTTCAAATCTGTTTTATGTTATGGCAGAAATTTTACACACTCACATTCAACTCTGTTGTCAAGTAAAATTGCATTTATCTGTCCCCCCGCCCCAGCCTCCCCCTTCTCTGTTGTTGGAATTTCTCTCTTGTTTTACATGAACACTCCCAGCCGGCCTCAAAAATAAGCCAGTGCAAAAAAAAAAAAAACACACATAAGCAAGGATTTTAGCATGCTTACTAAACAAGCATTTTTTAAACAATGATTTTAGAAAATATGAATGAAGACATATACATAAAGCTTTTACTATCTGTTAATCATGTTTTCAGCTTTTGTTTGGTATTGCTTCAAACAAAATGATGCAATATTAAAGTAGAGTTCTAGCATGGCCCCTGAGCGAGGGTGACATGCAAATTAGTGAAGTGTTCCATATTTTATTTTTATTTATCTATTTTTTTTTTTTTTGAGACAGGTCTCAATCTGTTGCCCAGGCTGGAGTGCAGTGGTGTGATCTTGGCTCACTGCAACCTCTGCCTCCTGGGTTCAAGCGATTCTAGTGTCTCAGCCTCCCAAGCAGCTGGGATTACAGGCGTGCACAACCACACATGCCTACTTTTTGTATTTTTTAGTAGAGGCTGGGTTTCACCATGTTGGTCAGGCTGGTCTCAAACTCCTGACCTCAGGTGATCCTCCTGCCTCAGCCTCCCAAAGTGCTGGGATTACAGGTGTGAGCCACTGTACCTGACCGTGTTCCATATTTAAAAAAAAAAAAAAAGACAAAAAATACAGTTCTATAATTTTAAAAACTAAAATCTATGATATACTGAAATTTAGAATTTTCATACTCAAAGATGTCTTCATACATATTTCCTATTTAGTAATAAACTAAATCACAGAAATATTCTATAATCTGTTTAGTTCACAGCCAATGGTAAGAAATTTCAGTGGTTTTACCATTTTGTAGAAAATTTATCTAAACTTTTTATTCTGGTATATGTGTATTAAATTTGAATTTATTTGAACAATATTAAATAAAAACAAGTATGCTTTGAATTATTCTTCCAATACCAGAATTAAAAGTCAGCATGGAATACTATGTCCAGATTTTAATATCAACCCAACAAGACAGTTTTAACCTCAGTATGACCTTGACCCTTAAAAGCTAAACACAAACAAAAGACTAGAATCTACTAGACTCAAACAGACAGAAGAGCTATAACACTCAAAAGAATTTCTCTAGCACCTAGCAGCTCCAACAAGGCAGACCTCAGATGGCTGATCTGTTCATACTGTTTCTCAAACAGATGTATCTCATGATACAGATGAGGATTTTTCTATGAAAAAATTTTAGTCTACAGCAACATTAAGACATTATTACTAGCGGCACCTTAGTCATACAAATGTAAGATTTCCAGATCTAGACAGCCAATGCTGTCACCATGCTGGCACTTGCTGAAGGAAATGTCACTGTTGATAAAATTGCAATAGTTAACAACTTAGCCACATATTTTTAAAAACAAGGCCAAACAACTTTCTACTTCTGCTACGCTGGTCTCTCTACTGACGCTCCTGCAACTGTGTTCTCCTTTATGCTGCTTTGGTGGCCCTCTTTTGCTGATATCATCACACACAAGATGACAAGATGTGTTCTTTCTCATTCTACTTCTGCCATATTGTCTCTTTCTCTGACTGAACATGTCAAGCATTCGTGGTTTGTGCTGTTCACTCTGTAATTAATCATACACATTTTTTAACTATTCTTTCTATATTCTCTCTTCTTTCTACATATTTGATTTCTACACACACACACATACACACACGTACGTATTATCCCACCAATGAAATTCTAAGCTTCTCAAAGACAATTTTTCGTATATAACATACACTATTAAAATGGCACTCAAGACATCTGCTGAATTTAATTTGCTGAAGAATAATAGAATCTCAAGGCTGAAGGGCATTTAAAAGTCACCTAGGCCAATCATCCATCTGATGTTTGAATTACTAGGCAGCCTACACAGCAAGTTATCTTATAATAAAATCTAAGCTTGTGGTACATGAGTATGTAGTACAAACTGGCTATATCTAAAACATGATATAAGTTCAATCAAATTAATAATAATCGTTCTTATGACATAAGTATAAAGACTGTACTTCCAAAGTATTTAAAAAGAAACAGAATAAAATGTCCACAGTAAATATATCCAATAACTAGGCAGAATAAACATATTTGGTAAAAGAGGTACAAGTGTCATAGGACTTGGGTAATTATTTTTTGTTTAGTAAATTAATAAGCCATCAATGTGACAGCATTCATTTGAAATTAATTTTTTAAAATCATTTTCATAAAATGAATATATACAAGATCATGTTATACATCATTATTTGCTTAAAATTTTACTCTTCCAGTGAACTCACAACATCATAGTTGAGATTTAACTGGACTACAGAGCTAAAAACAATATGATTGAGTTAAAAATCATATTTGACTACGAAAGAGTAACTGTGACTAGACAAATCTTGCCACCATAAACAGCTGTTAAACTGGACAAAATTATTAAGCAACAGTTTTTAGACAGACAACAGGCAGCAAGCACTGTAAACCCTGAGGAAAAAGAAACAAACAAAGCAAGTCTCATGATCACTTGTTTTTGTCTGGAGGTGCTTTCTTAACTGTGGGACAGAGAGGGGAACGTCAAAGCACAGTGATCTCACTGAACAGAGATCAGAATCTGAGGAAGTAGTGGCAGCTGGAATTTGAGGAAAATACACAGACAAAGAAATGTCTATGAAGGCACCCTTGATACTCTGACTAAATTCTAAGCTGTACATACATACATACAGGGTCTCTACAAAATTAACTAAAGAAATACTACCAAAGCTCTTACAAGGCTGGGGGATGTTTTAATTTCAACCATCCAGAATGAAGAAACTTTGTTGAATGCACAAGTCATTTGATAGACACCCCAGAAAAGTCATGCTTTAGAAGCAGAGCTAATCTAGACCTGGAAAAAAAGTCTATTTTAGAGCCATCCTAATATAAAATCTATGCAAAACACAACTAGAACAAATAAGTGAGTTTAGCAAGGTTGAAAAACACAAGATCAATATACAAAAATCAACTCCATTTCTATATACCACCAATGAACTATTAGAAATTGAAACTTCAGAATTTGAGGTACTCAGAGATTTCATAAACAAAGGATGTAAAGATCTGATACTGAAAACTACAAAAATATGGCTATAAAAGACCTAAATAAATGAAGAGAGATATCTTATTTCATGGGTCAGAAGGCTTGATATTGTTTAGATGTCAATTCTTCCAAAATTGATCTATAGCTTCAAAACAATCTCAAACTGCCAGTAGATTTTGAGTGTGTGTGTGCATAAAAATTGACAAGCTGATTCAAAAATTCATATGGAAATGCAAAGGACCAAGAATGGCAAAAGCAACTTTGAAAAAGAACAAGTTGGAGGGCTAACACTTCTTAATTTAAAGACTTACAAAGCTACAATAATCAAGACAGTGTGGTACTGGTTTAAAAATAAATACATCAATGGAATAGAATTAAAAGTCTCAAAATAAAAGTATGCAGATATGGACAACTGTTTTTTGACACAGGTTCAAGGCAACCACAGAAAGGATAGTCTTTTAAAAAATGGTTACAAAACGATGTACATATGCAAAAAATGACCTTGAATCCATATCTGAAATCATATTCAAAAATTAACTCACAATGGAGAGAGGGGCATAAAGACACTTTTATGATGATAAATATGTTCACTGTTTTCATTATAGCTATGATTTTATAGGTGAATGTATATTAATTTTTAAAATTATATATTTTAAATACAGTATTTCTGTATGCCAATTATACTTCAGAAAGCTGTTTTTAAAAAATAAATAGGGTCTTCAAACTGAATTGCAGTAATGAATTTGGGGTGGTGGGACATCATGGCTGAGCTTGCTCTTGGGTAATTTAGCAAAAGTTATTTGCTGTAAGTTTGATATTATTTCAAAATAAAACGAAGGTCATAAGGGACTATTATAAACAGCTTTATACCAATATTTTTGAAATTTTAGATGAGATGACAAATTCCTAGGAGAAAAAATTATCTACATTGATATAAGCAATAAAAAATAGTATATCCAATAGCTAGTAGAAAAAAATCCAACCCATAGTTTAAAACCTTCCTAACAAAGAAAACTCAAGAACAGATGTCTACCTGTAAATTCTTCCAAACATTAGAAAAAAATACCAATCTGATAGAAATTCTTCCTGAGAATAGAAAAAATGAGAACAGCACCCAAACTATTGTATGAGGTCATCATAACTTTGATATCAAAGCCAGTCCAGGACATTAAGAGGAAAGAAAAATACAGGGCAATCTCACTCAAACACAGATGCAAAAATCCTAAACTAAATATTAGCAAAACAAATGCAACAATTTATATAAAGGATAACACATTACAACTAAGTTGGGTTTATTCCAGAAATGTAAAGTTACTTTAATATGTGAATAAGGAGAAAAATCAATAGATACAGAAAAAAAATTTGATACAATTTAATATCTGCTCATGATTTTAAAAAACCAGAACTCAGCAAATTAGGAATAAAAGGCAACTTCTTTACTTTGATAAGAAAGCTATTAAAAAAAAACCTGTAAGGCTGGGCACGGTGGCTCAAGCCTGTAATCTCAGCACTTTGGGAGGCTGAGGCAGGCAGATCACAAGGTCAGGAGATTGAGACCATCCTGGCTAACACGGTGAAACCTCATCTCTACTAAAAATACAAAAAATTAGCCAGGCGTGGTGGCTGGCACCTGTAGTCCCAGCTACTTGGGAGGCTGAGGCAGGAGAATGGCATGAACCCGGGAGGCGGAGCTTGCAGTAAGCCAAGATTGTGCTACTGCACTCCAGCCTGGCGACAGAGCAAGACTCCGTCTCAAAAAAAAAAAAAAAAAACCTATAGAAAAAAATCTATAAGAAATAAAGCAGGAAGGACTTGTTCTTCCAGATATCCAGATAGTCTAAAACTACAGCAATTAATATAGTCTGGTGTATATACAAGTATAAACAAACTGATCAATGTAAAAAAATAGATTTTTTTTTAAACAATAGCCTAAGTGGGTGCTTGATGTGTAATAAAGAAGAGAACACAAGAGTACTGGGAAAGTGCTGAAGCAACTGGACATCCATGCAGGAAGAAAAGGTGGATTGCAGAGGGAACATGAAAGGCAAAGCAATAACAGCTTCTAGAACATAGGAAAATATCTTCACACTTTTAGAGTCAAAAAAGTTTTCTTAAACAGGACACCAAAAGGACCAACCATAAAGGAGAAGGCCTGATAAGCTGGACTAAATTAAAACTAAGAACTTGTGTTTTTCAAAAGACAAGAGAGGAAAAAGGCAAGCCACAAAGTAAGAGAAAATATCTGCAACACACATAGGCAAAAGAAGAGAACATATCCAGACTATATAAAGAACCTATGCATCCTCGAATGGAAGGTGCTTAATAAAAAACAAAAACTCATACAAATGTATAAGAAAAAGGCAACTCAAAAGGGAAAGAAAAAACAAAAAATGGGTAAGAGACCTGAACAGACAATACAAAAAAGAAGATGGCTAATAAGCCAAAAACACTTAATAAGGTGCCAAATCTCATCAATAATCAAATTAAAACCACAATGGAATTATCACTACACACTCACCAGAACAGCCAAAATTAAAAACACTATTAATAGCTAAGTATGTGGGGCAAGTGGAATGCTTATGCACTCCTAGTGGAAATGCAAAGTTTTCCAAGTACAATCACTTTGGACAACTGTTTGACAATTTCCAGTACAGTTAAATATACACCCACTCTATAACCCAGGAACACATGCAGGCACACACGTGCACACGCACACACACACACACACACACACACGACCTATATTCCACTTGGGTATATACCCAAAAGAAATGACGGTAGAAATGTGTCTACCAAAAGGCAGGTATAAAATATACACAGCACTTTATTCACAAAGCCCCAAACTGGGAGAGTATGTGTGTAGTATATTCACACAGTGGCATACTACATAGCAACAAAAAAGTCCAAAATACTCATACATGTACCAACATGGATCTCAAAAATATAATAAGTGGAAGAATTTAGACACCAAAGGACACATAGTGTTTAATTCCATTTATACTAAATTCAAAAACAGGCAAAACTATGCCTTAGTTTTAAAACCATCTCCATAGCATTGGATGTTAGAACAGTAGTTATCTTTGCAAAAGGAGGACAGGGTAATGACAGATAGGGCACAAGTGTGGTTTCTAGCAATCTTCTATTTCTTGACTAAGGGTGATAGCTAGCTACAGATATTTGTCTTGTGCAAATTGATAGAGCTGTACCTTTATTTTTTGTTCAGTTTTCTTTACTTGTACATTTTATAATGAAAAGTTTAAATGCAAACAGCTTTGTAAGAATTTTTATACCCAGCTACACACTAGTCCAATTATAGCATATACCCTATTGGTTCATATCACAATTTGAAACTAAATTCAACTCTTGAGCTTACTCCAGGATAAGTCTCAGCAGCCAAACCATATACAGTCCAAGAGGAGACAGTACCATTAGATACAACATCAGCTACGTCCATTTGAGAAGACCTTGGTAACATCTGATCTCAGGACTAAGGGGTGGTGGTGTTTAGAATAAAAGATTAGCATGAGATTCCACTTTTCTTTCTACCTTTGTTGACTCATGGGAGGGACAGAAAAAACTACTCCCAGTACAGGGACAGTTAGGCCTTCCCGGATGCTTGGTCCACATCTAGCCTGGGAAGCTATGGTCTTAGTGTCCTTAGCTCAGCGGAGAACAGATGAGCACACTGAAGCTGTGTGTCCTCAGAGACACTGGCAATAGTAGCAGACACTTAATACCTAGATGTGGATGAGAAGACAGCAGCAGAAGGCAGGAAGATGCTTTGCCTTTCCCGGCTTATCTGCAGTCATCTTTTCTGAGAATGCCTCTGCTGCCTATCTTTTTTGATTCAAACTCTATATGTCATATATGTCATTCTGTATGCCGTATACCACACCAAAAATACACTACTGAGGACCAAAAGAGACATGGTTTCAGCCTCATGGCTGAAATACACCTGCATGACTATCTGGCAGACATCCTGAAGTCTGACAGTACACAGGACAATTCTTCATTGTGTTCTACGATCCTCTGTGTTACAGGACATCTGTCATCCCTGGTCTCCACCCACTGAAGGCAGCTGGTGTCACCACCCCACCCAGTCATTGTAACAACTAGAAACACAGTTTTTAATTGACCTGTCAAGAACAACTGATGTTGGCTAAAGTAACTCAGTATGCAGTCAATGGCAAATTAATGTTCTTAAGTCATTTTGTCCTATCTAGACAAATACTATTTTTAACTGTTATTTCAGACAGCTGAAAGCTAGCTCAGAGGAATAAGAAAATGAGTCTCTGGCTTAGACTCAAACATCAAAGCATGTAACAGGGCCTTTCCCTTTGTTCTCTATCATAACACTCTATTATTCCTAAATAGCATTTTTCACTATTTACAATTATGCTGTATGTTTGAGTGCTGATCAGGAGTTCAAGACCAGCCTGGCCAACAAAGTGAAACCCTGCCTCTACTAAAAATGCAAAAAATAGTCAGGCATGGTGGTGCATGCCTGTAGTCCCAGCTACTCAGGAGGCTGAGGCAGAAGAATCACTTGAACCCAGGAAGCAGAGGTTACAGTGAGCCAAGAGTGCACCACTGCACCCCAGCCAAAAGACTTTTAGTCTGCTAATATCTGTGTGCTTACATATGAATGCACCTACTTTATTATAAATTACTTTTATTTCTTACTTATATTCCATTTACTACATCATATTGATTTTTCTCAATGTATAAGTAAATTCAAGTATCTCTGAATTTTATTTCAGGATAGTAAAGAAGGCATTATAAGATATTGGTCATAGGTCTCTGTATTAGGTCTCAGAAGGCTGAGAATATTGGTCAGAGTTCTCCATTAGACAGTAAGTTCCTTAAGGACACAAGCTAGGTCTTACATTTATCTATCTTTCCCTTGGTACCTGCTATAGCAGCTTCAACAAATAAAAAATATTTGTTGATTTACTGAAAGCACACAGAAAAATCATGCCAATCAGCAAAATTCTCTGAGCTCTCATTTTCCGGGACTATAAATACTATTCAATAAACTGTAGGAAGCTCTTCTCTTCACAGCCTGAAAAACGTTCTTAGTTTCTCTATGATTTACTGCATCATTACAATGAGATGATTTAACAAACTGAGCTTTCTTTAAGGTAAGTAAATAAGGTTACAAATTACCTAATACAGCATAGAGCTTTTTAAAATACTAAAATGCTTAAGAATAGGAAGAAAGGATATGTTTAAGTATTTTTGTCACCCTGGGCCCCTTCCAGCATCCTCAATGAATTACACTATCATGTAACCAATTTTAAAACCCCAAAACCTAGGTCATGGTTGACAACTTCCTCGCTATCCTGTCCAATCAACTAAAAATCAAGTCTTGCTAATTTTACTTCCTAATCATGGGAAATTTTTCTAATAGGAAAACTCTGTCTCTACCACTGGCACCCTGGTCCAACTTACCATCATCTCTGCTTGGACTACTATAAGAGCCTCATGACTTGTCTATGAGACCTCCAAATTCATTCTCCTCCAATCAATCCTCATAATCACACTATGAGGTTGCTATCATTATTGTCATTTTGGAGATGGAAAAACTACAACATAAAGAGACTAAGAAAATTTCAAATTTGCGCAGCTAGATAAGGGCAGAGCTAGAAATTAAACCCAGATTTGTCTACTCTAGTGCGCCTTATATTTTTCACCACGTGGTACCCACACCCCCCAGCCTTAATTATATTACCCCAGGACTACTGTTCTGAATAATAATCATTCTCCTTATTATGGTTTGGTAAATGGAGTCAGAGATACAGGAGACTTAATTACATAAGTACTTATAAATACTTTAGTATCCTCTGGAAGTCTCTGACGTCCTCCTATTGCCCTATGCCTCCTTAATCTTAAAGTCTTCTGGTTGAAGGTTATAGCTGGCTTTCAGTTAAGTGAGGGTCTGCTATTATTTATTAATAATAATAATTCCAAGAATATTTCAACATCTGTTTTTGAAAAGCCTTGAAATCAATCAGTAATTTTTCTTTTCATTATGTTGCTTGATTAATTGAGCAAGATACTAAGCTACATATAAATGTTAACAGAAAAAATGAAGCTATTATGAACAATAAAAAGGTTGGCCTCACTACTGGGGCAATATGCAGTACGTAATAAGGATAATCAACACAAAAATATAAGGGGGCCAAATGCTGGCTTGCCTATGACTAAGAGATAACACTAAACAAAAAAACAGTCCACAAATTGGTGACATAATGATGCAGGTGAACTGACTTAGAAAACTGCAATTGCTGCATTATAAACAGCATAAGCACTGTGAGAGTTGCTAGGAGACCATTTAATTTATCTATTCTTCCTTACGGTAGTGAAAGAAGGGATAGTAGGAAACTTAAGGTGGGCCCCAGTGAGTTCTGGTTTACTTCCAGAGAAATAGCTTGCCCTCTGTCCTCTTTTTACATAGTCCGAAAGCACAAAAACATGACAAGTTTTAAAGTACTAAACCTGGTACATTTATTTCAACAGCTGACAGGTAATATATTTTTTTTTAATGGCAAGACAGATGAAATCTAACAGAGTATCTCTGCTTTGTTTCTCGTTTACTAGGGAAAATAACCTAAATCCTAGCCATACATGCTTTTGCAAGGAGGTTATTTGGAAGAATAATTCTGAACACTTAAAACATCACTATAGAAAAAGAGGCAATCACAATAAATCTTTATTCAAAAACTCCTATCAAGTAAGCAACAATGCGATAAACAATTTCCAATCTTCTTAGCCCAAAGAAACACACTGAGAATTAAAATGGCTGATAATATCAGAGATTTGTTTTAAAATGCTACCTGCACAGAAACTTTTCCTAAATGTTAGAAAAGAGGCCTACATTAGATGAGCTTCATACCGTAAGGTTTTTCTTCTGTTACCCTCCCCGTAGAATCTAGTGTATCAGTAGCTTTCCCCAGTTCTCCAATGGCAGTATATCTCTAGAGGAAGGGAAACAAGAGAGAAAATGGGCCGTGAGGCAAACAAAAACTGTTATGCATGTCTTGAAGTTTACACAGAATTTCACTACTACTACCAACCTGATACAAAATACAGGCTAAAACAACAGACTGCAATTGTTTTGTTTTTAATATGTGGAAAGCAATTGTGTAAACTGAAGAACATTAACAAACGTCTCACACTAGCCAATATGAGAAAGATAAACCTGATTTTATTGATAATTATGGCTTAATAATTATGACCATTATTATTGTAAGCAAATTTCTCAAACCACCTTTATACTGAGAAGTTTGTTTAAGGAAAATGTTCAAGTCTATCCATGAGTAGAGAGAATGGTACAATAGCCTTGACTCCATGGTCATCATAAGATTCAATAATCTTCCCACATATACAATTAAAATTAATTTTAAATAAGCCAACTTAGTACTTCTTACATGAAATACTAAGACAATTCTTAGTAACTAGGTCATGTATTAAACAAAAGCTAAATCTGTAGAAAAAGAGCAAAACCAGTATAGTCACAGAATTAGTGACTTAACTATTAAATGTGTTTTTTGTTTGTTTGTTTGTTTGAGATGGAGTTTTGCTCGCTGCCCAGGCTGCAGTGCAGTGGTGCGATCTCGGCTCACTGCAACCTCCGTCCCCCGGGTTCAAGCGATTCTCCTGCCTCACCCTGTGGAGTAGCTGGGATTACAGGCACCCGCCACCACGCCCGGCTAATTTTTTGTATTTTTAGTAGAGATGGGGTTTCACCATGTTGTCAGGCTGGTCTCGAACTTCTGACCTCAGGTGATCCACCCACCTCGGCCTCCCAAAGCCAAAGTGCTAGGATTACAGGCGTGAGCCACCACGCCCGGCCATGTGTTTTCTTAATAAAGATAAATTACTACTTAAGATCTCAGGAACAAGAATCGTTTCTAAGAACTGATCTTTATTCACAAGTGAAGAATTAGATCATTCTTAGTTACGTGAGGATTGTCTTATTTCTCATCTTAGGACACACTTGTAGTACGTACTCTTTTCACTTTGGTCAAACGCAAATTTTATTTGGGGCATCACATGAAGTAGTGAAAAAAGTGCAAGAACTTTATTTCCCACTGAAAATAATCTGTATTTATGTGAGCAATTTTATAAAAGAAAACTCAAAGTACTTTGCAGAAATATAAGCTTATTCATGACAAATTTATGAGGCTAGTGAAGGGACCCAAGACAAAAATGAGAAAAATATTAAAACTTCAAAACCTTGTAAGTATGCAGACATTTTATAACAGCTTAAGGCCCTTCGATGAAATCACCTTAATATTATCTAGCTCAGATTTTTTAAAAATAAATATAATACAGAAGGGAATATTCCAACGCATTTCAATTAATTTTTTTAAAGTTTCATAGGTATTGACAAAAATTAGTTTTTTGTAACTAAACACAGTCTCATCACCTGAGACACCCATTCCTGCTTCTATATTTTGGGACAATCAACCTCGACTAAGCATACCACAGGGGGAAGTATGAGAGAAGTACAACAATGGTAACAGCACAGGCTCAGGGTCAACTGGCTGGATTTGAATTCTGACTGTACCACAATTTGTAGACCAAGTTAGTCTTTCCGGCTGGAGCTTAATTTCCTTATCTTAAAATGTGGAAAACAATAATGCCTCATGAGAAGAAGCAAAGAGTTTAGAGTAACAATATCTAGCCCTGGTAAATAACAGATAATAATACCATCATCATCTTTATTTTCTAAGAAAGAAAATACAGAATGATTCGCAGTTAACAGTGGCTAGAGTTGACTCATCTGGTTACAGTCAGCTCCCATAAGGAAAGCAAAGCATCAAAATGCTTTATGATTTTTTTGTCTTTAGAGTCTGTTTAGTTGCATAAGAAAACCATGGTGCAATCTTGCAGACTATGCCTTGAATGTATCTGCAGTATTCTGCTCTGCAACGAGTTTGAACTAGGAACCTTAACATGTTTCCCAAGTATGCAATGCCCATTCTAGTCTCTGGACTCTTGGTGTTTTGTGCACCTGGGGCACATATGCCACTTCCCTGGCCTTGAACTCCCACTCTTCTCTAAGGATCAAACCTTATTCAGCTTTCAAAGCCACCCCTTAATCCATCCCAACTTCCATTTACCCACCTCCACAGCATGACTAAGAGTAGGTGCTCGATACAAATTCCATACATAGAAAGAAGGAAGGCATATATCAAATCCACAAATTCGATCATGTTTCTTAAGGACTATGAATGTCCAAAGTATTCTCCTAAGTGCTAGGGAAGGATACACAGATACATAAGATAGATTGCTCTCCCTCTAAGAGGTTACAGTGTAACAGGAAAACTTCAATAAACACAACTACTGCAGAGAGGACTGGATATAATGGCAACAACAGACATGTCTGGTTTATCTCACTGAGCTCTCATATCACACATATCACACATCTTAGCACATGATGACCTACAGAGATATTCACTGTTTTCCAAGTATACTTTATTGATCCTTACTTTCTGCAAGTATGAACTCTCAGCTAGAGTTTCCCATTGCTCATCTATTGTGTTCTTTCCTAAATAGAAACACAGTAGCAGCTTAATAAAAAGTTGCTGACAGAATGATACACATGCTAGAGAAGTGCCTATGTGTGCAATTCTTCACATTTCACCATAGTTTTGAATATCTAGATTTCATCTGCTAAGTCTCAACCCACTCCAGGGTCTGCAATTATATTGTATGTAGCTACGTGCTGGATTCTTTTTAGGGGAGACAATATCTAAATCAACATTCTCAAATCAAATCAAATCAAAATGTTCTCAAACATTTTGCTTTCAGAACTCCTATACACACTTAAAACTTATTGAGAAACCCTGGCACACATTTTTTAAAAACATGTTATATCTGCCTAGATTTATTGTATTAGAAATTAAAGCTGAAAAATGTTTAAAACTTCCATTAGCCATCAGAGCAATGATGTCATTGCACATCTAGTAATCTCTGAAAAACTCTACCATGTATTTGTGGGATTGCAAGTTAAAAAGGCAAAACTATGAAAATAGTTTCAATTTCAACAGACACCCTGAAAGAGTCTCAGGAGTCCTTAGACCACACCCTGCGAACCGATGATTGAAATCAGCTGTCTCCTAGCTTTCCCTTGTCCTGGCATCTAGTTATAATTATCCTTCAATTTTATTCAATTATCCACAAACCATTTAGAAAAATTCACCCACACAGTTAAGCCTTCAGCTGAAACAAAGCCTCACGACCAAAAAGATATTGGGATAGAAGAAAAAAGACATGGAGATACACACATTCAACCCTAACATTTTATCTTATGGAGTCTAAAATATTTCTTTTCACTGGCTTAAATTCTACGTAGAGTCTGTGCTTTGGAGTTGTTAATTCTCCAAGACGTATACCTGGGAACCGTGAATTCTACTACTGTATTCATTACAATGTAATTCTACTGCAACAAAAGAGAGGTCCTGAAGAACATTCCATTGACCTGTGTACTCTCTGGGACTCACAGTTTCTCACTGGTATTATTCTACTCTCTACTTTACTCATCGTCAAGCTCCCTAAACCCCACAGCAGGTATTAGCTAGACATCTCTAGCAGCAAATCAGCTTCTGTTCTGTTTAGGAGAAAGAAAAATGTTTCTACTACAGAAAGTATACACACAATCATTTCCTTGGATCTCAACTGAGGTGTGATTTTGAAAGCTTGTGATTTAAACCTTCACAAACAAAATAGGGATATTACTGAGGATGAGAAAGAACACTTTTTAAAAAACCTATCAAACCAAAAACATGTGGCTTTGAATGTCTTCATTAAGAAGGAACAGTCCTTTTTTATAGTTCATAAGTATAAGCCCTTTAAAATTTTCAATACAGTATTTATGAAATATATGAAAATTAATAGCGTATATAGAAAAGGTACAAACTGGACTAGCCTCTGGAGAAAACTGATTAGAAATGCTGAAATCTTCAAGAGTTGGCTAAGTTTCATAGGAGCATTACTCAAGCCACACTTTAGAGTTCTCATAACTGGTTAACCTAAAAATGTTACTGTGTTCTTGGGGAAAGTTACTATCCTTTGACCACACCAAGAAGGGGAAACTTCATTCACTCCAATGATGACACTTGTTTAACTACTGGAGGGGGATACAAAGTTGCCTTCTGAGGAGATGCTGGCTTTGCCTGCAGGTGCCACTATGGTTTACCTGCACAGAGATATGGAGGTACCTTTATATCTGGACATGCTAGTTAGATTATTCAGGTTTTCATAACCTTTCCATCTGGTTTCTAAAGCATTTATAAAGTAACCAACTTTGATCAACAATATAGAAAACTAATAAAGACAGCACTCCAAAACCTCATCTGTTTTCTTCTGTTCCTTCTGTCTGTTCCTTCAAAGTACGACATCTGCTATCCAGCTTTTGCTGAATGACTGGCTCAAAGAAAGTGTAATTTAGGGAAGATATAAGAGGGGCTATTTGCCCTCCTCTAGGTAAGCAACGTTTTATACTTAGATCAACTTAGGCCAAAGGAACACATCAGCCTAACCTCTCAGAATTTTACCTAAACTGTATTTTATGTAGCTCCATTTCTACATCTGTTGTAAAACTATTTTTGAAAATCACCATCTATCTGTCATTTAATATCTCTTATTGTCAGAAACTTCTTTCTGGCTTTAATGTCCAAGGAAAGTCTGTCTCTCCCTTAAAGAACTGGCATGCTTTCTCTTTCTGATGAGTGCAATATTTTGCCTACATCACCAGCAATCACAGATAGCCATGAAAAAAAAAAAAGAAATTAACTGTATTCAAGAGTTCCAACAGAACTTGCCTGAGTAAAATTAATTTCAGGTGTCTACAGAACATGTGGCTAGAAAGCTCCAACAGGCCTGGACCTCAAGAGAGAGACTTGGGGATAAGTAAAATACTTGGGAATAGTAATAACAGTATTTAATGAGCAATTTCCATACACAAGGCACTGTACAAAAAGTTCACATGCTTTTCACACACATTATACACATAATCCTAAATGATCAGGCACAGGGAAAAAAAAAAAGACTTGAGAAATATGATCACTGGCAGAACAAAGCTCACTCCAAGGCAGGAGAGGAAGACAATGAGGAACACAGAGCAGTGGCTCTTTTCTTAACTTTTACCCTGATCTGAATGGGAGGAAATGCAAGAAATGATTTGGGTGGTCTGATTAGTGTCTAGTCTTCACAGATGGAAGCAAAATAATGTGATGGCCTAAAGATTTTACTTAAAAGCCAGAATTTCATCTAGTAAGTGACAGTAGTTGTATGAAGTGGCACCATGTTGAAGAAGATTCTAAGGGTGTTTCTTGATTCAGCAAGAAGAAATGTTAGGCCATGTTCAATTAGCAATATCTCCAATTACGACTGGCTAGGGAGAGAAGGCTGTTCTGTAATATGGCTGTAACAAGAACACTGAATATTTGCCATCCTAGAACTAAATATTTCTACTCTTGACGTAACTCCATCCTACACATACCAGAAGTCTAATTTTTCTAGTTGCACTGTGATGCAAATAAAAATTCATCTGTCAAAATAGGAAGTGAAGAAAAAGTGGACATTAGATCTGGGCCAAGTTAGGGGGCTGCAGCCACATTTTTTTTTTTAATGAAATAGAAGGAAAAGTATCAAGAATACATCATACATAGGGTTAGAGTTGGATAAAGTTTGGATGTCTGCCCCCTCCAAATCTCATGTTGAAATATAATCCCCAGTGTTGGAGGTGGGGCATGGTGGGAATTGTCTGGGTTATGAGGGCGGATCCTGCATTAATTGCTTGGTGCCCTCCCTGCAATGAGTTCACGCGAGATCTGGCTGTTTAAAAGAGCCTGGCACCTCCGCCTCTCTCTCTGTCACTCCCTCTCTCACCATGCGACATGGCCACAAGTGTAAGCTTCCAGAGGCCCTCACCAGAAGCAGATACCAGTACCTTGTTTCTTGTACAGACTTCAGAACCATGAGCCAAATGAACCTCTTTTCTTTATAAATTACCCAGCCTCGACTACTCCTTTACAGCAACACAAACAGACTAACACAAAGTTGTTTGATAAAATTTTTCCTTTTCATAAATGTATGTATCTATATGGTCATTACATAAAATATGTTTCTTACTATGGGTCTTAGTCAAAAAAATTTTGAAAGTCACTAGATAAGATGATCTCTAAGATTCCTTCTAGTGCTTTTAAAAAAAGAAAAAATATTTATTAACAGTTTTTAACTACTTTTTATTAAAAAATAATCTTCAACATTAAACTCTTAATGATTTAGTTCTTTTAACAGGTACATAAAATTAAAAGGATAAGAAATATAAATAGCTAACAAGACAACGATGCCTATTTTTGAAATACCTAAGAACTAGGTTTCTGTAACAAGACGTGCCTGTGGTATTCTATTTATGTTACAGTCATTTTGAGGATCAGTGATTTCACTGTATGACATTCAGCTTTCGTAGCTGAACAGCAAATTGGCTGTTACAAAATTTATACCAGAGTCAATGATGTATTTACATTTTCAGTCATAATATTTCTGAAAATATGCCTGAAATTTACAAGTAAAATCTTTCAGTAATATATAGTGTGCTGTGTTTGTGGTTTGGGGGAGGAGGGGTGAACAACGAATATCTCAATGAACTCAACATATTTTATCTTGGTAAAAAAACCCAAACAAATTCCTTAACGTAAATATATCTTTTTTATTATTAACATAAAAGTGACTTGTTTATTGTATAGATTTTAGAAAATACCAAATAATGTGAAAAAAAAATCATCCATAATCCCATATTAAAGTAAACATTGTTCATCTTTGGGAGTTCAGAAACAAATATTAAACAACTGGCAAAAACCAGTATCAGAAACAGATTCTAAACTCTATGTGTCAGTAAGCACAGTATAAAAATTTACTGAGAAACTGTCAAACACCTTCATTCTAATGCAATTTTTATACTCTGTAATTTTTCAACACCAATATTTTGAAGATTACAGAGCAAGCCACACTGAAGCTTTTCATTTATCAGAGGCACTAAGATTCCTTCCAATTGAATGGCACAGATTTTTATGCCAGTTGATAACCAAAATGAGACATCACATGCAATATGTTCTCCGAGGCTTTTTAAAATCAATCGATCAATCAATCAATCAATCTATGTATCTATGTATCTATCTACCTACCTACCTACCTACCTATCTACCTATCTACCTACCTACCTACCTACCTTACTTATTATTTATTGAGATGGAGTCATCTCACTCTGTCACCCACGCTGGCGTGCAATGGCGTGATCTTGGCTCACTGCAACCTCCGCCTCCTGGGTTCAAGTGATTCTCCTGCCTCAGTCTACCGAGTAGCTGGTATTAAAGGTGTATAGCACCACGCCTGGATACTTTTTTTGGTATTTTTAACAGAGATGGGTTTCACCATGTTGGCCAGGCTGGTCTCGAAATCCTGACCTCAAGTGATCTGCCCGCCTCGGCCTTCCAAAGTATTAGGATTACAGGCATGAGACACCACGCTCGGTCAGGGCTTTTATTTTAATACTTAAACCACTACTACGTCAAGTGTTTTCCACAGGCCAGTTATCTATAATAAGTTCAGAAAATGAGATTGCGTAGAAACTTATTTAGCAATTTTACATTGCCGTATTTTAATTATATTTTACAAAAGTCATCAATCAGTCTGCAATGAACTGGAAATTGTTTTTTAAATGGTCTTTGACAACAGATTTTTTTAAAGAAACAAAAATCATTTTATCAACAATTTATATCACATTTAGAGCAAGAGTTTTAAAACAAAGTTTATTCCAGGAACATAATGAAATTTTTCGCTACCTCTTGGCATACTAAGCTTCCTTCCACGTGCATTTTCATTGACCCTTAGTCCCAGCACTTATAACCAGCACCTAATTACTCATTAGGATACAGATATTACTCTCTCTTTGAGAGATGGAAGAGACCCCTTCTACCAGCAGTTCACAGCTTTCCAGCCTCTCCTGCCTCCAAATAACCCCTTCTCTCTTCTATCAAGTGCCTGGAAAAGTGCTTTTGGATCTATTCAAGGTTACTCTCATATATGAACATACTTTATCATCTTAAAGAGGCCCTACTCTTTTCTTTAATAAACATTTATAACCATTGAACAAAGCATATTTTTGCTCAAAGGGCACAGTTTACAAAATGGTATTGTTTCTATAAAAATTCCAAGGTTTAAAAAAGTCTGTCACTAGAGTTTATGACCTCTAAGTCCCAATCATCTAAGAAATATGATGTTTTAAAAGTCTAAATATAATTTTGTTAAATGATGAGCACTGTAGCATTGTTTCTTTAAGTCTAATTGGTTTTTCAATTAAGAATTTCCAATTTTCAGTCTCGATATTTTCAATCTCAGATATGTTTATAGACATAATTAATACTCAGGAATGATACCCATTCATGCAGTTTACTCAGTTTATTTTTTATTTGATAAAAACCCAATACATGTAGATCATTAAGAACATTAAAGAAAAATAGAACTATTTCAGTATTCTTACCTTGGACCCTGACAACATACTGGTCAACATTTTTGTTCCGCTTCCAATTCCAACAACTACAAATCAAAGAAAGAAATATTATGACACTCTGTTCTGAAAACTAGGTTTTTAAAATAGCTATATTTTTTGGTCATAATTTCCCAGCTTAGGTAATGTGAAGTGGGAAAGAACAGATATTTAGCAAAATGTTAGGGCTCCTATTACTCCAAACAGTTGAACTTGTCATGCAACTAAGAAATTCTAAAGAAGGGACAAGAGAAGACCTTTCTCCCCATTCTCAAAGTATTAAACTCAGTAGAAACCTTAACCCAGCCAATTAGACAATGAAGCCTTAGAACAATCTCAAAGGACGCACTGGAATTTTATATGGGCACCAGTGAAAAACACACGGCACAATTAACCATGTTCAAGTGGGTATGATAAAGTCTTTTGACAGAATTCATTATTAAACAAAGCAAAAGCCATTATCACAGCTAATGAACCATTTAAAGATGATTAGCACCCAGCAGTATATACAATCAAGAAAAGAGAAACATAACAAATCAGTCTAACACAAAGAATACAAGGTAAAATGAAGGCTGAAGAATGTATTTACAGAGCCCAAAGTACAACAATGGCCTACCTTTCTCTTAAATTTCAAACATTATTCATACGTCAACACATTTCACTTGGTGAGGGTGAGAGGATTTAGTCACTTCTCTTTTTGTTAAGAAGCCACATTTTTGTAAGTATAGAAATATTTGTCATCAACAGATATAACTGTGCATAAGAACACAATACAATCACCACAATTCAGAATTATAAGAGTAAACAAGGACTACTGATTGGCAAACTAGAAAAAATATCTCCAATATTTACAGCAAATACCATTCAGTGAGTTTACCATGTATCAGATTCTACTCTAAATGCTCTCCTTTCATTATCCCATTTAATCCTTATAACAACTTTAAAAGGCCAGGTGTGTTGGCTCACGCCTGTAATCCCAGCATTTTGGGAGGTTGAGGCGGGCGGATCACCTGAGGTCACGAGTTCAAGACCCACCTGACCAACATGGAGAAACCCCGTCTCTACTAAAAATACAAAATTAGCCAGGTATGGTGGCGCATGCCTGTAATCCCAGCTACTTGGGAGGCTAAGGCAGGAGAATCGCTTGAACCCAAGAGGCAGAGGTTGCGGTGAGCCAAGATCACACCATTGCACTCCAGCCTGGGTGACAAGAGCAAAACTCTGTCTCAAAAAAAAAAAAAAAAAAACTTTAAAAGATAGTATAATTACCCCTGTTGATAGATGAGGAAACAGGAATAAGAGACTAAGAACTTTGTCCAGCATCTCACAACCAGTACCTGGTAGAGTTAAGATTCAAACCAAATGGTCTAAGAACAGACCCCCCTTCCTTTCCATTCCCTCTGCCACCTTAACTCACCTAGGCTTTCTCCTCACTGCAACCAGCCTACATCCCTGCAAACCTGACGGTTCTACATCCTATCCCTTCCTCTTCCAATTCATACCACTTCATAACCATTTCTGAAACCCTATTTTTCACATTACAAAGCCCCCCAAACAATCCTTAGTAGGGTCCCAGTGCCTACAGCACCAACTCCTTATTAAAGTATTCAAAGTCAATCCTTTGAAGCCCAGCTCAAGCCCCAACTCATTCATAAAGTCTATTCCAACCTCCTCAAAACCTCTATGACACTCATCTGTATTGTCCTTCTAAGTCATATAGTTCAAGGTCTAAGATCAAAAACAGTCTGTCCTCAGTAATCCTCTGAAGAGCATAATACTCTTCAAATGACAGAACTTGTAGATACTGCTGCTGATGAGGCAAACAGGAAAGATTCAATGCGACTTGATTCCATTCAAATAAATCTCCAATCAATTTTTCTTGAACAACTACTATGCACATAATCCCAAGAGGAATACTTCCAATGGAAAAACAAAGAAACCTGTGACACATTTCCTAACTCTGAAACAGCTTATAATCTCATCAGGAAAATAAAATACAGAAAAATCACAGTGCTCAAGAAATGTTGCCTAATGAGTGAATAATGCTAAATAACAATATGATAGTATATGATTAAGTGTCAAATGAACAGAGAGAGAACCGCTGCCAAAGCAGGGCAAAGGTGGGAGCATCCTAAACGGCTAAAGAGGCCGGAGAATGCTTCATTCAAGCATTTCGGAGTTTGTATTAGGCCTTTGAAGGATGTATAGGGAACACAACAGAGAGAAGAGAAGCATGTTCTAAAAAAGAAAATAATTGCACAAACTCTCAGATACAAGGATGAGAACAGTAGGTTTATCAACTGAACACAGGGTGTCTTAGAAGCAGACTGACATGTTTGACTTTAACATGGCTGAAATACTGAACTCATGATGGTTTCTGAGCTAGTTTAGTGACCCAGAAGGATAAAATTTAAAAGAAGCCATCTTAGAGTTACCCAGCTTAATCCTCTCATTTTAACCTAAGAATAACCAAATGCCATTGAAGTGAGGTGATTAGTGAAAGCAGAATTTTAGGAAGACTAATATGGTGGTGGCATATAGAAAAATTATCTGGAGTTGGGACCTAGCCAACCAGCAGCTTTTCATTCACAGGTTAGTTTCCCGGACAGAATTTTTACTCGGCATTTTTTCCCTTCAATCATTCAAAATTGTATCCAGTACTTATTGTGTAGGTACAGAAATAAATAAGACCTGGCTTCAGCTGTGATTTAACAATATAATAGGGAGACAGATATTAACAAAAACTAAAAGAACAAAATGAAATTTTACATTAGCAGTATAGAAGAGCAGCAGGCAGGCTTCAAAGGTAGGAAATGGCATTTCAGCTGAACCTGGAAAGGTCAGTAGGACTTCTACAACCAAAGGTGCTGAGAGAGATGAGCAGCTTATAAAAGAAAAACATGAGCAAAGGCACCACATTTGAAAAGGTGTGGAGAATTTAGAGAGCAGATGAATAACGGGGTTTTCCATGCACTGTTGCACAATTACTACTCTCCTACTCTATCTCCCAAGTGTTCTGTGCTCACTCAAATGTCTTTTCCGTTAAAAAAACAAAAACAAAAATAACTATCTCCAAACTTATCCAATGTCCTAGTATCCCATTCTCAAATCAAAAAGATAGAATTTGTTTATGATGAGAGTCTCTTTAGGACAGGCATGGACTCTATACATGTATTTCCAGCTTTCTGTAGGATCATCTTACAAGACCTGTATCTTTCCAATCGTAGGAATCTATTTTAAGAATCTGAAACATCTGGCTGATACAGATGTGTGGGTAAAAACTAAAAACAAAACAAACAAAAAGTTCTATCTATAAAGACATCTCTCACAAAATCAGTTCTGACAAAACTCTGGTGATAACCTCAGTGACCTCAAATAGGGAAATGGTTAATAAATGGTATTTTAGCCATATGATGGAACATTTTATAGCCATTAAAAATAAAGTTTACAAAGAGCTTATCAACATGAACAATGTTTATGTTACAATGTTAAGTTTAAAAAAATGGATATATAAGTATACACAGTGAAGTAGATCTCAACTTTAAAAATCTGCATAGACAAAAAGCTACAAGGAAATATGGCAAAAATGTTAACTGACTATTGATGAAAGGTGGAAAATGGATAATTTTTTATTTGCAACTTTCTTGTATTTTCTAAATTTTCTCACTGTTTCTATAACCTCTAAAGTTAAAAAAATTTTTTTGAAATGGTATATAGAAATTTTATTTACATTTTAAGTGATTTATGATAAATAGGTGTATTCCTTTCCTATTGCTACTGTTAACAAATTACCAATCTGTCTTAAAACAATACAAACTTTTTATCACATAGTTGGGGAGGTGAGAAGCCTGAAACAGGTTTAACTAGGCTTAAAATCAAAGGGTTGGCTTGACCGTGTTCTTCTCTGGAGGTGCTAGGGGAGAATCCTTCACTAGAGCCTCCGTAGAGGACCTTTTTTTTTTTGCCTCCTCCAGCTTTTAGAGGCTGCCCCCATTCTTTGGCTTGTGATCCCCTTCACTCTTCAAAGCCAGCAACCACATTACTCCAACCTCTGCTTCCACTGCCACATCTCCTCTGACTCTCTCTTCTGCCTCCTCTTCCACTTTTAAAGAATATTGTGATTACATTGGGTCCACTTGGAAATTCCAGGATAATCTATCTTAAAGTCAGCTGATTAGCAACATCAATTCCATCTACAACCCTAATGTTCCTTGTGATGTAACCTAATATATTCACAGGTTATGGAAATTAGGACACAGACACCTTTAGAGGGCCATTATTTTGCCTACCACGTATTTTTGAGAAACTTGTGAACCCTCTAGCAATTATGCTATAGAATTATAAACCTGAATTTCAGGTTATAATCTTAAATTGTCAGCTAAATTCTTAATCTGCACCATTAATATTGCAAAAAAAAATGTTGAAAGTAAAAGTATATTTTTTTTGCATAGGTCCAGTTTTAGTTTTGTTTGTTTGTTTGTTTGTTTCAAAAAAGACCTTTTGGCCGGGCATGGTGGCTCACACCTGTAATCCCAGCACTTTGGGAGGCAGAGGTGGGCAGATCACTTGAGATCAGGAGTCCAACACCACCCTGGTCAACATGATGAAACCCTGACTCTACTAAAAATACAAAAATTAGCAGGGCATGGTGGCAGTCGCCTATAATCCCAGCTAGTCAGGAGGCTGAAGCAGGAGAATCAGTTGAATTTGGGAGGTGGAGGTTGCAGTGAGCTGAGATCACGCCACCGCACTCAAGCCTGGACAACAAGAGCAAGACTCATCTCAAAAAAATAAATAAATAAAAATAAAAAAGACCTGTATACAGCACTTCACAGGATAAAGTATATATCTATATACTATAGGTATTTTGTAAAATATTTTTGAAAACCTTTTGACTTAGTTTTGGTAGACGTTATCTTCTTTTAAGAGATGAAGACACGTTCAGTGAAGTTACGAGATTTTCTTAGGATGTATACAGTTAGTAACTAAAGCAGCCAGTAGCCAGTGTACAAACCGAAGTATGATTAGAGTTCAGTGTTTATTTTATCACACAATCAAAAATCGACTTCTCATAAGTTTCCAGAACTGCTAACTTGGACAACAAACATCCCTTACTCTGTGACTAAACACCTACAATTTTTTAAACTTTCTCTCTCCTCGGAAATCACATGCATTAAAAGAAAAATTAATACATCTGACATATGAACATATTATATCATCATAAAATTCCCTGTGTGATCAAATATAAATTGAGCCTCCAACCAGAAAACTGTTTCCAATACAATTTCTTCCACGCATACAAATCTCAGCCCCTTCACAATACTAAAATGGAAGCTTCAACAAGATCCCTTAGGCCAAGAGTGTCCAATCTTTTGGCTTCCCTGGGTCACAATGAAAGAAGAATTGTCTTGGGCCACACACATAATACACTAACGATAGCTGATGAGCTTAAAAAAAATAAAAATCACAAAAAAACTCATGATGTTTTAAGAAAGTTTACAGATTTGTGTAGGGCTGCATTCAAAGCTGCCCTAGGCCACGTGCAGCCCACAGGCCAAAGGTTGGACAAGCTAGCCTTAGGTTCAGGGTAAAAACTAAACTTTCATTCACTGCCTTGAATATCACTATTTTCTGCATGCCAATGAAGAACCGCCACCCGAAATTAATAGAATTGATCTATTCGTAAACAAGCAACTGATCTGATCCTCTCTTTCCTTGTATTTGTGGTGCCATGCCTGGAAAACAGTAAAGCAGAAGGGTTAGAAACACAGGCTTCAACTCAAAGGCCAACTCTAATCAACTGGTATAGGCTACTGAAGTGCTAAGCTGGTAAGAATCATGAAGCCCTAATTTCTGCCAAGAGCACAGGGCATGAGGAACAAAAGCAGGAGCACCAGGTATCTGCCATCCACAATAGGGCAGATGATTTGGAACTGAGCAGATCTGGGCTCAAATCCTGACTTTGTCACTCACTAATTCTATGACAGTGAACATGTTACTTTATCTCTCAGGGTCTTCCTTTCTTCTTCTGTAAAATGGGGATAGTAATAACCTCTCTTATAGGTTACAATGAGAATTAAACTATAGAACTTATGAATACCCAAAACTGAAGACCTTATATACAGTAAATGCTCAATAAATGCTTGTTATTATTAACTGGGGTTTTTGTTTTGTTGTGCTTGTTTTTTTGGGGTGCAGTGGTGCAATCACAGATCACTGCAGCCTCAACTTCCCAGGCTCCAGTGATCCTCCCACCTCAGCCTCCCAAGTAGCTGGGACTATAGGTATGTGTCACCACACCCAGCTAATTTTTTAATTTTTTATAGAGATGGGGTTTCGCCACATTGTCTAAGCTGGTCTTGGACTCTTGGGCTCAAGCAATCCACCTACCTCGGCCTCCCAAAGTACTGGGATTATAGGCATGAGTCACTGTGCCCAGCCTGATTTTTTTCTATTTTATGTTTGTTTATTTATTTATTTACTGAGACAAGAGTTTCACTCTTGTCACCCAGGCTGGAGTGCAGTGGCGCGATCTCAGATCACTGCAACCTCTGTCTCCTGGGTTCAAGTGATTCTCCTGCCTCAGCCTCCCGAGTAGCTGGCATTACAGGCACATGCCACCATGCCCGGCTAATTTTTGTATTTTTAGTAGAGACAGGGTCTCACCATGTTGGCCAGATTGGTCTCGAACTGATTTTTTCTATTTTAACCTCAAGTAAAAATATTATTGCCAACATAAATCTATAATTTTAGAAAATACAAAATCATACAGTATATAATGTTCTTGAAGCATACTATTTTCTTCACCGATTTTATCCTTTTAAATAAGCGCTCATTTACTTTGGATAGCTTAGATCAAGGTTTGCTGTTGTTTCTTTGTACCTAATTTTTGCTCTAAATGAAACTGAATAAAATATAAAATACCAGAGCATGTAAAAAGATAAGTATTGTTCCATAAAAGTTTGTTTCTCATATGTCGGGAAGGGGGCACTGAGAGGGATCCCAATGTATGTAGGTAGTTCTGTGACTAAGGATGCAGTTACAGAGTAAAATATACCCTAGCCTGTGTATACACACTTTAGCAGTCCATTAAGTTGGACTTCAGAATCTCTACCAGGTGCAAAAAAAAAAAAAAAAAAAAAAGATGGAATAAAAAAGGATAAAATATTTTTATTCCCTTCGATCAATTCTACCAATTTTCCTTCACAAGCAATAAAACGGTCAACTAATACATCTCCAGCCGAAAATGACTTACTCTCAAGCTTCCCCTTCTCAAGAGAGTTGATCTCAGAGATTAGATTAGAGATAGGCAGACAAACAGAGCCTTCTACCTTGTCAGGAATCCCCAAGACCAGCCCACATTCGAAGATTGATATATAGCTCAGAATTTTACAGTGATGTAGTAAGAATACACAGCTGGACCATAAGAGAAAAAGACACAGAGAAATCTGGGCACAAGCTTCCTTATCCTCTCTCCCTCCTGTGAGGGGATGCTCAAGCGTGCTGCTTTCTCCAACAACAAAAAAAGCGGTAACACATGTGCAATGTTTCTCTCAGGGAAGCTCATTAGAAACTCAGTGCCCAAAGCTGTGTTTTGTTTTGTTTTGTTTTGTTTTGAGACAGTCTCCCTCTGTCGCCCAGGCTGGAGTGCAGTGGTGCGATCTCGGCTCACTGAACACTCTGCCTCCCAGGTTCAAGTGATTCTTCTGCCTCAGCCTCCCAAGTAGCTGGGATTACAGGCACATGCCACCACACCCAGCCAATTTTTGTATTTTTAGAAGAGACAGGGTTTCACCATGTTGGTCAGGCTCGTCTCGAATTCCTGACCTTGTGATCCACGCGCCTCAGCCTCCCAAAGTGCTGATTACAGGCATGAGCCACTGCACCCGGCCCCAGTGCCCAAAGCTTTTATTGGGGATTTGACAGGATGATCACTCAGGCACCCTCTGCCTTAGCAGTGGAACAAAATTCCAGATTCCTAGAAGGAAAGCTGGTGTTCTCAGAACATCTGAGGCACAGCCAACCAGCCTTATCAGACAGAGAAGGGTGGGAACACTCCCAAAATCCAAGTTCCCAGATACCAACCAAGGGCAAGCTGTCCAAGCAAGCCTTTCTAAAGATAGTAATTTCAGGCCTGCTATGTTAACTCTTTTCTGCACAGAGAGAAACCTTTTTTCAAAGTCCCATCCACACATAAAAGTAGCTATTTCTAACAGCCTTGTAGGCCTTGTACCATTTAAGGGCTTCTTTAAAAGATGGCACTATATATATCCAGTAGATCTGAAACATTCCAAAATGACTGAAAAATAGAAGGCTTTAGTCAATCTATCTGTTCTCAACCAGTGTTTCTTTCTGATATTAAGTGACAGTGGACACTTAACTGCCTTTCATATCTCTTACCCAGAACTCCTCGGGCTGCGCTGTCTAGAGTCCCTCCATGCCCAATTTTCAAAGTCTGCTTTTTCCTCTTGGTCCATTCTGGAGAAGGCATTCCAGCTTCTATGAGAGAAATGGGGATGAAAAAAGGTGATCACCAAGACAAATGAAGTAGGATCTTCATAAACTTGGGAGGAAAAGGGGATGGCATTTTCAAAACAAACAAAAAGTATTATACAAACTTTACATGTTAAGAGACTATGACCTCATTACTAGCAAAGAAAAGATTTTAAAATGGACATTCCCTAAATTATAAAGAAAGAGTATTCCAAAATCAGCTATCAAGACAGTAGAATTCATTCTCTAAGAGAAAAACGGCATTTTTAAAAGGTGGGTAAATATCCAAGCTAACCCGCAAAAATCTAGTAAATTCTTGGTAGTGGTGGGCTGTTAGATAGAGAATCATGAAAAGAAGTTAATTTTTATATAGAAAGATACTTTTAAAAGTCCTCAATTTCCATTTCTGAATCTCTTCCATGGTCTTTGCTGCTATCTCCAGCTACCTAACATTGCGAGTACATCTCATGCAGGGCTACTTCTAAATACACTAAATTCCCAAACTCCCTGCATTCGCTGTCTCCTTCTCCTAACCAAAATTTTCAATTCATTAAAGAAGCGAATCTAGGCCGGGTGCTGTGGCTCACACCTGTAATCCCAGCACTTTGAGAGGCCGAAGCGGGCGGATCACGAGGTCAGGAGATTGAGACCATCCTGGCTAACACGGTGAAACACCGTCTCTACTAAAAATACAAAAAATTAGCCGGACGTGGTGGCGGGTGCCTGTAGTCCCAGCTACTCAGGAGGCTGAGGCAGGAGAATGGTGTGAACCTGGGAGGCGGAGTTTGCAGTGAGCCAAGATCACGCCACTGCACTCTAGCCTGGGCGACAGAGCAAGACTCCGTCTCAAAAAAAAATAAATAAATAAACAAAGGAAGCGAATCTCAACAAAACGTTATGTGGAAAGCAGCTAAGATTAAGTTGCACCTTAACTTCCTAAGCATTTAGATTTTTAAAAAGAGGATGCCAGCCCGGCTTATCTCATATTCCTGTTGTAAACATAAAGTGAGCCGGGCACAGTGGCTCATGCCTGTAATCCCAGCACTTTGGGAGGCCGAGATGGGTGGATCACTTGAACCTGGAAGTTTGAGACCACCCTAGGCAACACAGGGAAACCCTGTCTCTACCCAAAATAAAATACAAAAATTAGGTGGGCATGGTGGTGTGCACCTATAGTCCTTGCTACTGGGGAGGCTTAGGTGAGAGGACTGCTTGAGCTCAGGAGGCAGAGGTTGCAGTAAGCCAAGACTGTGCCACTGTATTCCAGCCTGGGCAACAGAGTGAGATCCTGTCCTGTTTAAAAAAAAAAAAAAGATAATGCAAAATAATGTTACTTGAAAGTACTTTGGGGAGACAGAGCCAGTGCTTCCTTCTGGATAAATATAAATTGTTTTTGATGATGGCATATAACATACTGAGAGAGTATTGGCTATTAGACTTCAAGTGAGAAAGAAGAGAAAAGCAGGAACTGCTACATTGATCTATACCTGCCCCCAAGCCCATCAAACCTTCCTTATCAACACTGACACTGAGCAGAAAGAAAATAAAGCAAAGAAAACGAAACGAGTGGACAGAGAAGGGAGGAGGGAAAACAAAGCAACAGTGGAAATGCAGAAGCCAGATTAAATGGCCAAAAGGATATGCTGGGTGGCTCGGCCTCCCAACAAAATTACCACTCTACTGAGTCAGAACCATGGTCTCTGGAACACCCTGGCGTCATTCCCTAATTATGACATCACCATACTTAGAAGGGTATGGTTGTCTGCTTTGACATAAACTTCTAAGGCCAGACCTCAGTTTCAAACCCTTGATCTGTCACTTGCAATCCATCATGGATCTCTCACTCATAAATTAACAGAAACCTTTTGGGGAACTCTTTACATTTTCAACTTGACACCCCTTGGAGTAAGAAGGCCCCATAAATATACTATCTTCCCTTTGTGCCCAAATATACCTCCTTCTAACTTGCAGACGTACTGCCTCTACTATATAAAGTGGGGAATTTGGTTCACCCCACTGAACTAAGTATTCGTGGATTTTTATTATTTTCTAGCTATAAAATTCTGGTACACTTAGGGCTTTGAAGGATCCCAACAGACAAACAGTAGAGATTGTAGCATAATAGGAATCAATGCAAAGAAAGACAAGGAATGGTATTAGAGGACACAACCACTGATCATGGTTGTCAAACATGGCATTAGAATGTAGGTATCTTTAAGAACCTTCCCAAGGCCGGGAGTGGTGGCTCATGCCTGTAATCCCAGCATTTTGGGAGGCTGAGGCGGGCAGATCACCTGAGGTCGGGAGTTCGAGCCCAGCCTGACCAACATGGAGAAACCCCGTCTCTACCAAAAATACAAAATTAGCTGGGCATGGTGGTGCATGCCTGTAATCCCAGCTACTTGGGAGGCTGAGGCAGGAGAATCACTTGAACCCAGGAGGGGAAGGTTGCAGTGAGCCGAGATCTTGCCATTGCACTCCAGCCTGGGCAACAACAGCGAAACTCCATCTCAAAAACAAAAACAAAAACAAAAACTTCCCAAGCAATTCTGACAGCCAATTACAATGACATTTGGAAAGCCCTAGCCTAACTAACATAAATACAAAATAGGCCAATCACAAGCAATATAGAAATCGAGGATAATGAGAATGTCTCTAGCTAAAGGTTCTAGCCTAGCAAGAGCCTTGAAACATTTTAACCAAGATTCAACAAGAAACTTCAGTTCTTAGAGGCAGATTAGCCAGAAGGCCAGAATATGGCTTTGTCAGAAACTTGTCTGAAAGAATGGTAATCATTACCTTAAGGATAAAAAAAAAAAAAAAAGAAAAGAAACCCAGAGTTTAGCTAACAAATCAGGAAAGCAGCAGTTCTATGAAGGAAAACTAAAAAACTATGATGATACCACAATACATATCCTTGATGCAATTCCTCACTTTGACGTCCTCTGTATGACCCATACTTTCAGGCAACAAAGCAAAACTTTAATAAAAGAATAAGTAGTCGTGATACTGGAATTAAACATCTGCAGGAGTGTACCTATTTGCCCATAAACACTTAAATCTGTACTGTCAGTTATAATTCCCATCAGAATAATTTGTTTTTGCATTTTTTTAAAGTGTAAAGTTTTCCATGGGACACTAAACAATGTAAGAAAGTCCCTGTTACTGGTTTAATGGCGAGACAGAATACGGCCAAACTCTGGAGGGCCTTGAATAACCTAACTAACTAGTTTTACCACCACAAGGTGCAGAAATTACTAGGCTATCAGCTCAGTTAAGGTAAGAGAGTTATCTTTCATCTTCAAGTCTCTATAGGCTAGCACAGACCTGGCTTATTGTATATGTCCAATGAACTTAAGGATCCTGGATGCTTTATGTGTGAAATCATCCGAGCTGATTAACGGGGTGATTCTCTAGGCTTTTCTACTATTTTCCCAGTGTACGTGAATAAACGAATCAATAAAATGAACACTCTCAGCTTAGTGGCCAAGTTATATTTAGTGTTCCTCAAATGTGGTCCATAAACTACTTACACTGGAATCACCTGGAGCAACTATTTAGAATTGCAGTTTCCTAAAAATACCCCGAACTCTCCGAATCACAATCTCGGACAGGGCAGGGATTAGGAATCTGTATTTGTACAAGAGACTCTAAGTAATTGTTAGGCCCATTAAAATGTGAAAACGACTATATTAAGTCTTGGTTAACGAAGTATATCTGCATTTCCAATACATTTTGAGGAATGCAACTTTAGGGGTGCAGAACCAGTACTTCCTTTTGGGGTTCATCCACATGAACCCAACAAAAGCCTCCTGAGGGATCGATCAGATTACAGAAAACAGGTCTGCACGCCCAAGGGCAGGGTTTTATTGTGTAAGTACGGGATTTTTTTCCTCCCGTTGAGAACTACAACTGCCAAGTAGGCTACAAGAGTTCGTGCCAGGGCAAGTCCAAGCCCGAGATGCCCGAGATTCCTGTCCAGAGCTAATTCAATGGTCAGTCTCCCTTTCCCCTCCTTTTGTCTCTTGAATCACGAGCGTCGCAAAAAGCCTAATGTGCTTCCCCTCTCGCAGCGACCGCCTCAGCCTGGTCCCCACCCGGGCTGCAGTACCTGCCAGCAGCTTCTCCTTCAACCGATTCAGCAGCTCGGCTGAAGTGGGCCCTTTGGGCTTGTGCACGGCGAACACGCCGCTCAAGGACAGCAGCTTGGTAGCCAAAGCGGCCTTGGAGACCCTGGCTTCGGATCCGGTCCTGGCCGCGGCCGCAACCACCGCGGCTGCAGCCCTTGCTGACGGGGTCGCAGCCATTGCTGCGACCGTTCCTGCAGTTTCAAGGACAGGGGATGTGTCTGTTTTCAAAGACGGCGAAGACACCACCGCCGCCTCAGAAGCGGCCATACTTTTGTAGCCCAGACCTGTTTCATCGTGGAGGTGCACGCTGATGATGCAACAAGAGTGCGCCTGACAGGACCCTCTTCCTCATACCGCGAAGCTGCGCAGAACGGAGAGGTCGCACGGACTTGTGGGAATTGTAGTCCATGGCCTTCCCATATAGACCAAGAGCTTGCTGTGCCCTTGGACTTTAAATAGAAAATTTTAAATGTTGACTTTTCCTGAGGCTTGTGAAGATCCATGGCTTCCTGGGCTCACTGCTTCATTGATTGTATTGTGCTCTTACATTCAGGTTCAGAATTAGAAGACATCCAAATGTGAGCTCTATTAGAGCAAGGAACTTATGTACCACGTTAACTGAGACATTCCCAAATGCCTCACATGTTGTAGGCACTTAAATAAATATTTGAAAACGTATAAATAAGTATGAATTCTTCAAATTCCCCGAAGAAACCAAGCCAATGGTAAATCACTTGTGCTTATTTTGATGCTCTTCATGCACTCCTGTTCACCCTCCCCAAACCCCCACTGACCCCACTACAATTTTTAATAATTCTGATTTTGAATATCAGCTCTTCTGTGGGTTGAATTCCTTAGTACACTTTGTTTAGATATCAAAAGGTATTCTTGCAATTCATAAACTTTAAACCACTTCCCATTTGAGACCTTCTCCCTAAAAGTTATTCACTCCCTAACAAGATTGAGGAATATTGTTTTGATTCCAGCACAAGGCAGAGTGGAGAAAAATTACTTCTGCACCAGAAACATTAAATGCTATCATAACTATTGTGAGACAGATAAAGTTTGCCCTCATTGTTTTTTAGGTTTCTTTACAACCACTCTTTGTCCTCATCATACTCTTGGACTTTAATATCTAGTATTTTAGTGATGCCCCTTAGCTGCTCACAATCACCAGTTATGGGGTCCCATTTGAACTTGCACCCATTCGTGCAACAGACACATGGCAGAACAATTTATTAAAAGGAAAAAAAAATCTTTGAGGGAGTTTTTTCAGGGTGGAAAGCTGAAACTCCTAGAAGGAAGTCACTTACTCTTGTGGTCTATTATAAAAGCCTAAGCTAACTGAAAAGATTGGCATATCACAGGATTAGTGGACACCTGGCCCTGCTTCAAGATGTTAATTTTTCCACAAAGATGTTGTGACTTCAGAAGGGATGACTGCACCCAAAGGAGCATGGTGTCCATTAGCCTCAGGAAAGAGTTCTCTATTCTTGTGCCATGGAAGCAGAGAGCCAGGGACTTGCAGGGAAGGTTGCAAGGCTTGATCAATGATGACTTGGATGACTCCAAGGCACTTGGAGATTAGAGGCCTTTTCCCAATTGTCCGGACATCAGCAAGCCTCCCTATTTCTCTTGTGGCTCTGGGGGTGAGGGATGCAGAGGGAGAACAGAACTAGGGGTAACATATGATGCTTATATTTGAATTTTCCATCAGCCCAGTGTAGGACCAGAGTTAATCTGATTTAAAGAAAATGAAGAAATGTATATTTCTTGCATGTTTGATTTCTGGGATGCTAGGACACAACAAAATTAATGCTACTCTGCTATTATATCGGCATTCTTGGGATCAGAAGCACCAAGCTTTGTTTTTCTAAGGTAATCAACATCTCCCACATTGGGCAGGCCTTGAATTCACAGGTTTTTTTTGCTCCAATACATGTATGAGTTTGGGCTCTTTGGTCAACAGAAAACTGATTCATACCAGCTTGGGGGCACAGGGGGAGAAGATTTATCAGAAATACACTGACACACTATTCAGAACCTAGAAAGTTCTCTGTCTCTAGCTGCACATCCTTCTTTTATGCTACTCACTTGTGTCTTTTTTTTTTTTTTTTTTTTTTTTGAGACAGAGTTTCACTCTTGTTGCCCAGGCTGGAGTGCAGTGGCACAATCTCAGCTCACTGCAACCTCCGCCTCCCGGGTTCAAATGATTCTCCTGCCTCAGACTCCTGAGTAGGTGGGATTACAGGCATGTGGCACCATGCCCAGCTAATTTTGTATTTTTAGTAGGGACGGGGTTTCTCCATGTTGGTCAGGCTGGTCATGAACTCCCAACCTCAGGTGATCCGCCTGCCTCGGCCTCCCAAAGTGCTGGGATTACAGGCACGAGCCATCACGCCTGGCCCACTTGTGTCTTTATTCCTCTTTCCTGTTTCTAACAGGCCTTTTATTCTAACTCTTCATTCCACATCCTTGTTTTAAACCATCCTATTTTGATCCAATTCCAAAAATCTTCTGGATGAAGTCACTCCTGACCACCTACAGAACATAATACCTCCCTCTTTCTATCCCTCTACCATGGCACTTTCCTAGCTAACTTTCTGGCTTTATTTTTTTCCATGGCACATCTCACCTGACATACCATGAAAATGATTCGGATGTTGGTTCCCTCCAAATCTCATGTTGAAACGTGATTCCCAGTGTTGGAGGTTGGGCCTGGTGGTAGGTGATTGGATCACAGGAGTGGACCCCTCATGAATGGTTTAGCTCCCAGTGTTGGAGGTTGGGCCTGGTGGTAGGTGATTGGATCACAGGAGTGGACCCCTCATGAATGGTTTAGCTCCCAGTGTTGGAGGTTGGGCCTGGTGGTAGGTGATTGGATCACAGGAGTGGACCCCTCGTGAATGGTTTAGCTCCCAGTGTTGGAGGTTGGGCCTGGTGGTAGGTGATTGGATCACAGGAGTGGACCCCTCGTGAATGGTTTAGCTCCCAGTGTTGGAGGTTGGGCCTGGTGGTAGGTGATTGGGTCACAGGAGTGGACCCCTCGTGAATGGTTTAGCTCCCAGTGTTGGAGGTTGGGCCTGGTGGTAGGTGATTGGGTCACAGGAGTGGACCCCTCGTGAATGGTTTAGCTCCCAGTGTTGGAGGTTGGGCCTGGTGGTAGGTGATTGGGTCACAGGAGTGGACCCCTCGTGAATGGTTTAGCTCCCAGTGTTGGAGGTTGGGCCTGGTGGTAGGTGATTGGGTCACAGGAGTGGACCCCTCGTGAATGGTTTAGCTCCCAGTGTTGGAGGTTGGGCCTGGTGGTAGGTGATTGGGTCACAGGAGTGGACCCCTCGTGAATGGTTTAGCACCAACCCCTTGGTGACAAATGAGTTCTCACTCAGTTAGTTCATGTGAGAGCTGGTTGTTTAAGAGTCTGGGACCTCCCTGCCCTTGCTCTCTTGCTCCTACTCTCAGCCACATGACGTGCCTGCTTCCCATTCACCTGCTATGATTGGAAGCTTCCTGAGGGCCTCACCAGAATTAGATGCCCACACCATGCTTCCTCTACAACCTGCAGAACTGTGAGCCAATTAAGCTTCTTTTCTTTATAAATTACCCAGTCTCAGATATTCTTTTATAGTAACATAGATGGACTAATACGTACCACATATTTTACTAATTTTGTTTAATGTCTGATGCCTTCTATCAGAATATCAGCTTCATGCAGACAGGAATGTTTTATTCATTGCTATATCTCCAGGGCCTAGAATAGTGTCAGACATAGCACTCAATAAGTACTGGGTTGTTTTGTTTTGTTTTGTTTTGTTTTTTTGAGACGGAGTTTTGTTCTTGTTGCCCAGGCTGGAGTGCAATGGCACAGTCTCTGCTCACTGCAACCTCCACCTCCCGAGTTCAAGCAATTATCCTGCCTCAGCCTCCCAAGTAGCTGGAATTACAGGTGCCTGCCACCACACTTGGCTAATTTTTTGGTATTTTTAGTAGAGACAGATGGGGTTTCACCATGTTGGCCAGGCTGGTCTTGAACTCCTGACCTCAGGTGATCTGCCTGCCTCAGCCTCCCAAAGTACTGGGATTACAGACATGAGCCACAGCGCCCAGCCAATAAATATTGTTGAATAAATGAATGAATGAAATTTCTATAAAGGCGGCTATGATGGTTAATACTGAGTGTCAACTTGCTTGGATTGAAGGATTCAAACTATGGCTCCTGGGTGTGTCTGTGAGGCTGTTGCCAAAGGAGATTAATATTTGAGTCAGTGGGCTGGGAGAAGCTGACCCACCTCCATCCGGGTGGGCCCCATCTAATCAGCTGCCAGCACAGCTAGAATAAAGCAGGCAGGAGAAGATGGAAGAGCAGACTTGCTGAGTCTTCCAGACTTCATCTTTCTCCTGTGCTGGATGCCTCCTGCCCTCAAATATCAGACTCTATGTTCTTTGGCTTTTGGGCTCTTGGGCTTACACCGGTGGTTTTCCAGGTGTTCTCAGATCTCTGGCCACAGACTGAAGGCTCCACTGTCGGCTTTTGAAGTTTTGGGACTCGGACTGGCTTCCTTGCGTCTCAGCCAAGCAGACAGCCTATTGTGGGACTTCAGCTTGTGATCCTGTGAGTTAATACTCCTTAATACACTCCCCTTCATATACATCTACCCTATTAGTTCTGTCCCTTGAAAGAACCCTGACTAAAACAGCGAGTTAGTGCCTGTTCCCAGAAAAGTGGAGTGCTGAACACATCAAATAATAGATGTGAGTCACCAGTGTAGCTTACCACACCGGGCTTCAATTTCCATTATCTCATTTTACATATATGGAACTGAGGCAAAGAGAATAGTATCACCTAAAGCCATATAATAAGATTCTACCTTTCTAGACCAGCTTCCATGCTGCCTTCAACCACCCATGTACCTCAAAGGGTCGTTAATTAATAAGATTCAAAAATTAGCTACTCCAAATTTGTCACTAGCTCCCCCATGGCTGCATTCCTGCGGCACTTCTCTGATCCCTGTCACAGGCATGTATGCCTGGGAAAGCTGTTCTTCACAAAGGCTTGTTCAAATGTTGTTCACCTGTGCAGCTTTCTGTGGATGGTAGAATCAGAGAAAATAGCAAATGATGAGTGCTTTTAGACCGCATAGTCCAAGTCCTTCATTTAAAAAAAGAAGCACGAAAAGGTATTCCTGAAAACCAGGGAGAGAAAGCTGAGTATGCTCAAACCTGTGTGTAGACTTGAGAAAGACATAGTTTTAAAGTCCAGAGAAAAGGATGAACATGATCCATCTTTTCATGATTTCCATAATGAAATTTGAGAGAGCTGGAACGCTTTTAAAAATAACTTCTGTTATGCAATTGAAAATTCTCCTAACAGGGAAGAAAATGGTAAGGTAATTAAAGAAACCAGTGGCTGGTTGCACAAGAACTCGCTATGAACTGAAGAGTCTAAAGGAAATATGATATCTTTAGAGGTAGGCTTCTAGAAAATTTTACTTTCTAAAGTACAAATATCTGTAATGTTTTGATTTTGACCATACATTCCTTTTGTAATTAGGAAAAGTAATAGCAACAAAATAAATCTTAAAATTAAGTAAAGAATATGTTTTTATTTTTTTGAAAAAGGAAGGGTAGATTAAAAAAAAAAAACTAATACCAGGAACCATCACAAACGTGTAGGAGTAAGGCCAGAAAAGCTGTCATCCAATTGATCTGGGAATAGGAAAACATCCCAGAGAGAGTAGAATAAAACAAAACTGAACTTTTAAAAAAGATGGAAAAAGAGATAGATTTACTGCTTAAGGCCAATAAGATAAAGGTGATGGAAGACAAATGCCAAACAAAGCTCTGACTTTTCCTGTCTTCTTCATCAGAGAGAACAATTTTTGGATGGAAATGGAAAAAGCAAACAATTGATAAAAAGAGAATGGTGTCCATAAGGGTGAAAAGATTGGAAGAGGACATCTCCTTGGACTAGCTGAGATGACATCTCCTGGTCTCAACAATTATATCTTAGGGTTGGGGGAGAGGGGAAATATGAGAACTTACAAAAGGGATTGCTTAGGGAAACAGACTTTTGCTAAGCATCCACTATGTGCTGACATAGCACTTTCTTATAATTTCTATAGCAATTCTCAAGTTATACTTGTGGAGAAAATAAAGTGTAGGCTGGGTGCTGGAACTTCACTACAAGGGAGATGTTATTATTATTATCCCCATATTATAGGTGAAGAAACTGAAACTAAATAAGATTAGATAATATGACCAAGGACACATTGCTAGCATAGAGTAAGTGGATATGTCAGGAGTTCCCAAGACCAATCTCAGGCTGGCTGCACTAGAAAAACTCAAGGATTCAGAAAAGCTGTGATACTCATGGTTATAGCTTCTTATAGTGAACGGATACAAATTAAAATCAGCAAAAGGCAAAGCACATGGGATGAAGGCCAGTTATCCTCTCTCAACTGACACATGCACAGTGCTTAATTCTCCCAGCACTGAAGTGTGACAAAGGTGTATGAAGTGCTGCCAATTAGGGAAGCTCACCTGAGCCTTGACATCCAGAGTTTTTATTGGGGATCAGTCATGTAGACACAGTGCCTCCATGACTGACCTTAGGTACTCAGTCTCTAGTCCCCTAGAGATCAAACTGATACAGCAGTAGCTCAGGGCCTTAGGTACACGAAAACGTTTTTATCAGACAGGATACTCCACGGGCTCAGAGGTTGTCTCCCAGGAGCCAGTAAAGGGTCAGTCATTTCTTTGAAATGTGCAGAACTTGAGTACCCCAAGCTTACTGTCTGTATTAGTCAGGGTTCTCTAGAGGGACAGAACTAATAGGATAGATGTATATATAAAGGGGAGTTTATTAAGGAGAAGTGACTCACACAGTCACAAAGTAAACTCCCTCTATAGGCCCAAGCTGAGGAGCAAGGAAGCCAGTAGTGGCTCAGTTTGAGTCCCCAAATGTCAAAAGTAGGGAAGCTGACAGTGCAGCCTTCAGTCTGTGGCCAGTGGCCCAAGAGCCCCTGGCAACAACTGGTGTAAGTCCAAGAGTCCAAAAGCCAAAGAACATAGAGTCTGATGTTTGAGGGCAGGAAATAGCCAGCACAGGAGAAAGATGAAGGCTGGGAGACTCAGAAAGTTGGCTCCTTCCACCTTCTTCTGCCTGCTTTTTCTAGCCATGCTGGCAGCCGGTTGCATGGTGCCCACCCACAGTGTGGGTGGGTCTTTCTGAGGGTGAGTCTTCTCCCGGTCCACTGACTCAAATGTTAATCTTTTCTGGCCACACCCAGAAACACCCAGATACTCCCAGAAATGATACTTTGCATCCATCCATCCAATCAAGTTGACACTTAATATTAACCAACACATGGCCTTAACCCTTTACTGCACAGTAAAGAAGCTGGCACTGGAACCCCTGCCTCCTCCAAATCCTTCAAAGCCTGCTATACCCACTGCCAAAGATCTTAGAGCAAAGTGAAGAATTACCTCTGGAGTAATTTCAGAAGACACAAATTGGGTACATATTTCAATTTTCAAAAGGAATTGAAGCCAGATTCAGTGAACCACAAGCAATAAATGTGGGCAAAATTCTAACATAAGTTCCTTATAAGATAGTTGTATAGGCTGGGCCTAGTGGCTCATGCCTGTAATCCCAGCACTTTGGGAGGCGGAGGCTGGCAGATCACGATGTCAGGAGTTCAAGACAAGCCTGGCCAGCATGGTGAAGCCCTGTCTCTACTAAAAATACAAAAATTAGCCAGGTGTGGTGGTGGGTGCCTGTAATCCCAACTACTTGGGAGGCTGAGGCAGGAGAATTGCTGGAACCAGGGAGGCAGAGGTTTCAGTGAGCCAAGATCGCACCATTGCACTCCAGCCTGGCGGATGAGAGTGAAACTCTGTCTCAAAATAAAAAAAGTTGTATAGAAAGGAAGTTGTGGTCATAAAAAACCAGAATGGGTTATTAATTCCACAAACATTTATCAAGAATCTACTATGTATAAAGCGTTGGGGATTTAGCAGTACAGAGTTTGGAATTCTGCAAATGTGTTTTGAGCGTCTGTGCCAGATGTGAAAGGAAAAGTTCCTACCCTCAGAACTCCTTTTAAACAAGTCATGTTATACTAACACAGTTCCTTCTTTGATAAGTTTCCTAGACTGGTAAGTGAAGGAAATCAGCAGGTATGGTTTACCTGCACTTAAGCAAACTATTTGGTAAGGTTTATAATGATATTCTTAAGAACAAGATGATGAAATGTGGGCATTGTAGGAAAAATTACATGGAATATTCACTGGGAAAGGATGCTGTTTAATGGATTAATGTCACTCAAAAGAGATTTTTGGTGTCGTGTAACAGGGCAGCATCTGGGGCCCTGTTCTGACCAAAAATTTAAGTATCATCGACTTGGATGAAGTTATAGAAAGTATGTTTACATCATTTACCATTGACAAGAAGCTAGGAAAAAAGAGTAAGCACATTTGAGAACAGAAAGACCTTCCAGAATGGTAAATTCTGAGCACTTAGCATATGTCAGCCATGGTGATTAGCACAACTCATTTAACCCACATGCAACTGAATTTTTACAGAAATGGACCATTAGGCCCTCACATGTGAATGCTAAAAAATAATTTTCAAGATCAGGTCATAGAAAATATAGGTTAGAGTCAACCTATATGAAAAGTCTTGAGGATTTCAGTCTAGAATGAGCCTTACATGAGTGCAATATAAGCTTTGTGTGAATATAAAATGGCCACCAGAACAGCGAATGTGATCTTGACAGCAATAACAGACTCATCGTGTCTAGAATGAGGGCATTGTTATCAGGTCCTGATAACATAACATGGCTGACTCTCTGCAACAGTTCATATTCCAGGTCTTTTTCTGTCTCAAAGACGCCATGTCCTCTGCTTTTGTTAAAAAAGCAATCTTGGCTGGGCATGGTGGCTCAAGCCTGTAATCCCAGCACTTTGGAAGGCTGAGGTGGGAGGATCACGAGGTCAGGAGTTCGAGACCAGCCTGGCCAACACAGTGAAACCCTGTCTCTACTAAAAATACACAAAAATTAGCTGGGCGTGGTGGCAGGCACCTGTAATCCCAGATACTCGGGAGGCTGAGGCAGGGGAATTGCTTGAACCCAGTGTGGAGGCTGTAGTGAGCCGAGATCGTGCCATTGCACTCCAACCTGAGCAACAGGTTGAGACTCCGTCTCAAAAAAAAAATTAATATTAGTGATTTCAACATAATATTAACACCTGATAATCATTTGATGTGTCACTCCTCTAGGGGTATTTGCATTTTTGCCGAGGAATCCAGAAGACAGTGGCCTGGATTAGGAAGGGCAGACACTTGTGGACATGGAGACACTCTGATGCTTGCCGAATCACACCATGCTCAACCTACATTTTCTTGACAGTTTCTTCCATTAAGCTATACCAGTACCTCTTTATGGCATTGTCAACCCATGTCCATTCGAATAAATTACTGTTCCTATCTCAGCTGACTCATTTGGCAGCAAAAACTAGTCCACCTGCCAGTGCATTTGCTGGCTCACACAACCCTCTCTATCAAAAAGTATATAGCACATTTTCACATTAATAAGCAAAAAGAGACAGCATGTCCTCTCTCCCTCAACTTAGGAGTTTGGAGTAAGACAAATGTGAACATTTTAAAGGGCAAAGAGGTGGAAATGAGGGAACAGGATGCAGAGGCCTGGGAGGATGAAGATATTTTACAATATATAAAAATACGAGTACTAGAATTTTTTCCTTTTTAGTCCATAAAGAAATCCCTATAATTACTCCTGAGCCCTCAGAACATTCATTCTTGGGGCATAATTGATTCTCTACAATGTACAGAATGTTATACAGGGACATTCAGGGCATTTAATAAAGCCTCAAATTAAATGGATATATACAATTACAAATATTGAATTTTTATTAAATTACATTAATATAAATATTTATAATATAACATTAAATATGTGTGATTATATATGTTGGATACATTACAAATACAATAGAACAGACTACTCTGGAGTTGGTCGAATGTTGTCTTTAATGCTGCCAAAATAACACAGTAGTTATGACTGTTTTTATGTTATTTAACATTCATTTGTATAACAAACGTTTATTATGCAATTGCTCAGTAATGGACACGTGAGATAACTTTCATATTGAGTACTGCTGCAAACAGAGGCATTCTTATAAACAGTTTGGAGAAGTGCTATCAGTATCTGTTCTTAAGTAGGCTCTGAGGATTTGGAATATTTAAAACCATTTTATATTCACATTTCGAAGATAAGGAGCAAATTGTCTTCCTTGATTAATCTACACTATCATAGGTTGGGGAAATGTCCTTCTGTGACTTCAGTTTTCTTTAAACATTTAATAATATTCTCCACTTGAGGAAGGGTTTAAGGCCGGCTTCAGAGACAGAGGTGATGGATGTCTCCCATTACCAGGTTGAATGAAAAGCCTCTTATTTAGCATTGTCTATGCTTAGAGGCGAACCGAGGAAGAAGGCTTTACCCTCTGTCATTTTTTATCTCAAAACTGAAAGCTTCAACCTTTCCTATTACTACTTAATTGAATTTAGAAAATCGTGATCTTCTTTTTAAATATTTTACAGGCTTTTAAATGTAAAATTGATGGGGGCGGGGGTGCTGGCTGGAGAAGGTTTGGATATGTTCCTTCTAATCTGTGATTTGGTATCTATTCCACAATTTAAGAAACATCTGAATGTTTTGGCCAAGTTAGAAAATAAAAATGTGTTCTCAGCCTTGGAGCCAAGGCATATCTGCCTAAGTGTCTTGATCTTTATGGTTAGCTTTAAGTAGAGAAAAATATTTTAAAAAGCAAATCTTGATTACCAACCCCAAAATTACTTTTTACTCTTCACATTGGATTGCAGATTATTACTCTATGAACTTCATAATAGGAAACTCAAGAATAAGTTCTGACCTACACTCACATCCTATGTCCACAATACACGTTATTTTCTGACTTCTTTTCTATTCTACTGTCGTACTTTTCAACAGCACTAATTAACCATGAACACCTGATCCTTTATTGCCCCAGAAATAAAATTTACTTCTACTTTATGGAGTTTCTAAAGGGAAAGAAAACAATACTTTCCTAGTTCATTTAAGACCACACTCAAAACTCAGTGTTGCTGGGGTTTGATCTGTTTCTTAATCTGTACCACGGGAACTTAAAGTTCATATCTGGTTTGTGATTGGTCATGACATCTCAGTCAGTAGCTGAACTGATTTATTTTATCCTGTTCTGCTAAAGGGTATATCTCACCTAACAAATTTATCTTTGATAACCAAGAACTATTCCAGGGGGGACAACTCGCTCTTTCTCTCTCTCTCTCTCTCTCTCTCTCTCTCTCTCTCTCTCTCCCCCTCCCCCCCTCCCTCCCCCCTCTCTCTCCCTCCCCCCTCTCTCTCCCTCCCCCCTCTCTCTCCCTCTCTCTCTTTCCTCCTCCCATCATATATATATATATATATTTATATATATGAGGAGAAAGAAAGAGGTGGCATGGTGCAAAAGCGATACCCATGCAGTAAAAACTGTACTTCAAATATCCACACAATCATTCTGTTTTTCAATTTTAGTACAGTGTTCAATAAATTACATGAGATAGTCAACATTTTATGATGAAATAGGCTTTGTGTTAGATGGCTTTTGCCCAACTGTAAGCTAATGTAAGTGTTCTGAGCACATTTAAGGTAGGCTAGGCTAATCTATGGTGCTCAGTAAATTAGGCATATTAAATGCATTTTTGACTTATGATCTTTTCAATTTATGATGGATTTACTGGGAAACAACCCCATCATAAGTCAAGGAGCATTTGTATGTAGTTTTTAGAATAATATTAATATCCTGCTGTCGATATTACATAATAAATATTCCACATTTTATGAGAAAGCTGGGATACCTATAGAATCCACAAAGCTACCAGTCTATACAATTCATCAAACAGAAGGGCAAGCTCATATATAAAATTTTAGTCTTGATCCATTTCAAAGTTTATAGCCAGTCTGTTGTATTAAGCACATATTCATATCTAACATTTACATATTTCATGGGCATACATTTTATTTTCTGATTACAATGAAGGCACATGTAATTCACACTCCAGCATATAACAGATAGGGATGCCAGGCAAGCATTTTTAGACATGGTGTCATTTTGTTGAGAGATATCTTCTTTTCTGATAAACAGCTTTGAAAGCAGCCATATAGCCTTTGCTTTTCTTCATCTCCTCCACCTTGCAGAGTTTGTCAGTACACCTTTATAACCTGCTGGAAGAGAATTATAACCTGCAGTGTGACTTTGCCAGCCATTAATCTTCCTCCCATTTTAGGGGTCTGAGAGAAGAAATCCCTAGAGCATGTTTTCCCCTGGCCTCTGAGTCATCCTGTTAGTTTCTTTAGTCATAGATAAAAGAGCAGTCTTGTGGCCCAGAGTTGCTGGTCTCTGGGGACAGGGCCAGCCCGCAACTGCAGATTTTTCCATGGTTTCACATTTGTCACCAACCAGCAGAAAATCAACCCTATCAACTCCAGTTAAGGTGTCACTGTAGGCAGAAGATGTTTTCACAGCCAGGACACGGCTGTGAAAATAAGGAAATGACACATGCAATTGAAATCTTAAATATATTATCATTCAGGTTCTGGAGGAAGAATTCTGTTAAAAGCTTTCATAAAATAACATTTTCTGCCAGCAGCAGCATTTTATCATCAGTTGCAATAACTAACTCCTTAAATGCATGACTTCCCTTAGAAGTCATGAATAAGCCAATTCTGATTCCTGGGTACATAAATTGTCCAGGATGTCTCTTCCAAGTACCAAATTATACCTCTATATTCTGCCCAGAGAAGAGCCCTGAGAGAATCTTTTCGCTGTGTATTATTCCCTGACATACTCCACTGTGGTAGGGTAAAGGACACAACTCTGGGTTAATGTCGTGTGTAAATTACACCACTCAAAACTGTCTTCAACGTCTGTCGTTCAGTCTCATGATCAAAATTACTGGAAGGTGCACCAATGTGTCCACATTTCTTTTTTCACTGAGAAATATAAATTAACACTCAGGAAACATTTTTATCTCAGGGGTCACTGGTCACTGATTGGTCCATTCAATGTTCATCAAACACCTCTTGAAAACAGAGCCTTTGTTTCACGTTCCATGCTAAAGAAGTTCTGGGGCAAATATACTTCCTAGAGCTCACAAGAACAATAGTAGCTGGCCCAGGAAAGGGAAATTATCTATTCTGGGAATCCTAGTGGTATCACTGGAAAATCATATTGACAATTTATTAACATTATTTAAATGTTACATATTTATATAAACTAGTGCTTCACAAACTACTTGTGGAAAAGGACAAGTTTTAAAAAATGCCCAATCTATTGTACACTCATACTTTTATAAAACACAATGAAAATGAACTACTAAAAATATTAAACTAAAAAAAAAAAAAAGAAGCTGGGCACAGTGGTGGCTCACATTTGTAATCCCAGCACTTTGGAAGGCAGAGGCAGGTGGATTGCTCGAGCCCAGGAGTTTGAGAACTGCCTGGGCAATATGAAAAAACCCCATCTATACAACAAATACAAAAACTAGCTGGGTTTGGTGGTGTGTGCCTGTGGTCCCAGTTACTTGGGAGGCTGAGGCAGGAGAATCACCTGAGCCTGGGAAGTTGAGGCTACGGTGAGCTATGATCATGTATGGACTGCAGTCCAGCCTGAGCGACAAAGGGACAAAGGAGACCCTGCCTTAAAAAATAAATACATAAAAATTAATTAATTAAAAAATTTAAAGCCCATAATACAATGCCATATTTATTATTATACTGTGTTAAATTCCTATAAAAGTTCTCAAATATTTATTCTCAATTTCTGTATTTATCTCATGACAGACTGAGACATAGTTCACTCACTGGTGCAGGTTTATAGGTCAGGCTTTAAGTAACATGACCTGAACCATTGCCTTTTGTGCTTTATATATCCTTATATGCTTGGATAAATTGAAATCAAACTGAGATGCAAACTTTTTCAAGGAAATTTTGTCTCATAAGAGGAAAGATACCTTGTTAGTTCAGTGGTATATATCCGCCAATGTGGAACTCATCTTTTCCTTTCTGGGGATGAAATATTGTGGAATAAACACAGGTTTCGGAATCAGACCTAGGTTTGAATCCGATCTGTTATTTACTGGCTCTTTAGCAAGTTACTTAACCACTCTGAGCTTTTTTTCCCTAATCTGTAACATACGGTGCCCATAACAATTTCCTCTCAAGACTGTTATGAAGATTAAATGCAACAATGTATAAAGTGTATCTTGTATGAAGTGAATAGGCAATAAATGGAACTATCATTATAAATGGCAACTCACTAAACTGGGAGCTCCTTTTAAGGCAGATTGTGGAAAAAAGAGACCCACATCTTTTTCTTTGTATATGCCCCAATTTCTAGCTCAGCGCCCAACAATAAATGCTTATGAGTGTAGAGAGAAAGGAAAAGGAAGGGAAGTAGTAAAAAAGAAGGAAGAGAACAAAAAAGGAAGCAAAGGAAAATGGCAATGCCAGCAGAGAAAAATTGAAGGGTTTTCTCACTTTAACGAGTTCCAGAAAGTGCTTCATTATATTAATAACTTGCAGAAATTGGAATGGGTGAGACACAAATTCCTAGGTTAGCTGCCAGTGAGGGTTCAAAGTGAGGTCACTATCCTTCACTGGGCATTAGCCACCACACCACAGTCATTGAACTGTCCTTCAGTGGGTACTTACTGAGCAATGTAGCCAGCACAGTGCTAGGCAGGCAAAGTGTGGAGTAGCATGGCTCTGGGACACACCTATTTAATTGGAGATGAAAAAAGATTACATAGCTTGATAGCTCTTGAAAACTACAAATTGTTCATAGCTTTAAGAGGAGACATACTTAGCGTTTTTTTATGGACAAATATAAAGAAAGACTATCAGTGATCACTAATGTGTAACTTTAGCTGGGTATCATTACACAGGATGCCCTACCATAGCAGAGCTTGCTTTGCAGATGGAAGTGGTGGCTCACGCCTGTAATCCCAGCACTTTGGGAGGCTGAGGCCGGTAGATCACTTGAGGTCAGTAGTTTGAGACCAGCCCGGCCAACATGGCGAAACTCCATCTCTACTAAAAATATGAAAATTAGTTGGGCATGGGGGCGCGTGGCTATAATCCAGCTACTTGGAATGCTGAGGCAGGAGAATCGCTTGAAGCCGAGAGGCAGATGTTGCAGTGAGCTGAGATCGTACCACTGTACTTCAGCCTCTGCGACAGAGTGAGACTGCATCTCAAAAAAGAAAAAAAAAAAAGAAATGGTGGCATAGGCTGAGTGAGGCTATTCATCCCTCTCCAGGATTGTTGATGGGCACTGCAGAGTACTATTTCTTTTTGCAGAATACATCAGTTATTTTGGTGTGTGTTCCCGGACCATGATCTTTTCTAAAAGGTTGTTACCTGGCTACAGATGTGATAGGAAATGATATTGGTCTTTGGCCTTTTGAGATTACAGCAATAAAACCTGTAACTGGGTATTAGCGTTCAATGATTCATTTTAAGACTACAACCTTTTCTTCACTTTCCTTTTGCGGGAAGAATTGCCATTGGAGAAAGTACATTTTGTTTTCCTCCAAAAAATCACATTTGGCCATTTTCAATATTCTGTAGAAGTCTGTAACACAAAGCTCTTTTTCTTGCACTTACAAAAAACTGCTTTTCTGTGATTTTAAAAAGTACTTAGTTTGGTGCTTCTATAAGGAAAAGATTTTAGTTTTTACTGAGAATAAAGTAAAATATCCACCTACCAGCAATAATACAATGCTCTGTGCTGTACAAATACTTAATATGGTAATTCCTTCTCTGGATAGAATTGAAAATGACCATTTTTCTGTGAAGTAATTCTCTTTTGTTTCTAGGGATGAGTAAAGGAAAATATGTAGGCTTACCAGGACACTAAGGAATCAGTCTCCATTCCCACAAGGAATTCTAATTTTCATCACGTTGGATTTAGGAAATTCCTTAGCATTCTTTAACTCTGATTTTTTAAAAAAATTACTTCTTCAATTAGCTAAAGCTTTCTAAACTAAATCCAAGAGGATGTTAAGTCCTAGAAGCTGACAAAATCAAAAGTATGTAATAAAGGCCTTTTGCCCTTTGATGCATTAAACGTTTGTAAGCATCAGAATTCTATGTGTATAATTAGTAACGTACAAATGTAATGTCTCATCTTGAATATCTGCATAGTTCAGCCCATTATGAAAAGATAGCAGGCAGAGTCTGACATTAGAAGAATCAGACCGCCCAGGGGAAAACGAATGAAATACATTTTACAGCCCTTTGATTTCCTCCTAACTCAGAGGGGCTTTGATTCCTAGTTTAAAATTATAAGATTTATTATCATTCCTCTTGCAATAAAAATATGCTCATTTTTCAAGTAGTAATACTCTAATTAAGAATTCAGGAAGAAATTACTGGGACACAATGGGATGTAGAGCTTTAAGAGCTTTCAAAAAATTATCAGTAGAAACCACTGGTTATTTAGGGCCCATGACAGATCTTCTTTTGTTTTAGCAAGATATAAAAGAGAAAATGATTTGTATAGTTATCTTCCTTTGTCAGTGATAAACGAAGATGGATATACTATGACCTATCCTCACATATACACACATTTGTAGTGGGAATTGTTTATAAAAACCATGGCACAGAATGTGGCTCTGTATTGAAACTGCGATGGCCCCCAGATATGTCCCTTAAATAGCACAAGGAAGCAGTGACCTGTGTTTAACACCATCTCTCATTTTTTTTAGCACAGCTTTTCTTTGTTTGCTTTTTCCTTTTCTTTTTTTTCTTCTTTGCTTTTATTATTTTTTAAATTTACACACAATAATTTTACATATTTAGGGGCTACCATGTGATAATTCAATAAGTTTTTGAATAAAATATACAATAAATTATTGTTAATTATAGTCTCAATTTTTAATGATATCTGGAGACACCCAGATCCTACCCTCTGGATATACCTACAGTGACCCTCTTGTGACTTTTGGTCCTAAATTAATTAGCCTTCAAAAAGGAGATAAATTCAAGATGATTTTACATTGTTCATCAGGAGATTCAAACCCTTTCTCTCTTTTTCTTCATTGTGTTTTACCTCTCTGAGATCTAGACGTGGTGGTTTCATTGCCACAATAAGCTGAAATACCCTAAAAGGTATATATATATATTTTTTTGAGACGGAATTTCACTCTTGTTGCCTAGGCTGTGGAGCACAGTGGCGCGGTCTTGGCTCACTGCAACCTGTGCCTCCCAGGGTCAAGCAATTCTCCTGCCTCAGCCTCCCAAGTAGCTGGGATTACAGGCACATGCCACCACGCCCAGCTAATTTTTTGTATTTTTAGTAGAGATGGGGTTTCACCATCTTGGCCAGGCTGGTCTCGAACTCCTGACCTCAGGTGATCCACCTGCCTCAGCTTCTCAAAGTGCTGGGATTACAGGCATGAGCCACCGCGCCTGGCCAAAAGGTATATGTATATTTTCATACATCTTATTCCTTTATAACCTCTGCAGGCAAGGCCCTGGGAGAATGGTGAAGTTGCAAGCTTTTGTGCTTCTCTCTAAGGCTGACTGTCTCACATCTTTTCAATTTCAGGTGCTACTGTGCTTTTACATCCCCTTACCTCCATCACACTTTTCTTTGGATCCTCGTTTATACTAACATTCAATTAACTGATAACAACCTAAACTTAACCTGGGTTGGGGTTCTCAACCAGGAGATCTCAACCAGGAATCACATGAGGAGTAAAGATTCACATGGTCTGGCCCTGTGCCAGACAAGGAACCTGAGTCACTGGGAGTGAGAACCAGGAATTTTGATTTTTAAAAAGCTCATGAGCATTTCTGATTAAGAGTTATTATACTTATCTTCCATTAGATTCTGCATTTTAATAGGTCCAAAACCTGCAACTAAACCCACTATGATCAAATGAAGAATTTTAAGTAGCTATGGGAGAGAACTGCAGAAAGCTGAGAATTCCCCAGACATAATGCATGGAGGAGCTTTGGCTCCAAATTCCTTACTTGTAACAACTACATTTTTTGAGCAATAAAAATATTTTATAAAGTTTTTTCCTTTCTTTTCTTTTCTTTTTTTGAGATGGATTCTTGCTCTGTCGCCCAGGCTGGAGTGCAGTGGCGCAATCTCGGCTCACTGCAATCTCTGCCTCCCGGGTTCAAGCAATTCTCCTACCTCAGCCTCCCGAGTAGCTAGGATTACAGGCACGTGCCACCAGACCTGGCTAATTTTTGAATTTTTAGTAGAGAAGGAGTTTTGCCATGATGAGCAGGCTGGTCTCGAGCTCCTGATGTTGTGATCTGCCTGCCTCAGCCTCCCAAAGTGCTGGGATTACAGATATGAGCCACCATGCCCGGCCAAAATTTTTTTCTTTCTTACTAAAAACTGTATGTTCTTTATAGGAAGTCTGAAAAAATACAAAAAAAGGAAATAAAAACCATATAAGATACAGAAGTCAACATTCTTGCTTATTTCCTTCAATTCATTAGGCAGTTCTTTGTATTTTTTATTTTGGTGTTTCTAAAAAATTGTCTGTATCTTTTTGTATTATTTTCTGCCAGCTAAACTAATTTTGTTCTTTGATAGTAGGACCTATATCTTTCTATCTCTCGAACACACACACACACACACACACACACACACACACACACACACACAGTGCCTAACATAGTGTCTCTAACGTTTTATGTGCTCAACAACTATATGGAGATGGGATGAATTTGGTGACCCAGTTTTGGACTCCTTTTTTGGGCATGCCTGTAAACATAGTAACAAGTAATATAATGACTTCTATTCCTTGCTTTCTCAATCAGCTTCAAAAGATAATATCTTAGGATAATTATGGAAAAAATAGAGATATCAAATACAATTTGAGTAGCTCTTTGCTGTTTCAAAATAACTAAATGGCAATTTTTAAATTAAAAAAATCAATCTAAGAAATAAGACTTCTGCTTCTATATTAATTTCCTTCATAAAGGATCACTTTAAATGCCATTCAGCAGCTGCAACAGTCAAGTCAGGATTAGATTTGGTTGCATATATCAGTAAACCTAAACAATAGTGACTTAAACAAGAAAACGTCCAGAAATAGGTAGTCCAGTGGTGGCATGGTGATTCCATGGTCAATCGGAGACTCACACTCCTTATTTCTTTCTACTCTACCTTATTTCACGTGTGCCTTCTATTCTTAAAGTTATGTACAAATATGGCAGCAGGAGTGCTCCCCTATACCTCCATATTGTTCATACAGAAAACAGGAAGAAAGACAGAAATAGAGAAGGACAAGAGAGAGAGCATCCTGGCTGAGTTAGTGCCCTGTAGGGAGCAATATCCCCGAACCCACATCCATCAATTTCTGTTTATATCTCAATTGAGCTGTAGTTTCAAGGGAAGCTAGAAAAATGTGGTCAGTGCTACCAAGAATATAATCAAGATAAAAGAGGACAGCAGATATTGTGCAGGCAAGTAGCAGCAAATTATTTTATTTAACAGTTAAAATGCTTTGGCTGCAAATAACAGAATACCTAAGAATAAATGGCTTACACAGTACCTTTTATCCTACAAATGAAGGGTGGTTCAGGGTTAGTGCAGCAACTCAACAAATGTTATCAAGGTTCAGGTACCTGCCATCTTTCTGTTATGCCAGTCATAATATACCAACAATGTATTTCTTTATGGTCAAAAGAAAGACCATAATGGTTGTAGGATGCCCTCACATTACAACATCCGAACATGGGAAGGCACAAGTTCTCATTTGTGTTCCTTCCAGGAAGAAACCTTCCCTGAATTTCTCCCACCAGACTCAGTGAGCATCACATGCACACACTTAAACCAATCATTAGCAAAAGTAATAGATTACAACAAGTGGTTTAGACTGACTCATCAACAATTCCCTCCCGGGGTTCAGTATGTGGGAAGGTAAATACTTGAACAAAACCAGGGCTCAGTTATCAAGGAAGAAAAGAGGTAGGCACGAAAGTGGGGAGGAGTGGCTATTGGATCCATAAAAGTTCCTGTTTGCCACACATACTCTGTTTTACAAAACGCAGTGATGTACAACTGTTCTTCTGAGTTGTACATATTTAGGAAATTCCATGATACCTCACTCATTACTTAAATAGTATTTTCTTTCAAAAGGGCAAGACACAAGCCTGACAGCAGACAATGAATGAATCATTAAACATTAATTCACAGGTGCAGATTTCTATAAGTTGTAGAAAAATAAAAGGAGCTACCTTTTGATGAAGAGCAGTAGTACTCATTAAGTGTTACACTTTTAGCATTACAATGGCATTAGGGGAAAAGGACAAAAAAGGACCCATTATTTTAAAATTAAAATAACAATCAAATAATTTGCATTCTCCCACAGAGATGATCATACATTTTTATTGGATGTTCTCTTTAAATCCCTAAGGACTTTCACTGGTCAATGTAAAATTAAGTCTTTTCTTTTTTCCATAATAACCTTGTTTGTGAGCCTTATTGTATGTACTCCCCACTCTTACCCCAAATAAAGCAGCCCAGTCTCTGTATGTTGAAGGTTTGAATTTCCTTAGCTACAGGAAGAATTATTTGGTGTAAGTTCTCAAACCCTAGGCCCATAGAGGTTTAAAACCTAAGGTCTCAAAACCTAAGCCCCAGGGTGTTTCTGGGAGTTGAGGCAGAGACAAGCAAACATGGTAGAGTTAAATTCCCTGGGACTGAGTAGGGGAGTAAAACATGGTGGCAAGTTCTACAGTGTGTGAGGTGCATTCCCACCCAGCTCTTTGGAGCTCACTAGTTGTCTGATATGCCTGTATGGAGATCGTATCCCCAGTACTGTGGCCTGGAGAGCAGCCTCTGGCCCATGGGAGTTTCTGTGGCAGGATTTTTGAAGCCCACCCAAAGCACTGGTGCCCAGCAACAGAGCATATAGTTGAAGAAGCCATCAGGAAAGATGGCAATTATTGTGGAATCCGGGCTGTCCTTATTTTCTTAAAGTCAAGTAAATTCTTGGATGCTTAGGATCCAATGGAGACTGGGAAGGAGTTTCAAAGTGACAAAAACTACCAGCATCTATCCAATATTCATTCTTTCTAAATAACAAAACTGCTAAGTTACCAGAGGCAGCTGTACCTGCCTTAAACACTGCATTACCTACCTTTCTCACACCTGGGGTCAATGAAAAGAAGAAGTCATCAACAGGGGCTTTAGAAAAAGGCCATATGCTCTTTGGGCTTTCCCTTCCTCCTGCTGGAAATGAGGAAATCATGTCTGGAAGTCCAACAGCTATCTATTAATCCTGAGGATGAGAACCACTCATTAAAAATTACAGAGCAGGAATATAGGAAGGGATCCAGTTCCTAGCTCAGGGGTCCCTCCATCAAGAATTTTACATGAGATATTAACCCTTCCCTTTTTTAGCATTGTCGATCCATCTCTGTTATTGACAGAAGCACTAACCTCCTGTAAAGGACATGGCATGCTTTGGTCAAGGAATAGGCCAAGGCAGACATTCAGGCCTGCATGACTCAGCGGGATTGGTGCGCAGGTGCACACCTCCACTTGTTATATAACCTGTTTATGTAAGCGCATATTTGACTTGGAGCCACTATTGTTTCAAAAGGTATAACTGCCCTGCTTCTGCTGTACAGGCGCTCGTGGACATGGCTTGGCACAGCTCGGCATGACATTTGGCGTAGTCATGGACCTGACACCTCCTAACCAGTTCATATATTTCTGACGACCTCGGAAGTACTATTACAACTGATTCTTTTTGTTGTTGTTGTTGTTAACATAATGAAGGACTGATTAATCCTGGAGTCAGAATTCAAGCACAGTTTTATCTGGCTCTAAAGCTTACACTTTTAATTATCAAGCTATCTGCTAAGTCAAGCTGGAATGACGTTTATGCAAAGGGGAGAAGCGGTGTAGATACCAGAGCAAAAACCAGATAACCAGAAACCAATGGAAAGAATTCTTAGAGGAATGTGTGTATGTGTGTATTTGTGTGTGCTCATAGTAACAAAGCCCCCCAAATACAATCATGCTGATGAGGCAGCTCCATCTGTTTCTGAACCCTGATCATTGCACTTGAGATATTTCTGAGCTTGAAACCTCAAGTCAAAATTAAAAATATGCCTAGCAGTAAGTCCACTAATTGAATTAATTTAGATGCCAATCCTGATAAGTCAAATCCCAAAGAAAAAATTTTGATCTGAATTAACTAGTTTAATTGTCTGCAAAGTCCAAATTGACCAAACAATTGCAAGTTAATCCCTTCATTTAATGGTTTGTACAGCCTCCCATTGGAAATGGGATATTGGTACTCTTGGAATTCTCTGCCTCTGTAACAGGTGTGACTCCTTTCACCAGGCTCAGGTATAAATGTCAGGGGACATTTGGCAATGTATGGAGACATTTTGGTAGTCACAGCTGGGCGATGTTACTGGCATCTAGTGAGTAGAAGCCACGGATGCTGCTAAACACCTTGCAATGCATAGGACAGCCCCCTGAACAGAATTACCCAGGCCAAAACACCGGTACTGTTACTGCTGAGAAACTGTGCACTAGTCAAACAGTACTCAGTGAAGGGAGAATTAGGAACTTTAACCTGCTAATAACAGCCCAATCCGTTATTTCGGGCTTCAAAGTAATATTTAAACCTGGCCTGTTGATTCATCAAATTAAGCAGGTAATTGATCATACTGCATTTCGCTTTTCCATTGTAGATGCAGCCAAAATGTGTAGCTGATAGGTTTCTAAAATCCTTCATCCTTTCCCTTTCAAGTCTTTCTGTTTACTGGAAGGTCGTTAAGTTGCTTTGCTTTTGAAGTCCATTTATTACTTCCAGATCTAGTGCAGTCTATTTAGTCTTTCTTAATGCTGTCTAGTAAAACATTAATGAGAAGCTCACGCATGGTCATAGAATTTGTCTGATTACCTCATTCATTTTTAATGAGCTTGCTGCTTACACTTCAGGATGACATGACAGAAATTGGATAATGTAATTCCTTCTGGGTGGAGTGCCCCTAAATTTGGCTCTGAATTATTAATCATGTAGGCTGGGGACACTAAAAAGTCTTTTGCCCATAAATTTATCTAAATCTTTGACTACATAATTTCTATCAATATATTCTCTTCCCAGAAATTTCTTTTAAGCAATGTTTGTGGCTGAAAACATCTGATTTTCTTCTGAGTGCAGTCCTCAGGATTTAAAACCTGAGAAATTTAGCTTCATCATAAGATTCAAACTTGAACAAAGGTGAGTCATTATTTTAAATGTTAATTTGCAGCTTCTAGAATCAAGGCAATGTCTTTAATTCTAGGTACATATATTTATGTATCTAGATCATCTAAGGTTATTATACATTTTAAAATTCTCATCTTATGGATTTTTGGCACAAATTTTCATTAATATTCTACTAGTTTTGCAGCTATTTAGTAATATATTAATAAGTCCCATGGTAGCAATGATTACAGAATTACTCGGTTAGTTTCTTTTATAGGTGGAAACACGTCAGTAAAATAAAAGGTTAAATTAGTTTTCCTAGTCAAAAAAACTAGACCTTTTGCATCTCATCTCTTTTCTAAGAATAAAGCAACCATTTCTTTCCAGTAGAGCAAGAATCATAGTGAAAGTCAGACTATAAAGTTTCATGAAGACTTCTAGGTAATCCTGACTCTACCAATTCTAACTACCACATCCCAAAACAACAACAAACTAATTTCTGTCAGTTCATGGGAGCTATAAACCAATTCAAGCTGTGTTCATGTGTTTAGTCCAGAATCGTTATAAAACATCACAAAAGCAGCATTCTACTGAATTAATTAGCCTCAGCTCAACACAGGAGTACAATCAGGATGACCAGGCCTCTGCTAATCCAGCCCTTATTTCTCTCAGCCAAAACCTATTAGATTGACTGAAAGCTAGGGTGATAAAGTTGCAGTGAATGTTTTGCAGCACAACAAATAAGACAGTCAAGCTGGTCATTTTGGTCATGTAGATTGACTTAACTGTTAGGATTTAAGGGGGCTCATTCTGAATCAGGTGAGAAATAGGCCCAAAGTCAAATGGAGGTCAAAATATTAGATTTATTGCTAGTAAAGCTGGACTGGAATAAGGGGCTTGAATCTATGACAAAGTCAGGCTTAATCTTTCTCTTTTCTGAGTTCTCCTAGATAGATACGCCTGAGGACCAGCTGTCTGCAGGGGTAGGGTTTGCCCTTGTGCCTGTCACCTGAAGAAATAAAGGATATTTGTGTCCTGTGAACAGCCTAGCTAAGAAAAGATGTATGCCAGTAGCTCAATGCACCTCTATAAATCCCACCGCAGGAAAAAGCCTGCAAAAGAAGGAAGGTGGAAGCCTTTATCCAACACTTCCAAGAGCCTGGAAGTCCCTAATTTGAGGGCCAAGGCTGAAAAGCCAGGAGGAGAAAATGACTCCCACCTACCTAAATATCTCACTGCTTTGCAAAACGAGAACTGAATTTTTCAGTTTTTAGTAATCATACTTTAAGGATGGAAATAGAAATAGTCTCTCTCCTTAAAACAGATTTTTTTTTTTTTTAAGATCGTTTGAGATGCAGTATTGAATTTCTGGCTCAGAATTGGAGAAAGTATTTAACTTCATCAACTAGTGCTTTTTTGTGGAGATGACCGGATTATATTAGCCTGAATTATTGAGTCAATCTACAGTCTCTTGCTTTTGATAACAATGTTAGGATTGGACACTTAAGCAACAGTATAGTAAAGGAAGCTTGGGAATAATTTCAAACAGTTATTCTCAACTCTGGCTGAACATTAGAATCACCTGATAAGCTTTAAAAAATAACTATTAATGAGCCAGGTCCAGTGGTGCATGCCTGTAGTCCCAGCTACTGAGGAGGCTGAGGCAGGAGGATAGCTTGAGGACAGGAGTTCAAGGCTGTAGTGTGCTATGATCACATCTGTGAACAGCCACTGCACTCCAGCCTAGACAACATAGCAAAACCTGTCTCAAAAAATATTGTATTGGCTGGGTGCTGTGCCTCATGCTTGTAATCAGCACTTTAGGAGGCCAAGGCGGGCAGATCACTTGAGGTCAGGAGTTTATGCCCAGCCTGGCCAACACGGTGAAACCCTGTCTCTATTCAAAATACAAAAATTATGGCCAGGTGCTATGGCTCACACCTGTAATCCCAGCACTTTGGGAGGCCGAGGCGGGTAGATCACCTGAGGTCAGGAGTTCGAAACATGACGAAATCCTGTCTCTACTAAAAATACAAAAAAAAAAAATTCGCTGGGCATGGTGGCAGGTACCTGTAATCCCAGCGACTCGGGAGGCTGAGGAGGGAGAATCGCTTGAACCCAGGAGGCGGAAGTTGCAATGAGCCGGGATTGTGCCATTGCACTCCAGCCTGGGTGACAGAGCAAGACTCTGTCTCAAAAAAAAAAAAAAAAAAAAAAAAAAAAAAAAAAAAAAAAATTAGCCAGGCATGGTGGCACGCCTGTAATTCCAGCTACTTGGGAGGCTGAGGCAGGAGTATTTCTTGAATCAGGGAGGTGGAGGATGCAGTGAGCCAAGATTGCGCCACTGCATTCCAGCCTGGGTCTGTCTCAAAACAAAAAACAAAACAAAACAAAACAAAAATATATATGTGTATATATACATATGTACACACACACACACACACATGCACATATGTGTATTAATGGCAATCCCCTTTCTTAGAGCTTTTGATTTCATTAGCCTAAAGTGTGACCCAGGCATCTGCATTTGTAAAAGGGCCTCTCTTCTGACAGATGCAGCCCCAGGGCAGAGGTTGGGGTTTGGCTCAGGCTGTGCCTTACCCTTACTCCCCTCTCTGCATCCTGACCTCCTTGATCAATATTGTAGTGGGGGCAAAATTCCACCTCCTTTTTCGTGGTTTCCCAGCTGGGCCTGAGGATTAAATTGACCTAACATAGATTAACAGGAGAAAACCATACAAAGTTATTCAATAGAAGTTTTACATGGCACAGGAGCCCTCATACAAAAATGAAGACCCAAAGAAGCAGTTGAGAGAGTCAATCACATACTGAATTGCACAAATAATAGTAAGTTGTGAAATGTAAGAAGGCAAAGGGGCTTGAGCTGGGGTAGTTAATTGGCTAGAGAAGTGATGAGGCAGATAAGGGTTCGTTTGACAAGGTTGGTTTGTACAAATTTCCCTCAGCTTCAACTTCCTGTCCTTGATGATAAGAATGTTATTCTTTTTGGTACAAGGCCGGTATCTTTCACATGGGATTTTTATGCTCTGCTTCTAAGAAACAGAATGAAGGTCAGAGTGATCTTCTTGCACCTGCTGCTTTTGTAAAAGCGTCTTTAATTCAAAATAGTCATTATGCCAGAGCAGTGTATTTTGGGGCGGCATATTTTTGACTTCTTCAGTACAAAACTGCATAAGTATTCATAGCAGCCCAAATCCCCAGGCCCTACCTCATAGATGTGGAGTAAAGCCCTGGGCTGTTGAGTAGGAAGTAGAAAGGACACTGAATAAAGTACAGCCACAAAAGTACTGAATTAGAAGCCGCAGACCTGGGGGCTAATCTGAGGTCTGTCCCTTACAAACTGTGTAACCTCAGAGACATCCACTGTCTGGGCCTCTGTCCCCTCCTTTGTTAAAATGTATAATGGGAATGTCTGGAGTCTCGGTTTTAGCTTTGGGGAACTCTAGATCTGGTTTCATTCCATCTAATTCAAGGACAGGTGTAGGGAGTTTATTACTCTAGGTTAAAAGTAAGTCTTCTATAGTAGTTGCAGAGACGGCACTAAAAGCAGCTTTCTCCCATTAGATAAGCAGCCTTTTGCCCAGAGACACAGAGTGACAGAGTCAGGATAAAACAAGCTTTGTTGTTGAATCCCATCCTCCTAAGAGCCAGTGGGGAAAAAAGGGAGGAGCCCTGGCCAAAGGTAGGAGCTTAAGGGGTGTAAGTCTCACCACTCCTGGCAGGATCAGAGGCTTGCTCAAGGTAGAGAAGGATGGGTGGGCCCTTCTGCTTACAGAGGATCCTCAGGGAAACTGGCTTCAACCCTGCTCACGAAGAGTGGAAACTGAACTTCCTTCCTTTGGCAGATCTCAGCAAACCTAGATCTGGTCATCAGAATGTTGCTTTAACCAGTGGTTCTCAAACCTTAGCGTGCATCAGAATGACTCAGAAGGAGTATTTAGACCCAGATTGCTGCCCTCCACCCCAAGAGTTTCTAATTCAGTAGGTCTGAGAATTCGCTGTTTCTGTTGATCTGGGGACCACACTTTAAACTCTACTGCTTAGGCTATCTTAGGAAGAACCACTAGGTTCTCCCTCTACAAGGCAGTTGCCATGACTTTGGGCCACTAATATCCTTCTGAAAACTTCTGAATCCACTTGTATTTTGTGTGTGTGTGTTTGTGTATGAAAGATGTGTCTACTCTTTAGGTTTCATCAGGATTAATGTACAATACTATTGGTTGGGCGCGGTGGCTCACACTTGTAATTTCAGTACTTTGGGAGGCCGAGGCAGGCTGATCACTTGAGGTCAGTAGTTGGAGAGAGCCTGGACAACATGGTGAAACTCCGTCTCTATTAAAAAATACATATAAAAATTAGACAGGTGTAGTGGCACATGCCTGTAATCTCAGATACTTCGGAGGCTGAGGCACGAGAATTGCTTGAACCCAGGAGCCAGAAATTGCGGTAAGCTGAGATGGCGCCACTGCACTCCAGCCTGGATGACAGAGCGAGACTCTGTCTAAAAAAAAAAAGTATGATACAATTGTTAACCAAAAATACATTTGTCATTCTTTTAAACCACAAATACAAAAAATAAATAATTAAGAAACCCTGGCCACGTGCTGTGGCTCACGCCTGTAATCCCAGCACTTTGGAAGGCCAAGGGGGGCAGATCACGAGATCAGGAGATTGAGACCATCCTGGCTAACATGGTGGAACCCTGTTGCTACGAAAAGTACAAAAAATTAGGCGGATATGGTGGCACACACCTGTAATCCCAGCTACTTGGGAGGCTGAGGCAGGAGAATCACTCAAACACAGGAGGTGGAGGTTGCAGTGAGCCGAGATTGCATCACTGCACTCCAGCCTGGGTGACAGAGCAAGACTCTGTCTCAAAAAAAAAAAAAAAAAAGAAAAGAAAAAAAAAGAAAAGAAACCCTATGCACATATGCAAAAACACTTGACCTTTTATGTGACAAAATAACAACAGATAAAGACCACACTGAGATTTGCTTCTACATATCTTCATTGAAAGTTTTTAAAGTTCAATATCGTGACTAGTATTGTCTTCACAAATATACATTTTCTCCACTTATAGCCTAGAGATCATTTAACTTTTTTGCTATTGTAAATAATACCTCAATAAACATGTACCGATAATACTTTTTTTCTGCATTTTGGACTGCAAATAGTTATACTGAGTGAAATTATTCTTCATGCTCATTTTAGAAAATCCTTTTCCCAGCAAATCATTCTAACCATCCTCCCACCCCATCCTGCTCCCTGTCCCCCAACTTTCAGTCCTGGGGCCATGTTCAGCTGTGGTTACACTAAATATTCATTCATTCGAACAATATTTATTGGATACTTACTATGGGTCTGTGCTATATGCCAGGGATACAGTGGTAGAAAAGACAATTACGGTTCCTACATCTATGGACTTACATATTGACAGAGATGAGAGACAGAGATCAAGTAAATGCAAGTTAAATATTTACTATGGAGAAACAAATGAGGTGCTGAGATAAAGATTAATAGACATGCATTCATGTCTATTAATGGTGGTCACCAAGGAAGGCCTCTCTGAGGTGACATTTAAGCTGAAACTTAGAACAGGGAGTAGCTAGTCATGCTACTGTGGGTAGAATAGTCCAGTCAAAAGTAACCGTATGTGCAAAGGCCCTGTGGTGGGAAGAGTTTCTGGTAGAGAAACTGAAGGAACGGTGCAGCTACAACTGAGGAAACAGTGAGAGAGAGGCAGGATTCAATCGTAAAATGCTTTGTAAGCCATTATAAAAAGTTAGGGTTTTACTTTCATTGAAATGGATGGTTTTAAGCCAGGGAGTTATCAGATTATTGTTTTAAGAAGATCACTTTTGCTGTTGAGTGAAGAAACAATTAAAGGAGCAAGAGCGGAAGTGAGAAGACCAATTAGAAGGTTGTTGTGGGCTCCAGGCAAGTGATGGCGCAAAATCGGACTACAGTGGGATTGTGGAGATGGTGAGTAAAGGACATTTATTTGGAGGTAAGCTCTGTGGAATTCCCTGATATGAGGGATGAGACAGTGAAGAAAAGGGAGGAATCCAGGGTGACTCCTAGGTTTCTGGCTTGAGTAATGGAGGGAGTAGTTATATAATTTACAGACATGAGTAAGACTTGGCAAGTGAAGAAAAGATTGCTCAGGAGGCCACTGAAGTGGGGATCCTGAAGCAGTTTCCCAGGAACCGCCTCTAAGGAAGCTCGGCAAGGGGAGACTATGGGACCAACACCCAGTTTTCTCTTCCTATGTCCATGATCTCTCTTCTTTGGGAATCTTCTCCCCAAAACTAGGCTATGGGGTGCCATCATCTTCCCAGTTACCTAACTCAAGACCACAGCCCCTCTTGACTCCTCTTTCTTGCTACCTACATTACTTTTCAGGATTTCGCTGAATCACAAAAGGAAAACAGAAAGATAATAAAAACTTTCATGTTTTTATTTATTTATGAGACGGAGTTTTGCTCTTGTTGCCCAGGCTGGAGTGTAGTGGTGCGATCTCGGCTCACTGCAACCTCCACTTCCCGGGTTCAAGTGATTCTCCTGCCTCAGCCTCCCAAGCAGCTGGGATTACAGGCACACGCCCCCACTCCTGGCTAATTTTCATATTTTTAGTAGAGATGGGGTTTTGCCATGTTGGCCAGGCTGGTCTTGAACTCCTGACCTCAGGTGATCCACTTGCCTTGGCCTCCCAAAGTGCTGGGGTTACAGGCATGAGCCACCATGCCCAGTCAGAAAGATAATAAAAACTTTTAAAATTCTAATTCCTGGTTCCTTTATTTTATTCATTCATGCTAAACAGAGGCCCAAAGGGGTTGTGTGCCTTGAGACTTTATTTCTGAGAGGGGACTTACTATGGTCTGAATGTTTGTGTCACCCCAAAATTCATATGCTGAAACTGAACCCCCAAGGTGATGGTATTAAGAGGTTGAGGCTTTGGGGGATAATTAGGTCATGAGGGCAGAGTCCTTATGAATGGGATTACCAGATACTGAATCTGCTGGCACCTTGATCTTGGACTTCCCAGCCTTCAGAACTGTGAGCGGTAGATGTCTGTGGTTTATAATTTACCCAGCCTAAGGTATTTTGTGATAGCAGCCCAAACAGACTAAGGCAGGACTTCACCAACTTCTCCATCTCGAATCCTCTTATCCTTCCCCTTCCCCTTTGGACTAAGCCCTAGGTCTGACAGACTGTTTTCTCCTGCCACACTTCACTTCATACAGTGCAGGGTTGTGAGGCCACCAAGTGCCTTCTCTTCTTACGTTTGTGTATTCATTTCCTAGGGTCACCATAACAAATTGCCATAAGTTGGGTGGCTTTACACAACAGAAATTTGTTCTGGTGGTTAGATGCCCAAAATCAAGGTGTTGGAAAGACCACGCTCCCTCCAAAGTCTCTAAGGGAGAAGTTGTCATTGCCTCTTCTAGCTTCTGGTAGCCCAGGTATTCCTTGCCTGGAGGCAACATCACTCAGCCTGGCCTCTGACTTCACATGGCAGTCTTCCCTCTGAGTCTATGTCCAAATTTCTCTCTCCTTGTAAAAATACCAGTTATATTGGATTAAGAGCCCACCCTTTTTCAGTATGACTTCAGTTTCACTTAACTAATTACTTCTACAATGATTCTGTTTCCAAATAAGGTCACATTTTGTGGTACTGGGAGGCTAAGGCTTTAACATATCTTTTGGGGGATGCAATTCAACCCATAATGGTAAGAAATTTGCATTGCTTTTAATTACAGATCCCGTGACATCCTACAGTTTCTCTACACACAACCCACAGTGGACCACAGTGGACTGGTCCCATTTGGGCATTCCTTCTATACTAGCCTGGTAGTCTCAGAAACTTCGTTGAGTCCTGGAGGTGAAGGATCTGTATAGCTCATCCCACACTGTCATATAATCAGGGTACTTGCTTGCAAATTTTCAATATGAAAAACAATTATTAGACATGCATAATGTTTGTGTTGGCTTGATTACTGCATTTTTTCCCATGTAGGCAAGCTCCATGGGACGTCAAACTATCAGACAGTTGCTTGGAGAGAATGGAAGAAGCTGGAGGTAGGGGAATCAGAGGCAGGAGTTTTACAACTTGAACATTTGGTAGCATCCACCCAGGACTACAATAAGAAGACAGAAGGGCCTCTACCTATGCTCAGTGCTTAGATGAACGCTGCTAGTCTTGTCTTTGACAAGTGATTTTTATCTCCTTGGCTGACCAAATCCTCCCCTGCCCTTTTTTTGTTAGATACATTATTATATCTTCAATCTGGTTAATGTCCATTCTTATTGCCTGGGGAGCCACTTGACCGCTTTAAGGTACTTGCTAATCTCTGCTCTGATCCATTAGGAATTCATTTAGAGTTTAACTCTCTGAGGGCAACTTCATTTCTAAGGCTTGAGGACCACAGTGCAGTAACAAACAGAGGAGAGGAAGGTAGAGGTCCCAGCAAAGGGGGCTGCCTCATTGGGACAGTATATTGCAAACCCTCAGGAAGGCAGGAGGATAACAGGAAGACCCTAAGGAAATGAGAGACTCAGGGTGAGGGGTGACAAACAGGAAAAAGGAAAAGTGAATGCCAACCTCGACTTTGCAATTTTCCCTAGAGCCAATTCTGACAGTATCCTCCTGCCTCTTTACAAAGAGCAGGCAGCGAAAACTGAGATGACAACAATTTTTTTTTCCTCTGTAAAGCTGGGCTCAATTTGAGACAGAATATTAATGGCAAAAGGCTTAATATCTCATTATCAATCCCCATGAGCATAGAGTCCCCAGAAAAGATAAATATTTGACTAGATGATGATAATATGTGTGATAATTTATAGTCAGCATTCCACATGCATTTTCATTGAATCTTCTACTACTTCAGAGTGGGCTATGCAACAATTATATACATATGTATTTTAAATTCTGAACTCAGGATCTGAGGATCATTAAGCCCATATAACTCTTCAAAAAAAGAGCAGTTTCCTTATTGATTACCCAGGACAGGCAACAGAATGTCTACATTCTTTCCCTTTATCTTTCAGTTCATTGAGTAAAAATAGATTGAGGCTTACCCCAGTTTTCTCAAAATCTTGCTTGAAGGTGAACATGAGGTCACCTTAATGGCTATCAAAACCATTTCTTATTGCCAGGCTTGAAAAAGTTTTCCCAATTCTCTGAAATTCTGTCTTTGGGGGAACTTCAACCTCTTTCTAACTTCTAATTAGCCTTTCTTCAAGGACAAGAGTTAGTGGAAAGTGAAAAAAAGTCGGAGAGGCTGCTTGGGGCACCTAGGTTGCAAAAGTAATTGGACTCCTTTCATCTCTTCCTCTGTGCTAATTCTAGGGATTAATACTGTTGTCTGTAAAATATCCTTTGAAACCAAGCCTCCCAGAGAAGGTATTGATGTATACAAGCAGACACAATTCCCAGATGGACTACTGGCTGATTTATGCTGATCCATGCACCTACACCCTCACAGATTTGTCTTCAATGACAACTCTTATGAGTCATTCTTGCATGGACTCTTCATAGACAGCCTATTATAGATCCTTCCAAATCCCTGTAGTCAGTGCATTCTGGATTCAAGTACTTTTCCACTAGGTGGGGGAATGTTTTTCTAGTGGAAAAGGAATCTTCCATTCATTTGGACATGGGGTAAAAATGACTGGCAGAAAATGTGTTGTCTCAAAAGACTCCATTGCAAAAGCTCTTTATTTTCACATTGCTAAAAGATGCAGTTAAGTGGATTTTTTAAAAAATTAAGGAGCAGTCTGTTCTCAAAGATAAATGTATCCTTTGATTCATTCAACAAATATTTATTTAGTAGCTACTCAGAAGATACTTTTAAGATACTTTCTCCATTACTTTTCAACTAACAAATCAATGTTTGTAGGAAGAGGCACTAGGTTTAAAGTATAACTTTAAACTCTCATGGAGCATATATTTTGGTGAGGAAGATAGATAATAAGGAAGTGAAGGGCACAAAGAAACCTAACAGCTTCCAGTAGTGATAGGCTTTGGATTTTTTTAAAAGAAATGAATAGGGTAATTGGAGGGTAACTGGGTGATAGCGTTTGGATGTTTGTCTCCTCCAAATCTCATGTTGAAGTGTGATCCCCGGTGTTGGAGGTAGGGCCTGGTGGGAGGTGTTTTTGTCATGGGGGTGGAGCCTTCATGAAGGGCTTGCTACCATTCTTGTGTAATGAGTGAGGTTTTCACTCTATTAGTTCACAAGACAGCTGGTTGTTTAAAATGAGTTTGGGACCTCCCGTCTTCCTCTCTCTTGCTCCCTCTCTCACCATTTGACGTACCTGCTCCCCCTTCATATCCTACCATGATTGCAAGTTTCCTGAGACCTCACCAGAAGCCAAGCAGATGTTGGTGCCATGCTTGACAGCCTGCAGAACTCGGAGCCAAATAAAACTCTTTTCTTTATAAATTACCTAGTCTCAGGTATTCCTTTATAGCAAGGCAAAACAGACTCACATACTGGGGAAGGAAGTTTTATATAGGGTGATCATGCGGGGCCATCCTGATGAAGTCATGTTTAAACCAAAACCCGAAAGATGAGAAGACAGTCGTGAGAAGTGAAGGAAGAGTCTTCCAGGCAGAGGGACTATCAAAAGCAAATATCTCAAAGCCAAAACGGGCACAAGTGGCCTTTTTGGAACATAAAGGAGCCAGCACGTCTGACTGAAGGTGAGATGAGAACAGGTAAGTAGGTGGGAGCTTTCCAAGGGGAGATCTGATTGGCTATGGCAAGAGATTGGATTTTTAAGAGCACAGTGGTGCCATTATGGGATTTCAATGATATGAGTCTTGTGGTCTGCCAAAAGATGACCTGTTCAATAAACTTAAACATTGACCAAAACTTTGTTCTTTTAATTTATTTATTTAAATTTATGTTTAAAGTTTAGAGCTCTCTCCCTGTCTTGCAGCATCTCAAATTGAATGCAGTACTTTTAACAGCTTTTGAAGGTTCCTGTGAAGTTTTTGTTGACTGGTTCTGATTTTATCTCCCTAGCAGCATATTAGGGAATGGTCAGATAGTCAAATGGCCACAAATTATAGAGAGGTTTAGTATTCTGATGAATATATTTAATATCATAAATCAACTCTAACCAACACCTTAATGTTTCATTGAGGGATTTTTATGTTTATATTAATTTCTTTCTAACTCTTTTTAGGTCACTCTTAAAGTTTAATTTTCTAATATTTTAGTACTTTTAAGATACTTTCTCCATTACTTTTCAAGTAACAAATCAATGTTTGTTTGTAATTTTTATTATCCATAGCCCTTATTTATTATATAATGTGATTGCTCTCATCACTGTCTGGTTCATTTCTTCATTTAGCCTTTTAAGGGTTTTTTTTTTTTTAACCCTTTTTAAATTCCTCCTTTACAGTTTGTTGTTGGTGGTGGTGGTGGTGGTTTTTTTGTTGTTGTTGTTTATTTGTTTGTTTTTGAGACAAGGTCTCCCTCTGTCATCCAGGCTGGAGTGCAGTGGCATGATCCCGGCTCACTGCAGCCTTGACCTCCTGGGCTCAAGCGATCCTCCCACCTCAGCCTCTCAAGTAACTGGGACCACAGGCACATGCCACTACACCCAGCTAATTTTTTGTATTTTTTGTAGAGATGGGGTTTTGCCATGTCACCCAGGTTGGTTTTGAACTCCTGAGCTCAGGTGATCCACCCACCTCAGCTTCCCAAACTGTTGGGATTACAGGTGTGAGCCACCATGCCGGGCCTACAATTTCATGTTTATGGTTAAGGTAACTCAAGTTTGAACTATTAATCATACAGTCTGTTATGCTAACCCCTTTTAGGTATTCTTTCTAGTAAGTTGAATAATTTTCCTTTTCCACATTGAGTTCTTCTGCAAACTGTTACTGAGTCTATGTATACAATTTTTCCTGGTTAGAACTAAAAATGTTAGCATTTATTACATGGTAGGGTTTTATAAGCTACTTCTTGTTTTTTTAGGATACTCTTTAATGTTAATTTAGTGTTTGAAAAGTAAGAAATGACATTGAAATAATTATTAAAAGCAAGTTTTTTTAAATAAATCCATATGTTTGATAAATTTGGAGAATTGCATATTTGGCAAATTATCATTGGCTAAATTAAATTTCTGTAAATTGGCATTTGGCAAGTTGATTTTCAGATAATTCACTCAGAAATTATTCAGTTTCCATTAATGAAGAAAGAACATTACAAAGAAAAAACAAAAAATAAATAAAATAAAAATAAATTTAAAAAGAAAACAAAAAAAGAAAGAACATTGACATAAATGTAGAACATGTATATTGAATTCAAGCCTTTTCTTTTTGAGAAAAACCTGCTTATAGATTTAATTTGGTTTTAAAGCTTCCAATCATCAAAGTTGTCAGGCATCTCTTTATATGGTTTTATAAAATTAAAAAATGTCATAGTTTCTGCTATTCTTTCAGGGCAGCCTTTTAAAAAAAATGTTCACCTCTCATAAATAATATTTTCCTAGGATGAGAACTCAATTACTAAGGAGAAGAGTTAACATCAATTCAACAGAGACATGCTTTGTTAGTGCTTCTCAATGCCTTCCTGGATTTTTTTCTCCAGTAAAGTTCCTGGTATACTGCCGGATGACTACCCAAAATGCAGTTACAATTGTGGGATTTTATGATTTAAAAGTAATTTAAAAATCAATTCCCTTTGCCGTTTACTCTAAGAGACAATTATTGCCTGGTATTGTTTTGAAATGTGGTCAGATAAAAGAAAAAAGAAGCTTTCTCTGGCCCTCTCCATCCACCAAGTCAGAGGTTATACTTTCCACTCAAGTTCCATTTTATGAGAATGGCAAATATTTGTGGTATGTCTTTGCTGTTTCTCTTTTTCTCCCCCTCCCTTTCTGAAGCAGTGCAAAGAAGTTGCTTGTGAATTTTTGCCCTTTCTATTCTACATTTTTCTCAAGTATTTCTATCTTTTCTTGTCCCTGTCTGCATTTTACTTTTCTGCACAAATACCAACTAAAATGAGTATATTTTAAGAAAAGTAGGAGCAGTATCATCTTTACAAAGGAATTAAATGTGCTTGAAATTCCAGTGTCTTTCCTCACCCAGGATAAAGCAGAATGACAGATTATTTGAGTTATACACTTTGACTTAGAAGACAAACATTTCCTCTAAACAGGTGACTCCAAATTTCTCATTATTCTTATTACAACATTTTGGGGGTAACACAGATTTTTTTTAATAAATAAATAAATAAATAAGTCCACCAGTGTGGTAGGTTAAATAATGCCCTCCTCCAAGATGTCCACATCCTAATCCCTGAAACCCGTGAATTTGTTATCTTACATGGTGAAGGCTCTTTGCAGATGTGGCTAAATTAAGGGGTTTGCAATGGGGAGATTATCCTGGGTGGGCCCAATGTAGTCAAATGGGTCCTTATATGAGGTAAGAAGGAAGCTCAATATCAAAAAAGAAGATGTGGTGATGAAAGCAGGGGTTGGGATGATGCCACTTCCGGAAGGGGGCCCTGAACCAAGGCATGGGGACAGCTTTTGGTAGCTGGAAAAAGCAAGGAAGCCAATTCTCCAGCAGGAACACAGTTCTGCCAACCCACTGGTAACTTCTGACCTCTGTATGAGAACAAAGTTGTGCTGTTTCAAGTCACTAACTTTGTTGCATTTTGATTATAGCAGCAATAGGAGACTAATACAACTGGAATATAAGAGGAACTTTCCATTGGAGTTCTTTTTAAAGAGTAGGGCCTCTTTAAAGAAATATTTTTTTTGGACTGTCCTAAATTGTGTATTAGGAAGGAATTTTACAAACTTTACTTATATCAGCAGTAACGGTGGAGCTGGAGAGTATTGTGTCTTCTCCACGCTGCACGGCGAGAACCACCAACAGTGTGGTGGAACTTATGGCCCTTTCCAAGGCCACGGCTCTTTTGGCCTGCAGATGTCAGCCCACACATCTCCCTGTGCTTGTGGATTGGTTTGGTGATCCACTGGGTGTCAGGATTTCTTCCGATGGCTTTATGGAATGGATCAATGAGGATAACCTCAGAAAATTTGTATGTGGAATCTTCACCAACCCAGTAAGAATTCAGGACTCTTAGAGCCCCACAGTGGCATCCGGCTCGCTCCTCTGCAACAGACTGAAGGTTTCGGGCAAACTTTAGCTGGTTAACACCGTGATGGACAGGCTTGCTGTAAGTTGCACCCTTGGAACTGGGCGTTTTTGGCCACCACGGCGCACACGAATCCTACATATAACATAACCTTGCTTGGCCTTGTAGCGCAGTCAGCCAGCTTTATGAGGCCTGCTGCGGTGGAGCCTGGTGGGGCGGTGAGCCCTGTGGACAGCAGAGAGCTGGCAGTACTGCCAGCAGTGGACCCTCAAAAGAAAGTGCATGACATCACACTGCTTCTTCCTGCATAGCTCCTGGATGTGCTTGTATGCATCCACCTTGGTTTAATGGATGGCTGCCGCCAGGTGGAAAGGAAAGAGCCTTTCTCCACTAAAGAAATATTTTTACACCTTTTTTTGAGGACATTTTTTAAAAAATTAACTCCTCCACAGTTACTGCTCATAAATTCTCTTTCCTTTGGGAATTTTTGTTCCCAAGAGAAATAGTACAACCTTAGAGCAACTGAGCAAAGTTAGGCCGACTCTGAGAAGTTAGGCCAAGTTGAAGCACCACCCCAGGGCTCAAGCAATTAAAAGACCTAAGGCTTCACGTCATGGTTGGATCTGAGATCTCAAATTCTATCATTAGGTTGTTTTTCTTCTCTCTGCTCGCAAACAAGCTCTCTTCCATATGCCAAGCATGATGGCCATGAAATTCAATACACATCGAATTAACTTAGGAACCCCTGAGGAAAAAGGACTCAGGATCACTATGGCAGAAAGGTCCCAGGAGGACTCCAATTGACCTAGCTTGGATCACATGATCAAGCTAGATTCATCACTGTGGCCAGGGAGATGATATACCCTGATTGGCTGGTCTGAGAGATGAGCCTGCCCCTGTGGCAGGAAGTTGGGTCAGCTTTAACCAAACCTCGCAGAATGGGTTCCCCACAGAAATTAGAGAGTTAAAAATTAATATCAATGAAAAGCAGAGACAAAAGACCATGTAATTGTGGAGGGGGAGAGAGAGAAAAAAAAGAAAAGACTCTCTTATGACTTTCTAGTTCTTGGATATAATTCTTCATGACACCTAGCCACATTGCCTGTGGATTCAGGAGTATCCTGCATGCTTCTGATAAACTTTCTCATTTCTTAAGTCAAGAGTATTTATATTCTTGGTATCCAAATGATTCCCAACCAAGAAAAACCAAAGTAATACATCTTTAATGAACCAAAGTATCAGGTGATGTTTTATTGATAACAGTATTTTTTATACTTGTGGTGGAATTCTTTTTCCCAGTAATAGCCCCCTGATTTTCTTTGGGGAAACACTCTGGATTCCCTTGTTTTGGATGAGCCTGGTCAAGCCAAAGTTCTGGGCATGGGATAGGTGATTCAGGTCTGCCAATCAGCCTGGGGCCACCAGGATTGGTTCAAGGGTGGGCAGTTGATCCAAGGCCCAAGATTTTTTGTGGAAACCATCGAGATTCTTTTGGCTGAGCTTGAAGCTTTGAGGACATAAGAGACTCTGGAATCCCTCTTACCACCATGAAGGCAACGTCTGCCTGAGGATAAAAGAAAGAAGATCAGGAAATGAAGGTAAGACGGCTGATCCCTGAGGATGTAGCCTGAGCATACGGATCTAACTATGTGCTTAACCAACTCCTGGACTTTCAACTATGTAAACCAATACATATTATTTTGTGCTTACACTAGCTTAAGTTAGATTTCAGTCACTTACCACAGAAAAAGTTTTTACTAATATTTTAACTTATATATCTTTTCAGTTAGTGTTTCAGTTATACTTGCATCCATAATGTATTGCTATGCAACAAATCACCCCTAAATGTAGGGTCTTAAAATAACAATGTTTTCTTTCTGTGATTCTGTGGGCTAAATGAGTGAGTCTTCTGTTGGCCTTGCTTAGGCTTACCCGTGAAGCTGCACCCCACTGGTCTACCAGCTTAGGGCTGGGCTTCACTCAGCATGTGGTTGTCCATCCTCTAGGAGGCTAGACTATTCCTCTTCACATGGCAATGTCAGGGCAGTGTTCAGGGGCACATGTCAGTATACAAATGCTTACCAAACTTCTACTTATATCATGTGTGTAGATGTCCATTGGCCAAAACAAATGTTATGACCAATCTTAGCATCAGTGATTCATGCTATAAAGTAGCATGAATAAAAGAAGGATGATACATTGAGACCATTTATACAATGATTTACCAAATTCTTAAAAAATTTCTAAGTGCTTCTCTGTGCATTAGCTTATTTAAGCATCATAATAACCCTGTGAAATACTCAAAATCAATATCATTTTTGTATCAGTCAGGCTGCAATCAGGAGAGAGAAATACCATCAGAAATTTAACGAGAAAAAATGTAATATAAAGAGTTATCAACTGGTAATAAGGAACTAGCAACTGGGACTGGGAGGAGATAAAAGAGAACTCTGAAGAATAACCTAAGAGTCGGGGAGAGTGACCAAGAAAAGAACAAACTTGGAAGGTAGGTCAAGTCTCACACCTTGTGGCAGGTAGGAGTGTGCCTGTTGCCCAGTAGATAGAGGAGAAGTTTGTTGAGTTGTCCCAGGCCAGAGCTGGTTATCAGCTGGTGGGCTGAGGCTGGTGAGCAGGGAACCATGAGTCTCTCACCAGTGTGCCAGCCAAACTTGCAAGAGTATGAATGTCCCTGGCCATTCTATATACGTGCCATGCATCCTATGTGCCATAGGAGCAAGTGGGAAAGAATAACACTGGAACTGGAAAAAGAAGCCTCTTGCACCTGCAGAGTCCCTATGGCACTCTCTATTGACAAAGCTGTACACAGTGCTGGCTGACAGAGGTCAACATGTATAGGGTCCAGCTCCACAGTATCACAAAGCAGAACAACAAAGAGAACTGAAAAGCGATCAGTTGAAAAGGGGCACTGTCCATCTCTTTGGCTTCTTCGCTTCCATATGCACCCTTTTACAAACATTTGAACTCCTTCATGAAAACAAAACACCTCTATGTTTTCACCTAACATAATACAGCTTCCCTTTGTAAAAATGAACACGTGTTCACCATTTCCTCAAAATAAGGAAACACACAATCCCAATAGTAATAATTCTCAAGTTCAGTCACAGTCCCAATGAATTTTTGTTTGTTTTTGAGATAGAGTCTTGTCATCCAGGCTGGAGTGCAGTGGCGCAATCATGGCTCACTGCAGATTTGACCTCCCAGGCTCAATCAATCCTCCCACCTCAGCCTCCTGAGTAGCTGGGACTATGGTGTGCACCACCAAGCCTGGCTAATTTTTGTACTTTTTGTTGAAACAGCGTTTTGCCATGTTGCCCAGGCTAGTCTCAAACTCAGGGGCTCAAGCAATCTGCCCATCTTGGCCTTGCAAAGTGATGGGATTACAGGGTGTGCCAATGCGCTGGGCCCCAGTGAATATTTTGTTACCTGAACACTAAATTATAAAGTTAACCTCCAACAATTTAGATATAAAATAACAGTGGGAAGGAGAGAAAAGAATATTTTTATAATATACAAATGAATATATACTGTTTGAAATGCTTATTTAGTAATAAAATGCTTGTGCCCCAGTGCCGTAAAGAAATAGCATTTGAACATACATTTAATTTCCTCAGCAAGGCCATTTTGACTTTCTGCAGAAAGGGTACACTTGCCAGCAGTTTTGCCACGAAAGTACACCGAATAAAGGGTCATTTATAACCTGACACATCCACCCTACTGCTATGTCCGGTTTCCATTGGCTGGAACGAGACCTCACATTCTCTATTTGTCCCAATTGGCTAGCAACTTAGAACTTTCTAAAAGAGGCAAAGGCAGAGAAGAACAAAGGAAGGAGGAAGTAACTTGGGGAATGCTGAGAAAGGTAAAAGCACCGCCAAATATGGAAGAGGAACAGGCTATGACCTAATGCTTGCTTGGACCAGTATAAGCATGCCAGGGCAAATATTAAGGCTAAATTGTGGGAGCTAAGAACATAAAGTACATTGATTTTTTTTTATTACGGCTAGCAGATATTTAAGAATGTTAGCACAGGTCTTTAAATAAATTTTGCTTCTAAGAGAAGTTACTATATTCCTAATTAGTCAGGGAGGAGAGTCTCTTTGAAGAGGAACCTTTACTTTACTTTTTACATACACATATAACAAGTAAGGAGAAAATCTGCAAAGCTACTGTGAACCCAGAAAATCTGGGACAGGTCTCAGTTAATTTAGAGAGTTTATTTTGCCAAGGTTGAGCACACAGCCTCAGGAAGTCCTGATGACCTGTGCCCTAGGTGGTCAGGGCACAGCTTGGTTTTATACATTTTAGGGAGACAGGAGACATCAATCAATATGTGTAAGAAGTACATTGGTTCGGTCTGGAAAGGTGGGACAACTTGAAGCAAAGGCAGGAAGCGGGGAGGGGCTTCCAGGTCACAGATAGGTGAAACACAAACGGTTGCATTCTTTTGAGTTTCTGATGAGCCTTTCCAAAGGAGGCAATCAGATATGCATCTATCTCAGTGAGCAGAGGGATGACTTTGAATAGAATGGGAGGCCTGTGGGCCCTAAGCAGTTTCCAGCTTGAGTTTTCCTTAGTGATTTTGGGGGCCTAAGATATTTTCCTTTCACATGACCACAGTCCTGATTTCTGTAAGATGCCATGGAATAATCTATGATTTCCTCCTCCCAGAATCCATCCTATATTCATTTTACCCTGAGGCAGAACCTCAGATGGTCAAGGTTCTTTATCGGGTGAAATGACCCAAACCTTCATTCCCAAAGGGCCTAAGTCCTCAGTCATGTTGCTTTTTTTTTTGTTTGCTTGTTTCTATAGTTTTCTATTACCTTTTACTATTGTGCATAGAAGTACTAAGAGGGTCTCTAGATAATCCTCTGTGTTCCAGACATGGTTCCTCTTCCCCATTGTGTAGTAGCAGCTCAATTTCCCCCTTGGTAACTAGGATCAATCATTCTAGCCCATGGAGTAACACCTTTTTCTGCTGGTTGGCTCAGTGGCACAAGTCACCCCAAATGGCCAGGTGGCAGTTGCATCTCTCAGGAAGCCGCAGTTTCACAAAGCAGGCAATAAAGGGTGGATTTGGGGCTGAGTAATGAGAATAAATTGATAGCAGCACAGTTGTCTCTGTTTTTCAAATAAGAAAACTATGATTCAGAGAGGCTAACTGATATGCCTTACATCATGTGCTACCAAGAGGCAAGGGCCAGGACTTCATCCCTGGTCCTCAGACCTCAAATCAGAATCTTTTTTGCTCGTTTAGGGATAGTTGTTCAGCTAGATTGGATCAAGCACCAGACATGGATATAACACCTAGGTCTGAATGCTACCATGTATTTACTCACTGCAAAACCTTAGGCAACTCATTTAAGGATTCCGGAGCCTCAATTTTTTTCAACTGTAAAGTCAGGATACTGGTCCCCTCTTGACAGGATTAGAATGAGATCTGAATGGTTAAAGGTCCATGAAGGCACTACGTAAACTCCAGCAGATTATACAAAGCTAAGGTATCGTTATTAAGGATTGTACAGACTCTCAAGTTACTGCTTACCCATGGAAAATTTTGATTAATTCCTTAGCAACTCATAGTTTATGATAAATGGCCCTATTAAGGGAAGTTACTGCCACCCAGGCAGCGATGGGGTGATTTCTAAAATCAGCAGAAAATGTAGAGCAAGCGGGCATAGTCCAGGGTGGTAGGAATTGGTAGGGTTCTATGGACCAGTACTCTCTGAATCTCAATTATTTCTGCCAAATATTTCTTTCAAGTCATTTTGGGAAATGGCTCACTGCCTTTTTCTATTTTATTAAATCTAAGAACCTCATTAAGTCAAACTATCAGTGATGCATTGTCAGCAGGAAGAAAATGGGGAAAATCCTCTTTCAGTGTTTGATCATGAAAATCTTTCTAACAAACCCAAGACAAACACATTCCACTCCTACTGTCTATTCACATGAGATTAACTATTGTGCCTGTTCACAATATTCAATCATCATTTCTTACTCATTTAGAGCTGCTTGCATGCATTAGGAAATGGAGAACAGCAGGCTACAGTGTATCCTTCTGCATTCTCAGTGCTAGAAATATGGCTTAATTAAATGCAATTAGGACCTTGACACTATTTTTATTAAGAAAAGAAGAAGCCAAAGCTCTCTCCTCCAAAATAAAGAAAAAGATAGTAGAAGAAATTAACATTTGTTTTTCACTTTCTACTACACACTCTAGGTCGTTCCCAGTTTTTTTGTTGTATTTTATAGACCATTACTCATAGTCCTGCCTAACAAACACCTAGACTGCATTTCTTGCCTTTACTTGCTGCATTGATAGTCCCCACTAATAATAAGCTTTGAACATACTTGATAGGAAAACACAGTCTCCTATGCTCAGTCCAATTAATGAAAATGTCCTTTTCCATATAGTTTTCAGGAAGGTGTTACATCATTAAACATCATCATCTGAGGGATGATTTGAGACAGGGTCTCACTCTGTCACCCAGGCTGCAGTGCAGTGGCACAATCACCGCTCACTGCAGCCTTGACGTCCCCGGACTCAGGTGATTCTCCCACCTCAGCCTCCCAAGTAGCTGGAACTACAAGGCATGTGCTACCACGCCTGGCTAATTTTTTTTTTTTTTTTTTTTTTGTAGAGATGGGGTTTTGCTGTGTTGCCCAGGCTGGTCTTGAACTCCTGGGCTCAAGCAATCCACCTGCCTCAGCCTCCCAAAGTGCTGGGATTACAGGCGTGAGCCACCATGCCCAGCTTCATCCTACATCATCTTAGCAGCTGTCTGTGTGCCTTATTTGGTGTCTGGTACACAAGCACACAATAAATATTTGGAATGGAGGCCTTTGGCTTAATGTCATAGCCTGTTATCAATGAAAGAATCATAAAAGAAGAACTCATAAGGAGGTTCTAAACTTTTCAGATGACATTTAAAATTAACTGGTTTAGGGCTATAATGCTAAACCAAGACTTTTTAAGAAAGTCTTCCCCCTCATTATAAAAGTGATAAATGGTCACTATGGAGGTTTTTGAAAATATAAGGAAAAAATAAGATGAAAATCACCCATAGTCTCACAACCCAGATATATTTTTTAAAATTTTGGTGTATTTTCTCCTGTCTCTCTCTCTCATTAGGACTGTACAATACACAGTTTTGTATTCAATGCTTTTGCACATAATATATTTTGAATATATTTTTCTTGTCATTATGTGGTCTTTGAAAACAAAATTTTCAATGAATGTATGAAATTCTATGTTCGTATATATGTGTATGTGTGCTCCCTCAGTGTGTATATACATACACACACACACACTCCACACACATACAGGGACGGACACACACACACACAGAATACCACATAACACAAAGCTGAATTTATTGCTTATTATGGTAAGGAAGAGCCATGCTGGTCAGGTAGAATCTGGCTTAGCAGAATAATGATTTTATACTGGATTTTGGGGAAGCATAGAGTTCAGGGATTGGAAGATTTTCAGGGATATAAGTAGATTGACGTCAACTCTAGAAATGTGGTTACTCCAGTGAGACTGTTGCTGATTGGTTGGCATTCAGAAGCTCATCTATTAGACTAACTCTGTTCCCGATTGGCTGACTTGCATATGTAAGAGACTATCACTGATTGGTTGATTTGTCAAAGCACGTTCACTGAAGCAAGTTGCATTGATTGATAGAGTTTAAAACCTGGTTATAATGGTACTTGTTACCGTGGTTATAGAACAATCAACCTTTTCTCAGAAATATGCGATTTTAAAAAATTCTTAATACAATAGTTTATCTAATCATTCTCTTATTATGGGATAATTGGATTACTCACAATATTTCCCCTATTATAAATAATGCTCCAGAGACTATGCTAATAATCTTTGATCATATTCCTGGTTATTTTGTTAGGAAAGATTCCTCGAAGTGGATTGGTGAATCAACAGATGGTTTTGTTTAATGTCATTAAAGTAATACAAGTCTGTTACAGAACATTTAGGAAATATAGATATATAAAAAGAAGAAAAATAAAACATCCATAAGCTACCCCTCTCCACACCATATTATCCCTGTTTAATGTTTAGAGCTTATTCTTCTATTCCATTTTTGTTGTTGTTCCTCTATAGAGCTACAAAAGAAACACAAATGAAAAATTCTGGTAGTCCTCCTTTCCAGTTTTCTTTCTTTATCTAATTTTCCTGGATATCTTTCCTTGTCATTACATAGTCTCATGTAATGTCTGGATAAAATGTGTGTTTCTATCTGTATATAATACCACAATTCCTTTAACGATTTTCTGTTGTTGGATATGCAGGTCACCCTTCATCCTTATTTTGTTCAATCCTAATTAGTATTCTTATATTATTTAAAATTTTTGTCATTATTATTATTATTATTTTGAGACAGAATCTCGCTCTGTCACCCAGGCTGGAGTGCAGTGGCACCGTCTCCACTCACTGCAACCTCCTCCTCCCGGGTTCAGGCGATTCTCCTGCCTCAGCCTCCCAAGTAGCTGGTACTGCAGGTGCCCGCCACCTCGCCCAGCTAATTTTTGTGGTTTTAGTAGAGATGGGGTATCACCATGTTGGCCAGGCTGCTCTCCAACTCCTGACCTCAGGTGATCCACCCACCTCGAACACTGGGATTACAGGCGTGAGCCACCGCACCCGGTCTTCATTATTATTAAACAATGACTTATGGCACATATGTATACCTAAATGTTCACACATATCTATGTTTATTGTCTAAGAATAATTTCACAGAAGCTGGACTTTGGGTCAAGTAGTAGGGCAGAGTTTTAAGATTTTTTGATAAGTATGTTGGAAAAATGGTTTGCAGAAAGATAAAAATTTAAACTGTTGAATTTTCTTCACCCTATGAAATACTTTGCCTCAATATTTTTTCTGTTCTTTGCCTATTTTATAGAAAGAGTTAATATAATATTTCTATATTAATTTGTATTTTACTGAGTGGAGGGTTGAAAACTGCTTTCCAGTTTTGTGGTTAATATTGTTTCTCCTTCTACCAATGTCTTATTTATGAACTATGTTATTTTTCTGTAGTCAAGTTCATATTTTCATATATGGTTGTTAGAATACTCCATATAAATATATTCACCCTTGGCTGGGTATGGTAGCTCATGCCTGTAATTCTACCACTTTGGAAGGCTGAGGTGGGCGGATCACCTGAGGTCAGGAGTTTGAGACCAGCCTGAACAACATGGAGAAACCGCATCTCTACTAAATATATAAAATTGGCCCGGCATGGTGGTGCATGCCTGTGATCCCAGCTACTCGGGAGGCTGAGGCAGGAGAATCGCTTGAACCCGGGAGGCGGAGGTTACAGTGAGCTGAGATCACGCCACTGCACTCCAACCTGGGCGACAGATCAAGCCTCCACCTCAAAAAAAAAAATATGTATATACACACACACACACATATATACACACACATACATACGCGTGCACACACACACACACACACACACACACACACACACATATATATATATATTCACCCTTGTGGCATTTCAGGTATCTTATTATTTGCTTTAAATTTGATTTAGTGTTTTAAAAATCTCTGTATTATGGAAAATTTCAAACTTTTAAAGGTTTTATATACTGTATATAATACTATGGAAGATACTATAATAAACCTCCATGGACACATTACCCAGTTTCAATAATTATCATGGCCCATCTATGTCTCTATGCCCCCCATTCTTTCTCTCACACTGAATTATTTTGAAGCAAGTCTCAGACATCAAATACTCTAATCAGTAAACACTTCTATATGCATATATATATATATATATATATTTGTTGTTGTTGTTGTTATGGTTGTTTAGACAGGGTCTCACGTTGTTGCCCATGCTAGAGTGCAGTAATGTGATCATAGCTCACTACAGCCTTGAACTCCTGGACTCAAGCAATCTTCCCACCTCAGCCTCCCCAGTAGCTGGGGCCTTCAAGTGGCACCACCATGCCCAGCTAGTTAAAAAAATTTTTTTGTAGAGACGGGGTCTCAGTATGTTGGCCAGGCTGGTCTCCAGCTGGCCTCAAGCAATCCTCCCATCTTGGCTCCCCAAAGTGCTGGGATTACAGGCATGAACCACCATGTCCAGCCTGTATATGCATATATTTTAAAAACCTAACAGCAAGATTATTATCACACCAAAAACCTCTACAATAATTATTTAATATTATTAAATATCTAGTCAGTGTTCATATTTTCCTGAAACATATATAATATATGTCATATACAGTATATATTTTATATACTATATGTATGTCATATACAGTATATATTTTATATACTATATATGTCATATACGGTATATATTTTATATACTATATGTCATATACGGTATATATTTTATATACCGTATATGTCATATACGGTATATATGTCATATATAGCGTATATTTTATAAACTATATATGTCATAGCGTATATTTTATATACTATATATGTCATATATAGCGTATATTTAATATACTATATATGTCATATATAGCGTATATTTTATATACTATATATGTCATATATAGTATATATTGTATATATAATATATGCAAATATATGTGTGTGTATACACACACACACACATATATATAATCATAAATCACTGGGTTCTCAAGTTAGACTCACACAATCAAAGGTATTCCCAGTATCAAACTCCACAAGTAATTTCAAAAATACAGGTGGTTAGGCTGGGCATGGTGCCTCATGCCTGTAGTCCCAGCACTTTGGGAGGCCAAGGTGGGTGGATCACTTGAGGTCAGGAGTTCAAGACCAGCCTGGCCAACATAGCGAAACCTCGTCTCTACTAAAAATACAAAAATTAGCCAGGCGTTGTGGTGGGCGCCTGTAATCCCAGCTATTTGGGAGGCTGAGGCCCAAGAATTTCTTGAACCTGGGAGGCAGAGGTTGCAGTGAGTTGAGATCATGCCACTGCACGCCAGCCTGGGCAACAGAGTGAAACTCTGTCTCAAAAAAAAAGAAAAGAAAATATATAGACAATCAAGAGACTGAGATAAAGTACAGACAGCCTCCAGGGATGGGGCAAGGTCACTGTGGGGTTGGCTCCGGGAAACCTGGCAAAGCAATGGCCAACACTGAGGCAAAGGGACATGCCCGAGTTGCCCTGAAGATGCTTGAGGGAGGAACGCTAAGGGACAGAGGCTAAGGCGAGTAGGATGCTTGGATGGCTATTTCATGTCAAGCTAGAAGATCCACCAGAGGAGCAACCCTTGGAGGGCCCAAAGGACACGCCCTTCAGCCAGGGCACTGGAATGTGCTGGTGAGGGGGCATCAGCACTGCTAATCCATTCAGTGGTGGTGCTCCACTGCAGGTCAGGGTCAGCCATTGAGAAGATGGTCTGAGTTGGGCTTGTTAATGTGGATAGGGATGATGGAGCCCTGAAGTAATAGAGGTAAGGTGGCTTAACCACCAGAAGCCAGGAGGCCATAATGAGTGTAATGACTAGCAGTGTGGAAGAGGGTGTTGACCAACAAGGGGCTATGGAGATAACTGATAGAGCAAGGCATCTGCAGGGGCAACACAGGTGCCAACAAGGGTGGTGCTTAATATCTAGAACCACAAAAAAAGGCAAGAATGAAGGAGCAGGGAGAGAGAGTGCCTGTCTCATGTCTCCTAGTCAGAACTCAGTGTTATTTTTTAAATAGCATTTGCTGTAACCCAGGCGTATTTTACTAAGGATTATGCAGAGGCGGAGAACAAGCCTTCTTTTATAATGTTTGAGTTCTAGCTGCCTTCTCCTCTCAACCTTTTCTTTGCTGATTCTCCATCTCCAAACTATTTGTCCTAAATTTTTTTGGCCTCATCCATTCTCCACCCACACAGCACACATTAGCAATGATGCGGGTGGCCTCATAAACTTCAAAATCTGACAGCGCAATCTCAAACCTATTGCTAAATTACCTCCGAGAGCTCCTTCAGACCAGCCTCAGCACTTCATCTTGGCTACTCCGAAACCCAACTTCAGAACTTTTGGTAAGCAATATAGATTTCACTGAATGCTTCATAAGGAAATCAAAGGGAAGATTACATGACAAGTCATAGAGCAAAACTTCATCAGCAAACTTCAGACAAACCTCAAAAGTTCCACCTTTGGCAGGGCGCGGTGGCTCACACCTTTAATCCCAGCACTTTGAGAAGCCGAGGTGGGCAGATCACTTGAGCTCAGGGGTTCAAGATCAGCCTGGCCAACATAGTGAAACCCCATCTCTACTAAAAATACAAAAATTAGCCGGGCATGGTGGCGGGTGATTGTAATCCCAGCTACTTGGGCGACTGAGGCTTGAGAATCGCTTAAATCTGGGAGGCGGAGTTTGCAGTGAGCTAAGATCGCACCATTGCACTCCAGCCTGGGCGACAGAGCAAGAACCTGTCTCAAAAAAGAAAAAGAAAAAAGAAAAAAAGAAAAGTTCCACCTTCATGATCTGGAGGTGCTTACTTAAGCTTCTTCACCGCTCTCTACCTTGAACGGTATCTTACGGACACTTTGCAGTTCTTGGGAGTATTTTATGCTCTTGCTTTCGTATCTTTCCACTTGTCATTCTCTCTTTTTAGCATATTCTTCCTACCTCCACTTCCCCAAACTGGATAATTCCTGATCATCCTTTAGGAGTTACAGATTTCACTTCTTTTGAGCAGCCTCCCGTCTCCCTCCAAGTCTAGATTAGGGATCTTTCCTGAATGCTCCTCTTATTATCTCCTCTGCTTACCCTTCATAACAGTCAGGGGCCCCACAGGAAGCAAACGGTACACTCAGAGTTATAGAAACCAACAAGGAATGCTGAGGCATCTGGGAACCAGAAAACTTGAGAAGCCATTCATACCCCTAAGCCTGAAGGAGCAAATGGAGAGAGTGGTGTTACTGACACCCTCGTGGGAGCTGGGGCCATAGAAGCAGAGTCGTCCAGCAGAAGTCATAGCCAGAGAAGATCATCGGCACTGCTAGACTGAAGAAGGCTGAGATGGGGCTGGGGAATGAATACTCTGATGTCCCTCTCCTTTCCTCTCCTTCCAATATCTGTCCATAGGCTGCACCTAACCAGAAGTCAGAGGGCAAGAAAGCCCAGGCCATTCTCTGGGAGCCTTGAGTTTGACAGAAAGATACAGAGAATAGACGGTGAAAGGAGAATAGCCACCATTTCCCATATTAATTCTTTATCACATGGTGTTGTATTTGCTGGTTTGCTGATTTCAGCTCCTTGAAGGCAGGTGTGGCATTCTCACAGCCTGGTACAATGCCTTGTATATGTAAACACCCTACAAAGAAATCTTTAAATCATTCAGTACACATATCAGGTGATGCAGTACACATCGTTAATTCTCACATTAATCCCCATTGCCTAATCTATGGAGAGAGGAACGGAACTAACATTTCCCAAATAATTAACTAATGAACGGCAACATAGCCCGTGGCTGAGTGCACAGACTTCACAGCCACACTGCCTAGGGTCAGGTCTGCTTCTACCACTTCCTAGCTGGGTGACCTTTGGCAAATTGTTTGTCTGTGCGTTAGTTTCCCAATCTAAAAACGGAAGAAAACTAGGCCTCCCTCATAGGGTTTTTGTAAGAATTCAGTGATTGAATATACATGAAATGGTTGGAAGAGTGTCAGGCACATAGTATCATAAAAATGTAAGGAGCTTATTGTTAATGAAATTATAATGTAAAAATATAAGGTGTTGTAATGATTGGTATTGTTACTTATGGCTAAAATTGTGCTCCATATTGGAATAGAGCTGCTTGTCTACTGTTAGAAAAGAGGTTTCTGGGTCTTTTGGACAGTACTCTCCCTGTACAGTAATTTTAGCCATGTGCACCTGGATAATAGTATCTGCTTAGCCTGGTGAATATACCCCAAAGGAAAGTGTTGTGAAAACTTTGCAGAAAATGACTCAAAGTTTTCCATCCCTGGTGCAAAGCTGGCAGTGGTAGGAAATGCATGGAATCATGGCCTTTGAGTTGGACAGACATGATGCTTCAAGTCTCACCTTTCCCCATTACTAGGTGTGTAATCTCATGAAACTTCTTTACTTCTCTGATCCTGAGCCTTCTTCTGTAAAAACAGAGAAAATAGAGCCAGGCAGAGTGGCTTGCAAGTGTAATCCCAGCTACTTGGGAGGCTGAGGCAGGAGGATAAAATAAACCAACAAAACAAAACAAAAAAAGGCCAGGTGCAGTGGCTCACAGTACTTTGGGAGGCTGAGGTGGGCAGATCACCTGAGGTCAGGAGTTCAAGACCAGCCTGGTCAACATGGCAAAACCCCGTCTCTACTAAAAATACAAAAATTAGCCAGGTGTGGTGGCGGGCACCTGTAATCCCAACTACTTGGGAGGCTGAGGCAGGAGAATTGCTTGAACACGGGAGGTGAAGATTGCAGTGGGCCGATATCACACCACTGCACTCCAGCCTGGGTGACAAAGCGAGACTCTGTCTCAAAAAAACCCAAAAACCAAAACACAAAAATAGCAAAATAGCATCTACTTTGCAGAATTATCTGACAATTAAATAAAATAAAGCACGCGTTAACATCTAAGGCCATATTTGGCCCACTATAGACTGTTTCTGTTTTTTTTTCTTTCAGAGAAAACTTTAAAAGGCACTCTACAGATAAAAAAAAAATTAAAAAAAATAGCCAAATAAATAGTTACCCAACATCCACAATCATGGACTCCAAAGTGTGCTCCTGTTGTTCAAGAGCCACGTCCCCCACATAATAATTGGGTGGCCTTTGGCGAGTTACTTAATTCTTGGTGTTTTAGTTTCCTCATCTGTAAAATGGGGATAATAATAGTAACCATCTCATAGAGTTGTTCTGAACATAAATAATCTATAATATGTGATGTGCTTAGAATAATGCCTAGCTCTTCATAAGTGTTAATTCCTCCTCCTCCTCCTGTTACTGTAGTTGTTATTTGATCAAGGGACTAAATTAGGCACTAGAGGAGACACTAAGACGCTTTATTCCATGCCACTGCCATCAAGAGGTTGTGATCTTCCACCTGAGAAGCCGCTTTAAGGGAACCATGTCCATGTCACCCTTTTACGTTAAAGGAAAGTTTTCTTTGACAGCCTTCAACCTAGGTAAACTCTCAGGGTAAACAAAGCCCTGACACTCCTAACTCACCATGGTTGCAAAGCCTATTGCTTTCTCTACACTCTCTTCACCACAGGTTCTACTCAGGTCCTAGCTGAGGGAGAGACAGGGTCTTCCAATACCCACAGCCACAGAAGAGAAAAATGAGAGATGATTATTCCTGCAGGAGCTTCAGCAGATGCATCAATACAATCTACGTAAATGCAATAAAACTGGACTGATTAGGTGGGGTGAATAGCATGGGAAAGATGAGCAAAGCAAATGGTGATTACAGCTGAGACAGGATTGCAGCACAGCTATTTAATTCTACCTTAATTCAACGAAGTTGGCATAAAAATGTTTAGTGTCAAAAACCTGGCACACCACCAAAAACATCATTAATTAATATTGACTAAGTGTCCAGAGCCTCTTGGGTACTGCAGAGCAAAAACAATTCCCAGCCTTAAAATGAAAACAGGATAGAGAAAAAGGGTCATCTGCTTTTTTTTTTCTTTTTTTTTTTTTTCTCAGATGGAGTTTCACTCTTGTTGTGCAGGCTGGAGTGCAATGGCATGATCCCTGCTCACTGTAACCTACGCCTCCCTGCTTCAAACGATTCTCCTGCCTCAGCCTCCTGGGTAGCTAGGATTACAGATGCTTGCTACCACGCCCAGCTAATTTTTGTATTTTTAGTAGAGACGGGATTTCACCATGTTGGTCAGGCTGGTCTCAAACTCCTGACCTCAGGTGATCCACCTGCTGCGACCTCCCAAAGTGCTGGGATTATAGGCATGAGCCACCTCGCCAGGCCGGGTCACCTTTTAAAAATATTTTTCTCCCCCAGGAAGGTGGGCAGTATGAGAAGCCATTGGATTCATTTAGGGATATTCTTATAGGGAAATGCAAATATTATCAAAATGATGATAATGGCAGCTAATGTTTATTGCATTCTTACCCTGAATATCAGATACTGTCCTAGTACTCTACATATATTGGCTTTTTTTTTTTTTTTGATGGAGTCTCACTCTGTCGCCCAGGCTGGAATGCAGTGGCACTATCTCAGCTCACTGCAACCTCCGCCTCCTAGGTTCAAGCGATTCTCCTGCCTCAGCCTCCCAAGTACCTGGGACAATAGGCACATGCCACCACACCTAGCTAATTTTTTGTATTTTTAGTAGAGACTGGGTTTTACCATGTTGGTCAGGCTGGTCTCGAACTCCTGACCTCAGGTGATCCACCTGCCTCAGCCTCCCAAAGTGCTGGGATTACAGGCGTGAGCCACCGCGCCCGGCCATATTGGCTCATTTAATACAGGTAGTTAATCTTCATTCCCTGACAAATGAAGGGAAGGATGGGGGCAACGTTTATTAAGCTCTTAGTGAGTGTCTGGCACAGAGCTATTTTCTTTTATACATGCTCTCATTAAATCCTTAAATGGTAATTTTCCTAGCTGAGAAGAAAGAGGTTCAGAGAATTTAAGTGATTTGCTAAGTTCTTAGCACTAGTACGTGGCAGATCAGCAGTTTAAACTCAGTTTTGTCTGACCCCAAAAAGTGACTTTCATTTTTACCACACTGTGTTCTTCTAATAACGTTATAGAAACAAGTCTCAAAGTCTAAATAGCAGATGCCTAATAGTTAACATTGATTTTTTGTTCAGAGATCTTTCTCCTGGGAAGGGCTCATTCTAACCATGTTGGGGCTGCCTTTATACACATCCCATCTCCCTCATTCTCCTCATTATACCAGAATCCTTCCCAGAAATTCACTTTTTTATTAAACTAATTCAAGTTGAGTTTCTAACTCTTACAACCTAGTGTATCCCAATTGAACCCCCACCGCAATTTCAGTGATAGGGCAGGTCGTAAATTCATTCTTGGCATATTACATAGTGAAATAGATGTATTACTCTATACATGATGTCACTGTAATCAGATGGATATTTGTTTTTGGAGGATGGAAACCAATCTCTTTACTATCTGGTCACACCTTTTATAAGGGAAGCATGTTTTGACCCTGCAGTTTAAGAAAATCTCTTGTATATCGGCCGGGCATGGTGGCTCATACCCGTAATCTCCGCACTTTGGGAGGCCAAGGCGGGTGGATCACCTGAGGTCGGGAGTTCGAGACCAGCCTGACCAACATGAAGAAACCCTGTCTCTACTAAAAACACAAAAAATTAGCCAGGGGTGGTGCATGCCTGTAGTCCCAGCTACTTGGGAGGCTGAGACAAGAGAATCGTTTGAACCTGGGAGGCGGAGGTTGCAGTGAGCTGAGATCGTGCCATTGCACTCTAGCCTGGGTGACAGAGTGAGACTTTGTCTCAGAAAAACAAACAAACAAACAAAAAAATAAATCTCTTGTATATCATGTTAAGCTTGGATAGAATATTGCATTTATTTTCATCCAGTATAGAACCATTAGATGCCTTATCTTTTTAATGTCATCCTTATCAAAAATTGTTTACTTTAATAGTACATAATTAAGGCTGTTGGGGAGTGGGTTGTGAGGGGAGGATGTTCTACAAAGCACGGTGTCTTTGAGCTCAAAGAATTTACAATGTGGATAGGAAGAGAAGACACGTGGATATGAGAAGAGGAGAACTGATGTCCAAAGCCACTCTTCATCCCCTGAATCAGCTGCTGTGATCCAAAAGTCCCTTGGAAAGCAGGCGTGTGAAACTTGGAATATTTCCTCATAGGAAGAGTGTGATATAAGGTCCTGCTATTCCATGTTTCATCTGAAAAACTAACCCTGTAATGTCACAAAATGATCCAAAATCTTTAACCTCTAAGGCCTCCCCTAGTCTGGCTTCTGTCCTCCTTTCCTGGTAATTTCTCCTTCTACCCATATCATGCTGGTGCTCTTTAAGTGCCCAGCATCCTACCCTGTCACAAGCCTTTCGCCAGTCTCCGCCCATCTCCTGGCTGCTCTTTCCCGCCTGGCATTGCCTTGCACCTTCATGAACCCTTAGTCATCCTTCTGGATCAAGCTGAAAAAGGAACTGCTGCTCATGAGGTGTTTTCTTTTCTTTCTTTTTTTTTTTTTTTGAGACAGAGTCTTGCTCTGTCACCCAGAATGGAGTGCAGTGGCACGATCTTGGCTCACTGCAACTTCTGCCTTCTGGGTTCAAGCAATTCTCCTGCCTCAGCCTCCCAAGTAGCTTGGACTACAGGTGCATACCACCATGCCTGGCTAATTTTTTTGTATTTTTAGTAGAGACGGGGTTTCACCATGGTGGCCAGGCTGGTCTCAAACTCCTGACCTCAAGTGATTTGCCTGCCTTGGCCTCCCAAAGTGTTGGTGTTGGGAATAATGCTTAAAGAGAAACCTCATCATATCCCACATTGCGATGACAGGTGCGAGCCACCTTGCCCAGCCTCACAAGGCATTTTCTGACCCCCCCAAACAAAATCTGCCTTTCAAACACTGCCTAGCACTTCTTGGAATGTCCTTTGTAGTCCTCACTGCACTAGCAGGGATTTCTCTAGTGCCTCTCTCCTCTCTCTGAGCCTGTTTTCTCATCCATAGGTGAGCATTGGGATATATACCATGTAGACTGTGATGAGGGTAGGAGAAAATCACAGAGGCACAGAGCGTAGCACACATGGGCTCTCCAGCCACAAGAGACTCCTGTGGCTAGAGACACAGTGGAAACGTCTGGGGACAGACTGCCTCATTCTTCGCTGAGAGGTGCCTGCCTTAGGTGGCTGCTGAAGCTCCCCCAGCTTCTGGAGGTGAGCAACAGTTACCACCCAGCTGAGGCTGCTCCCGAAAAAGCCCATGAACTTCTCTTCTGTCCGTGAGTAAGCAGACTTATGCTCACAGCGGCACAGTGCTGATTCAGGTCAGCAAGCGCTAGCTTGTGTCCCACACTCAGGCCAGACAGGAAGATCCAAAAGCAGCCTTCTTAAACCGAAGTCATTACAAACAAACAAAGCCCACATACACATACAGACACGCACACAGACACACATACACACGCGCACGTGCACGCACAAACACAAGTATGATTTAATGGCCAGGTCTTGACTGTCTTGGAAATGGATGAACCACCTGGGCTTACAAATAAACCTGGTCATGTTTGCTTTTTCCAGGAGAAATTGAGGGTAGGGAGAGCGAGTCTAGCAGAGCTCTGAGATGGCCTAGAATGGGCATTGGGGAGAACTCCTGAGCTAGCTATCCTTGAAATGTGTAGATCTCCCTGCTGAGGCTCTGCGGGTGATCAGGCACTGTCAGAATGAATTAGTGGCTCCATAAACCCAGGCTCTGTGGCTAAATGGTGGGGGCTAAAATCTCTGAAGTTCCTTACATCCCAGCAGGCTTCTCTAAAATATTTATGGCTGTTAGGCAACACAGCAAGCCCAGGTCCTTGAAATCTGGAATGAAGGTCCCAGACAAGTTTCCTACTGGCCAGCTGGGGAATCCTGGGCAACCCTCTTAACCTCTCTGAGTCTCCGCTCTCTATATGCAGAAAGCAGCTAATGAAGCCCTGTCTGCCTCATAGGGTGCCGGTGAGGGGCCAAGATCCAATCAGCGTCTCAGCCCCCAGGAAAGTGATAAAACAACTGGGATTATTTTCCAAATATTGTTCCAGTTTATCTCCCTTACTCTTGAAGGCTTTTGGAAAGCTCTCCAAAAGGCTGTGACCTAACAGTCAACTTGTATTTATTTGTTGAGAAGCTTCTGTAAATCAAAGGCATAAAACAGGGGACCCAGCTAAGGAAAATATTTCCGCTCACTGCGAAGAGATAAATTTTCAGGCCCCAAAAGGGGAGCTGGGAGAACTTGCAGGCATGTTTACAGCCCCCTCGTTAGTTCAGGCACAGTGATTGTTTGAAGTCCCAGATTCATCCAGCGAATAAGAAAGGCCCAGCAGGTCAGCAGTTTGACACTGTCTCCAAGGCTTTCTGTTATGTTTATACTGGAAAGTTACCATTGGCCTCTGTAAAATGGAATTTCCATATAATAATTGAGATGGCCTTGTAAGGAGGGAAGGTCCCTGTTGCTGCTTCTACAAGGAAGTTGGACTGATAGGGAAATGTGGAAACAAAGGAAGCTTTTGTCTTATCTCTGAAGCGAAGCCTTGTATGGTGGTTTCCAAATGCCTGTCTCATGCCCTACAGCATCAGAATCACTCGGAGTGCTTCCTTAAAATACAGATATCTACACCCATGCAACACATTGAATTCCTAGGAAGGGGCCCAGGAATCTGTGTGTGTGTGTGTGTGTGTGTGTGTGTGTTGACATGGAGTCTCACTCTGTTGCCCAGGCTGGAGTGCAGTGGCGTGATCTCGGCTCACTGCAACCTCCATCTGCCAGGTTCAAGTGATTCTCCTGCCTCAGCCACCAGAGTAGCTGGGATTACAGGCGTGCACCATCACACCTGGCTATTTTTTTGTATCTTACTAGAGACAGGGTTTCACCATATTGGCCAGGCTGGTCTCCAACTCCTGGCCTCATGCGATCTGCCTGCCTTGGCCTCCCAAAGTGCTGGGATTACAGGCATGAGCCCCTGCACCCAGCCTGAAGGGTTTTTAACAGTTTTATTAAGATGTAATTCACATACTATACAATTCACCCATTTAAAGTGTATGGTTCAATGGCTTTTAATATATTCACGGAGCTGTGCTTCCATCTCTATAATTTCAGAACATTTTCATTATCGCCAAAAGAAGCACTGCTCTCCTTAGCCATCACCCCAATCCTCCCGCCTCCAACCCCCAGCCTTAGGCAAGCCCAAGTTTACTTCCTGTCTGTATAGATTTGTCTGTTCTGGGCATTTCATGTAAATTGAATCATGCACTGTGTGATCGTATAGTGAAGTGTGTGAGTTTGGAGCAAGAGCTAATTGGTTACAGGCAACAGAGGAAAGGCTTAGAGCACCACTATTGTCTTCCCCACTGAATGCCGGATGTCACCCCTCTAAATAAGTGTGGAATACATATGTAAAGATATTGGCTTATAGCTGGGCATGATGGTGTGCACCTGCAGTCCCAGCTATTTGGGAGGCTGAAGTGGGAAAATCCCTTGAGCCTCGGAGCTCAAGTCAGCCTGGGCACACCGCGAGAGCCTCCTGTGTCTAAAAAGTAAAAAAGAATATTGGCTCGAAGGAAGCTAGTCAGTCTTCCTGTAGGTCCAGCCTTGTATTACGCCAGGCAATCAGCAGGGGTCACTGCACTCCAGCCTGGGTGACAGAGCGAGACCCTGTCTGAAAAACAAAACAAACAAACAAAAGTAAACCCGTCCCTCTGCAAAACCAAAGCCCCCCAGTTGACGATGCCCACCGCTTCTTATGAGGCATTTGAGCAATCGTCTGTTATTGCAAGAAAGGGGAATGCCACTTCCGGGAGATTCAACAGACAGAAATTTGGGAACTCTATAAAATGCTCTATTTCATAGACATTTTTTTCCTGCATCATTACCTTTCTTGAAAAGTATTAGTGCTCAGAGTATGTGTGTATTTCAGTATTCATATGGATTTATTCATCTGGCTGTGGTATAATTGCATTTTTTAGATGAGATCTGTTTCCTTCTCTAACTTAATTTTGGAGCTTACCTAAGCCATGTCCCAAGGGAGGGAGGTAAAATAGGGATTAAAGGATTTGCAGGATTTTTGTTTGTTTGTTTGTTTTGAGACACTGTAAGATGATGCCCAATTTTCTGAGAGTCTGTTCCTCCATTAAGATCAGATCACAATGCAGTCTTGGGAGATTGCCCAGTGCTGTGGAAATAGTGAGGGCTTTGGCTGCTTGAGTTCAAATTCTGGTTACCTTTAACAAATGTGACTTTACTTCTCTCAGCCTCAGTTTTCTTATCTATAAATATGGAATATTGGTAGCTTGCTTATAGAATGATTCTGAAGAGTAAATTAAATAATAAGCCTGGCACATAATAATAGCTGTTCTGTAAAAATGTAGCAAATATTACTATTATTTAACTTCTCATTTCATATATGTTATGTTTCCTCATTTGGATTCTTAGCTCCTTTGAGTATTGTCCCTGATCCCCACATAGCTCGTAACATAGTGTGTCCTATGCAAAAGCCAAGAAAGAGTTAGGAAAGAACAGATTGTAGAGGACACCTATGAGCCACCTGCCCAGGCTTCTTTTCTTTCTTTCTTTCTTTCTTTTTTTTTTTTTTTTTTTGAGGCGAAGTCTCTGTCACCCAGGCTGGAGTGCAGTGGCACAATCTCAGCTCACTGCAACCTCTGCCTCCCAGGTTCAAGCACTTCTGTCTGCCTCAGCCTCCCAAGTAGCTGGGATTACAGGCACCTGCCATTATGGCCGGCTAATTTTTGTATTTTTAGTAGAGACGGGGTTTCGCCATGTTGGCCAGGCTGGTCTTGAACTCCTGACCTCAGGTGATCCACCCACCTCGGCCTCCCAAAGTGCTGGGATTACAGGAGTGAGCCACTGCGCCCAGCCAAGGCTTCTCTTTTCTGGACTTATCTATCCTGATTCCCATTGTCCATCCACAAAGATATGAAAATGGGCTCCAGCAGCTTCTATGAGTGACTTTGCCCCCACTCCTCTTATCCTCAGCCTCAGTTGGTTGGACTAGGTGAGGACACCCAACTTAAGCTTGGCCAGGGAGTTCAGTGAGTTCTTAGCCAGTGGGCGTGAAACTGATCCTCCGTGTTCCACTGTAGTTGTGATTTGAAGTATGTTCACAAAATGTGATTCTAGGCAGCCATTCATAATGCTTCTAAAATTTTTTCTAAGCCCTAAGAAAATGGTCATCTTATAATGTTAAGGTAAAAAGGATAAGACAAAATTATGTAGACCTCACAGATTAGAAAATATATATGCATGAAGTACTGGAAAGAAAATACATAAAAATGTGAATAGAAATAGAGGGATTCTAGATAATTTTCTTTTAGTTTTTAATACTGACTGTTAAAGAGAAGTCTATATATTGGGGGGAAGGTGGGAGTAGGGGGAAGGAGCCAATGTAGATTTTCTTCTCTCTTCCCTTTAAAAAATTTTTGCTTCTCTGGTCTCAGTTTTCTCAGAATCCTAGCTATCCTTGATATCTGATAAAAATAATTCACACACGGGTGTTAACAACTTGCTAGCTCTCCAAGGGTGTTATTATTTGAAAATGGGCTTCCAGACGCAAGATGACTTCATGCAGAAATTCTCAACCATTGATCCTTTGCAGAACTAGGCTAAGCAGTTCTACCAGTTTGCAGGAGAAAACATGATAGAATTGTCTAAAATTAAAATTTTCTCCCATAAATTTTCCCTTGGTGCCTGCCACCAATGTCTCAATTAGAATTTTGTAGTCTGAACAATAGAATCACTGGGGAGCTTTAAAAATATACAAATTCCCCTGCTCCATCTTCCAGATTCCAGATTTAACTGGCCTTTTGTGGGGCCCGAACCGCTATGGTTTTTAATCCTTTGTAGGTGATTCGATCCTTCAGCCAGGATTGAGACTTATATATAATTATAATTATATAATTATACTGACAGTATAATTGATTGAATGCAAAATTCTATATTGAGTAATTTTGTTGTCTCCAGCTTAATAGCGTATCCATATTTTGCGGGATTTCTGAAGGAGCTGCATGGGTTCCAGTTGCCCTACTAATTGAATGAATTTGGAAACTCGTGCTTGACCTGAACCCTCGGGCGGCGCCGTTCCCAGTGGGGAAAGAGACTGTTTGGAGACATCGCCCTCCAGTGACAGCACTCGGGAACTGTTGAGAGGCCTGGGTACACCTTTGCTTCCCATTGATTGTTCCTCTAAGAACAGGGGTGCTCTGAGCCCGTTCCAGCCTGTGAAAGCTCCCTTGAGTTCGTTGTACGTTTGTCCTTGCCCGGATGTGTCGGCAACACGCTTGGAGGCATAAACAGAACAAAACTTCAGACGTGTTCTTAACTGTCAGGAGTAACAGTTGCAGATAAAAGCTGCAGAATTGCTCAATACTGGGAAGGCTGAGCACAACTAGAATTATTCCGGTAACTTAACAGAAAAAATAAATAAACATGTCAATAGTTACAGGGTTTAGGAGGGAGGGAGAGTGTAAATTCATAGCAAAACATTTGGAACATTCCGTTTAGCCCCTTCCCTTGTGCGGGGGCGGAAGTCTGAGGCGAGTGGGGTGCACTGTGGGGAGGGGCAGCAGAGAAGAAGTCTCACCAGAGTAGACAGGACCAGGGGGCCGTGCTGAGCCCTGGCCCCAGGAGCTGGCAGGTGAGAAGAGACTCATCTCTGGAAATAATGCTTGAGAGTCCATCTGAGCCCCCTGGGAAGCTTGTCCAGAAAGCTCCCGGCAGGTCCCATTCCTATCAATTGTGGTTCAAGAGGCCTAGGAACCCGAGAGGGTTCTGAGAAGCAGTGGCAGGGCCTGCCGTGCATCCAGTACCTACTTGGTAGCAGGTGTGGAAGGAGGCCTGTGCCCTCGTTCAGTCCTTACAACAACCCTCTGTGGTAGTTGGTACCATCCCCATTTTACAGATAAGGAAACTGAGGCTCGGGGAGGTGATGTGGGGTGCCTAAAGCACCAGAGCTGAGCAGTGATGGAGTCTGGACTGCAGTACCCTGTTGCGGGCGATGAGGGGGAGCTGTCACAGGAACAAGCCAAATCCTGCATTAGGAGGCTCAGTGCCAAAGGTCGGAGCAGGACCAGAGATGACGTGGACCTGCATGCCTGGTCCACAGCGCTCCTTGGGGACCTTCTGTTCTCCCTGAGGAAAGGGTTGGAGTCAGGTGGGAACGTAGGAAGGAAGAGAAGGTAGAGAGGGGAGAGGAGGCATGACCAGCCACCAGACAGGGGGGAGTCAGAGCCACCAAGGCAAAGCGCTGGTGAGCGGGAGGGTGGGGGCCCCGGGTCTCTTCTGCTTCCTCCTCAGTCTTTCCCCTCAGGCTCCTTTCTTCCTTCTAGAGCTTTTCTTTCTTTTTCTTTCTTTCTCTTTCTTTTTCTTTCTTTCTTTCTCTCTTACCTTCCTACCTTCTTTCCTTTCTTTCTGTTCTTTTTCTTTCTCTTTCTTTCTTTCTTTCTTTCTCTTTCTTTATTTCTTTCTCTCTCTTTCTTTTCTTTCTTTCTCTTTCTTTCTTTCTTTTTCTTTCTTTCTTTCTCTCTTACCTTCCTACCTTCTTTCCTTTCTTTCTGTTCTTTTTCTTTCTATTTCTTTCTCTCTCTCTTTTCTCTTTCTTTCTTTCTCTTTCTTTCTTTCTTTCTCTCTCTTTCTTTCTTTCTCTCTCTTTCTTTCTTTTTTTCTTTCGACAGAGTCTCGCTCAATTGCCAGGCTTGAGTGCAATGGCGCAATCTTGGCTCACTGAAACCTCCGCTCCTGGGTTCACACCATCCTCCTGTCTCAGCCTCCTGAGTAGCTGGGAATACAGGCACCCGCCATCATGCCCAGCTATCTTTTGTATTTTTTTTTAGAGACAGGGTTTCACCATGTTGGCTAGGCTGATCTTGAACTCCTGACCTCAGGTGATCCACCCTTCCCCAGCCTGCCAAAGTGCTGGGATTACAGGCATGAGCCACTGCGCCCGGTCCCATGTTCCTTTCTTACTTCTCCACCATCCTTGCTTCTTCTTTCTTCACTTCCCCTTTCTTAGAAAAGGGGTTTTCTCCTCCCTCACAGATCCAAGGCATGCCCTCACTCCTCACAGGATGGCAAGGAGAAACGATCAATCGCTTAAGTAATAAAAAACATCCAAATCAGACCCGTCTGCAGTCAGAATCCACAGCAGTCCTTCCGCAGCACAGCAGTCCTTCTGCAGCACAGCACTGCCTCCGCCGGCCGCCTTCCTTCCCTCGGAACTGAGCCCATCCAGGGCTGCAGAGCGGCCTGCAGTCCCTGGTGGCAACAGCACTTAGCGGCGCCTCATGTTTAATGCAAGCAAGCTTCGGAAACAGGAAAGCTTTCAAGATACAGCTGAAGATGCACGAGCGCTGCCCTTTACAGAGCAAACACGAATGTACAAAACCAACGTGGGTTTTCCTGTGTTACAATAATTGTGTTCTCATCTGTACAGATTTAAGCTAACCGCTTCTGTCAGAAGAAAGGAGAAATCTATATCCAAGGGCCTCTGTGGCCTAGAGAGGCCTGAGTCACCTCTGCTTTTTGAGTCTCCTAGTAATTTTAAAATGAAAAAATTCCGGCCGGGCGCGATGGCTCATGCCTGTAATCCCAGAACTTTGGGAGGCAGAGGCGGGCGGATCTCCTGAGGTCAGGAGTTCGAGACCAGCCTGGCTAACATGGTGAAACCCCATTTCTACTAAAAACACAAAAAATTAGCGGGGCATGGTGGCACGCGCCTGTAATCCCAGCTGCTCAGGAGGCAGAGACAGAAGAATCGCTTGAACCCGGGAGGCGGAGGTTGCACTGAGCCAAGATTGTGCCACTGCACTCCAGCTTGGGCAACAACAGCGAAACTCCATCTCCAAAAAGAAAAACGAAAAAATACTAAAATAGGTTATACAATTTGTAGTTCATTTGTAAATGCTCATCATTAGCAAGTTAATATTTTTAGCACAAAAGAGATAATGCAATATAATTGTGCTAGTTACTAGCTAATTACAGGATTTGTAAAAAGTAATCATTCCTAGTGTGCTATAAGTAATGGGGCACAGGTGTATAGCTGTATTTTGAATAACTTCTTTAACCTGTTAGGATGTGATTCCTTTGGGAAAAAAAATTAAAGATCTAAAGTAGAAATCTTTTGTGTGGCTGTGTTAAAGTGTATGATATTGATGACTATGAAAGTTTCCCTTCTGCTAACATAGACACTCTTGTCTCCAAACAAGTTCAGCTGTGCTTCCCACTCAGTCACTCATTCTGGATGGTTTTGTTAGCATATCCATGTCCTCTACCCTGTCTTCAGAGTGCTTAGGTTGAAAGGCTTTATAAATACCACGTGTCTAGTCCAATACCCTTTCCTCGGCTATCTGGACCCAAAGCACCATGCCAAGTCAATGCAGTGCTACAGAACTTAGGGTTGTTTTTTTTTTTCCCCCTCCTGAATATTCCTAAATAACTCAGTGTTTTAAAAGACTCTGATGTATCTTGGAGAAATGGCTGATCCTAGGACTGGGGCAGGAAACATATGAGATGAGCTGGGAGTATTTTGTAATCTCCAAAAGTAAGGAAGTACTAAAAAACAAAAAGAAACAAACAAAACACCCATATATTGATGGGGGTATGTTAAAGAGACACAGGAACCAACTGAAACTGTTCCCAAAGGCCAAAGCTGGAACAATTTGAGCAACAAAACCAATGAAATAGTATTAGATTATAACCCAAAGTATAAGATAAATATCCATGAGTTTGTATTGATATAAATGATTGGATAAATAAAGGGTTTGGGACACAAATCTTCCTTGCAGAATAATTCCAAACAGTTTTTTGCAGATACTCTACCCTCAAGAAGATACAGTATTAACTCTACACTTCTGAAGTGTGAGCTATCTACGGTGACTTTGCTTCCCGAGAATACAGTATGGAAATGGGAGGGAAAGAATAACTTTACAGTGGAGAAACTTGACAAATACTATTTCAGCCAGGGGATCAAGCCCAACATCATGCTGACAGTGTGTACTCTTGATAAGATATGACTAAAATCACACTTTATCTCTGTATTCCTCCTCTGTAACATCCACAATCCCAGTCTAATCATGAGGAAAACATCAGACTAATTCCAATAGAGGGCATCCTACAAAATACCCAACCAATACTCCTCAAAACTGCCAAAATCAACAAAAATATATGGAAACTCTTAAGAACAGCTGCAGACACTGCAGAAAGCCTAATAGCAACCACTCCTCAGAGGTCTGAACACCAGCCCTGCAGGGCCCATCCCCTAACCTTCTAGGTTCTGATCATCTCAACTCCTTTCCTTTGAATCCTCCAGCTTTAGAGGTGGTGCTGCTTCCTGCTATTTTTAGCCCTGTATTACAGTAATGTTCCTCCTTTGCTATTCCACCCCCCAACACCCAATTCCCTGTATAAATTTCCTCTGTTGAAGTACCTTGTGTGGTTTCTGTTTTCCAAACTGAGCTGTGCCTGTTACAGTGCTTGGTACCAGGAAATAGACCCTCAGGGATGGGGATTTGGAGGTTGATTTGATCATTGCTTGGTTTTAAATGCTGGGCTGAGATCTTTTCAATGGGAATTGCTATGCTAGTACTCCATTGCATTTGGAGGCATAGTGATTAAGTTGTCACCAGTGATTGATTGAGATGAAATGCCTATGGAATCAAGTGCCTTGTGGGACCATATAGCTTTTACACCAAGAATGAAAAGGACAATAGGCATAAACTGTCACTGTCCCTTGATTATCCTAATGGCAGTAGTAATTATGACTACAAAGCATTGGAGTAGGATGACATCTTCCAACTGGAGAGATTACAGAAAGGAAATCACTAGCTCAGGTTTAAACTTCTAAATTCAAGTCTAAAACAGAGCAGTGAGAGGCTCTATGGCAGCCCTAAAATAATGTAATTTTTTTAGTCACAGGGCCAATCTCATACAAAAAAGAACCATAATTAAATTGTGTGGGTTATAAAATTACAATGTAAATTGAACTCATAGACTTCCCTGACTCTTATGAGAAAACGCATTGACTGGGTGAGTGGGCCTCTAGGATTTTGAATGATCACATCTGGGTAGATGGGAATAAAGCTGAAAATCTTGAACCCAAGGCCTCTCTGCCTTGTGAAGCTTTGAACCCAAGGCCTCTCTGACAGTGGAAGTTTTTGTCTTTTAGGTCTATAATTAGAGTCAGATCTCAGCATGGTCCAGGGGGAAAAAGTGAAGTCTGACCTGGGAAGAATTAGCTTTTATTCCAAATGAATGACAACATCTTGCTAATTGATTTAGGCAGAAATCTGAGGATTATTTGAGAAGTTTCAAAGGAAGATAAAATATAACATTAAATCAGGCCAACGTATGGACTTGGGCGGACTTATCAGAGTCTGGACTTACTGTGTTAGCTCATCCAACTGGAAGTGGCTCTAACAGTTTTCTTAGTTGAGTCAATAAAATATATTTATTGGTGGCCTACATTCAGTGAGCTGAGATGACAGAACTTCCCGGGGTAATGTAGAAAAAACAATCCATAGATTTAGGGAGATAGGAATGCAAAATTACATGGGGGCATGAACACCCAGCCATATCTCCTGATGGGGTGCAGGTGACAATCTCTTCTCTGAGGTACTAAGAAATATATTAATGAGGGGCGTACCAGCCTCCCTGGAAAGCTCTGTGGTGGATCCCCTCGCTAGATTGGGGTTAACAGTGGAAGATGCTGCCACTGAGATGGGTCTAGTCAGGAAAATAGCAATTATGTAATAGAGGTTTCTGCAGAGGGAATTTCATATGGGAGTTGGTTACATCAATGTTGGAAGGCTGAGTGAGGAAAATGGATTATTCACTGAGATCATCCAGAAATAATAACCCAGGAGGCAGCTACTACCACTGGGGCTGACAGAACAAAGGGAAGAGGCTGGGGTTGCAGAGCTAGAAGCTTAGGGCCAGGGCCCTAGAAATGTAGAACTCTGGTCTCTGAGAGGGGGCCTGCCATGCTACTGTTGCTGCATTGAGACCAGAGGAGGCTGGTTCTAGGAGGATTTAAAGAATACAGAGCCTAGCCAGGCTCAGTGGCATGATCCTGTAGTCCCAGCTACTGGAGAGACTGAGGCAGGAAGATTGCTTGAGCCCAGGAGTTCAAGGTTGCAGTGTGCTATGATCGTTCCACTGCACTCCAGCCTGGGCAACATAGCAACAGAGACGCAGTTTAAAATGTGTGTGTTTGTGTATATGTGTGTATATATATATAATATATATATATAACAGTATATATATTACATATTTAAAAACATATATTTGTACATACAATTAAAAATAAATTATATGTATGTATATGTATGTGTATATATATATATATGTGGAGGCTAAAATCAATTGCTATGGACCCATTGCTGAGGTGATACAGATAGGAACAATAACGTCAAAGGAAGGAAGTTGCTTCTTTCTCCTCCTGTTCCCCTTCTCTGGAGCCTCTTATTAACCAAATGTAATAGAAAGCCAGTTAGCAAAGGAGAAATGTAGTTTGTAGCGTCCTAGCCTAGCAACACAAAGCAGTACATAGAGGAGTGGATTTGGAACAGAAGGACAAGAGCTTAGTAAGCCCCACTGAACTTGCCTTATCCCTTGTACTTTAAAAAGCAAACCTTTCCAAGACAGGGACTTTATTGAAATCCCCTCTCCTCGTCAGAGCCCTACAAGATTTAGTGAATATCTGTTGAACATCACGGATGATGTTACTACTGTAGCCTTGCAACAATACAATACATTTTGGACCTCAGACCTCAACATTTATGAAACCAGCACTCAATTACAGTGTTTTATGTGTCTAGCTGGAAAGTTTTTTACACTCCAAGCAGGATCATTTAGGAAAGTCCTGTCAAGAGAGTAGAGCCTGCCTTTGTGTAAGTGGAGTAGCCTCTTACTGTCAGTGGTTTGATGAATAGAGGTACTGAGGGGAGCTTAACTGCTCCTGTAAAAGATATATATATATATATTTTATTTAAAATCATTGTTAAGAGGCAGGGATCAGCTTCCATGGTGATGTAAGGATTTCTGAAGAGTTTGTAGATAAAAGCAAGGTCTTTAAATATAACACAGGAATCAGCAGAAAAACTCAGCATTTGCGCCTATCCAACATCTTTCTTAACCTAATAAGGTTGACAGTCAGCATCTCTGTTAGAAGAAGTTAATGGTATTAGTTGAATGATTGATTACACAGATCACTGGAGGAAGGGCCAAAACACAATGGTCTTATATCAGAGTATAGCAATGGCAAGCTGTACAATGAGGACAAAGAAATTTTAATAATGGCCTTAAAATGGTGTTGATATTAAAATGCTCAGCCCAGAATTATCTATGTCAAATTAATTACACTTCCCTAGTCTTTTCCTTTCCATTGAAATGAAAATGATAATGAGCAACACTACTTCGCAAGATGTATATCAGCAATTTCTGACTAATTTCTTTGAAATACTCAGCTCAATGAATATAAATTATATTATATGCTATGCATGAAAAGACTCCAACCATTAAGAACTGTGCAAAATTATTTTTATTTCAATGTCAAATTCCAAAGAAAAACACCCAGAAATTGCTATGCACGTTTGCATTTATAGCTTTTATTATTTTTAGGATGTGGTTTTGAACCCAAATTCCAATGAGTCATATGTACTGTTGCCAACAGTATTTTCAGAGAAAGGCTTACTTGAAGCTGCATGACATTGGATCATTTTATGGAAAATGTAAGTCTTTATGAAATGGAACCTGTTTGTTGTCAAGGAGTCCAAGCTACATTACTAATGAGGTAATATTTTATTTTAAAAGTAGGTGTTTTCTTCTCAATTCCATTTCTGTGGGAGCCCAACACCAACGCAGCTTAAGAAAATGATGGTCTATTTTCTAATCATTTCTAAAACAAAATGGAAATAAAGATCACAGGACAAAGAATTGAAGCAGCCCACAAAGAATATAGAACCATAAATGCTCTGTGACTTGCTACATTGTTGATAAGAGCAACAGGATAAAGAGATTTAAGTAGAAGAGCATACTTTAAACATGGAAAAATAATGTTTAAGGAATGGCTAATTTGTTTCTCCCCTAGAAATCTCCAGTACATGGCTCTCTTGGGAAATCTAATCAATTAAAACCCTACATGCTATTCTACTTGTGAGTGGAATAAGGAATACATTTCTCATGTTATTATATAAATGAGTCTCATCTTCAGGGATTTGAAATATAGCTTTATCCAGAGTATAGTGAATTTGTATGTCATCTCATCTTTCTGCATTATAGTAAAATTGATTTTATGATTCCTTACTCATAAATCACAGGCCTGAGGCAATAACAGCCTTGGAGATGCTTTTGCTTGTCTTGCCTAATCTCACAGGCTGGGTGTGTCTCTTGTTCTTTTTTCTGAACCACATCTAGCTCTTCAGCTTGCAATTATGATTATAGTTCTCAGCCTTGAAAAAGAGTGGCTGTCAGACCCAGGTCATGTTCCTGGCTTGTTTGGATCCTCTAAACTGAATACCATCCCGGACAACTTTAGCACATCATTGGAAGAAATTAATAGTGTGATCACGATGCAAATGAATGCACATCACAACATGGGTACCATTATGAACTTACAGCTACAAAATTCAAAGGATATCTTCCCTTTCCCCTTACTCTCCCCTCTGATATAAGAGCAAAGTGACCCATGGTGGTATTTAGATTTCTGGCAGTCTGCTAGGGGTTTTACCTTCATGTAAGGTTGTGGTTCTTCAATCAAGAGAAGTCTAAAGTATTACCTAATATTTAAAATATATATATATTCCCCCCACTTTTTTTTAAAGACTCCCTGTCAGTTCCTCAATATATTGACTAGTCCAACTAGAGCAGTGGTCCCCAACCTCTTTGGCACCAGGGACTGGTTTCATGAAAAACAATTTTTGCACAGACTTGGGGATGATTTCGGGATGCAACTGTTCCACCTGAGATCCACCAGGCATTAGTTAGATTTTTATAAGGAGCGTACAACCTAGATCCCCGCATGCAAGTTCACAGTAGGGTTGGTGCTCCTACGAGAATTGAATGTTGCTGCTGATCTGACAGGAGGCAGAGCTCAGGTGGTCGCCTGCCACTCACCTCCTGCTATGCAGCCCAGTTCCCAACCGGCCACGGACTGGTACTGGTCTGTGGCCCGGGGGTTGGGGGACCCCTGAACTAGAGAGAAGAGGAAGGTCATCATATAAAATCATAAGCCTGGGCAATATAGTGAGACTGTATCTCTACAAAAATAAAAATAGCTGGCCATGGTGGCACCTGCCTGTAATCCCAACTACTCAGGAGGCTGAGGCAGGATTGCTTGAGTTGAGGCTGCAGTGAGCTGATAGTGCCACCGCACTCCAGCCTGGGTGACAGAGCAAGACCCTGTCTCAAAAAAAAAAAAAAAAAATTATAAAGCACACTGAATTTTAACTCCTTAGACTCATACTTGGGAAATCAGGTAATTCCTTGAAGCCACCTCAAGAAGACTAGGTATGAAGGCAGCAGAAGTCTCTTGATCTTGCTCCCTGGCAGGAGTGAGCTCTGGCCTGTCCACCTGCCTTCTAGCCTGACTCCAGGCTTAGATTTCAGGAATGGGGGGGAGTTGTGGGATGATAACCCAGTGGAGGTCTACACATCCTATCTCTCCATGCACATCTGGCACGTGGCTTCTGAATTCATCTCCACCATCTCCATCAGCCTAGGTTGGTTCTCTCTTAATTGGATATGCAAGCTGCTTTGTGCCCCAAACCAGGAGACAATAAAGAACGCTGTCAAAAGAGTACTGAGTTAAAAGTAAGGAGAAAGGCATGGTTCTACAAATGCTTTAGCTGAACCAAATCTTACCCCTAATCTTTGGGTCATTTTAAAAGTCCAATTTAATCTTTTGGTTTTAGTATTTCAGTTGACTATGTGCCTTCTCACTATACAATAGTCTTAGAAAGAGATCATAAATCACAAGCTAATTGCTATTCATCAGCTGAGAAAATATGGGCCCAAAGCACTGTTCTTTGGGCTAGTGCTTTATACCAACATCAGAATGAAGTGAAAGGCCACAGTTAAGCATGGCAAATACAATAGGATGCAGAAGTTTCTTGCTAGGTTGACTCTGTTGTGATTATAACTTCTTTTTTTTTTTTTTTGAGATGGAGTCTCACTCTGTTGCCCAGACTGGAGTGCAGTGGCGTGATCTCTGCTCACTGAAACCTCCGCCTCCCCAGTTCAAGCGATTCTCCTGCCTCAGCCTCCAGAGCATCTGGGATTACAGGCACGTGCCACCATGCCTGGCTAAGTTTTGTAGTTTTAGTAGAGATGGAGTTTCACCATATTGGCCAGACTGGTCTCAAACTCCTGACCTCAAGTAATCTGCCTGCCTCAGCCTCCCAAAGTGCTAGGATTACAGGCGTGAGCTACCGCGCCCGGCGTCTGTTCTGGTTATAACTTCTGAGACTATCTGGCATATCTCAAAAGTAAGACTATAACCCAAAAGTAAGAATAATACATATATAACATACTTAAAAGTAAGAATATTCAGGCAAGGCTTGAGTTTCAGATCTTCCTGTTTAGATGATTTGCCATCTTACTTCCTTTCCCTGGGGCTCACACCATTTGGGTCTCGTTTCTCTAACAGTGTTCACCAGTGTGCACTATAATTTATTTTTGTAAACACCACACCAAGACTGACTTCTTTAGGGCCGAAATCATTTTTTTGTGTTCCTAGCACCTTAATACCTGGTTCATAGAAAGTTCTTGAGAAATATGTGTTAAATAAACAAAATTCTTGTTTGGTTTGTGGATGTCCTATTTCTGATACATTTTTAGAAATGATATAACAGAGAAATTTCTAATGCCCACAATAGTCCAATCAATGAGTAGTGAGTGTGAATGAAACAGGCTTAGATGGATCTCTCTGAGGTGGGTAGTGGGGTATATTACCAAATAAAGTTAAAAACTGATTTTCTGTAATCAACCCAAATGCCCATCAATGATAGACTGGATAAAGAAAATGTAGTGTATATACACCGTGGAATACTATGCAGTCATAAAAAGGAAGGAGATCATGTCCTTTGCAGGGACATGGATAGAGCTGGAGGCCATTATTCTTAGCAAACTAACGCAGGAACAGAAAACCAAACACTGTATGTTCTCACTTATAAGTAGGAGCTGAACAATGACATAGGGCGGGAAACAACACACACTGGGGCCTGTGCTGGGGGCGGGGTGGGGAGGGAGAGCATCAGGAAAAATAGCTAATGCATGTGGGGCTTAATACCTGGGTGATGGGTTGATAGGTGCAGCAAACCACCATGGCACACGTTTACCTATATAACAAATCTGCACATCCTGCATGTGTATCCCGGAACATAAAATAAATTAAAAAAAACAAACAAACAGAAAAACTGACTTTCTGCAAGGTAGTCCCTAGGTGACAACTTTATTGCCATAAGAACAACTATAAAACACTCCATTTCTTCTGCATCATTCAGCATTAAACAAACTCACATGCAGTGTTTCTGCTTGCTTATATCTATTTTTTTTTTTTTGAAAAGAGGTATAGATTTTACTTGAGAGTTACTCTAGCAAAACTTCAACTTTTACAGTTTTATGTTAATTCTTTAAATTCCCTTGGGATTACTAGTTTTCCAGCTAAAACACTGCTAAATTCTTAACAGTTTGAAGCAGGTTTTGGACTGGGGATCCAATTATGCATTCCCAAAACACAGTTTTCTTTTGAAGTAGCTTCTTTTGAAGGGCAAGGAGGGTGATTTCAACTCTTCAATGTCTAAACCTTGCCTCTTCCATCCTTTCAACCTATCATCTTTATTTCCGTCTAAAGTGATTTTGAAAAGAATCTTCGGGTAGTTGGGATTAATCACTGGATTTTTCTCTTTCTGGCTGTGCTGTGTATTACATGTTTGTTTCCAATTCAGAACCTCTGGCAAATACTCAAGTGAACAGGGTAAGTCTAGAGTCTAATTGTTTTAAGTGTCAGCTAAAAAGAAAAGTTTTTATATATGTTAGAAAAATACTAAGAAATAATGCTTAGAATAAATTGTTTTTCTGGGCCAGGCGCGGTGGCTCACACCTGTAATCCCAGCACTTTGGGAGGCCGAGGCAGGTGGATCACCTGAGGTCAGAGGTTCAAGACCAGCCTGATCAACATGGTAAAACCCCGTCTCTACTAAAAATATAAAAATTAGCTAGACATGGTGGCAGGCACCTGTAATCCCAGCTACTCAGGAGGCTGGGGCAGGAGAATCACTTGAACCCAGGGGGCGGAGGTTGCAGTGAGCTGAGATCATGCCATTGCATTCCAGCCTGGGGAACAGAGCGAGACTCTGCCTCAAAAAAAAAAAAATTGTTTTTGAGACGTGCATAAACATTCCTTCCTTTTGGGCAGTGATTATTAAGAAGGGAAGTGGAGGTTTTCCTGGGGGAATTTTTCAAGCTACACATCTCTCCTCCACAAATAGATACATTGCTTTTTGTTCTCTCCCTAGAATACTATAGAGACCCACTGATTGTAGGGTGCCATATCCCTTTGTGTGCTGGGGGTGCAAAAAGTTAAAAATTGTTTGAGATTTATCATTGGATAAAATGTTCCCAATTAGAATTTTACAAAAACATAAGACGTTTTGTTTAAATTACATTATTTATTTTTTAGATCATCCCTCTTAGTCCTGCATGCATTGTTAGCACAAAAAGTTGAACTTGATCACAACTTCCTTTGAAGAGAGAGTAGGTACACAATGACCATCTGAAGAGTTTCTCCACGGAGGGACCAAGAATTCCAGACGCTGGTAACACTGTCAGTAACCTACACAACTTTCAATACAAAAAAATTTACCAAATATCCTGTTTAATGTAAACAAGGCAGGAGGCAAAACAGAGTATTACAGTAACACTATTTTACAGGGCCCAGAAAATGTGATTATCTACCATGTTTTAACACATAAAGTGTCACAATGACATGCATATTTGATTTACTACATAACCCAAAATATAATTACCATATAGTGTGGTTTTAGCACTTCACTGTAACGTCTTCTGTCAATACTGATGGACTTCATAATTAAATGGCAATTGTATGTTAATGCAATAATTTATGAAAACATTACCATGAATTTATGAAGTAATTCCATAATTTGTGCCCTGTAAAATTAAGTGTAACAATGTTTACACTAGCAACAGTGTAAGCGAGCTAAGAATTTTGGTCCTTATATATATACATATATACATATATACACACACAATAATGTACAATTAAACCAAAAAGCTATGAATCCACTCACAGCTTCCATATTGCACAAACAGATACATTACGAGAAAGTTACATAGTTATAAGGTGAGTACTATATGGCAATAGGCTAAGACAAATCTGAGTTCTATCAAGTAAAGAATGCGGCTCATAACTAAAAACAAATCCAAAGACTATATTGTTAGAAAGTTTTAAAAAATGTGCATATTTATTGATACAAATGTGAAGCAAGGCTGAAATTCACTTTGGAACTTGCTATGGCAATCAATTGTTATGACGGTGCTTTCCACTCAGCATAGTGCATTTTAGTTACTGTTTTTGCAAGTACTGAGTAACAGAAATATTCAGCTGTCAACAGAAGGTAAGAAAAACTGGTGATGCAGTACAATGTTTCACTAACAAATTGAACTCACTGTGAGAGCTTCTACTGGCTCTAGGTCTGAACTAAATATAAAAGAAAAAAGAAGGGATGAAAAACAGAAACTTAGAAACAAATGAAATCTTAAGCCTTAGCTGATTACAAATTAAAGTCATTACAACAACTTAGAAAAATTATATTTTCAGAAGCAGCATACATATACACAAATATAAGAGTTAAAGCTTTTCTGAGCTTGGTTTCATGGACTAGTTATAAGGTCCCATAGTGGAATCAAGGATAAAAGAGTATTTGGTTTCAGAGGTAATATCATTGCTACTACACCTATTGAGCACTATGAAAACATTAAGAAATATCTAATATCTCTTAATGCCTTAGTTTAAATACTCATATATCAAAGTAGACTGTTACTACATCTAGAAATGTAAATGTCGAAGTTTTCCTTGTATGAAGTGATTAAAAAAATACAGCAAACTGAATGCCTTCACATCATTCAAAATGATTTAAAGAAAATTACGCACAAAATAACTATCTCCCACTTCTGTTTTTTCTTTGTTTTACTTAATAAATTTCTTAGAATAAGCTAACAAAGATTTGCATGAAATTAGAGGTTTAGTCTTTTTGTTGTTTTAACAGTGGTAAGCATTCTAGAGCTGAGGCTATTCATAATCTTTTGATATTCTGTTCTTAATAAATAGCAAGAACAAACTATGAAATAAACCAGAAAAGCTAACACAACAAAATGAGCAGATAGGTGTAAAACAAGCCTCTATGCACATGCCACACAATGCGTATATGCAAACATGCTACATAAAATAACTTCCTAGAGGGGGTAGTGACAGTTCCCTTCAAGCCGGAACCTTTGATAGCCTGTTCCCCCAAATATCAGTAAATGGAAAGATGAAGAAGAAAGTGCTGCGGCTTAACATGTCAAATAAAAACAAACAATAGCTTAAAAGCATTATTTGAGTGATCAGCATCACTTAAAGGAAAAATAGAAAGTGGACTGGCAAACACGATTTTGTCAATCAAGTACAAGCATGCTGTGCCCAGCGCAGCTTTGCTGAACTACAGGTTCCTACATGTACACCCATTCACATACATACCCAATTTCCCCAAATCCTTTAACATGTAAATAGGACATTTAAAACTCTGTTTTCTTTAATCTCTTTAGAATCATTTAAAACAAAAGACTGAACAAAATAGAAAAAAATGTAAACATCGAGGAGCCACTGGCACTTTGATTGCTGCCAAGGGTTATCAGTCAGTTCCCCACCTAGACACCACCATGCGTTTCAGTAAGAAAATCAAATTATAAAGCAATTTTATAAAGCAATTTTCTGAGAGGGAGAGGGGGGAAAAAGGTTCTCAACCCAGTACATGTTACTTAGCTTAAAAAAATACAATTTTAGCAAACACTACCAATGGTGAGCAAATTGAACACTGCTGCGAAAACGACACAGTTTAAATAAACTGGGACCCACACATGAAGAAAATCACTAACATGGCTATGTGCACAAAAGAGTAAAAGAACATTTCTTTAAAAATATAGATATATTATATTAATCAAGAATTTATCATATTAAATTGTTATTCTTAAAAAAGCTGAAGAAAGTTAATGGTGCTCTACACATTTTTATCGCCTATAATTAATTCATTCAATGGTTTCTGAATTGTATTTTTTTCTCATTTACAGTTTTCATATTTTGTTTGATAAGAATTCTGACCTTAAAAAGTTATAAAATTAGTGATTTTTTTTTGCTACTTATTAATCCAAAAGAATACAAGCATTTGAGTCCCAGAGAATGTCAAAATGCCTTGCTACCTAAAAGGACATTAATATAACAGAAATATCATCAAAGTCATGACATTGGAAATATTGCAGCTTTTCACAGTCATTAGAAATGCTTATTTCCTGAAGTTCCTTTGATTGTATCCTGGATTCAACAATGTGCAATTGTATATATAGAACCATTATGATAAAGCCAATGAAAACAACATTATACAACATTTCACCAAGAATGTCCACTCAATAGGTTCTTAATGGTTCTGTCCAGTTTACAGCAATACTGCGTTTAAAAAGGCTTTTTATCCTCTTGTGGCTGGGTGGAACTGAGTCTTTTTTGGTGAAATGTACACAGTAGTTCTGTTCCCCCAGTTACATGAAAGATGTTATTTATGGTGTGGAGGAAGCATGATATTTTACAAATGCGATTGCCGCCAGCTCCTTACAGAACTCTTCTAACACAATCACACCCTCTAGCAGTGTGATGTGGTCAATACTGGTAAGGAAAAAACAGACAATAAATCAATTCAAGATAGCAGCCGATCATTAAGTTCACTGAAATTTTTGGATTAAAAAAATGTAAAACACTAACTTACATAGGGCCTTCAGGTTCCAAACCAAGTAACCGCTTTCTGACTAACAGAAGCTTGGGAGTAAAGTCTTGAATACGCTGGATTCGAAGCATAAGGTCTCCAACAACCTGCATCACAGAGGCAAGGCACTTCAGTTCCTGAAATCAGCTACACAGACAACCTCAGGATCTAAAAAGAAAAATCTTCCTTCCCTACTATTTAATAAAGAACGTAAACTTTCACTACTCATATAATCATCTTTAACCAAGGACTCATACCTAATTCTTTAAAATAAAAGTTACATATTATTTAAAATAATTGAAAAAATAGTAGTTCAGAATGTATAATAATTACTTTTAAGCAGTAGATATATTTTTCATTATGTGACACTAACTGCATACAATGATATTAACATATTAATTGCACAGATTTATCAATCCTAGGGAATATAACAGAACTAGTAACTCACCCTGACAATTACAGAGAAGAGAGATCTACAGCCAGGAGCGAGGTTCACGTAAGGATCCAAAAGGTACTCGTGGATGTGTGGATGAGGGAAGAGAGAAAGTCTAGATAACACTGAGGTTACTTGTAAGTTTACATCATATGGCTATGGAGAGATAAAAAACAGAAAGACATTTAAAAATAATGTATACCGGTGTGCTTAATTTACTATTTCAATTTGTTCTTTTAAGAAAGGAGAATCTGGCCAGGCCCAGTGGCTCACACCTGTAATCCCAGTACTTTGGGAGGCTGAGGCGGGCGGATCACCTGAGGTTGGGAGTTCGAGACCAGCCTGACCAACATGGAGAAACCCCGTCTCTACTCAAAATACAAAATTAGCCCGGTGTGGTGGCACATGCCTGTAATCCCAGCTACTTGGGAGGCTGAGGCAAGAGAACTGCTTGAACCCAGGAGGTGGAGGTTGCAGTGGGCCGAGATCACGCCACTGCACTCCAGCCTGGGCAACAAGAGCGAAACTCTGTCTCAAACAAAAAAAAAGAAAGCAGAATCCACCATCTTCCTCCCTGCTGCGCATGCTCTTCTGCAATGAAAATATCTACAACTAAACTAGCTCTCATCATCTCAAATTACATATATTGCAGGCCTAAAACTTTAAAGATTTAAAAAATATATAAACATATAAAGACAAATATGTGACAGAGTCAGAATGTTTATTTTATGCAGGTTGATTCAATTAATGAAATTGTTCAAGGGGTCATAAAAAAGCACCAGTGTGTCATATATAATATTAATTACAGAGGACCCATTGAGCATAAGACCAAAAAACAAGATGGGAAGATATTACACCTTTTTAAATATAGTAATTTTAGAAGTGATATTCCTCACCTCAGATTATTCAACTACTGCCAATTCCCAAAAACACATACAGTAAAATAAAGTCGAATCACAGAACCTTGTCACCAGAATGAAATGAAAGTACTTGGGGATAGAACTGATGACGACCCTATGCCTCAAAGTGGATGAGAAGGTTCAAAATGGTGATTACAGAGAGGGATCATCTCATTTCTTGCATGAGTATTAACTTTCTCCAAACAACTGTATATCTGTGTACAGTTCCTCACACTTGTTTTACATGTAATATCGTGATTTTACTTGAATTCTAATTGTCTGTTTATTCTTCACAGAAAGGGGCTTTACAGAGTCATGTCAACAAAGCAAAAGGCACACTACACAAGGAGTTGCTACTACTTGCTCAGAACTTTCAATAGAAACTTCTCACCCCTTCCAGTTTGCTTCTTCTAAGCAGCCAAAGGAAACGGATTGGTTGCAACAAAACTAACTACAGTGAGGAGGCTGCAGAGAACCCAGGTGGCAAGAGTGAGACAGACACTGCAGCACAGTGGAGGGAAGAGGGAGTCAGGACCAAGTGCAACATCAGCCAGCACAGCGGAATGTTTCACTCTCAGCCACTGAACAACCTGCAAAGCCTTGATCACAGTGAATAGCAATGAGGAAGTCAATCTCTGGCATTCAGTGGAGAATGCTCGGGCACACGCCAGTTCTGCTACAGACTTCGGCATTTTACTATCTTTTGAAAATCACCACAGCTACAGACGCTACGATGAACATGTTTTGTTACATAAACAGAAACTCTCAAGTCCTATGCTGTAAGGCCCATTTTAGTCTTTCTAACTTACTACTAGATTCATGAACATGGATTTTTTTAAAGAATTAAAAACTGCTCCAAGTCATTTATTATTTTTTTTCAAAACCTAGCTGTAAGCAAGGTAATTGAAAGGAAATATGTATTCCCAGTAAAGGATAGTTTAAGAGTAAATTCTCCTACTTGGTAATACTTGGGGGCTTTGGGTATTTTTTATTGATATAGCATAATTGTACCTATTTTGGGGGGGGTCCATGTGATATTTTGATACATTTCACAATGTGTAATGTGTAATGACCAAATTAGGGTAACTGGGACATCCATCACCTCCAGCATTTATCTTTTCTTCGTGTTGGGAACATCACAGTTCTCTTCTAGCTCCTTTGAAATATACAATACGTTTTTGTTAACTAATTTCCCTACTGTACTACTGAATACTAGAACTTATTTCTTCTAACTGTACTTTTGGACTCATTAACCAACTTCTCTCCATTCCTCCTCCCTTGATAATATTTGCAACAGAATAGCCTTCTCTGAGACTCAACTCATAATAAACAATGAATTCACATTAAATTGTATTTTAGGTATGAAGGAATCATTTACAAAAAATAATTTAAAAGAATGCATTTAGTAAAAAAAAAAAAAAAGTAGAAAAAATTTAAAATACAACTTAAGTCCAGAATTGTACATGACTCTTCACTGCAGGTAGTTAAGATTTTTAGGTCACTAAATTTCGCCATCTGCAGGTGCTTAAATAAATAAATCAGTACAATTTGGCTTTAAACAAATACATTACTATTTAGACTTTGTATTTTCTCTGTGTGGTGTTACCTTGGTTTGTAGTTTATTTTAACATAAATGTAGGTCATAGGTTGCTTAAGAAATTTAAGGCTGACACAGATTATTTCTCAACGTAGTAAAAATGAAAATAAATTTCAACAAGATAAACTTGTTTCACTGTACTCTGAAATGGTCTCTACTTCCTATTGGTAATAACTTTAAAACAAGCTAGCCTTTTTGGAAGTTGTTGGTAGTTAAGTGTTTATATCTATTACTTGAGGTCCCTTTATTTTATACTTTATACAGTATTTACCTGAAAGGAAAGCAAGCCAGATTTCTCTGACATGACAAATGGACTTGGCCCATGTTTTTGGACTGAACTCAAATTTTGAGATAATAAACTTTGACTTAAAAAAGTAATATCAACTTCACTTTAACAATTAGAAAATGTGACAAGTAGCTAAGTTACTTGATCAAATTCAAACTCATCATGCTCAGGGCAGGGACAAGATTTGGCCTCCTTACAATGTTCCCAGTGTTCTTTACATTCTGCTATGGGCTTTAGTATTTTACTATCTTTTTAAAATCACCACCGTTACAAACAATAGTAAATGTTTGTATTATGAATTTTTTCAAATTAGCATTGTGATAACACAATAGTGTTATGAATACTTGATACTGTAAGTTCTCAATTATGCATGAAGACATTAGCCACTTGCCAAACTATTCATATTAAATTTTTAATCTCAGTCAAGTTACCTAGACCCTATTAGGAATCTATACTAAGAAAATGCCCTGCAAAGAGAAAAACAAAAGAAAAAGAAAAAAGAAGAAAGAAGAAGGCCAGGCGTGGTGGTTCATGCCTGTAATCCCAGGACTTTGGGAGGCCGAGGCAGGTGGATCACCTGAGGTCAGGAGTTCAAGACCAGCCTGAGCAATATGGTGAAACCCCATCTCTATTAAAAATACAAAAATTTGCCAGGCGTGGTGGTGTGCACCTGTGATCCCAGCTACTCAGGACGCTGAGACGGGAGAATCGCTTGAGCCGGGAGGGAGAGGTTGCAATGAGCCAAGATCACACCACTGCATTCCAGCCTGGGTGACAGAGCGAGACTCGGTCTCAGAAAAAAAAAAAAGAAGAAGAAATAGGGAGAGAAAGAAAAAAAAGAAACTACAAGCAAGTATCACTTCCGGCAAAAATGTTTAGGAAAGAAAGTAAAACTAGGCCAAAAATGCTTAGCTTTCTAGGACTTGTGTTTTATCTCTGAGATCAGACTATACCACGTTCTTACCCAAAAGGCTTTGAAAATCAAGGGTTTTTTTTTTGTTTGTGTTTTAATTTTGTTTTAGAGACGGGGTCTCACTATGTTGCCTAGGCTAGTGTGCAGTGGCTATCCTTAGGCACAATCATAGCGCCCTACAGCCTTGAACTCCTGGGGTCAAGCAATCCTCCTGCCTCAGACTCCTGAGTAGCTGGGACTACAGTTGCACCCGGCTCAAGAGTTTTAAAGATAAAAGGTTTCAGACGGGGCTCCATAGCTTACCAGCTGTAAGTCACATAACTGAAACCAAAGATTCCTCATTTGTAAAATAATACTAGAAATCTCTCTTGCCTATGATACACGGTTACAGGAAGAATGACTGAAACAGTCTATGAATCAGCGCTGTGCTATGAAGTGCTATCTGGTGAAATTGAAAAGTATTTTAAGTATTTCAGATATTCTGTTTTCAATGTATCCTTTTGTGCCAGCACTCCACAAACTAGAGAAAAAGTGCTCAAGGTTGAAGATTCAGGGTAGATCTTTCAATTCAGAAACTACTTTTTAAAATTTAGATTCCTTTTTAGTACTTTCGGTCAAAATTCCTAAACATTACTGTCTTGATACTCATTGTTATTACCTCTTGCTTGTTAGCTTAATCAAGCAACAAGCTTGATTTAAACTACGCCTAGCAAACTGGCTCAAAAACAAAAACAAAAAACAAACCACAATAAACTGATGCATCCTGGCTACCCAGGAGGTTTACACAGCCATGAGGTGAGGCCACAATACCTATTAATAGCCAGATTTTTATACTTTGGTTGTCAGGTTTAAAACGACCAACCAAGCAACACTAGAAATACAGCGAATGCTATTAAGAGGTTAAAAAAGAAAAAAAAAAGGACCTGGTCTCTTATAGAGATTACCGTCAGAAACAACGCTGACTAAACTCTAACATAGTGAAATACTTCTTAGATTACAATTTCTTTATTTGACTTTCTAGTTACTGAAGACAGCCTACTTAGTAAATTTCTTTTACAACTCCCTATGCTCACATAAATATTTAACTAAAATGCTAAAAAAAGAACACGTACTTTAACATACAGTTGAAAATTAATTCCAAATTGGTCCACTCAGTTTCCACACTGAGGAAAGTACTATGCTAGTTGTGTTCTTTCAGGTTTAGATTCTAATGAGTCAAGCATTTCAAAGCTCTCTCATCACTAAGCTTATGAGCCAATGAGAGATGGAAGGAGGGATTCCATAATCCCAAATTTATTTCTCCTAACAGTCAGATGAGATGTACATAGCAACTTATCAGCTGATGGTGATTTTTATCCACCTTTAAAGGAGTACATTAACCTTTTCTATTTCACCTCTCCCTTATGAAAATGAGTATCGTTTACAAGCTTTGTCTAAAGAGCCAGGTTCATCTAACACTATTCTGTGATTTTACTGAGACCAGTGTTCAAGATTCAATCTGAAATGACATTTAAGGTCTTCCAAATTGAGCATCTGTATTTGTACTAAATGTACTAACTAAAAGGCTAAGCAAGTCATAAAAGAAAAGCAGTCCTAATCATCTCCAAAATGTGTTAAGGATATTAAGACAATGGCCTATCATGAGAAGTAAAATAAACAAGCAGCTGTCAGGCCAAATAAATGTTTTTAACATACAGAATGCATCAGAAATCTGCCAGTTGTTGGCAATCAAGCTTCATGAAAAAGTCATCCAGTGGAAAAAGTAAGAAAACAATAAAAGTACTTTATTGAAGATCTACTAAGACTTGAGATGATTCTGTGGTGAATGGCAAAAAAAAATATGAAAATTAGTATTTTAAAATGTATTACCTGATCAAGAATTCTTCCCATTCTGTCGAACAGCACTTTCAAAAAATGACCTTCAAAGAAAGCAGCTTCTAAATTGCACTTTTCCAATGCTTTTGGAGACCCAGGCCACTCCCATCTTAAGCAGATAGCACAGTAGTCTCGGAACTAGGGGGAAAAAAGCATGTGAATCATTAAAGAACAAAAACAAATTAAGATGAAATAGAAATGATTTCATTAAATAGGCATATAAAAAACCATTTGAATGCAGAATGTCTGCTATGCTTCAGGTGCCAAGGGAGAGGGGGAAGAGATGACTCAGATCTTTCTGTGACTAGGGGCACAGGTAAGATTATATTAACTGCTGCTACCAATATAAGCTGATGAAAAAGAGACATATTTTAACTTTACTAAAATACCCCTAACAGCTCTTTCCTTTAAAGGAATTTAACTCTTTAGTTACTTTCATCACCGATTTAGAGGACATTTAAAAAGCAAAGTCAGACCTAGCCAAGTTTTCAAATTTATTCTAAAATGGTATATACCACAGATGAACTGATACATGTTATTTGAGAAGACAAGCCTGCCATTCCTAGAATGGATGCAAACTAGCACACTAGGCATGATGTTATGATAGGATCAAACAGTGCTACTCAAAGGTGGTCCATCGACCAGTGCTGGTCCTCAAAGTGTTCACTACCGTCCACAATGAGATGAGGACAAAAAGCAAGAGCAAGCACTTAAAAACGTTCCTAACAATTTGACTATGAAGAGTTTTATGTCTGTTGAATCTAACTATGAAATAATCAGGGTTTGTATTTTGTGTCTTTTTTTCTCTTCATTTTTCTACAATAGGAATTCTTTTTTTTTTTGAGATGGAGTTTTGCTCTTGTTGCCCAGGATGGAGTGCAATGGCACAATCTCGGCTCACCACAACCTCCGCCTCCCAGGTTCAAGCGATTCTCCTGCCTCAGCCTCCCAAGTAGCTGGAATTACAGGCATGTGCCACCACGCCTGGTTAATTTTGTATTTTTAGTAGAGATGGGGTTTCTCCGTGTTGGTCAGGCTGGTCTCGAATTCCTGACCTCACGTGATCTGCCTGCTTTGGCCTCCCAAAGTGCTGGGATTACAGGCATGAGCCACCACACCTGGCCAGGAATTCATTTTTATTGCATTTTACAAAAGTGTTGGTCTGTGACAGATTGGAAATAAAAAAAAAAAAAAAAACCCTGGTCTTTCACTACAGATAGTTATCAGTGAAACAGTGTGAATATTTATAAGCACAAGATTATTTCATATAATAAAAATGAATTTTAAAAGTCTCCCCCAATATGTAATTTACTTGAATTGAAACAAAAGAAATTTAAAGCACTGTTTTCTTCTATATTCCTTCCCTCTTCAGATTCTCCTTATTTAATAAAGCAAAATTACTTTGACTTCTCTAGTTTAGAAATTACCTGAAATTAAAACAGAAAATGGTCGGGTGCAGTGGCATGAGCCACCAGGTCCAGCTAATTTTTGTATTTTTAGTAGAGATGGGGTTTCACCATGTTGGCCAGGCTGGTCTCCAGCTCCTGACCTCAAGTGATCTGCCCGCCTCGGCCTCCCAAAGTGCTAGGATTACAGGCATGAGCCACCGCGCCTGGCCCAAATCTCAATTTTTAAGAAATCATTTTTACATTAACACTTCTTATATTCTGACTTATAATTTCTTATAGCTTTTGGTTTTTCTAATATTTCTGAAACAATTGTAACTGCATTTGTAATCACAAAATGGAAATGAAACTTTACAGAAAGAATAAAAGCAGTTTAAAAATCCAATCGGTACTGCCAAAAGATATATTTTACTTTTATTGTCTTTACTTTATTGTTATTTGAATGTTACTTGCTACTCCATTAATTTATTCATGTATTAATGCAGACAAATTCATGTACTAATGTGGACTTAAAGTATTATGAATTAACTATGTGCATATGCAGATTAGTTATATATAATAGGATACTTCAATACAAAGAATTTAAATACAAATTAAATGTACATTTTTCAGATTTGAGAATTTTTAAAATTTAGACTATGTAAATTTTAAAATTCTCTTTCAAATTTTGAAATATTTTATTCTGGTTATTTATTCAACAAATACTAAATAGTTACTGATATTGTAAAATGTATAAAGCTCTAAGCTACATATTTTGAGGGATTTAATGGTAAATCAAGCATGAATCCTATCCTCAAGAGACTGACTATTACCTTATAACCCCAAGGCAAGAAAGAAAACACAAAGGACCACAAAAGATTAGAGACAATGCCATGAGCATGAAGACGAGTAGTTACCTTTACTGTTGGGAAGGGAGAGGAGGAAGAGGGTAAAAAGAATAAATCACGAGCTGGCATTTAATCTGGATGTTGAAGACAGTGTAGAAATATAGATATCAGATGGTGGGTGAGAAATAAGAGGAGAACCTTGTAGGCAAACAGAATAGCATCAATAAATGCACGTAAATGTTATATTTGGATAGCAAGTGAAAGTCATAGTAAGAAATATAGAAAAGCAGGCTGGAAAATTGATCCGAAAGGATCTTGAATTCTAAGATTTGATGTCTAAGTATTTATACTTTATGAGTTAATAAAGAAGGGGTTCTCAGATCCACACTTCAATGAGATTAATCTGTTAATGGCTTCTAAGCAGAAGGAACAAGCTGAGGAAACAAGTTATGAGGCTACTGTAATCTGGCAGAGGTAATAAAGATGTAAACTAGGATTCTGAAAGCAAAAAGCAAAAATGGAGAAGGGGCAGACAGGAGAGATATAGTAGGGGCAAAACTGATACAACTTGGCAATACACTAGAGGCTAAGGAGAATAGAAGATGAATGAATCCCAGGCAACTCTGAAATACAAACCTTGAATGACCAGGAGGATGGATATGCCACTGACCACAGCAGGAAACAAAGGAGCAGATGCAGTTTTAAAGGCATCAATCATAAGTTCTGCTTTGGAAAGATAAAGTCTGAGGTCTTAGAAGAACACCTAAGTGGCTGAGGCTAGAGCTTTGGGGACACCTCAGATAGAGAATTCATGACAGAATGAATGTTAAACCAAAAGAATATCAAAGGAATGAAGATAGAAAAGAGGGCCATTGATAGATATTTTTGGTTTTTTGGCCACATCATAATATGGTGGACAGAGTAAAAATGACACCTGACACCTAAAAGCAGCAGCAGCAAAGAATGATGCTGCAGAAGCCTTAAGAAAGGAGAAAGTTTGAAATGGCAGGGCTGGGGTGGGGGGTGGGAGGTGGTTTAAACGAGTTCAGCGAAGTTACAGGATAGACGCTCAATACACAAAACCAGCAGTATTTCTACATTTGGAAAGAACAATCAGAAAATGAAGTTCACAAAATAATTTCACTTACAATAAAGAATAAAATACTTAGGAATAGATTTAATGAAGGAAGTGCAAGACTTGTACACTGAAAACTATGAAATTCTGTTGAATAACACTAAAAAGAACCTGAGTAAATGGAAAAACATCCGGTGTTCATGAATTGGAAAACTTAATATTGTTAGGATGGCTGTACTTCTCCAATCAATCTACAAATTCAATGTAAGCCTTACAAAAATTTCAATTGCTTTTTTTTTTTTTTTTTTTTTTGCAGAAATGGACAAAGTAATCCTAAAATTCATATGGAATTACAAGGGACTCCAAATAGCCAAAACAATTTTGAGAAAGAAGCAAGTTGAAGGATTCATATTTCTCAATTTCAAAACTTACTGCAAAGCTGCAGTAACCGAGACAGGGTGGTGCTGGGATAAGGACAGGTACATAGGTCAGTGGAATAGAATTGAGAGTCCTCAAATAAACTTTACACTTAAAGTCAATACACGGAAAATACCCTTTTCACTAAGTGCTGCAGAGACAACTGGATGTCTACATGTAAAAAAAATGAATCTGGACCCCACCTCACACTATATACAATAATTAACTCAAAACAGATTAAAGACCTAAATGGATAAACTAAAACTATGAAACTCTTAGAAAGAGACTTAGGTGAAAATCTATGTAATCTTGGTTAGGCAATGATTTCTTAGGTACGGCACAAAAAGCATGAAGAAAAAATAGTTAAGTTGCACTTTATCAAAATTAAAAACTTTTGGCCAGGTGCAGTGGCTCATAACTGTAATCCCAGCACTTTGAGAGGCCAAGGTGGGCAGATCACTTGAGGCCAGGAGTTCAAGATCAGCCTAGGCAACAGGGTGAAACTCCATCTCTACTAAAAATACAAAAATTAGTTTGGCATGGTGGCACAAGCCTGTAATCCCAGCTACTCGGGAGGCTGAGGCAGGAGGATTGCTTGAACCCAGGAGGCGGAGGTTGCAGTGAGCCGAGATCATGCCACTGCATTCCCGCCTGGATGACAGAGCGCGACTCTGTCTCCAAACAACAACAACAAACAAACAAACAAAAAAACAAAATTAAGAACTTTTGTGTGTTGAAGGACACTATCAAGAAAGTGAAAAGGCAACTCCCAGATGGGAGAAAATGTTTGTAAATAATGTATCTGATAAGGATCTACTATGCAGAATATGTAAGGGACTCTTACAACTCAACAATAAAAAGACAAATAGCCCAATTAAAACACAGGCAAAGGAATTTTTTTTATTTTTTGGAGACAGGGTCTTGCTCTGTTGCCCAGGCTGGAGTGCAGTGTCACCATCATAGCTCACTGTAGCCTTAAACTTCTGAGCTCAAGCAGTCCTCCTGCCTCAGCTTCCCCAATAGCTGGAACTACAGGTGCATGCCACCACACACGGATAATTTTTTTAAAAAATTTTTGTAAAAATGGGATTGTGAAGCCTGGTCTCAAATTTCTGGCTTCAAGTGATCCTTCCACCTTGGCCTCCCAAAGTGCTGGGGTTACAGGTGTGAGACACCACACTTGGCCGGGATTTAAATATTCTTCAGAGAAGAGTACAAGTATCTGCTAAGCATATGAAAAGGTACTCAACATCATTAGTCATAAGGAAATGTAAATCAAAACCACTAGGAGACACCACTTCACACCTCCTGGGGTAGCTAAAATTTAAAAAGAATAATGGTAAGTATTGGCAAGGAAATGGTGAACTTGGAACCCTTATACACTGCTGGTGTGATGTAAAATGGTGCCACCACTGTGAAAAACAGTTTGGCAGTTCCTCAAAAAAGTTAAATATAGAATTACCACGTGACCCATCAATTTTACTACTAAGCATATACCCAAGAAAACGGAAAACCCGTATTCAACAAAAAAGGAATATTCACAGCATAAGTATTCATAATAATCAACAATTAGAAACAACCCAAATGTCCATTAACTGACAGATACACAAAATATCCGTACAATAAAATATTATTCAGCCATAAAGAAAAGGAAGTACTGATGCATGCTTCAACTTGAATGAAACTTGAAAACATGACCTTACACTGAGTAAAAAATGCCAGACAGAAAAGGTCACATATAGTATGATTCCATTTTTGTGAAATGTCAAGAAAAGGCAAAGTCATAGAGACAAAAAGTAGATGAGCGGCTGCCAGGGCTGGGGGTTGGCGGGGAGGAGAAGTCAATATGAAGTGACTGCTTTATTTGTACCGGGTTTCTTTCTGGGGTGATAGCAATCTTCTGGCATTAGATAGTGATGATGGTTGCATAACATTGTGAATATACTAAAAAACATTAAATTGTACACTTTAAAATAGTTAAAACGTTGAATTTTATCTCAATACAAGTTTTCTTTGCAGGAGGAATTTTTAATACAATTTTTAAAATCTTACGATGTAAAATGCTATAAAGAGGAAAGAAGAATGAGAAAAGTCTCCTTAATTTAGAAGCAAACCTTTGAGCAAGTCGTTTGAGTGAGGTAGAAAGGTGAAATTCCGGGGCTGAAGGAGTGAGAGCTGGGCAGCAGAGGGACTATACTTGTGAATCACTGTCTGCATCAGAATGAAGGAGAAAAGGATAATGGCTTGTGTATGAGGATCAAGGGTGCATGGTGGGTAGAATTATTAAGGTATCATGTTTTGGATCAGTAGGAGAAATGGATCCGGGTGAGATATAATTTAAAGTGGGAAAAAATTAAAGAGCACAAAGAAATCTTGAGATGGAGACACACAATCGGTGAAGTGCAAACTAAAGTCACTTGCACAAAGCAAAAGTAGTTATAGCAGAGACCAGGTCTTTTTTTTTTTTTTTTTTTTTTTTTTTGAGATGGAGTCTTGCTCTCTTGCCCAGGCACGATCTTGGCTCACTGCAACCTCCACCTCCCAGGTTCAAGCGATTCTCCTGCCTCAGCCTCCTGAGTAGCTGGGACTACAGGCGCCTGTCACCATGCCTGGCTAATTTTTGTATTTTAGTAGAGACGGGGTTTCACCATGTTGGCCAGGCTGGTCTCGAACTCCTGACCTCAAGTGATCCATCCGCTTCGGCCTCCCAAAGTGCTGGGATTACAGGTGTGAGACACTGCACCCGGCCCAGGTCTCATTTTTAATAAGAATGAAGTCATTTCCTTGGAGCAGTGGTGGTGGGCAGTGTGACAAGGGGTGTGCATGTGTCTATTCTTAGATTTCATTTCCAACATTTAGTGACTTCACCTACCTGCCTATGAGCGTCTCGGAGGTAAGTGTCATATCCTGTGCCCTCAACATGGTAGGAGGATTTTGCGTCATCCGGTACCAGACAGAGAAAACTTAAATGAAAACGGCCACAATTATGCAAGATGTCCATTTGCATGAAAAAAAAAAGGAAAAAGTAGAAGTGAAAAAGACCATAATCAATACTCTCATAATTCAATAATAACTTTATAAGTACTAAAGCATCTAGTGATATCGTAAGTTCAGCTAAGTATTAATACAAATGGAAACCCGAGAAATGAAATTATATGTTGTTAATTCCTGATAAGTTTTACAATTCATTGATTAAATATTCTCATTATTTTAAAGGTTTTAAAAATGACTAATTCCACTTAAAATAGAAGTAAGCCTAAGAAAGACATTTTTTTCCTCTTCAGATTGCTGTATAATGACAGACTGCCATGATATTTGTTAATCTCAGGAAACTGGTTTTAAGTAATTGAACTTGAGATTTTTATGTACCCTAATTTTGCATCTTGAGCCACATGCAATTTTTCTCTAAAATCACCTGCCAGAACCAGGTATATCAGTGACAACACTGCAAGGGAAGCAAAAGAGAGAAAAAAAATTGCCACAGAAAAGGGCACTTTTAAAAAAACATAAAACCACGAACTAACAAAAAGGAATAGCCCAACACTTAGCACACATGTTTAATAAGTACATCTTATCAAACCAGCAATTCTCAATGTTGTTACAATTGGGAATTACTTAAAATTAAACCATTTATATTTTTTAAAAATGGGATGACTCAGCATGGTGGCTCATGCCTGTAATCCCAGCACTCTGGGAGGTCAAGTCGTAGTAGCCATGCGACTGTAATCCCAGCTACTCAGGAGCCTGAGGCAGGAGAATCGCTTGAACCCGGGAGACGGAAGTTGCAGTGAGCAGGGATCATGCCACTGCACTCCAGCCTGGGCGACACAGTGAGACTCTGTCTCAAAAAAAAAAAAAAGGTGGGGGAGGGAACTTTGAGGGTTCATTTAACCACAGTTAATATTAAGTAGAGCTTTTCTCTTAGTATCAAGTGTTGCCCGCAGCCTGGCACTTGTTACATAAGCAAGACCAAAAAACTGACATAATCTTTAAAGAAGATCAAGTTCATAAGAGATTTCTGTAACCACCTAAGAGCAGAGCTCTTACATGTTATACACTTTGGGAGGCCGAGGCGGGCCGATCACTTGAGGTCAGGAGTTTGAGACCAGCCTAACCAACATGGTGAGACCCTGTCTCTACTGAAAATACAAAAATTAGCTGGGTGACGTGGCAGGAGCCTGTAATCCCAGCTACTTGGGAGGCTGGGGCAGGAGAATCGCTTAAACCCAGGAGGCGGAGGTTGCAGTGAGCAGAGATCGTGCCACTGCACTCCAGCGTGGGCAACAGAGCAAGACTCCATCTCAAAAAATAATAATACTAATAAACAAAAACAAAAAACAAGAGAGATGGAAGTCAAATTTTATATAGCAACTCACCTATTTACAATTTTATGAACTTCAGTTTTTCCATCATTTTTGGGGTGGTCTGGAGTAGCAGGAGGTGAAGAACTAAGCCACTCTTGGTTTGGCAAAGTGTTTTCTGGTGAAATGTCAGTAAATAATGGATCTTCTTCCAGATCTCTAAGTTAAATTTAATGACACATAAAAAGCACTATTTTATTATGACATTTTCTAAACCAAAAGATTCTCTGCTATGTTCTTAGAAAATGTTACATAATTTTGCTAATATAAAGGATTAAGGAATTATGTATATTTTCTAGGCAAATTAACATTCTATACTATTTTGTTATTGGGTCTAATGAATACACAATATTATTTGTAATGTAAAAGGATGGTAGTATCAATGCATCTAATTTTACTTTTAAGAACTTTTAAACTGTAAGAGGTATTTCTTTTGAGGATAAGGGAGGTAGATAAGAGGAGAGAGAAAGTTCTATCTCTACATGAAATGCTGAACTCACGGAGTTGGATGGAAACTTACACTGCTCCTGCTATCAATCCATTTTCTACCACATCTTTATCTTCTGGGCACAAAGGTTTATATTCTGTATAATTTCTTTCTTCAAGATTTCTCAAGACCAAGTTGTAAAGAATGTGCTCATTGGGTTTTTGTAAAAGATGTTCAAACATTCGTAATGTCATTATGCTTATCTGAAACCAAAATTGATAAAAGCTAACTGAAAAATGTCTTTACATAAGTTACTCTTCTTACCATCTTGTGAGTCATGCTTTCAATTTCTAAAGCCAATAAAAGAGGTTGTATTGAAAATATCTGAAGTATAATACATTAAAACCGTATTTCAAAGAATCTAAGTCCAATTCTAAATCATTACGTAGCTTACCTCATCAGATATGTGATCACAATGTTCAATTAACCTATGCCTTAAAGGATGTCTGCTGATTTCTGCCAGAGTTTCTGGTTCCCTCTGTTCTCCAAGGATAAAAAACACCATTTCTTGAAGCAAAACATCAGAGGTCACTTGCCGAACGATGCGATGAAGCAGAGCAGTGGATGTGAGAATACCCATCTCAGAACTGAGCACAATGAACAGGTAGTCAGTGGGCAAAAATAACATGACACAGTGATGCGGTTTTTTTCAAAAGAAAACAGGCTACTCACGTTTGCATTAATTGAGGTTCCATAACACCAATGAAAAATCTTTCATGAACAGCTTTGGCAAGAGCAACAGCAGCAGTCTAGAATATAGTAGGAACATCATTTTTTTTTTTAATATAAAAGAAAGACTAATTTGTAACATCAATAAATCAGTTTGGACTCCCAACTGAATTAATGTGGAAAGACAAAACTTGCCTAATGACCCTCTTATTGGTGGCATATAAATCTAGATTAGATGTTGGCTACTGGGTCATTTACACTTTTTTCTAAATTTCCAAGAATAAGAGGAATAGGATGAAAAATTATTCCAATGTCCATATAGTATTAACATCTCACCAAAGAGCAGGACTGAAGGGAAATCAGTGTTACTTTGTAAAGTACTGTACCATAATATTTAAGGAAATATAAAAGGGCAGAACTTGAACTTTGATTTATTCTGGAATTGTAATACACACATACAAACACATATACACTTTTTTGTTTACTTATTTTACTAACCATGGTATTCTAAGACAATTAAAATGTATTTGGGATATAAATTAGGGATTCCAATTTCACTTAATAGATATTTATATCTTAAAATGATCAAAAAACAATAAAAAATTACAAACCTTTTGGGCTTCCTTAATGAGCTGATCACAATAATCAAACCAGGAAAGAAATGAAATTAAGGCTCGTTTTCCTGGAAATGCTGAAGCATCTTCTTTATGACTATATGAGTCCAAGCTGTAAGACAAGGAAGAATTGCTAAGTCCAAAGTTATCCAAAAGCATGGACCCTATTCAGAATGTATGGAAAAATGAAGGCACATGAACACACTCAGATAGTATGGTACATTCACACAGGAAATGCTGGAGGACAGTGAGAAGAGGATTCTGTAAAAGAAACCAAAGATAAGAGAAAATCTTTTAAATAAGAGCTGTAAATAATTTTCACGTATTAAGTAGGAGAAGAGAGGTTAAAGCAGAATGGAACTGCAGGAGGCCAGGTGTGGTGGCTCATGCCTGTAATACCAGCACTTTGGGAGGCCAACGTGCGTGGGTGGGTGGATCACTTGAGGTCAGGAGTTCGAGACCAGCCTGGCCAATATGATGAAACTCTCTCTCTCTCTCTACTAAAAATACAAAAAAAAAAAAAAAAATTAGCTGGGCATGGTGGCTCATGCCTGTAATCCCAGCTACTTGGGAAGCTGAGGCACGGGAATCACTTGAACCTGGGAGACGGAGGTTGCGGTAAGCCAAGATTGCTTCACTGCACTCCAGCCTGGGCGACGGAGCAAGACTCCGTCTCAAAGAAAAAACAAACAAACAAAAAAACAGTGGAGCTGCAGGAGAAAAAACACTGGGATAGCTCCTCATACTCCTGCCCTAAATGTTACCAAGTAACATCAACGAAAAGATGGAGGTTCTCAGCTGCTGGGATGGAAGAAAAGAACGGTAAATGGGGATCTACAAACAGAAATAGCGAGTGGACTACTTCTCTTCCTGCCCTAAAATGCAATACAGTCATAATGTTAACAAGTGGGTCTGCCCTATAGATGTTGACAGAAAATAGAGTGGAAAAAAGAAAGACACGTTAAAAATACAGAGAAATACAATAAAAGGTGATTATGTCAAAACCTTAGGCTGCTTACAGGTGGTGGGACTATGGGCAACTTGTTTATGCTGCTTTATACTTTTTAATAATTTATAAACGTTCTGCAATAATCATATTTCCCTATGATAATCAAGTTGGGGAGTCTAAAAGGTAGGAAGAAGAGGTGAAAGAATGAGGTAGAAGAGATTCTGTACAAACAGGCCAGGAGACAGATTAGACTGCTCTAGAGGCTGTGGAAATTATTTTAAAAGGAGATTCCTTCTTTGAGGGTTTTTTGTTTTTAATAATCAGTTAAAATTATTGATTTTAATGTAAGCCCTTAAAAATTGATCAGTAAAATGGACAAAATAAAAATATCTTAACTATGTAACAGCTGGATTGTTCCCACACCAATTCATTACCACTGATTAATACAAGCTTCAAGAAAATATTCCCATTTAATGATCACTAGTGGTGTTCAATTTTTCAAAGACTTCTACCATTGCAAAATAGAAATGGATTTTAAAATGTAGGTGTTAAGAAGTCACCTTTATGGGAAAATACAAGTAACGGTGCTTACCCCCAGTTAATTGCTTCCACGGTTTCAATATCTAACGGATCCACTGACTGAGGTAGGGCCTTGTACAGGGAGGCAAGTCTGTCTGTCAGTAGTTCACACAAGCAAGTGCTCTGTGTAAGGCACTTTGCAGCCGCAGGCTCTGGCAAACTTACTAACAGCATCAAGCCTTCACATGCCTTCACAGCTATTCTGCCATCCTAAAGGAAAAAAAAATCCCCCTTCAATTCTTGAATTGTATATACATCAGGTTGTTTGAAAACATTCAACATAAAAGGATTTAATGTTTCACACTAAAAGAAAAATAGATTTTTGTCTATTTTAAATGCATATTATTGGCCAACTGTGGAGCTTCACACCTGTAATCCCAGCATTTTGGGAGGCCAAGGCGGGTGGATCAGCTGAGGTCAGGAGTTTGAGACCAGCCTGGTCAACATGGTGAAACCCCATCTCTACTAAAAATACAAAAATTAGCTGGCGTGGTGGCGTGCACCTGTAATCCCAGCTACTAGGGAGGCTGAGGCAGGAGAATCGCTTGAACCCAGAGGCGGAGGTTGCAGTGAGCCAAGATCGCACCACTGTACTCCAGCCTGGACAACACAGCAAGACTCCATCTCAAAAAAAAAAATAAATTAAAAATTAAAATTAAAAAAATAAATAAATACACATTATTGAAATAATGTTAGGGGGGAAAAAGTAAGGACCATAACTCACAGGACTTCTAGTAAGATTTAACAAAGAATTCACTAAATTGTAATCCTGATTTGGACAAACAACCGAGGCCTCTGGCAGTGAGGTGACACTGAGGTTATCCAAGCTTGTGGACAGGTGATCCATCTGATGAGGAGGCTCATCTTCCAATTCTGTTTGCTCCATTCCAGTAGCACCAGATAGTTCCTCTGGTTGACGGGACTGTCCTGTATCTGTTGACAAGGAATCCTGACCTTTTAATGTATCTTCTGAAATTACATTTGGTACTCCTTTGGAAGCCAATGATTTCATCTTATTCTGAAAAGGAATATATGTTTTATAAAATTCACATCAATAACTTTTTAAGCCAAAAATAATATTTTAATGGATTTTTCTATAACATTCCACATGCCTAGCCAAAGTAGCAATAGATGTTATGTCACATGAAAATATTCTGACTTTTAACAAACTGTGTTTTAGAATGATTTTACCATTGCATAGGAGTTTATCACACTCCTCATACTAACTACAAAATGTTTTACACTGACCATAAGCAATGAACAGTATTACTGATAATTTGACTACTGCTTAAAACAACTAATGTTAGTGAGGAAAAAAGTTTCAGGAGGTTTCAATTGCAGTTAACTTTTTTCTCATCACTGGACTACTGTAACTACATAGTCTCAATGTTAATTCTTATAAGATCATAGGGTGGGGGGGGTGGTTTGCAGGGAAGGAAGTACAAACTTACAAATAAAAATATTTTAAAGTTCAAAAGTTACCAGCATTAGACTGAAGGTTTCCACAAAAGCCCCCAAATTCTCTCAAATATATAAGCATCTTTTCTAAGTTTTTCCTTAAACCTCTACTCTATAAGAACGCAAGAAGCTGGGCACAGTGACCCATGCCTGTAATACCAGCACTTTGGGAGGCCGGGGCAGGAGGATCACTTGAGCCCAGGAATTCGAGACTAGATGGGGCAACATAGTGAGATCATGTCTCTACTAAAAAAATAAAATAAAATAAGCTGGGTGTGGTGGCTTGCACCTATGGTCCTAGGCCTTGGGAGGCTGAGTGAGGCAGGAATATTGCTTGAGCCTGGGAGGTTGAAGCTGTGGTGAGCTGTGATCATGCCACTGCACTCCAGCCTGGGCACAGAGCAAGACCCTGTCTCAAAAAAATTTAAAAAAAGAGAACCCAAGAAACTACTCAGGGGACATTTTTACCAGTGTCTTTAGGATAGAAATAAGATTTGCTTGAAATGCTGGTGCTCCCTCCCCCAATCCACATACCAAAACACAAAAAGACTCTTAACTGAAGCAAATTAGCAAATTGTTAGCTTCAAGGCAAAAGTATCTTGCTTTCCATTTGAACATAAGAGCAGAAATCAGATTACACAAGTAGGTTAAAATTCACCATAAACTAACTTCTCCCAGGGCCTATCATCATAGAAACATATTAAAGGCTGAATGAATTCAGGGTTCTACTTCCAAAGTTATATTATACTAATTATAAATCACTTTTATTGCTGTTAAAAGTATAGGTTAGACCAATCTTCTTGAGAAATTGAGTTCACAGAACATATTTATTAAAAGCAAACAACTCTATGGGACTCAATGAATACTCCAAACAATTTGCCAATTTCCAACAAAATCAATGGCATATTGGCCGGGTGCAGTGGCTCACATCCCAGCACTTTGAGAGGCTGAGGCAGGCGGATCACTTGAGGTCAGGAGTTCGAGACCAGCCTGGCCAACATGGTAAACCCTGTCTCTACTAAAAATACAAAAATTAGCTGGGCGTGGTGGCATGTGCCTGCAATCCCAGCTACCAGGGAGGCTGAGGCAGAATAATCACTTGAATCTGGGAGGCAGAGGTTGCAGTGAGCCGAGATCATGCCACTGCACTCCAGCCTGGGCAACAGAGCAAGACTCCACCTCAAAAAAAAAAAAAAAAAACCAATGGCATATCATACTCTTTATGAAAGTAAAACATTTCATTCAATTTAAAATACTAGTAATATTGTTGGGAGAGGCGTCTCAAATAAGAACAGCAAGAGGAAGGATGTTAGTATAGCACTCTGTCCTTCAATCAATGTTTCTCAAAGTAAGACTCAAGATTGTTGGTATCCTGGTCTTCTGTGGGGCTTGATAAAAATGCAGATTCCTGGGTCCCATCCGGACCTGTTGAATATCTGGAGGTGGAGCCAAGGAATGTGCATTTTAGAAAAATTTCCTAGGTGATGAGGAACTGTGGCTTTAACACTTTGGTTCCTACTAAAACTGTTCCCCTTCTGTTTTAGGGATCTCATCAGTACCCACAACATAGTCACACACATAGCTTCTAAATCTCTTAAACTTAAACTTCCCTCCCAAATCAAAGATTTGCAATACCGAATACCTGCTAATTATCTCCATCAGGAAATCATGATGACTCAAAGCATCCGGAACCAAAATTATCATCTTCCCCTCAAAATCAGCTCCCTTGGGGCCCCTGTTTTTCTACTAGCAGCAGCCTTATTGGTTCAGGAATTCCAGCATTCAAATCATCCTTTCCCAGCTTCTGCATCTGAGCAGTTACAAGGCCATATAGAGCCTACCTCTAGTCTGAAGTTACGCATTTCATTCCAACCCACTGCTTCCAACTTGGTCGTAGTCCTTGTTACTTCTTGCCTGGGTTACTCCATCAGTTTCCAAATTAGTTTCCCTGATTTTATCTCTCCTCTCAAAGAATCTGCCATATAAAAGGCTGCTGCCAATTTAACTTAAGGCACAGATACCATCACATAATAACATCCCTGCTCAAAAATAGTTAATGGCTCCCCAGTATCTACAAGTAAGAATAAACTCTTCACCTTGTCATTCAAAGCCTTTGACAATACTTAGTCTATCTGTTCAGGTGCTTCTTGCCACACATCTTAATTATACTGTTTCCTGAACACACCACAAACTTTTACATCTTCATTCCTTATGTTCACCCACTCTAAACATGTCAAGGCTCATTTGTCTGTATTTATTTATTTTTTATAGAGATGAGGTCTTGCTATGTTGCTCAGGCTGATCTCGAACTCCTGGGCTCAAGCAATCTGCTTGCCTCAGCCTCCCAAAGTGCTAGGATTACAGGTGTGAATCACCGCGCCCAGCCTCATTTCAAAGATGACCTCTTCCAGGAAGACTTTCTTGATGACCTAGAGCTGATGAATCTCTCCATCCTGTAAGTACTTAAGGAATTTACTTTGTATCTTTCCTTTGATTCTCACCTTACTCTACTTTAGATTACAGTATCTGAACATTCATTTACTGTCTTCACCAGACTGTAAACTCCTTTAGGACAAAGACTGTTTCTTTTCTTTTTTTTTTTTTTTTTTTTGAGACAGAGTCTCGCTCTGTCGCCCAGGCTGAAGTGCAGTGGCGTGATCTTGGCTTACTGCTACCTCTGCCTCCTGGGTTCAAGCAATTCTCCTGCCTCAGCCTCCTGAGTAGCTGGGACTATAGGCATGGGCCACCAAGCCCGACTGATTTTTTGTATTTTTAGTAGAGAAGGGGTTTCACTGTGTTAGCCAGGATGATCTTGATTGATCTCCTGACCTTATGATCTGCCCGCCTCAGCCTACCAAAGTGCTGGGATTACAGGCATGAGCCACCGCGCCCGGCCGGCAAAGACTGTTTCTAACTCATCTACCATATATATTTAACCAATAGTAGATGCAAATATTGGCTGACAGTAATGAATAGAGAAAGATGACATTTCAGGGAATACATGCTTGAGAACTGCAAAGCACTTTTGTTCTTATCTATACTTATAAGTAATAAAACTGCATTTCTGGCTGGCCATGGTGGCTAATGCCTATAATCCTGGCACTTTGGGAGGCTGAGGTGGGTGGATCACCTGAGGTTGGGAGTTTGAGACCAGCCTGGCCAACATGGTGAAACCCCATCTCTACTAAAAATACAAAAATTAGCCGGGCGTGGTGGTGCGCACCTGTAATCCCAGCTACTTGGGAGGCTGAAGCATGAGAATCGTTTGAACTGGGAGGCAGAGGCTGCAGTGAGCCGAGATTGCACCACTGCACTACGGCCTGGGTGACACAGTCAGACTATCTCAAAAAAAAAGGAAAAACAAAAACAAAACGCTGCGTCTCCCTAAAGATTCATTCATTTAGTGTTAACTGAGCAGTTCCTATGCATTATGCTAGATTCTAGAGAAGCTGTGGGGACCCAAGATTAATGAGACAGAATCCTTGTCCTCAAGGAACATACTGACTAGCAGGAGAAAATAAAATGCACTTAAATAACCAGTGCTGGGGGACTGTAGTAACTGACATTAAACACATATGAATAGTCCTATTCGTTAAAAAAATGCAGACACCTACCACCTCAGGCTTTGGAGAAATATGTCATAAAAACACTGCACAAAGCAGATGTGTCACTAATTCTGAGGGGTGTTCTCTGTAGTGAGGTTTAAATGTAAATGTTTTTCCGAAGACAGGTACATACAGTGTACCTCACCATGAACATACATAAGCCTACATATTTCGTCTGCTTCTGATCTATGCTATGCACTTAGAAAACAAGTTTCAGAAATTTTTGAGAAAGAAATTCTCCAGGCTTAAGTTTGGGGAAAAAAATACATGCATTCCAAGTACACTAAGGTTATCTAAGAAAGCTTTAGCAAAAATGAACCTTGAGAAGAAAAATCTCAGCAAAACTGAGATATTTCTCATAAGTACACAAACAACTAAAAAAAAAATTCTAATATCATTATAAATCTTTAGAAATCCAAAATCATAAGACTGTTCCAGCCCTTTTGAAGCAAATTTGCAAAAGATGATACAAAATATAACGCACATCACGAACAACACACGATGCGCATGATGAGTGTTAAGGGCATGCGTAGTCCTTACCACCACCTAGAAATTTAAATTCATGAAATTTTACAGCTTAACTGCTTACCTAATTCGAGTTAAGAGTCCAGAATAGAATCCTAATTTACTTAGTAATGTAAAATAGAAAACAAACCCATCTATTGGAGTGGTTAACATTTAAAAATAACAAAACAAACAAAGACCTAACAACATCCAGTGCTGACGACAACACGGAGCAACAGGAGCTCACGTACACTGTTGATGGGATGCAAAATGACAAAGCCACTTGGGAAACAGTTTGGCGGTTTCTTATGAAAATAAATACACACTTACCATATGATCTGGTGATCCTACCCTAGGTATTTATCCAAGTGACATGAAAACCTAAATCCACGCAAAAATCTGTGTGTGATGTTCTTAGTGGTTTCATTAACAATTGTAAAAAACTAGAAACAACCCAGAAGTCCCTCACTGGTGTATGGATAAACAACTGTGGTACATCCATACAATGGTATAGTACTCAACAACATAAAGGAACAAAATCATGGATGAATCTCAAATGCAATAAGCTAATTTTAAAAGCCAGAATCAAAAGGCTAATTACATTGCTATGACTTTTTGGGAAAGAGAAAACTATTGGGATGGAAAATAGATCAGTGACTGCTAGGGCGTAGGGGTGGAGAAGGGATGACTACAGAGGATCATGGGGTAGTGTGACAGAGCTGTTGCACATCTTGATTGTGGTGGTAACACAACTGTGTTCATCAAGCTCACAGAATGCAGACTGAAACGAGTGAATTCTATTGTATGTAACTTATATCTTAATCCAAAAAAAGAAAAAGAAAAATTTATTTATGTATTTTGTATTATTTGAGACGGAGTCTCACACTGTTGCCCAGGCTGGAGTGCAGTGTTGCAATCTTGGCTCACTGCAACCTCCACCTCCCGGGTTCAAGGGATTCTCCTGCCTCAGCCTCTCAAATAAGTGGGATTCCAGGCGTGCACTACCACACCCAGCTAAGGTTTGTATTTTTAGCAGAGACGGGGTTTCACGATGTTGGTCAGGCTGATCTCGAACTCCTGACCTCAACTGATCCACCTGCACCAGCCTCCCAAAATGCTGGGATTACAGGTGTGAGCCATCGCGCCTGGCCAGAAAAATATTTTTTAAAAAACAAAAGAAGGCCAGGTGTGGTGGCTCACACCTATAATACCAGAACTTTGGGAGGCCGAGGCAGGAGGATCACTTGAGCTCAGGAGTTCCAGACCAGCCCGGACAACACAGGGAGACACTGTCTCTACAAAAAAACTTAAAAAATTAGCCAGGTGTGGTGGTGCACACCTGTAGTCCCAGCTACTTGGTAGGCTAAGGTAAGAGGATCACTTGAACCAGAGAGGTTAAGGCTGCAGTGACCAATGGTCACGCCCCCATACTCCAGCCTGGGCTACAAAGCAAGACCCTGCCTCAAAAAAGTAAAAATAAAAATAAAAATAAATTACAAACAAGGACAAAAACAACATAATCATTTTTTCTAAAATATTCCAAAATGACTTCACTGCTGAAAAAAAGAAGTGAATGAAGGCAAAAAGTACAAAAATATATTTTTTACTTTAAATCTAGGAGTAAAATCCAAAATATCACTTGATTTAAATAAACTATGATTTGGTGACTATGGCTATCAAAACAGTACAAAATACTACAGCAATCCCAACTGCTATGAGGATGGAGAGATAACTCGTGCTTTTTTCCATCTTGTCCAAATCTGCACATGCCATCCTTATCCCAGGCCAGATTTCCCATGTTACATACTAGGGCAAGCTTGGCTGAAAATATGATAGCATATCAACTTCTGTGACTTGTCTATCTCTGATTCAACCTTCAAGCTGTCCTCTTTTAAGCCATGACTTTGTATCTGTCCAGTCCCTGTACCACCTCATATATCTGGCTCAACTGCATTCTTTGAAATTCTTTTCTCCCAGGAGAATAAAATAGTGATATTAAAGGAAAAATAATTCTGGGAAGTAAAACAAGCTAATAACCTGCAAAACAGAGCTCCTTCTAATATTATTCACATAATTCAATTTTCATAATGATCTTAATATAACTACAGTTTGAAAGTTGATAAAAAGTGTATCATACCTCTAGGAAAAAGTTAACCAGGTAGGGGTCCTGTTTCAGCTTCGCACACACAATGCAAAGAAACTGAATCTCTTCATTTTCTGTTGGTGTTGCTAGGACTTCACCACAGAGTCTAATTAATTTCTGTGAAAACAATTGTTTTTAACTTTTTAAACTTAGGCTACTTTTTACAAATTTGTAAAATAACCATTCATTTACCTTAAGGATATTTAAATTTTTCATATAATGCAAATATCCTGCATTAATCAGAACACTAATGATATTTATAATTATCTATATCAAAATAAACTTACTAGTGGTAAAATTTTCAAGTTCATTACCATAAATAATTAACGAGTTATATAATAAATTCTCCTTCAGATGTCATGGAAGTAAAATCCAAGGAAAATTCATGTATAAAATTTTAAAGAGAATCAGAAAGACTGTAAGTACACTGTAAATACACTTAATGCTATGTGATGCATAAAGAAAGCTCAAGTATTTGCTAACTTGCATGTTAATTTTGGAATAATTTCATTATTTTTACTCTCAGAAAAATAATATAAAATTATTTCAACATTAAAAGAAATCAAACAAAATGATTTTATGTAGGGGGAACAAAATACCTGCACTGGCCTGTGCACGTTAATGTGTGGAAGTAGTGGCTGCCGGATTCTTCCCAGAAGTTTCGTATAGAAAACCAAAACCTGCTGTTTCATTCCCGGAGGACACTGGGTATAGGAAAAAAGGAAGCCAACAGGAAAACAACAGACAATGCAAACACATTTACTGAAAAGCTTAAAAAATTGGAGAGACAATGTATATGAATGTATTCCACCTTGAAAAGACAATGCAACTGGCCAGTTAATAACTGTCAGAATAAAATTTTCAATCAAATATTAATGACAGGTATTCTAGAAATAATATTGTATATCTGAGACCATAACACAGCATGTGAGACCACAGGCTCATGTAGTTACAAACAGCACGGTAATAATATGTTGTTGAGATTAGAGCTTGGTGCAGTCAATGTCAACCTGTTTATATTCTAAATGCTGGGGTAACATGAAACTGTAATAGTTAACACCCCGCTGGAACAAAGGCAAAATCTTGTTACTTACACTAATGACAGACATGTCATCAACTTTCCATCATATATATGTAGGAGTAAATAAAGCCTCCTAACACACATGTAAATAAAAGGAAACCTATGGTGTAAACTGTTGTGATTTTATCCTAACATCATTTTAAATTAGAGCTGTGCCTCGGTATACACGATTATACCCAAATCTGCACTCACTCAGTTCTGGTAGTCAGCCCTGTGGAACCCACATATGTGAAAATTCAGCCCTTTGCATAGACAGGTTTTGCATCCTGGAAATACTATATTTTTCATCCATGTTTGGTTGCAAAAATTCTGCCTATATGTGGACCTACACAGTTCAAACCCATGTTGTTCAAGGGTCAACTGTAAATATTCTTTGCCTATTATAATCATAATATAAATCAAATTATTTACATTATGATTATAATAGGCAAAGAATGTTTAATAAATTAGTTTTTGTAACATGCCAGTTGTTTTAAGTATTTGCTGAAAAGTAGGTAAACCCAATGATCACTCACACTGCAGATTAAGAGAGTATGAATTAACAAGGTTAACTTCCTTAATTAAGCTGCTTATACTGCTTCACATTTCAAATACAGTTACAAAATAAGTATTTCCAAAGCATCATCATAGACATGTTATCTGGAAATAGTATAAACTATAATCTTATGCACAATATTTTTAAGCTAGCAAATACTTTACATTATTTAGATAAACCACTAAATTATATTTACAATCACCTGTATTAAAATAAATTTACTAGACGTACAATTACTAACTTCTGCTCAAAAATCAATTAATCAATTTATTATTAACAATCCTTCTCTCCAAAGGACAGGAAAAAGGAGGAGGAGAATGAGTTGCAGAATATTAGAGAGCAGGTGTGTTGCCTAAAAAACATAAATTGAGTGAATTTAACTTAAAAGTAAATTAGAGTATTACAGACAGACAAAAGGAAATCATCTTGCATGCTACTATTCATATCTCTCTGTCATAAAAATGTGTCTACAGGTTTCTTTTGTTTTAGCCTAATTTTTTTCACATATATCATAGAAATTCACAGAACTATATAGACTTTTAGGGCTGGGGAGGCCCCTTAGCAAACACTTCCTGGATTTTAAAGAGGAGGAAGATTAACCAAAGAGACTTACAATGGTCACAGTGTGTGAATAATGATGTCAGGACTGGAAGCCTGGCCCCCTAATCTGAACCCAAGGCTCTCCCGTTCCCTTACTCGGCCACACGGCTGGAAAACTTGTCTCTATAAGTAATTTGAAGGTTTTGGAATATAAAATATTATTGATATCACAATTTCAGCTTTGTAAAGATTTTTCAAAATTCATCAGGCCTAAAAAATATAAATTGGCTCCACTTAACAGTTTAGTTAGTGTCAAAATCATCAGTGACATTCTCTTCCAGGACTATGACAAATAATTCCTATTTTTCAATCCTATTTTAACTGACTTCCTTCTATCTCTTTTTTTTATTCTGAGCTCACGTACTTGAGTTTATTTTCATAAATGTTTACATTGGAATTCTAAGCAGCCAAGTACAAGTTGTTGTCTAGAGTGTTTGGAATCTTTCTATCTCTATGGACATATTTGTATAGGCTACACAATTTTCTTTTTTCTACAATCTTAACTTGAATCCTGCCATGTTCAATATGTACCTTTATAATCAAGTATTTGGCAGCTTCTTTATTCGTAAGACATTAATGCATGTACTAATGCCCAAGAACATGGTGTGGATCAGGAACTTACATCAGCTTTCCCCAAGGTATATAATGTTTCCAAGATCTTGTGATGAAGCAAATATTCCATACATGGCCCTGTCTCTCCAGATTCCCGTTCATTTTCTTCTTGAACCAGTATATCTAACATCTGTTCCAGATGCGATGGAATATTTGTATCGGTCACTGGGGCTTTATCATCTAAACAATAAAAAACATTCATCAAATATTTAAACATTTTTAAACTGCATATTTGCACCTAAAATACTCTGTATTTCCCTTTTCCTATTCAAACTGAGAAAAATCTGAACTACACACTTAAGTGAGGTTTATAAACACAGTATGATTATCTCTGCTAGAATTTAGATGATGCATTTTGTCATATTCTTACCCTAAAACTGAATCAATATTCTGAAATATGGCTAGGCACGGTGGCTCACACCTGTAATTCCAGCACTTTGGGAGGCCGAGGCAGGTGGATCACCTGAGGTCAGGAATCCAAGACCAGCCTGTTCAACACAGTGAAACCTCCTCTCTACTAAAAATACAAAAAAATTAGCCGTGTGTGGTGGCAGGCGCCTGTGATTCCAGCCACTCAGGAGGCTGAGGCAGGAGAATCTCTTGAACCTGGGAGGTGGAGGCTGCAGTGAGCAGAGATCGCACCACTGAACGTCAGCCTGGGCGACAGAGAGGGACACCATCTCAAAAAAAAAAAAAAAAAAATCTCAAATATATTCCATAAGCTAACATTCATCTATCCACAGTAATTCAGAAATAAGAGCTATTTATGTGGGAAATGGGAACATGACCAGGAAAAATACATGTCACATCAAAAATGTTCTATGTGTATTTATAATTAAAATATTTTTTTTTCACTTAGCCAGTTCAGAAGATCTGAACTTTAAGTCTCTTTAAATAGAAATAGGTTGGCCTTGAACATGAAGGCAAATAACCTGGGATATATGAAGAGGACAGATTCTGTTTTGGATTGCTACTACGTTACTTTGTAGGATTGGGAAATCTGTCACTTAATGTCCTTAATTCATTTTCTTCTATTACAATGAGAAGCCAAAAGGAAAACCCTCTATTAAAATTACTGACATCTCTCATTAACGTATAGCTGTTTTCCAAAATCTGTTTTTCAAAGTTGCTTCTCAGGAGAATTTTTATTAAATATTATTGATTTCTTATAATAAAATAAAAATTTAGTGATATTTTTTAACATATCACAGTTAGACTCAAACATCCCATGGTTTTATCAACCCATCCTTATTATACTAAGGTTAAATTACTCTTAAAAATGTGAAGTTTTATAGAACATTTAAATACAAAATACATTAGGAAGTGCCAAATTCTTTACTTATGTCTCTATTTTCATTTACTTTGTACTTCTATAGTTTGAACAACACAATTCTGGTATGCTATGTACTGATATGCTGCTTTGTCTGTATGTATACTAACACAGAAAACCATAACACTAAGCCTTATGGAGAAAACAATGGATAGAGAAGGGTCACCTTTGTTTTCAGGAGGACATATGTATCAAGTTTGATATGGTATGGGACAGTTGTTAAAAGCATGGGCCCTGGAGTTAGACAACTTGGATTCAAATCTTGGCTCTGTCACTTTCAGCTGGATGAACTGGTGCAAACTATGTAAGCATCAGTCACCAACAACTATAAAATGGAACTAATAAACACTAGTGAGTACTGTTATATGAATTCAATGAAATAATAAAGCTCAGTCCTTAGCACAAAGAATTCAAGAAATGTTATGTCTCATTTCATATTCTAAAATGAGTAGCCTAGCACTAGTAAAAGACGATTTGTAAGCTTACTTGTAATTTACTTTTTAAAAATGTGTTTTCCCCATAATTGTAGCCTTTATATACACAAACGCTCCAAGAAAGAATGAATGTTCAAGCTCTATCCACACTGGCTTCCTTAAAGTTCCTGGGATGTGCCAAGCGTGCCACATGCTCTGGCCTGAGGGTTTGTGAATTAGGTCTCATTCCCGAGACATCCTTCCCCCAGATATCTAGCAGGCTTGGTTCCTTTATCCTTTAGATTTCAGCTCACAAGTCATATTGGGCAATGAGGTTTTCTCTAACCTAAAATAGCCAACTGTCCACTCCCACCACCCCAACGTACTCTTTAGCCTGCTTCATTTTCCCTTGACGCTTATCATCTGACACACTATACATATTTGTCTATATACTGTCTGCCTCCTCCCAATCAATACATAAACTCTGTGAGGACAGCAGTGTTGTCTGTTTGACTGACTGTTCTATCCCCCAGTGCCTCAACAATGCCTGACACACAGTAGTAGGTGCTCAACAGGTATATTTTTAAATGAGTGACTGAATCTTAAAGACAAAGATAAGATTGTCTATAAACTTAAATATAAAATAACTTTGGAGACTTACTTAAAAATATTTTAGTATTTCACAAATTTTCTGTTTAACTTTCACAAATTTTCAGTTAATATCAGCATTGTTCCTTACCTGAAGTCTCTATGTAGTAATGGGTAATTGCCTTCCAGTGATAAACAAAATCTTCTTGTAAAGGAAGAGAAGGTGCAAGCTACACAAACAAAAGACCACAACAATTAAGAAAATGGCATTGAAAATTTCCCATAACTTATAACTCTGTATTTATCTATTACAATGCAAAGGTAGCATAAAAATAAGGGGTGAACTTTGTTTTTATATGTCAGATATTAAAGAGAAACAAAATAAGTCAAATCCAAGAAAGTAAAAATGAGTTATCAAGAAGAGGAAAAACATATTTATCAACATTATTATTAAACTACAGTATCAAGCTTTTTTTTCCTCCCCTGACACTTTTTTAAAAGTAGGTTTCAGGCTGGGGGCAGTGGCTCACACCCCTAATCCCAGCACTCTGGGAGGCTGAGGTAGGTGAATCACTTGAGGTCAGGAGTTCAAGACCAGCCGGGCAACGTGGTGAAACCCCATCTCTACTAAAAATACAAAAATTAGCCAGGCGTGGTGCCGTGCGCCTGTAGTCCCAGCTTCTGGGGAGGCTGAGACAGGAGAATCGCTTGAACCTGGGAGGTGGAGGTTTCAGTGAGCCAAGATTGCGCCACTGCACTCCAGCCTGGATGACAGAACGAGATTCTATCTCAAAAAAAAAAAAAAAAAAAAGTAGGTTTCAGAGGTATATTAAATGAAAACGAAACAATATTCTATTACTGACATATCAGTAAATGAAATTACTAATAGCCAGGAATCTTTGTACCTAGGACTTTGAAATGCAAAACAGTAAAAAGCTGCTATGTAATTAGTTCCACATCATCACTACTAAAACATATACCAAAGTCAACTTCGTAATCAGATTAAAACTGTACCCTACATTCAGTGACATACAAATGTAAATCTTTTCTTTTTTAAGCTTGGATTAGGCAGTGCATATTTTTAGCAAAATAACTACTTGAACAAGATACTAACAATTTAAATTCCACAAAGTCAAAAATGCTCAACATTTTAGCTCTAAAACTTACTTCAGAAGTTTTATGCCCAAAATTATATCCCCTCAGCCATCTTATAGCAAACCTACAAGTATTTCAAGTGTGTGTTAAATGGATAGAAAAAGATTTGCATACACTTTCTACATTTCTTTTCCTTAAAGAGTGAAAGAGAGTGAGAGCTCCCCTAGTCCTAGTGTTGTCAGAGGCCTTTGAACCACAGCAACTCCATCTTGAACAGGAGCTGGGTAAAATGAGGCTAAGACCTGCTGGGCTGCATTCCCAGGAGGTTAGGCATTCTTAGTCACACGATGAGACTGGAGGTCACAGGTCCGATATCACAAGATACAGGTCATAAAGACCCTGCTGATAAACAGCATTCGGTAAAGAAGCTGGCCAAAACTCACCAAAACCAAGATGGTCACAAAAGTGACCTCCAGTTATCTTTACTGCTCATTATACACTAATTGTAATGCATTAGCATGCTAAGAGCCACTCCCACTAGTGCCATGACAGCCTTCAAATGCCATGGCAATGTCTGAAAGATGCCATCCTTATATAGTCTAAAAAGGGGAGGAACCCTCAAGGCTGAGAATGGCCCACCCCTTTCCCCAGAAAGTTCATGAATAAGCCATCCCTATATAGTCTAAAAAGGGGAGGAACCCTCAAGGCCGAGAATGGCCCACCCCTTTCCCCAGAAAGTTCATGAATAAGCCATCCCTTGTTTAGCATATGATCAATTAATAACTAGAAAAATAGCCAACTAGTAGCTCTTGGGGCTGCCCTGCCTATGGAGTACCCATTCTTTTGTTTCTTTACTTCTCCAGAGTCCATTTTCATAGACTTCCTCTAAACAGATGACCTAAAAGAGGTCATGTTATTCTTGCACTTCTACTGGTACCATTTTGATTTCTTGGTGTCCTGAGCATCCACCTCAGAGCTGGCAACCCTGTCGAAACAATTTCCGAACTATTGTCCAAATTAGAAATATTGGTCATAAACACCTTAAGTGTTTCAATCAAGAAGATGAAATGTATTTATGGAATAAAATAGACCTGAAAATATTTCAACAATTATCAGTATCTTCCACTGTAAATCGTACTGTGTTAAGAGAATAAAATATTCACCTTATTTTCAAGAAAATAAAAATAAAAAAGACTGCAAGAAAGGAGTTAAAATCTTTGGGAGTACTTTAACTTCAAGGAGAACATGGGGAGAAAAAAACTTACGGGAGATTGAGGGAAAAAATAAGGAAGAAAATTAAGAATCAAAGTATTAACTTGGGAAAACAGTATCATCTTCCTAAAATGTTTAGATAAAAAAAAGTTTTAATCAGCCACTTGTTTTTAGAATGTTCTCAAAATAATAAAACCTCTTCCTAATTTTTTTGGACCTGACTTCTATAGACTACCTTTATACAGTTAAGTGCATTCACGAGTGGGACAAACCCAAATGAAATTTGTTGTTTCAGGAACTGTACCTAATTTCTTAAGTGTAAATGCTATGATTTGTTAAATTTTTCCAAGGCAACCTCCTGGGTATATGAGGAGTTACAGTATCCTTTTTCCAGATTATTTCAGGAGTGGGATTTAACTGTATTTCAAGGGAATTGAAACTGTATTCTCTGGTCACCAGACAGAGAAGTCTTAGTGCATTTGTGTCAGGACCCTTGTTGTAGGTTACAGTCAAATTCAAAGCAGAATGGTGTTACTTTGTGAATACCTCCCTCCAGGAGTTAGATTTAAATAAGAAACCTATTTAACTAGAGAGTTAAACAGTTCTCAATTGCTAATAACTTAGATTAGTAATAATCTTGTTCAAACATGAATAAATGTCCTTATTTATGTAAAACTTTCTGGTAAACTTTCATTACTAATTCTAACATGCAAATTACCTGTTTTATCACTGCATAAAAATATTGATGCTCTGAGTTAAAAAAAAAAAAGTGTGAATCAGTATCAAGAGATTCCAATTTAATTTTTTACAACACAGAGAATTAAATTTTAAAAAATTCATGCAATGACTATCTCAACCCCAAGTTGACATGAAACCCTTAACTAGACTTCGCTTTCTCTGCAAAGCTTGACCAGGCTCTTCCTGCCTAGGATGGAGTCCCTATATATGCCTTGATACTCTTTTTTTTTTTTTTTTTTTGAGATGGAGTCTCGCTCTGTCACCCAGGCTGGAGTGCAGTGGCGTGATCTCGGCTCACTGCAAGCTCCGCCTCCCGGGTTCACACCATTCTCCTGCCTCAGCCTCCCGAGTAGCTGGGACTACAGGCGCCTGCTACCACGCCCAGCTAATTTTTTGTATTTTTAGTAGAGACAGGGTTTCACCGTGTTAGCCAGGATGGTCTCGATCTCCTGACCTCATGATCCGCCCGCCTTGGCCTCCCAAAGTGCTGGGATTACAGGCGTGAGCCACCGGGCCCGGCCTATGCCTTGATACTCTTTACCAGCTGGCTTGCTCTCTTTTATCCCATATCCCACTTTTGTCATTGTTTAATTATTCATCTCTTCCACTAGATTGTCAGCTCTATGAGGGCTGGAACTGTATCATCTTTTTCATCACTCAATCTCTGGTTTCCAACTCAGGCATGACACAGAGTTAAGTATTTGATAATATATATAAATGCATAAATAACACAGAAGTCACTGCCTTTTAATGAGTAGTTATGTGCCAGGTGTAATACTGCAAATTTTGCACATACTGTATGATCTTAAACTCTTGTGATAAACCTATTTTGCTCAAACTCTGAAGACTCAAAATTGGTTAACTGACTTACCCAAGGAAACACTGCCTTCAACTGGGAGTCTTGACTGTGTCCAATATACCCATCACACAAAAGTATCTAGATGGATAATTCAGATGAAAACTAGTGTTCTAAAAGCCACCTCTGCTTTTACTGTGTCTCATGTATCATCAACATTCCACTCCCAGATTTTATTTGATTTTTGAGACAGAGTTTTGCTCTTGTTGCCCTGGCTGGAGTGCAATGGCGTGATCTCGGCTCATTGCAACCTCTGCCTCCCGGATTCAAGCGATTCTCCTGTCTCAGCCTCCCAAGTAGCTGGGATTACAGGCGCATGCTACCGCATCTGGCTAATTTTTGTATTTTTAGTAAAGATGGGGTTTCATCATATTGGTCAGGCTGGTCTCGAACTCCTGACCTCAGGTGATCCGTCCGCCTCGGCCTCCCAAAGTGCTGGCATTACAGGTGTGAGCCACTGTGCCTGATGCCACTCCCAGATTTTTTAAATGCTTCTTTCTGCCCCTGGCTTTCCTAGTGACCTTCCCCATCTTCTCTGCCTCTCTAAAGTCTTGCTCACTTCCTTCCAGAGAGCCTTCTATAACAACTCCAATCCTAAATGCTTGCTCCCTTCTCCTATAGAGTTCACTGGCTAAACCAATCATCCAAATGACAATAATGGTTGACTTTTACTGAGCACTTTTTATGTGCCAGGCACTGCACTAAGCACTTCATGTACATTATCTCATTTTAATCTTCACAACAATTCTATGATAGGTTTAATTATTTCCCTTTATAATGAAGAAATGGAAATGTATACATATCAAGTAACTTGTCCAAGTGTAGAAGGAAGGGACAGAGGCAGGAATGGAACATGATTCTGTCTGGCTCTATGGGCTAGAACACATTCTTAGGCATTCCTTATTCTGTAATCTAACTTGTATATTTGTTTTGTTTCCCATATGAGACTGTAAGCATTGTGACCAAGGACACAAGCACACCAAGTCCACCTTGTTTCCCTCACTTGGAGCCAGGCTTTCGTGGTGACTCAGAAGACATGTGCTGAATGAGTGAAGGACTGAACCTAGAGATCACTTGTTGGAAAAGAATATGCCTGAGAAAACATGAGATACATTTGATTTGTGGTTTGAATTTCCAGGGCACAGGAGATTTTTAAGGAATTGCTAGTCTCAACAATCATCATGAACTCTTAACTATAATTTGAAAAGAAAACATTGCACTTACATTCTGAAAGATGACTTCCATTAAAGGAATTAGCTAAAATGATAAAACTCTTCCCTGACACTGTCCTTTATCCTCTCTGGAATAAATCTGCCCGCAAGGGTGGAACTGGTTGGAATTTAAGAGGAACATGCCCTTGGCACATTCCCTAGTGAGGACTAGGCTCTCAACAAATACCAAATTGTACTACATGGAAAGTGTTTTATCTATCTTTTGAAGAAGTTGTGTTAAAACAATCCAATCTAACCCCGGAACTAACTACAAGAAAGGCCTGAATTCAGACTTGTGACATGCGGCAACTGGCTAACAGATTCATTTCATAAGACTCTTACTGGCCAATCATTTCTGTACTGAGAGAAGACTGTCATTTCTAAAAAGGGAGGCAGGAGTTACATTACAGTTCTTGTTTTTAATCAAGAAGGTGTGAACTTATCTTCCATACTCAAAATGCAGTCTATCAGCTTAACAACACATTTTCAAATATTAATTTTGGAAAATATCTTAGTCATATTTTTCACGTTATAAGTAGTTGCCAGGGAGTGAGGAGAAACCATTAATTAAACAGTAAGATAAACTCTATGTTTAAGCCTCACTTAAATGAATACATCCAGTCAACACTAAAAAAACTATTTGGGCCAGGTATGATGGCTCCATCCCTATAATCCTGGCACTTTAGGAGATGGAGGTGGGAGGCTCACTCAAGCCCAAAAATGTGAGACCAACCTGGGCACAGTGTCTACATTGTGAGGCCCAGTGTCTACAAAAAATTTTTTTAAAAATTGAGTGTGGTGGTGCTGGCCTATAGTCTCAGCTACTCAGGAGGCTGAGGCAGGAGAATCGTTTGAGCCCTGGAGGTTGAGGCTGCAGTGAGCCATGATCATGTCACTGCACTCTAGCCTGGGTGACAGAGACCCTGTCTCGAAAAATAAGTAAATAGTTAATTAAAAATTAAAAACCCATTTGAAGGCTTATCAATTAAATAAGGAAACCTGGAAAGTAATCATACCAAAATGGTTGGAAAAGCATTACTCCACAGACTGATCCAACAAAATAATGAAAAAAGCTCATGTCAGCATCCAGGTATTTTCTGTCTCTGTATAATCCTGATAACTATGTTAATTGGAATACTGCATCAGGAAATGCTAATTGGACGTACACATGAACAGGAACACACAGAAGAGCTAATGAAATGAACTGAGGAATGGTAAGATTGGTTCATAGAGGAAAATATCAAGCAAATTAATAAACAGAACTGAATAACTGGAAACTAACCTTGGGCTACGAAAAAACTATCCAAATACACAAGGATGGCTTATTCATCATTGCACATGAGTTCATTCCCAAGAGAGAATGTTAAAAGGGGGGAAAAAAAGGTTAGTATAGAACATCAAACATTTTTCATGAGATTTAACCTCCTATCAAGATAAGATGGGTGGTGCCACAAATGAAAACATTAGGTCTAAGCAAATGAAAACATTACACTTCTAAATGCAATGCATTAATTTCAGGACTAGGTGAACACAAGCCACTCTAACTTTTTCTCACTAACCTCAGCAAAGTAGGCTAAGGATATTACAGAGCAGGAGCCAGATAATTTGGCAGATGCTAATATATACAATTATAAAAAGATAACGAGGACAAGAAAACACAGGCCTCCGGATAAAAATGAGCCTTTACTAGGAGAGCAGGAAAGCCGTCTTTCTTTTTCTAAGTACTTATTTCTGTAAATACTAGCCTGATGGGTAAAGGATATAAATATAGTTGGTATCTGTAGGGGACTAGTTCCAGGACATCTCTTCCTACCCCTAAGATCTGAGGATGTTCAAGTCCCTGTTATAAAATGGCATATTTTCATATAACCTATGCATACCTGTATTCTTTAAATCATCTCTAGATTGCTTCTAATACCTAATACAATGCCTACACATCACTTCATTCACATGGATTCAAGGCAGTACTTGAATATGGCAAATTCAAGTTTTGCTTTTTGGAACTCTGCAGAATTTTTTTCCCCCTCAAATATTTTTTTACTTGAGTTTGGTTAAATCACAGGTGCAGAGCCTACGGATAAGACAGCTGACTGCAATATAGTAAATTTTGATTACCAAGTATCTCATTAAGTGTTCCCAAGTATTTCATATATTCAAGGTTAAAATGATTCGGGCCGGGTGTGGTGGCTCACACCTGTAATCCCAGCACTTTGGGAGGCCAAGGCGGGCGATCACTTGAGGTCAGGAGTTCGAGAGCAGCCTGGCTAACATGGTGAAACCCCATCTCTACTAAAAAAAAAAAAAAAAATTAGCCGTGTGTGGTGGCGGGTGCCTGTAATCCCAGCTACTAGGGAGGCTGAGGCAGGAGAATCGCTTGAATCCGGGAGGCGGAGGTTGCAGTGACCTGAGATCACACCCCTGCACTCCAACCTGGGTGACAGAATGAGATTCGGTCTCAAAAAATAAATAAATAAATAAATAAATAAAATTAAATGATTCTTGGTATTTTTAAAGAAAACAAAATTTAAATGTTTTAATAAACTGCAGTTAAATTCTTTCAACAAAAGTAGAGTGTGTATAAGCAAGTAAAAACTAAAAGTTGTCTTGAAGTCTACCACTGTCATTTCCCTCCGTGTAATACTGCTCTACATTTATGAAACCCTGTTTTTCCTGTTTGATACATTTTCCCAAGAGCTTGCCCTAGAGCTAAATTTTTTAACGCTTCTCATGTATCACTTAAATAACAATTGTACTAAAGTTTGTTTTTATTACTGAAGGCAAAAACTCCATTTTTGCCTGCCCATAAAAAATCATTGTTGTATCTGACATTTTTAAAGTGTACATTTTAAAGTGTCCTATCACATAATATGAACATAGGAAGAGAATGTCATGTTAAAAATTAGCAAAGTAATTGTTTCTGCACAGAATGCATTTTTCAATTTGGGCAGTTCTCCCAGAATAAAGTAAACAAGTGAAGCAACTAGCATTCTTACTAGAACAGTGACAAGGCATTTTCTTTTTAGTTTCTTTTCACTTATTAGTCTACTAGGATACTTGAATACTGTCTCTATGCTGGTGTCTAAAACCCTCAAAGGAGAGTACAATTGCAGGATAAACGAAGAGTGTCCAGGAAGAGAACTAGACAAGAAAGGAAACAGATGGTCTCTGGGCTCGGTGAGCTTGGAAGCTGTCGAAAGCAAACTCGACTGGACCCTCCAAACTCCTATTTCAGATCAATACATAAGGTTCAGCTGAGTTCGGCCTCCAGGCCCAAGAAAGCAAAAGCCAGCAACCCGGGGGCTGGTCGGCGGCTCCCTCGCCAGGGACGCCCCACAGCGAGACCATGCCTCTCCCACCTCTACCCCCGAAAACCAAAACAAAACAGAACCAAGCCCAAGCGGTGCTTGCTCGTTTCTTTTGTCTTGCTCAACGCTGACCACTTTTTTTCCGGAGAAGGTTAACGTTAAGGGAGCCCGGGGGAGCTCTCTGCGACCCCGCCAGGTGCTCCCCGAACCCCCGGCCCCATCAGAGGAATGAGGCGACCACCGAGCGGCGTTGGGCGGCCAGGTCCTCCCCGGCACCCCCGCCCCGGCTCCTGGAGGAGGGCAGGGACTGCCGGCCTGGGGCAGCCAGGGACCGACGGGACCCCCGCAGAGCCAGGCCCGAGGCCCCGGGCGCCCCCACGACCCGGCGGCCGCCCAGGGCGCCCGCCTGGGGCCTCACCCCAACCGGGGACAGGGCCGCCGAGGGCCGGGCCAAGGCCGCCCGGCTTGTCCCCGAGGCCGCCGGGGAGCGTAGGCCGCCGCCATCCCCGGCCTGCCGTGCGCCCGCAGCCCGCGGCCTTACCGCCTCCACGGCGTGCTGCAGGATGGAGGTGAACTTGGAGAACATCCTGTCCCGGGACTGCAGCAGCCTCTCCCGGGACGACCTGGAGAGCTCCTCGATCCGCCGCCGCCGCCCCTGCTGCGGCTGCCGGGGCCGCTCCAGAGTGAAGGCCGGTGCGGGGCGGGGAGGACGAGCTGAGGATCGAGGCAGGGCCTGGCCCGGCCGCTTCAGGTGTGCGCGGGCGGCTCGGCGGCTCCGGAGGGCGCCGGGACGCGGCGGGCGGCGAGGAGGGCGTTCGGCGAGGACTCGGGGCCCGGAGAAGCTCCGGCGGCGGCACCGGTTGGGACACGGTGGCAGCCCGGCTCGGGTTCCTTCCCCCCGCTCTGCCCGCCGCGGCCTGCAGGGGGCGCCGCCGCAGCCCGGGGAGGCCCGGCCAGGCCTGCCCTGCGGCGGGGCCGCTAGGCGCCGCGGGGGCGGGGGGCGCGCTGAGGCCTCGGCCTCGCGCGGGGCTGGAGGCGGCCTGTGGGCAGCCACCGCCCTCTCCCGGCTTTCTCAGGGCGCCTGGGACACCGGCTTTCTAACATTTTTACAGCTCAGCGATTCTCAAGAGTTTTGTTTCTCCAGTGGAAGTAACAGGCTGACTTTGTAGGGACACGCAGCCGTCCATATATGCGTATAGCATTCAGAGGTTCTTCCTGTAAGGACCGATTTGGAAGACTCGTTAAGAAAACAGTGTTCTTTAAGCAAACATTGGCAATGGATTTAAATGCTCAGATTTTGAAGAAATCAACGACTGCAGGTGAAATGGCTTTGCTAACTTTAAAATATATTATTATTCAACATTGAAACAGGAAATCCCACATGAGCACATGGTAAGACGGCTGGCTTAGTTTAAATAGCCCATTATAATATTTATATATAATATATAACATAATTTATTTGTGATATGGTTGATAGTGAGGTGTAGTGATTCAGAACAGCATTTTCTATTCAGTTATCAGATGATACCGGAAAACATTAGCGAGGGAAAGAATCTGAAAGGAGTCCAGTAAATGCCTAAGGCAGATAAATAGAGCTACAAGGTAAGCACTTGGGTGGAGGCTGCTTAAAATACTCCCTAACAGTGTATTAGTCAAGCCTTGAAGAAGCAGTTCAGGCTGGTAAAGTTTAGGTTGAGTTAATACAAATTATGAAAATATTTGTATCCTGAAGAAATTTGTTTTATGCTGGTATTGGCGTTTTACCAAAAGGTTCATTAAGTTCTTAAGATGAGGTGGGGAGTGAGTTTTGCACAACCAGTGCTGAAAATACGTATCTGGCCCAGGCGCGGTGGCTCACGCCTGTAATCTCAGCACTCTGGGAGGCAAAGGCGGGAGGATCACTTGAGGCCAGGAGTTCGAGACCAGCCTGGCCAACATGGTGAAACTCCGTCTCTATTAAAAATACAAAAAAAAAAAAAAAAAAAAAATTAGCCGAACGTGGTGGTGTAATGGGATTACATGCTTGTAATCCCAGCTACTTGGGAGGCTGAGGCAGGAGAATCCTTGAACTCGGGAGGCGGAAGTTGCAGTGAGCCAAGGTTGCGCCATTGCGCTCCAGCCTGGACAACAAGAGCAAAACTCCATCTCAAAAAAAAAAAAAAAAATACACACACACACACACACACACACACACACACACACACATACATGTATACACACACATACGTTTATACATACACAAACGTATATATACACATACGTATATATACATGTATACACACACACACGTATATATATCTGTAATTGATTCATGGAACAGAGAAAAGGTGGCTGTCATATGGAGTGGTGGTAACTGGCCAGGCTCTGGGGCTGGGTAGCCTAAGTCCCAGCTCTGCCACCCACAGTGGAAAGTTATTTAACTTCTTTGTGTTTTAATTTGCTTATATGTCAAAAGGGGAGAACAGTACCTACCTCTTGAGGTTGTTGTGGGAATTAATTAATATATGTAAAACACTTTAACAGTGCCCAGTCCCTAGTAAGAGATGCACAGACACTTATACTTGTTCTGAGTTGTGGTAGTGGTATTTAGCAAAATAATAGGGCCAGAAATCAGGAATTAAGGAGGAGATCTTAACTGGGCTTCTTTTCCCTCCTGTTTTTGTGGTTTATATCCCTGCGGTGCTCCTTGGCAGATAAATACGACCTTAATTTTCTACGTACTACCCCCAGAATGCTGGAGGCATCCTCTGTTGTTTTGTGCCCCTTACCAAATTCTGGCCGTGTCTGCTTCAACTGAGAGCATGTATGTATGCTTATTGTTATTATATTCATACACAGTTTAAGATGGTTAGTCATATTATTAACCATAATTAGTTTCATGATCTAATTATCATGCATTTATATGGCATTTTGTAGTTCCAAAATGCCTTACAACCACTAATTGTATGAGGAGGTCTTAGTTAGAGTTGTGTGTATTTGATGATGTCTATCTTTGTGTACTTATTATAAACACAATAAAATATATGTTTTGCTCTAGATTAATATCAATATTTAGGATGGTGATTCATCTACCTGCTGTCTAGGTTTCAAGACACACAAGTTGGACTAGAATTGTAACTGAGCAGATATTCCTATTTCTGATTGTCATCCTAGAATGCCTGCTGTGACTCTGACATCATCAATTAGCTCAATACATGGGCACAGTCGGACCTGCCCCAAAGCCTGTGATTTGAGAAAACACAAGAAAACCTTCCCCTAGCCTCCAAACCACTTAGGTGTGGGTACCTGAAATTTCTCAGTTAGAACTTAATGCCTTTATCCCTTTGGCTTAAGCCAAATAAGAAACTTAGTCCTTGTTAAAATGAAAATACTCTTGGGAGATGTAACACATCAAACTCTGTCATTCATTAGACTTCAGGGGGAATGAATTTGTTAAATCCTTTTCTAAAATGAAGTTTAATTAGTGAAGACACAGAAAAATCTAGAAAATTGGAACCCAGTTGGGATGGTGTTGAGAAAAGAGATAAAAATAAATCTTTTTTTAACTTTTTAATAATAGTCATTCTGACTGGTGTGAGATGATATCTCATTGTGGTTTTTATTTGCATTTCTCTAATCAGTGATATTGAGCTTTTTTTCATATGCTTGTTGGCCACATATATGTTTTCTTTTAAAAAATGTCTGTTCATGTCCTTTGTGCACTTTTTAATGGGGTTGTTTGTGTTTTTTTCTTATAAATGTGTTTAAATTCCTTATAGATCCTGGGATATTAGACCTTTGTTAGATGCATAGTTTGCAAATATTTTCTCCCATTCTGTAGGTTGTCTGTTTACTCTGTACAATAAACACCGATGACATGAGTTTTACCTATATAACAAACCTGCGCATGTCTCCCTGAACCTAAAATAAAAGTTTAAAAAAGAAAGAGAAATAGAGTTAGATGATACCTGCTTCCAAATTTTGGCAGACTTCTGGAATTTGTGAGTTGAACACATCAATTGTTAGCAACATTCCCTCCTCAAATCCCGCTAAAATGACAGTAAAGAGATTTTCCAAAGCATATGCCCAAAAGGATAAGTTAGGAGAGAACAGCAATAGCATTTTCAGAATTAGAAAGTAGCCATAAGATGGGTTAACTCTGATGTGGCCGACCTAAGAAAGCTGAATCCTAAGCCAACAATGAAGAAAGCCAGGAATCAAAAGTCATCCCTTGGTATCCTCCATGGAGGCTTTGTTCCAGGACCTCCCAAGGGTACCAAAGCCTGAGGATGCTCAAGTCCCTAATGTAAAATGGTGTGGTATTTGCATATAACCTAGGCATCAATCTCCAATATACTTTAAATTGTCTCTAGGTTTCTATAATACCTAATACAACAAATGCTATGTAAATAATTGATATACTTTATTGTTTAGGGAATAATGACAAGAAAAAACCTGTACATGTTCAGTACAGATACAATTTTTTCCCAAAATATTTTCAAAAGTCTTGAAAGAGGTTGCCTCTGTGGAACAGGAGATTGAGAGTTTGGGAGGAAGGACAGAAGCTTTCATAACACACCTTGTAAAACCTCTTAACTAAACCCTATGCTGGTGTAACACAAAGTTTGTTTGTCAAGGGGAGAAACTAGGAGCAGGAAACCATTTCTGATGCTTTTGTGTAAGTTTAGACAAGGATTATAAGGGTTCATCCCTGTAGAAATAGGAAGGAGATGGTAGTCTTGATAGATGAGATGTGATCAACCAAATTTTCCAAGTGATAAAAGGAGTGATTTGGTGAAGTGAAAGATGTTGCTGGAGTTTCTAGCTTGGAAGAAGTTAGTTGAAGATGCCATTAATTGGAATAGGGACCATGGAGATGTAGAAAGGTGATGAGATGGATTTTTTAATATGTTAGAATTTGATTATCTATACAATTACATCTATGTGGAGACATAGAGTATTGGGTGATGAGTTTGAATTAGGAAGTAAAGAGAGAGATCTGGGCTGATAATAAAGATTGGAGGATCATTTCTTTCTTTCTTTTTTTTTTTTTGAGATGGAGTCTCACTGTGTCGCCCAGGCTGGAGTGCAGTGGCGCGATCCCGGCTCACTGCAACCTCTGCCTCCCAGGTTCAAGCGATTCTCCTGCCCCAGCCTCCCGAGTAGCTGGGACTACAGGCGCCCGCCACCCTGCCCGGCTAATTTTTTGTATTTTTAGTAGAGACAGGGTTTTACCGTATTAGCCAGGATGGTTTCGACCTCCTGACCTCATGATCCGCCTGCTTCAGCCTCCCAAAGTGCTGGGATTACAGGCGTGAGCCACCGCGCCCGGCTGGAGGATCATTTCTTAAACATGGTAATGGAGATATAAGAAAAAAATGAGGTAAGTTTAGTGAGATGGTGTGGTTGAAGGAAAAAGACAGAATGGATGCAAACTTGAGGACTCCCTGCATTTAAAGAGTAGGAAATGAAAGAAGAGCTCATTTAGAAACAGCAGTCAGAGATAGGAAAACATATAGTAAAGAAGTTCAGGGAGAAGTGAGTTTCAAAAATTGAGAGGCTGGTTCAAGGTATGATGATAAATTAGCTCAGTTCTGCAGTTGCCACAGAAACAAAAGGGAAGCTGGTGGATCTCAGAACCTTTCATAAAAACCGTGACAACCCTGGTGTTCAGTGTCATATTTTCTTGGTGTGTTCTGTGCATGTTCAGACCCACCTCATGGTGACAGTGTCTCACCTTAATCCCATGATCCCTTTGTAGAATTTTTGCCACTGGAAATTCTCTGTATAGACAAGCCTGCTCTTTCCAAAAGCACAATGGAGTTAGCACTGCAGGGGCAATTCTTTTTTCTTTTTTCTTTTTTTTTTTTTTTTTGAGATAGAGTGTCACTCTGTCACCCAGGCTGGAGTGCAGTAGTGTAATCTCTACTCACTGCAACCTCCGCCTCCCGGGTTCAAGCGATTCTCCTGCCTCAGCCTCCCAAGTATCTGGGATTACAAGTGTGTGCCACCATGCCCGGCTAATTTTTGTATTTTCGATAGAGACAGGGTTTCACCATATTGGCCAGACTAATCTCGAACTCCTGACTTTGTGATCCACCTGCCTCAGCCTCCGAAAATGCTGGGATTACAGGTGTGAGCTACCATGCACATCCTGTAGGGGCAATTCTTAGCCAATAGGGGATGGAATCTGATGGATAAACACTGCAGTGCCCTGTCTTCCTGGTGGGCAATTGTGGGAAGCAAATCTAGAAAGTGTCCGGAATACTCTTCAGGAGGTCCTGTGGGATCAGTACCCACTGACCACAATGGTGACCTCGTACGCTTTTTCTCCTTTGCTCTCATTCTCCTTACTTCCTCACTCTGTGATCTGCAGTGAACTTCCTACAGTTGAGTCTTTGTCTTAGGCTCCAATTTTGAGAAAACCCACTATGTATGGGAGTTGGAGTGGGAGAAACTTAGAGGGAAAGGCTGAGTGCCACAAATTGGATATAGGCTAAGGAAGATACACCAGCACTGCCCCCTGCCCCCACCACAGGCTAGGAAATTACAATAAAGGAAGCATCTCCTGGAAATGAGCAGTGCTGCATATCAGAAAAATCCCAAATAACAGTGGCTTAAGGAAGTTTCTTTTTCAAATAAAAGAAGTTTGCCTTGTAAGTAGTCATGACTATAGTGTGACAAATCCATGAGATCATCACAGAGCCACACTCTTAGCTTTCTGCACCACCGTCCAGTGCTGTCACACTCAGGATCACTTCATGGTCCCATGTAGGTGCTAGAGCTCTAGTTACCACTTTTAGGGCAGTAGTAGGAGGAAGGAGACAAAGGAGGAATTACCTTCTTCCTTTGAACAAATCCATTCTGAAAGTTCTACACTTCTGCTTACATTTCATTGGTCAGAACTTATGTAATCATACATCATGGTTAAAAAAGAAAGCTGGGAGATGAAATGTTTAATTCTATGTAACCACCAGAAAAATAAAAAATACATAGTATAACTTTCAAATTTAGTACAAAAATTTTTACTCAATCCAATGTACTATAATAAAGAAGATAAAAAAGATACTAGAAAAAGAAGCCTGATGCTAGGCATGGTGGCTCACACCTGTAATCCCAGCACTTTGGAGGCCGAGGCAGGAGGATCGCTTGAGCCCAGGAGTTCAAGACCAGTCTGGGCAACATAGTGAGGCCCCATCTCTATTTCTAAAAAAAGAAGCCTGGAAAATAAACACAAAATAGGTCTTTCTAATATAATAAATGTAAATGAGCTTAACTCATCAATTAAAAGGCAGAGATACATACATTAGATTTTTAAAATGACATTTTCTAGAAGAGACACATTTAAAAGGGAAGAGAAAGGCTGAAATCAATAAATCAAAAAAGATATACAGAGAACTATAATCAAAGAAAAACTAGAATAACAATTACATCAGACAAAATAGAGTTGAAGATGTAAAACATCACAAGGGATAAAGACAGATATAGCATACTAGTAAAATAATAATAGATCAAGAAGACGTAATGTTTATGGTCATAAACATGTTTACTAATATAAATGCAAAATTTATAAAGCAATAACTGACAGAACTGCAGAGGGAAATAGATGAATAAACTATTATTTTTAGAGTTTTTAATTCACCCCTCATATAATCAGACAGATCAAACTCAGGAAAAAAGCAAAAATGTGGGTTACTTGAATAACATGAGTAATAAACTCAAAGTAGACATTATGGAGAAATTTATACACATCAAAGAAATCACATTTTCAAGCATACAGGGAATATTTACAAAGTTTGATTATGTATCAAGCCACAAAGGAAACCTAAGGAAATTCTAAAAACACATTCATTTTTTTAACAAAATTAATTGAGCGAAACATACACCTGCCCACACAAATGGAAGTTATATCCTAGTGGGAAAAATCAATAACAAACACAAAATTGCATGTAGTGATAAATGCTATGAAGAGAATAGAATAAGGGGATAGAAGATGATTTGGGGAAGTGTTATTTTAAATTAGGTGGACAGGTAAGTCTTCTCTGAAGAGGTGCTATCTGAATGAAGCTAGGACATTAGCTGTGTGAATAGGAAAGAGATGAGCATTTCTGACAGAAGAAGAGTGAGTGCAAGTGTCTTGAGATAGGAAAGAGTTTGACATGTCTTAGGAAGGCCAGTGTGGCTGGAGTAGATAAGTGATTGAGGAGAAAAATTAGTTGAATATACGGGTAGAGAGTAAGCCATGTCAGATCATGTAGAGCAGTTTATTCTCAATGCTATCCAAAAGTCCCCTTTTCTTAATGTAAAAATATCAATGGAAGTGTAACAAAATACACAGATTCATATATGTACAGCTTTATGAATTTTTACAAAGTGAACCACCTGGGCACTCAGCACCCAGATCAAGAAAGAGAGGATACCACAACCTTAGAAGCCTCTTTGTGCCCCTTCCTGGTCAATTACGCTTGCCATGGGTTACCACTATTCTGACTTCTTTATTTTTTATTTTTATTTTTGTATTTTTAGTAGAGATGGGGTTTCATCATGTTGGCCAGGCTGGTCTCCAACTCCTGACCTCAGGTGACCCGCCCACCTCAGCCTCCGAAAGTGTTGGGATTACAGGTGTGAGCCATTGTGCCCAGCCCTATTTTTTATTTTTTGATTTTATTATTTTTTCTCTTTTTGTGCCACATCTCACCTGGATATTCTGACTTCTAACACCATAGATTAATTTGCCTCATCTGTTATATCTCATTATTATTATTATTATTATTATTATTATTTTTCAAGACAGAGTCTCAGTCTGTTGCCTAGGCTGAAGTATAGTAGCACGATCTCAGCTCACTGTGACCTCTGCCTCCCAGGTTCAAGCAATTCTCATGCCTCGGCCTCCCCAGTAGCTGGGTTTAAAGGCATGCACCACCACGCCCGGCTAATTTTCGTATTTTTAGTAGAGACGGGGTTTCGCCATGTTGGCCAGGCTGGTCTCGAACTCCTGGCCTCAAGTAGTCCGCCTGCCTCAGCCTCCCAAAGTGCAGGGATTGAAGGTGTGAGCCACCACGCCCAGCCTTGTTTTGAACTTTATATAAATGGGATCATATGGTATGTATTTTGTCATTGTCGGAGGCAAAGTTCTCAGAGTCAAGTTTATTAATATTGTGGTTCTGATCTTCTGTATCCTTAATGATTATTCGTCTGCCTGTTCTATCAGCTTTTGAGACGTGTGATTGGCTCCCACTCTGGTGGAGCCACTATTGTGACTTTTTCTACTTTTAGTTATGCTGATTTTTGCTTTATATGTTAATATTTTGAAGCTATGTTATGTGTATGTTCAGATTTTGACTTTTGGTCTCTTCCTGGTGGATTGACCTGTTTATTCTTATGTATGTGTGTCCCTTTTATGATAACAATGCAATTCAAGCTTTTCTCCTAATGGTTTGGGTCCAAGGAATCACAGCCTGCTGAGTGCTCGCTGAGGGCAAAGGGATGTGGAATGAGTGATAGAAGATGGTGTATATGGACCAGGCACGGTGGTTCACGCCTGTAATCCCAGCACTTTGGGAGGCTGAGGCGGGCAGATCACCTGAGGTTGGGAGTTCGAGACCAGCCTCACCAACATGAAGAAACCCCGTCTCTACCAAAAATACAAAATTAGCCGGGCATGGTGGTGCATGCCTGTAATCCCAGCTACTCGGGAGGCTGAGGCAGGAGAATCGCTTGAACCTGGGAGGCAGAGGTTGCGGTGAGCCAAGATTGTGCCATTGCACTCCAACCTGGACAACAAGAGTGAAACTCCATCTCAAAAAAAAAAAAAAAAGAATTAAAAAAAAAAGGAAGGTGGTATATACTAGCTATGACCATATGACCACATGACCAGTTGTAGAAATGAGAGCTAGTGCAGTTGTATTTCTTCCTTATTTTGATATGGATATGTTTGTATATATACTTTTTTTAATTTTTAATTTTTTGTAGAGATGGTATCTCACTATGTTGCCCTGGCTGGTTCTGAACTCTTGGGCTCAAGTGATCCTCCCACCTCAGCTGCCTAAAGTGCTGATATTACAGACATGAGCCACCATGCTTGGCCTGTTTGTATGTAGAAACTTGCAATGATCTAGAATGCTCCATTTCATTACCCTGAAATGCATCAAAGCTAGACCATAGTTTTTACATGTGGTAGAGTAGTTGTCATTGTATTTTTTTCAAAAACTTGTTTTCTTCCCACTCTTATTTCCCTATCTTCTCAGTATTTAAACTACAAAATATCAAAGGGAGAGTATGAATTAGCTCAAAGAACACCCAAAGACCAAGAGAGAGATTTTATAGCCTCTTTTGGAAAAACAGTTGATGTGTTGTTAATTGTACACAAGATAGTTGTACTCTGTTAAGTAGAAGCCCAAATTTTGAATTGTCTTCATATGGAAATTGTGATTTAAAGTGATACATGCCAAGATGACAAATGCTGGACTGTGGAGGTTTTGTAATGTGTTGATCTGATTAGGCTGAACTACATTTCCCATAATTCCCTTCCCTATGTTTCCAGTTAAGGGTGTGCCACAAGAGATGTACTTGTGTGAGATTTGGAGGACAGAGTGGAGGAGCAACTATATCAAGAGTATTGTTTTTTGTGCTCAGAGGCTGGGGAAAGGTCTCCAGGTGCTTTTGTGGCCCATGCATATTGTTATTTTATCTGCTGGCTTATCTCCTTGGTGTGGGGCAGGAAGCAGGCTGCAGCTGTTCCATCTTTCGCTGGGTCTTCCCTCAGCTTCACTGACTCCTCATCTGACTGTGTATCCTCAACCAGATGTGTGTTTATCTCTGTGACAAAGAGCACCGGGTTCTCCTGCAGGATACCCACATCATGAAGGTTGGAGACAGAGAGAGCCTGAGATGGGTTCCATCTTGTCCTTGCTGCTTTGCACCCCCTGACAGCCTTCTTCCCAACTGCCTGCCCTGCAGACTTCAAGCTGCAGCATTAGATATGAAGGCAACAGCCTTCTAGACTTTATCAGCCCCCATTACTGCGTGTGGTCAAATCCCGGTAATAAATCCACCTGCACATGTGTGGTCCTAATAGTTCTGAATCTCTAATTGAATATTGACTAACATAGACCTATACAAAATGGTAAAATTGTATTTAGGGAAGTGTGATTTTTTCCTTCCATTATTCCTTCTGTTTTTTTTTTTCCACTCATACCCTATAAAACCAGTGTCATAGGTTTTGGCAGTTACGTTTAAGTTTTCTAAGATACAGCTTGAGGAGATCTAGCGTCCTTCATTTTATTACCCTGAAATGCATCAAGGTGAGACCATAGTTTTTACATGTGGTAGAGTACTTATCATTGTATTTTATTGAATTTTCTTTTCAAATGGATTTGAGTCATCCATTGCATTTTATCCTGAAACTATGTTGATGGTGATAAGAATTTTTGGGTCCCAATATTAGGTGGCTTAATGAGAACAGTTTTGAACTGCCATTGGCTTAATGAGAACAGTTTTGAACTGCCATTGTTGCAGGAAGTGACTTCACAGGTGTGGACTGTGAAAGTGAAATCTATACTGTGAACTTTCGAATTGATGCTGTCACTGTTTAAGGAGCTATGGTACAGATAACAGGAGTAGTAGGTGTGCTACTAGCAGCACTGACCCTTAGCTGTGAAACTGATCTTCAGAATGATCCCTTTTAAAGTGAGGACTTCAGTCTGTAGTTTGGAGCTATTAAGCAGTATCTGTCAGGTAACAATCTAGGTTCTGCATATGGCTTAATCAATAAATAAAGGGGTTTGATTTTTCCATCTTGTAATGGTTAAGAAGTCAGGCGGTTCCTAAGCAGCAGGGTGTTGGGAGGCTGATAGGTTTGCTTGTCATACTTCCATAGATGTGGCTGGGAAGGAAACAAGTCCAAGGGGGAATTAGAAACTTTATTACTTGGGTCACAGCAGGAAGTATGAGCTTTCCTCTGGTTTGCATGTGTGCCCCCAAAGTTCATGTGTTGCAAACTTAATCCCCAGTGCAACAGTGTTGGGAGGTGGGGCCTAATAAGAGATGATTAGGTCATGAGGGCTCTGTCCTCATGAATGGATTCATGTCATTATTGCAGAAGTAGGTTATTGTCAAAGTGAGATTATTATAAAAGGGAGTTCAGGCCAGGTGCGGTGGCTCACGCCTGTAATCTCAGCACTTCGGGAGGCTGAGGCGGGCGGATCACTGAGGCCAGGAGTTCGAGACCAGCCTGGCCAACACGGTGAAACCCTGTCTCTACTAAAAATGCAAAAATTATCTTGGCGTGGTGACACGCACCTGTGGTTTCCCAGCTACTCAGGAGGCTGAGACAGGAGAATTGGTTGAACCCAGGAGGCAGAGGTTGCAGTGAGCTGAGATCGTGCCACTGCACTCCAGCCTGGGTGACAGACCTAGACTCTGCCTCAAAAAAAAAAAAAAAAAAAAAGGATTTGGAGTTCAGCCCTTTCTCTCACACTCTCATGCTCTCTTGCCCTCCCACCTTCTGCCATGGGACGATGCAGCAAGAAGGCCCTCGCCACATGCTATTGTCTTCATATTGAACTTCCCAGCCTCCAGAACTATGAGAAATAAATTTCTTTTTAATTAATTACCCAGTCTGTGGTATTCTGTTGTAACAACACAAAACAGACTAAAACAGGCTTCATGCTTCCATCAGTTTCCTGTGCACTCAAGTCCCACAGGAGTCAGTGTGGATCAACCTCAGGTAGATGCCACATACACAAGTTTGTGTCACAACTGAGAAACACTAAGCATAGGAATCCTCCAGTCTTATAAGGGGGCTGCTAGCAAACCTGCCCATCCTCCTCTCTGGAGAGAGACATTATCTTTAAGTATTCTGGAATGTAAGCACATCTTGCCTGAGGAGAAGGAAACTTTTCTATCCTGGAATGTCTCTGGGTGTCTCTATCTCTACTATCCTGGTCAGGAAACACATCGGCCCTCTGACCTGGAAAGAGACACTATGCTACACACACATCCTCGTAAAGCTAGTCCAGGGTAAGTTGAAATGCCATGGAGAATTGGCTGCCAAAAGTAATATCTGGTAAAGAATGTCTTGGGGGGAGAAATAGGTCTTCGCAACACTGGGTCACTAGTCTCACATTATCTCCCTCGAGAGGAGGTTTCTTAGGATGGCTTGAATAAATTTTTGCATAGTCTAGAATTGCAGACACATATTGGAAGGCAAACTCCAACACTTGATTTATTACTCTTTATTTATACTCTGTGATTCCCATATCCTTTGGAGTCTGGGCCATCACCAAGGCATGGCTTGGAGTGGTCTTGGGAAATTGCAATCTTGCTAACCTCCATGATCTGGCAACTGCTCTAGTAATGTTTTAAAATAGTTTTAAAATTTCAAAACAATTTAAAAATTATAATAGAGGTGTAAATACAGTTCAAAACACCTGAACTGTTTGAGGGTAAGCTGCTGACATTATGTCTATCACTCCTATGTACTTTAGTGTGTATTTCCTGCAAACAAGAACATTCTTTGACGTAACCGCAATGCAATTATATTAGTTTCCTGGGGCCATCATAACAAATTACCACAAACCTGATGGCTTAAAAAAACAGAAATTTATTTTCTCATAGTCTGGAGGCCAGAAATCTGAAATGAAGGTGTCAGCAGGGCTGTGCCTCCCCTAAGCCCCAAGGCTCCAGGGGAGGATCCTTCCTTGCCCATTCCAGCTTTTGGTAGCTCCAAGCACTCCTTGGCTTGTGGCTGCATCGCTCTAATTTCTGCCCCCCTCTTCACGTGGCATTCTCATCTTGCGTCTTCTCTTCTCTGTGTGTCTCTTATAAGGACACTTGTCACTGGATTTACAGCTCACCTAGATAATCCAGAATGATCTCATCTCAAGATTCTTAAGTTAATTACATCTGCAAAGATACTTTTTTCAAATGAGGTCACAGGTTTCAGAGATTAAGATGAACACATATCTTTTCGGGGGCCACCATTCAACGCACTACAATAACCAGCATCTGTGTATTGAAATCAGTATCAATGTTGAAATTGCTGTTATCTGATCTGCAGACCCCACTTCATATTTCACCAGTTGTTTCAATATCCTTTATAGTAAAAGGATCCAGTTCAGAATCCCATGGTATATTTAGTTGTCATGCCTCTTTAGTGTCCTTCAGTCTGGAACAGTTTCTTGGTCTTTCCTTGACTTTCATGACTTGACATTCTTGAAGATTATAGGCTGGTTATTTTGTCAAATGGCCTTTAATTTAGGTTCCCAGTGTTTTCTCATAATTAGATTCAGATGTGCATTCCTGGAAGGCCTATCAGAGAGAAACATTTTCTTCCTGTACATCCCATCAGGTGGCACCTATTTTCTTTCCTTCTTTCTTTCTTTTTTTGAGATGGAGTTTTGCTCTTGTCACCCAGGCTGGAGTGCAATGGCATGATCTCAGCTCACTGCAACCTCTGTCTCCTGCATTTGAGCGATTCTTCTCAATCAGCCTCCCAAATAGGTGGGATTACAGGTATGTGTCACCACACCTGGCTAATTTTTAAATTTTTTTTTTTTAATTTTTAGTAGAGATGGGGTTTCACCATGTTGGTCAGGCTGGTCTCAAACTCCTGACCTCAAGTGATCTGCCCTCATTGGCCTCCCAAAGTGCTGGGATTACAGTCGTGAGCCACCACACCTGGCCACCTATTTTCAATTTGATATCTTGGTTAAAGTGGAGACCGCCAGACTTCTCCACTGTTAAATTACACTTTTCCTATGTATGTAAGTATCCTGTCCTTTGTCAAACTTTCAATTTAATTCTATCACTACGGACTTACAGTTTCTTGTTTTAATCAAGGGGTTATAAACCGTTACTATTATTTTTTCTTCTTTGTCATTTTTTTTTTTTTTTTTTGGAGATGGAGTCTCTCTATGTCACCCAGGCTAGAGGGCAATGGCTCAATCTCAGCTCACTGCAAACTCTGCCTCCTAGGTTCAAGCAATTCTCCTGCCTCAGCCTCCCTAGTAGCTGGAATTACAGGTGCATGTCACCACACCTGGCTAATTTTTTTTTTGTATTTTTAGTAGAGATGGGGTTTCACCATATTGTCCAGGCTGGTCTCAAACTCCTGACCTCAAGTGATCTGCCTGCCTCAGCCTCTCAAGGTGCTGGGATTCCAGGCGTGAGCCACTGCACTCTTCCTCTTCTTTGTCTTCATGTTATTATTTGATATTCAAATTTTAGCCAGTGGGAGTCCCTCCAGGATGGCTGGCTTTTTTTTTTCACATGTCACCATCCTTCTTTGAGCATTTTCTTGCTTTCTGGCAGAAGACATTCCAGTCTTATTTCATACTCTTCATGAATCACTATAGATCCATATCTGTGACCATCTCTTGGCCCAGAAAAAGCAAAACAACCAAATGTACTGTTTGATGTTTTGCCCACTGGGAGGATTTTATTTCTCTCTTCTTTTTTAAGGACACTCCTTGGTGTTGAAACGTTGCAGGAGTCCTCTTCTGGTTGGTGCCAGCATGTCATGAAGCAGTATCTGTAAACCAGGCCTTAGTTTTTTTCCTCTTAGCTGATGAAGAAGAATCCTCTCATGAGACCATAGGCATGGACTGAAGGAGAGGCAGCAAGACCTCAGGAGTAAGTGTTGTAAGATATTGAGTCACTTGCTCATGCAACTTGTACATTCTGAACCTACTTGAGCCTAATTTCTTATATGCTGTTTCCACTGAATGAAGGATTGCTGTTATCCATATTCAACATTATGCTTTGGTGGGTCAGATACCAGTGTTCATGATGGCAGCTTGGGTTGCACGATTACTTAATGTCCCATATTTAGGCCTAGTGGTAATACAGGAGCTTTTTCTCAAAATAGGAATCATTATAGTAGAAGAGGGTGTGGCTTTGCTCCAGAGACCTGTGGACCTTCCTACTGGGGTTTGTCATAGACTCCATATAACATCCCTGTATGCCACAGACACTGAGCATCACTGGCTCTGTTGAGTCATCAAGCCCAATGGGCAAGGCAGCCTGCATTACATCCTGGATCTACTCCATAACCTTCTTTTGCTCTATTCTCTACTCAGAACCAACAGCCTTATAGGCAACTGGGAAAATGGGTTGGAGTGGCGTACAATAATAGCACATAATATCTCCAAAAATTCAAGAAAGCCCTCAAATCATTGTGTCTTCTTTTTAGTAATACACAATACGAGGTATAGTAACTTATATTTCATTTTGAAGGAGATATCCTGACGTGTTCCAAACCACTGAATCCCTAGAAATTCAGCGTAGGCCTTGGAATACCCATGGAGGTTTCCTTCAACCCTCTGTCTCTAGTGTGCCTTAATAAGACATCTAAGGTGTTTGCTACTTTCTGCTTATTAAGTCCAATCAGAATAATGCCATCACTTTGCTTATTAGGTAAAATTAGCATAATGCAGTAGATCATTGTGACGTTCTATAGAGTGTCAAGATGATCGAAATTTCTGCAGACGAGATTAAAGCTGACAGCAGGAGGCTGGGCAAAGTGGCTCACACCCGTAAATCCCAGCACTTTGGGAGGCTGAGGCGGGTGGATCACTTGAGGTCAGGAGTTCAAGACCAGCCTGGCCAACACGGTGAAACCCTGTCTCTACTAAAAATACAAAAATTAGCCAGGCATGGTGGCTCATGCCTGTAGACCCAGCTACCTGGGAGGCTGAGGCAGGAGAATCGTTTGAACCCGGGAGGCAGAGGTTATAGTGAGTTGAGATCATGCAACTGCACTCTAGCCTGTCTCAAAAAAAAAAAAAAAAAATGCTGACAGCAGGAAAGTTGGCATAGCCCTAAGATAAAATCATAAGATGCCCCTAAAAACCGTATTTCTTCTAGTGGTCCTCGCAAATTGGTAATAGAGAATAAAAAGCACTTGCCAGAGCAATAGCTACATGCCAGGTGCTGGGACTCTGTTGATTTGCTTCAATAAAGAAAACAGAGTAGAACAACAATTGAGGTTGGAGTTACCACTTGATTAAGTATATGATTATTCACAGTCATTTTCCAAGACCTATTTACCTTCTGTATAGGCCAGACAGTGAAATAAATGGGAATATAATAGTAATCACCAGACCTGTATCACATCTTTAATTTTTGCATAAATCTCTGCAGTTACCTTCAGGGATGCAGTTTTGCTTTTGGTTTATGATTTTGATGGGAAGAAAAAGTTTCAAGGGCTTCCACGTCAACCTTCCTACCATAACAGTCTTTACTTCACCAGTCAAGGAACCATTGCAGGGATTCTGCCTGTTGCCAAGGATGTCTATTCTAATTATACAGCCAGAGACTGGGGAAATCACCATAGGATGGGCATGTAGATGAACTTAGGCCAAAATACTATTTATTACATGAACATTGTAAGTTCACCACTTTGGTGGAATACAGTATTATTATGGATCTTCAAGAAATGGTATCAGTTTAGGGCTAGTGTCTAGAATTTCTCAAAAGACTGGGGTGTTCTTTCTCTAGTGTATGGTAACCTTAGAAAAATGTCCACAGGCCCCTTTGGGAATGACTTGGAGGAAGGTGTATAGTATATTCCTTTGACATTTTTGTACAGTCTTTCCTCAAGAGGACCTAGCCTCCCCATCACTCAAGAGACCCTGGATTCAAGAGCTGCCTAACATCTAGAAACTTGGTAAGAGGCCAAGACTTTAATGTAATTTGACTCAGATTTCTAGCCACCAGATCTAGAGTTCTTACTGTTGTATTGATCAAGTGATACTTCAGTAGGCTGACCATTTATTTCATTCCTAGATGTATCATGATCCATAGTCTGCTAGATTAAGACATTTTGATTATATTCCAGTACTTTCTGCTGTCATTACAGTTATTTCCTCTACCATGTTTCTGTTAGTTAAGTGCTTCCACTTGGCCTGTATCTCTTCTGAATCCCATCGTTTCCACTCTCTCATTGGCAGCCTGTCCTACTATCATCTCACCATCATGGAGCTTTTCAAGGATGCTTGCTCTCACTTCATTAATGCATTTCTTATGGCAAATGAACAGAGTGCCTTCTTAGCCTTCCAGAAGGATATAATGGGGGATGGATATGCATGTTGCAAATGATAAACGAGTTTCGCATTCTGTTCCTCTGATCTGTGGGTACACTCCTCCATGTCTATGCCAAGGACATTCTAACAGGTCAACTTTTAGAACGTTGAGCCCAAAGTTCAATCAGTCAACCAAGCAAAGTGTTAGAGCCGCTTCCAGCTGTGCTAGTTCACGCACCTTAAACCCAGAATCTCTTGTAAATGCATTCATGTGAGTACATTTGATATGATCTAATTTTATGTCTTTCCTTTTCGAGTACACTTGTCAACTTCATTTCTAACATATTTCCTAGGTTTTCTCTACATAATTCCCAGTCTCTCTACATATTAGAAAAATCTGGAAATTCTTTCAGCATATAAGCTATGTCTTCCTGGGTTAAACTTAACACTCATCTCCTTAGAGGATCCTGATATTTGACTCCAGTTATGAGTCTAGAGTCATTCAGGGGTGGTCAGGGGGGGTCTTGAGAAGGATAGGCATCTCTTTGCAAGGCGTCTTCCCTAAGCTATACAGGATCTTTAAGGAAACCTCTTCTCCTCAGACACACAGGAGGGTAGACTGTTTCTTTTTCTTTTTCTTTTATTTTATTATACTTTAAGTTTTAGGGTACATGTGCACAATGTGCAGGTTTGTTACATATGTATACATGTGCCATGTTGGTGTGCTGCACCCATTAACTCGTCATTTAGCATTAGGTATATCTCCTAATGCTATCCCTCCCCCCTCCCCCCACCCCACAAGTCTTGCTCTGTTGCCCAGGCTGGAGTGCAGTGGGGCGATCTCGGCTCACTGCAAGCTCCGCCTCCCAGGTTCCCGCCATTCTCCTGCCTCAGCCTCCCGAGTAGCTGGGACTGCAGGTGCCCACCATCACGCCCAAATGATTTTTTGTATTTTTTAGTAGAGACGGGGTTTCACCGTGTTAGCCAGGATGGTCTCGATCTCTTTACCTCATAATCTACCCACCTCGGCCTCCCAAAGTGCCGGGATTACAAGTGTGAGCCACCGCGTCCGGCAGGAGGTTAGACTGTTTCTTCCTGCAAGAGAGGCTTGGAGAGACTTGGGAGTTAAAGATTTTCAACTTTGTTCAGTTACACCAAGAGGACCCCATTCCAAATCTCTGGTCTACTCCCTCTGAATGTCATAAGTATAACATAAGACAGCATGTCTTATGACAAGTCTGTGAATTCAACTGAAGTTATCATTTTGCAACCCAGACGACTAAATTTTGAGTCTGATTTTCAGTAAGTTTGACTCTATAGCTATAAAAAAAGATAGTAGATTATCTTAGGGCCACCATGGATCCTCTGTAGTTCTTTGTGATTTGAGATGAATCTTTTTTTTTTTGAGACAGAGTGTCATCCTGTTGCCCAGGCTGGAGTGCAGTGGCCTGATCTTGGTTCACTGCAACCTCCACCTCCTGGTTCAAGTGATTTCTTGCATCAGCCTCCCAAACAGCTGGGATTACAGGCACCTGCCACCACACCTGGCTAATTCTTGTATTTTTAGAAGAGATGGGGTTTCGCCATGTTGTCCAGGCTGCTCTCAAACTCCTGACCTCAAGTGATCCACCTGCCTCGGCCTCCAAAAGTGCTGGGATTACAGGTGTGAGCCACCATGCCTAGCCTGAGATGAATCTTTAAAATCCTGGTTTTAAGCTGGGTGCAGTGCTGTACACCTGTAATCTCAGCTACTCAGGGGGCTGAGGTGGAAGGATCCCCTGAGCACAGGAGTTTGAGGCCAGCCTGGACAACGTTGCAAGACTCCATTAAAAAAAAACAACAACAAAAAGCAAAACAAAACAAAACAAAAAACACTAACCCTGATTGTGTTATTTTTTTTTCTGTATTCTCTTTAGTGTAGTCAGAAGCAGCGAATCCACCCCATGATTCTTACAGTCTTTATTACTACCATAGCCATCAAGTGCCATAGCCACTTGGTCTTTCAAGCCACTTGTTTCAGTAGAAACTTCACACAAACCACTACAGGTGATAATTTAGTTCCTCATATGCCCTGCATATCTGCAGACCATTAGATTCCAATTTCCAATTTCCAATTAACAAAGAGTTCAGTACTGCTTTCAAAGTTGAAGACATAACCAAACAATCCTAAATCCCATTTTTTGAGAGTTTATTTCCTGGGAGTACTCTATCACCAGGTACCACATTGGTTAGGGTGTACTCAGGAAACAGAAACCACACTAGTCATTTCAGCAGAGAGAATTTAATATAAGAAATGTGTTATGGGCTGAGCGCGGTGGCTCATGCCTGTAATTCCAGCACTTTAGGAGGCCGAGGCAGGTGGATCACTTGAGGTCAGGAGTTTGAGACCAGCCTGGCCAACATGGCAAAATGTATTTTTATTTTACACACTCACACACACACAAAGAAATTAGCTGGATATGGTGGCTTGCACCTGTGGTCCCAGCAACTCAGGAGGTTGAGGCAGAGGATCACCTGAGCCCAGGAGGCAGAAGTTGCAGTGCCACTGCACTGCAGCCTGGGTGACAGAGTGAGACCCCATCTCAAAAAAAAAAAAAAAAAAAAAAAAAGAGTTCCATGGGATTTTTGCTTAAAAAAAGTGACAGGCAGACATCAAGGTCCAGAAATCATAAACTTCCAGGGGAACAAAGGGAAGAAGAGAAGTTTGTGTTTTTTAGAAACTAGAGGCTCGGCGGAGGGTCCCACAGAGCCGGGACTTAGATCCCTGAGGAAGAGGTCCTGCCCTGCTGGTACTGGTACCTCAGAGGGGGCACCTTAAAGCTAATTTTGGAAGTGCCAAAAAAAGTGAGAGACTAGAGCCAACACTGCACAGAGGAAAGTGCTGTTGCTGAGGTAACACTGATGGGAACAGCATAGAGCAGGAGAGGCAGTCCCGGCTTCTGCCTTCTACTCTAGCACCCGCTATGGGCAGAACCAAACAGAGAACTACCTGGCAAAAAAGGAACAGTTTGCAGGCTCCCAGACCCGGACCACAAAGCAGAATTTACAAGGGTGGATTTAGAGCTGGTGGAATACAATTATGAGTGTTTTAACACATAACTACAGAGACTCAGTTACAGTAAAGGATGTGGTGAAACAGATGTTTATATGTGGAGTCAGCATGTCTATAGGTGGGGCAGCTATAAATACGGTTGGCCGTTAAACAACATGGGTTTGAACTGTGTGGGCCCACTTTTATGTGGATTTTTTTCTGCCTCTGCCTCTCCTGAGATAGCAAGACCAACCCCTTCTCTTCCTCCGCGTACTCAATGTAAAGATGACAAGGACCTTTGTGATGATCCACTTCCATTTAATACATGGTAAATATATTTTCTTTTCCTTATGATGATCTTGGTTTTAAATTTTTTTTTTAATAGAGACAGGGTTTTGCTATGTTGTCCAGGCTGGTCTAGGACTCTTGTTGTCAAGTGATCCTCCCGCCTCAGCTTCCCAAACTGCTGGGATTACAAACATGAACCACTACCCCTGGCATCATTTTCTAAATGATATTTCCTTTTCTCTGGCTTACTTTATTATAAGAATGCAGTATGTAATGTATATATACCATACAAAATGTGTGTTAATCAACTGTTTGTATTATTGGTAAGGCTTCTAGTCAACAGTAGGCTATTAGTAGTTAAGTTTCAGGGCAGTCAAAAGTTTTATGTGGATTCTCTTTTTCTTTTCTTTTCTTTTTTTTTGTTTTTTATTTATTGAGTTGGAGTCTTGCTCTTGTCACCCAGGCTGGAGTGCAATGGCATGATCTCGGCTGATTACAACCTCCACTTTCTGGTTCAAGCAATTCTCCTGTCTTAGCCTTCCAAGTAGCTGGGATTACAGGCATGCGCCATGCCTGGCTAATTTTTGTATTTTTAGTAGAGATGGGGCTTCACCATGTTGCCAGGCTAGTCTCAAACTACTAATCTCAAATGATCAGCCCACCTTGGCCTCCCAGAGTGCTGGGATTACAGGTATTAGCCACCATGCCCAGCCTTATATGTGGATTTTCAACTGTCCCTTAACCCCCATGTTGTTCACGGGTCAACTGTATTCAGGTATGTTATACTGGTGATGCAAATAATAAGAGTGGTGTTGCCAAAAATAATATTATTTTCCAAAGTAGTGAGCAACTTTTGGTAATATTCCAAAAAATAATGTACCATTTCCCCTTAATTTACAGAATGGTGCATTCCTGGAAATTGTATTGCATATTAAATACTCACCTAATAGTAAATGGTTTCTTCACCTACATGGATATCCTGCCAGAGATGTAAAAGTTATATAGGACAAGAGAGAATTCTTACTTTTATAGGACTTTCCTGTATATTACAGGATGTCGAATACTGTCTCCTGAATCCTATAGTCCTCCACAAATTTCCAAAACATCTCCTAGGATATGGCAGTATCCTCTCCATTAAGACTGTCACAGGATCTTACCATCAGGTAAGGGCATAGGAATTTTGGATATTATTTTGAGTGAAACTAGAAGCCATTTGAGGGTTTTGAACAAACACACTCAATTTTTTTTACATTAAAAACATTATTCTGGGCTGGCTGCGGTGACTCACACCTGTAATCTCAGCACTTTGGTAGGCTGAGGCAGGTGGATTGCTTTGAGCTCAGGGGTTCGAGACCAGCCTGGGCAAAATGGCAAAACCCCATCTCTACAAAAATACGAAGATTAGTCTGGTGTGGTGGCTGATGCCTGTATTCCCAGCTACTCAGGAGGCTGAGCCTGGAGAATCACTTGAGCCTGGGAAGCAGAGGTTGCAGTGAGCCAAGATGATGCAACTGCATGCACTCCAGCTTGGACAACAGAGTGAGACCCTGTCTCAAAAAAAAAATCATTCCAGATGATGCCATGTGGCAAATAGACTGTGGGAAAGGCAAGAATGGAAGCAGGGAGTCCAGATAGGGGGCTCACATTATTTCAGTAAGAAGTGATGGTGGCTTGACTAGTGGAGGAAGTGGTGATAGGCAGTTGGACTCTGGATATATTTCAAAGGTAGAACAGGTGGGAGTTGCTGAAAAATTGGATATGAATGAGGAAAGAGCAAGGCAAAGGATGATGCTAAGATTTTTGGCCTGAACAACTGTGAATGGTGGAAAATACTGGTAAGGAGTGGATTTTTGGAGGGGGGGATCAAGAGTTCTGTTTTCAATCTGTCAGATGCCTATTAGATATCCAGATGGAGATGCTGAAGAGGCAGTTGGATATACCAGCCTAGGGCTCATGGGAGAGGTCAGTGTGGAAATATAAATGAGAAAGTAGTCAGGACCTAAATGGAATTTTAACTACATGAACTGGATGCCATCACCAAGGGAGTGAAGAGGTGATCACATTCCTTCATAGGAAGAGAAGAGGTTCAAGGAATGACCCAGAGGTACTCCAAGATTTGGAGGCTGGGAATTGGCAGAGATGCCAGCATAGGAGAGTAACATTGACCTGCACTATGTTTTCTGACTGTAATACAATAATAATTGCTAGTGCCGAGCCTATTTTAAGCACTTAATGTATACTGTACTGGCTGGACACAGTGGCTCATGCGTGTAATCCCAACACTTTGGGAGGCTGAGGTGGGCAGATCATGAGGTCAAAAGATTGAGACCATCCTGGCCAATATGGTGAGACCCACCCCATCTCTACTAAAAATAAAAAAACTAGCTGGGCTTGGTGGCACGCACCTGTAGTCCCAGCTACTTGGGAGGCTGAGGCAGGAGAATCGCTTGAATCCAGAAGGTGGAGGTTACAGTGAGCTGAGATCGCGCCACTGCACTCCAGCCTGGCGACAGAGCGAGACTCCGTCTCAAAAAAAAAAATTAATTAAAAAAAATACATATATACTGTACTACTACTATCTTTTGGTTTGTTTGTTTTTTATAGAGACAGGGTCTTGCTTTGTCACCCAGGCTGGAGTGCAGTGGCATGAGCATAGCTCACAGCATCCTCGAACTCCAGGCTCAAGTGATCCTCCCACCTCGGCTTCCCAAGTAGCTGGGACTATAGATGTGCACCACCATGCCTGGCTAATTTTTTTTTTAAATTTTTGTAGACATGGGGGGGGGGTCTCATCATCTTGCCCAGGCTGGTCTTGAACTCCTGGGCTCAAGCAATCCTCCTGCCTCAGCTTCCCAAAGTGCTGGGATTACAGGTGTGAGCCACTGTGCCCAGCCTGTACTACCATGTTGTTTTTTTTTTTAAAACAGAGTCTTGCTTTGTCGCCCAGTCTGGAGTGAAGTGGTGCAATCTTGGCTCACTGCAACCTCTGCCTCCTGGGTTCAAATGATTCTTCTGCCTCAGCCTCTGAGTAAGTAGCTGGGACTACAGGCGCGCACCACCACACCCAGCTAATTTTTGTATTTTTAGTAGAGATGGGGTTTCGCCATGTTGGCCAGGCTGGTCTCGAACTCCTGACCTCAGGTGATCTGCCTGCCTCAGCCTCCCAAAGTGCTGGGATTACAGGCATGAGCCACCGCGCCCGGCCAATAGCACATTATTATATAAAAAATATATAAGGCAAATTAGTTGCACTTAACTTCGTTGGATAAAAACATAGTAACATAGTCATTATACAGTTACCTGCTTTGTGGACATAGTTAATAGTAAAATAGCAAATAAGTAATTTATTTTACTTCACAAATAATGACAGTTTTTTTATAGTCAGTTCAACTTTGTGAGAAATTTAACCTTGTGTATATATGGACAAAAATGTGTTATGTTACTCAGATAAAGTAGATAAGATAACTTCATAATACCAGGTCACAGAGTGGAATATTTAGGAATTATAGGCCAATCTAACTGTCCTGTCCCACTTTAGCCCCAGAAGGCCATAAATCAACATGTAATGAGCTAATCTACCTTTTTATATTAAGTCTTTGAAACTTGCTGAGTATTTATCAGTTGAGACTTCCTGTATTTCAAGTGCTCAATAGCCACATGTGGCTAGTGGCTACCATATTGAATAGCATAGTTTTTTTCAAAGGAGGAAATCAATAGAGGAATAAAATAAGGAAGGGATTACTGCAGGAAAGACAGGAAGGTGGAAGTGAGATTGCACTGGGTTAAAAAAATCAGAGTTTCTGAGAAGATACAAGGGAATGGAATTTTGAGCCCATTGAATGAGAGAGACACTAAGTGTGTGTAAGAGTGCTACCTAGGGAAACATTGACTGTGGAACTAGTGGGCAGCTTTGGAATTTGATGACTATGTATCCAATCTATACTGTTATGTGATTTTCTCCAGCAACCTTTGGTAACCTGGTTGTAGGTAATAGAAAGATAGTCATTTGAAATCAATCAGAAATAAGGTTTTTCCATTCAGGTATGAAGAAGGGACTATGAGTTAAAGGAGTTGAAGAATCTATTCAGAAAGTGGCTCAAGTGATGGAACTTAAAATCTAATATGAAGTGGAAATGAAAACAGGAGGGAGTTGATATGGAGAAAGTAGATGTGACAATTTTTTGGAGGTTCCAACAACGTCTGGGGACCCATCTCTTGGGAATAGTTGATGAGATAATTGGAAGAATAGGAAGTTACGGTGAGAGAGTGAGATGATTGGATTTATTGTTTATGAAGTTGGACAGTTTTGTTGATGGCAAATTTAGGATGTTGATGTGGAGGATGGGTATTGAAATGGAGTGTATGGGAAAGGCATTAGAGATGATGAGGTCAAGAAGCTGAAAGTTCACGGTTTGGGATGGGTCACCCATGAGGATATGCAGGTCGTAAGATGATGGCAGGACTTGGAGTGAGGAGAACAACTGTCCCATGGCCCAGAAGTCTACAAGTAACAGCAACAAGGTGGGGTGGAGGTTGGTATAGCCAAATGGCTTAAAGCTAAAAGGAGTAGGAATTTTGACATGACAGTGGAAAAGCAAGGTCTGGGAGTAGCAGTGGGGAGGGAGGAGATTACCAACCTTAAAGATCATGTAGTTCAAAGACTTCTATAGATAAGGAAACTGGGGTCAGAGAGTGGTAGCCAGCCTCCAAGATATTCCCCAGTGAGCCCCACTTTATGGTATTCACACCCTTGTGTAGTACCCTCCTGCAGTGTACCAGGGTCAGTTTATGTGAAGGGTAGAATACAGCAGAAGTATGTTATGTCTGAGATTAGGTTTAAAGGCTAGTGTTCACTCTTGTCTAGTTGCCCTCTTGCTCTTGGGTCTTCACTCTGGGGAAAGCCAACTGACATATCACAAACAACCCTGGAGAGACCCACATGGCAAGGAACTGAAGCCTCTTGCCAGCAACCATGTGAGTGAGCTTAGAAGTAGATCCCCCAGCTCCAGTCAAGCCTTCAGATGACAGCAGTTCCAGCTGACATCTTTATCGCAACCTCTTGAGAATCCCTGAGCCCTGTGGGACCTGTTACGCCACTCCTGAATTCCCAACCCACAGAAACTGTGAGATAATATGTTTGTTGTTTTAAGCCTCTATGCTTGGGGTAATTTGTTAAGCAGCAATAGATAAATAATACTGAAAAATTTTGAAGCTTACCCAAAGTCACAAAGCTAGTTAGTGGCCAACATGAAGTGAGAACACAGGGCTCCTGCCTCTCAAGTCAAGGTTCTGTAAGATCACACATATCTGAGGATATCTTGGCCTCCTTTTGTAGTGGATGCCCATAAATTCAGGAGGTGGTAATAACTACCTGAAAATACTGAATAGGTCATAGTTTGGCTTTTTTATAGGCAAAATAAAATAAAAACAAGGACATGCTTTCTCATGGAATATGGAATAATATTTAGTATGATAAGTAATTTTACATCCCTACCATATAGTAATATGCAAGTATTTCTAAGGCAGGCTTATATCTTTTTGCCACAATTTCTGGAAGAATTGAGAGGATTAATTCAGGTTTGTGCGACCACTGAGTGGTAAAACCAGAAATGTAATTTCTTTTTTTTTTTTTTTGAGATGGAGTCTCGCTCTTGTTGCCCAGACTGGAGTACAATGGTGTGATCTCAGCTCACTGCAACCTTTGCCTCCCGTGTTCAAGCAATTCTCCTGCCTCAGCCTCCCAAGTGGCTGATACTACAGGCTCGTGCCACCACGCCTGGCTAGTTTTTTAATATTTTTAGTAGAGACAGGGTTTCACCATTTTGGCCAGGCTGGTCTCAAACTCCTGACCTCAGGTGATCCGCCCACTTCGGCCTCCCAAAGTGCGGAGATTACAGGTGTGGGCTACTGCACCCAGCCCAGAAGTGTAATTTCTACTAGGCTTCTTTTGACCACTTGACAAGGATGGCATAGTGGACCTGGTATTAGTTATCCCACTTAAGCACTTCAATGTAAGTCTGACCTTTTTGTGCGGTGAATGAGTGACAGGGTCTAGTGTCTGCATTCTGCCTATTCCCTCTAAATGTAATATTCAGAGAAGGGCAGACTGCCAGAAAGGCACTTTGTGTCTTCTATTTGCATGCCATAGACGCTACCATTTGTATGCGCATGACTATTAGGTCAAAGAATGTTTGTGTGACCCTTTGATTTATAATCTGGGTCTCAGTTTTTAAAAAATGTGATTATATGATATTTTTATTTTTTTCTTCCTTAAAAATAGAACTAGAAAAGTGAGAGGGTTGGTTTAAGTTTCATTAGAACATGGAGTTTTTTAAAAAATTAATCTCAAGTGTGTTCAAGCTTTCAATTTCCTTAAATCTCATAAAAATTCAGATGTATGTCCAATTATTCCTCATTACAGCCAGGAAGTTAATTTGCTGTCATATATTCTCAGCATTAGGGAGATTCTTGAATGTTTTCCTGTATTTTTTCTCACTATACTTGAAAAAAATAGATTTGCCAGCTATTCCCTGGTTTTACTTGTACTCCTGAGAGTCAAAGAAAGACAATTTTCACTTCCTTGACATTTTAGCACTTTCCTGGCTATGATCCAGCTAATTAACTGTGGGTCAAGCTTGCTTTAGATAAAGTACTATTTTATATTAAAAAGGTTAGTGATTAGTATGTAGTTTGAATTTTATTTTACAAAATTTCAGCATTAAAAAACATCAGCATCAAGAAACCCCAAAAAACACAAATATGTATCCTCAATTACTGATGTTACTCATTTTTCTAGTTGTATCTCATTTTTCAGAAACCTCAGATGTTCATAATCAAACTTACATTTGTAAATTCCTTTGATTTTTTAAATGAACCTATAAATGGTTCTTAGTAAAAATTCATTCATTCATTCAGCAAAACTTACTGAGTACTTATTATGTGCCAGGTACATTTTTTGGTTGTTGGGCATATGGGAATAAATAAGACATACGAAGTCTATGTTTTCATGGCACTTGCATTGTAATTGGGGATGAGAATCAATAAACAAAAGAGATATAATATATCAAATGGTGACTAAATGTAGTGAAGAGAAAATGAAGCAGGGTAAGAGGATAGCGAACACGAATAAGTAGAGGGGTCAAGCTATGTATGTATCTGGGACAGAAATATTCCGGAGAGGAAGACTAGTGCAAAGGCAAGTTAACCAAACCTAGTAGGTCCAGACACATCCAGGAGACTTGTGTAGCCACAGCAGAGTCCAAGAGGAGATGGGATCCATGGAGAAGCAGCGGCCAGACTGCATGGTGCCTACAGGAGATGGAAAGGAATTTGGTTTTAGCTTGATCACTTCTGGCTGCTGCGTGAAGAGACTACAGGACTGTAACTGCAGAAGCAGTCCAACTAACTAGAAGATGTGCAAGAGATTTATTAAGAGGAACACCTGTGAGGGGAGATGGAGAGGGTGCCAGAATAGGGTTTGAGAGCTTTCAGACTGCAATGCAGGTCTGACCCTGGTAATAGACAGAGGGAGGGCAAAAGGATGGACGGGAGACTTGGAGACTACAGTACAGCTCTGTGAAAGTTTGGCAAGGCCAGTAGGGAGTCCTTGAGCCCAAACTACCCATCAGAGGAGTCTCCCATCTCCCAGTAATGGGCCTGCTCCTGTGTTCCTGCCACACTCAAGTCATTAGCTGGGAGTAGCCTTTGGGACACCCAGCCTCAGCAAGAACACAGGGATCAAGATTTCAGGTGCAGGAGCTGGGGCCACTGTCAATTATGCTGCACTATCAGCATAAAGTGCAGCATAAAGCTGCACTGCTTTTATAAATACCTGAGGCTGGGTAATTTATAAAGAAAAGAGGTTTAATTGGCTCATGGTTCTGCAGGCTGTACAGGAAGCATGGTGCTGGCATCTGCTTGGTTGTGGGGAGGCCTCAGGAAACTTACAGTCATGGTGGAAGGCAAAGGGGGAGCAGGCACGTCACATGGCCAAGGCAAGAGAGTGAGGGAAGGTGCCACGCACTTTCAGACAACCAGATCTCATGAGGATTCACTCACTATCACAAGGACAGCACCAAGAGGATGGTGCTAAACCATTCATGAGAAATCTGCCCTCCTGATCCAGTTACCTCCCACCAGGCCCCACCTCCAACATTGGGGATTGCATTTCTTTTTTTCTTTTTATTTTTTTTGAGATGGTGTCTCACTCTGTCGCCCAGGCTGGAGGGCAGAGGCGCGATCTCGGCTTACTGCAACCTCTGCCTCCCAGGTTCAAGTGATTCTCATACCTCAGCCTCCTGAGTAGCTGGGATTACAGGCATGTGCCACCATTCCTGGCTAATTTTTGTATTTTCAGTAGAGATGGGATTTCACCATGTTGGCTAGGCTTGTCTCGAACTCCAGACCTCAGGTGATCTTCCCACTTCTGCCTCCCAAAGTGCTGGGATTACAGGCATGAGCCACTGCACCCAGCTGGGGATTACATTTCAACATGAGATTTGGGTGGTGACACAGATCCAAATTATATCAGATCTCCACATAGAGACATTGATAAAGCAGCTGAATATAGAATCTGGGTTCAAGGGAAAGGTCCAAGCTGGAAATATAAATTTGAAAATCATCAACATATGAACAGTATTAACAGTCATGGGATTGGATTGGTTTACCCAAGGAGCCTCATGGATGGAGGGAAGAAGAGGATCAAGACCTGAGAAGGAGAAGAGGAGAATCCCACAGAAAGAAGAAGGAGCAGCCAGCAGGAGGTAGGGGAACCACAAAGCAGTGGTGTCCAGGAAGCCAAAGGAAAAAGTTGTCTGAAAGGATAAATTCTCTGTTCCTTATTCTACTTCTTTATTCTTGATATCTATTAAATGAAAGTTATCTGATGTATCAGTATCTTGCTAAGTGGGCCTACTAAATAATCAAGAAGGAAATAAAGCTTATAAGAATACTGACTTTGTGACCAATTCAAAACCTGTGTCCACCATTCACTCTGTGTCCTTGGGCAAGATTCTTTTTTGTGTGTGACAGGGTCTGGCTCTGTCACCCAGGCTAGAATGCAGTGGTGTGATCTTGGCTCACTGCAACCTCTCCCTCCCAGGCTCAAGCCATCCTCCCACCTCAGCCTCCTAAATAGTTGGGACTACAGGCATGTGCCACCACACCCAGCTGATTTTTGTCTTTTTTGTAGAGATGAGGTCCCACCTTGTTGCCCAGTCTGGTCTTGAACTCCTGAACTCAAGCAATCCGTCCGCCTTGGCCTCCCAAAATGTTGGGATTACAGGTGTGAGCCACTGTACCCAGCCAAGATTCTTAACCTCTATTTGCTTCCGTTTCCTCATTTCCACATTGGGGATTATAGAATTGCTAAGAGGATTAAGTAAGTTAAGAGTTGTAAATGATTATTGAGACAGTGCCAGGCACATGGTAAGTGCTTAATACATGTTACATATTATTACATAAGGCATACTGCAATGAAAGGTCAATTTTACTATCTCTCAAGTTTTCTGATGGTAGCAGCTAGAGTGTAAGGGTTCCTTTTAGATTTCATTTCTCTGATTGGGGTCTTCATGTATTCTGTATTTCTCTTTTCATGGTTTTTCCTTTTTATATATTGAAATAAGAGTAATTTAAAAAATCTGCACAACTCCTTGTATTTGAAGTTTTGTTGTTGTTGTTTTGTTTTCTTGTTTTTGTTTTTTTTTTTGAGACGGAATCTTGCTCTGTCGTCCAGGCTGGAGTGCAGTGGCGCAATCTTGGCTCACTGCAAGCTCCCCCTCCCAGGTTCACGCCATTCTCCTGCCTCAGCCTCCCGAGTAGCTGGGACTACAGGCGTCCACCACCACGCCCGTCTAATTTTTTGTATTTTTAGTAGAGACGGGGTTTCACCATGTTAGCCAGGATGGTCTCGATCTCCTGACCTCGTGATCCGCCGGCTTTGGCCTCCCAAAGTGCTGGGATTACAGGCATGAGCCACCGCGCCCTGCCATATTTAAAGTTTTTAAACCAGCCACCAGCAGAGGCCTTTAAAAGCAGACGATGAGCCTGGGCAACAAAGCAAGACCCTGTCTCTACAAACAATTTTTTGTTTTTTAAGTAGCCCTGTGTAGTGACACAGGCCTGTAGTCTTAGCTACTCAGGAGGCTTATGTGGCGGGATCAGTTTAGCCCAGGAGTTCGAGGCTGCCATGAGCTATGATCGCTATGATCGCTCCAGTACACTCCAGCCTGGGAGACAGAGTGAGACCCCATCTGTAAAATAAATAAATGAATAAATAAAATTAAAGCAGATCATGATTTGGCAGATTTTTTTTTAAAAAGGATAAATAATTTCATAGAACAGTGTTTTTAAAGCTTTTTGGGGTTACTGATCCCTTTGAGAATCAGATAAAAGTTCTTCCCTGAAAAATGCATTTACAAATACATGTAATTTTAATTACAATTTTAGGGCATTTGTGTGTCCTTGAAGCCAACCCTTGAGTCTTCCAAGGCAACCATGAAGTCAGATTTTGAATTGACTGCAAAGTCCACGTTCTTATAAGCTTTATTTTCTTATTATTTAGTAGGTCCATTTAGCAAAATCTCAACACATCATGAATTTTAAGTCATTCACATGCTTCTAGTGTAAACAAAAAGGAATTTCCCTTAGAGAAACCTCAATTCTGAACCAATTAAGTTGGAGAGAAAAATAAAATGATTCATGGGAAATGTGACCTGTGCACTCAGGGCCCTGCACTCAGAAGGGTCCACACCTAGGTTAATGCTGTTCTGTTACCATGTTGAAATTTTTAGTAATTTTTGAGCAAGACGCTTCTTATTTTTGTATTCCATAGGGCCTTGAAAATTATATAGCCAAAGAAACACATAGACACACAATTTAAATTCACTAGGGTTTTTCTCTCTTTGACATTTAAACAAGAACACAAAGTAAACAGGAAATACAATTTCCAATGTCTTTTAAAGATAATGTTTTTATATAAGTTGTGTGTTCTCACTAGTTTTTTCTTCTTGAGGTAATGTATTAATTAATCACAATCTGCTCTTATAATTTTGACATTCACTTTAAAACTCCAAAGGGAAGATGTGATTAGGTATTAAAATTATCTTAAACAATATTAAAAGATAGACATATAGGAACCTCTATATTCCAGGCCAAACTACCTAAGCAAAAGAAAGATTTTGATGTTAGTAGAAAATATTTGCAAACTATACATCTAACAAAGGTCAAATATCCAGAATATGCAAGAAACTTGAGGCCGGGCCAGTGGCTCACGCCTGTAATCCCCACACTTTGGGAGGCCAAGGCAGGTGGATTGCCTGAAGTCAGGAGTTCTAGACCAGCCTGGCCAACATGGCGAAACGCCATCTCTACTAAAAATACAAAAATTAGCTGGGCGTGGTGGCATGCACCTGTAAATCCAGCTACTCCAGAGGCTGAGGCAGGAGAATCGCTTGAACCCAGGAAGTGAAGGTTGCAATGAGCTGAGATCATCATGCCACTGCACTTCAGCCTGGGGGATAGAGTGAGACTCTGTATCCAAAAAAAAAAAAAAACAAATATACATGCAAAAAACAACCCGATTAAAAAGTGGGCATAGGACATGGACAGACACTTTTCAAAAGAAGATATACATGTGGCCAACAAGCATATGAAAAAATGCTCAATATCACTAATCATTGGAGCAATGTAAATCAAAACTACAATGAGATACCGTCTCACACCAGTCAGAATGGCTGTTAAAAAGTCAAAAAATAACAGATGCTGATGAGGTTGCAGAGAAAAGGGAACATTTATACACTTCTGGTGGGAGTGTAAATTAGTTCACGAGTTTACCTATGTAACAATCCTGTACATGTACCCCAAGTCTAAAGTAAAAGTTATAAAAAAAGATTTTGATGTCAATGGGAAGCTCACACTAAGGCAATAAGGAGCAAGATGGTAGCAGAGACATGAATGGTCGTACATGCCTATTAAGATGCTTGGACCCTCTCCTGAGGCCATAGAGACCATCGAAAGGTTTTAATTAGCAGAGTATGGTCAACATCATTATCTGCATTTTTTTCTTTTTTCTCTTCTTTTTTATTTTTTTTGAGACGGAGTCTTGTTCCGTCGCCCAGGCTGGAGTGCAGTGGTATGATCTCGGCTCACTGCAACCTCCATCTCCCAGGTTCAAGCGATTCTTCTGCCTCAGCCTCCCAAGTAGCTGGGACTACAGGCACGTGCCATCACTCCCGGCTAATTTTTGTATTTTTAGTAGAGGTGGGGTTTCACCATATTGACCAGGCTGGTTTTGAGCTCCTGACCTCGTGATCCGCCCACCTCGGCCTCCCAAAGGGCTGGGATTACAGGCATGAGTCACTGTGCCTGGCCATTATCTTCATTTTTAAGGGTTGCCAGATTTAGCAAATAAAACTACAGAATGCCCAGTTAAATTTGAATTTCAGATAAACAATGAATAATTTTTTGGTACTGGTGTATTCTATGCAATATTTGGTACATACTTACCTAAGAAGTATTAGTTGTTAACTGAAATTCAACTTTACGTGAGCCTCCTGTATTTTATCTGGCAAGCCTATGAGGTTTTGTTTTGTTTTGTTTGTTTGTTTGTTTGTTTTTTGAGACGGAGTCCCACTCTGTCACCCAGGCTGGAGTGCGGTGGGGCAATCTCGGCTCACTGCAACCTCCACCTCCCAGGTTCTAGCGATTCTCCTGCCTCAGCCTTTGTAGTAGCTGGGATTACAGGCACACGCCACCACGCCCAGCTAATTTTTGTATTTTTAGTAGAGACGGGGTTTCACCATATTGGTCAGGCTGGTCTCAAACTCCTGACCTCAGGTGATCCGTCCCCCTCAGCTTCCAAAAGTGCTGGGATTACAGGCGTGAGCCTCCTTGCCCAGTCCCTACTAGATTTCTTTCTTTTTTTTTTTTTTTGGAGTTGACTCACAGCTCTGCTACTAGCTGTGTAACTTGGGTTGAGTTATTTATTTATTTATTTATTTTTTTTTTTTTTATTTTTTTATTGATCATTCTTGGGTGTTTCTCGCAGAGGGGGATTTGGCAGGGTCACAGGACAATAGTGGAGGGAAGGTCAGCAGATAAACAAGTGAACAAAGGTCTCTGGTTTTCCTAGGCAGAGGACCCTGCAGCCTTCCGCAGTGTTTGTGTCCCTGGGTACTTGAGATTAGGGAGTGGTGATGACTCTTAACGAGCATGCTGCCTTCAAGTGTCTGTTTAACAAAGCACATCTTGCACCGCCCTTAATCCATTTAACCCTGAGTGGACACAGCACATGTTTCAGAGAGCACAGGGTTGGGGGTAAGGTCACAGATCAACAGGATCCCAAGGCAGAAGAATTTTTCTTAGTACAGAACAAAATGAAAAGTCTCCCATGTCTACCTCTTTCTACACAGACACGGCAACCATCCGATTTCTCAATCTTTTCCCCACCTTTCCCCCCTTTCTATTCCACAAAACTGCCATTGTCATCATGGCCCGTTCTCAATGAGCTGTTGGGTAAACCTCCCAGACGGGGTCGTGGCCGGGCAGAGGGGCTCCTCACTTCCCAGTAGGGGCGGCAGGGCAGAGGCTCCCCTCACCTCCCGGACGGGGCGGCTGGCCGGGCGGGGGGCTGACCCCCCCACCTCCCTCCCGGACGGGGTGGCTGGCCGGGCAGAGGGGCTCCTCACTTCCCAGTAGGGGCGGCCGGGCAGAGGCACCCCTCACCTCCCGGACGGGGCGGCTGGCCGGGCGGGGGGCTGACCCCCCACCTCCCTCCCGGACGGGGTGGCTGGCCGGGCGGGGGGCTGACCCCCACACCTCCCTCCCGGACAGGGCGGCTGGCCGGGCAGAGGGGCTCCTCACTTCCCAGTAGGGGCGGCTGGGCAGAGGCGCCCCTCACCTCCCGGATGGGGCGGCTGGCCGGGCGGGGGGCTGACCCCCCCATCTCCCTCCCGGACGGGGTGGCTGCCGGGTGGAGACGCTCCTCACTTCCCAGACGGGGTGGCTGCCGGGCGGAGGGGCTCCTCACTTCTCAGACGGGGCGGCTGCTGGGCAGAGAGGCTCCTCACTTCTCAGACAGGGCGGTTGCCAGGCGGAGAGGCTCCTCGCTTCTCAGACAGGGCGGTTGCCAGGCAGAGGGTCTCCTCACTTCTCAGACGGGGCGGCCGGGCAGAGACGCTCCTCACATCCCGGACGGGGCGACAGGGCAGAGGCGCTCCCCACATCTCAGACGATGGGCAGCCGGGCAGAGACGCTCCTCACTTCCTAGATGGGATGGCGGCAGGGAAGAGGCGCTCCTCACTTCCTAGATGGGATGGCGGCTGGGCAGAGACGCTCCTCACTTTCCAGACTGGGCAGCCAGGCAGAGGGGCTCCTCACATCCCAGACGATGGGCGGCCAGGCAGAGACGCTCCTCACTTCCCAGACGGGGTGGCCGCCGGGCAGAGGCTGCAATCTCCACACTTTGGGAGGCCAAGGCAGGCTGCTGGGAGGTGGATGTTGTAGCGAGCCGAGATCACGCCACTGCACTCCAGCCTGGGCACCATTGAGCACTGAGTGAAGGAGACTCCATCTGCAATCCCGGCACCTCGGGAGGCGGAGGCTGGCGGATCACTCGCGGTTAGGAGCTGGAGACCAGCCTGGCCAACCAGATTTCTTAATGTAATGCCTGATGATGATACATGGTCAGTGGTAAATACATTTCAGTGCCCCTCTGCTTTTCTTGCCACCTGTAGGTGGCAGTCTTATCAAATAATTTCAAGAGACCTATGACAAATGTGTTTAATATTGTGCTGTACAAGTTTAATACTGTTTAATCCATCTATTAATAAGGCTCTTAAAATTATATAAATGTTTACATAAAATAAAAATAAATTTGAAGGTGCTCAAAACTAAATATAATTCAGTCCTCATCTTTTATACAACTTACTATCGAATATTCAAATCTAGATAGCTCATTCTAGTGAAGTACAGTGCTTTTATACTTTATGGATATTTTGAGGTATTTTGTAGCTTTTCATGATATTGTAAATGGGGTCTTTTCCCCTCATATTTTCTAACAGACTACTTTTGCTGTGTAAGTAGCTATTGATTTTTGTATGTTTTTGTTTCAGACCATACTCTGTTAGTTCAAATAGTATTACCATAAATACTCTTGGATTTTCCAGTAGACAATTAAATGATCTGCAAATAATTTACTTTTCTCTCTTTTTCAAATAGCAATAAATCTCTTTTAAAAAACTGAATGTAATTCTGCTAGATGCAGGTATTAAGAATAAAAAGAAATAATTATATTGATACTCTTATAAAACTATTTCTGGCCAGGTGCGGTGGCTCATGCCTGTAATCCCAGCACTTTGGGAGGCTAAGGCGGGTGGATCACCTGAGATTAGGAGTTCAAGTCCAGCCTGGCCAACACGGTGAAACCTCATCTCTACTAAAAATACAAAAATCAGCCGGGTGTGGTGGCATGCACCTGTAATCCCAGCTACTCGCAAAGCTGAGGCAGGAGAATGGCTTGAACCCAAGAGGTGGAGGTTGCAGTGAGCTGAGATCGTGCCACTGCACTCTAGCCTGGGCAACAGAGCGAGAATCGGTCTCAAAACAAAAACAAAACAAACAAACAAACAAAAACTGTTTCCATTAGTATGAGATTTTATATTCACTCAAAACTATTATAATAATATAAAATTATAATCCAAAAAGATAATTGTAACCTTATAGTTGTATTTATACATGAATAATATAGAATTATGTAAAAATAGGACCTCAATTATCTATTTCATCTACACCCATGCCCCCCTACCCATTATACTAAGAATGCTATTCTTATCACAGATTTGTTTTCTTACAAAGCCAAAGGAAAAAAACATCCCCATGAGATCCAATAAAGTCTTTAAGTAACTTATTCCATTATTACATACTGGATTCTAAAAAGAATAACTATAATTCCTTTTGAATTTCAATACAAGAGACTTCAATCTTTTAAAAGAAAGTTACATCACTTCATACCATTATTCATTGTCTTTTGAGCTGTGACAGTGTACTCAGTACTACACAAAACACAGGACACAGTGCCTTCCCACATCTGATGTTGAGAAGCCACCTAGGAGTTAGAATCTATGAACATGAGTTTCGAAGGTAGCACCTTTAGGTGTTTTAGTTCACAGATATTTTAATGTGTGTTGATTTATAAACTGTAAAATAGGATGGAAGTTTAAATATTAATCTGAAAAATAAACTTTGTACGAGGTGGCACTGTTTGGCAATATGCTATTTCTTTTGAAATTGACTAAGTAATGTTTCCTTATACTTTGCTCTATTCTGGTACTTACTCTGCAAGTATAAGATCTATTAATCATTTTATGAATATGAAAGTAAATTAGTCTCAATGAAAAAATTAGAAAACACAGAAAAGGGTAAATAGAAAAATCATCTGCAATTCAATGTTTAGGTAGCTTATGACATTTTTTTTCCTTTATGGTCCAGGAAAGTCATAATAAGGCATATGTTTTGGAATCAAACAAATCTGGGTTCAGATTCTACCCTCTCCACTTATTCAGTGCACGTTGCAGTAAACCTCTTAATCTCACTGAGTTTATTTCAAATTTTGACTTGTCTTCCTTCTCCAGCTACCATCCATTTTTTTTTTTTTTTCTTTTTCTTTTTTTTTTTTTTTTTTGAGGTGAGTCTCCCTCTGTTGCCCAGGCTGGAGTGCAGTGGCTGGATCTCAGCTCACTGCAACCTCTGCCTCCCGGGTTCAAGCAATTCTCCTGCCTCAGCCTCCCGAATAGCTGGGATTACAGGCGCCCGCCACCACGCCCAGCTCATTTTTTTGTATTTGTAGTAGAGATGGGATTTCACCATGTTGACCAGCCTGATTTTGAACTCCTGACCTCAAGTGATCCACCCACCTTGGCCTCCCAAAGTGCTAGGATTACAGGCGTGAGCTACCATGCCCGGCCCATTTCTTTCTTTCTTTCTTTCTTTCTTTCTTTTTTTGAGACAGAGTCTTGCTCTGTTGCCCAGGCTGGAGTGCAGTGGCACGATCTCGGCTCACTGCAACTTCCGCCTCCCAGGTTCAAGCAATTCTTCTGCCTCAGCCTCTGGAGTAGCTGGGACTACAGGTGCGCACCACCGAGCCTGGCTAATTTTTGTATTTTTAGTAGAGATGGGGTTTTGCCATGTTGGCCAGGCTTGTCTAGAACTCCTGACCTTGTGATCCGCCCCCCTCAGCCTCCCAAAGTGCTGGGATTACAGATGTGAGCCACTGCGCCCGGCCCATCCGTTTCTTTAGAAAAGTGTGCATTGTCCTTTCTTACCCTCATTCCATTCCTCTACCTACTGCAATCTGGCTTCTGTCCCCATTGTCCAGAAACGACTCTCATGAAGGTCACTAACAGCTTCCGTGTTGCCAAGTTCAGTGCACATTTTCCTTCTTTATTTTATGCTCCCTCTCAGCAGCTGTGTTGCCCTGGCACGCTGCAGGAGTGATACTGGACAGCTTATTGCAAACATTTCTTTCCAAGTTCAGTGAAGGAGTGTTGGTAGCTTGAAATTATTAGCCACAGTGACAGTATTTACACCACAAAAATCAGCAAATGCTACAAATCAGGGCCTTTTTTCCTGACAGCCACATACTAAACATTTACCTGCACACCGAGAGAGATAAGTGACCACTTTTCCCTTCACAAGATGCTATTTTTGTTGTTTATTCAATACCACCCACTCCTGGTTTTCTTTCTATCTTAACTCCCCTATCCCACCGTTACATGTTAGCATTCTTCTTTTTCTTCTTCCTTTCATGCGCTAGCTCCATAAATGATCTCACTAATTTCCATGGATTTAAATACTACCACTATGTGGATCAATTTTGGATTTGTATCTGTAGCCCAGACCTCTCTAAGATTCAAACTCAAACACGGAACAACTCATTTAAACTTGTACTGGGTATCTTACAGCAGACATCTCAAACTCACTGACAAAACTTAGTTCCATAAAACCTTTCCCTTTCTTTTTCTCTCTCTTTTATTTTTTTTAGTTTTTATGTTTATTTATTTATTTATTTATTTTTGAGACGGAGTCTCACTCTGTTGCCCAGGCTGGGGTGCAATCTTGGCTCACTGCAACCTCTGCCTCCCAGGTTCAAGCAATTCTCCTGCCTCAGCCTTCCAAGTAGCTGGGATTACAGGCACCCACCACCACACCCAGCTAATTTTTGTATTTGTAGTAGAGACAGGGTTTCACTATGTTGGCCAGGCTGGTCTTGAACACCTGACATCAAGTGATCCATCTGCCTCGGCCTCCCAAAGTTCTGGGATTACAGGCGTGAGCCACCGTGCCTGGCCAAACCTTTCCCTTTCTTATCTTCCCCATCCCAGCATCCTCCATTTCAGGAAACGGAACTGCAATATACTTGATCACTGAAGCCGGAAACCTAAGCATCATCCATGGTTCTTCCCTATTCCTCAGCCTCATGTCTAATCCATCGGCAAATCCTGTCAATTCTACCTCCAAAATATCTTATTCTTCTTATTTTTTTTCTTCAGCTTTATTCCCATCACATTTTGGGCTACCATCATCTTTCAGCCCAATTACTGTAACAGCTCCAAACTAATCTCTGAACTTCAATTCTTCTTCCCCTCGAATCCATTCTCCATGTAGCAGTAAAAATTGATCATAAAATGTGGAGATCACACCATTTGTCTGCTTAAAGTCTTTAAATGATCTTTCATTACATTTAGTTTAAAAAACAAATTTCAGGTTTTCGAACTGGTCTCTGCTTATCTCTCCAACTTTTGAAGTGTGATTATTTAAGCTCATGTATGTTCTGTTCAAGCCTTTGGCTTTCCAGTCTCTGAACGTGTCAGGCTTGCCCTCCATCTCACGTATAGCTTTTGAATGTACACCCCTAGTCTGAAATGATCTTTTCCTTGCTCTTTCTGTGGGTAGTTCCTTGTGTTCCCTTAATTACCCAATCAATTTAAATCTGCCTTTTCTGTTGTTCTTTATTCCAGCCCCTTGTTTATTTCCTGATTGAATGAATAAATGAATCTATAAGATTCCTAAGGATTTATCTAATAGGAATAAATAATGAAAAAGTATTAAAAAGTTCTTAGCATGAGGCCTGGTGCAGGGTATATGTTAAATCAGAATTTTTTTTGCTACTATTTTTCACTTTAATTTAATTTATAGCATTCTGTAGTTCCTAAATGAAGACTTGTGTCTGGAAGGTGGCTGTGTTAAAGCTCAGGATATTCTCACTTCCTAGTATCACAGATGGGTAACCTGATTTAAGCAGAACATCCCTAGTTTTTATGCTTTGGTTTATTAAGAATATACTAGTAAAGAAAGGAGTGAATCTTGCTGGTAGGAATTGAAACATTTATGGAGATCCAAATAGGATAAAAGACAAGAGCACTAATAAAACTATCAGACCACAGTGCCTTTTGTTTTTCCTGATCAAACAGATACAGAAAGAGCATGTTTAGATTTTGGCAATTTAATTGGTCAGACTGTGATACTAATAAGGCTCTTGTTATATGCTTCTAAATTTAGTCAGTTTGATATCAGAGAGTTCTGCAACTTTAATCTTTATTAAAAATAAACCTTTTCAATCATTAGAGCACCTAGGGCAAGTAGAAGGATGGTGCATTAATTATATATATATATATATATATATACACGCATATATATATACACACACACACGTGCATATATATGTATATACACACACATATATACATATATACACACATATTCACACACACATATACATACACACACACACACACATATATAGATATATATACACACACATATTTTTCTTTTTTTTTCTTTTTTTGAGACAGGGTCTCACTCCATCACCCAGGCTGGGGTGCAGTGGCATGATCTCGGCTCACTGCAACCTCCACCTCCCAGGCTCAAGTGATCCTCCTGCCTTAGCTTCCCAGGTAGCTAGGATCACAGACGTGCACCACCACGCCCAGCTAATTTTTGTATTTTTGGTAGAGATGGGGTTTCACCATGTTGCCCAGGCTGGTCTTTAAGTCCTGAGCTTAAGCGATATGCCCAGCTAGGCCTCCCAAAATGCTGGGATTACAGACTTAAGCCACTGCACCCGGCCCATTATATTTTTTTAAGTGGGGGTGATTTAGGGAGTAGCATCACTTTACAATACTAAGAAGAGTACACACAAACAATACACAACTTATATAACATTAGTACTGGCATCAAATTTTAAAACCATTAAAGGCAAGACATTTATTCAAATACTTGTTGGTTGTTTCTCAGGAGAAGTGATTCTGTTGCCCCTAACAACCACGGGGCTACCAGAGTGACCTTTTTGTAGCCTTGAGGATTTCTGCTCAAGGAGCCCCCTCCAGGCAATTGCTTTCTACTTCTTCCCAAACCTGTAGTCTCACCCTCTCCAGTCTCTTGGTCTCCCTTAAGGACTTAGAACAAAATTTTCCTGAACTCCATGATCTTTTAACCTTGAACCTGCCCTGTCCACTGTGGTCTTTCAGGGGTAAGGGCTCAAACTCCTAGGCCTTGTTTTACCATGCAGTCAAAAAACATAGAAAAGAACAACCTAAGAGAAGTAAGAAAGCTTTGACCTGTGAAGGAAAATTGATAGGAGGCCGTTGGTTTGTACTGAGCTCCTGCACTGGGCCCAACAGACCAAAGCAAAATGGAATAATTCCTGCTGAAGTTTCACACCACCAAACCAAAACCAAGGTGTTTATCTGAACTTCCAAGGAATCAGGGGGTTGGGGGTGGCAGGGAGAGAGAGAGAGCCAAATCCCCAAACAGGCCAGTTTTACCCGGCATGATAAGGAAGTCCCCTCTGCTTTAACCTTTAGGAAGAAAGCAACTTCAAAATGACTAATCCACTTTTTGTTCTCTATGTCTGCTTCCCCAGCCCTTTTTGTCTATAAAGCCAAACTTCTCTGTTCAGCTCATTTACAGATTGAGTTGTTGCCTGATTCAAGAGTCACCGATAAAAGCCTATTAAGATCTTTAACTAAATGGGTTGTAATTTTGTCTTTTGACAGAGCCACTTGATTTCTTCCCACAGAAAGTTTCACCTTCCTCTTGCCTGCCACCTTCTTTTTCAGGAATCCCACTGTATGCTCTCAAGGACACTGTTTATTCTGCAACTCAGGCCAAAATTCCTTTTTCCTAAAGATGAGGTGGAGAAGAGAGAAGGCCTTTGCTTTCCTTGGCATGTTAGGGTGTGAGCAGTGCTTTTATAGAGAGTTGATTTCCTGGAAAACCTCCAGCCACAGCCCTTTTATTTATTTTATTATGATTTTTTACTCTGCCATAAATTCAACCAAGTGTACACAACCCTTTTAATATGTGAATGATGAAACAATAAAAGCCACAGCCTCCCTGGAAGGCAGGATGTGAGTCACCATTAAAAAAAAAAAAGTCAACACAAACTTCATCCCAACAATTTTATTTCTGAGGATCTTTCCTAGACGTATAGTTGCATGAATGTGAAGAGACATGTTCAAGGATACTCAGTGCAGCCTGGTTTGTAACAGTGAAATCAGAAACAACATAAATGACTCGCAAAAGAAAAATGGTTACCTAAACTATATTACACCCATTCTATGGAATATATCCATACTATGCAACATTCAAAGAATAAAATAGATCAATATGCATCGATATGAAAAGACCTTTAAGACAAATTGTTAAATGAAAACAAATCTATAGAAAAATAAGGCATAATCCAGTTACATAAAAATACATATTTCTTTGTGTATATGTACACACACATAATGTATATATGTATGTAAACAAAGAAAAAGATCTTGAAAGATACCCATCAAATAGTAGTGAGTTTTTGCTTTGTTTCTGAATTTTTGACAATTTAAATGTATTGATATGCTACTTATGTAATTAAACATTTAAGAAAAAAGGGCAAGGAAAGCAAGAAATCATGCCGCATAGCATAATGGCTAACTGCCTGGTCCCTGGAACCAGACAACCTGTATCCAGATTCTAGCTTGCCACTTACTTAACCTCCCTGCACTTCAGTTTCCTCCTTTGTAAATTGGAGGGTAACAACAGTGCCTACCTGAAGGTGGTTATAGACATGAAATAAGATGATATGTTCAAAGTGCTTGGGACCTAGTGAGGGCTATATAAATGTTAGCTAGTATTACTGATTAAGGAGAGAATAAATCACTGGTGATTCCACTTTAGTCAGAGAAGAATGATTATTTTTTTCATATTCTGGCACTAGTGAGACCTCAGGAAATGTATTTTTTAAAAAATCAATGTCAAACAGCCCTGAAGATGAGGCTTCTAATGCTCCTGCTATTACCTAGTCTTCCTGGAACAAAATGCACACTGGAGAGAGTACAGTTCGACCGACATTCATACCAAATACTCCACTGGGTGCTGGAGACCAGTGAGGCAACATTTCTGCTTTTAAGGGACTCATTTTGTGTTATGGGGGGGTGTAGTGGAGGGAAGAATCAAATCAGCAAACAAATCTTTTTAACACGGGTTAGTCCACAAGATGGGATTACACAGAACTGTGAGTGGAGCTAGAGTAGAAAGGAATGGGAGGGACAAGAACACTCCTGGTAGACGTGAACACTCTGGAAAGATGAGAGGAGTTAGCAATGAAAATAAAAAAGGGATTGGGCATTTCAGGTAAGGGAAACAACATGATTCATTTAGGGGAACTACAAGGAGTTTGGTATTGTTAAAATGTATGTGTGTGTGTGTGTGTGTGTGTGTGTGTGTGTGTGTGTGTGTGTCTGGATGATGAATGGGAGGGGGACAAGGAAGAATGGCCGGAGGAAGTAAGGAACAACAGGTTTGGAAAGACAGTGACAACGATTGGTGACCTTAATTATGTAGCATCAGAGTAGTAGTAGAAACAAAGCAAGATCGCGATGGAAAGATTACTGAAGACAATCTAACTATTTGGACAGATTGAGAGATTTTTTGTTGTTGTTTTTTGAGACAGCATTTCACTCTGTCACCCATGCTGTAGTGCAGTGGCCCAATCCTGGCTCACTGCAGCCTTAACCTCCCGGGCTCAGGTGATCCTCCCATCTCAGTCTCCTGAGTAGCTGGGACCACAGGTGTGTGACACTATGCCCGGCTAATTTTTGTATTTTTTGTAGAGATGGGATTTTGCCATGTTGCCCAGGCTGGTCTCAAACTCCTGGGCTCAAGCCATCCACCTACTTCAGCCTCCCAAAGTGCTAGGATTACAGGCGTGAGCCACCATGCCCAACCAGACTGATTTTATGAAAGAAGTCTCATTTTGACAAGTCACCTTTTGAAAAAATATGACAGGCTGACTTCTGACTTGTATTTCCAGGTAGAATGTAGCAGATCATGGCAGGCCAGCGCTCTTGCTGCAACACCTAAGAAAAAGAAGGATAAGTTACCAAAATCATAGTGCAAAAGATTTAGTGAGAGACCTTAGTGAGAGAGCTGTGGAAACAATGAACACCATATGAACTAACATTGCAGAGAGAGGGGAGTACTTCCTAAGGGAGCTGACAATCTCTGGCCATTTTCCTCCCTGGGGATTTTTGTCAGTTCTGAGTGAAGACTAAGAATCATGCTTGACTAGAGGGACTCTTGGTGCTTGCGTGGGGCTGGCTTGACAGATTATAAACTAGTGTAGAACTGAACACACAGGAGCATATGCTGATGCTTGGGTGATGCAGGAGGCTGGGAGACTTGGCCAGAGAGGCAGAGTGAAATATCCCAATTTCATGGTACTTAAGAGACAAAGTCCCACTAGGAGGAGGCATCCTGCCATAAATACATGGCCAGTTACCCTCAATTATTTTATATACAATGTTTGGCATGCAATTAAAATTACAAAATTTGTGAAGGGGCAGGAAAATATGGCCAATAACCAAGAGAAAAAGCAGACAATATGAGCAAAGCCACAGATGGTTGATATACTTGAGTTAACTGACAAGGACTCTAAGAATAATTATGATTAATAAGTTAAACAAAATAGAAAAAATATGGAAAAACATGAAAAGAGAGAGAAATTCAACAGAGGTAGAATCTACTAGAAAGAATCAAAAACACATTTTAGAAATGAAAAGGACACTATCTGAAATTAAGAACACTTTGGGTGAGTTTTACAGGCAGAACACAGCAAAGAAAGAGTTAATCTATTTGAGGACAGGTCAATAAAAATGATCCAAATTGAAACAGAAAAAATCATGGAAGAAAAAAATGGGGCAAAAGAGACATGTGGGGCATAGACAAGCAGTCTAACATATTTATAATTGGAGAGGGTGGGGATAGAGAACGGGGCAGAAAAAATATTTAAAAGATTTAAAAGACAAGTGCAACCTAAGTAGAATAAAAGAAACTTATACATAGGTATATCATAGTCAAACTGATGAAAACCAAAAATTAAAAAACATTTTAGGCTGGGTGTGATGGCTCACACCTGTAATCCCAGCACTTTGGGAGGCCAAGGTGGCAGGATCATTTGAGGTCAGAAGTTCAAAATCAGTCTAGGCAACATAGTTGGACCCTGCCTCTACAGGGAAAAGGAAAATTAGTTGAGCATCCCATAGCTGGCATTCTTGTAGTCCAAGCTACTTGGGAGGCTGAGGCGGGAGCTCAGGAGAGTGAAGTTCCAGTGAGCTATGATCACACCACTGCATTCCAGCCTGGATGAAAGAGGGAGAACGTGACTGTATTATAAAAATCCATTTTATTTTTTTTTTGAGACTAAGTCTTGCTCTATTGCCCAGGCTGGAGTGCAGTGGCACAGTCTAGGCTCACTGCAACCTCTGCCTCCTGGGTTCAGGCGATTCTCCTGCCTCAGCCTCCCGAGTAGCTGCGGCTACAGGCACGTGCCACCACACCCGGCTAATTTTTGTATTTTTAGTAGAGATGAGGTTTCACCAAGTTGGGCAGGCTGGTCTCAAACCCCTGACCTTGTGATCTGCCTGCCTCAGCCTCCCAAAGTGCTGGGATTACAGGCATGAGCCACCACGCCCGGCCCAAAACTACGTTTTTTAACAAAGGAAAAAATATGCTTTACCTTCAAAGGTACAACAGTAAGGGCAGCTGCAGTCTTTTTAACAGAAATTATGAAAAAATAAATGGAATGACACATCTTCAAACTGCTGAAAAAAAAAAAAAGAAAAAGATGTCGCTAATGATTTTACCCACACCAAAAATGGGTTTGTTGTCCACCATCTCATGCTCAGGACTATTTGTGGGTCCTCTGCAACACTCTTCAGTATCCTGAGATGTCTTCCTCATACCCCTCTATATTGTAGGATTGCAGGCTTCACAGTTCTGTGGTGTCAAGATCACCTATGCCACGTTATGTCCACTGTAGCTTTATACTCCTTTAAAGTGACCTTTAGTTTTATTCACTGGCTTTAATCTGCAATCAAATCAAAATGTTAATGTAATCCCATCAGGAGTTTGGCATTCCATTGACTATTAGCAACAGCCCTCTGCCTATATATTAGGAACATAATTTGTATTAGATGCTTCTTTTCTGATTTTTTTGGGTAAAATAGTGTTGATGTCCTAGTGGTTAGAAAAATGTTTCATGCCTTACAAATGTTAGATTTGGAGTTCAGTCACAAATGATATATCCTGCTTGTCACTTAAGAATTTAAATGAAGCAGTTCAATAATATAAGAATCAGTGCCATCACTAGGTTGTAGGTTCCATTCACTATGATTTGATGTATCTAAATGACTGAGAAGGCTTGTAAAACGTGTGTCTTCAATAATCCCATAGATTCATCTGCAGAACACTGAGAACTTACTGTGGCTAATGTGCTCTTCCTGGTCTATCTATGGTATTCAGAATGATAATCCAGTCATTTTCTAAAATATGCCTCACCTCTCTCTTGGAACTAAAGAGACACCATCCAGCAACAGAGGAATAATCCTTGATGATTAGGATAAACCAGTTGCATCTCCTGATCCCTCAAATATTCCATTGAACTCCCACATATCTAATTCTCAAACTGCTCAAATACCCTATTGATATGGTTTGGTTCTGTGTCCCCACCCAAATCTCATCTCGAATTGTAATCCCCACGTGTGGAGGGAGGGACCTGTAATCCCCACATTTTGAGGGAGGGAGGTGATTGGATCATGGGGGCGGTTTCCCCATGCTGTTCATGTGATAGTGAGTTCTCATGAGATCTGATGGTTTTATAAGTGTCTGGCATTTCCCCTGCTTGCATTTTTCCCTCTCCTGCCACCATGTGAAGAGGGTCTTTGCTTCCTCTTCACCTTCCTCCATGATTGTAAGTCTCCTGAGGCCTCCCCAGTCATCCAAAATGTGAGTCAATTAAACCTGTTTCCTTTATAAACTACCCAGACTCAGGTAGTATCGTTATAGCAGTGTGAGAACGGACAATACACCTGTGTTTTTTGTTTTGTTTCAGGAAACTAGTTCCTGGCATGGGCATCTTTGGACATCTAGTACTTTTTTTCCCCTGGCTTCTGCTAGGGACTAGAATTCATTCTTATCTCCGCCTTGGTTCCCTTGTACTGATTTCCTTTATGACAGAGCCTACATCTAAAATATTTAACATCTCTGCTCTGCTCTACCAAATGCTGCCCCTAGCCCTCATGTCTAGGTTAGAGGTCCTTCCAAGTTTCACATTCTGCCCTGGCTTTGGACTAGATTACTTATTACTCTGTTTAACTCTGTCTCTTGTTTTTCAGTCCAACTTTTTTCTCAGTTGTAGGAGCCCTACCAATGGGCAGCTTTCAAATATTTGTTCATTTTACCTATCCTCGTGGAACTTCACCCGGTATATGTGCAGCTTAGGAATCAGTAAGGTCTCAAGAACACTCTTCTGTAGATTCCTGTAGCTCTTTCTCCACATAGTTTCCTCTGGGCACTTATCCCACAACTTCCATCCACCATGGCCTCTCGGGACCATGCTTGTTTTCTCCTAAACTCAGTGAGACCACTGAGCTCTGTCTGGGTTTCTCCTCCCTCCACCTGTAGCCTGGGAGTTTCCTCTAGTCAGAAGCCATGGCATTCATAGGACTCACTTTATTTGCTTCTGTTTTCTCAAGAACCACTGTCCTGGGCTGCCTGTTGTCCAATAACTAAAAATAGTTGTTTCATGTATTTTTTTCAGTTTTGTTGTTTGATTTGGGAAGACAAGTCTAATTATTACTTCATCATGGCCAAAAGCAGAATTCCAGTTTATAATCTCATTTAAATCTCTCTTCTAACTGTAGTTAAGGGTGTCTTTCTAATACTCTTTATTTATTCTTTCTTTTTTTTCTTAGTTTCACTAAAGGTCATTCATTTTGTTAATTCTTTTCAAAGAACCACATTTTATCCTAGTTCTTCATTTCAAATGTATTGATATTTAGTTGGATTTATTTCTATGTAAACAAATTTCTTTTTTCCTCATTCTTGCTTCTATCTCATACTTTTTAATGGTGGTCATTTTACTCTACATAAATATATTTATATATTTACATATATATTTATATATAAATGATACAGAAATTTTATTAGTGGTACACTCAATATCTGTCTTAAAATATCTATCTTGCCCTCATTTTTGAAAGATATTTTTGCTGTTCATGCAATTTTTTTGTTTTGTTTGTTTGTTTTTGAGACGGAGTCTCTCTCTGTAGCCCAGGCTGGAGTGCAGTGGCGCAATCTCAGCTCACTGCATCCTCCGCCTTCTGAGTTCAAGCTATTCTCCTGCCTCAGCCTCCTGAGTAGCTGGGATTACAGGCATGCACCACCATGTCCAGCTAATTTTTAAATTTTTAGTAGAGACAGGGTTTCACCGTGTTGGCTGGGCTGGTTTTGAACTCCTGACCTCAAGTGATCCACCCACCTTGGCCTCCCAAAGTGCTGAGATTACAGACATGAGCCACCGCGCCTGGCCTATTCGTGAAATTTTAAATGAACAATTATAGGCTAATCAGAATTCTGTTGTCTCATGGCTTTTATCCTTTCCCTTGAGTCTGTTATCAATCTGTTTTGTTCCTAGGCTATGTCCTTTCTCTTTGACTGCTTTTTAGATCTTATCTTTGTTTTTAGTGTTGTTCAGTTTCAATATCAGTGTGTCTAGGTCTAGATTTCTTTTTATTCATCCAACCTGGTATATATTGTATTTCCTTTATTGATATATGTATTTTATAATATTCTTAGTTGTTTTTCCTTCAAATGTAGTCTTTTCTCCATTTTAAAATTGTTTCTTAGGACTCCTATTATTTATAAATTAGATCTTCTTATCCTATTGTCAATATATCTTAACCTCTATTTTGCATTATTCATCTCCCAATATTTTGGAGCTGTATTTCTAGTGGCTTTTTAATATCTACTTTCCAATTCACTAAATCTTTGGTTCTGTTTGTCTGTTTTATCTATCCAATGAGTTTTAAAATTTCTATAGTTGATAGTTGTTATTTCTATTTGGTTCTTTTTGAAATTTACTTGGTCATTTTTGATAGTCTGGTGTTGGCTTAGTTTTGTGATGTGTATCTTTTGTTATTTTTTTGTTACTTTATATATATTTTATCTCTTGTTTTATATGTATTATCTGGGAATTATAATACCCAAACTACTTAGTATCTATTTGTTGTTTCTGCTGACTCTCACTCAGCATGGCTTCTTTTCCTGTGTATTTTGGCATCTTTTATTATGACCTCATGTTTGCTTGATCTTTATTTGTGGAATCCTTGGGGTCTACACTGATGAAGGTTTTTGTGTTTTTTTGAGACAGGGTCTCACTCTGTCACCCAGGCTGGAGTGCAGTGATGCAATCATAGCTCACCGCAGCCTCAATCTCCTGGGCTCCAGTGATCCTCCCACCTCAGACTCCCAAATAGCTGGGACTACAGGCACAAGCCACCACACCTGGCTAATTTAAATTTTTTTTTTTTGGTAGAGTTAGGGTTTTGCCATGTTGTCCAGGCTGGTCTCAAACTCCTGGGCTCACATGATTCTTCCACCTTGGCCTCCCATAGTGCTGGGATTACAGGCATGAGCCACTGTTGGATGCTTTTACTAAAAAAGAAGTATTTAAAAAGAATTTTAGTTTGCTTCTCTCGGGAGCCAGGGATATGACTAATCTGAGGTCATTTTATCCCCCTTTAGTGGCCTGGCTTAATGAAGACTCTCAGGCTTAGCTTCTCCACCTTGTATACTGCTTTTCTAACTTGTTTGCCAGGACTTCCTCATTGCCTATTACATAGTAGGTATTATAAAGGTATTTGATTAAAAACCATTGAGTAGTTCAGTGTGCCTTTAAGCTTGAAGTTATGCAGAAAGAAGAATTATTCTCATGCTACTCATGAGAAGCTTAGGTTCAGAATGAGAAGTGATGATGAGTTGGCAGCTGAAAAGCTGTGGGAGTAAGACTCAATATTCAATTATTTAAAAAATCAATAAAGAAAAAATGTTAATAATGTACATTACCTTTCCTTCCATTAGAAATTAAAAGAGCATTTTTGGCAAGAGTCAAATAGGAACCTCTTTTTTTCAAACACAGACTGGAATGTGTTTCATCCCTTTGGTCTATATAAATTTTTCCTCTGGTTTCAACCAATAGATTGTACTTTATTTCCTGACTTTAAAAAGTGGCATTTACTATGTCTCCTAAAATTCCTTGCACTTTACAATTTGCTTTTACAATGATTTCTAAAGTATTCTCAGTTATTTCAGATGAGACATTTGTTAGGAGATTCAAGCCATTAACAAACTTGGTTGCTGTATGATTGGAAGAATTGGTTTCAGATTTCTGAGATTATAGAAAGAGATTCTGAGATGATGTGAGTGGCCCTAAAATGTCATTTCCATATATCACAACTCCAAAATGTAAGAAAATCACATATATTTTAAAATATATACTTAACCTGAAGAAGACTAAAGCTAAATACATAGGGAAACCTCTTTTTAGCTAAAGATGACCTTTGATAGCAAACTTACCATTTTGCAACCTGCCAGTCAGGCAGGCACGGAGTACTTGCTATGTGCCTAACAGTATTGGGAAAGGTGCCTTATTTGAGACTTACATCTAGGAGTGAATTTTATAATCATCTGTGTAGTCTATTACAAGCATCTTAAGGACAAGAGTAAGATCTGTTCATTATTAGGAATTTGCCACTGTATCTGTAATTCTGCTATGAGGTTATAAGAACCAGAACTATTGTGGCAGTTAGAGAAAAAGACTAGATATTACTTAAAAGAATAGGCCGGGTGCGGTGGCTCATGCCTGTAATCCCAGCACTGTGGGAAGCCGAGGCGGGCAGTTTGCCTGAGGCCTGGAGTTCGAGACCAGCCTGGCCAACATGGTAAAACCCCGTCTCTACTAAAAATACAAAAATTAGCCAGGTGTGGTGGCACGTGCCTGTGATCCCAGCTACTCAGGAGGCTGAGGCATGAGAATCACTTGAGCACGGGAGGTGGAGGTTGCAGTAAGCCAAGAGGTGTCACTGCACTCCAACCTGGGTGATAGAGCGAGACTCTGTCTCAAATAAATAAATAAATATTAAAAAGAAGGCACACAGTTCTGGGACCTCTCTATCTTACTAGTATGATATCTGATATAACATATGTTCTGTATACTTCCAGAACAAATTCAATTCGACAAGACTGGCCAAGTCCCTGATTTCAAGGAGATTTGGGGAGATAGAAAAGACTTACAACAAAACCATTAAACAGCAGCAGAAAGCAGTGTGTTAAGTAAAAACAGGTGATTCTGAAAGTAAATGCCACAGAAGTTGATTGAACGAGATCACTGTGGGTTAAGGTAGAAGGAGAACCTTTCATAAGATGTTATATGAGTTAACTTGGGTGGGGAGGAGGACACTGGGGAAGAAAAATGAGAATGAGTAAAGGCAGGGAGACAGGAAACATATTATCTTGTTGAGAAACAGAGGGAAAAATAGTCTGTCTACAGTAAAATGTTTGAGTAGGGAGTAGCTAGAGATGGCACTGGCAAGGTAGGAAAGCACAGATTATGAAGGACCTTAAAATTTCAGTGGACTCTAAGCTTTGTGTGGGCATAGATCATGTCTATCTTGTTCACCATTGTAACCCTAGTATCTACCCTAGAGACTGGTACATAATATGTGTTCAATAAAATTTTGCTGGATGAATTAATTGCTTGGATGAAGACAGTTTGAAATGTTCAGTCTGTATCTGGAGATCAGTGAGGACCCACTAATAACCTCATAGTAGAACATGAACTAGTCATGTTATAAATAGAAAAATTATTCTCAAGGTAATGGGCAAAATAAACCTGGGGGGTGGGTGGTAGGGAGGCAGTGGAGGCTGGAGGCTGAATGTAGGCAGGGCAACCAGGCTATTCCTGTGATCATGCTTTAGGTGAGAAAGGTTAAGAGTGGAATGAGGATAGTGGGAGAGGAGAGTTGTTTTGAGATTGAAGCAACTGAATTGTGATTCACTGGCAAGTTTTCTGCCTAAAAGACAGTGAAAGGGATGTTGTCAAGATGGATAAATAATGAGTTGATTTTTGTAGTTGGCATTTGAATCTGAGAATTTCTATTCCCATTACAAATCTTTTTTCTAGTATTTCCTTTCCCACATGATCATTTGGTTGGGTTTTTTTCAACAATGCTCAATTATCCATCAATTATTTTTTCTGAAAGAATTACGTTCACCTATTTTTTAATATTTCTGAATTGTCAGAACTATTATACAATTCCATACAATTCCCATCACATCAGGATGGATTTGGGCAGTGCCAACATAGAAAACAACTAGAACATCTCTTTCTTTTCTTTCTTTCTTTCTTCCCTTCTCTTTCTTTCTTCCTTCCTTCCTTTCTTTTCTCCTTCCCTTCCTTCCTTCTCTCTCTTCCTTCCCTTTCTTTCTTTCTCTTTCTTTCTTTCTTTCTTTCTTTCTTTCTTTCTTTCTTTCTTTCTTTCTTTCTTTCCTTCTTTTCTTTCTTTCTTTCTTTTCTTTCTTTCTTGTCTGTCTCTTTCTCTCTTTCTTTCTTTTTCTTTCTTTCTTATCTCGATGGAGTCTTGCTCTGTCACCCAGGCTGGAGTGCAGTGCCGTGATCTCGGCTCACTGCATCCTCCACCTCAAGCGATTCTCATACCTCAACCTCCCGAGTAGCTGGGATTACAAGCACCGGTCACCAAGGCCTGCTAATTTGCTTTTTTTTTTTTTTTTTTTTTTTTCATTGAAGACAGTGTTTCACCATGTTGGCCAAGCTGGTTTTGAACTCCTGACCTCAAGTGATCCGTCCACCTCAGCCTCCCAAAGTGCTGGGATTACATGAGTGAGCCACCACACCCGGCCATAGAACATCTGTTTTGAGAGTGCACAGAGGAAGAGAGGACAGGGCGTGAGAGTGGAATCCCACCTTTTTAGTTAGAATTTCTAGATCTGGTGGCTTTTTATTATGTTGCTTATTAGCATCAAGCGCTAGTTGATAAACCTCCAGGGCACTAAGAGGTTTTTGTTGTATTTTCTCCTTTTTATCCTGACATATAGAAAAAGGGGATTTGTTCAGAGTGGTCACCAGCCCGGCCCAGCCCCGACTCTTCAGAGTTGATGCAGTAAATCAAGTGTATGCACAGACCTCCCTTGAGTGTCTGTTGGCTCAAGACCGGGTGCTGGGTGGGGGGACCCTGACGCCCCCCGCTGACTCGAGGGTCGCTGGAGGAAAAGTCCCGCCCCATCCCACCCCGCCCATAGGCTTTCCGAGAGCCTGGCCGACTCGGAGGGGCTGGTGGGTCGGTCCCCGCGTGTGGACTGCGGGCTGAGCCCCCTCAGGCGACCGTGGTCTTCGCTCTCCTGTCAAGGGCATCACTTAGGGGAAGGAACGAACGGCCCTTTCTTGCTTTCTCTCTCTGGGACCAGAGAGCTGGAGAGCCATTCGGAGCACCCACGTTATTTTTCTTCTTATTAAGAAGACGGGCGGGGAGAGGGGAGGACGCAGACCCTCGTTCCTCGGGGACAGAGCCCCGCCCGGCGCCGCGGCAGAGCGGCTGCTGGACCCGGGTGGGCCCCGGCGGCTCGGGGCGGGGGAGGCGCGCCCCGCCCAGCGCGGCCGCGGGTGTCAGCGCTGCCGCGCCCGGCGGGTCCCTGCGGCCGCTGCGTCCCCGCCCGTCGGCCTTGCTGCGCGGAGCGGGCGGCCAGGTGTCCTGCGGGCGGCGTCCCCGCACCGGGAGCCGGAGGGGGCCGGGGCCGGGCGGGCGCTCCGGGGCTGCCTTCTTCCCCGCGCCCTGCGGGGCTGTCCAACGCCTTCCAGCTCCGGCTCCCGCTGCCTGCACCATGTCCGCCAGAGGTGAGTGGGGACCAGGTGGGCACCGTCCACTGACCCCGGCGGGCCGAACAGGTGCGGGAGGGCGGGGGGGCTGCGACAGCCGCGCCGGCCCCAGCCCGGCCTGAAACTTTGGCAGCGGATCCCCGGGCTCGGGGCTGCCGGGGGCCGGGGGCAGGGGAAGGAAGCCCTCGCCCTTGACCTTGATCCCCGGATGTGGGCGAGCCTAAGGGCCAAAGTCGGCGCCCCGCTCACCTGTGCCCGCCGCGCGTCTGGGCTGGGAGGCGTGGGGGATGGGCTCGCGCTGGCTGCCCTGCCGGGAGCTGTGGAAGGGCTGGCCAGGAGGGAGGAAGAGGTATTTTTTCCTCCTTTCTAGTTACCATTTTGCAGCTCGGCTATGGAAGAAATCCAGGGCTTGAGGCAGCACGATTTAAAGCTGCAGTGCTTACACCCCATTAAAAAAAAAAAAAGTAAATTCCCCACCTGTACTCCCCTCTGCATGAATCTCCCCTTCCACTCCCCACCCATTTTCTTTCTGGAGTAAAACAATTACTGCAGGTGAAATGGGTGGAAGAAAAAAAAATCAGAATTGCTTTTCAGGCAAGAATAAAGGGAATGTATTTCTTGCCATCTGGAGCCAGCGACGATGCTGGGGAGAGTGGGTTAGTCATAGCTCAGTGGCTGCTAGTATGAGTGAAATATTAAAGAGATCAAGTCATTCTGCAGCTTGCGAGCAATTAAAATGAAGTGAATTGGTTGCTTTGCCGTAAGCATTTAAAGAAAATATTGATTATTTTTAGAAAGTGTATTTGCAAAGCAGTAAGTGCCACCCCTTTTGATACCCTGAAGGCAACCTGTAAGAGGAGTTGCGGAGTTGTTTTTTTATTTTTTATTTTAAACTCCGAAGCTTTAATCCTGCTTTTTGGAAGGAGTTTAGGAATTTGATAACGTGTTGGATAATTAAGCGCTGCTTTTCAGAGTTCATCCTGGGGCATATAATGAATAGAGTAATCTCTATCCAGAGTGTTTTAATTCCTTTTCAAGCACTCTGATCTTTGTTGATGATTGCTTTGGCGATATGGTTGGTTGGATCTGTACCTAGAAATGGGGTGGAAAGGACTTGGTGGAATGACAGAATTTATATTGTAGATACCAGGATGCAGAGGTGACATAGGGCTCTGAGATACTACCTGCCTATTCATGCCTAATTATTCACGTATATTAGAGAACGAAAAAAGAGCATGGAACAGATAACACCATAAGGGACTTGGTGTGTATATGGATGGAGTCATAACAATCTCTGAACTATGTTCTTAGACTGAGGCTTTGAGTGCTGACCGCTGTCCTAAGTACCACAAGGAACATATGGAGAATATCTCTTATAAGTTGTAAATCTCTCTGAGGTCAGAGTCCACTTCTGATTCAGCTTTACAGCACCCAAACCTGTTAGTGCAGAACCTTGCACACTGTAGGGGCCAAGTAACTATGTGGAATCTCGGTATGCCCTAGGAAGCATCAAGTTTGTTAGGCCGTCACACAATTTCATTTAGTCTCTGGCCCCTCCTATTCCAGGGTCTCGGGTTTATCTGAGGATGTGAAATGAAGATGGCCCCAGAGATTCTAAGGGGCTCTAAGCCCTGGAATGGGACTGAGTTCTCAAACATTTCTTCTTCAACCCAGTTTCAAGCAGGATGGTTTGGAGTCAGCTATAGACATTTCATTCAGTTGTCTTATTTCCCCTTCAAACTTCATGTTGGTCATCTTGCATTTAACAGTTTGAAGTCTGACTAATCTTGTAGAGGGAAAAATATCTATAATAATAAATATCAGTTATTGTATGTTTATTAGGTGTCAGGTACTTTACATGTGTTACATTATTTAATCCTCACAATGACTCAATCAAGTAGCTATTGTTATTACCTCCCCATTTTACAGATGAAGGAATTGAGGTTTTGAGAGATTATAAAATTTGCCTGAGCTAAGCTTGGTAAATGGCAGATCCTGATTTCTACCCAAATCTGTCTGATTCTGATCACATCCACTTTGTTTTACTACTTCTGTTATTAGTCCTTCAAATATTGTAATAGACATCACAATCATTGATTTGCTAAGAAGAGAGAGAGAATGGCTTAGACATGGCATTGAAAGGAAATAGCCTTGATAAGTAACTTGGAATTTCCAATACATTTAGAAACATCTTGGTAGGCATTTGGTAATGACAAAGTGTGGAAAACAAGGCCGCTGATACTAGATGTTGTTAATTTGATATTCCTAGTTTTTTCTTCCTATTTCAGTGTTGAGAACCAGAATTTCCTAGACATTACCAAAGACTGAGGATTTTACGTATCTTTTTATGCAGCACTTTTATTTATGTGAATTTGAAAAAAAATTCTAAAAGATTAGTAGAGTGCTTAGTAGTTACGGAGTTGAGTTTGTCTAGAAATGTGTATATTTTTGTCATTAATTTTTTAAAAGATTTCAAAACTGTGGGCTTCACTATGGTGTTTCAATTCAGTCATCTGCTCTTGTCTGTACTCCTGAAAGGGGAAATAAGCTTATAGGACCAGAAGCTTAATGTGTCTACTTAAGTACCTAACTTATCAATAGGAAGTCCTTTAGATCCTTGAAAAGATAAATGCTCTTGATTTTTAAAATGATCTCTACTTATTTCTAATATCTAGGCTTGTAGATTATGGTAGGAATAATAGAATATTTTTTTTTTTTATAGTTGAAAATGGCCGGGCGCAGTGGCTCACACCTGTATGTAATCCTGTCACTTTGGGAGGCTGAGGTGGGTGGAACATGAGGTTAGGAGTTTGAGACCAGCCTGGCCAATATGGTGAAACCCCATCTCTACTAAAAATACAAAAATTAGCTGGGCATGGTGGCGCATGCCTGTAGTCCCAGCTACTCGAGAGACTGAGGCAGGAGAATAGCTTGAACCCAGGGGGCAGAGGTTGCAGTGAGCCGAGATTGTGCCAGACAGAGCGAGACTCCATCTCCAAAAAAAAGAAAAGAAAAGAAAAGAAAAAAGTAGAAAACAGCCCCCCTTAAGGGGGCACACAATGGAGACAGGGGCTGGGGCTGCTTACCTCAGTCCCATTTGCTTGACTTACTTGTCCTTGTGTCTCAGGTGTGCTCTCTGCCTGCTTGTGAGGTTCCCCTGTTCAAGCCTTTGGTGGGATCATGTGTTTGGGGGCCTTGTGGGAGGTCAGCTGCACTGGAGTGCTGCCCATGGCCTGCGCAGGACATTTCCCAGCAAGGGCCAGAGGAGTTACTGTGTTTTCAGTCTGAATTGAATGTCAGAGCCAGCCAGCAGGGCTTCATCCTCTTGGGGAGAACACTGCTTAGCAGATTAGGTCCTGGATAACTTGCTTGTATTTTTTTAAATTAAATGTCCCTGGTTGGTTTAAAAAAAGGAAAAGAAAACAATGAAATCAATTGGCCGGGTGCGGTGGCTCACGCCTGTAATCCCAGCACGTTGGGAGGCTGAGGCGGATGGATCACTTGAGGCCAGGAGTTTAAGACCAGCCTGGCCAACATGGTGAAACCCCATCACTCTTAAAAATACAAAAATTAGCCGGGCATGGTGGCACACGCCTGTAATCCCAGCTACTCGGGAGGCTGAGGCATGAGAATCGCTGATATTGCGACTTTGCACTCCAGCTTGGGTGACAGACTGAGACTCTATCTCAAAAAAACAAACAAACAAATAAATCAATTTAATCTCATAAGAAAAGCAACTTTATTTTTAAAATTTTAAGAGAAAAGTATTAAAATCCAGTTCTCTATTCAAGCTAACAATTAAAAGCATTCTTTAATTTTATGATAGAGCAAGCTAAGACATTCCCATCTTGTGGTATTTTAGGATACTCTCATCAAAGACTTGTAACTTGGTGTTGTATTTTTCCACTAGAGACCAAAACGGATCCATTATATTTTGATTTTTGAATTACCAGCTAGAGGAAATTATAACACTTGGAATAGAGTTTCCATACCTGGGGAGAATTGTCTAGGCAACCTTTTAAAAATATAGATTCCCAGGCCTCATTCCAGATCTAATGGTTTCTAAACACTAAAGATAGAGTCCCAAAACATGTGAAAAGTGATTCTAAGGACCACTAGATTACAGTGGTGTCCCATTATGGCAGGATCATAAGAGTCAACTGGAGTGTTTATCAAAGGTACTGATACAAAGCCTCTTCTTCAGAGCTACTAAATCAGAATATTCAGGTTAGGCCTGGGCATCTGCATTTTTAATAAGCCCCAGTTATTTCTTATGTACAGGCAGACTTGGGAGCCATTGAATTAGAGCTTATTTTCTCTAATGCCGGGTCTGGATCATCCTGCAAGCTTTCAAAAAAGTTATTTTTAAGTTATAAAAGTAATATATTAAAATCAGGTTGGGTGCAGTGGCTCATGCCTCTGATCCCAGCACTTTGGGAGGCCAAGGCAGCATGAGGTCAGGGGTTCAAGACCCACCTGGCCAACATGGTGAAACCCCGTCTCTACTAAAAAAAAAGTACAAAACTTAGGTGGGCATGGCGTTGTGCACCTGTAGTCCCAGCTACTCGGGGGCTGAGGCAGGAGAATTGCTTGAACCTGGGATGTGGAGGTTGCAGTGAGCCAAGATCATGTCACTGCACTCCAGCCTGGTCAACAGTCTCAAAAAAAAATCACTATCAATGTATTAATACAACAAAACTATGTTAACATACCTATATAATACATTAAAATATTAAATTATAAATTAATACAGTATGTTTAAATTCAAACAGGCTGGAATTATACAAAGTTAAAAATGAAAATCTCCTATTTTCTCCCTTCCTATCAAAACCTCAGAATTAATGGCAAACAGTGCATCCCATAAACCCTTCCAGACAATTTTCTATCTGGTTAGCTTTCGGTCCAATTCAATAAATAGTAAATACATACACCATGCAAGACACATGCAGAAAACAAACACTTTACAAAGAAGCAATCACTCAGTGAAACTGCTGGCTTTTCAGAAGCTTGAGTCATGAGGAAAAAGGCCCAGGTGTGTGTGGATAGATTCCATTGCACTGGCAGGGAAATAACTCATGTGTGCTGTCGAAATCTTAGACCAGTTTTGCTAACGTTGTTTTCGGAACTTCCACAAAACTGGAAGCAACCTAACTGCTCATCCATTGGGGGAATGAGTGACCAGATTGTGGCGCATACATGTGGACTATTACACAGTTATTGGAAAGAGTGAGTGAGACCCATATGCACTGGTCTGGAGGGATGGCCATGATACATTGTTAAGTGAAAAGAGTGTGTTTTAGAATAAAATCTATGTCATAAATGACCCTAGTTTTGTAAATTGAGAAAAATCCCTATGTGTGCATATGTGTGTGTTCCACAAGCAGAGAAAAAATCATAGAACAGTACATAACAAGCATTTAGCAGTGGCTACCTCAAAGGTAAGGGTGAGGAGGGAAGGTGGTTGGCTTTTCTTTGGCTATATCTTTATGTTGTTTGGTAGTAAGTAAGAACAGCTTTAATAGATTGAGAGAAAAATCCAATAAAGGAAAAATGTCCACTTAATCCCTACTCATTCATTTCACTTATTGGAGTCAGGGACATAGATTTTTATTGATTTATCTGATGAACATTTATTGAATAATTGTTACATGCCAGCAATTAGTTAATAGGGCTCAGTATGTACCCTCAAGGAGCTCACAGTTTTATGGGGAAGACAAATACACACATATTTATAAAAGGATATCCTGGCCGGGCACAGTGGCTCACGCCTGTAATCCCAGCACTTTGGGAGTCTGAGGCAGGTGGATCACAAGGTCAGGAGATTGAGACCATCCTGGCCAACACAGTGAAACCCCATCTCTACTAAAAAATAAAAAAAATTAGCTGGGCGTGGTGGCGGGCGCCTGTAGTCTCAGCTATGTGGGAGGCTGAGGCAGAAGAATGGTGTGAACCTGGGAGGTGCAGCTTGCAGTGAGCAGAGATGCGCCACTGCCCTCCAGCCTGGGCGACAAAGTGAGACTCCATCTCAAAAAAAAAGGATATCCTGAGTGGAGAAAGAGAGAGCGAGTGAGAGAGAGAGAGAGAGAGAGAGAGAGCATATGGGATAGAGTGAGAATTATGGTAATACCAAAGAGTGGCATTGAGTTAGCTGTGGGCATGACAACCATATCAGGTGAGGCTTCTTAAAGAAAGTAGAGTTGTTTTCTTGAAGAATGAGTTGGACTTAGCCAGGTAAAAAAGAATAGGATGGAGGGAAGGCCTTTCCAAGGAAAAGGGCATGAAAAGAAGTGGCATGGTGAGTACTGAACCTAGGAAGCCTGTTGCTGCCAGATGACATATTTTTCAGGGAGAGGAGAACCAGATCTCAGTGGAGTTGGGAGATGGAGAGGGCACTTTGGGGAAAGGCTGAGGATGTAGGGTTTTTCACTGACAAGGGCTTGCAGTTCCAGAGCACAGTGGAAGGTTGTCAGTGGTGAGAGATGTGCAGTGGGAAGGAAGAAACAGGGCAGAAAGGGATGAGAAGGGAGAGGAGGGCTCTGTTCTTCCCATGGCTGAGACTGCAGAAATGAGAGAGATGGTTGCGCATGACAAGTTTGAAATGTCCTAACTTTGGCATGAGGAATTTGGTTGCAGACTGAGCCGAGAGCCTGGGCAGTAGCAAGCTGGGGCAGAGAGGTGATAGGGGCTGCCATCTGCTTCCTCGAGTAGCAGCAAAGCTGTCTGCTAAGCATGGCTTGTTCATGGGGTTGGGGCCAAGGTTAGAATGTGGGCGGAGGGACAATAGGAATCAGAACCACACTTTTTTTTTTTTTGCCGATTTCTTGAGCTTTGATGCCTATAGCAGAGCCTAAAATGTATCTGCTAGTTGATAAATGGGAGACTTCTTCATTTCATCTTTCTTCTCTCTTACTTCTGCCCACCACTCTGGGCCTCTTGTCCCAAGCATCACTCTAGCTTTATCGGTTTCTTTCATGGTGATGTTGTAAAGATTAGTGCACTAAGAGTTCTTATTTGGTGTGATATGGGGGCCATGTTTCTGGCCTGTATCAACTACAGTTTCTCCTCTCTTTGAGTTACAGGGCTCCCAAGCAGTTTATTAAATCAAGGAAAGGAGAAACTATCTTTGAAAGCCAAGTTTAGCCATTATTAGATTTAGTATTTAATATCAAAACAGCAAAACACTACATTTCCTGGAAGTTCTTTTTTGCATTTAAAATAAATGGTTCTGATTCAATAAACAGATTTCTTTTTTACATGAGAGAGATCATTTTGGACATCAATATCTCACATGTGGGAGTGTCATATGTTTCAGCAAAGATTTTCAGAAGGTTGAATTGTTCCCACATTGTATCTGTGAACTGCATTATGTTTTGTTTTGTTTTTTAATTTTTGGGAACTTGTGTAGACAAGCTTGAGTTAATCACACTTCTCAGGTAATGGTTTACTATCATTGTCAGTCCATCAGGACCTGCTGTGGTCTAATATATTGATTATTTTATCTCCATTATTTAATTTCATTACCTTTTTGCCATAGGCAACTATTCTTATACATTTGATATATGTGTCCTTGAATTTGTAGTAAAATCAATCCTTAGATCAGTTCTTGAGCTATAAGCACTAAGTCAGTGTGTGTGTGTGTGTGTGTGTGTGTGTGTGTGTGTGTGTGTGTGTGTGAAGGAGAAATTTTCTTCTTGCTGAGAATGGAATAGAAGTCAGTGGGGTTGTAATTTATGTTAGATATAAAAGGGATTCAACAATTAAGAAAAGATATGCTTTTTCTCTTCCCTCCTCCCCAAAACAGAACTGGCAACCATATATCTGAAAATATCTTAACAGCAAGCAAGACAATATAATAGACAGTGTTGAACTCTTAATCTGTCACCCTTTCTCACCGAGATTCAATCAGCTAGTATTTATTGAACCTCTCTCCTGCAGCATCCAGACTAATTTCAAATCCTGTCTATTCCTGGGCTGAGGATGCTAATATACTAATTAATGTAGTCATTTAACAAATAGTTATTGAGCCCTCTGCAGTAAAGATTGTCATGGTTTTTGGGTGGAAAAAGATTAAAGGACATTAGAATTTGTGGTTAAGGTTGGGACAAATGGGCTGATCGACATTTATGGCTCACATTTAAGTATATATTTACATATACTATATAAGTTATAATTCCACCTGGGATGCTTCTATCTAGGACAAATGTTAAACCTGCTGAGATACTGGGACAATAGGTGTATACTGGGGCTATCCTAGGAAAATTGAGACTGTGGCCTTTCTAACTGGTAGTGTTTCTAGCCAGCATGCCTTATGGTGTCGGTGTATTCCTTGGCCTTAAAAGATCGACTTTTGATCAATAGCTGAATATCTGCCTGTAGTATTAGCTACTTTGTAGATTATCTACCTCAAAATTTAAACTTAAATCTTAGGCTGCCTATTTCCTCCCCTTCAATCCAGCACATTTTTGGGCTATTTTCCCAAATGGCAAGTTGGTGTGCTGAGGTATAATTACTATCAGAGACTAACAGCGTTTAGCATAAAGTCAAATCAAAATAAAATTTTAGAATATTTGTTTTTTATTTCTTAGGTAATTCACATGATGATTTTATTCTATTGGGTTAAATTATCCAGATACAATTATCATGGGAAGGAAATGCTTAGTGCCTTTGGGACCTTCATTATCATGGGAAAGGCTCTATTTTTTCCGGTTAATATAGTTTCACATAAGCTTTAAAATGTATAGTTTGGTTTACCTGTGGTTATCTTTGGACTCACAACCTACTTGATTTTATGCCAATGTGCTAGAGATTTATCTTTTCCAGCATATTGTATGATTTTAATGGGAAAATTATCTAATTTGCATTTACCACTATAAGGAAATTGCCCGTTAAAAAATTAGTTTTGGATGGTATATCCTTATTTAGTTGATGAACCTATAAAAGCCTTTGTATTATTGAACCCTGCATTAAAATAAACATGAAAGCAGGAGTTGTGGGTCGAGCATGCAAAAATGATTTGCTGATTGATTGGCGATCATGTTGTTTTAGTCCTTTGTTAGATAATTTTTATAGGCTTGCTTGTAGGAGGAAGAGCTGAACATGCATAATTATTATTATTCATATTTTAAATAAACACAATTAGTCCTTTCTTCTGTATGGTGTGTTCTTTCTCCAGCTCTTTAACATTATTACTTTTGAGAATAATATTAGATGATATATGTATAAATGAAGAAACTTTACCTGTGTTAGGGTCAATTTTTAAATAGTTTTTCCTAAAGAAAATATCACATAATATATTTTTACTTTAGGCTGTGTCCAGGGTCTTTACTGATACTTTTCTTTCTCAACTTATTGGGAATTCATTTAAAAAACATCCACCACAGGGAAGCCACCAGAGAACTGAATGGTAACAATGAAGGGAAACGAGGACAATGAGGTAAACAGCTATTTCTGGCTTTCAGCTCCAAATAGGAATGAACAGAAGGAGAGGAGTCCCAGAGTCTGGGGGAAGGAGGGAGGGGACAGAGCCATAATTTTTAAAAGTCAAAAAAATGTAGAAAAGAGGTTTGGGGTTGGCAATCTCTAATGGATTCCAGGGAGAATTTTTTTGTTCTTGTTGTTCTGGTGTAAAACAAAGGAATCTTTATTTTGAATCACTTAAGCATTGAGTGAGTAATGAGCATGGGCATCAGGGATGGGTGAGTTTTTTTCACCAGTTCCTTGTGACTACTTATTTTAGGAGAATCTATTCTGTGGTTAGATGCTTTATATAAACTGTAGAATTGTAGTTGGCAAGAATGTATTCATTTCTTCAGTTATTCCATAAGTATGAGTTGAACACCTACTAAGTGGTCTAGGTTTTGGAGTGTGACAACCACTTACCATATAAACATATGATAGGTGGTGTAAAGTACTGTGAAAAAAATTTAAAAAAGAAGAATGGAGAATATTAGAGAGGTGAGAGTGTGGGGAAGGTGCTATTGCATATGGGGCGATAATGGAAGGCCTCTTTGATAAAGCGACATTTCAGCAGAGACCTGAAGGAAGTGAGGGGTCATGAAGATATCTGGTAAAGAGTTTTTTAGGCAGTGAGATGAGCAATTCCAAGGCCCTGAGAGCTGTCAGGACCAGGAGGCAGGCTTGTGTGGCTGGATCAGAGAGTACGGGAGAGGGATGGAGATGAAGTCAGAGAGGTAGTTGGGGGAAGGAGGGTGTCTAGTTGGTCCTTGAGACTGCTGTTATGATTTGAGTTCTTCCCTGAGTTAGATTAAGTGAGTTAGGTGAAAGTTCTGAGCAGAGTTGTGACATGATTTGATGTAGTTTAAAAGGATCATTCAGTCAACATGTAGATGGTAAGGCAAGGGTGGAAGCAAGAAGAACAGTTAGGAGGCTACCGTAATGGTCAAGATAAGAGAAGATGGTGGCTTGGACCAAATGGGAGGAGAGCAGGTGCTGAGAAATTATTGGATTCTGGAAATGTTTCTAAAGAATTGCTTAGAGAACTTGCTGATGAGTTGGCAACATGAAGTAGAAGAAAGAGGGGAATCTTAGATCTCTCCAATTCTTTCAGCAACTGGGAGGATAGCATGTCATTTCTTGCAATGAGGAAGAGTATAGAAGGGGCAGATTTGGGGAGGAGATCAAGTATTTTGGACATTTGAAATGTTTCTTAGTCAGCCTTCTATGAAAATATTTATTATTCCTATTTTACAGTTAGAGAAAATGAGACATAGAGAAATGAAGAAACTTGCCTGAGATCATCATCTAGCTAATAAGTGGTTGACTCAGGATTTAAATTCAGGTCTTGTTCGTGCCAGAGGATGCTCTATTTACTGTTACAATGCTGCCTCTTTACATTCAGCTGCAATATACCAGGAAAAGAATCTATCTATTTTTCATTTCTTAATTATTTATGGTTTCTCATTATGGGATAATTTTCTGCATTTTTAAACATGGCTTATGTTTAAGGAAGAAAAAATAAACCATAATCACATTATTCCAAATTATGCCATTTATCAACATTATCATTGTTAGCACTGCAAAAACACTATTGAAATATGAAGATGCATGCTCTATGATTTGGCACTGAGTGCTTGGTATGAGCCAGGCTCAGGGGATCCTAGCTCCTTTCCTTATAGAGTTCCAGAGTGATGAAGGTGAGAGACCTGTCTGCAGAAGTTGCACTACAACGTGTCCAGTGGCACGATGGCGTTACATACAAGATGTTCAGGAGAACAGAGGAAGGATACCAGTGCATCCTGATTGGATATGGGGCCAAGGAAGACTTTACAAAGCAAGTGATATTTAAATAGGGCCTTGAAGAACAAGTGGAATTTGCCAAATGGAGAAGTGGTTGAAAAGCATTCTAAGCACAGGAAATGGTGCTTGGAAATTTTAGAATTTACAAATGGTAATTAAATATATTAAACATTAAGAATAAAACATCTGAAGTTAAATGTAACATGCAGACACAATATGAGGAAAAATTTTAAACTCTACTGAGAAACATAAAATATTTAAGTCATTGGAGAGACATACTAGGCTCTTGGATGATAAGACACAATATTATAAAAATGTTCATCTCCCCTAAATCTCGGCATAAAAGAAATAAAATTGCAGTTAAAATGGCAACAAGGTCTGTTTTAGGGACATGGCAAAATGATACTATTGTTCATTTTGCAAAATGAAATATATGAAATCCAAAAACAAATAAAGTGTAATTAAGGGAGATTAGCCCTATCAGATCTTAAAAAGCAATATGAAACTATATTAATTAAAAGAGTTTAGTGTTGGAAAAAATTAGACAGAGTAATGTCTAGTTATAGTATAGTGAACAAATGTGCATAGGATTTATTTATAGTAAAGGTAGCATTTAAAGATCAGTGTGAGAAGAAAGATCCCCAGTAATCGATGTTGGAGCAACTAGCTAACTATTTAGAAAAGATAAATCTACATCCTTTTCTTACTTCTTTTAGAACACACACACACACACACACACTCACAAACACACTCACAATTCCTATGGATTAAATAATTAAGTATTTAATAAATGGATTTAATCCTATGGATTAAATAATTAAGTATAATAAGTGAAAAAATAGAAATCCTAGAAAAAAACATGGGTGAATTTATAACTGAGAGTGTCTCGACCTTCTAAACAGGATACAAAGCCTGAAAGTCATGAAATAAAAAGTAGATACATCTAACTATGCAAAAATAAGACTTCTATGTGGTTAAAAAATACCATATTCAGCATTCTGGCTTGTGATTCTCACAAGGCCCCAGCAGAGCTGGCTTGAACCTGGCCACCTGCCCCAGGACAGTTAAGTCAGCAAATAACAGAGCGGAGCCAGAGGCAGGTGTGGGATACGACTAAAGTGCCTTCAGAAAGCTTGGCAGATAATTGGACCGATAATGTCATGGCTTACCTGAGGACCTCACTGAAGTTTTACTCTCTGTACAAAGCCGGCTAGACAAGTACTGAGGGTGGTGTTCACTCATTCATGCCACAAACGCGTAGAGCTTTTCTTATTATTTTTCATTCCACAAACGGGAGAGCTTTTAGCACCACATGCATGAAGCACAGGAATGAGTAAGGTATAGTCCCCGCCTCAGAGAGTCCATATTGGACCTCCACTTGGTATCTGAAATATTCAGAATTGGAAGGCCATAGTCACTCCTGTTTTTCTCCTGCCTTCTAGAACATCAGTCCCCAACCTTTTTGGCACCAGGGACTGGTTTCGTGGAAGACAGTTTTTCCATGCACTGTGGTTGGGGAGGAATGGTTTCAGGATGAAACTGTCCCGCCTCAGAAGATCATCAGGCATTAGATGTTCATAGGGAGCCCAACTTATATCCTTCGCATGCACAGTTCACGGTAGGGTTTGCGTTCCCATGAGAATCTGTTGCCGCTGATCTGACAGGAGGTGGCGTTCAGGTGGTAATGCTCGCTTGCCTGCTGCTCACGTCCTGCTGTGCGGCTCCGTTCCTCAGGCTATGGACTGGCACCAGTCGGTGGCCCAGAGGCTGGGGACCCCTGTTCTAGAACATTCATACTCCTTAGGGTAGTCTGGCCTGAGGTTTTTGGATAGTTGTAGGAATAATGAGCAGTTCTTAGTCATTTGCTGTCACCACTCAGGAATGACACTGTCACACCTTTACCACAGGAAAAAAAGGGGATGCAGTGAGTGTGCTCTGCTCCTGGAAACTTGAGATGGACTGCCTGCCAGAAAGGAGGATAAAGAATCTCTCGGGGCTGGACTAGGCCTGGCAGCTTAATTAACTCGTTTATCTCAACCTTTTCTCTTTTCATAGCAAAGCTGCCTACAGTGATAAACACTAAGAGAAGGGTATTTATGTGCCGTGTTCAGAACATTTGATTTAAGTGAGCATTTTTATTAGTGTTTCTTGGAGATTAGCCTGCCCTGGTTCTCTGAATTCCTTTGATTACATCAGAGCCTTGCTTTGGAGGCAACCTTTCCCCCTGATTCATTGCTAATAAACACACTTTGAACTTGGTCATTGGACTCTGTTCTTCCTCTGATAACTAAATTTCTTCCCACCCAAACTTTTTCATGTTAGCATCCAACACACTGAACTGTAGGGAGACATCTGTCTAGGTGGCCCCAGCCACGTCTAGACTGCATTCTGTGAAGCCAGGGACCAAATATTACATGTGTATTTCCAGATCCTTGTCCTGAAGTGGAGTAGATATTTAATAAGCAATTATTGAAAGAATTGGGAGGAGAAACGTTGCCATCTAAGAAATTCACGGTTTGCTGGAGTAGAAAGATTTATGCAAAGGGTGAAGGGGGTAAAATAGAAGGTACAGTCTACAAATTTCTCTGTCCTTTCAGTTGAATTCTACTAAGTTAGACATGACCTAGAAGTTCATTTCCTTATAGGTTTGTTCTCTTAAACCTGACCAGAGGGCTGGGCGCAGTGGCTCACACCTGTAATCCCAGCACTTTGGGAGGCCAAGGCAGGCAGATCACTTGAGGTCAGGAGTTTGAGACCAGCCTGGCCAACGGTGAAACGCCGTCTCTACTAAAAATACAAAAAAATTAGCCAGGTCTAGTGGCATGTGCCTGTAGTCCCAGCTACTTGGGAGGCTGAGGCAGGAGAATCACTTGAACCTGGGAGGTGGAGGTTGCAGTGAGCCAAGATTGTGCCATTGCAATCCAGCCTGGGCGACAGAGCATGACTCCATCTCATCTCAAAAAACAAAACAAACAAACAAAAAAACAAACTGACCAGAGAAACAGTTGTGTTTTTTCAGCTTGGACAATGCAGTTTCTAACCTTGTTCATTGTGTTCGTTGGTGGGCTGGGTTCTTTATCCAAGTAGAAATTTATAATAAGCACTGTTAAAAAGTTTCTGGAGATTCCATGTACAGAAAAGTTATGAATATACAATGTAAGTAGAAAATGAATCCATTTAACTATCTATAAAACTACTATCTCCTAACCCCCCTACTGAAAAGAAAAAAAAGCTGCTTTGCCTTTTCACATATATGTTGAGATCTTTCTGTATTAGTATGTACAGACATTGCTCATGTTTTATGACTGCATAACGTTCAATCATATGGCTGTAGCATACCTGATTTAATAGTCCCTTATTGATAGAATCTTTGCTCATTTGTTTTTATAGACAATGCTGCACTGAATGTCTTTGTGTATATATCTTGAGGTTTTTAGAGCATAGCCGAAAGTATTAGTCTGTAACTTTTAATGAGCTTTACTGGTGATTCAGAAATAACGGAAAGAGAGCATGGTGCACAGAATTCCTCAAACGCCCCTCTGTGGCTGTCTTGCCCTATGCTCTCTTCGTGTACCATCTCCTGTTTTGCTCCCAAGTAGTCTCTGCCTTGCTGGGAACAGCTTATTTCTCCAGCACTATAAAATATTATAGATGATTCCTTTGTTTCTACCAAGGGGGAGACCATTTCTATACCAGAGAAAAAAGAATATTGACTCCCCCTCACTTCATTTAAAGCCAACCTCATTGCCTGTTACAGGATTAATTTTTTCCAGAATGATGGACAGCGAGAGATCTACGGCTTTTAGGTCAAAACAATCACAATATAGGCTGATGCTGATATATTTCCCAAAGGCTGGATTATTTATTCTTATTCACAGCCACTTGTTACCCTCAGTTAAAAAATGAAATCTGTTGCACGCATATATTCATTGCAGCACTATTCACAATAGCAAAGACATGGAATCAACCCAAATGCCCATCAATGATAGACTGGATAAAGACAATGTGGTACATATACACCATGGAATACTATGCAGCCATAAAAAGGAATGAGATCATGTCCTTTTCAGGGACATGGATGGAGCTGGAAGCCATTATCCTCAGCAAACTAACTCAGGAACAGAAAACCAAATACTGCATGTTCTCACTTACAAGTGGGAGCTGAACAATGAGAACACATAGACACAGGGAAGGGAACAACACACACTGGGGCCTGTTGGCAGGTGGGGTTGGGGGAGGAAGAGCTTTAGGAAAAATAGCTAATGCATGCTGGGCTTAACACCTAGGTGATGGGTCGATAGGTGCAGCAAACCACTGTGGAGCACGTTTACCTATGTAACAAACCTGCACATCCTGAACGTTTACCCCGGAACTTAAAATAAAAATAAAAATAAATGAAACCTGAGAATTCATTCTTTTTAAGGTTGCGTCCAAAGGTCCCTACTTAAAAATAATCAAAATGGCACATACTCAACAGGGGACAGTACGTTCTAGTGGAAAGAGTTGGACAAGGAGTTAGGAGACTTGAATTCTAGCTTGAGCTCTTCTCTTCCAGCTGTGTGGTCATGGACACACCATACAACAGAGTGCCCTCCGGGACCTCCATTCCCCATCCCTAGTCCCCTCTATTCCTTAGATGACCTCAGAAGACTCTTCCACTTACAAGACCTGAAACTAAAAATGAATTTCCAGATCAGATGACTCAATTTTACTTTGACTCAATTCCTGTAATGCATCATCTTGGCTGGAGTTCCAGTAGACAGGAGAGAGACTGGCAGCCTCTTATGTAATGTTACTTGAGCAAAGGGTTGGGGAAGGTGCTGGCTCCATCCTAATTCATGGCTCGAAGGTTTTGGGCTACATTTCTGCTGTGTGATTAAATGCACTCCTGATTTACTAGGAGAGTTGATGCAATTTCCAAGTAGCTTGCGATGGATTTGGTATTCTCAAGCCCATGAAATGAAAAGTTTGTTAGTGAAAGGGAGCACTTGTAATCATGGTCTTTCCATTTCCCCCCTGTGCATGAGTTCGTTTGTTGTACGCCTTTTTTTTTCTTTCCTTTTTTTTTTTTTTTGAGACAGAGTCTGACTCTTTCACCAGGCTGGAGTGCAGTGGTGTAATCTTGGCTCACTGCAACCTCCACTTCCTGGGTTCAGGTGACTCAACTGCCTCAGCCTCCCGAGTAGCTGGGACTACATGTGTGCGCCACCATGCCCAGCTAATTTTTGTATTTTTAGTAGAGACGGGGTTTCACCATGTTGGCCAGGATGGTCTCAATCTCTTGGCATCGTGATCTGCCGCCTCAGCCTCCCAAAGTGTTGTATGCCATTTTTAATGGTGCTTGTGACATATTCTAGTTAGGGAGTCCAAACTTAAAACTAACAGAGGGCCAATTTTCTCTTGGAGAGTGTTGTTTGATATTCATTAAGTTTATTGAATGAATTTATTTAGAAGCATTGGCCGATGAGACTTAATATAAGACTATCGTGTGTAATTTATAAAATAATTTAAATTATATCTTTTATTTATTTATTTTTCTTTCTTTTTCTCAGACTTACATCTTTTGTATGGAGTAGAAAGGACTAGAAAAATGTCAGTATCTTCTCTTTTTCTTCCCATGCCTCCTAACGTTTCTGGTACAAACAACTCCCCAATGTTTTTTGGCAAAGAGCAATGAGAAAATGGCAAAAATGAGAATTTTGGAAGTGAGGATTACCTCTTTGGGTATTCATTCACATTCCAAGCAGCACTTGTTTATAGTTTTTTGACTTTGCAGTAAAGCATCAGCGACTGAATATTTTTTCTTTCTCTTCCTTTTGATAAATTTGTTAGTTAAGGCAGATTCTTCATTAAGCACTTCAGTCTTCAGAATCCTGATAGGCAAATTATACAACATCCTACTCAATTAAGAAAAGGAATTATTAATAGAGAACTCAGGGGAAAATGCTCTTACACACTTATTGGCTGTTCTATAATAAACACAGTGATTTCTACTTTTGTATTATTCATTGCAGGAAAAATGTTCTTTATGAATATTTTGATGTGAGATGTTAAATGAAATCTATAAAATAAGACTTTAATGCCTGTTAGGACAATTTCTTTGGAAAAAATATTTTTACTATCTTACTGTTTGACTAGGTCATAAAAAAGGGATGGCATTGAGTGGACACATATTTCATTTGTTAAAATGCTGGGAGAAAGATGTTTTATAGGGAATTGTTGTCATATGTAATATACTTTTAAAATTCAGTAGTTTGCTTTTGGAGGTTATGAACATTGACAAATAGAGCTATGGCAGAAAGGATATATTCTATCCACCTTCAGCCCAGTTGAGAATATTATCAACAACCTTTTTACTTTCCTAAGCTGTCCTTATCAAATCTATTTCCTAGTGTTTCTTGGGTTTTGTATTCTGCTTAAACTAGATTATTCTTATATGAATACTTGTTATGGAGATTATGGAAAGTGTTTAAATTTATTTCTCTAAAGAAGGGTTGGTAACGATTCAGTCAAGTTAACTGTATCACCAGACTGTCAAAGACCATAGTGGAGATAATTTGACAGGCTTGATTTTATTTAGGGAACAATATTTGTGGATACTGTTACCATCTGAATAGTAGGAACAGTATTATTTTAGTCATCTCTGTATGCCTACCACCTACTACATTCATTCCACAAATATTTATTAAGCACCTGCTGTTTTAGGAGCAGTAGCTGTAGCAGTGCACACAACAGATTTTTAAAAAAAAATCCTTGCCAGTGGAAGTTTCTAGGCAGCTTATGTTTGGAGTTACTTTATTTTATTTATGTAACAGTTATATTTATGAAATATAAGTAGGTAAAATACATAGCATATCAGATAGTGATGGGTGCTATGGAGAAAACAAAGCAGGGATCGGGGATGGAGGGTCTGGGATGGGCATGATCAGGGAAGGCTTCATGGAGAAGGTGACATTTAAACAAAGAGAAGGAGCGGAGAAAGCGAGCTATGGGAGTATCTGGAGTGAGAGTATTCTAGGCAGAGGGAAGAGCAATTGCAAAGGCCCTGAGTTGGGAATGTGCTTGGAGTGTTTAGGGCACAGCGAGGCCAGTAGGAGGGGAGGGCAGAGAGATGGTGGGGCGTGGGGGAGCAGTCATGTGCTATCTTGTGAACCACCTTGAGGACTTTGGCTTTTACTGAGTGAAACGACAACCACTCAAGGGTGTTGAGCAGAGGAATCCACTTGGTTAAATGTTGACCTGAAGAGAGTATCTCCTTAAAGAAATCACGAGTACCCCTGATCTGTGACTTTGGGCTTGTTTATTTATATAGTATTTGGTGATCTCTGGGTTTTGTGGTGTGTGTGTGTGTGTGTGTGTGTGTGTGTGTGTGGTGTGTGTGTTGTTTTAATTTGTGAATAACTACATGAATAAAACTTAGCTTTGTTAGAATTTGTAGCTAGCAAACAAAGAATGTGTCCTGTACCACAGATCACTAATATTGTTGGAACAAGAAAGAGGCAAATGTAGCCAATGGCTAATGGGCAGTTATTGCCTAACATCAGGCTTAGAGTACTTGATGTAGTCCAGAAGAATAAATACTAGAGGAAGGCAAACCCCTTCCTTTTCTGGCCTCAGAAAGGAAAAGCTGCGAAGTGAGATAACCACCCTGTGAAGTATGTGACTAAGTTTAGAAAGCAAGGTGTCTGACCATAAATCATTATGTTTTCAGTATACGCATGAATTTTGGAATGGTATATAGATTAAATTGTTAGGCATTCTTAATTCTAGCACGTTATTTGAGCTAGACATAAATCCCCTGGGACAGAGATTACGTGCAGGTATGTCTGCTGTCAAAAATCTCAGCCGCTTGCTGGGTGAGATGGCTCATGGCTATAATCCCAGCACTTTGGGAGGCCAAGGCAGAAGGATCGCTTGAAGCCAGGAGTTTGAGGCCAGCCTGGGCAACATAGCAACATAGGGAGACCCCCGTCTCTACAAAAAACATTAAAAAATAAAATTAGCTGGGTGTGGTGGTGAATGTCTGTAGTCCCAGCTACTAAGGAGGCTGAGACAGGAGGGTTGCTAGAGCCTAGGAGTTTGAGGCTGCACTGAGCTATGATCATGTCACTGCACTCCAGTCTGGGTGATAAAGAAAGACCTCATCACTAAAAAAAAAAAAAAGAAAAAAAAAAACTTCTGTTGCTGTCCTTGCATGGTATTTTGTGTTATGCTCTGGGATGTTTTACTTTTTTTTTTTTTTGAAACAGGCAAAATGGAGGGGAGAAATGAACTTATTGGACATGCATACACATCAAACAGAGCAGACAGACAGGCACACACAGCAGATAAGCCTTCTGAAGACTCAGGGCTATATTAAAACAGGCACAGATAACATTTTCATTGTTGTCTTTGTGTCAGGCTCTGTGTGTCTGACAGTAGAAGCATACTTGCAAAATTGAACTGCTCTCTTCCTTCTGGGTCACTTTTGTATAGATTGCAGATTATAAGCTGGCCAACCGCAGATGGTATCTAATTTCATGTCTGTTTACCATTATGTATGCTTTTTAAGAACTCAAAAATATTAGAGATAAATCTAGTCAGCCTACTTCTCCAAACTTACTTCATGAGTCCTATTAAAATGAGAATTATTCTTTTTCCTGAAGACAGCAAGGAAAAAAAAAAGAGAATTATTCAAACACAGGGGTTCTTATGGTTTGTGATTTTTTTCCCATCCATTTGGTGGTTCAGTAATTCAGATGTTATATGCTATTGTTTTCAGTGACTTTATTTTATTTTATTTTGAGATGAAGTATCGCTCTATCACCCAGGCTGGAGTGCGATGGCCCCATCTTGGCTCATTGCAACCTCTGCCTCCCGAGTTCAAGCGATTCTCGTGCCTCAGCCTCCCAAGTAGCTGGGATTACAGGCACATACCAACACGCCCAGCTAATTTTTGTATTTTTAATAGAGACAGGGTTTCACCATATTGGCTAGGCTGGTCTGGAACTCCTGACCTCAAGTGATCCACCCACCTTGGCCTCCCAAAGTGCTGGGATTACAGGCGTGAGCCATCGTGCCCAGGCTTCAATGGCTTTTAAATAATTAACTTCATGTAATGCTCTTTGTAGACTTTGAGGACATATAAAGAAAGCAATTAGAATTGTAAACTGGATCATTTGTATACTTGCACAACTGTTATCAATATCACCTGTCTCTTCCCTTTCTAGTCTATTCTGTGTATAACTATCAAATCCATTTTCGACAGCTTGGCCTTGACCATGTGACTCCCCTACATAAAAAAGCTTCTACAACTCCCCATTGCCTCTGGAATTAGCTGCAGATTCTTCTACTCTGGCATTCAGGGCTTTTTTGTGATGTGTACCAGGAGGGAAGAGATGAACTCTTTGGGCACGTATACACATAGAGCAGAGCGGAGAGACAGGCACACACAGCAGATACGACCTTCCTACAGCTTGGCCATGGCTGCCTGGCTCTCCCATGCAGAAAGCTTCCATGTCCCCGTGGTCTGTGGAGCTGCCTCCAGATTCCTCAATCTCAGCATTTGGGGATCTTCATGGCCTGGATGGCCCACTTCACTTTTCTGTCTTTGGAATATTTGCTTAAGTCAAGCTAGACTGTTCATCTTTCCCAAACTGTGCTTTTGATTCTGTTTCCACCTGGAATGCCCTTTTCTTCACCAATTTGTGAAAAAATGGTGTCTGTTTTTTAAGGATCATTTGATATGCTATGAAGACTTTTCCTTCTACACATCAAAGAAAACAATTAGCAGAGTGAAGAAACAATCTATGGTTTGGGAGAAAATATTTGCAAGTCATACAAAGGGCTTAATATCCAAAATAAGGGTTTATTAATACCCTTAATAAGAGTTTAATATCCAAAATATATAAGGACCTCAAATAACTCTATAAGCAGAAAAGAAATAATCCAATTAAGAAATCGGTAAAGGATATGAATAGACATTGCTCAAAAGAAGACATACAAATGACTAACAGATGCAAAATGCCCAACATCACTACTCATTAGGGAGATGCAGATTATAACTACAATGAAATATCACCTCACACCTGTTAGAATAGCTGTTATCAAAAAGACAGAAGATGAGCGTTGGTGAGGATGTGGTGAAAACCCTTTCTTGTAAGCTGTTGGTGGGAATGTAAATTAGTACAACCATTATAGAAAACAGTATGGAGGTTCCTCCAGAAACTAAAAATAAAATTACCATATGAACCAAAAAGATTTGAAATCGCTATGTCAAAGAAATAGCCTCACTCCCATGATCATTGCTGCACTATTCACAATAGCCAAGTTATGGAATCAACCTAAGTGTTCATCAAGGGATGGATGAATAAAGACGTGGTATACGTACATAATAGAATACTATTCACCCTTATAAAAGGAAGAAATTCTGTCATATGCAACAATATGGATGGAATTGGAGAACACAATGCTAAGTGAAATAAGCCAGACACTGAAAGGCAAGTACCACACGTTCCTGCTTATATGTGGAATCTAAAATAATTGAACTCATAGAAGCAGAGAGTAGAATGGTGGTTACTGAGGCTGGGGTAGGGTAAGAGGAATGGGGAGATGATAGTAGTCAAAGGGTACAAAGCCTCAGTTGGATTTTTTTTTAGATCAGTGGCGGAGCATGTGAATATAGCTAATAATTGAGTTCTGTACATTTCAATATTGCCAGGACAGTACATTTCTAATGTTCTTATCAAGTTAAATATTGAGGTGATATATATGTTAATAGCTTAATTTAATCTTTCCACACTGTATTCAAATTTGTAACACCACATAGTACCCAATAAACATATACAAACATGATTTGTCTATATCTAGAAGACCTTTCTCTTATTTTGAGAGAACTCCTCTGCTGTTTTGGAGCCTCTAATATTCAGTAATAATCTTCCTTGCATTATAGAGATTGACGTCATGTTTTCATTGTATTTCTGGTGCTTAGGAATTTTTTTTTTAGACACAGTCTTGCTCTTGTTCCCCAGGCTGGAGAGCAATGGCGCAATCTCAGCTCACTGCAACCTCCACCTCCTGGGTTCAAGCGATTCTCCTACCTCAGCCTCCCAAGTAGCTGGGATTGCAGGCGTAAGCCACCACCACAGGGTTTCACCATGTTGGCCAGGCTGGTCTTGAACTCCTGACCTCAGGTGATCTGCCCACCTTGGCCTCTCAAAGTCCTGGGATTAATGGCATGAGCCACTGTGCCCGGCCAATTAGGAAATATTTTATATATGTTAGAGACAGAGTCTTGCTCTGTCACCCAGGCTGAAATGCCAGTGGCGTGATCTTGGCTCACTGGGGCCTCTGCCTCCCAGGTTCCAGCGATTATCCTGCCTCAGCCTCCTGGGTAGCTGGGATTACAGGCACATGCCACCATGCCTGGCTAATTTTTGTATTTTTAGTACAGACAGGGTTTCACCATTTTGGCCAGGCTGGTCTTGAACTCCTGACCTCAGGTGATCTGCCCGCCTTGGCCTCCCAAAGTGCTAGGATTACAGGCGTGAGCCACTGCACCTGGCCAGGAAATATTTTTAAGTTAACCATTTGTGGAGTCCTTACTACGTGTCAGGCAGGATAGCATTGTAGTTAAGAGAATAGACTCTTTTTCAGTGATGTAGAGGAAGTAGGATTGTGGCTTGGAGGAGAGGGTGGGGCAGTGGAGGAGGACAAGCAGACCAATTAGTGGCATATTTTGGAGGGGGGATTGACAAGAATTGCTGGTGGAGTGGATAGAGACTGAAGGAGAGAGAGAGCACCTGGGAGAGGGAAGCGGGGGTTGTGGTGCTGTTTCTCCCTATCTGGGGAGAGGGGCAATTGAGAGAACAGGTTTTGGAGTGCAAATAACATCAAGAGTTCTGTTTGCACATGCCAGTTTGAGATGCCTCTGAGACATCCAAGGGGGTGGTCAGGCCAGCAACTGGACACCCGAGTCCTTATGTCAGGGCAGGGTCAAGGTGGGAGCTTTCAATTGGGAATTTGTCAGCTAGGAAGAGCATGTAGATGGGACACATTCTCTAAAAGAATGATGCTACCCAAAAATGGCCCAGAGCCTGGTGTTGCTTCATGCCCTGCCTGCTCCCATCCAATATGATAAAAACAGAAATCGAGAATAAGTATTAGAAACTTTATTACTTTTATTTATTTATTTTCTTTGAGACAGGGTCTTACTCTCTCATCCAGGCTGGAGTGCAGTGGCATGAACATGGTTCACTGCAGCCTCAACTTTGTGGACTCAAGCAATCCTCCTGCCTCAGCCTCCTGTGTCCCTGGGACACCAGGCGCATGCCACCATGCTCAGCTAACATTTAGAAACTTTTATAGCAATTACAGCAAATGATCACTTTAATTTTGTATGCCTTTGATTTCATTGTCTTGATAACTTGTTTCTTTGTTGCATTTTTCCGGTCGTATCAGTCTGCGGTGGATTGGAAATTAAAGCAGTGCCTGGGTTCTTCTCCCCAGATGGTTGAGAAACACTGCTGTAAAGTTTAGAGGTTGATCAGGGGAAGAAGAGATAGAATAGAGCCTGAGAATAAATGGCCAGTGAGATAGCAGGAAAACCTTGATTTTCCTTGTACTTGAATCCAATCTAACTAAGTTTGAGTCTACCTCCAAAGCACAGGTGCTTCACTGCAATTTTATATTGCCTTCTCCCTAGAGAGTGTTCCCAGAATGAGGCCTGTGATATAACACCAACAGAACTGTGGTCCCATCACGAAACTTCTGCTTCTACGCCCACGCCACATCTCATGGTCTCCCAAGAGGCCAACTTAGGCTGCCATTACAGGCTGCATTCCTGGTGGTTCATACAGAAATGAGACTCTTCTCCCCAACTTCTTGTCTCACTTTGTCTTGGGTTCCCAGGGAAGCCCTACGTGTGCTTTATGTTTTGTATGTTTTGGAAAGTCCCTCCAGAAGGCAGCTTTTTTTTTCTTTTACATTAGCCCATCTTTTTATGAAGGTTAGACCTTGTTCATGTGGCAAGGCTGAAAACCAGAGCCATCCTCTCCCCTGCATATCAACCCTTACAACAGAAGAGCTGTGATGGAGAACAGGAGGCAGCCACAGCTGACAGTCTCGCTCAGCCAGGCTGGATCTTTAACACAACTTTGAGGTTTTCGTTTTTGAAATATACTATTGACTAACACAGTAACTTCCCCAGAAAAGTTTTGAAAGAGGAATGATTTGATTTTTAGAGGTTCAAGAACTCCTCATGCTTGAGAGAAGGAAAAAAATAGAGAAGACAAATAACTAAAATATTTATTATCTACCACTTGGACTGATTTAAAATTGAGTTTAAAAAACAAATTACTCCACAGAAAGATCCAAGATGGTTATATCTAATTTATGCAAGAAATCTGGCAGTGTGTCTGAATCTGGCAGTTTGAACTCCAAAAAGTACAAGTGGTTCTACTAGTGACCTTTAATGTTTCTGAGTTCCAAAATATATGACACCTTTAATAGCTAATTGAGTTACTTACTCTGAGAGTTCTTCCATTTACTGAGGGCACACTGTCCAGAACCCTAATAATATCTAACCTCATTGCCCCAGAATCAACACCAGTAGAATATAAACCATTAATTCTAGAAGCTATTCTAAATCTTCACTTTTAGGCAAATTACCTTGAAGTTGCTTTTCCTAGTTGCAATTTGCTTTAACCGTATTAATGCTACTACTTATACCCTCAAATATAACCATATTAATTTTAAACGTATACTACTTATTAGTAGTAGTAGTAATGGTAATAATTACAAAAACAAACTAACATTTTTTGAGATACAATGTGCCAAGCAATGTTCTAAGACTTTTACACAGATTAACTAATTTAATCCTCACATCTGTCCTTGAGGTAGATTTTTATTTTTTTATTTTTTTGAGACAGAGTCTTGCTCTGTCACCCAGGCTGGAGTGCAATGGCACAATCTTGGCGCACTACAACCTCCCAGGTTCAAGCGATTCTCGTGCCTCAGCCTCCTGAGTAGCTGGGACTATAGGCGTGTGCCACCACAGCCAGCTAATTTTTGTATTTTTGGTAGAGACAGGGTTTCTCGAGGTTTGCCAGGCTGGTCTCAAACTTCTGGATTCAAGTGATCTGCCTGCCTCAGCCTCCCAAAGTGCTGGGATTACAAGCATGAGCCACTGTGCCTGGCTGAGGTAGATAATATTATTACTCCATTTGACTGATGAGAAAACTGCGGCACACTAAAGTTAAGTCAAGTCACTGCATCAGGAAGAGATTTGTTTTCTTATTCAAGTTGCTGGTCTGGGTATTCTGCCTGTGAAAGTAGGTGATATGAGGAGTGCAGATGAGAATGTTTTCATCTTTGTTTTGCTTATAAATTGTTGGAAATGAACTCAAATAATGCAGTGATGGGGCACAAAGATCAATTGCATCTTCCCTCTTTTTTTGTAGATGGAGTATCCAAAGTGTACTTTTGGCCATTTTTAGTCCTTAGAGAGACTTTGGCATTTTGCAGTTAGCTAACTGCTTTTATAATGTTTACAGTGAAATTAACACGTAGCAATTAAAAATATCCAGGGTCTTTCAAGGGATACTTAATGGAGCCTTTATTTTATAATGCAAAATCGCAAAAGAGTAGTTTTTTATTTATCTTAGAGCATTCATATTTCATTAAAAGGAAGTCAGCTTTGAGAGTCAAAGCTAGCTTTCTGCCAAGGTTAGCAAAATCTATGAGAATTAAGGTTTGCTTTACCCTAAAAATTCTTAAGTATCGAAGTCCATAAGTTATGGATTTTGTTTCATGTAATTGACAAAAAGGTAATTATTCTGTACTTATGTTTTGTTATGGTTTTCCTTAAACAGCTCTCCACGTCTCTAGAAACTTCTACAGGATGCTTTTTATGACTGCATAACATTCCAATGAGTGAATATACCATAATTCAAAGGCATTGCCAACTTGTTTTCCACTAGCAATGTGTAATGGTGCCTTCACTACTTCTGGATTTTAACTTAACAACAAACAATCTCTGTCAGTTACTTGTGGTGAACAAAAAGAATCTTATTATTTGAACTAGCAGGATTTTGATTAGTCATAAATCTAACCTTTATCCATATACTTATTTTGTGAACTCCTTGATTATTTTGAGGAGGGGTAGAGGGATCAGGGAATGTTCCTCCTTTCTCTTCCTAAAGATATTAACCATTTTTTCTAACATATGGTGTACATATTTCTTCTCAGTTATTGGAAGTTCTTTTGATTTTAGATCTAGTGCTCTTTCATTACCTTCAAGGATTCATATTAAGAATAGGCTGGCCAGGCGAGGTGGCTCACGCCTGTAATCCCAGCACTTTGGGAGGCTGAGGCGGGCGGATCACGAGGTCAGAAGATCGAGACCATCCTGGCTAACACGGTGAAACCCCATCTCTACTAAAAATACAAAAAATTAGCCAGGCCTGGTGGCAGGCGTCCATAGTCCCAGCTCCTCGGGAGGCTGAGGCAGGAGAATGGCATGAACCTGAGAGGCGGAGCTTGCAGTGAGCTGAGATGGCGCCACTGCACTCCAGCCTGGGCGACAAAGCGAAACTCCATCTCAAAAAAAAAAAAAAAAAAAAAAAAAAAGAAGAATAGTCCTATCAAGGTGTTATCAAGCAGAATCTTTAGGGTGACTTGTAAATACTATACCACTATGGTAAATGGTTTCCGAAGTACTTAAGACAGTATCTTCCCTGATTTTCAGTCTATGTATCACCCCAGAGAAGCAGAAACACAACTTTTTATTATTTCTTTATTCTTTTTTTTTTTTGAGACAGGATCTCGCTGTGTCACCCAGGTTGGAGTGCAGTGGTGTGATCTCAGCTCACTGCAACCCCCGCTTCCTAGGTTCAAGCTATTCTCCTGCCTCATCCTCCTGAGAGTGGTGCACACCACTATACCCAGCTAAGTTTTGTATTTTTAGTAGATATGGGGCTTCACCATGTTGGCTAGGCTAGTCTCGAACTCCTGACCTCAAGTGATCCTCCTGCCTCAGCCTCCCAAAGTGCTGGGATTACAGGCATGAGCCACCACGCCCAGCCAACTTTTTATTATTTCTAAAGACTGCTTTCATATAGGCTCTGTCCAAGTTGCTATCCCAAGTTACTATATCTAATATAGTATATATATACTATTGAAATTACTGTATCTAATAGTATCCAAGTTACTGTCTCAAGTTACTGTATCTAATCAGTATAGTACTAATTTTCCTGTAAATTTAAATTTTAGGCTGCAGCCACTTCCTTCCATACTCAAACATTTTCCATTTTGAGTCCCCTAGGAGGATGTGAAGGAGTCAGGATTTAATAATGCCCAGATTTCCTCCTCGGTAGAGTAAGAAAGATTTCCGAGGGAAGTGGTGGAAGTCCCCTACACAGTCCCAAGCAAAATTAAAAAAAAAAAATTCCCGAAGAGAAGGTAGGGAAGGGGGAAGAAAGTTCAGCTTCAAATCTGTAACTGTCCATTTGTGTTAGTGCGCCTGCTTTGCTTGTATGTAGCATATGCTACGAGTAGGAAAAGCTTAAAATGCCTATTCTTTAAAGTCCTTCTTATAATTAACAAATATGGGTCCTCTTAAAATCTTGAGGCACATACTAGCATTTCCCAGTCTTAGTTAAGAATCAGGTCAATGCATGTTAAACTATCATCTGCTGTATTGTAAGAGACTCTCCATGTATAGCCTAGACACACTCTTAGATACTTCTGGCGAACATTCTTTCTCTGCGTCTTATAATTGCACATTGTATGTTCAAATTAAGACTTAAAAATTGATGCCAACAGGTTTGCTGTTATTTAAGAAATGGCTATCTCTGTTCTTGCTGAAAATAGGGAATCCATCTAGTATACTCAAGGCCAGGATATTTATTGCTTCTTTTTACTTTAGTTTTATTAATAGAAATATGCCCTAACAAGAAAAGAGCTTGGTTGAGCTTCCTTTAATCCGTTTGGGCTGTTTTCAGTTTATTTTCTAGCATTGAAGCAAAGATGTAACACTGCCTGAATGCTAGTCAAGTTGGCATTTAACCATCTGAATGGAAGTGGGAAATTGCTATATCCAATGGATTCATGTTTTTGATGGCAGAAAGATGTGTTTAATGTGTTCATTTGTTATGCAATTATTTTGTTTTCTGGATTCTGTGATTTAAAAAAAATCAAGAAATCATGATAAAAGCAATGCATATATGATGGGAAATTTTTTTAAAAAAATACTGGATGATATTAAGTTAAAAAAAAATCCAGCCTCAATGGTTCTACATACCAGAATTAATACTTTCAAACAATGCTTTTGTTCTAAATGGTAACACCTAAAAATCTACATTGTTCTTTTTTCATTGATTAACTTCAGACTCCTTATGGTGAAAGATAAAGATTAGCATACTTCCTCTACTTCTACCTCTCCCAACCCTGTCCTGCCTTCTTGTTCTATCAACCCTGGACTCTATGGACTCGCCAGGATGTAAGATGAAGAATGTCCCTAATTATTCCCAGCTTCTCTCACTCCACCTCTTGAGCTCCATCAGTTCTGTCACTACTTTTACACAATCAAAATTTGACATTTACATTTTCATGTTATAATTAAGCTTGTCTTGCTTTGTCTGTAGACTAATTTGTAAACATCGGAAACTAGAGAAAGAAATGCAATTCTGTGTGTTCAAACCTGTAGTTTTTAAAAGAGACTGTTCAAAGCATTAAAATCCAATGGATTTTCTTTTGTTACATTCCAGTTACTTAAAATCACCACCTTTTCATTTGTTTCTATTCAGTTAATGACTTTCTTCTACTTCTCTGCCTATTCTGGAGATTTTAAGTGCCTTTCTTTTTGTGTACCTGAGAAGAAACAATACTTTCACCCCCATTACTAAGACATTTTAGCATCTTAATTGTGCTATCATTTGAAGGGAATCATTTCCCTTATTTGTCTTAAATAGAGCATGTCCTTGTGCATCCTGACCACTCTAGAAAAACAAGAAGTCTATCTTTCCTTCCTCTAACCAACTAGCACTCCCTACTTTTTTTTTTTTATCGTGCCTCAGTTTCCATCTGTTATAGATCCAACAAGGAGTTTATGAATGAAGCTGCCATTTTATTTGTTTCGGTTTTGAGGCACAGTAAAACTATCTATTAAAGCATAAGTGAGCTAGCAAAGACCCATTTCTACTTGAACTAAATCACCAAAAGCTGTGGCCTATCTCTTGAGCTCTGTTTTGGTAGTCTCTGCAGTTTTTCTTTTTAAAGCATGAGAGTAAGTGGATTTTGTCATTATTTTTTCTCCTTAATTGAATGACTAGAGAGTATAAAGTGCTGCTTTAGATCTTGTGCACATTTGTACATTTTCCCATGAATGTCCTACTTGGCTTAGGACAAGTTACTTTGTTTCTCTAGATGCCTGAATTTCTCTCATCCCTTCTTTGGAAAGCATCATTTTTTGATTATTGAGATATAATTCACATATCTGCTGGGCACAGTGGCTCACACCTGTAATTCCAGCACTTTGGGAGGCCAAGGTGGGTGGATCACTTGAAGCCAGGAGTTCGAGACCAGCCTGGCCAACATGGCAAAGCCCCATCTCTACTAAAAATACAAAAAATTAGTCAGACACGGTGGCACGTGCCTGTAGTCCCAGCTACTTGGGAGGCTGAAGCATGAGAATCACTTGAACCTGGGAGGCGGACATTGCTGTGAGCCAAGATCGCGCCACTGCACTCCAGTCTGGGCGACAGAGTGAGGCCCTGTTAAAATAATACATAATAATAATAATAATTTATATATCACAAATTTCACCCTTTAAATTTCAACCTTTAAAGCATACAATTTGATGGGTTTTAGTAAATTTTTTTAGTAAAAGTTTTTTAATATTCACAAAAGTAGTAGTAGAGTGAACATCCATATATCCATCATCCAGAATGAACAGTTATAGTAGTGCCTTTTTTACTAGAGTGGTTCTGAGGCTGAACTGATGCTGGTGAAACATTAATTTCCTGTGTGAATCTGCAAGAGAGAAATCATTCCTATTTTGGCCACTATCTCCTGAGACCATAATCATTTGAAACTCTTTGAATGTTTTCTGTGTTAGGTAGCAACAGATTAAGAGATTTCTTTACTAGGTAGCTTTGAACATGCTCTGTTCTTAGTTCCTTTAGTACATCATCTTGAGGTGTGAGATAAAAATTCTTGAAAAAAATTTAGTGATATTTGTACCTGTTGATCACACAACATTAGAATCTTGCTTCAGTTGGGGTAAGAACTTGGCAGGACATGAGCAGGCCCATTTACAGGATCAGGACTTGGGGTCTGGAGGAGAGCAAGGTGCAGGTTGGGAGGGATTTGGAATTAGAGCTGCCATTGTGTTGAAACCGAGGAGTCAGGAAGCACTGAGGGTGATGTCGTCTCAAAGGTCAAGGTCGGAAAAGGCCTTGAGTTCAGCAGGCCAGATGATTTGAAAAAGTGGTTCTCCAAAATTCTTTGTTTGTTTTTCCTTTTGTTTTGTTTTGCTTTTGAGACAGGGTCTTGCTGTGTTGCCCAGGCTGGAGTGCTCACTGCAATCTCTGCCTCCTGGTTTCAAGAGATTCTCGTGTCTCAGCCTTTGGAGTAGCTGGGGTTACAGGCGCATGCTATTACACCCAGCTAATTTTTGTGTTTTTAGTAGAGATGGAGTTTTCCCATGTTGGCCAGGCTGGTCTTGAACTCCTGGCCTCAAGTGATCTGCCTGCCTCAGCCTTTTGAGTAGCTGGGGTTACAGGCACATGCTATTACACCCAGCTAATTTTTATATTTTTAGTAGAGATGGGGTTTTCCCATGTTGGCCAGGCTGGTCTTGAACTCCTGGCCTCAAGTGATCCGCCTGCCTCAGCCTTCCAAAGAGCTGAGATTATAGGCTTGAGCCACCGCGCTGGGCCAATTCTCCCAAATTCTGATCATAGCCTGTCTGTTTTCTGTCCCTGTTTTTTATTTCCTGCTGATGTTAACTGCCACCGCCCCACAGATGAATCTAGGCTGTGCAGGTGTGCCCTCTTCTTCCAGAGTTAGTAGGATGTTCAGCAACATATACTTGCAAACTATTTCAGATAGATATAATTTAAAGCATCATTGCATTACATCGGGTTTTAAAAGCAGAAATATATGAAGTAATATTTCTCTCTATATGTTGGTCACTAGATTTCAGGGCATTTTATATTTTCAGACTACCCTGTCATGTGTACTGCTGATCTCAATGTTGTCCCTGGATTCATGTTTAGATAGCTGTCACTGGATGTACCATTTATATTTTTCCCAGCATAAATATCTCCTTTGTTATTTTTAAACAATGGTAAATGAATATGTATAATCATTGCTTTTATTGCTTTTTAAGTAGGGACTGAAATGGTAGCTTAGCGTTGTTGTTTTTTAATATCCAACCCAGTCAGCCAATATACTCATCTAATTCTTTGTCCCTGTTTGGATTGGCTTGATAATCAAACCAAGAATGGCAGTGAAAATTAAGTCACTATGGCCCATTTTATTACATTCTTATTTATGAGGTCTTTGCTTAATGCAAGCAGTATCTGTGTTAAATTTCACATTCTAGGGCCAGGCTATTCTTTACAGGTGACAGATGGTATAATAGTGGACTTCAAAACCAATGCCTTCTGGTTCCTGGGGGGCACTTTAAGGTTATGGAAATGATTCTAGAAAAACATCACCACCTGTCTAAATCTCTTCTGCAGGAAGTTTAGCTCTCTTTTGGGGGTACATTACATAAAATCATTGCCTTGCCAGCATATTTAGATGTCATATTGCTCCACAAATGGTGATGTGGGGAGATCTACTGGCCCTTCAAAGGATATTTGGTCAGATATTTTGAGAATAATACAGAAATTTGTGATCACATATTCATATTCTTTCACCTAGTCTCTTTAGTGACAGAGGCACACATGCTATGTTGTAATATTTCTTTGACTATTGTATTCCTGTTCCAGCTTTGTATAATAAATATAACTTTGACTTGACCACAACAACAGTTTGACTGAAACATTTTTCATGATAAGACCAACACATTGGCCGGGCATGGTGGCTCACGCCTGTAATCCCAGCACTGTGGGAGGCCGAGGGGGGCAGATCACGAGGTCAAAAGATCGAGACCATCCTGACCAACATGGTGAAACCCTGTCTGTACTAACAATACAAAAATTAGCTGGGCGTGGTAGCGTGTGCCTGTAGTCCCAGCTACTCAGGAGACTGAGGCAGGAGAATCGCTTGAACCTGGGAGGCAGAGGTTGCAGTGAGCCGAGATCGCGCCACTGCACTCCAGCCTGGTGACAGAGCGAGACTCCGTCTCAAAACAACAACAACAGCAAAACCCAGCACATTTATTAACCTAAAACAAAAAAACCATGGGATTGGCTCCCAGTTGGCTCCCAAATCCCTCTAACATACAGAAATTAGAATTTTTTTATTGTTGTTTTTCTGTGTTCAAAGAAATAAAGGACATTTCACTAGAGGCCTATCTGTACTCGATTGTGCTACAAAATAATAATCTTAGATACCTGAGGAAACCATTGCTGTTTAGACTGAGACTCTTCATCATTAGCCCAGGCATCTGCCTGCCTTCCTCTCTTCATGTTATTCCAGTGTCTGAAACATATTACAGTAAGTAATCAGGGGCTTGTGCTAGCCTACTCAACTGGGGACTTCTTGAGGTCAGGGACTCAAGAATCTATCTTGTCTTTGTAAACCTTTGAAGTGCCTAGAATTGCATTTTGTACATGGTAGAGAAAAAGAAAAGAATTCCAAGGCTGTACTTGCTAACTTGCTGCATTTTATGTAGTCACATAAGCCCCTTTAAGTCCATGCTGGAACCAGTGTAGGTAGCATGTTCTCACTTTAAAGCTCTTCCAGCCAAGAACTTTCCTACGTTTACTTAATTATTAGCTATTTAGTAAGCCTATTTTGCGTATGTTTACTTATTAGTTATTTACTAAGTTATCGCTAGATGAAGGGCATTCTGTTGGGCAGTGTGAGATACATACCAAAGAAACCCAACCCTCAGGAAACCTCCCGTTTGGTTGTGAAGAGGATTTATCCCTTTTGAAAATTCAATAATCCATGTAAAATTATCAGATGAGGATTTGGTGCCAGGATAAGTCATGTCACGGGCAGGAAAGCACACAACCTTATTATGTGCCCAGTGGTCTGGGAAGTCTTCCTCTCCCAAGGAGTTGAGCTGAGAAAATATTTGCAGATCATTGCAAAGGATTTGGAAAACAGAGGGTGAGGTGGGCCTTCCAGAGAAGGAGGATTGGGGGAACAAGGTGCGAGAGTTGCGGGGGTGTTGTGTTGAAGAATTGTCTGGGAGAAACTGAAGGAAACCAATTTGGCTAGAATGGAGACTTTGGGAGAGTGTCATTGGAGTAAGGTTGGAAACCTGGGTTAGGACCACATTATGGAGGGCACGAATGTGAGGTTATGGATTTAGCTGTGTAAACAGAAAGGCATTTTGAAGGTTTTGAGCAAGGGAGTGCCATCATCTAAGTGGTATTTTAGGGAGATTTGGTGGAGAACCAGTTATAGGGTGAATTAGATTAGGTGACAAGGAGCTGGGGCAGGGAACAAAGGCAGGAAGACCAGTTAGAGTTACTGAATCCAGCTATTAAAGTTGCAAGGTCATGGCCAAGCGTGATGGTTCATGCCTATAATCCCAGCACTTTGGGAGGCTGAGGTGGGCGGATCACCTGAGGTCAGAAGTTTGAGACCAGCCTGACCAACATGGCGAAACCCCATCTCTACTAAAAAACAAAAATCAGCCGGGCATGGTGGCACACGCCTGTAATCCTAGCTATTTGGCAGGCTGAGGCAGGAGAATTGCTTGAATCTGGGAGGCAGAGATTGCAGTGAGCCAAGATTGTGCCACTGTATTCTATCCAGCCTGGGTGACAGAGTGAGACTTCATCTCAAAAAATAATAATAATTAAAAAAAAATAAAGTTGCAAGGTTCTCAAATCTGGAGTTGTTGGTTAAAATATAAAAGAAGAATGAAATGCCAGAAACATTTTTATAGAACAAATCAGCAATGGAGGCGTATGTTTCTGATACAGGTGGTATCTGGCAGATGTACCTGGTCTGCGACTTATTGGGAGCAAACACATCCTTTATCTAATTATAAGAATACTGAATCTGGATGTTATTAATTGATTTCCCCAGGCACTACCTGTGTTCCTGGGTACTGAAGAAAATGGGGTGTGACATCTTGAAGGATTTATCTCAGTAGGGTCCAGTTCAGAACATAAATAAATAACTTTAGCTCAGCATGCTACAAGAAGGCTGACTTTTACATTGTTTAGCATGTCTGATTAAATTAATTTCAGAGACTAAACTTTAAATCTTCAAAGGGCATGTTTTTGCTCGGGGTACAGCATTACAGTAGCTGAATTACATATGCTCAAGCCCCATGAGCATTAGGTTATTTTGTTCTAAAGGGCAATTTTTTTGGTCCTACTTTGTATTGCATAAAAATTCAAAGGATTCAGAATAGTTGCTGTTTTCCCTGTGGTCTTTGATTAGGACTCTGTTCCCTCTGTTCTTCCACCCTGGACCTATCAATCACCTATCACCTACTAGTACCTGATTCACACTGTACCTGGCATCCCACCCAATCTTTCTAACTTACCAATGAGATTGTGTCACTTCCTTGCTGAAAACCCTTCTAAGCAGTTTTGCTTACAGAGCAAAGTCCAAATTCTGTAACTACACTCATGGCTCTCCACAACATAATTGAGCCACTTTTAGGATTCATAATATGGAATCAGTGATTCCAGCACATTCTTAATTATTATATTTACGCTAGATGGACATAATAATATAGATGAGAGAATCTGAACATTAAATGAGGTTTATATCACCTGAAGTTCAGTTGGAGCATGAGTCAATGCAAAAAATTCACTTCTACATTTTGAGTTTTATCTTCTTTAGTTTTGTGTTTAAGGATTATTTGTCATAGATATTTCCATGTATTAAAGTAATTTATATAGTTGGCCTTTTCAGTGACTATGGCTTCAAAATTAATTTATTAATCTTTTCCTTTTTTCTAGAAATAATTTAAGGCAGTTTATAATGATGTATAAAAGATACCATGGTAGCATAACTAAAAGTAAGTGAGATAGAAAAAAACATAGGTATAAATCTTTATGACTTTGGACTAGGCAACGATTTCTTAGCACAAGCAACCAAGGAAAAAATAAATGGAATAGATTTCATCAAAATCATAATCTTTTGTGCTTTAAATGACATTATTGAGAAAGCAAAATTGCAACCTACAGAATGGGAAAAAATATTTGCAAATCATATATCTGATAAGGGTCTATTTTTCAGAATATATAAAGAACTGTTATAACTCAACCAAAAAACCCACAGATAACCTAATTTTAAAATTTGCAAGGGACTTGAATAGACCTTTCTACAAAGAGACATAGAAATGACCAACTAGCACATGAAAAGATGTTCGACATCATTAGCCATTAGAAAAATGCAAATCGAGGAGAATCGCTTGAATCTGGGAGGTGGAGGTTGCAGTGAGCCGAGGTGGCGCCACTGCACTCTAGCCTGGGTGACTGAGCGAGACTCTGTCTCAAAAAAAAAAAAAAAAAAAAAGAAAAGAAAAGAAAAGAAAAATGCAAATCAAACCCAAAAGATATCACTTCACACTCAATAGGATGGTTGTAATAAAAAAAAGACAGAGAATACAAGTGTTGATGAGAATATAGAGAAATTGGAACACTAATACATTGCTGGTGAGAATGTAAAATAGTGTGCCACTTTAGAGAACAATTTGGCAGTTCCTCAAAAAGTTAAATATAGAGTTACTATGTGACCTAGCAATTCCACTCCAAGCTGTATAACCAAGAGGACTGAAAACATTATGCACTAGGCGTGGTGGCTCACGCCTGTAATCCCAGCACTTTGGGAGGCCGAGGCAGGTGGATCATTTGAGGCCAGGGGTTCAAGACCAGCCTGGCCAACATGGTGAAACCCTGTCTCTACTGAAAATACAAAAATTAGCTGGGTGTGGTGGCACCCGCCTGTAATCCTAGCTACTTGGGAGGCTGAGGCAGGAGAATCGCTTGAACCTAGGAGGTGGAGGTTGCAGTGAGCCAAGGTTTGAACCTAGGAGGTGGAGTTTGCAGTGAGCCAAGGTTTGAACCTAGGAGGTGGAGGTTGCAGTGAGCCAAGGTTTGAACCTAGGAGGTGGAGTTTGCAGTGAGCCAAGGTTTGAACCTAGGAGGTGGAGGTTGCAGTGAGCCAAGGTCATGCCACTGCACTCCAGTGTGGGCGACAGAGTGAGACTCCATCTCCAAAAAATGAACAAACAAACAAACAAACAAACAAACATGTCTAGGCATGGTGGCTCATGCCCATAGTCCTGGCACTTTGGGAGGCCGAGGCACGCAGATCACCTGAGGTCAGGAGTTCAAGACTAGCCTGGGCAACATGGTGAAACCCTGTTTCTACTAAAAATAAAAAAAATTATCTGGGTGTGGTGGCAGGCACCTGTAATCTCAGCTACTCGCAAGGCTGAGCCAGGAGAATTGCTTGAACCCGGGAGGCGGAGGTTGCAGTGAGCCAAGATCATGCCACTGCACTCCAGCCTGGGCGACAGAGTGAGACTCCAGCTCAAACAAACAAACAATCTATGCAAAAACTTGTACACAAATGTGTACAGCCCATTATTCATAATAGCCAAAATTGCAAACAACTCAAATATACATCAACTGGTGAATAGATAAACAAAATGTGGTGTATCCGTACAATGGTATATTATTCAACAGTGAAAAGGAATTAAGTAGAGCTCATGCATGCTATAATATGGATGGACCTTGAAAACACACTAAGTGAAAGAGACCAGCACCAAAGATCAGATATTGTGTGATTCTATTTACATGAAATATCCAGAATAGGTAAATGTCTAGGGACAAAAAGTAGACTAGTGGTTGCCATGGCCTGGAGGAGGGGGAATGAGGAGTGACTGCAAATGGACACAAGGTTTTATTTTGGTGTGATGAAATATTACAGAATTAGGTAGTAGTGATGGTTGCACAACTGCTTGAATATACCAAAAACCACTAAATTGTACACTTTAAAAGGGTGAGTTGATATGTACGTTGTATCTCAAAAACAAAGTCGATGAGAAAGTTGAAAAAATCATATAGATATTTAATTGATTTATGAATAAAACCAGTATTATTCTTTAAAGATCCATATACTTGCCATTGGTTGGCTATGAACTTAGCTCTAATTTGTGTAATTTAGGGATCAGTTACATAATCCATCAATAGTTTCATTAAGTCCAGTGGCTCCAGATTTCTCTTGGTGACTGATCATAGTGCTTACTCAGCCCTTCTCTACGTGGAATTCTTTTTTTTTTTTTTTTTTTTTTGAGATGGAGTTTCACACTGTTGACCAGACTGGAGTGCAGTGGCACGATCTCGGCTCACTGCAACCTCTGCTTCTTAGGTTCAAGCGATTCTTCTGCCTCAGCCTCCTGAGTAGCTGGGATTATAGGCGTGCATCGCCACACCTGGCTAATTTTTGTATTTTTAGTAGAGATGGGGTTTCACCATGTTTCCCAGGCTGGTCTGGAACTCCTGACCTCAAGGGATCCACCTGCTTTGGCCTCCCAAAGTGCAGGGATCACAGGCGTGAGCCACCACACCCAGCTCCTAAGTAGAATTCTGTACTTCATTATAGGAAACAGCATTCCAGCTACTTATATTCTACATTTTCCTTTTACGGAATAAATTCTTTGTGTTCACATTATTTCAGAAAAGAAATACAACCGTTTGTATGAAAAGTAAAGGAGTTTTTGGATGAAGAATAGAAAGCCACTGAATTAGGTTGACTTATTTGAATGAAATGAAAGTTAACTGACATAATAATGCCCCTGTTCTCAAAACGTTTGTATTCTAGTGAAGTGGCTTAAAGAGTGAGAAAACTGTTGTTTTTTCATTGGCTTATTTTTTACCCAGTAATTGTACTGGCCAAGCTGAATAACATGGCTTTTTATTAGCAGAGCAGTAGACCACAGGCAAAACCATTAGAAAGGAGTTTTGCCTAGCAAACTTCAGTACCATCAGAATATTGCCTTTTCCCTATTTCTCAAAATATGGTTGTATGGTCTCATTTTCTCAGTCGTGGGTTTCAGAAACACCTTGGATTTGTGTCCAGATTCCATTCCTTACCCAAGCCACACAGTTTCCTATGTCCTGTGTCCTTAGGGCAGTCATGGTCATTCACAATCAAAGAACTTAAACACTCATTCAGTAGCTTCTGTTTCAATTTGGGAATTGGACTGTGCAAATTACTTCCAGATTTGGCCCTTGGGGTATTTTTATACTAGAGATAATTAGCTCTGGTCATGAGAGACCAGAAGCCCTTAATCTTTTTAAAATAGAGTCCTCATTTCCCTGGAGCCTTAGAGTTTGATGGTGTGGTCAGCGTGAGAACAGGGTGGTGCTGCCAGGCTGAGTGGAAGGGCCAGCATGTTTTGGAGCTCAGGGTGTATCCATGCATTTAAGCCTCTGGATGTGGAGCGTCATGGTGGAGAACATTGGCTTTGGAGTCCTTCTGGGTCATATCTTAGTTCTGCTACTTGCTCACTGTGAGACCTTGGTCAAGTACTTTCCCTAGGCCTCACTTTCCTCATGAGAGCATGAGGATGAAATTAGGATTAAAAGAGCTAAAGCATGTAAGATGCTTAGCACAGGCCTGTAACTTGGCTACGCAGAGTAAATGTTACTGTTGCAGTACCTAGAAAGGTGCCTGCTTATGCTCAGTATATTTGAATGAATGAATGAATGCATGGATGGACTCCTTAACTGCATATTGGAAAACATTACTTCATGAGCACTTTAAAATAAAAAGTGTTTGGAACATACAGAAAAGAACAGAAAAAGCATGATATGCACCCTGCTATATAGAATGTTACAGTTTTGCCATACTTCAGATTGTTTTAAGAAATAAAATGTTACAAATACAGCTGAATTCTCCTACAGGCCCCTCCCAGATCACTTAAATCTCCTCTGCCCAGAGGTAATTGAATTTGGTGTTCTCACTATCATGCTTTTAGAGTATTCTCACATATATATGTAGACGAACAATACACATCACAGCTTTGCACATTTTTACCCTTAATATAAAAGCATCCACAGCTTGCTTTTTGTTTTTTCTATTTTTTTTTTTTTTGGCTCTCCATTTTGTCTTTCAGATTAATTCATGTTGGTACATGTTGCTATAGCTCACTCTTTTTTTTTTTTTTTTTACTGCCTTATCGTATTTTATGACTATGTCATTATTTACCCATTCTTAATGTTGATGGATATTTAGATACTCCCTCCCTTCAATGTCTTGCCATTACAATAATGATGCAATGAACATGCTTACATGTGTCTTCCTGATGCAGCGTGCATAAACAGAGAGGAACTATTGGGGTTTCGGATTTGTGCACCTTTGCTTTATTAGATATTAAAATTTTCCTCTTCAGAGTGCCTGTGTGGGTTTATATTACCAGCAGTATAAAAGCGTTCCCGTTTCTCCACAAATTTGTCAACACTTGCCATTGTCAAGTTTGAGTATGCAAAATCTTACTTTAGTTTTAATTTTCCTTTTCCTGATTACTAATGAGTCTGAATAACACATTTTCATATGATTACAGTCATTTGCTTTTCCTCAGTTGTGAACCGACTATTAGTATCTTTATCCATTTTCCAATAGATTACTCTGTCTTTTTAAAATTGACTTGTAGGTGTTGTTTGTAAATTCTGGATGTTCATTCTTTGTTGTATATTTTACACATCTCCCAGTTTGTTTTTATGGTGGCTGTTTTTGAACAGAAATTTTATTTATTTATTTTTGAGAAAAGGTCTTGCTCTGTTGCCCAGGCTGGAGTGCAATGTGGCATGATCATGGCTCACTGTAGCCTTGACTTCCCGGGTAGCTAGGAATACAGGCATGAGCCACCATGCCTGGCTAACTTTTGTATTTTTTGTAGAGATGGGGCTTCTCCATGTTGCCCAGGCTGGTCTCAAACCCCTGGGCTCAAGTGATCTGCCCACCTTGGCCTCCCAAAGTGCTGGATTACAGGCGTGGGCCATCACATCCAGCCAGAAATTTTAAATTTTAATATAGCCAATTTTATTAAATATTTTCTTTATGATTTGAGTTTTTTGACCCGTTTAAGAAATTCTTTCTTGCTATGAATTCATTAAAGCTATTCTGTATTCTCTTCTAAAAGTTTCAGTTTGACTTTTCCTATTATGATTTTTAATGCATTTGGAATTTATTTGTTTGTATATTGTAAAGTGGTTATCCAGCCTTTTTTCTATGACATGGGCAATCCATTGATAAGAGACCACTTTAACATTGGGAAAATTCTCAATTCTTGGATGACTGAGAAATACTTTTTTGCATTTGTTTCACATCTTCCTAGATATCGCATTATACTCTTTTGATATTGTATCAAGACACAAACAGAAAGTTTTGAATTGTCACTTGAAATTTTATCTTGTTAACTATTAAGAATAGTTCCTAAGGTGAAACTATTCTTTCTGGGTGAAGGCTTTTTAAGCATTTGTTTGTTTTGGCAGGTGACACCATACATTTATCTTGGTATGCCAGCAGACTCACTTCAGAAAAGGTGGCAGGGAGATTAAATGAGCCTGTTGATTTGTTTATACTTTGGTGCATGTCAATTTCCAAAGGAAGGTAAAGGTTTTGATGACGACATTTTGAGATTCTGTAGAATTCTTTGGCTTGCTTTATTGCTATTCTTTGCATGGGTTCACACTGAACATTGTTTCTGCAAGGTAGACCAAGTTGAATTGCTCTAACTCACTGATATGGTTTAAATGTATGTCCCTACCCAAATGTCAGGTTGAAATGTAGCCCCCATTGTTGGAGGTGGGGCCTGGTGGGAGGTGACTGGATCATGGGGGCGGATTTCTCATGAATGCTTTAGCGCCATCCCCTGGGTGCTGTTCTTTTTTTGTGTGTTTTTTTGAGACGGAGTCTCACTCTACTGACCAGGCTGGAGTGCAGTGGTGCTATCTCCACTCCCTGCAACCTCTGTCTCCCAGTTCAAGGGATTCTCCTGCCTCAGCCTCCCGAATAGCTGGAATTACAGTTGCCCGCCACCACGCTCAGCTAATTTTTTGTATTTTTAGTGGAGACGGGGTTTCACCATGTTGGTCAGGCTGGTCTGGGACTCCTGACCTCAGGTGATCCACTGGGTGCTGTTCTTGTGATAGTGGTGAGTGAACTATTGTGATCTCTGGTTGTTTAAAATCTCCCCCCAGTCTCCCTTTCTCCTGCTTTTGCCATGTGATGTGCCTGTTCCTTCCCCCTTTGCCTTATACCATGATTGGAAGCTTCCTGAAGTGTCCCCAGAAGCAGATGCCGCTATGCTTCCTGTATAGCCTGTAGAACCGTGGGCCAACTAATATTTTTTCTTTATCAATTACCCAGTCTCGAATGTTTCTTTGTAGCAATGCAAGAATAGCCTAACAAACTCACAAAACCTTTTTGCCTACTGGCAAAATTGAACATTTTGGTGAAAATTACTTTCTACTTACTCAGGTTCATTTTGTAACAACAACAACAAATTTCTAAACCTATTCCCTAAAACTTTTTACAAGTCACACACTCATATCTTTTGGAGGTATTAAAAATAATTATTAGTTTCTTAAAAATATGGAAACGCTTTTAAAAATTATTTTGAACTCAAGTCACACAAGGCCAGGCATGGTGGCTCATGCCTGTAATCCCACCACTTTCAAAGGCAAAAGCGGGAAGATCACTTGAGCCCAGGGGTTCAAGACCAGCCCAGGCCAAATAGCGAGACCCCATCTCTACAAAAAACAGAAAACAATTAGCTGTGCATGGTGGTGTGCACCTGTAGTTCCAGCTGCTCTGAGAGGCTGAGGTAGGAGAATCGCTTGAGTCTGAGAGGTTGAGGCTACGGTGAGCTGTGATTGCACCACTGAGCCCTGCCTGGATGACAGAGCAAGTACACACACACACACACACACACACACACACACACACATTTTATATATATCATATGTAAATATATATATTATATATAGTGAACGGTAGAAACCGCAATTAGTTTTGCACCAACCTGATACCTACATAGCTCCCATCTGAATGGTTCTTGCAGAGACTTCCTCCTTTCCTAACTCCCAGTGCATCTCCTCAAAAACAGTTTCTTCATGTTCTTGTGTTCTTCCAGAAGAAATACACTTCATTTCCCAAAAGCGACCATACTCTACGCACCATTTTGTGCTTTGTTTTTTAAATTTGATAATCTCCCTTGGGGTTTTGTCACATTGGCACATACAGGTATGCTGGCTCCTTGTTCATAAATATGAATTTATTGTATAGATGGTCTACATTTTATAAAACCCAGCTCCACATTTCCTGCTAATGGATATTTCAGTGTTTCTAGGATTTTGTCTTTGTCTCTGTTGCTTGTTTGGTTTTGGTGTTTACAAATTGTGCTGTAGGAAACATCCTTGTACATACATCTTTGGCCTGTTTTTGCTGGTATATCCACCAGGTAAATTGCTAGTTGTGGAATTTGTTAGTTCACAAATTATGGGCTCTTTAAATTCGGAGGGATATTGATCAATTTTAAAATTGGAGGTTTTAAAAATACACTCTTAAATGCTAGTTTTGGAGTGAGGGCCCGATGCTTGTTGAGGAAGATTTCCTTTCCCTTTGTAAACATGGTATTAAATTATTTTGTGTGGCTGGGGATGGAGGGAGAAAAGAGAAAAGAGAAACATCATTTTACTTGTTTAAATTAATTCTTTTAATTGAATGTACTGCACGTGGCTGTAAGAGAATAAGCAGGCCTATTTACTGCCTGAAGCAAGGCAGACATTGGGCATCTGGTGGCTCTGCCTGGTGTGGTCAAGGAGCACCCTGCAGCCAACTCACCTGTTTCCCCTGGGTGGGGAAACTACATAAGCTGTCCCCTGGCCTCATAGCCTTCTTTGAGTCTCTCCTTAGGGCCGGACAGTCCAGGTGAGGGCCTGGCCCTTGGAAAGTCTTTGTGAAAGGTGCCTGCTGTTCTCGTGAGAGGAAGGCAGGACTTCTCAGAGCTCTCCTGGCCTTTATTAGGGTGGGACCATCTTCACCTTGGAAGGCCTTGAAAGAATTAATTACAAAATAAATACCTTTCAGTAGAGCCTCTAGGGAATGATGGGAAGGAGATGGGATGAGGGAGAGAGCAGGTTGGGCAAGACAGGGTGACTCTCAGGGCAGGCCTTGTGCAAGGGAATGTCCATTGCCAAAGACAACTTTGCCTGTTTCATGGCCTGAGGCAGAAACAGGAGAGGCCGAGTTTACCTAATTTCAGGAATTCCTTACTTCCATAAAGGTGGTAATGACAGTGAGGATAGCTCTCATTTGAGAGCCTTTGTAGTCTTGCTCATACTTTCATCTATATTCTCTCTTGATCCTCGCAGTGGCCACATTTCACAGATGGAGAAACTGAGGCCCCCCAAAATTAAGCAACTTACTCAAGGACCAACACCTAGTAAGTGGCAGAACTGAGGACCCCTGTGAGTCTCTTGTTACAGGCTTTTTCTGTTGCACAATAATAATGAATGTGCAATGTAAATATCATCAATCACTTTCCAGATACAAAATGAGGAAGCTTCTTTTTAATAAAGCAACCAAAATTTTGGAGTAGAGGCAATCACAATTGTTAAAAGGGTTTTCATAAATAAATAAAATCATGACTCTCCTGCAGATATCAAAATGAATATAGGTCAAAGATTTTATTTTACTCCACCAATGAAGGAACCACGCAGATGTTATAACCAGTTCAGAAGAGAATTGAAAAACATACATTTCTAGATCACAATATTGAAATGAATATGTAAATGGAGGCAAACTGATTTTTCCACAGGGTAGGAGGAAAGATAATTGAATCTCTACCAGGCAAGACAAAGATTGCATATTTATCAGTTAGTTACCTACAATATAAAGAGGTACAAAAGAGCTCACAGACAATGAACAGGGCTAGAATCAGATAACCCTCAAGTGTGTGCTGTGTAGACAAAGCATACTTTTCCACTGAAACACAAATTATTTCTACTCAATTTATGTAGGCATGTCAGGCGGGCTGCAAAAGCAGTGAAAGCTGCCTGCATGTTAGGTGGTGGAGAGGAGGAGGATGGGCAAGAGTCAGCCAATAATAGGTTGGTGACATTTTGCAAGGTTTTGTCAAGTTCAAGGTGCATTCTGCCCTTTCCCCTCAGCCCTTTTATGCTGGCCTGGCTCAGTGCCTCCAGTATAATCCCACCTAAATTTGTCCTCCAAGGTAGTAGCCCATGCTTTTATTTATTCCCTTTTCAGCCATTAAAATCTCCCTGCCCCTTTATTCCATTTCCAAAGAACCCAGACTTTGGCCAGGTTACAGATTCCTCTCTCAGATAACCTGAGGAAATTTACAGGGGCATGTCCCTCTAACACGGTATGCCCCTCCAGCACCCATAGCTGTCCTCTGACCACTGCACATTGAGATTCTGGTCCTCACCTAAGTCGGCCTCTCCTGGGTACTCCTGTGCTTTGGTTCTGTCAGTTTCTCTCCCTCACCAAAATCTGGTCAGGCACTTAGAAAGGATTGAATAAGCAAATCCACATTCTGGTATGCATTCATTTATTCAGTGGATATGTGTTGTGCTGCTCTGTGGCTGCGCACTGAGCTAGGTGCTGGAGGTACAATAGCTCAGGAAGGAATTCCTGGTTTACTGGTGAAACAGACATGTAAATAATCATTATGGTACAATGTGCTCAGTCTGCAAGCGAGCTATATACACATCCAGCCATGATTACAGAAGGAAGGAGTAGCTCAGCTTGAGCTGGGTTAAAAAAAAAATTATCTAGCCTAAAATGTCATTGAGCTGGTCTGGAAGCATAAATGGGATTTTGCCAGAAAAGAAGGGAAAAAGGGAAAAGAACTATCCAGGTACTGGGTCCTCCTTCCTCTCCAGCTAGCAGCACTCATGGCTCTGCATCTGCCCAGGCAAGGACAAAGCATTACCTGCTTAGAGTGACTATTTTGGGCACCAGTGGGATTCCTATAAGCAAATGCTTGGGGAAAAAGAAATACCAGGAAAACAAATTTTCTTCCTCACCTTGTCCCTTACAATGTGTTCATTTATGTGTGTTTGTGTGTGTACATGTAAATATGAAATGGAAACAGGGCAAATGAAGACAATGGCTTGATTTAGAAGTTTGGATCTCTAGCATTTTATTTTAAAATATGACTAGACATGTGATATAGTTGGATTTGTGTTTCCACCCAAATCTCATTTCAAATTGTAATCCTGAATGCTGAAGGAGGGGCCTGGTGGGAGGTGATTGGATCATGGGGGCAGATTTCTTCCTGGCTGTTCTCGTGATAGTGAGTGAGTTCTCACGAGATCTGGTTGTTTAAAAGTGTGCAGCACCTCCCCCTTCTCTTCCTCCTGCTCTGACCATGTGAAAACGTACCTGCTTCCCCTTTGCCTTCCACCATAATTGTAAGTTTCCTGAGGCCTCCCCAGCCATGCTTCCTGTACAACCTATGGAAACCTATGGAACCATGAGCCAACTAAACCTCTTTTCATTATAAATTATCATTATAAACTTTCCTTATAAACTATATCACATGTCTAGTCAGATTTTAAAATAAAATTCCAGAGATCTGAACTTCTAAATCAAGCCATTAACCTTAATTAAGAAGTAAAATTGTCTTCATTTACCCAGTTTCCATGTCATATTCACATATACACATGCAAACACACATACATGCACACATTTTAAGGGACAAGGTGAGGAAGAAAATTTGTTTTCCTGGTGTTTCTTTTTCCCCAAGCCTTTGCTTATAGGAATCCCACTGGTGCCCAAAAAAAGCCTTTCAGGTATTTCTTTACAGCAGGGCAACAACAGACTAATCCAACATGGAACTTTGATTATAAGGCTTAAAAATTATCTGCTTGGCCGGGCGTGGTAGCTCATTCCTGTAATCCCAGCACTTTGGGAGGCTGAGGCAGGTGGATTACCTGAGGTCGGGAGTTCAAGACCAGGAGTTCAAGGGCCAACATGGTGAAACCCCGTCTCTACTAAAAATACAAAAATTAGCCAGACGTAGTGGTGCATGCCTGTAATCTCAGCTACTCGGGAGGCTGAGGCAGGAGAATCATTTGAACCTGGGAGGCAGAGGTTGCAGTGAGCCGAGATCCTGCCACTGCACCCCAGCCTGTGTGACAGAGGGAGACTGTCTCAAAAAAAAAAATTATCTGCTCAGGGCATTTAGCTATTCTCAGGGCCTGCTTGGCCATTCACCAAGGATGCCCCTCCAGACTGATATGTCTGGGAACAGCAGGGAGCGATCACCTGGGCACCTCCTTAGACATACATGCTCAATGGGGTCCTGCTGGCCAGGCTGAGTCCATAAGCCATCACCCACGAGCTGTGAAATCCTGAGGCCAAGATTTCCTTGTGCTGCCTCCACTCCCAGAGGTGAAGCTCACCTGTCAGGGAGTTACTGCTAACTAGGGAAGCTGCCCCCAAAGGGATCACGCCAGTAACGTGTTTGGAAAAAAAACACAGTTAATCCTCCAGTGCCACCAAACCAGACTTTGTAAAGCTACTCAATCTATTAATAGTGTGGCAGCCCTCCTTATCTCAACTGAGCACAAGTGCCAACTAGTTTCCAGGTCAGGCGTTTATGTAGTAATCAGTGACATTTGATGTTAGCCAGATTTACCAGGTGTGCTGACCCTGGCTTAGGATCTTTGAGAGCAAAGTAGGGACTGGGGTCTCAGACCTTCTGGGTTTGGTTCTAAGCCACTGCTGGGAATAACTTCTTTATTTAGACACCAGTAGTTATTCTTGCTTGTTTATTTGCACAGTTGGAGTGGTGAAGACTGAAAGTAAGTGGCAGGCAAATGTCTGACATTGAACATAAGGACCGTGTTTGGTGGTTCATGTTGTGCAGAAACCAGGTTTGGTTGTCTTCTTTAAGATTGTTTTTATGCTTGCTTTTTTTTTTTATTTCAATGCATTTTTCCCTGTCTTGTTACTCCCATAGTTGATCCAGGCTAAAAATCGTCAACAAGGAGGTTTCAGGATTATGATTCAAAGGATACTGGAAGTCATTCCTTCCCAAAGATCTCTCTCTGTGTTTTCTCATTGGCTGAAGCAGCCTGTGGATCTCCTAGGGGTCCTGTGAAAATATGTTTCTCCAACAGATGCTGGCGAGGCTGCTGAGAAATAGGAACTCTTTTACACTGTTGTTGGGAAAGTAAATTAGTTCAACCATTGTGGAAGACAGTGTGGTGATTCCTCAAAGACCTAGAACCAGAAATACCATTTGACTCAACAATCCCATTACTGGATAAATACCCAAAGGAATATAAATCATTCTGTTATAAAGATACATGTACATGTATGTTCATAGCAACACTATCCACAATAGCAAAGACATGGAATCAACCCAAGTGCCCATCAATGATAGACTGGATAAAGAAAATGTGGTACATATACACTATGGAATACTATGCAGCCATAAAAAGGAATGAGATCATGTCATTTGCAGGGACATGGATAGAGCTGGAAGCCATTATCCTTAGCAAACTGATGCAGGAACAGAAAACCAAATACCGCATGTTTTCACTTATAAATGGGAGCTGAAAAATGAGAGCACAGGGACACAGGGAGGGAAACAACACACACTGGGGCCTGTCATGGGGTGAGGGAAGGGAGAGCATCAGGAAAAATAGCTAATACATGCTGGGCTTAATACCTAGGTGATGGGTTGATAAGTGCAGCAAACCACTGTGGCACACATTTTCTTAAGAAAGGTTAATTGGATTGTTTATGCTCATAGACACTTCTTCATGGCTTAGTTTTATAAGATAAATTATTGAGAATTATTCTGAAGGAATGGAGGAAAAGGCAGGCATATTTGATTAAAGAGAGGGGATTCTGAAAATGTTTAATTAGCCCTGGGAAGACGGGATTTTTCACAGAGGCCACCAGAATGCTAAAGCAGGGAGCCTGACTTCAGCCAGAACACCCAGCACAAAGCTGCTGGGATCATCCAGCAAAGCACAGACATCAGCCTTTCTGTTTCCTAAGGTCAGCTGTGTGACATCTAAACCTGGGCACAGAGAGAGATGCCCTTATAACTGCAATATCTAGAACTGTATAGTGTATGCCTGACACCAGCCATCCAAAGGTCACGAATCTTTCCCAAATATTCTGAAGAGGGTGAGGTCAGTGACCTTGATAGCGTACTTTCACCTAGCACTCTGGAAATGTGGTGAAGTGTAAGGATAGGATTTGGCATCCAGCCCAAGCCTTTGTGTGGCTGTTTAAACAACTAAGTAACCCTGGACAAGGTCCTTCAGTTCGTAGGTGAATAGAGATCCTCCTTCTCAGGGCTGTTCAAAATTCAGCTGAGATCATCTGTGTAAACTGCCTAGGACTAGGACAGTATCTTGGCCACAGCAGGCAGTCAAAAAATGCTTATTTCACATTTTACAGAGAAATCTTAGATATTTAATTTTCAGACTCTTATGAAACTATAGCCAATATTAATTTTATCATTTAAGGCAGAGAGATCAATGGTGTTTTTTTTGTTTGGTTTTGTTTTTAATCCATTGGCTTCACATTATCCTCCCTACTTTTCACTGTAACCCAGGCCATTCTTGCCAGGTTTACCCTATGACGGTTGGTCATTATTATATAATAACGTACATACATGAACAAAAATCAAACTGCATAAAAGACTCTTCAATGAGGGCATCCTCTGACTATAGGCCCCACTTATACTCCTGGAGGTAGCCACTGTTAATAGTTTCTTTGGTTTCGGAAACCTTCTAGTAACTTTTCCCACATGTATACGCATATTTATCTTATTCATTTCATACATGAAAGCAACCATACATACTCTTCTGCACCTTGCTTTTTGTTGTTGTTGTGGAATTTATATTAAATTAATATTGAGTGATACGAAGCCAGATTATTTGGAAGGTCTTGGGCAAAAATGGGAGCATTGTTGGTTCAATGCAAAAAATGAATTTGTTTAAGAATCTAGGACTTGAGCACCTTTAAAACTGCAAGGGATTTAATTATATTCCTTTGGCTTCTAGTCTGATTCCCCCCGGAAGACCTTCTGGGTTAATTATGGGTCCCAGGGACACTTGGCAGACACAGCTGCTGCATTGCTGTTCTACAGAGGTAATTAATCACCCCGCCTGAATCAGGAGAGAATGCTCTATTCTTTGTCCTCATTACCAATAGTTTTTGGAGAAGGAAAATTTTTGAACAAAATGGAACCACATATGATTCTTTTCAGAATATACAGCAGGTGATTAGGAAGGTGTTTATGTATTGGGCTTACTACTATACAGTAGAGAAAACGTGTGTGTGGGGGTGGGTGGGCTATGGAGAGAGCAGTAAATCACTTAACTCTTTGGGGCTGGCTGCTGATAGTTTGGAAGTTTTATTTGAAGGGACACTCTACATACTTATTTTTCCACCATCTAGTTAGTTACCTGCCATTTTTAATATTACAGAATCCTAGCTTAAAGAGGCATTAGTGCCTGCCTTTCTTTCTTTTTCTTTTTTTCTCTTTCTTTCTTTCTTTTCTTTCTTTTTCTTTCTTTCTTTTTCTTTTTCTTTTCCTTCCTTCCTTCCTTCCTTCCTTTCTTCCTTTCTTTCTTTCTTTCTTTCTCTTTCTCTTTCTCCTTCCTTCCTTCCTTCCTTCCTTCCTTCCTTCCTTCCTTTCTTTCTTTCTTTCTCTTTCCCTTCTTTCTCTCTTTCCCCCTCCCCTCCCCTCCCCTTCCCCCCCTTCTCTCCTCTCCTTTTGACAGGGTCTTTCTCTGTCACCCAGGCTGGAGTGCCATGATGCAACATGGCTGATGGCAGCCTCAACCTCCCAGGCTTAAGCGATCCTCCTGCCTCAGCCTCTTGAGTAGCTGGGACTATAGGTGTGCACCACCATGCCTGACTATTTTTTATTTTTTGTAGAGACAGGGTTTTGCCATGTTACCCAGGCTGATCTTGAACTCCTGGGCTCACGTGATCCACCCGCTTCAGCCTCCCAAAGTGCTGGGATTACAGGCATGAGCCACTGTGCCCTGCTGATCATCTATTTCAATGAGTACTTTCACCTATTTACTTATTTGGAGGCAGTTTTGTCCCCTCAGGGGACATTTGACAATGACTGAAGATGTTTTTATCACAACTGGGAGAGGGGTGCTACTGGCATCTACTAGGTAGAGGCCCAGGGATGTTGCTAAAGACCCTACAATGTGCATGATAGCACCCCAAAACAAGATATTATCCAGCCCCAAATGTCAAAAGTGCTGCAATTGAAGAATCCTAGCTGACAGGTTAGTCCAGTGTTCTCCCTACATGATTTCAGTCTTATTGTTTTTGTATTTGGGTGATAGACAGGAATGACCACAAGTAATTTATTATAATGCTGAAATATTTCCTAAGACCATAGACTTTCCGTCCAGCTGTAAGATTCTCAGAATTTCTTCCCACGAGTAGAAGCAAAGACATCAGCACAGAGCAGTTCACTTGCTCCTAAAAAATGATAATGGTAAAATTACTTCACTGGTGAATCATTCACAGAGGAGGCCTGTCTTATTTGCTGTAGGTTCCCCAGCCCCAGGCAGTACTAGGGGCTCAGTAGACATTGGTTGAATGAATGAATGAATGAATGAATGAGATACCATGATGCTTTGGCATCAGTGGGATGGACTTAGGGCAGTGATCTGAGCAGAAATTTGGCACACATGTACACTTGACTTTATGGTAAATATAAGTTCCATGTCAGCTCTGTGTTCATGTGGCAGCTCTCATTAATGGAGCTAACTGTTTCTCCTGTGTTTTCCTGCTCTTCTGCTTTTTTTTTTTTTTTTTTTAACAGTTCCAGGCAGTGCAAGCAATTATAGTAAAATTTATACATAATTGGCATCTGCAGAAGCAGCTAGCATGAACTCAATATTGAAGACCTGCACGAAACCTCTCAAGTAGAGTGTTGTTTGTTCTTGGAGTTTTAAAGGACTCACTTTTGCCTCAGATTCCCAAATCTTTGGTGGTATTATTTAGACCAGATGATTCTAACTTGAAAAGTGTACTGATCTTAACAGTTAGCATGTGTGTTCAGATGAAGTATATCAAGTGGAAGAAAACTTACTACCCTTAAGAAAACATCCGTTGTAAGTTCAGGAGATAGTGGTCCCCACATAAGACAAATCAGAGGAAAAGTTCTACCTTAACACTCGTTTTCTTTTTTTTCTCTTTGAGGCTGTGGGGAGGGGTGTGTGTGTGTGTGTGTGTGTGTGTGTGTGTGTTTCTCTCTACCAATTTGAGAACACTAACTGTGAAAAACTCTTATACCTCTCATGCATCTACCTACCTTACTTAGCTAATATAGCAGAAGAGTGGCAACCAGAGCTGCAGAAACACTGGCCGCAAAAGATAGAATTTTCCTTATATGGAGGAACATGCCAGATGATGACAAAAGCTTCTGTATTTTCTCCACTTCTTATTGGATAGTTACTTCCCTGGCCTGGAGGACTCCAGATCATTGTCTGAGACATATAATGTCAGCTCTTGGGATGGGTGGAAAGTGTGTTTCTCAGAGTGCCAGAGAGATTTCCTTCCCTATTCTCACAATACCATTTTGTGGAAACACTTGATTGTTTGGGTTAGCAAATAGCGGGAGAAGGTAGAGACAGACAGAATTTCTGCGACCTGGATCCCTACGATGGCCTAGTGGAATCTGATTGTGCTGACCTGTGTCCCTAACTCTTAGGACAAATGTCTAGGGCAGTGTATAACATGTTGATGTTTTTTAGGTTTATTTCTGTGTATACTTCTAGTAACATTTTCCTTATGCAAATGAAATAATTCTTGCAAATGGAAGTATAATCTTTGATTGCAAATGAAAAATCAGTGTTCAGAAGAAATTTTTTTTTAGATATATGTACTTCAATTTTTAACTTTCAATAGCCAAACGCTCTATGTATTAAGTATATTGCTGTATGTTTCTTATGAAAAGGAAAAGTCACGGTGAGGGCTGAGGTCAGGAAGAACGTTGTTGACCTCTTTGAACTGCTTGCTGGTTCCCTCTGCACCTTCTTTTCCTTGGCGACCTGACTTTGTGTGTGAGCAGCCAGGCAGTTTTACCCACTGTGCCAAGGGAGGGTAATCTGAGCTGCAACGTTAGCCTGGATCGCTTATCAGGGAGGAGGCATTTTTAGGAAATACGTGTCTTTTAAGAAGTGTAATTTGTTTTTGTTTGGTTTCACTAAATGGGTTCTTACTAAGGAAAGAGCAGGAGATTCCCAAACTTCCAGGCTTGTTCTTTTCTAGCAACTGATTTTACTTGGAAAGAATTGAAGGAAGGGGCTCGGATACTGATCTTTGGTGTGTTTGTAAAAATTAATGGTGTTTGGCTAGCTAATTAGGAGGAAAGGGTAACATTCTCTAAGCAGAGCAACTAAGATGACTGGAATTTTCATTCTTGGCTCGCTCTTTTAATTCCTTTGGCCCTTAGCCTGTCTGGGAAATCTTTTTGCCTTTTTTCCCTGCATCAAAGAAGAAACTCTGTACTTACATGAAAGTTAGTGAGTTTATTAAGGATAATATTATATTAAAAATGAGTAACTTTTCAGCCTATTGAAATTTTAGATGTACTTTCTGCTTTGATTTGGGGGTTTTACTTTTCTTCCTTTTATTTTTCTTTCCTTCTCTCCTTCTTCCTTTGAGAGTGCTTAGAAGTTGACATTGGAGTCACTCTTGCCTTCATGGCATAATAGGGAGATGGAATGGGACAAGGGAGAGAAGAAGGGAGACAGAGAGGGATAATCAGAAGTTGATTTTTTAAAAAAATAACAATCCCTCGTCTAGATATATTATAAGAATATATGTAGGGTCAATTTCTTTACTTCTTGTTACAGCAACTGCATAATTGTCTTCTAAAGGCTTTCTCTTAGTTTTCTGAATCTGTAGTTTATATACCATAATCTGCTATTGACTTCCGTGCAGCCTGCTTGAAACCAAGCCAAACCAACCCTTCTGAGTGTATGTATCATCCCAAGGTAAACAAACGGCATTTTGCATTCCTCTGTGGAGTTTGCCTGCTCCGGTTACAGGCTGAAGAATAGCACAGCATTGGTAGCACATGGATATTGGACACATCCAGCTCTGATGTGGGAATCTGTTGGTAACCTCAGTCACAATGGCATCACATGCCCAGAGTTCCCAAATCTTTCTCAAGTGCGGCTTTCAACTTAAGATGTCAGGATCACTGGCTTCTTTCAGCGCTGCTTGTTGACAGCCTCTTTTTAAATGGCTGTGTTTGGCTGGTGACCCAGGAGTGCCATGGCTGAAAAAGCTCTACACTCCATGTCCATAGACCTGTGCTCTGCTCTCAATTTGATTAGCTGCCTGATCTGCAGCAGGTCACTTAACCTCTGTGAACTTTAGTTTTCTCATCTGTAAAATGAGATGTTCAGTCTGAGGTCCCCAATGGATGATTTCATGACCTAAATGAAGTTAATTAAAAAACCAGCTCCAGCCTTGCGATTAATAAACAGGAAGAGAAGGCATTCAATTCCAGGCTAAACAACATAGAAGGGCCACTTCAGACAGTGTTCTTTTGGGAAGGATGTTCTACAAAGTAAAATATTTGGGAGGACTGATTATTTTCATGGCTGTTTCTCTCTAGGTATTTCTGGGAGATGATTTTTCAAGTCCAGGTTGGTGTGTAGACCCTGTGAATTCAACACCTTCCCAGTACAGAATGCAGTTAACACAGACAGGGTTGGAGTCAGCTTCCCGTTTTTGTCTCACTTGGTTCCCTCTTCGTTGCCATTCAATCTGTTGTGTAAATTTTTTGAGTGAGGAGGCACGATGTTCTCTACAACTGTGATATTTAGCTCTTACTATTGTTTGCATTTAGAGAAAGATGTATGTGAATTCCTCACTGTTTTTATTATTCTGTAACCGAAAGGAGTGAAGTGTTCTTTAAGGCTGCCTCCTGATGGGAAACAATCCTACTGAATGAAATTGGCTGATTGAAATGGGGAGCAGCCCGTAACTCCCTGAAAGTTCTTTAGTGCTACTAAAAAAAGACCAACACAAATGAAAATGTTATGCTTTCTCTAAGTAAATACCAGTGGTAGGAAATGGTAGGTTAGAAGCCTTTTTATTCCCTTCACTGGGTAAGAAAAACACTGAGGGATAGCTTCCGGACTATCCCTGTTTTTGATTTTCCCTTTCTCTTCATCTTGCACTTGGTTTTGATTTCTCTGGGTTGTATAGTTTATTGTTGGATCTTACTACTGTGAACTTAAAAACTATGCTATTTGCCACCCCAGCTCCACTGTCTCTTAGGGACATAGCTCCCCTTAAATGCAAGGATTTTATGAGAAGTGGGATCTTTGCCATTCCATTTATCCTGGTTCCAGAGCAAAGACCTCCCTCCTGCTCTTCTGCTTCCTTGGTAAATAACCCATGTGCTCTAGGAAGAGGACAATACAGTAGCAATTGAATTCCTTCTTCCCAGGCATTTTCTCATACCAGGATAATGTCTCTTTAGCTGCTCCTCTCTTCCTTGTTAAATCATGAACCACGTATCAACATATTCTGCCCAGCTATGTTATAGAAATAACCGGGCAAGAATATGTATATTCTTTCCTTTTTTTAAGAGACAGGGTCTTGCTCTGTCTGTCAGGCTGGAGTATAGTAGTATGATCATAGCTACTGCAACTTTGAACTCCTGGGCTCAAGGGATCCTCCCATCTTGTCCTCCTGAGTAGCTAGGACTACATGTGTGAGCCACTGTGCCTGGCCATGAAGATGCGTGTTTCATTAATGGATGGAGCTCTAAGTCGGGGCAATCCATTGCCCTACGGTTTTATTTGTAATCAATAAGAAGTAATTATAGAAAATCATTGACAGTTTTGCTGAGCAGGTTCAACATTACTTGAAGAAACTCCAAATATTCCCGTGTCATAGATCATTTTGTACCAGAGTTGTTCTATATACCACTGAAAGTTTTCACTAGTAGCCTCAGACTGTCATCTAATTCTTCCATCCACTTAGCAGGCATGTCTCACAATATGGTGACAACGAAGAGGAAAACCAAACCAAGAAAGCCAGCATGGCTTCGGGGAGCTGGGTAAATAGGAGGTGACCTTGGATAAATACAGCTAATGTAACTGAGGGTAGCCCATAATAGGCTGTTGTCTTTTTTGTTCCTAAATTTCTTCTTATGCATTTATTATGTTGGCTTGAAAACCATCTTTTATCTCTATATTGTAATTTTCAGGTCTTATGAAGGAACTACTATGGCTTTTAATTATAGCATTCATGTACTTTTTTTTTTTTTTTTTTTTTTTTCGAGACGGAGTCTCGCTCTGTCACCCAGGCTGGAGTGCAGTGGCGTGATCTCGGCTCATTGCAGCCCCTGCCTCCCGGGTTCAAGTGATTCTCCTGCCTCAGCCTCACGAGTAGCTAGGATTACAGGTGCCCACCACCATGCCTGGCTAATTTTTGTATTTTCAGTAGAGATCAGGTTTCACCATGTTGGCCAGACTGGTCTTGAACTCCAGACCTCAAATGATCCAACCACCTTGGCCTCCCAACGTGCTGGGATTACAGGTGTGAGTCACCGAGCCCAGCCATTAATGTACTTTGTAATGAAAATCTTTTCCCTGTCACCCTGGAGACCCCCAGGCAGGATATGCTGAATATTTTCCACATGCTCCTCCGATTCCATTCTCCACCCTTTGCCCTGCTGTGCTCCTAGAGACTAACCCCGATGGCTACAGCAACGGCTCCCTTGACTTCTGCTTCAAGTTGGGCCCAGTTGGTGCGGGGGGCACTTAGCAGGATATCTGAGGGTGGGAGGAGAGTGTGGTTGGGGTATTTATTCCCTGGACTCCTTCTCTACCAGGTCACTGTTGGTTGTCTGTCTATGAAAGGCCACAGGTCCTGACAAGCCCCCCTCCCTCTCCACTCAGCTACTCACTTCAGGTTCTAGCATCGACTCCACCCCTTGCCTCTTTAGGCCTAGGGGTAAGCAACAGCTCCCCACTGTTGCTGGCTCAGGGTAGTGCATGCCCCTTGTGGGTTTACCTGAACCCTGACCACACCTTTGTAAATATCCCCTTTGTTAAACCTTTTTCAAGTTCTCCAGTTTGATTGTAACATCTGTCACCTGCCAAGACTCTGGCTGATATGCAGGTTTAGCGTGGGGGCTGGCACGCCTGGTGTTAGAGTGGTGTCTGTGACTGTGAGATTTGGGTCTATCATAAGCTTTACAGTTGGCTTCTCAATGGTCTTAACACTGTCACCATGGAAACTGAACATCAAAAGACAAGGGAAGGTTATGGATGAAGAGGCTCTGAGACATACCCAGTACCCTATAAAAGCCATTGTATAGCAACAGGAGGGCTCTTGGTAAGTTGAAGTGGGATGACTGCAGACAAATGGCAAAAGAAAATGATGCAAACCCCTAGTGAAACACAATTTCTAATGGGAGCCTGGAAAGCAGAAGCCATTCCGTTCCTTACGTGTAACAACCAGAAATAAGATGACTTTTGCTACTTTTGTTCTTGTGATTGATAGGGGAAAACATAGATCTTCAGACAGAAACAGAAGACATACAGGGACAACAGATTCTTCAAAAGAGTAGGAATATCCTGAACATTGTCCTAGTCATGGAGTGGCCTTCTTAGGCCCACATATAAACCGGCATGAGCTTATAGGTCATCTTTGAGTGGAACCCATCAGATGTCTTTGGGATTTTGGAATGCGTGAGGGATAAGCAAATGCTCCAAAGCCTTGCCTTTTCTACTGATCGAATGGAACACAAATACTTAGTGTGCAAATATGGTCCCTTGTGTTTCTTTCTGGAAAGCCAAAATATGTGTTCTGTGAAGATTGCTTTATTTTATTTTTATTTATTTTTTGAGACACAGTGGGCTCTGTCGCCCAGGCTGGAGTGCAGTGGCACCATCATGGCTCATTGCAGCCTTGACCTCCTGTGCTCAAGCAATCCTCCCACCCCAGCTCCCAAGTAGCTGGGACTACAAGTGCAAGCCACTAAGCCTGTTTAATTTTTATGTTTTTAGTAGAGATGGGTGATATGGTTTGGCTGCGTTCCCACCCAAATCTCATCTTGAATTGTAGCTCCCATAATTTGCACATGTTGTGGGAGGAACCTGGTGGGAGATAATTTAATATGGGGATGGTTTCTCCCATACTGTTCTCGTGGTAGTGAATAAGTCTCATGAGATCTGATGGTTTTATAAGGGGTTTCCCCTTTTGCTTGTCTCTCATTCTGTCTTGCCTGCCACCATGTAAGATATCCCTTGCTTTTCTGCCATGATTGTGAGGCTTCCCTAGCCCTATCGAACTGTGAGTCAATTAAACCTCTTTCCTTTAAAATTACCCAATTTTGGGTATGTCTTTATTAGCAGTGTGAGAACAGATTAATACAATGGGATTTCACCATGTTGCCGAGGCTGGTAAAGATTGCACTGTAATACAATTCTGATAGTTGCCAAAGCCCTACTGAGTCACTCTAACTCTGGATCTGTTGGGCAGTTGAGCTGTAAAAGAAGTGGATAGCAAGTCCAGTGGAAATCTTGGACCTGAGTAACCATTTACTTCAAAGAATAGGAGATTTTAGTTGCATGACAACTCTTGCCCAAGTAAATATGTGTGTGTACACATGTGTGCACATGGTGGGAGTGGTGGTATATGTAGTTATTATCACAGATTAGGGGAAAGTCAAGGTTTTATGGACCCTGAGGCTTATGTAAGTTTGAGAACCCTGTTTAGAAAAAGCATAAAAAATTATGAACACAAAGTTAAACATCAAAGTGAATATTTAGGAAGGGAAAAAAGTCACAACAAATGACAACATTTCAAAAGTGGTAATTCCTAAATATCATAAAATACAGAAAACTAACAAGCAGCTGATTAATAAACATGTTCTGACGTACCTGTATAATATTTTCCCTGCTACATTTTTGACAGCATATTCCTTGATTGCCTTTTCATATGACAATAACTTTGTAGTTTTTTCTATGTAGAGAAAAGAACCTTTCGCCTTTCCTCTAGCGTAGTTTATTGAAATTTATCTTTTATTTTTGGTAGCTGGTTTACATAAAACAATCTCATACACAAATGTACTCACTGCTACAGTTTTAGATCAATAAATATAGGAATTTTGATCATCTCCATTTCACATAGTGGCCATTAAAAATGTATATGGTGCATTTATAATTATAACTGTTTTAAGCATATTTATGACAGGAGAGAACTTCTGTTTTGACTCTATGTTGATGAAAACAAGATTCTCTGCTCCTAATATTACAGGTCTGATGGCTGGAAGATTTTTCTATAAACCAGCTTTCTGCTTTATACGATTCAAACCTTGTTTCTCTTCCACTACGTAACAAACTCCAGTGTTGGGTGCTAAGGAACGCATTCCCATCTAACTCCAGTGTTGGGTGCTAAGGAACACATTCCTATCACGGCATGGCTTCTGGTCTTGCATTTCCATATCATGACTCTAGATGAGTCACCATAGTAAACAGTAAAAGTTTCTAGAAATCATTTCCACAATTTGCAGTAATAGCTAGCAGTAACTTAACTATGCAGGGAAGTGACCATACAGCCATACATGTGGTCCATGAAACCTAAAACTAAATATAGCCCTAATCAACTTCCCCTTAGCCAAGTTCTTAAAAAATGCTTCTCGAAAAGTACCAATACCAGTGCCATTCCAATGCTGACCTGGAAGAGGGGAGGTCAAAATGGAAAGACATGGTAATCTTAAAAGATGGTGATTAAAATATCACTTTTTGGTACAGATTTTACAAACCTGTGGCCATGTGGATAAAGATGAGGACTTTGAAGGTGGTCCCTGAACATTAAGTATGATCAGCTTGGTGCAAAGTTTATCAAGCATTAAAAAACTGACCCCAGATTTTATCACCTAGAATTGACTTTTAGGATATGTAGATTTTATTAGTCAGTTGGTTATTTTCTCTGCTCTTCTTTCCTCTTTCTTAACTTTGCTTTTATCCCCCAAATATAGATGGAGAATAGCAGCTCCTTTAAAAAGTACTCAGTTCATTTGCTTTCCTTTTGTTGTCTTCTTATTCTCCCCATGTTTTCCCCTGTACCCCCTCTTGCTCCTTTCTTTTGCCAGAAATACACAACTTACTTTAATGGGTGTCATGTCTACCTCCAGTTACCATCCCCATGTAGTTTTGGGGTCCCAGGGAAGGAGGGTCCCTGTCCCTTCCTCCATGCTCCTTGCCAAGCAGGGAGGAGGGAACTGGGACACTCCTTTTTCTGTGGCAGAAGGAGCCTGGAGAGGACTGGAGGAAGCTCTTTCAGGGAAACAGCGGCTGTTTTTCTTAGACCAAGAGATTCATAATGGCCTTCAGAGGGTGTAGCTATGTTGCCATCATAATTACAGCCTTGGAATGGTGCCTGTTGAGGTCGTTTTGTTTCAGAATGTACCAGAAGCTGGATCACTTTGTCTGGAGGTAGCTCGGCATGCATTTCACGCTTGCCATCATTCTCATGGGGGCTCCTTTTTTAAACGCTCTTCTCCTTAGTGACTAAGGTTGGTTTTAACAAGGTTTTCCATCATCAAGACCGTTGAGTTGCACCTGTTTTGTCTGCAGCACCACATGTAAACAAATAAAAGACCTGCCACCAGGACAGGCTTTGAAAAACAGCGGTTAGCATAAAGGCTTAGTACAAAATTGAAAACTGTTGGTAATTAGGTTTTTTGTTGTTGTTGTTGTTTGTTTGTTTGTTTGTTTTGAGACGGAGTTTTGCTCTTGTCGCCCAGGCTAGAGTGCAATGGTGCAATCTCCGCTCACTGCAACCTCTGTCTCCCATGTTCAAGTGATTCTCCTGCCTCAGCCTGCCGAGTAGCTGGGATGACAGGCACCCGCCACCACGCCTGGCTAATTTTTGTATTTTTAGTAGAGACCGTGTTTTCACCATGTTGTCCAGGTTGGTCTCGAACTCCTGGCCTTAAGTGATCCGCCCACCACGGCCTCCCAAAGTGTTGGGATTATAAGTGTGAGCCACCGTGCCCGGCCGGTAATTAGTTTTTTATGACTAGTACTCAGGAAGCCAGGGGCAGCAGGATTGATGGTTTAGCAAATTTGTCATTAAAACAAAACTGGGCCAGGTGTGGTGGCTTACGCCTGTAATCCCAGCACTTTGGGAGGCCAAGGCAGGCATATCACTTGAGGTCAGGAATTCAAGACCAGCCTGGCCAACATGGTGAACTTCGTCTCTACTAAAAATTTTAAAATTAGCTGAGTGTGGTGGTGTGCGCCTGTAGTTCCAGCTACTCGGAAGGCTGAGGCTGGAGAATCGCTTGAACCTGGGAGGCAGAGATTGCAGTGAGCTGAGACTGCACCACTGCACTCCATCTTGGGTGACAGTGCGAGACTCCATCAACAGCAACAACAGCAAAAAACTGAACCCTTACTGGAGAACTTTGGGATATGATGGTCTCTAATTGCACTGTATGTATGGTAGTCACTCATCACATGTGGTCATTGACCACGTTTGAAATGACAGTATTTTTGATATATTAGGTTAAATAAAAATCTTAAAAATCTTAAAATTAATTTTACCTGTTTCTTTTTACCTTTCTAATGTAGTTACTAGACAAATTTAAATTACATTATTTGTATATCACATTCTATTTCCATTGACAGTGCTGGTCTACAATACACCATTCTGTATGCCTGAAAGTGTATTAATGATGCCTTCCAGGCTCCCTGTAAGTTTCGGGAGAGGTTGTTTTCATGTTCTTTAGGACTGGGCAGGGCTGAATTTTTTTTTTTTTAAAGTAGAAGAAAACTGAAACATAATGAATCACAGTAGCAGGCCGTTCTCATTATAAGAAATGAGTATTAGGATTATGAAACCCCTTGGGGGATGTAACAAAAACAACAAAACAAGTTCTCAGCTTTTAGGAAAATATTGCCCTGAAAGGTTATCTCTTGTAACCCTGCTTCCACAGATTATAATTCAGCAGTTGCTGTGGACGTCTTTAGCCTCAGGCTTCATTACATTGGTGTGGAGAGAGAGAAATATGTGGTTCTCTCTCCTCCTTCAGACTCTTAAATCATACCTGGCATCCGCCTCCAGGGAAAAATTTGGTGCTGGGATTTATAGTTGTTTATTGTTTGTGCTTCCAGCATGTGGACTGTGCATTAATTTGTTTCTCAGGGTCAATTTTGGTATCATCATTGCCAGCAGACATTTGTGAGAATAACTCATAGTTTAGGATTTATTTATTGATAAGCGTATTCCACAAAACTTTGACAATCAGCTGATGATGAGCTGGTACTACTCCTGTTAATTCAATATCGTTTATATAACTTGGGTGATAAAATGAACGTCGTGAAACAATGCTACAAAGTCTGTCCTAGGAAGAGGACTTGTGCCTAAATCAGTTGAACTCCCAAAGTTTTCCCAACACTTGGCCTTTGCTATACTGATTTGTATGTAGTTTTCCCTTCTCCTTCTCTAATTATATCTTACTGTTTTTTACACAGCAGATACTCAACAGATTCTTCTTGCATGGTTGTCAGATTCTGAGATTGTCATCAAGAAGGATTGTAGTCTTTCTTGCACTTGAGATTGAGGTTTAAAGATCTGAGTTTGACTTGGTGATTTTTCAAAGGATCCAGTTCTTTAGGGTAAGAATGATGACTGCCTTGTATTAGAGGTTTCAGGATAAACCTGATCTGTTGCCTATTTGTCTTGGGAATTCACCTGGTGAAATGTATTAACAAGTAATTTGATCCATACTCCCACTTCGCTACTCTGTCCTTGCACTGTAGTCTTCTCCACATAAAACAAGATATATCATCAAATTTCAAATTTTTTGTTATGATTTTCTCTATTGAAGTTGTCTTTGTTGATGAAAATATCTTACATAACTTCCTTTGGAAGGTAGGGATACAGTTTCTTAACCTTTTCTGCTTTGGCATTGCACTGAATTTTAGAGAGACTGCTTTAGTTTTTGTGCCTATCATGGTGCCCAGCCTTTCTCACCAAGGGTCTGAGTAGATTTTTGTTGAATGAATGACTTCTTGTATTTTCTGTCAGTCTCCTGTGTTTGCCCATCCCCAAACCATCTCCATTTCCCGTTTCCTTCATCCTTACTCGTTATGTCAAGCCTCTGCAAACTGTGGCTTTCAGAACATCCCCTCCAGATTCCACTGTTTGAGGTCTTCGCCTTGCCCTCTTCATTTGCATCCTGCCCACTGGTGACCTATCCCCTCATGAGCCATGGCAAGATCCCTGTGGGTGCCCATGTTTCACTTTAGGATATGGAATGATGCCCAGCAACTATTATGGGTTTTGTATCCTAACCTCAAGTCTTTATCAATAAACTTTATTTTAGTAACTGCTTTAAAATATGCCTCACACTGGTTGGTTCTAGTCAAGTCAGAATTCTTCGTACTTCTTGTGTTTTAGCATTTAAAAATGACCTATGCTCTTCCCTAGAAGTCTTAAATATCCTAATATCTAAGATAGTTTAAGTACACTTTTACCTGGGGTTGGAGCTTGAACAGATACTTCTCAGGCCCCTCTTGGAGCTGACTCCACACTTGCTTAGTCTAAGAACCAGACCTGATGCTAATGAAAAAAAAAAGAACTTGAACTTCCCTTTCTTAAACCTCACCATGTCAAGGCACAGCCATGGGTTTGGAAATTTGGGGCATGACTACCGAATCCTTTGAAAACGTCTTAAGACTGGTATACATGAAGGGAATTCTAAAGTAGTCTTTCTCCTTAAGCTGATGAACTATTCATGAGTTTGTCTTTGAGAATCAGAATGCGCTGAAGTTGGGCTTGACGCCTTATTAGAGTCAATGATCCACTAAATCTTTATCCTTGGAAACAATCTGTGGATTCTCTTTGTAGCAATACCCTATAACAGAGAGGACTTACACACTCCCATGCATGCCAGAGAAAAGGCCTTGGACCCCACAGCCTCCCAGGAAGGGAGAGACATTTTCTCTGCCCGTTTTCTCTTTCTCCCCACCCCCACCCCCCTTAGAATGACCAAAGGCAGGCTTTGGCTGCGAATCACTTTATAGAAAGTGATATGAAGCATAAATGAGCTATAACCAATTTAAGGAAAGCTTGAAACTGGGCATTGGGAAATCTCTGCCAATATGTAATACTCTTACTAAATTCTGGCTTAGTAGCCGGCCAAAGCAGATTTATAGATAATCCCCATTTATGAAAATGTTCTACTGAGACCACTGTGCAGTTACATTTTAATAGTTTATGTGGTAACAATTTAGGCTCTTGTTATTCCAAGATACCTCACAGATGTAACGCGCGCAATATATATATATATATATATATATATATATATAGAGAGAGAGAGAGAGAGAGAGAGAGAGAGAGCGAGAGAGAGATAGAGTGTCAGAGAGAGAGAGAGAGATTGTTCGAGTCACTAACTAGAAAAGCCTAATCACACAAATGCCAAATAAATTATGTTGGCAGGTGGCCAGCTGAATTTAGACATAGGTTCTCTGTATTATTCAAAAGTCACTCCATGTTGATCTAACCACACCAATGAAAAGAAAATAAAGAAAATAAAAAGTGATTCCTGTTTCATGAGAGTGTAAGTCCAGTATCTTTATTTCTGGCACTCCTGGGCATGTCAGTTTACACTTTGCATATTATTTCCACAAAGAGAATCCACACATTTTTCCAGGGATAAAGATTTAGTGAGTACATTCACTCCTTTACATTGATGCTGAAAAGGAGTGAAGCTCACGTGTAGTGAGAAACGTGAATGTTTCCTGTAAGAAACTGATTCTCCAGTAGAGGGTGGTAGTGTTCTGTGCCCCCAGCCTCTATCTGCGACCCTTCTGGGCTCTGTTCAGATGAATGAACTGATAAACTATTTTAATTGAATATCTTATTCTCACAGTACATAATGTAAACAAAGGCCAAAAAGCATTTATAGAGCATGTAATGTGTGGAGCACAGACCAGGTGCATTGGAGGCGTTGAAGATGACTGAATGCTGACCTCCTGAGGTGTTCCTGAAGGCAGTGCCACTTGTAGTCTTTAAGAGAATGGGCTGGAGAGGTGGGCACCTTGTACTGGGATCCTGGTGCTGCCACTGTAGGTGAAGTGATCTTAGAGGAAGTTATTTCACCTTTTTCAGTCTCTGGTTTCTCATCTGTAAAATGGGTACAATTATGCCTACCATTTGCTTCACCTCTACTAAACTAAAAACAGGGACCTGCTGGAAGGCACACACACAGACAAATACTCCCGTAAGACGAACATGCCATAGTCAAGGTTAGATAAGCTGCTGTGGCAGCAGAGTAGGGTGATGCATTCAGACTAGTAATTAGAAGGGATTCAAGGAAAAAGTAACCTTTGAGATGAGTGTTGAAGGTAACTAAAATTCTTTTGATCAATGGATGGAGAGGATGTCTGTAAGAGTATGAAGGGCATTCCAAACTGAAGGAACATAGACAGTTTCATTTTGTTTATTTATGTCTAAGGCTGTAAAACTCAGAGTATTTTACAAAGGCGATTCCATGTATCAAAACTATTAAGTTTCATTCAGCAAAAATTATATGTAGTGTAGAATTTTCCTATTAAGAGGTTTCCAAATGTCTGAGTTAATTCATCTAGGTACTCCCAAAGTTTATGTATTTAAAAGGGACAGTGGTTTCTAATATACTTTCTATTTGAAAACATCAACAAATAAAATAATTATTTAAATATTTTTCTTTTTAAGAACATTTGAGAGCTTCTAAATGTCTAGCGAGGGAAAGTATATTATGATTGGTGGAGTTGATTTATTATTTATATGAATAATTCTAGCTATGATGTGTTATGTCATTAAAAAATATTGGCTCACGCTTGTAATCCCAGCACTTTGGGAGGCTGAGGAGGGCAGATCACGAGGTCAGGAGATCGAGACTACGGTGAAACCCCGTCTCTACTAAAATACAAAAAATTAGCCGGGCGTGGTGGCGGGCGCCTGTAGTCCCAGCTACTCGGGAGGCTGAGGCAAGAGAATGGCGTGAACCCGGGAGGCGGAGCTTGCAGTGAGCCGAGATCGCGCCACTGCACTCCAGCCTGGGAGACAGAGCGAGACTCCATCTCAAAAAAAAAAAAAAAAAAAGTGTTCTTACTTATATATTGTTCAGTGTATAATCATGATAGACCAGTGATTAATGACAAGAAACAAAAAAACACTGATGTTAAAATACAAATGAATCACTTTTATCGTTGAAATTATTTTAATTCTGCAAATTCTTATTCTCAAGTTGATCTTCTCCAGATTTGTATGTTTCATTCATCTCATTAAAATTCTGTAACTCATTAGAATATCTGTAGTATTTCAAAAGCCAACATTTTTTAAAGATCATGTATTAATGATTGTCTTTTTCGTTATTAGCAATATAGGCTTTCACTTGCAATGTGGTATTTACAGAGAAAATATTTGCAAATAGACAACTGAAATCTTATGTTTTAGCTTACTATTCATAAAGACTTAAAGTAATGAAAATCAACCAGCTGAATTTTTTAAGCCCAAACTATTAGAATTCTAAACATCTTGTCATGTTGCTGTAATGCATAGTTAAAATTCAGTGTACATTTTTTACTTTGCATATGTTTGAATATTTCTATGATAAACAATAAAAAAATAGTATAATGAACCTCAAGTACCCATCGCCCAGCTTCAACACTCTGCCATTCTTATTTTTTCTAAATTTCTACATCCTCTCTTATTTTTAACAGTTGTTTTTAAGGCATAATTGACATACATTGAAATGTAAGAATCTTGGCTATAGAAGTTTTACAGATAGATACACCTATGTCACCCATAGACCTCTATCACAATATTGAATATTTTCATATCTCCAGAAATTCTCTTGTGTTCTTTGTCAGTGAATCCTCTCACTCCCAGACAATCAAGGTCCTAATTAGATTAGCCTTTTCTAGAACTTCACATAAATTGACTCATATACTACGCACTGTTTTGTGTAAGGCTTTTTCCACTCAGTGTAAGGTCTGTGTGATGCCTCCATTTTGTTGTGTATGGGAGTAGTTCATTCCTTTTTATTGCTGAGTAATATTCCATTATATAGGTATATCACAATTTGATTATCCATTCTATTGATGGACATTCTTGTTGTTTATAGCTATTTACTAATATGAATAAAGCTGCTGTGAACATTCTTGGAAAAGTCTTTTTTGTGGATTTATGTTTTCATTTCTCTTGGTAAAAGATCTAGATGTGGAATTGCTAGGTCGGAGGGTAGGTGTATATTTATAATAAGAAAAATTGTCAAACATTTTTCAAAAACTGTTGTAACCATTTTATATTCTCACTAGAAATGTATTAGAGTTACAATTGTCTCACATCCTCACCAATATTTGGTATTTTAATTTGGCATAGTGGTATCTTGTTGTGATTTTTACTTTGCATTTACCTCATGGCTAATTATTTGAGAACTTTTTAATGTGGATAATGGTCATTTGCATATCTAACCTTGTGAAGTATCTATTCAAGTCTCTCTACCCCTCTGTTTTTAACCTGCATTATTTTTCTTATTGAGTTGTAGGAGTTTTTTTTAAAATGTATTCTAAATACAGGTTATATGTCTGCTTTATGTTTTGCACATACTTTTCTCCCAGCCTGAGGTTTGCCTGTTTATTTTCTTAATAGTGTCTTTTGATGAATGGAGTGTTTAATTTTGGTGAAGTTTAATGTATCAATTTTTATACATTTTTGTGATTTTATTATCCTATCCAAGGAGTTTTTGCCTAATCCCAGGATATCAAAGGTATTCTATATTTTTATGACACTATTAGAGATTTAGATTTTAAGTTTACATCTATGATTCCTCTCAAAATAATTTTTGTATATGGTGTGAGGTAGGGGTTGAGGTTAATTTTTTTTTTTCACAGGGATATATAATTGTTCCAGCCTCATTTGTTGAAAAGATTCCCTTCCTCATTGAATTGCACTGGGGCCTTTGCAAAGAACCAGTCAATCATTTATAAGTGTAGATCTGTTTCTGGAATTCCTATTCTGTTTCAATGATTAATTTGTCTTTCATTATGGCAATACTACATCATCTTAATTATGCCATGTAGAGTAAGTTCTCCATCTTTGAGTGTATGTGTGTGTGTGTGTGTGTGTGTGTGTTTTAATTGTTTTTGGCAATCCTAGGCCCTTTACATTTTCATGTCTATTTTAAAACCAGTTTGTCAACTTTTATCTAAAACACCTGCTGAGAATATTATTAGGGTTACATTGAATTCATGAATTAATTTCAGAGAAATAAGGATCTTATATATTGAACCTTATAATCCATAGACATGATATATATCTTTACTAATTTAGGTTTTCTTTAATTTACCTCAGTGATTATTTGTAGTGTTCTATGTAGATCATTCTCTCTCAGTGAGGTTTTACAAGAGAAGTAATCCATAATGCTCGAATGCATCCTTCATATGTAATGAATTAACTTATTGCTTATGCATCTGGAAATGTATTAGCTTGTTAGACTTCTTTGGTAGAATCAAGAGTAGAGTCACAGGTTGGATGTGGTGACTTGTGCCTATAATCCCAGCAACTTGGGAGGCTGAGGTGGGAGGATTGCTTGAGTCCAGGAGTTCAAAGACCAGCTTGGACAACATAGTGAGACCCCATCTGAAAAAAAACAAAGAATAGAATCATTAAAATAACTTTTTGCTTAATTCTCTCATGGATTGGGGCAACATCTTGCAATACTGTGGTATAATATCACAACCAGTATATTGACACCAATTCAGTCAAGATATACAACAGTTTCATCACCACAAGGATCCTTTGGGCTGCCCTTTTATAGCAGACATAACTGTTTATAAAAGTTTACTTTTTACTTCTGGATGGTAATACTATAATTCTAAATAATATGTTTGGATTTATATTTATTTCAACAATGTCTCTCAATTGGTTTTAATGTTCACTTCCAGAGTTTTATTAGTTTTAAATCTACCATTGATATAGAGCCATTTTATAACTCTAAATAATATACTGCTATTTTTTATCTGACTCTACATAATACCTTCTTACCCCTATTAGGTAGAATGAGGACATTATCACCCTTCCACCTCACTTCTCTTCTCCTACCCACACTTTCTGTCTTCTGACTGCTGTCAGAAGACACCTTACTTTTACATTGTCAAGGTTTATATATTTTAAATCTAACTTTTATGCTTTCTTTTTTATTATAAGTTGATTTTTAGAGCTGAAAACCAATATAAATTATCTGTAACATTAAAATTATGCAAATATTCTTCACTGCAGAAGCAGACACTGTGACTGGACCCTTAGAGAAGGAATTATTCTGAGCATTAAATCTGTCTTGCTCAAAGTACATGTTTAAGCATTATTAAAGCATCATCCAAGGGCCCTTTTCCAACAACCTCCTTTTTTTTTCTCAAAATTTTATGACTCTTTAGTTTGCTTCATATTTAGATTATGGTTTTTTATACAGATTTTTAATTTACATAAAGCTTTTAATTCCAATTCTTTTTTTTTTTTTTTTGCTAAGCAAAATGAATTTATTAATAGCATTACTAAGATCGTCCAGGCTCTGAATCATAACTTGTTGAATGAAATCTACTTTCTTGAAGATGTTTTCTTGGAGACTCTATCTTCTAATTTGGACTCACTGGCTTCTAGATCTGTTATATAGCTGTCACTGTGGGATTCCCCCTAATCCCATTTTATTTCTAAATGAATTCCACATTTTCTTGGAATCTGCAGTTTTCTTTTTGGGAATTAGTTTTTTCTCCTGTGTGAGTCAGTCTTCAAGTAATTTTTTTCAGTAAGGGTGCATAAGAGGTAAGTGGAATCCTTCCCTGTCTGAAAATTTCTTATTTTCTCCACATGCTGAATTGTTTTCTTCTGACTTCACAGTGACTGCCAAGCCTCATGGTAGTCTGAGTCCTTTTCCCTTCTTGGTAACCTGAACTGGTATCTGATAGCTTTTAGGGTGTTCTCTGTATGTTCAGAGTTCTAAAATTACACCAGTGTATGTCTAGCTATTTTGTCATTTTTCTTCATCCTGTCCAGCACTTAGTTTGTTCTTTCATTCTGAAACTTGTGTCTTCCTTCAGGACTGGAGAATTCTGTTTTTTTCAGTTTCTCTCCTTTACTTTCTTTGTCCTCTCTTTTTGGAACTCCTATTCAATAGATATTGGACCTCTTCCATATCTCTTAATTCTTTTTTTTTTTTTTTACATTTTTAATCTCCTTTATTTTGCTCTACTTTATGGGAGGGTTTCTTGACATTTTGTTTTCTAGCCTGTCTGTTGCATTTCTTTTTATTTTCATAATTGTTATTTTTTTATTTCTGTAAACTCTCTTTTTCTGTGATTGCTCTTTTAATTTTTTCCCAGATTAGCTTCATGGATACAGTTTGTTCTCAAATGCCTTAGAGGATATCAATTTGAATTTTTATTTAGTTCTTTTCTTCTGTTGCTTAAATTATCTATTTTCTCTAGAATCATGTGTTTGTGTATTCATCTTGGTCCAATTTTGTGCTTTTGTTTTCCTTAAATGTCTTAGTGATTCTTTTTTTTGGTATATGTTAATTAACTAATAGGGGGATTAATACAGAGATTTCTATGTGGGGGATTAATGTTTCCTCCTGTCTTTTTGCTGGTGTAATTTTCCTCTATAGTTGTATTAGTTTGCAACCACAAGAGATCTCTAAAATGTAATCTTCAGTATATTCAATAATATATTGATTTAAAATCATTACTTTAAAGCACTTATTTATCACATACCAAATGAAATGGCAAAATGATCTTTTAAAACCCTAAGGAAGATGATATAATTTTATATTAATATGAGAAGGTTTTGAGAACCAAGCTTAAAACTTGATGATATGAGGAATAGCTGGATTACTAAAATTGAAAATTAGGGCTATCTAAGTTAATGGATTTATTGATGGGCATAGGTTTTCTTTTTAACAGCAAATATCACTCTTGTTCTGTTTCTATTGTGTCATGATTTGGATACCTATAAACCCCAAATACCTAATTTGTTTTTAGAAGCCATTGGCACACACCCTGTGTGAAGTGAGCACCTCCTGACAGGTTCACGCTGTGCAGGTTTTCCTCCCTCCTACTCGCTGGCATTTACGGTGCCACTGCCCCGGGCTGAGTGGGCTGGCCCGGAGGCTGGCTCTGGTCCCCAGCCCCTACTGCTGGGCAGATCAGCTGCTTCGAAAACCGCGTGCCAGCTCCTGAGGGCTGATCACCACTTGCCCCAGGGCAGGAGAAGCCTTGCAGGCTGCCAGATCTGAGTTCTTTAGTTTGTACTTTTGAGTAACTGGTTGTGTCTCTGACTCAGACTGTTTTATGAGTGCCACTTAAATTCTCAAAAAACCAGAGTGGCCTTACTTAAGCTGTGATGAGCGGAGTGTGGGAAGGAAGGTGGGTTGGGTTGGTGGACAGTGAGGCTGAGAATTGTTTTTCTCTGATCCCATGGAGCAGAAATGAGAAGGGAAGGGGCGTGTTTTGTGTCTGACCTGGAATTTTGTTCTCTTCCTTCCTCCCCCAGAGTGCCCTGAGTCATGAGGCCGAGAGATTCAGATTACTGTGAATTCTAGTTCTTATTGAACCCAGAATGGACCAGAAGGCCTCAGCATAGCCCTAGGACTTAGTGATCCATTCAGCATCTGTTATGAGTTGAATTATGTCTCCTCCAAATTTCTATGTTGCAGCCCTAACTCCCAGTATCTCAGGATGTGCCTATATTTGGAGACAGGCTCTATAAAGAGGTAATGTAGTTAAAATAGCCTAATCCAGTATGAATGGTATATTAGTTCATTTTCACACTGCTGATAAAGACATACCCGAGACTGGGTAATTTATAAAGGAAAAGAGGTTTAATGGACTCACAGTTCCATGTGACTGGGGAGGCCTCACAATCATGGCAGAAGGTGAAAGGCATGTCTTACATGGTGGCAGGCAAGAGAGAATGAGAGCCAAGCAAAAGGAGAAACCCCTTATAAAACCATCAGATCCCATGAGACTTATTCACTACCATGAGAACAGTATGGGGGAAACTGCCCCATGATTCAATTATTTCCCACTGTGTCCCTCCCACAACACATGAGAATTATGGGAGCTACAATTCAAGATGAGATTTGGGTGGGAACACAGCCAAACCATATCAAATGGTGTCCTTATAAGAAGAGGAAATCTGGGCACAGAGACAGAGAGACCAGACACATCTGTGCAATGAAGCTCATCCATGTGAGGTCACAGCAAGAGGGCTGTCATCTGCAAGCAAGAAGAGAGGGCTTAGAAGAAACAAAACCTGCCATCATTTTGGTCTTGGACTTCTATAGCCTGTGGTATTTTGTTGTTGTCATCTTAGCAACTAATATAGCATTTTTAGCCAAGAAATCCTGCTTTGTTCCCTGCTGCCCTCTCCAGGGATGGAGGAGGGAGGCATTCCCTGGGTGGAGCCTGGGCAAGGAGCCCTCATCACTGGATCCTAAAACCTGTGTCTCTGATTTTCCATAGACACTGGGGCTATCAAGGAAAGATTTTTGACTCATCTTGCCAAGTTCTAAACTATTTGGATATCAAACTTGGGTAAAGACCTAGTGAGGAAATCAGGGAGGCTGTAGTTAGGAGAATTTCACAGGCATGCAGAAGTAATGTCATGTAGGATGCTAGCTGAGATGTGTGGATAAGCATCAGTTGCCACATTGATGGGGCGATGGCAATAAGAGTCTGGAAACTCTGTTTTCCCAAAGAAACTGACATCCTCATAATCTCTTACGATCAGAGATCAAAATTTGAGGTGCCTTGGTTTGGTTGTACAAAGCTTCATACATGGAAATCCTTCTTTCTGTTGGATGTGTTTTATTTCCAACAGAAATAAAATGCCATGGCATTGTCTCCAATGCCATTGCATTATCATTGCCATTTCTAGCAGCAGAATTCTTTAATTTGAAAAAGTTGTTGAATTGTAATGGACCCAGTTCTAACCTAAGTTTCAGGTCAGTGACTTTGTATAATTCATTGGCTCTCTGTGTCTCAGTTTTCCTTATCTGAAAAGGGGGATAATTATTGCTGCTCCCCAGTGCACAGATACATTATTTTGATGTTGTGGGAGTGGGGTTTGAATTTGTAGAAAGAGAATGGATTTCAAAAAGGCCTTCTTTCCCCCATTTAATTTGGTCTTGAGAAAATGATGTAGCCTCTCTGAGCCTCAGTTCTCTCCTCTATAAAATGGGGATAGTAATGGTTACTCCAGTGGGGGGTGTGAGTATTAAATGAGAACATATGGAGAGCACCTTATGTTGATTCCTGCATGTTTTAAGGGCTCTATAAATGTTAGCACTTGATGATGATATTTTAAAATTATTGAAATTACTAACAAAAGGTGAGTTAGTTGCTTTAGATACTTAAGTATTATGCTGTCCCTTAAAGGGGCATCTGCTTAACAGATGGTTAGTTGACCATTTAGCTAATGGAAAGCAGTGTAAGATTTAGGATAATGTATGGAGATGTAACTAGAGAATGAGGTCTTGTTCCTTTGACCTACATGCTAAACTCTCAGTACATACCATCAAGCAGGCTTCCTCTAACTGTAACATGCACATAAATTCCCCGGAAATCTTGTTGAAATGCGAATTCTGATTCAGTACCTGGAGAGTCCGGGTTGGGTGCTGACATTCTGCATTTCTAAGAAGTTCCCAGGTGAGGGCGCTGCTGCGGCTCAATGTCCGGGTTTTGAGCGGCGAGGTCCCAGAGAAGATGGTAGAGCTAGCTATGATCCCAATCTGTAAGTTCCACTTTTTATCAACCAATTATTATTGTCTATCAACTTACATTAAGCTTCAGAAACATTTCATTTTGACTTTTCATGTCAAATTCCCCAGCTCTTGCTACTTTCCTGCCCCTGGCCTCTCTATTTAGTACTTAATGTCTTTTTTTTTCTTGTTTAAAGAATAATAACAATAATGACTAATATTTGTCAGGAATCAGGAACTGTTTCCTTAAATTTTCACAACATCCCATGAGGTAGGTATCATAATTATCCCCATCTTACAGGTGAGAATATGGAGATACGTATAGATAAAATAACTTGCTAAATCACCCAACTAGTGAGTGGTAAACCAGGACTATTTTAAGAGTTTATTTAAAGGAGCCCTTTTGTAAATGAGAATCCCCAGGGATAGCTGGCATAGTGCACCCCCCTTACCAGTTTTTGTTATGCCCCTTTAGGTTTTTGTCACATTTTAGAAAATGTAGAGCCTCCCTTCCAGGAGCCAGCAACTGTGGCATTCATCCAGAATGCAACCCCAAGTGACTGCAGAGTCTAGGAAGTCCGTGATGTTTTCTCAGAGTGGCACCCGGGCCAGAACCCACACAGCTCAGCTGTGGTTTGCTACCTTATGAGTGAAGGCTGTAAGAATGAAGGTCACAGCCAGCAGACAGATCCTGTAGGGTGTGTTCACATCCTTTCCACCTGCTTCTTTCACAATTTGAGTATAAATTCAATTTTTATCAACCGAATATTATTTTCTATTGATTTACTTCTGGAGTACTGACTTCTGAAAACTTCAGAATATTTTTATTTTTCATCTTACATAGGCAGGGCTTTTGCTACTATTCTGCCTGTGGCCTCTGTGTCTAGTACTTTAAAAATGATTAAAATAGACTGGGCATGGTGGCTGATGCCTGTAATCCCAGCACTTTGGGAGGGCAAGGCGGGAGGATGGCTTGAGGCCAGGAGCTCGAGACCAGCCTGAGCAACACAGCAATAACCCAATCTCTACAAAAAAAAAAAAAAAAGTTTTTTTAAAATCAGCCAGGCATGGTAGCATGTGCCTGTGTCCTAGCTGTTTGGGAGGCTGAGGTGGGAGGATCACTTGAGCCTGGGAGTTCAAGGTTACAGTGAGCTATGATCATGCAACTGCACTCCAGCCTGAGTGACAGAGCAAGACCCTGTTTCTGAAAGAAAAAAAAAAAGAAATAAAAAGAAAGAAAGAAAAAACGCTTAAAATTATATCAGCAACAACACCCTACCTGCAAGCCTGCGCTTATATGGCTGTGCGCTGTGCGAGGAAGAGCTGCAGGGGATAGACCTGAACCCTATGATGGATGACAGGGACACGTCCTGTAGGGGCAATGTACTTGGCGATCTGGAGAGAGTGCACGCATGAGAGCATGTTGCTCAGAGCCTGTGGCTGGTCCACTCCTGCCTTGGCTACTCATTCTCTCACTTGCTGTAGTCACTTACACTCACAGGCCTTCATTTTCCTCCTTTTTAAAATGAAAGGATTGGGTAGGTTGGGGATTTTTCAACATGTGTGTTTATTTTTAGCTATGGAACCCTTTCTTCAGATGAAGGCTCACCTGGAAGCCCAGAAAATAAAGCATAAGAGCTGAATTTTCTTTGGTGGAAGTCGGACCCAGAACCAACTCTCTGCCTTCCCCGCGCTGCATCCCTCACCGATCCCAACACAGCCTCCTTCTTCTGTTAGCTAGAAAACAGCTGGCCTAGATAATAGGAAGCCTCCCTTTAGCCTCCACACTGTGCCTGTGCACTCAAAGGAATAAAACATGGGGTTTCAGAAAGCCAGTGTTAGGGAGGAGTATTTGCTAAAGGCAGTTTTGTTTCTAACTCCAGTGGCTGGTTATTATAAACCCTAAAATGATTCAGCAAGGTGTCCTTGGTGTTGACTTATTTATTTTGCAAGGTTTAAATGCATTTTTTTTGTGTGTGTGTGAGATGGAGTCTTGCTCTGTTGCCCAGGCAGGAATGCAGTGGCACCACCTCAGCTCACTGCAATCTCTGTCTCCCGGGTTCAAGCAATTCTCCTGCCTCAGCCTCCTGAATAGCTGGGACTACAGGTACCCGCCACCACGCCCGGCTAATTTTTTTATTTTTAGTAGAGACGAGGTTTCACCATATTGGCCAGGCTGGTCTCAAACTCTTGACCTTGTGATCTGCCCGCCTTGGCCTCCCAAAGTGCTGGGATTACAGCCATGAGCCACCACTCCTGACCCGTTTTTTTACTCTATTATTAAAAATACTTTATCCTTTTGAATTTAGACTTTTGTGACTGGAAGTTTCTTGTTTTGGAGATGATGGGGGGAAAGGTTTTTTGGGGAAATATGGAAGATCATTGCAAGGAACAGAGTAGAAAGGTTTTGTTTGTTTGTTTGTTTTTGACAAGCTCTATAATGTTGTGATGTGTATTGAGCAGACTAGCCTATCTTCCTTTGCTGACGCAATAATCTTGGAAGAGACAAAAGTTGAAAGGAGGCAGACACAAGACATGAAGAGTTTCAGAAATCTTTGAAATCTTTGAAAGTCTTTTTGAAAGTCTTTGGAATAATTAGTTCACTTGAGACCATCAATAAAATGCTTGCTTTCATTGGTGACTGGGTATGAATGTCTTACTGTCAGCAGAATTGTTAACTAGAGAGGGTAATACAGAATGTTAAATAAATTTGAAGTCTCCCAAATTAAACTGGAGAGCTGAATTGAAGTCAATGATCTGGAGTAGCATTCTTATTCTTAGTAGAATATGGCATATTTTCTCTTCCCACTGACTTTGAATGAAGCTTCCATGGAGAAGGTGGTGGAACAGCTTAGAAGTAATACACACTGAGTGAACAGTGCAGGAGAGAGACAATGATGTAGTAACATTTCTTGGGCAGGTATGTGTCTTCTAGGTGTTTATTCTGTTTTCCTACCCTTTCACAACAGCAAAAATCTGTATTAAATGTAGCCTTCTGGGTATAGCACAGTTGATAAATATCCTCTTTCATTCTCTGGGGGTGAAGCTATGTGTGGAATATTTTGCAATTGCTGTGGTCATGTATCACTCATGTGCCAAATGAAAATGGTAATGAATGTGGAAGTTATAAAAAATCCACACTAAAGTAAGTCATTATGATTTAACCCAATGCTTCATCTGTTTACAATGAAAGAACATAGAATCTCCTTGTTCTGCAGTAATTTGTTTCCTTTTAGACTTTATCATTACAACTTTTTCAAAGGCACCAAGAGTGGAATCCCCTGATTCCTGCAACTTATTTGCATCAAATGAGTCACCAAAGAGAAATGCCTGTTGTTTTTGCAGGGAATACAGCATGCATTTTAATCCTCTCTAACATAGCAGACTGGGAGGGAGTGAGAGGCAGAACGAAATGGATAAAAGGGAGAGGAGAGAGACATAGAAAGTCCATCACTGCAACTTCTTAGCTGTGTATGCAAATGTAAAAACTGTTTTATGGATACCACTAAGTGCATTCCGCTTCTAGTTATTCGTTTATATGAAAAAAATTCATGCAAATAACAGCATTGATATTAATTAATTGGCATCCACGTGTATTCTTTCAGCAGAGCTACAAGAAGAAGCTGTGAGAATGTTGAGGTGGAGCCATTGATCACGTCTCATAATAGCACAGAGATCAAGACATAGAGATCCGAGTTCAAATCTGTGCTCTTCTGCATACAAGATGTGACTCTGAAAAAAATTACTGTCTTTAGGCTTAGTTTTCTCATCTTTTAAAGAGGGATTCATAATTGTCCTTATCTCCTAAGGTTGTTAGAAGGAACAATTGAAAGATGCATGTCAGAAATGTTTACTATAGTCAGAATAACTATTTGAAAAATATTAGCCAGGGCCTGGCGAGGTGGCTCGCACCTGTAATTGCAGTACTTTGAGAGACCAAGGCAGGAGGATCAGTTGAGGTCAGGAGTTCGAGACCAGCCTGGCCAACATGGCGAAACCCAGTCTCTATTAAAAATACAAAAATTAGCTGAGTGTAGTGTTGCATGTCTGTAGTCTCAGCTCCTTGGGAGGCTGAGGTGGGAGAATCACTTGAACCTGGGAGGCAGAGGTTGCAGGGAGCTGAGATCGCACCACTGCACTCCAGCTTGGGCAACAAAGCAAGACTCCATCTCAAAAAAAAAAATAGGCTTTTGCAGACGCTGCCGCCACCAGGAGCCCTGTAGTATCAGCCATAGTCAATCCCACGGTGTTCTTCAACATTGCCATCAATGGTGAGCCCTTGGGCTGCATCTCCTTTGAGCTGTTTGCAGACAAGTTTCCAAAGACAGCAGAAAACCTTCGTGTTCTGGGCATGGGAGAGAAAGGATTTGGTTGTAAGGGCTCCCGCTTTCACAGAATTATTCCAGGGTTTATGTGTCAGGGTGGTGACTTCACACGCCATAATGGCACTGGTGGCAAGTCCATCTATGGGGAGAAATTTGATGATGAGAACTTCATCCTAAAGCATACAGGTCCTGGCATCTTGTCCATGGCAAATGCTGGACCCAACACAAACGGTTCCCAGTTTTTCATCTGCACTGCCAAGAGTGAGTGGTTGGATGGCAAGCATGTGGTCTTTGGCAAGATGAAAGAAGGCATAAATATTGTGGAGGCCACGGGGCGCTTTGGGTCCAGGAATGGAAAGACCAGCAAGAAAATCACCATTGCTGACTGTGGACAACTTGAATAAGTTTGACTTGTGTTTTATCTTAACCACCAGACCCTTCCTTTTGTAGCTCAGGAGAGCACCCTCCACCCCATTTGCTTGCAGTATCCTAGAATCTTTGTGCTCTTGCTGCAGTTCCCTTTGGGTTCCATGTTTTCCTTGTTCCCTATGCCTAGCTGAATTGAAGAGTTGAGTTAAGTTTATGATTATGAAATTAAAACTAAATAACTATAAAAAGTTAGCCCCATTTTGGGGTGGTGGTGGCAGATGCTAAGGGGCAGCATCAAGCAGTGATTAGGATAAGCATCAAGTCAGGAAATGGATTCCCATGTACTCACTACTCTTCCCTGTCCAGCTTATTGTTGAATGTAGAGAGTCCAGTTTTCTGTGTGCTAGAAATTTCATCTCGAATCTTTTTTTGAAAGATACTGATCATAAAGAGAAAAAAAAAAGGAAAGGAAGGAGGCAAGGAAAGGAAAAGAAAAAGAATTAACAGAAAAAGTGCGGCCAGGTGCGGTGGCTCATACCTATAATCCCAGCACTTTGGGAGGCCACGATAGGTGGATCACTTGAGACCAGGAGTTCAAGACCAGCCTGGCTAACATGGCGAAACCCCGTCGCTAATAAAAATACAAAAATTAGCTGGGAGTGGTGGTGCACACCTGTAATCCCAGCTACTCGGGAGGCTGAGGCATGAGAATGGCTTGAACCCGGGAGGTGGAGGTTGCAGTGAGCCGAGATCGAGCCACTGCACTCCAGCCTGGGCAACAGAGTAAGACTCTGTCAAAAAAAAAAAAAAAAACCAATATACAAAAAACAAAAATGGTGGGTGAACTCTGTCATCTTCATTTATTCTAAGGTAGATAGGATGGGTATTATTGGCCCATTTTACAGATTTGGAAGACAGGTGATTTGCCTAGGATCATTGGTGAGCTGATGATAGGACCAGGACACGAAGCTGGGTCTTCTGCCTCTTCCTGGTCTGGCACATGCTGGATGGCAATTTCTGCCTGAACTTGATAAACTGCCCTGTACAGTAGCCATGAGGTGAGAGAAGCAGCCTGCTACGATGGCCTCCCTCTCTGCAGCCTCCGTAGAGACAGGGACTACCCATCAGCCGTCTTTGTGAAAGAGATTAATTCAGGAAAATCTCTTGAAAGCAGAATGTGACTCAGAAAAATGATTCTTCTGACGTCAATAATAAGAACCCCTCCCTGCACACATACAGTCTTTGAGTATTCAGACTTTTTGGAAAAAGCATAAACAGCCTTTGGGTATACGCTAAATTTTTGGACTGCTGAACTTGTCTTTTATATCACCCTACCATTACTTCAGGCATGAAAATGGCTTTGGCATCTTCTCTGATTACTGATTCATCCAGAGCTGTTTTAATATTCTTGAGAATAGTTTTAGCATCCTGGGCACAGTCTCTGATTCTAGCTGCTTATGTCCAAATCCCAACTGTACTCCTTGTTAGCGGAGTGACTTTGGGCAATTTCTTTAACTTCTCAACTTTTCTTTAATTGCCTCATCTTTAAAATGGAGACGATGATGGTCCCTGTCCTAGAGGGTTATAAGAAATCAATGAGGGAATCTTTGTTCAATGCCTACAGAGAGTGAGCCCTCGGTCAATGTGAGCTATGAACAATAATGAGGCCATTGTCTTTGCAGTTTATGAAGCTTTGCAGTTTATGAAGTTTATAGGACCAATGATTTGGGCTTATAATTGAATATGATTGGCGTACAAGTTCAGGAAAATGACAAACATTACTTTTTTCCTGTGCCTTTCTAGATAAAGTCTAGACGTTTCTTGATTACATGAGTTTTTTCATATAAAAAGAATAATTAGAAGCGGAATGCACTTAGGGACCGTATGTAATAGGGGTTGATAACAGAAAAGCTCATGAAGTTTCATTTCCAGTCACAAAAATAATTTCATGGGACCCACCTGGAAATTATAAGCAGAAATTGGAATGAATATTAGCACGGAGGACGTAGTTGTGTGCTATAAGGACCATTTCTAGGTTAAGCTTTCTGTTTAAGTGTGTGGTGAACTGCACACTCCTTTTATTAGGTTGGGACAAAAGTCACTGCATTTTTTGCCATTACTTTCAACGGCAAAAACCACAATGACTTTTGCCCCAACCTAATAGTTCTGGAAACTGCTCTCCAACAAAGTTGTATAGCTGAGCTTGGGATGGGACCAATGATTTGGGCTTATAATTGAATATAATTGGAAGACAAGTTCAGGGAAAATGCCAAATCATTACTTTTTTCCTGTGCCTTTCTAGATAAAGTCTAGAAGTTTCTTCTTCCTTATTGAATCTGACCTTTTAAGAAATTTAGTTTTTATCTTTCCCAAAGGAATCATTTTTCATGTGGAATTCAATTTGCTTCAAGTTTCTGTCTCTTCTGCTTAGTTTAAAAGATGAGGCCAAGGCCCTCTGAATGTTTTGTTACTGATATCTGCTATTTTTCACTCTCAGCCCTGTCATAAATTACATGGTGGTAAGCTTTGTCTCCTATTCTGTAATTGCAAAGCAGGCCTAGGCGAGGTCTTTTAACATAATCTGTTGTAAGGTATCCTGTTTGCCTAAGAACACAGCAGCATCTGTGTTACCAGGGTACGACAGCATCACTATCGGTCATACCTTAATTGCAAACAGAGCCAAACATGTTGGCCTATTGTAGCCATTCAAAATGTTGCAAGGCAGAAGAGAATTGTTCTCCTTATATATCCTCTGCTGGCCTTGGGCAAGTCCCTAAATTTTTGGCTTTGAAACTTCTTATCTTTGAAACTGTGATGGAAATTATCTCTAAAACCCTTTCTAGCCCTCTCCTTCCTCAGAGAAATGTTTTCCAAGCTCTGTTTTGTGAAAAGTTCATAGTTGTACTGGGTTGGGGGTTCTCTGGTTGAATAAATTCAGGAAATGCTTCTTATCTTATTTATCTCTTAGTTACAGGCACACTTGCATATTAATACATAGTAAGTCCATGGTTAAGAAAACTGTTTAACAATATTTAATTAAGCATTTCTCAAATACAGGTGAAGATGCAATTTTAAGCATTTGTATTTGTTTTGCTAAGTGACGGTCACTTTCCTGTGAAGGGTTCTAGAAGCGTGGTTGGGAAAGATTTCTGCTCTGTGTTTTTAAGATAAGGAACACACAACCGTGTCTCTGATTTCAAAATGACATGGTATAAGCTCCATTGCTATTTAATTAGAAAGTGGTTGTTTGAGGCCGGGCACTGTGGCTCATGCCTGTAATCGCAGCACTTTGGGAGGCTGAGGCGAGAGGATTATTTGAGTCTGGGAGTTTGAGACCAGCCTGGGCAATATAGGGAGACTCTGTCTCTATTAAAAAAAAAAAATAGCCGGGCATGGTGGCACATGCCTGTAGTCCCAGCTACTCGGGAGGCTGAAGCAGGAGAATCACTTGAACCTAGGAGGTCAAAGCTGCAGTGAGCTGTGATTGTGCCAATGCAATCCAGCCTAGGTGACAGAGTGAGACTCTATCTCAGAAAGAAAGAGAGATAAAGAGAGAAGAAGGAAGGGAGAAAGGAAAAGAGGAAGGAAGAGAGAAAGAAAATTGTGCATTTTAAACAAGTTTCTAGGCAGTTGGTTTCACCTCTTTTGTTTTTGTTTTTTTTTTTGAGACGGGGTCTCACCCTGTCACCCAGGATGGCATGCAGTGGTGTGATCATGGCTCACTGCAGCCCCAATCTTCTGGGCTCAAGCAATCCTCCTGCCTCAGCCTCCTGAGTAGCTAGGACTATAGGTGCAGGCCGCCATGCCTGCCTAATTTTTTTTTTAATTTTTAGTAGAGACAAGGTCCTGCAATACTTTCCAGGCTGGTCTGAAATTCCAGAGCTCAAACTATCCTCCCATCTCGGCCTCCCAAACTGCTGGGATTACAGGCATGAGTCACCACACCTGGCCAGTTTCTTGACTATAATAAATCATCAACCAAATTGTGGTTCAACTAACACAAGTCAAATTTGGAGGACTATGATTAGGAAAGAATCACTTTATTGCTTAACATTCAAAAAAATCAAAGTTTCAATATTGGATTGCCTGCTCCCCCACTTTGCCCCTGTCCTGCCTTGTAAAAGGCAAGGAACCAATGCAATGCAGGTTATTTTTAAACTAGCACCCTATTTTAGCCCCTGAAAATAGCTGTAGCTCTGTACTTGGTTTCTTCTCTCATTTAATATCAAGTAGGAATAATACTTCGAGATTTAAAGGAGTAGGAAAAACTAGCCTCCATTACATTTTAAATGCAGGCTAACAAGAATAAAGAATGCAACGATGAAAGACTTCCATCCTTATGGTAAAAATCCCAAGACACTAACAAAAAACACATTAGGCTAAAATATGGAATCACTATCATGAGAATGCAAGGCATTAGGTGTAATCAGAAGATTTCAGTTGATGCGACTGGCCTTTGGCAGCAGCTGACACATGACAGCTCTGCAAATGGCAAGCATTTTATCAACGAGCAATCCAGTTGTGATTCTTTGTCTGGCGCCTGGTGCTACAGCCAAGTCAGGAGGACGTTATCAGAGGCACCAAGTTCCAGGCAGTAGCCTGGACCAGGGGAAGGGCACATAGGGTGACCCATGAGGATGGCTGTCTACCCGAGTCATTTCAAAACAAAATAAAAAAGCCACTTAGCTGGGGAAGAGAGTAAGCCAGGACTCTTCAATTAATCAAACTTTGCATTTGGCCAATGTGTTTCAAATAGTCTTGTTTTCCAGTGGATTGATTATAGGCCTTACATTAAATTAATATCTCACAACGGGTGCTGCTGGTTACATCTTTATTGGAGGAATTAAATGTTTTACCCTCACATTTAAAGCAATTATGCCAGTTTCCTCCTATTTCTTAGCCAATGTGTGTATCTGATGCCAAGGATATTTGTCCTAAGGGTCTTTTTCCATTTAAACTGTCTTCATAACTTTTCCAATATGCAAAATTCCCGGTGTTCAAAAATAACTGTGAGAAAAGTTGGATTGTGGGTGGTGGATAATCCAGCCCAACATCAGGGCATTACTGACGAAAGGAAAAAAATGCCTCTTTCCTGAGTCTTTCCGGATGAGGTCATTGTTTTCAGACAGCTTGTATACCTAATATAAAAAGGCTCAAAGTCCACGGCTCGTCTCATACCAGGAGTTTGTCAGGGAACTGTTTCCAAAGCCATAATGAATAATCAGGCTGTTAGTAAAAGAAGCCTCTCCAAGTTATAGCATTTTTTAAAAATTCTAGTAGTGAAGAAAATAATTAAAAGCCCATCTGGTTGAGATAGTAATTCATTAAGGAAAAAGAGGAGGCAGAAGGCTGGGGAATAATCGATCCTTTTCTTTCTTTATTTCATGTGTTTCAGTTATTGTGAAATGATAGTGATCAAAATCTGGATTCTGGATTGTGCAGAATGCAGGAAAATCCTAGGAACATTCTTGGCGTGTTCTAATAGTGGCTTCCCAGAAACGAGTGTTTTCAGTGGGTGTGGCGTCATTGAGCTGATGTGCTTTTGCAAGGGGTCTCTTTAGAAGTGGTAGGGGCAGGGTCGAGAGAAGAAGGGGATGCAGAATCTGTACATGAGGAAGGAGCCAGAGTCACTCAGGAAACTCCTCATTCTTCCTGCGCTGGCTGTGGCACACCCACCGGTGGCACACCCCTCCCTCGGGTCCAGTTCAGCCCACAGACTCCTGGGAGGAGAGCCAGGGCCCCAGCCTCTCCTTTGAGGAGTGTTGCAGCCTTTCTGTGTGCCAGATGCCTAGTGAAGAAAAGCTGAAACCCTGGAGCTTTGTGCATGTTAATGACCTTGGAAATGACTGAGCTCACGGACCCTCATCACACCATGGGAGACTACAAAGGTTAGACCGTCCATTTTGTAAAGTCAGCATATATTCTGTCTGGGGTCGACCGTGTCTTTAAAGATGAGGAAAGATGCAGGGCTTTTCCATTTGATAAAATTGTTTTACACTTATGATAATAAGTAAAAGATTGTTTTACAATCTATTTCTGTGATAGTACATATCTGTATAAAATGCACATCTTATTTGTCAACATATTTACATATATTCTTAATATAACAGGATGTTAAAATCGACATGACTCTTTTGTAGCAGTAGCCCAGCTCAACTCAACCAACAGTAGGTTGGTCCTTTGGGCACATTAAAAGGCATCTTCAGTGACTGTGGGCAAACACCTGTGATCCTATTTCTGGGCATTTTGTTTGAGTTTGGATGTCATCTCTAGGATGCTTTCCCTACAGTTGTGTTTGATGGGAGAGTTTGTTCCGTGGTGAGGCTGGCTGGCTTCAGGAGTGCCCCGGCTGGTCCTGCTCAGCATCCCCAGGGGCCGACAGCCAACACCACGTCCAACAGAACTGCAGAGGGTGGCCCCACGCAGTCTCACAGGCTGCTCCATTGAAACCTAGGGACTGTGGCGATCGGTTGCTGATTCCTTTGATACTGGACCCCTTAAGATAAGAGAGTGTAACTTATTTTGGTTCCTGGAGAGTAGACTCGTGGGTAATTCCAGATACGGCAGGTAGGCTGGGCCCCCTCCCTCCTTCACTTCCAATCTCGCCACTCTTCTCTGTTTCGCAGGACCTCCGGTGAGCTTGGGTTTGCCTTTGTACCCAGGACTGGTAGGACTGGGGAGCCGGGTCTGCTACACTTCACATGTATACACTTGTTACGAGGTACAAAGGAATCTGAGGTTGGCACACGCTGTAACTGATGAATAATTCATGGTGGCTTTTTATGCCACACAGTTTTCTCCTGTAAATGAGCATGATTTTGAAAGACTATGCTGATTTAAAAGTCCAGTAATGTGGTTTCCTATTCCTCACTGACCTGCCTTGGACGTTTACTGGAAAGACGAAAGTTGACAAACATTAGAATAGGAAAACTTAAAGTGGACGATGGCCCCACGTGGGTGGTCAGCCAAGAACAGCCCTCCCCTGTTCTTTCTAAAGGATAACGTCACCTCAGGTTTACACAAGATTCTTTGACATTCTGGACTTTCCTCAAATATAGAATTTGAATTTTAATAAGGACACTATGCATATTAATTAGAATGCATTCGTGTATTCCTGATACATTTAGAGTGGAAAACTATGATGCTATGTCTTTTCCAACTGAATGGGGTCCTAGTGATAAAATTAGAATATCTCAAGATGTCTAGATGTCTTTATTTAAATGAATTTAAAGTCCTCTGTTTTTCTTGTACTGTACAAAGAGTGGATTTTAGTTTGGCTTTCCAGAAAGATAGGGCAGGTTTTGGAAGAAATCTTACACGCAGAGAGACTGTAAGTAAACAGAGTAAGTGATACATCTAATTATATTTTTAGTGGTCAAGCCAGAAAGAACAACGTTCTTTCTCTTCCTTGTTTTTTAACTACTCTCCTCCCTTCTACTCCGTGGCATATTTTTAAGGTATTTGGAGTCTTTCCACTTGCTACCAGCTGGAATCTACAGAAACCGTATCTCTAGAACACTCAGCAGTTGACTTGAAGCTCAGTCATAATTAAATTGGAAGTTGGCAAATTATTCCAAGACTTAAAAACAGGCACACCTTATGTTTGGAACATAAGGGGTTTTGCTACTCTGCATTGTTTTAAATGTACTCTCTATAGGGAATATGGGCAATACTTTTAATTAGCTTTTTTTAAACAAAAGGATATTTTGAAAGGATATGTAATAAATAAGTCTGACCCTGCTTACATTTTATTTATTATTCTCAGTAGCTGGTTCCCGGATGTTTTAAAACAACAGCAAAGCTTGCAGCTGTTCATCCATCTCTCTTTAGTAAGAGAAGATCATCCTGTCCTTTCTCTCCTGGCACAGCTTGAAAGCATTAGCTAGTTAGGTGGCTGCTGATTTAAGACTTTGATACAGTGACTTACAACCTTCTGCTCTAAAGGATATACTTAGAGCTAGTGTTTGTTTACAATTAATAGTAATTTAGGACTTTGAGATAGTCAGCCGTTAATTTTATATTAAAATCTGACTGCTGACATGTATGTCTCCATCGTTAACATAGTTTAAATATTGGGGTGGTAGCCAGGATAGCAATTCAGAATATTGGGATTTTACAAGACTTATCACTAAATGTCATTCATTTCCAAAAAGAGGGAAAATGCATCGTGCCGATTAGCACTACTTTTAGGTTTCATATGAGAGAATGGAAATGCCAGACAGGTTTTCCTGCTTCCAAAGGCAGTCACAGCTGCCACTGCAAATGAGCGCTGCCACAGTCGGTGACCAGTGGGTCAATCAGAGCATGACATTGCCAGGAACGTGCCCCAGGAGTGGGAGCAGGCAGCATGCTCGGAGAATTGGGCACTGGATTTCCATAAAACAGTCAGCAATAGACTGAGTCTTAGGAGCTTCTGTCTGAGTCATAGGCTCCCCAGGCTTGTGACCACACCAGGGTACCTTGAATATCTTCCTGGAACAGGAACTCCCCAAGCCTGCTATCACTCTTCTTTGTAATATTTTGCCTGGGAAACATATGTCCTGCTGTCATGTGAATTGAAGTGGCGTAGAGAGTTAGAAGGGGATGTAGTATACACAGTGCTCTTGGGAAAATGCCAGCATGTTCATGGGGTGGCATTATTTTGTGGGAAGCACATCCCTGGTGACTATTTTTAAATGGTTTAGGCCAGGCGTGATGGCTCATGCCTATAATCCCAGCACTTTGGGAGGCTGAGGCGGGCAGATCACTTGAGGTCAGAAGTTCGAGACCAGACTGGCCAACGTGGTGAAACCTCATTTCTACTAAAAATACAAAATTAGCCAGGCATGGTGACACACGCCTGTAATCCCAGCTACTCAGGAGGCTGAGGCAGGAGAATCACTTGAACCCAAGAGGCGGAGGTTGCGTTGAGCTGAGATCGTGCCACTGCACTCAAGCCTGGGCAAAAAGAGCAAAACTCTCTCTCTCAATATAAAAATTAAAATAAAAAATATATAAAATGGCTAAAATGGTCTGGTAGCCCCATTTTCCATATATAAGGTAATGCTGGTTGTATGACTAGCTAAATGTACCTGCAGATTCATGGATTAATCAGCCACTTCACTGATTGTGGCTCTTGGCCCCACCCACATCTTTATTTTTTTACATTTAGAGTGACTGTCACTGTAATAGTCTGTCTCTAATTGGTAGCTTCATCAGGGAGGGTCTCCTGGTGAGTCATAGAGCCATCCCTATACTTGGCATTGGAGCTGTTAAGTAACATTCTGCTGTAATTAATTTACAAGCACTTTTCAACAGGTGGCAGGCACCATGCTAGGGACTGTTCAGAATAAATCTCTGTCATTTAGAATGATAATCCTGGAAGGTCCACTGGCATATATGGGCAACTAACCAACATGAGACATTATGTAATGACCTGAGCAAGAGTGGAGAATGCAAGTGTTGGGATAAATGATGTGAGAGGATGTCATCATCTAAAGATGTTAGAAAGCTGGCTAGGGAAGGCCCGGGGGATCCTTCGGGATATAGATGACCTCGCTGGTTAGAAGGGGCAGATCTGAGCATGGGTCACCATGGCTCCAGTATGAAGGAAGGGTGCCTCTTGTCCTCAGAAACCATTTCTGCCCCTTCCACACTGCCAGAGCCACAGAGGATTGGGGATTTATTTTCCCCTTGCTAACATGATTGTTCTTTGGTAAATTTCAAAGTGATTTTAACAAATATAAATGCATAACTATGGACTTGTAGAAGGAAAGCATGCTCCTTTTGAGCATGATGCACTGGTGAAGTGCTTGAGCTCTAGAAGCAGAGAGATTTGGTCAGATGGCAGCTTGGACACCTACTAGCTGTGTAATCTTGGCCAAATTTCTCAACTTCTCTAAGCCTCAGTTTCCACATCTGTAAAATAGAGATAACAATACTGTCTGCTTTATAAGATTGTGAGGATGAAGTGAGAATATCTATAAGACTCATGGCACAGTGCCTCCCGCGTAATAATGAATGGGTTATATAATTGGCAATTAGAGTTCCATCTGGGAGATTCAGATTCTTGCAAATTATTTATAACGTTGAACAGTGCTATGAATCCAAGGCCTTGATTCTAGTTTGGTAATTTTATTTTAGTTTTATGTCTGTGTGTTTTGCTTATTTTTAATTATAAAAATCATGTAAGAATAGGCTTTCATTGTAAAAATTTCAAACACTACATGAGAGGCAAAAGCTCCCTTTGACCGCTGCCCAAAATTAGGGGATAACAACTATTAGCTGTTTTATTTATCTATTTTATTTTCATCAAAGTAATCCATATTCCTAGTTTTAAAAGGCAGATAGTGTCTTCTCGCATGAATGGGAGACAAAGGAATGAGAGAGCCAAAGAGTATAGAGTTTTTCTGGCCTGACTTCTTAGGATGACGAAAACTGGGGCATTTCTGTTCCAGAATGTGGCATTTCCCAATGAGACATTTTGCATTTTTATGTTTCATGGTTGAATAAACATGCAATTTATTAAAAGGTTTAAGATATTTCTTTTTTTTTTTTTTTTTTGAGACGGAGTTTTGTTCTTGTTACCCAGGCTGGAGTGCAATGGCAGGATCTCGGCTCACTGCAACCTCCACCTCCAGGGTTCCAGCAATTCTCCTGCCTCAGCCTCCTGAGTAGCTGGGACCACAGGCACACGCCACCACGCCCGGCTAATTTTGTAATTTTTAGTAGAGACAAGGTTTCTCCATGTTGGTCAGGCTGGTCTCAAACTCCCGACCTCAGGTGATCCACCCGCCTAGGCCTCCCAGAGTGCTGGGATTACAGACATGAGCCACCACTCCCGGCAAGGTTTAAGATATTTCTAACTTGGCCTGTTTGGTGGGGAGAAAATTAATAGCAAACAACAGGGGTCTGGCAAGCCCTCAGAAGAGCAGGCAGCACACTTTTTCTGTAAAGAGCCAGATAGTAAGATTTTAGGTTTGATGAGACATATGGTTGGTGTCATGCTGCTTTCTTTCTCTTTCTTTCTTTCCTTCTTTCTTTCTTTTTCATCATGCTGACACAGAAGGGCAAGACAGCATGTAGAAATATGCGTGACCTCTTGACGGCTAAGTTCATAACTGGCACACTGTCACTTCTTTATTCTATAAGCCAGATGAGTCACATCATCAATTCCAGTCTCAAAGTGAGAGGGCATTCAAAGTTACATGGCAAAGGGCATGGATATAAGGAGGGGTGATAAATTCAGCCAATGATATAATCCACCATAGCTTCTATGCAGTACCAGTGGTATTGGCATGAATAGACATGCACTGAGACTCAGTGAAATAAAATTATTATGCTCAGTTAACCTGAAATACTTTATTCTTGGTTTAAAAAAGAAAATAAAAAGACAATCTAACCCTAGGGAACTTTCTAACAAACTCAAGGAAATGGTACACAGATGAAACCAATGAATAAGATGTTTATAGAGCAAACAGCTAAGAAATACAAGATTTGAATGCTTTGTGTGATTAGCCTAAAGCATACTTTTTCTGTGAAGGGCACAATAGTAAATATTTGAGTCTTTGTGAGCCAAATGGTCTCTGCTGCAACTACTCAAGTCTGAGATTGTAGCACAAAAGCAGCCGTAGACAATACATAAATAAATGGACATGGCTGCTTTCAACAGAACTTCATTTACAAACACAGGCAGCAGGCATTAGTTTACAGACCACTGCCCTAGACTACTGAAAGAAATAAGAAAGAGTCAGCTGTGGAAGACTTCTTGAAAAAGAATCCGTGGTTTCAAAGGCGATAAAGATTAGTTTAGCTTAACGAGACATGCTTTAGAAATGAAGTCAGAAAACAATTATATGATTGTTCAATAAATTTGCCAACAGGTTAATGTAGTTAGTTCAGTCAGAATGAAAACAATAATGAAAACTCATCATTCTTTCAAAATATTACTTGGTACTAATTATTTCTGCTCTAAAACCCTGTTTGAAAACCTGTTTGCTAAGAACGTTCATGTTTTTGCTTAGCTGGAGAATGAGGAAAAAAAAAAGGATTAGAAATAAAATGAAAGAAATACCTAATTAAAGTGATTTGATTTTATGCCACTTTAAAACATTTATTTGATTGATATGACCTAGATGTGTGTAAAGGAACTAAAGGAATTAAAAAAGAATGGTTGATTTTTAACCATCAGGAAACCATGCAAATTCAAGTGAGTATTTTTCTATTGTCAGTTGTATTTCACCTAGATTTTACTCACCAACTTTCATGTGTTTCCTCTCCATGTTTGGAGATAGAATGAAGCCTGGAATACTGTTACAAAATGAACAGTTTTTTGCTAGAAATCTTTAATACCAGTTTACTCAATTACAGTCAGCTTGTAGTTGGGAACCTGTAGTTAGATGATTTCTTTTTTATTTTTATTTTTTTGAGGCAGAGTCTGGCTGTTGCCCAGGCTGGAGTGCAGTGGCGCAATCTTGGCTCACTGCAACCTCCACCTCCCAAGTTCAAGTGGTTCTCCTGCTTCAGCCTCCCAAGTAGGTGGAATTACAGGCGCATGCCACCACACATGGCTCATTTTTTGTATCTTTTGGTAGAGACGGGGTTTTACCATGTTGGCCAGGATGGTCTTAAACACCTGGCCTCAAGTGATCCTCCCACCTCGGCCTCCCAAAGGGCTGGGATTACAGGCGTGAGCCACTATACCTAGCCAGTTAGCCAGATTTCTGCTGATTAAACCCAGATACAGAAGAGTTTGGAGTGTAGCTTTAGGAAAGGTGGGAAGGCAGAATGCTCCTTGGATAAGAGGCTTAATGCTATCAATATTTTTCTCAGGCTTTATACTTTTCTCAGGTATTTCTGGGTTTTTTGTCCTGACAGCAATGTCATAATACACACAGAAGAAGGGGCGTGAGGGGGATTGTTTTATTTCATTCATTTCACTATTATATACTGAGCTCCTACTATGTGACAGTCACCATGCTAGGACCTGGGGATACAGTCATGAGAAAGGTGGCTATGAGTCTTCCCTTTGTGGAGCTCATAGGCCAGCAGCAGTGGCAAACAAGTGGACCATAGCATGCCAGGGGTTCCAGGAGGGTCCCCCAGAGGGAGGGAACCAGGCTTTTCAGAAGTAAGAGGGATTTTTCTTGAGGTAGATAAACTTGGCCAGGCACGGTGGCTCATGCCTGTAATCCCAGCACTTTGGGAGGCCAAGGCAGGGCAGATCACCTGAGGTTAGGAGTTTGGGACCAGCCTGGCCAACATGGAGAAACCCCGTCTGTACTAAAAATACAAAAGTTAGCCAGGCATGCTGGTGCACGCCTGTACTCCCAGCTACTCAGGAGGCTGAGGCAGGAGAATCGCTTGAACCCAGGAGGTAGACGTTGCAGTGAGTCGAGATCATGCCACTGCACTCCAGCCTGGGTGACAGAGACTCCATCTCAAAGAAAAAAGCTTCATACTGATTTTATATACATATGATTAAAATAAAACCGCACAGTGAAAGGACTTAGGAGTCTCCATTCCTAGTCATTAAGCCTGAGATTGGCAATAAAATTTAAAGGAATTCTTGAGGGGTTTTGAGAACACAATAATCTGAAATCCCCCGAGTTTCTTGGGAATACCATTTCCCCAAGAAACATAATCGTATAAATCCAGTCTCATGGTTACTGATTGTTCTCTTACATTTTCTTTTTTTTTGTTTTTTTGAGACAGAGTCTTTTTTGAGATGGAGTCTAGCTCTGTCGCCAGGCTGGAGTGCAGTGTCGCGATCTCGGTTCACTGCAATCTCCGCTTCCCGGGTTCAAGCCATTCTCCTGCCTCAGCCTCCCGAGTAGCTGGGATTACAGTCACGCACCACCACACCCAGCTAATTTTTGTATTTTTAGTAGAGACGGTATTTTGCCATGTTGGCCAGGCTGCTCTCAATCTACTGACCTCGTGATTCACCCACCTCGGCCTCCCAAAGTGCTGTGATTAGAGGCGTGAGCCATCGCGCCCAGTCACATTTTCTTTTCATTTGTTGTTATACCAGTTGTGTTTCCTTCTTTTCTTGAGAAGTCGTCTTGCCCCACTGTCAGGTAATTTCCTTTCTTCTGGTTATGCATTGAATTGTGTCCTCACAAAGGACGCTGAAGTCCTAATCGCCAGTACCTGTGACTGTGACCTTATTTGGATCACCTTAACAGACCATCAAGTTAAGATGAGGTCATGAGGGTAGGCTTTAACCTAACATGAGATGTCGTTAAAAAAAGGGAAATTTGGATGCAGAGATGGACATGCATAGGTAAAAATGGCATAAAGACACAAGAGAACCATCTCCAAACCAAGAAAGGCCTGAACCTACCAGAGAGTAGCAGAGAGGAATGGAACAGATTCTCCCTCACAGCCCTCAGAAGGAACCGACTCTGCACTCTTTGACTTTGAATTTCTAGTCTCCAGAACTGTGAGACAGTTTCTGTTGTGTAAGCCACCCAGTCTACGATACTTTGTAATAGAAGCCCCAGAAAACTAGTACATCTTAGCTAATGCATAAGGTCCTGGTAAGCATGACAGGAGTTGTATATGTAAATACACGCAAAGGCTAGTGGCTGGTGTATTAGTCTGTTCTCACACTGCTATAAGGACATACCTGAGACTGGGTAATTTATAAAGGAAAGAGGTTTAATGGACTCACATTTCCACATGGCTGAGGAGGCCTCACAATCACGGCAGAAGGCGAAGGAGGAGCAAAGTCACCTCTTACATGGAGGCAGGCAAGAGACCATGTTCAGGAGAACTGCCCTTTATAAAACCATCAGATCTTGTGAGACTTATTCACTATCACAAGAATAGCATGGAAAAGACCCACCCCCATGATTCAGTTACCTCCCACTGGGTCCCTCCAGTAACATGTGGGGATTTGTGGGAGCTACAGTTCAAGATGAGATTTGGATGGGGACACAGCCAAACCATATCAGCTGGTACATACTTGTCATCTTATTGTAATGTAGGCTTCAGCTTGGGAGTCATCAACATGGGGCTCTCTACCCAATGATGACAGCTCTTCAATGATTGTGGATACTTGGCGACATAGGGTGAATGGAACATAGGGAACATAGGGAACATCTGGGACATAGGGATGGGCAAGATATTCCATCTCAGGACATAGGGAGCATTTGGTTATAACCACGCTGATACAGAGGACTTTCTACCATTATATGATGGCCATGGAAAGAGCCGTGTGCTCATATAGCAAGAGAGCCAAGAGAGGTTCTAAGGAGAAAGATTAGGTCAGGGAATTCTGGGCAGAAACTGCCTGAGATCCAGCCTCCCACAAACTTTCATCTTTAAAGATTTTCCATCTTTATGAAGAAGAAAATATTTTTCTAGTCTCTTCATGACTCTCAGAGCATTCTTATAAATTTCTGATTTTGAAGGTTTAACAGTGTCCCTTCACTTCACTTCCACTTTTGAGATGGAGCAAGACTCCATCTCAAAAAAAAAAAAAAAAGAATAACAATTATTAAGATAGCTCAGATCTTTTGAGTCCTCACTCTGTGGCAGGCACTGTGCTATGTCTTTACATATTGTATTATCTAATTTAAATCTCATTTAATTGCCTTAACAGTTCTAGGAAGGAGGTGAGGAAACTGTTACTTACAAAACATTTTCCCAACTTCGTGGTAAATCTTGCCCAACTTCGTGGTAAATAGCGGAGCCAGAGCTTGAACCCAACTCTGACTGCAGAACTTATGTCTCACTACCTTCTGAATTCCTGAACACCAAGTGGCTGAGAATATGAAACATTTTTACAGTTACGATGTACATTTAAAATAATAACTGCTAAACTGATTCTTAGGAATTGAGACCAAAGGTGTGTACAAAAGGTCTCTCTTCTTTTTAATTAATTAATTTTTTTTTTTTTTTTTTGTGACAGAGTCTCGCTCTGTGGCCCAGGCTGGAATGCAGTGGCATGATCTTGGCTCACTGTAACCTTCACCTCCCAGGTTCAAGCAATTCTGGTGCCTCAGCCTCCTGAGTAGCTGGGACTACAGGCGCATGCCACCACACCTGGCTGATTTTTGTGTTTCTAGTATAGATGGGGTTTCGCCATGTTGGCCAGGCTGGTCTCGAACTCTTGACCTCAAGTGACCTGCCTGCCTCGGCCTCCCAAAGTTCTGAGATTACAGGCATGAGCCACCACACTGGGACCAGATGGTCCCTCTTAAACTCTATTTTGCTAACTAGATAACCTGGTTCTCCCCACTTTTTTTTCCTCTGATTACATTTGCCTGAATTTTGCCCTTAATGTCTCTCTTCTCAATAGTCTTTTATTTTTTTAAGTCACTCTAGGGATTTCATCTTTATTGAAAACAAAAAAGATTCAGATCAGTAATTGAACAACTACTGAAGCCCGTCATCGTGTCCAAATAATTGGTCATATAATAAATATGGTCCCTCCTCATGTGATGCTCCTTGCAGGCTTTTGAGAAGTCAGACAACTGCATAATTATAAATTGTGGTACCATGAGAAAATATATAGGATAATAAGAGAATCTAATTTAGTTGGGGCATCCAGGAAGACCTCTCCAAGGAGCTGACACTGAAGCGGAGGCCTGGCTGATAAATAAGAGTGTGTGTGGTGGGGTTGGGAGCCACAGAGACTGCCTGCAGAGGGAAGAGTGTGTCTGAGGTCTGTGCCATGTGGAATGAATGATGGCCACTGTGACTGCAGCTTAGTGAATGAGGAGGAAGGCTTCAGAGATGAGGATGAAGACATGAACAAGGGCCTGCCTGTGATTGCATACCATAGTAAGGGTTTTGGATTAGCATTGCTCATTGCTATACAAATTAATGGGGTAAAGATATCTTAACTATTATAAAAAATGATTACAAGTAAACTTGAATGGCAGTGTGGTGTTGGTGGAAAGAGTTTTGTTTTTTTTTTGTTTTTTTTTTTTTTAGCTGGAGTCTTGCTCTGTCACCCAGGCTGGAGTGTAGTGGCATGATCTCGGCTCACTGCAACCTCCACCTCCCAGGTTCAAGTGATTCTCCTGCCTCAGCCTCCTAAGTAGCTGGGATTGCAGGCATGCACCACCACGACTGGCTAATTTTTGTATTTTTAGTAGAGATGGGGCTTCTCCATGTTTGTCAGGCTGGTCTGGAACTCCTGACCTCAGGTGATCCACCTGCCTCAGCCTCCCAAAGTGCTGGAATTACAGGCATGAGCCACTGAGCCCGGCTGATTTTTTAAAATATTAAAATGGAAGAGAGTAGAATCCATAAACAATACCACTCACATATGGTCATCTTATTTACAACACAGGTGCCACTACAATTCAGTGCAGAAAGAATGGATTTTTCAGTAAATGATGCTGGAGCACGAGATATCTATGTGGGGGAAAAATGAACCTTGATCACTATCTTATACTATTTATTAAATTTAATTTGAGATGGAACATAAAAGCTAAAACAAGCTTCTGGAATAAAGCATAGAATACCTTCAAAACCATGGATTAAACAAAGATGTTTTAAACAGGACCAAACCCAAACACTAGCCATAAAAGACAAAAAATACTAATTGAATTACATTAACATTAGGAGTTGTTCATCAAAGGACATCATTAAGAACATGAATAGGCCAGCTATCATCTAGGAGAAGATAGTTACATTATGTTTTTCTGAAAACATACTCATATCCAATATATAAAAAGAACTGGCCAGGCGTGGGTGGCTCATGCCTGTAATCCCAGCACTTTGGGAGGCTGAGGCAGGTGGATCACCTGAGGTCAGGAGCTCGAGACCACTCTGGCCAACATGGTAAAACCCCATCTCTACTAAAAATACAAAAATTAGCTGGGCATGGTGGCACATGCCTGTAGTCCCATCTACTTGGCAGGCTGAAGTGGGAGGATTGCTTGAACCTGGGCGGCGGAGGTTGCAGTGAACAGAAATTACACCACTGCACTCCAGCCTGGGCAACAGAGTGAGACTCCATCTAAAAAAATAAAAAATAAAAATAAATAAATAAATAAATAACTCCTGGCTAGGTGTTGTGGCTCATACTTGTAATCCAGATCCTTGGGAAGCCAAGATGGGAGGATTACTTGAGGCCAGGAGTTCAAGACCAGCCCGGGCAACATAGCCAGATCCTATCCTAAAAAATTAAAAATAAATAAATAAAACAAAATTAGCTGGGTGTGGTGGCACTCATCTGTAGTCTCAGCTACTCTGAAGGCTGAGGTGGGAGGATTGTTTGAGCCCAGGAGTTGGAGGCTGCATTGAGCTATGATCGTGCCACTGCACTCCAGCCTGAGTGGCAGAGAGAGAACCTGTCTCTAAAAAAAAATATGAAAAAGGAACTCCTACAAATCAATAAGAAAAAGGCAGATAAGCCATACTTCACATAGGTGTATACTTCACAAAACAGCATATCCAGAATGGTCAATAAGCATATGAAAAAAGTCTCACTTTCATTAGTCATCAGTGAAATGCAAATTAAAACCTCAATGAGACACCATTTCAATAAAACTTTATTTACAAACTTTTATATGTCTATCAGCATGGGTAAAATTAGAAGGTCTGACAATACTAAGTATCGTCAAGGATGTGAAACAACTGCAATTCTCCTACATTGCTGGTGGGAGTATAAACTGAACAACTCACTTTGGAAAAGTGTTTGGCATCACCTTCAGAAGAAAAACATGCATCTTCTATACATCTATATACACCTGTATGATACATCCGTGTGTGTGCATAAACATAAACCTATACACTATACATCTATAGCATGAATGTCCACCAATGGACATGTACAGTGATATTCATAGCAGCTTTATCCAGAATAGCCCCAAACTAGAAAAACCCAAATGTCCCCAAACAGGAGAATGGACAAATGAATTGTGGTATATTCTTTCAATGGAATATTATCCAGAAATAAAAAAGAATAAACTGCAGATACACACAACTGCATGGATGAGTCACATAGGCATTATGTTGAGCCAAAGGAGCTAAACATGGAAGAGAACATACTGTCACATGAATCATGCATGAAGTTCAAAACTAGCAAAACTAATCTTTCATGAGATTAAGTCAGAATAGTAGCTATCTGGAGGGATGGGGATGCAGTATTGACTGGAAAAGGGTGTAAGGAAACCTTCTGGGGTGTTAGGTATGTTCTAGATCTTGATCTGACTTGGGAAGTGGTTATACAGTTGTACACACATGTAAAAATTCACTGAGTCATATACTGGAGATTTGTGAACTTTGTAGGTAAGATATATATTTCAATAAAAAATTTAACGTTAAAAATATTACAATAGATTTGAATAAATGGGGGAAAGTTTCAAAAAAGCAAAGTTACAAATTGCATATGTAATGTGATCTGAACTCCATTAAAAATTCATGGAAAAAAATCTGTGGAAAGGCTGGGCACAGAGGCTTACGCCTATAATCCCAACACTTCGAGATTGACTTGAACTTCTCATCGCTTGGGCCCAGGAGTTCAAGACCAGCCTGGGTAATATGGTGAAACTCCATGTCTACAAAAAAATACAAAAATTAGCTGGGCGTGGTGGCACATGCCTGTAGTATCAGCTACTCGGGAGGCTGAGGTGGGAGGATTTCTTGAGCCGGGAGTCGGAGGTTGCAGTGAGCCAAGATCGAGTTGCTGCACTCCTGGATGAGGGAGCAAGACCCTGTCTGAAACAGACAAAAAACAAAAAAAGAAAATTGGCTGAATAATTAATAGTGGTTTCTGGATGGAGGGATTGTATTTCCATTTCTCAATAGATTTCAGTGTTTTTTAAGTTTTCTCTAATATATGTATCTTATTTCCATATCAGAAAAATTGAAATGGGAGAAACAATCACTGAGTTGATTTTGACATAATTTCAGGGAATTGTAAATCAAGTTTGAAATTTTAGGGGTGAAATAGCAATTCAGGGATGGGCAAATTTAGAAGGCATCACAGAGGGGTAGACCTGAAGGGGAACTGGAACAGCATTTTGGGAAGGATATGAATGAAAGCAGGAATGGGGGATGGTCAAGGAACCTTGTGTGATGTTTCCTTTGGCCCGCGTTCTTCAGCCTATGCTGGTCTGACTTTGTTTCCATCTAGTTCATGAGTTCTGCAGTCCCTTCTGTGGGCCTTCAAGGAGGTACTAGCTTTTTCTTACACTTTAACATGGTGATTTGAAACCATTTATGATTTGTATCCTTAACAAGCTCTTTTCCTAGCCTTCTACATTTTTAGGCATTACCATTTGCTCTGTTCTCTATTTTGAGGCTGCCTTTTCTTCCCGGCTGCACCATATGCCAAAGTGAGTTTAAAAATTAATTGTGCCAAGCCATTCTCTCCTCCCCAAAAATAAATAAATAACCCCAGATCCCCAGATCCCCCTTCCCTCCCGCCACAACACACACACGGAGCTCCAGATGATCCATCTGTCCTATTGAAGATATCTACCACCCACTTCATCCTGAGGCAGGCTATTTTTGTTAGCTTTGTCTTGAAAATTCCTATATTGTAAGCTTTAAAGAATACATTGGTTTCCATCAGAAAATGAAAAGCAAAGCACTTTGTTCTCCTGTTTCATACCTATTGCAGGGCTGTGCACAAAGAAATGCTCAATAAATGCTGATTGAATTGCCTTGATGCAGATCATGGTCTGTGCCACATTTTAGATTTTTCTGTGCACATTTTTACTGATGATTGCACATTTATAATCATAAAATGGATTATGAAAGGGGTAATATTCCCTGGAATCCAATATTTTCTGGAGCTGTTTTTTGCAAATCTGCATCCTCTTAGGTGAGGTTAATTACCAAATTTTCAAATTCTCTGTGGTATCCAAGGATGGCTGGAAGCCTTCTGTGAGTGCTGTTTGTTTTGTTTTGTTTGTTTTGTTTTCAAACTGCTTCTCTCCCTTTCCTTGACAGGGTAAGTAATAGCATTATGCTGTGTTACTGGAAATTTTAATCAATAAAATGTACCTGTCTTTAATGAGGATGCTAGGAAGTACTGCTGAGTTAGATCATTTAGTTAATGCAATGAGATAAGAGGCTCAAGCATTTATGTGCACAGGATCAATTTGAGTAAATTTGAGCCTAGATGGGCAGTTTTCATATTTTTTCCAAGATAACCTAAATGAAAGATTCATTTTAATGTCCAAAGTTCATAAATGTTTGGGAAAGCAGTTCTCCTGAAACAGACATAGAAATGAGGAAGACTAGCTTTGCTTTTAAGAAGTTCACAGTTCAGTGATTCCTTTTCTCTTTCATCTATGCCTGTGGCTCAGCTCTCACCTCCGGGTGGATGGATACTACGAAAGCTATCCCTCCTGCTCTGACTTTCCGTGAGACCTAGAGCAGCATTCTCAGCTGCCAGCTGGACACCACTTCATGGATGTTCTGATGACCTCTTAAGCTTCTTATTACATCTGAAATTAGCTCATTGTTACCTCTTTCCACCAAATCTCATTGTCTTTCCTGTGTTTCTTATCTAAATGGCTCTACTTTTTTGCAGTCTCTAATCTTTGGGATTCTTTTTGATGCCTCCCCTTACATTGAAGGTTGATTTCAAGCTGGGCATGGCAGTGTGTACCTGTAGTCCTAGCTACCTATACGGCTTAGGTGGGAGGATTCCGTGAGCTCTAGAGTTTGAGTCCAGCCTGGGCAACATAGCAAGACCCCATCTCTTAAAAACTAAATAAATAAACGAAAGAAAGAAAGATTGATTTCCCCCTTATCAAGTATCCATGTCCTTTTTCTTCTGGCCATTTTTCTATTAGGGCTGTCTCCTATAAATAGTGCCCATCCTCAGTTTGGCTGGGAATATGAACCCATGTAAGAAAGGAATGGCCCAGTGGGTACTATTTGTGAGACAATCTTAGATCTTGTTTTCCTTATCTACTAATATCCCTGTCTCACTCCACTTGTCCCTTGGTCATCAAACTTATCCATCTCTCCTCCCACCTCCTCCCAGGCTGGGTGTTCTTTCCTTTCTTCCTCCTCTCAAATGCTGATGGATAGTTGACTACTTCCCCATGTACAATTTTTTTATTCAGTATTTGTAGAAACAGCTCTTCCAATGGATTCCCTCCCCCAAGCACTGCCCCCTTTCAATTTCATGCAACCTGAAGTCTGCCCATCCCCTAGTACTGCCTACCTCGAAGGACCCCCCAACCACACCCCCTCCCAGTCAATGACATGGTGTCAACACTGGCATGCTTTGGGGCTCCAAAGGTAGACATTGCATTTGTTCTCATTTCCAAAATCTCATGGAATGGATGTTTACTGCAAAGTAATAGCACCCAGATGATGATTTCTAACACACTGGAGAGAAGTGATTATTTTTGCATTGGGGTACATGCTAGAGGTAAAACTCAATGGGGGAATATGGATGAGTCTCAAAAACATGCTGAGTGAAAGAAGCTGGGGTGAAAGGGCACATACTGGATGGTTCTATTTATATGAAGTTCTGGAATGTGCAAAAAATGATAGAAATGGGAACAGTGGCTATGGTGTGAGGGCAGGGATTGACTGGGAAGGAGCACAGAGGAACTTTCTGCAGTTCTGGAAGTGTTCTATATCTTGACAGACATGTGGTTTACATAGGTGAAAGCATTTGTTAAAACTCATCAAATTGTATACTTAAGATCTATGCTTTTTGCAGTATGTAAATTATACCTTAATTTAATCAAAGAAACAAAAAATTAATTCAAGGGGAAAAATTGTAGAGTAAAATGTGTAATAGTATCCTACTAGTGGTTAAAGAGAAAAGACTGTATGTGTAGGAATAAACAAAATAATATAATAGGGAGAGGAGCAGACATGCTCTTGTATTTGTTATTAGGAAACATTTGCTTTGGAAGTGCTACTAGTTAATATCATACACTGTTTTTGGGACTACATGGTCACTTTTGCAGTGGTTCACAGCAGATTAAAATCTGATTTTAGAAATGGGAAGGTATAGGTTTTCTCTGTGGAAACTTCCAATGCTTCTAAAAATCTTGCACCCCGCTACCTTCCCCCGGTACCCAAAATAAATCACAACTGTTTGGTTTAAACTTGGTGAGTAGGAGGGTTTAAATCACAGCTTTTATAATAACTAATATGTGGATCCCAGACTGATAGCCTAAAGGCCATGGTAGGCCTGTGAACATGTTTTGTTCTGTTTTGCTGGAGGGTGGAGACGTGGACAGTGGTGCTTTTTTCTTTTTATGAGTTGCAAATGTTTGAAACTTGGGAAATTTCCTATAAAAATGTGAACATCTGGCAATACCTGGCTGGCTTGGATTCTAAAACAGCAATAATTGCTTGGATCTGAGTACTGGCTCCTCCTTTTATAAAGTTAAGATATAATTTACTTTATATATATGCCACCATTCACAGTTATCTCAGGACCAATCTACTGCCTCCATTTAAAAAATTCTACTTTCAGTCCTATTTTAATTTGCAACCTCTGGATTAACATTTATGAAGCCCTTTCTATGTACCAGGAACTATCAAGGATATCAGGAACTATTTGATATATACATGAGGGAGATATTCTTGTATCTGTTTTACAGATGAAGTAACCAAGCTTCAATAAGAACCCACCTGAGGTTGCTGAGCAGCAAGTAGCAAAACCAAGATTTGAACTAGGTTATTCTTACTTCCAGAGCCTACAGATTTACTGACCATGTTGTTGTTTGTTTTTTTACTTTTAACTTTAGTTTCATCTATCGTCGAGTAAAAATTTAGTACTTACCTCTGGTTGAGTTCTGATTAGTTTCTTTGTGATTTATTTTGGTAGAGTAATCCCTGGTCTCCAAACTCTATTGATTTTGCATCCCTAGCAGTAAAAAAGAAAAACAATGCATAATATATATGTATATTATTTATTGGTAAATAATAAACTTGTGCTATATTACCATTATCTACACTTTTAAACATATAGGTAAAGTCTTAAAGAATAAGAATAAATATATGAAATCCAGAATTTTCTCTCCACACTGCAGAAAATTATGTTGTAGGTATTGCATACCCTGTCTTGGCAGCCAATAGATTCAGTGATGCCTGGACAATGATTCTGCCCAAAAGCATTTTCATATCAGAGACTGCCAATTTTGTGTCCAATACATTGTCCTTTCTAGATAAAGGATTCAGGAAAAAGGTCACCTGATTTGCCCACGCTATGGGAAGACAGCAGAAAGTTCTCCATTGTTAGAAAAGGTATTGTCTCTCTGTAGCCACATTTAAAAGACTGTATTCTAAAACCTTCTATAACTGTGAACTCCAAAATAGCCAAAGGCATCTTTTATTCCTATTAAGGCCTGGGATTCCCTTTTGGGAAGCTTAGGTTCTTTACAAACATCTAATTTTGACTGTGGATTTAATGCAGAGAAAAGCAGTACTCTCCCGGGTCTCAGTTTCTCAGTCTGAGATGTGGGGGCTCCATCTCACAGGACTTCTGCTATGATTAACAAATTTGTGGTTTTAAGTACTTGGAAAAAACAAGCGCTGAGAGAGGCTGTTAATATTGAATCAGTGTGAAATGTATTTGTGGATCCATGCCAACAGTTTTCCCAGAATTCTGGTACTCTAAAGAAAGAATGACAATTGAGTATGCTTTTAAAGGCTTGCTTTGTGCCTGCTCAAAGGTCATGCCATGTTATCTCTCTAAATAGAGTTGTTTATATGTGGAAGGATAGGTTTTTCTTTCTAAGAGCTTCTCCATGTCCTTTGACGTCCTTCCCATCAACTTGTGTGATCTGAGTGAAGCTTTTTTTCTGGAGCATCCTCTGTTTGGAATGTTCTTTTCTGCCCTCCTCTAACCTCTTTATTCCCTTAGTTTGTCTTCAAGGCCCAGATGGAACACCAGTATCTTCACAATCCTGGCAGTGCCAGGGTGACTTAATCTTTCCCTGTCATGCTCTTTCAAAAAATCAGAGTGCAGCATGGAGGGAATGCAAGGGAGCACATTTGACACACCCCTTGTGGACTGAAAGCCTTGTGTGTGTGCATGTCATCATTGGGAATGCAATAGAAATACATAAAGTTGTTCATGTAAAATGTGAAACATACACCACATCTCTGTTCTGGAACTTTTTTTTTTTTTTGAGACGGAGTCTCGCTCTTTCGCCGAGGCCGGAGTGCAGTGGCGCTATCTCGGCTCACTGCAAGCTCCACCTCCCGGGTTCACGCCATTCTCCTGCCTCAGCTCCCGAATAGCTGGGACTACAAGCACCTGCCACCGCACCCGGCTAATTTTTTGTATTTTTAGTAGAGATGGGGTTTCACCTTGTTAGCCAGGCTGGTCTGGATTTCCTGACCTCGTGATCCGCCCGCCTCGGCCTCCCAAAGTGTGGAACATTTTCTTTTATTATGAAAGAAACATTAGGCCGTGGCTCACACCTGTAATCCCAACACTTTGGGAGGCTGAGGCGAGCGGATCACCTGAGGCCAGGAGTTCGAGACCAGCCTGGCCAACATGGTGAAACCCCATCTCTACTAAAAATACAAAAATTAGCCAAGCATGGTGGCATACACCTGTAATCTCAGCCACTTGGGAGGCTGAGGCAGGAGAGTTGCTTGAACCCAGGAGGCAGAGGTTGCAGTGAGCCAAGATCGCACCACTGCTCTCCAGCCTGGGTGACAGCGAGATTCCTTCTCAAAAAAAAATAAAATAAAATAACATTTTTTAAAAAAGAGAAACGTTAAAAAAATTTAAAAAGACAGAAAATTAAAAGAGATCATTAACCATATCCCCAAACTCTAAGCCAAACCCCCAAACTTTTACTGCTGTAACGATACAGTGGCATGGTATTTACCAAGTTGCACTGTAGTTAGGCACACCCACGCCTGGTTTCCTGCTAATTCGTGTGCTGTTTGTGGGCCCCTACATTATTCATCATTAAGGCTGCTGACACCTGGCCCATCCTTTTGTAGGCACTTAATGAATGTTTTAGTTAGCTCACAGTCTCAAAGAGTAGAGAAGGGCCTGGCACTGATTTTAAACCAGTCTCCTGTTCTATTCCTTATCTAGCTTACATTTCTTGTGACCATAAACTACAGGAGTTCTGTGAAGCTAAAGCTGAACTCCACAGGTGAAACATCTCAAAAAAGGAAGCCAGTGAGCGAGAAGCCCTGATAATAGCATAGTCAGAAAATAGATTATCTGGGGTATTGGAGATTTCCTAGTAAATTGACAGTGAACATGAGGTTTGCCAGAGTGAGTCAGAGCTTTTCAGTGTTGAGAGAGACGAATTATAAATACTTCAAACGGTGCCATTAGAAACGCTTCTCTCTGCATTTTTCCTCCTGGGAGAGCCACGGTGGGGAACCTGGAGCAGGCAGGCACCGTGTACCTGCTCCAAGGTCAGCAACTCCGTCAGGGGAGGTGCAGAGAAATGCTGATGCTGGTGTTTCTGGTTCTACGCTCAGCTATTTATCCCACCAGCAAGGACAGCCTGTCTCCTAATTACCAACCACTGGGACAGCTTCCTATGTCCACAGCTGGCCAGGGCCTCTCGGGCATGTGCCTGCCACTTAGTGCCTTCCAGTTCAGTGGCACTTAGCTATGCTCTAACCAGGAGGAATGATAATTATATCTTGCAGCTGTATATGTGGTATAGAAGTTCTTAGACACCATGGTATAGAATGTGAACATTTTCCTCTCCTAGCAGAGCATTAATAATGGCCAGAGTGTGTTTTGTCTTTGATATCTGCCTTTTCAAGTATTGGCTACTCTTTTCACAGTGACTTATAGAGAATTACCAAATGTTATTTACAAGGCATTGAGCACCAAGTATGTACAGAGCCTCATGTAAAGGAAACAGGGTGACAAAGGCAAGGCTCCTGCACTCCAGCAGCTTAGCAGCTGGCAGGGGAAATAAGACAGTCTATAGATAACCTTATTGCAAGGCAGGATTACAAATACCATGGGAGAGCTGCTATCTGGGGACAAGATAGGAAGAAATTGATTCTAGCCAGAGTGATTCTGGAAGCCTGTATGGAGGAGGTAATGTTTGAGCTGCATTTTTAAGCACAGGTGGATTTTCAGAAAGTTCCAATGGGAAGGAGGTTGAGGAATTTCAGGAAAAGCAAAAGAAGCAGGGGAAGGATGAAGAGATGTGTTGAGGGCATAGAGAAGGTTTGGCCGCTGACAAAGACTGCAGCCTGGTGGATTGTGATGTGTGGGCAGCAACTTAGTGCTCTGATTCTACGGAGGAGATTCATGGGAGAGTCTTGTCTAACATATGGAGTTTGAGCTCAGGGGGTGCCTGTGACCCCACTCTGAGCTGATCTTCATCTGTGGCTGCTTCCTTGAAGTCATTCCAAGCCTGCCTCTCATTCCTCTTTGGGAACGTTGCCTATGCAGTGTATTGTCAGAGAGTAATTTGAGACACTTGGTGCCTGTTAAACTAATTACGCTTCAGTCCTCAGAGTGCCATGGTGCTCTCAATCCTGAATGCTCAGCAGATTTTATGTAGTATCTGAATTATTAATGGAGAAGATATGGAAGAGGGTGTTTGGCTGCTTGTTCCATTTTGAGCAGGTCTTGGGCAAGTGGCATTACGGGAAGAGAAGCAGCTGCATGCAGAGGGATGGAGGAAGCAGGCCTTTCAGAGGAGACCTGCCCAGACCGGAGCATATGCCAGTATGCTCAGAAAATCACAGCCTGCTTTGGAGGGATGGGTAAGACCCTTTAAACATTGGGCTTTGCAGAGAAGATGCCCAGGGCTGACCATGCAGAAGGACTGAACTTTAGGACTTACGGGGAGCAGGGAGCAGGGATAGCCGCTGCTGAGCAGGAGAACCTCAAATGGGCCGAGTCGTCACTGTCTGGAAGTCCAATTGCACCCCTTTTTCACAGCCTTCCCACTGAATCTGTTCTGTTTAGCAGCAAAGATCATCCTGACTTGTGAGCAACTGCAGGTGTTTTTGGAAGGCATGCTGAGCTCTTTTTGTTCTTTCATTTTGATTAAAAAACAACAACAAAAATGAAAAGTAACCCCATTATCACTGATGAGGCCACAGGCTAACTGCAGAACATTTCCTTAGCAAACTAAATTCCAGAAATATTGGCATCGTAAGGTGGCAATTTGCTCTCTGAGAAAATTTTATTCTTTAGTGAGAAGCAAGTAGATCCTAGCAGATGATTTAAGCAGGGAGGGGATACTTGTCTGAGAAAAAAGACTTAAATCACTATATAGAATAAAGTCCATGTTCATTTGTGGAGAATCACTGTGACTGATGAAGAAAGAGCAGTAATTGAGGCATCTGTTCGCCGAGCACTGTGTAGCCCCAAAACACCTGGCTTTGGGCTGGGGCTCATCACATCAGGTGTTTATTGAGCTCCTACAGCATGCAAAGGCTGGGTGTCCTCAGTGCCCCTTGGTGAATTTTCCCACTGATGGTTCATTTTCATAGTCTATCATAGAAGAGCTTGAGTAGGTACAGTGGAACTGCTTCTAGAAAGATTAGGAATTTCCTATCTGATAAGATACACAGGCCAGCAAAATCTTGGGCAGAAGTTCAACATTTGTAATTATCATTAGCTTTGTAATGTGGTGCATTGTGATATCATATCATAGAACCATAGAAACGGTCACAAAACCCACTGCACTCCTTTGTGATTGCTGTGACTGTAGTTTTATGTGGGCTGTGGCAGAAGGCAGCAGTGAAAGACCTGAATCCACTGGTGCTTCTTTAGGGTCTTCCCCAACTGTGCTTTCCTGGGTGAAGAGGTTGCTGTCAGGCAGATACCACTGCAAGTCTATTTTTAAGACTGGAGGCTTGGCCTCTGCTAGGTATTTAACTGGAGCCATGTGGAGGAGGGTAAGTGAAAAGCTCTGAGCACTTGGGGAGTGGAACTTAGTTCACAGGTGTCTGCAGTCACTGCTGCCAGCATCTGAACTCTCATCCCTCTCCACTGCCTGAGAATGGAGTCAGCCCCCTCACATTTATATGTAGTTCGGTTGTCTTTAAAAGCAAGCAACCATTTGTTTTTCTCATTAGCCGTCTTCATGATCCATATGTAGTTTGCTTTGCATCTTGACCTAAAAAAGTATCAAAATTCTTACGTATAATTCCGTTATTGAATAAGAATTTATTTTCTTTTCCTTTTCGCAGTCTCTTAGAAGACAGTTGCATCTTGAACTAAATATATGGATCTGTAAACTTGTAAAAAAAAAAATTTAGGAGTGTTCTGTGCATGCTCTGCAGCTACAATGGCTAAGCACTGAGGTAGAGTTAATGCAGTGGAAATAGTTTTTGTGGGCAATGCTTGATGAGTTTAGGGACCAAGAAAGCCGAACAGCTTTGTTATGGAAGAGTTACCTTTTTTCCAGGTCAGGAAGATGCTGGGTTTGAAGGAAATAGTCTCTTTTCTGTCCAAAGTCTGTGTTTGTGCATTGTTACTGTGTTCCAGAGCCTGCCTTCAAAGTGGCTGTATCATGTTCCTCTATATAAACACATCTATATTTCACAAAAAGACCATGTAAGCACATATAAGCAAGTAGCTGCTCAGGTTCTCAGTTTGCAAAGAGCAGAGCTCCAGGAAACCCAGCAAGAAAGAATTAACAATGAAAGGCAGGGGTTCCCACACTACGATGTTTATTACAAAACACTCTAGAAGAACCTGGTAGGGCTGAGGTGGCCCTCGGGGATCTCCATCTTAAACAAATTGGCCCAGAAATCACATTTTGGGAAATACGGTTTTTTTTTTGATGGATGAATGCCACTTTTTTTTTTTCCAGTTGTATTTCTTTTCTTTTCTTTTTTTAAATTTCAATAGTTTTGGAGGGATCAGGTGATGTTTGATGACATGGGTAAGTTCTGTAGTGGTGCTTTCTGAGATTTTGGTGCACCCATCACCCTAGCAGTGTACACTGCACCTAATGTTTAGTCTTTTATCCCTTACCCTCATTTTGAGAAACATTGATAGAACATCTTACATTGTATATCTGAAGGTTCCTCAAAATAGGCAAACAGGGAAAAGAACACATACAGATTGTTTGACCTGCTTTGTAAACTGTTTTTAGAGGAAGACTTTGGAGGTTGGTGTTGGGCTTAATTCCCAGAATTTTGGAGCAGAAATTTTGAGGTGTGACTTCAGTAGTGGTAGAAGTCCCATGTTCCCACTTTCCCCAAGTCCACCTCAGTCTGAGTGCCTCTAGACAGCGTCTGTTTCTTCCATTCCCACCGTGCTTCACATTGGCATAGAATAATTCTAGCAAATTGGAATTCTCAGGTTCTTGAATTGTGTTGCCAATAGATTAGGAACTTGTAACAAAAGAAGCAAGAATTTCCTTTCTCTGCTTCATCTGCCTGGGGCCTTTGTGGAAGGACCCGACTATTGGATAGGAAGAGTCAGCATGGGAGGCAGAAGACCCGGCTCCACCCTAGGCTCTCTGCATTGTCCTGAGAAAGTCACATCTTCTCTGAGACTCACCTTCCTCATCTTAAAGGCTGGCGTAGATCAGTGCTTCCTGAGTGCTGGCACTAGTCTGGGAGAATGTTTAGAAATGTAAATGATGAGTTAATGGGTGCAGCACACCAACATGGCACATGTATGCATATGTACCTGCACATTGTGCACATGTATCCTAGAACTTAAAGTATAAAAAAAGAAAAGAAATGTAAGTTCCTGACCTTTACGTGCAAGAATCCCGTATATATATATTTTGTATTTTTCAAAAGTTCTACAGATTTTTTGTTTTGAGACAGAGTCTTGCCCGGTCACCTAGGAGTACAGTGGCACAATCATAGCTCACTGTAACCTCAAACTCCTGGACTCAACCAATCCTCCTGCCTCAGCCTCCCGAGTAGCTGGGACTACAGATGCATGACACCACACTTGGCCAATGTTTTAATTTTTTTTTTTTTTTCTGTAGAGACAGAGTCTTGCTATGTTGCCAGGGCTGGTCTCGAAGTGGCCTCAAGCAATCCTCCCACCTCAGCCTCCCAAAGTGCTAGGATTACAGACGTGAGCAACCGCACCTGCAGATGGTTCTTATGCACAGCAATATTTGGGAACTACTGGACTAGATTACCTTTGATGGCCTTGTCAGCTCTATAATTCTATTCTAGGGTTTTAATGAAAAGGAATTTATATTAGAACATAATAGCCCAATGACAGGAGAAGGAGTGTGAGTTTATTCATTTTGACTTGGGACTTTTGTATGGTTGTAGACGGTCACATTTTGTACTGCATCTTACTGTGTGGATGTTAAAGAGTAAATGATAATTACTGGGGTTGTCCTTTTTATATCAATACACTAATTCCATGAAGGTCCTTCTAGCTTGTAACTTTGTGTAAAGCTGAAGCTACCTACATGTTAATTCTGTCTCCATCATATGATTCTGCCATCACAGAAAACCCATGAAACATTACGACAGTAAACATTGGCTTAATGGAATGAGGCAGAAGGATTTTCCTGGTACTGAGGGGAGGGGTCCCCTTCTAGAAAATGGAAAGGAAATGATCGTTTACTATGGCTGAGAGCTGGATTTGTCACGAATTGAAGCTGAGGATCTTTATCGAGCCTTCCCCACCTCCACCTGTGAGATCTGAAATACTGGAAAACTTGGAATTATTACCCTGGGATTTTTCTGATAGACATTTTTAGATTATATAAAATATGTGTATATATCCCTAGCCCTATTCTCAGTACTCTTACCAGATGATACTGAATATTCTAGGAGTATTTGCAGGAGAATTCTTTTAGATATTGCAGTTATATTCTTTCTCTTATTCTGGATATTAATCTGATTTTCAAATATGCATTCATGTCTGAGACTGAAAGTCTCGAGTTCCTGGTAGTGGCTGTTTTTATACCTAGTCATCTGACTGAGAATATGGTGCCCTAAGCTCTTGAGGGTAATCACTTAAATACATCTCCCTTAATCTTCTTTGCTGGGCAGTGAGAAAAGGAGACAGTAAGGAGCCAGGGGAACAGAGAGAATTGTGGGGCAGCACCGCTCCTTGGGTCCCCACTCCCCATTTCTCATTGCTTGGAAATCCATGCCAAGATGCCTGCCTTCCTTGGTCTAAAGTGTCTGGGGAAATTGTGCAGCTCTGAGAAAAGCAAAGTCACCTCATCTGAGAGAACCAGTGCCAGGGGCTCGAACAGAAAGAGACTGATTGTTGAGGACCGGAGGGTCTCTGGGACCTCCTTCACCGCTCATAGGCGTGCCACTATCACTCATTTGCTGTATCTCTGTCCCAAGGACTACTGCCCACGTGGGCGTGTATGTAACAGCGTTGATCCTTTTGGTAAGTAAAATAACCCTCTCTGGACATGGTTTTGTGTTTTGTGATTGGCGTAATTAAGAGAGTACTATCCAGATCATTCTTCTGTAATGTGTTCTTCAAAGGAAACACTATCCTTAATATATAATTAATGGGGGTGAGGGTGGGAGAGATGGAGAATGTAACATAAGTGTAGCTACGGAGCTAAATCCCAAGGATATTTTTGTCCAGGATTTTATGATCTTCAGTAACAAATGTATCTCTTTCCAAACTTGGTATGAATAATTGTCAGTAATAGGAAGTATGATGGAAAAGAAAGATCTCTATCTGTAGATGTTATTATTTCATATGACAAAGGATGAATGGAAAGGAAATATTCAAGGGGGGAGATGGAGGCTAGCAAAAGATAAGTAAAGTTGAGGTCCAAATTGTGTCACTGTGTAGGGAGGGCTCGTCTTGTGAAATGTTCTAAAAAAGAAATAAAATAAAAAGAAAGTGTTTTAATATTGAGAGAACTTGTTGAGGCTTCTTTTCAGTGAAGCTCATTAAAACGTGTCACTCATCCCTCTGCCTGGGAAAGAGGTGGAGAAGGCCCACTCTGAGGATAGAGTTATTGCACTTGGGAGTTTTCAGACTTTGAAGTTATCATGGTGCCTTTGTTAATGAAGATGATACCTACCCAACTGCTCACACCTTGTCAAAGTCAGACCTAGAATTGGTACAGGAAGCAGAAGGCAATTAACCATGGTCCCTACGAATGTATGAAGTTAAGTCAAATAAGCCAGGAAGCATAACGCATTCCTCGTCATTCTTGGACAGCCAGAGTTGAATTGGATTCAGTTTAGCTGAAGTACTGGAGTTAAGATGTTCTGTTTTGTTGCAATCAGCTTTCAACAGCTTTATTGAGTTATAATTCATATGCTGTAAAATTCATCCATTTAAAGTCTATAGTTCAGCGAGTTTTAGTATGCAACTGATATGTTACATATATATTTTCATTGCCTCAAAAAGAAACCCTGTACCCTTTAGCTATCGCCTCCCCACCCCAACCTCTTCATCCCCATCTCTCAGCCTTAAGAAATCAAAATCTACTTTCTGCCTCTTAGATTTCCCTATTCTGGATATTTCATGTGAATGGAATTTATAATCTGTGGTCTTTCGTTTATGGCTTCTTTCACTTAGCATGTTTTCAGGGTTTACCCATGTTGTAGCACGTGTCAGTACTTTATTCCTTGTTATGGCCAAATACTATTTCACCGTATAGATATTCCACAATTTGTTTCTGCTTACACCAGCTGATGGACATTTGGGATGTTTCCAACTTTTGGATTTTATGAATAATGCCTCTATGCATATCCATATACAAGGTTTTTTTTTCTTTTTTCGTGTCAGATGGGTAATGTGCCAATGTCATAACAAGGTTCGAGGGTGGCTCACCTCACACACGCGTGTGTGAACACATCAAAAGGATCATCATATACAGGTTTTTATGTGGACATATGATATGTTCAGGGCTCTTGGGTGTATACCTAGGTGTGGAATTTCTGGGTCATATAATAACTATGTCTAACCTTCTGAAGGACTTCTAGATTATTTCACAAAGCAGTTACTCCATTTTACATTCCCACCAGCAGCATATTAAGGTCCCAGTTTCTCCACATCCTTGCTAACACTTGCTATTATCTGCCTTTTTTTTTTTTTTTTTTTTTTTGAGACGGAGTTTTGCTTTGTTGCCCAGGCTAGAGTGTAATGGCGTGATCTCGGCTCACTGCAACCTCTGCCTCCTGAGTTCAAATGATTCTCCTGCCTCAGCCTCCCAAGTAGTTTGGATTACCGGCATGTGCCACCACACCTGGCTAATTTTGTATTTTTAGTAGAGATGGGGTTTCACCATGTTGGCCAGGCTGGTCTGGAACTCCTGACCTCAGGTGACCTGCCTGCCTCCACCTCCCAAAGTGGTGGGATTATAGGCATGAGCCACCGCGCCCGGCCTTATCTGACTTTTTTATTCTAGCCATCCTAGTGGGTGTGAAGCGGTATCTCACTGTGCCTATACAGAGCTTTGGCTGGGACAGAGAGGGCTGACAAGCAGATCAGTGCTCAGGCAAGACAGGATACCGACTTCGACAGCTGCTGATGGTAACAGCTCCTTGTCTCTTACTCTTAACAGTCTTCTCTTCATGATTCCAGGCACATTCCTTTTTAGGGGAGCAGGGAGCGGGGATGAAGAAGCCATGCCTTCTGCCCAGTCCCCTTACAAGCTCTGCTAAGAAGACTTTGTTCAGAACCAGCTGAGTATGCCTATTGTAGCAAATGACACCTCCCTCAAAAATCAGATCCACATACTAGGGGATACCTAGAATCCCTTTATTGAGGAAAAAATGTTTTATTCCACAAATAGGAATAAAAATGAAACATGTAGATTTCTGCTGGAGCTAACACTTTATTCTGAATGACTTCGATGCTTCTATGGAATGTTTCTACTCAAACAGACTCAAATCAGATATTTTTGGAATGAGCCACTGTTGCTCTTGAAAGAGATAAGATCTGTTGGGAGGAGAAGGCAGGAAGGCAAGGGGAAGCCAGGTAAGCTGTAGTTTAATGAAAGCATGCTGGATAATGACTTATCAGCAGATTCCCTCACTTGGGAACAAGAGAATTAACAGTATCCGAGAGAGTTCTGGATACAGGAAAGGTAATCATCATTGGGATATCCATATCTTAGTGGAGGCAGATAAGGAAATCTGGGAGATTAGTTAAGTGTGGCTTTGAGGTTGGACATTCCAGAATTTGACTCCCAGCTCTTCTACTCACTAAATGTGTTACTTTGGGAAGTTAGTGATTCCAAGTGCGTTTCTCTGTCCCTAAGGTAGGCAGGGAATGCATACCTTATAGGATTGCTTTGAGCAGGCCTATCCCTAGAGTAGATGGGGCCCTGGGCAGATTTTTTTTGTAGGGCTCCTGTCTATATAAACAATTTGAGTCACCCAAAGCAGTGTGTCAACAGCTCAATCTGTTTCAGTCTTGGGAAAGAAATGCCACACCAGCCTGAGGAAGTGATTGCTTGCTAGGCTTGTCCCCTAGAATGGAGCCAGCTCCAGGGCCCCAAGAAACCCATTGGCATGACTCCTGGGGCTCCTTGGGGCATCTGGCCAACCCCTTGCACAGTATGGGAGAGATGCAGAGGATCACTAGAGAGATCTGTGAAGAGGAGGCTCAGATTCCCCATCCAGACAGCACTGCTGGCCCCAGCGATCCCAGGTACCAGAGCGCACTTAGACATTTTTGAGGAAGGAATGGGGTTAGGGCAGGGGCCCTGCTTGCGTGTGTCTAAGGGCAGTATTGATTATGAGAACTAAATGAGAACCTGGCTGGGCATGGTGGTGTGGGCCTATAGTACCAGCTACTTGAGAGGCTGAGGCAGGAGGATCACTTGGGCCTAGGAGTTCAAGACCAGCCTGGGCAAACTTGCAAGACCCTATCTCAATTTTAAAAATTGTAAAAAAAGATAAAAATAAATTTAAAGAATGAGAACGTGCATATCAAAGTGTTTGGTATAGTGGCACACAAAAGCATCCACTAAATGTTAATTTCAGTAATAATAATAGAATTGCAATATAGTCAGCATTAGTCATTTTTGACAGTCTCTATGGAGGCTGAATTAAAATAATAAAATAAGAAAAAATTGTTTATTATTGTTAAAAATAATTTCTATTGTTTGCCTTCCATGCTGTGAAACAATAGAGGCCCAGAACTATAGATGCTGCACAGGACGTGGGATTCCCAGAAAGCCACTGTGTGTTCAGAGCATCCTGTTTAGGACAGGTGCTTGGAGGAAGTGCGCCCTCCTGCAGCCATGCATGTTCCTGTGCTACGAAGCCCCAGAGTGTTCAGGAGCAGCTCCTGGCAGGGTGCTTGGGAATATTTGGCAAAGGCCTCCTCCAGCTGCCAGAAAGATCTCACGATGCTGCAGCTTCCTGTTATTGTCTGGTGCTCAATCCCTGCTTTGAGTTGTGCTGGACTCCATGATTTTCCAAGTGTCCCCATGCATATGTGTCCTTTGTAAAGCTCAAAACAACCCTTGGATGTTGCAAGGGAAGAAATTGTTTTCCCCCACTTAACAACAGCAATGAGTTAGCAAGAAGATGGGAAAAGTGGGCAAAACAAATATATCAGTGAACATACAAAATAGCTTCCGCAAAAATATATCAGTGGGCATATATCAGTGAAATAGATCTGTGAATATACAAAATAGCTTCTGCAAAAATATATCAGTGAGCATATATCAATGAAATAGATCAGTAAACGTACGAAACAGCCTCTGCAGCTTCTGACTGTAGATGTAGTACTGTTCTTGAAGAACGGCTGTCATTCATTGAGGGCCTACTATATCTCAAACATTGTGATAAGTGTCTTTTTTTGTTTGGTTTTGTTTCTGAGACAGGGCCTCCCTCTGTCTCTGAGGCTGGAGTGCAGTGGTGAGAACAGGGCTCACTTCAGCCTTCACCTCTTGAGCTCAAGTGATCTTCTTGCCTCAGCCTCCCATGTAGCTGGAACCACAGGCGCATGCTACCAGGCCTGGCTAATTCTTTGATTTTTTTTTTAGAGACAGGGTCTCACTTTGTTGCCCAGGCTGGTTTAAAACTCCTGACCTCCAACAGTCCTCCTGCTTTGGCTTCCCAAAGTGTTGAGATTACAGGCGCAAGCCACCATACCTCGCCTGTGCCAAGTGTTTCATGATTTTTCCATGTTTGATATTCTCAATGACTCAACAAAGCAGGAATTACTTTTATCTCATTTTACAGAGAAGGAAACTGGGGCATATGCAGTTAAGAGACCTGCCAAAGGTCACATAAGTACTAGATTTGGGCTTAGGTCTGCCTGACACCCAGGTTCGTGGTCTCAACCATGATGTCACTCTGCCTCAGCCTGAGGAGCATAAGAGTGGGTCATTCATGAGGTACGCTGAACACTGGCACACCTAAAGTTTGTAAATAATATTGCTAATTACGTACTTCAGCAACTCAAATTTGAAGACTCCCATAAAGTATATTGCTGTTGCCAGGAAAATTAGCAAAGATTTCCTTCCTCTAGCTCGTAAATACAAGCTGTCTGTATGGAATGTTCCCTTACTCTCCTGTAGGAAATTAGAGTGAAGTTTTTGAACCTGTGTTTCTTTCTGTCCTTTGGAGCTTTTGGGTCTCATACAAACGAAAGAACATATTTAGGGCGATTACCTTCTTGACAAACAAACAAGAGACTGGCACTATTATCAAAAGCCCCAAGGATATCTGGAGAGGATTCAGTGATTATGTTGTCAGCTGAGTCCAAATCCCAAAGCAGAATGTTCTGGACTGGAGAGCAGGGACCAAAGTAGACTTGGCAGTCCCCTCCCTGGAAAAGCAGTTCATATCCCAGAAGAGAGAAAGGTGGTTCATGTCTGATTCAGGCACCTGCTGAGACCTTTCTGTTACATGCAGCACACCAGGTGTTGTCTTCACTCGGAATGGTTTCCCAAGACCCAGATACTCAGGGTATCACGTAAGTGAGAGAACCTCTTGGGTACATTATTGTTTCTTAAAGCAATACCAACCTGTTTTCAAACTAAGTAGAACATATAACACTATAATATTTTTCTTTTAGTGTGCCCTTCTTACCCCATTCACTAATCCGCAACCCCAGACCTGTATGTCAGAGGGCTAGGGGAAGCGTCTTGGGTATAGTAGGCCATAGGCCACAAATGGCTTTGTTGTCAAAAAGACAGCATATTCTTCAAGATGCTGTGGAGCTTTTCTATAGCATCTTCCTGGTAACATTGAGAGTCTGTGTCAGGGAAAAGGTTTTAATTCTCTCCAAACCCTGAAACTCAGCTGTGAAGGCCCTCTATTACATTTGAGAGAAGTGTTTGAGCTAGCCATAAAAAATACATCCTGGGAAAGTTGGTAAGAAGGACCAGCATGTGGTTCCTGCCCTCAGACCCGCTCTCCTGACTGATGGCTTTGACTAGGCTACTTTGAGAGGCAAAGTAGTGACCGGCATCTGCTGCTGGCAAGGAGACACACTGTGTTGTGGCCTCCTGTTCCTCCAGCATGCTGGGTCCCCAGGGCCTCATCCGGTTTGTTGATGGGATATGGTTCCCCCCAAACAGCAGTCTTACTTTAACTTTTGTTCTCCTGAGGATGGAGATGATAGGTGGTGGCCAGTTACTTCTACATCTTGCAAGGGCATGAATGGAGAGGGATTTGAGGTTTCAGCTATTTGGGAAAGCATTAGATAGTTTGCATTTTTTTTTTATTTATAGTTACCAATAACCCCTTTTCAATTCCCTAGGCTTCTCATTCCATTAGTTTAATCATATTTCCCAGAATCATACGTTTCAAGCTCTTGACGGTTAAGCCTTTCTATCACGTCCCACTCTTAACCCCCAAACACCCGCATCAGTCTTCTTTGTCACAGATGTTTGAAGGATGCTTTCACGTTGGGCCTCTCTTTGTATGTGCAATTCTGCTGCCTGGCACAGTCTCCCCAGTTTCTCTGAGGCCCAGCAGGCTGCAGGTTAAGCTTTTCCTCCTCTGGGCCGGCCTGATCTTACCTCTTGCCTCGTCCTCCTCTGTGTTTTCATAGCATCCTCTGCACATCTTTGTTCAAGTTGCCTGTTTATAAGCTTCTCCCTTTTCATACACTGAGGTCCTCTCTGAGGGCAAGGAGAGAGCTGTGCTCTTATTTTTATTCCATTATAGTACCTGGCATGGAAAAAAAGCTGTGAGTGATGAGTAAATGAATGAGTGAATGTTCGCAGAAATCAAATCACTATGTTCGAAGAATACAATTCGGCATTAAATTGTCCCCCTGCCTTCAAGTAGCTGAGGCCAGGAGAAGCTGCAAAGCAAACTGGTTGCAAATTCAGGGTTATGGGGTCAGACCTCGCTGCCAAGTTCAAAGTCCAGCTCTGCTCTTTGCAGTTCTGTGACCTGGGCAAGTGACTTAATATGTCCGAGCCTTAGTTTTCTCGTATATAAAATGTGGATAATACTACCCACATTGCAGCGGTATTATGAGCCCTAAGAGAAAATACGTATTTTAGAAATGCTGGCATTTAGTTGGAGCTCGATAAATACTTCCCCCTCTTCTTCTCACCCAAATGTGTGAGAAGTTGAATAATTGTCTAGATAACAAATACAATTAGTTTTCAAAGGAAAGAAATATCACTGAAGGGAAAGAGAAAGTAGGATTTGCGATTTGAGCTGTAAAATAGATATGATTTACCCAAAATACGAGTAAAAGGAAAATAGCCCAATGATCTGAGAGTGGAAAGAAAAAGGTAGAAGTAAGACACTTTTCACCTAGTTCCACTGGCTGAATCTACTTGGTCCAGCTTTTTTTTTGTTTTATTGATGGTTGCTTTTTGTTTTGTTTATTTTATTTTTAGTCCTAGGAATGTGGGCAAGTAACTATTTTCACATGAAATGTTCCCATGTAAATTACTTCCTTGAGTGAGTAAATATGCTGCAATGCCCCATTCGTTTTAATTAAATGTACTTAAAAACTAATCTTATTTAAAGTCAGAGGGTAAAGCAGTCTGTTTAAGTTTATTGTTTGGCATTGTTTTAATCCAGGCTTTAAACAAATTTGAATCTTACTAAGAGTGGCTTACTTTCAAAGAAATCCCTGATTTCCCATCCTTTGATCCTAATGATTCTGGGGCATGACCCAGTGCTGATTATTATGGATGGACTCCTGTTAACTTGGCAAATCAGCCATGGACCTGTGACGGCCATGGGTACAAGACAAAGCTGCTAACAGAAAGGGAATATGGATTGTGTGGAGGCTGGGCACAGTGGCTCACGCCTGTAATCCCAGCACTTTGGGAGGCCGAGATGGGTGAATCACGAGGTCAGGAGGTCGAGACCAGCCTGGCCAACATAGTGAAACCCCGTCTCTACTAAAAAATACAAAAATTAGCCTGGCATGGTGGTGGGCGCCTGTAGTCCCAGCTACTCAGGAGGCTGAGGCTGGGAAATTGCTTGAACCTGGGAGGCAGAGGTTGCAGTGAGCCGAGATAGCACTACTGCACTCCAGCCTGGACAACAAAGTGAGACTTTGTCTCAAAAAAAAAAAGAAAAAAAAGAGGGGGGATATGGATTGTGTGTTACTCATTGGGGTGGACAGGTGGCCAGCACAGGCTTGATTTGTCTATGGACTACAAGACGAAGGCTACCAGTAGGAAGGTAATATAAGGTGAATACGTGGTCAGCAGATGGGTGATTCTGTCCCTGGGGTGGAAGATGAAGGCTGCCAACAGGAAGGAAGCATAGTCTGTGTGCTGTTTGTTAGGGCGTGTAGAGGTAGCCAGCAGGAAGATTCCTTTCTCAATCTCAGAAAGCAGCACACCCAGAATACACTAGAGAAACCCTTTGCAGAATCAGGATTTAAGTATGTCAGGATTTTAGATAGACTATGATATGATATGCACGAGGATTCTAGATATTTCTCAAAGGTAGAAATAAACCTTTGATATCAACACCTTTATTTATTTATTTATTTATTTATTTATTTATTTATTTATTTATTTATTTATTTTGACAGAGTCTTGCTCTGTCACCCAGGCTGGAGCACACTGGTGTGATCTTGGCTCACTGCAGCCTCTGCCTCCCGGGTTCCAGCGATTCTCTGTGCCTCCGCCTTCTGGGTGGCTAGGATTACAGGCATGCACCACCATGCCTGGCTAATATTTTTGTATTTTTAGTAGAGATGGGGTTTCACCATGTTGGCCAAAGCTGGTCTTGAACTCCTGACCTCAAATGACCTGCCCGCCTCGGCCTCCCAAAGCACTGGGGTTATAGGTGTGAGCCACCGTGCCCAGCCAACACCTTACTTTTGTAGGAAGTAAGAGACTGAGGTCCAGAGAAGTAAATGACTTTCCTAAGGTCTATGGTATAATCAGAGGGTAGTGTTAGATTAAGACCCTAGCTCTCCTCTCTCCCTGTTTGATATTACATGAGAAGACCAAAGGATTATTAATTTTTTTTTTTAAGTTCAGTTGGAGATTCAGCTCGGGTGAAACTTTCCTGTGGAGTCTCTCCAGACCTCTCCTCTTTTGGGCTCTGCTGTGTACCACACAAATGCCCATCCAAGCACCTCTATGCTTGGCTATTTGTATCTGTTTGTTTGCGTGTCTCCCTACCAGGTAGTAAGTGCCTTAGTGGCAGGACAGTTGTTTCCGTGGTTTCTTCAGACTATAACGCAGTGCTTGGTAAGTAAAGGTACTTCATACATTTTAAAATGGAGATGTAATGTAGTACACCATAACATTCACCACTTTAACATTTACGAGCCTGTGCATTTTAGTAGAACCACGAAGTTGTGCAACCATCCCACTATCTAATTCCAGAGCATTTTTATCAGCCCAGAAAGAAACCTTGTGCCCGTTAGAAAACATCCCTGATGACTCACATTCCTCAGCTGCTGGCAACGACTTATCTCCTTTAGGTGTTTGTGGGTTTTCCTATTCCAGACATTTCATCTGATTGGAATCATGTAACCTGTGATTTTTGTGTCTAGCTTCTTTTACTTAGTATAATGTTTTTAAGGCTCATCGAGGCGGTAGCATTTATCAATACCGTATTCCTTCTTATGGCTGAATAGTATCCCATTGTAGGGATATATCACATTTTCTTTATCTTTTCGTCAGCCGATGGTCATTTGTGTTGTTCCTGCTTTCTGGCTATTATGAATAATGCTGCTATGAACACTTGTTACATGTTTTTGTGTGAACGTGTTTTCAGTCCCCTTGGGTATATACCGAGGAGTGGAAATCCTGGGTCATACGATAATTCTCTGTTTAACTTTTTGAGAAACTGTCAAACCGTTTTCTACAGTGGCTATACCATTTTACATTCCCACCACTTAATACAATTTCAAATTAAATTAAAGCTATTCCCTCAAAGTGAAATAACCAGTTTTCCCATATGTACACAAATCCTATATGTACATTCTATTTACATCCTATATCTTAATCTTCAAAACTGCTTTTATCTTTACAACATAAAGGTCTGCAAACATTATATAAAGAAAGGTAGGGCCTTTACTTTGAGAAATCATTTAGCTGGCTTGTAAATTCACTTTCTGTAAGTGACTTACTGTGGCCCCCCAAGTTTTGTTTGTTTGCTGTTTAGAAGTCTTTCCTCATCCAAGTTCTGTGGCCATAGATAACAACCAAAATTAATCAGAGGACATCAGAGACATTATGACTCACAGAGCCCAGAAAAATCTAGCTCACAAAGGTTTGTCTGCAGCCCAAGTGGAGAGGGAGAATTCTCATGCCATAGAGTAGGATCTCCTGGGATAAAGATGAGCTGGGGAAGAAAAGTCAAATAGCTAGGGCCACAGCTAGCGCTCAGCCAGCTCCCTTTCTGTCCATCATGACCTGGATCATTTTGTAAGGTCATTTTTGACATCACTAGAATATTCTGGGGTGTTTAATATTTGCTGTCCTTGTGGGACAATTCCCAGTTCTGTTTCATATTGGTCTTTTCCCTGAAGTGCTATCATGTGATTCTAGTGTGTAGCTGGATATGTTCTGTTATCCTTTCCTTGGGCTCTTTTCCCTAAAGGGCACAGACTCTATCTTCACTTGGTAGCCAGTGGCATTATAGGGGCAGTGGCTACTTAATAACTGCCTAGGCTGGGCACGGTGGCTCACGCCTGTAATCTCAGTACTTTGGGAGGCCGAGGCAGGCGGATCACCTGAGGTCAGCAGTTCAAGACCAGTCTGGCCCAACATGGTGAAACCCTGTCCCTGCTAAAAATACAAAAAAATGAGCTGGGCATGGTGGTACACACCTGTAATCCCAACTACTTGGGAGGCTGAGGCACAATAATTGCTTGAACCCAGGAGGCAGGGGTTGCAGTGAGCCAAGATCGTGCCACTGCACTCCAGCCTGGGTGACAGAGTGAGACCCTGTCTCAAAAATAAATAAATAAATATTAATTAATTTATTAATTAATTTAAAAAACTGTCTAATCTTTGAGGTCACCAATTGGTCCAGTGCTATCCATGATGGGAATACTAAGTGAAGTTAATTGTTTAGTAATACTTCAACTGAACTTGATTTCACATAGATCGTGGTTCAATTGGTCTATTTTAAGAGTTTAAAGAAGATGCAAACAGGATCCAACACATTTCCTGGTTAACTTCTATATCTACATACCAAGAGTGATCCAGTTCATTTTTCTATATGTGGCAGCAGCTGCTGAAAAGATGTTGAGCCCAGCCAACCTCCTGTAACTCCTCCTGTAGTCGTGAGGACCACATTAGACTTGAAGCTCACCTTATCTCTCTTGCTGAGCGGCAAGCATTCCTTCCTTTGAATCTTCATACCGTTTGGTCGGTATCTCTGATTCCAATCCCTTTCTGCCTTGTTTTAGAGTTATTTAGGTCCTTGTGCTGTTTGGTCTACTTAGATGTAAGGTTGTTGAGGGCTTAGTTTAGGTATCTTTGATCTCTATACCACTTGTGGCTCCTTGAAGGTGATACTTCGCATATTGCAGATGCTCAGTAAATATTGTTAGCCTCATTAATGGGTCAACATTCATTTGTTTCTCTTCATTTTTTCCTTTGATTTTTGCCCACCTAGTTCTCAATTGTGGATGCTATGGCTGAATGCTCATCTTGTGGCTTAGTTGCTTTTTTTCCTGTGTGCAAATTTAATGGCCAATGAAGCATATTGGTAAATGCTCAGTGCTCTTAGTATACGTTATTCAGGAAGAGGAAATATTGTGTAATCCAGATCCAAAACCAAGAAGAATTTAAGTTCTAAATATTTTCCTTCCTGTCCACCCTCTAATCTCCTCCAAATCCCAACAAATACAATACATATGCGGAGTGTTTTCATCTTGCTAGAGATAGTGAGAGAAAGGAAAGGAAGAGACCTACCTTCTGTATCTCTTTCGAATGTACAGCCAACTTGGCATATGGCATGTAGTACTAGCACAATCTTTGGTTGAATTGTAGCAATATGCAGCTGTTTAAAATGGTAAAAAGAGAGCCCATGTAATATATGTGTAAATGTTATAAAATGACTCATTTTTATAGAGCTTGGTAAATGTCATAAGTCACATCCTTCTGCCTAAAACATAAACACAGGCCAAAAGGACATTTTGGGGGCATATTTATTTATGAGGCAGTTGGTAGTTCTGACCTCTGCTACCAGAGTTAATCTAAGTTGTCTCCTTTACATATTTTAAAGGAAGAAGTACTTTGGCGTAGTCTGTGTGCATACAAGTTCCTTTGTGTTTGTATAATAAGGTGATCCAATTAATGATTGATTTTCTTGAGAAAAAAATATATTCTGTCTGATGAACATGCTTGGTCTTTTCAGGACATTGTTCTATTTAGAATCTGTCTCTGTTATCTTTAGATGAAAGTGATCAGTGACTCAAGACAAAATTTTTTTTAGCATAAAAATATGGATCTTAGATTCTCTTTTGTTTAGAACTCCCTGCCAAAAAAAAAAGAGACTCTGCGAGGAAAACTTAAAAGCAAGTAATTTATTTGGAAGGTGATCCTAGGAATCACTGGTAGAGGAGTGAGGCTAATAAAAGGTGCAATATCAAGCCAGTTACCAGTGTGGGCAGCAATTCTCAATCCATTGGGAAGTCTAAGAGGTAGTGTGGGATGTGCTGCAGAGATATCCCAGCCAAGGGGTGAGGAAGCTGGGGTATTTATCTACCACCTCCCCATCACCATTGTTTGATAGCTGCTTTCAGGTACATTAACTCACGCATTTTGATGCTTCTAGTAATCACATCTGACTTGTAGAGGCGAGTGCCACGGAGGTATGGGTAGGGCGCTGACAGATTCCATTGCAAATGATCCCAACTGAGATATTATTTTGGTAAACATTCCCTCTCCATTCTAATGGAGGATCTTTTGTTTCTGAAGAACAGAAATCCACTTATACTTTTCAATAACCCAATCAAAATAGGTAGAGAGATGGGGGATAGGAACCCAGGAAATGCTGGACAGCCAGGCCTCAGGAAGTACAGAATTCCAGGCTGCTCCAGGACCAGCAGTTTAGTTTGAGGGGAGGCCCTATTCTCTTCCCGCCCGTCTGGCTTCCTCTGACACTCTGTCCCTTGGGACTTTGGTCTACACATGGTTCTGTGATGCCTGCACCTGGCCTGGCCTAACTTTATCTTTTAAGGTGAATATCCATCACTGACTGGGACTTTTATATGTTTCTCTAACTTCAGATTCTTAGGAGTAAAAATCTAATTGGCCCAGTTCATCTTTTTCAAAACTGGATAAAAAGCTGTTGGCCAGCTGATGTATGGGCCTCTCTCTGATCCAGTGTCTGCTAACAACCTAGTCATCCATAGGCAAGGGGAGGAGTCATACGGCTCAGTGCCTACTCACAAGATGGGTAGAGCAGGGACAGACGAGCAATGAATGCGACAAGGTCCGTCAAGAAAGATCATTACACCTAGGCAATGATTCCATATTGAATGAAAATCTTGTCCTGAGAATTCCATGGCATTTTCATGAATATACAGGTTAAATAACAGGAAATATGAAATAAAACCCCATGTGATTATCCTTAGAACCAATGTGTGTGTGTATATATATATGTATATATACAATATATACACATATATATATATATATATATATATTTTTTTTTTTTTTTTTTTTTTTTTTTGAGATGGAGTCTCACTCTGTCACCCAGGCTGGAGTGCTGTGGTGTGATCTCGGCTCACTGCAAGCTCCGCCTCCCGGGTTCATGCCATTCTCCTGCCTCAGCCTCCCGAGTAGCTGGGACTACAGGTGCCCGCCACCATGCCCAGCTAATTTTTTGTATTTTTAGTAGAGACGGGGTTTCACCATGTTAGCCAGGGTGGTCTCTATCTCCTGACCTTGTGATCTGCCCGCCTCGGCCTCCCAAAGTGCTGGGATTACAGATATGAGCCACTGTGCCTGGCCAGAACCATGGTATTTTTTAAAAATTATTTATTCATCAGTCTGTCCGAAAGAAACATGCTGTAGAAATCTTAAATGTTAATGAATTAGAAACAATTTTGGTTCTTGCACTAAGAATCTGGATATAGGCTAGGGTCAGTGACTCGCACCTGTAATCCCAGCACTTTGGGAGGCTGAAGCAGGAGGATTGCTTGAGCCCAGAAGTTTAAACCTAGCCTGGGCAATGTAGTGAGACTCCCTCTCTAAAAAAATTTAAAAATTAGCTGGATATAATGATGCATGTCTGTGGTCCCAGCTACTCAGGAGGCTGGGGTGGGAGGATCACTTGAGCCCAGGATTTGAGGTTGCAGTGAGCCATGATCTTGCCACTGGACTCCAGCCTGTGTGACAGAGTGAGACACTATCTCAAAAAAAAAAAAAAAAGAATCTGGATATAATCAGTAAAAAGTTAAAGCTATGTCATCTCCCTTTTCTTAAAAAATCCTGAAGATATATTTGCCTTATGATACCCTTTGCCTTACCAAGTCCAAGAAACAGGAACTGGGGTATAAACACAGTGATGAGATTTTATATAATCTCTAAGCAAAGATGAAGTGATTGTGTGATGTGATCTGAGGTTGCTTCTGTGAGATGCTTAGATGAAGAATCTTGTACAGTCTGGTGCCAGTCATTACCTCCCTACTGTGTACACGAGAACAACAGCACTCTCATAGTTGTCTCCTACTCACCTCCGATTTTTGTTAGTTGTAATGTTGTTTTCACATTTCCCTTTGCTCAAAACATTTCCATATTCCTCTCTAACCATAATCAGGTAATTGTGGTGTCAGTTTCCTATTTAATTGAATTCACTGCTCACTGCTAGCACTTTTAGTAGTGTTTGCATTCCTGAGTTTATTTTAATTCATCTCTTAATTGGCTGGATGTTGTTTTCCAGCAGTTTTCCCAAGAAGGGTTCACGGTGTTGTGCTTCCTGAACACCTTTCTGTTTGTGGTGGTTTGCCCATTGCCCTTATCTCTGAACGACGTTTTGGCAGGTGTAAGTTTCTTGGTTCTTTTGGCAGGTTCTCGGACATTTTGGCAGGTGTAAGTTTCTTTCTTTCCCTCAAGACATCCAGGTATTGCTTCATCATCTTCTAAGTATCAGTGTTGCTGTTGAGAAGTCTGAGGCTAGCCTGAGTTTTTCTCTTTTTGTGAGCAGTAGGGGTTTTCTGCCTGGACATATGGAGAATGATATCTTTTGGAGTTCGAAGCCTTAGTCTAGGACTTGGAGTCAGCATTCTGTATCAAATTTTGCCAAAATATATTATATCTATACTCTTTAAATCTGTGAATTCAGCTGTCTCTTCATTTCAGAGGTATTCTTGTGTATTTAATCTTTGAATACATCTGCTTCTTAGGTTCTCTACTTCTAGGATATACATTTAAAAAAATCTTTCTTCATCTTGCACATCTATTGTTTTCTCTCATTGTTTGAGGCTCTTTCTTCTGCATTCATTGAAATCATTTCAAAGTTTTCTCTATGCTAGGAATTAGATATTTTATCAGTGTTTGTTTTGTTCTTTGATATTTCCATTCTTACTATTGAAATTATCTTTGTCCTTGGTTTTTATTTCTTAATTTCTCTAACCTTTTTCATCTAGTCCTGTTGTGTCACCATTTCATCCTTGAGCTCTTTTTTATTTCATGCAGTAATTCAGCACTCTGCATCTGTGCTCACTCTCCTTAACTCTAGTTTCCATAGAGCAGCAGAGGATCCCATGGAGCTGACGATCAGATCATGCCACTTTCTCTGCTCAACTCCTGCAGTGGCACTGGGTGCAGTGGGCTCACATCTGTAATCCCACCATTTTTGGAAGCCAAGGCTGGAGGATCACTTGAGGCCAGGAGCTCGAGACCAGCCTGTGCAATAGCAAGACCCTGTCACTACAAAAAAAAAAAATTAAAAATTAAAAATCAGCCAGGTATGGTGGTGCACACCTGTAGTCCCAGCTACTTGGGAGGCTGACGTGGGAGGGCCACTTGAGCCTTGGAGGTTGAGGCTGCAGTGAGCTATGATCATGCCACTGCACTCTGGCCTGGGTAACAGAGTGATACCTTGTCTCAAAACAAAACAAAACAAAACAACTTAGGGGAAAAGCCAAGGCCCTTTACAATGACCTGCAGGCCCTAACTCCTCCACCTCACTAACTTCATGCCTCCTGCTGTCTGCCTCCTGATCTCACCAGCCTCTCCACTGCCTTGAACATACCAGGTGGGCTCCCGTCTCAGGACGTTTGCACTTACTGCTTACTCTGTCTGGGGTGGTTTTTCCTCAGAATCTACACGGCTTATTCTCTTCCCTTCTTCAGGTACTTACTCACATAGCACGTCCTCAAAGAGGCCTTCCTCTACTACTCTACTTAAAACCACAGCTTCTCCCCCTAGCAGTCTCTGTCCCTGGCCTTGCTTTTCTTCATAGTACTTACCGCTTTCTAATATATAATCATACAGATTTGTATATATGTATACATTACTCATGTAGTTTATTATGTCAACTTCAACCTTCCCAACTAGGACATAGCTCCTTCATGGCAAGGATTTTTGTCTGTTTTCTTTGCTGTGATATCCCAACACCTAGAACAGTTCCTGACACTTAGGAAACACTTGATAAATATGTGTTGCATGAATGAATAGGTTGAAGATAACAACCATGTCTTCCTGGGAAGATTTGCTAACATCGAAGTCCACTTTTTTTTTTTTTTTTTTTTTTTTTTTTATGATTGGCTTCACAGTGACTTTCTCATTTGGCAGCAGAGGTCATATAACAAAATATCAGGAGGGGGTCTAAATTCTTTAAGATGTTACAGGTTAAATCCCCCAGCTTCGATATTATTAAAAGTCTCCTTATACCTTCAAGTGCTTTTGAAAACTTGAATTTCAGTTTTCAAGCTTATCCTGTTTTATTGTGAATTGATGAGGCAGTGAGAAATGAAATAACAATAGTTATTACCCTTAACTGCGTTCCTTCTTAGTGCTAGGTACTTTCTTTTGGGATAGAACACCTGTTATTCTCACCCAACACAGGATACATAATTTTCAGGCCCAGTGCAAAAGGAAAAGGTGGGACCCCTTGTTTAAAATGCAGGAGAAAGTGCCATTAGTGGTACTCAAATATAAAGCTTTTTTCTTTATTCCCCAGATTCTCTCAACTCAGTAGTTCTTATTTTCTATTTAATGTCATCCTAAATAAAGTAAAATTAAAATTTTAAATTATTAATGTGAATTTTACCTTTTATTGTGCAAAGCCAATTTTAAGTGCAAATACAACAACTTTTAACTCAATGGAATCACTGAAATTACACAATTTGTATTACACGGGTCATAGATGTTATGTACTTTATTCTTTTTAGAACAGTAGAAATACACAATACGTACACAAATCTGACTCAACTGTTTTTTGTTGTTGTTGTTGTTGTTGTTGTTGGTTTGTTTGTTTTGAGATGGTGTCTTGCTCTGTCATCCAGGCTGGAGTGCAGTGGCGCGATCTCGGCTCACTGCAGCCTCCGCCTACTGGGTTCAAGCGATTCTCCTGCCCCAGCCTTCCAAGTAGCTGGGACTACAGGTACCCGTCACCATGCCCAGCTAATTTTTGTATTTTTAGTAGAGACGAGGTTTCGCCATGTTGGCCAGGCTGGTCTCGAACTCCTGGCCTCAGATGATCCTCCCACCTCGGCCTCCCAAAGTGCTGGGATTATAGGCGTGAGCCACCGTGCCCAGCCCTCAACTGTTTTCATTTCACTTCTTGATACGTGCACATTTTACCAATGTTCTCTACCTTTGACTTATTGATGAATAAGGAAGGGCTAAAAGGAAGACAGCGCTAGTTGCCCTGTCTTTCCCTTTCCTTCTATGTCATCATTTTTGGTGTGAGTGGTTGGCTAATATAGGGAACTAACATGGATAGGAAGGAATATAATAAGATTTCTTGGTTGTTTGTATTTCCTAGAACATCATTGCCTTCTCCGTGCATTCAAAGCAAGCATCCTGGTTTGAGTGGAATGTGACTCAGTTATGGATATAACACACCTTGTCCTCACTTTGAGTCTCCCTGAATTCCTACACATTGTGACTGCAGTGGAATCCTGTGCTCACGGGGTGTTGCAAACACTCTGTGTGCACGGGCAGCAGGAATAGCAAACACACAAACTGCACGCATCTCATCTGTTCACATGTGTGCTCCGCTCTCCCATCAGACTTCACTTACAAAACACAAGTTCAAAGACTAAATTATTACAAATGTCAGGATGGCAATAGCAAAGCATTAAACCAAATAGAGACATCTTCTGAGCATGAACATCTTCTGAACCTATGCAACGCTGCAGGTTACATGCCATGAAGCTGCCGCTGTCCTCACCACAACCTCACAAGTGGAACGTCTCATACCATTCACAGCTGAGACTGCTGAAACCCAGACAGAGAAAACAATGTGCCCAGGGTCACTCAGCATGTGGTGGAGCTAGAATTCAAACCCAGCCTGTGTTTAATCAGGCGGCCTGTGTGGCCGGTGTGGCATGATAGAATAACCACTGGGTAGGCGGCAGGATGTGAGGGGTTTTGACCCATTTCTAAGTAATTGTGTAACCATGGACACGTCTGCTTTAGGACTTCTGCTTTTATCTTAATTAGTGCCTATTTATGAATACAAGTTATAGATTTCCACAAACCAGGGTGTGGGTTGCATGGTCTCTTCTCTGTACTAAGAACTAGAGAAACTTGCTGAGATGTGTTAGATGACAAAGCTGCCATTCCTGTGGTAGCAAATGCAGTAATGGTTGTGTGTGTTGCATGTTTTACTTGGCTAGTTCCTCCGATGATGACTGACAAATCCAAGAGTATGAGAGAGAGGTTATTTTCTGGGACTGTTCCAGGGCATAATTAGGAGAATTTATTATAAGGCCAGATGAGGTAGGGGAACAAATGTAGGCTTTGTAAACCTTGCAAAAAAATTGTTTTTAATTTTAACTTGCTGTCTACATAAACCACAGAAATGCCATTCCTTAAGAATGATTAGACAGGGTGGATGATTACACTGCACTTTTGAAGTCTTGCTATGTGGGTCTGGGTACATTATCTTCCCCTGTGCAGCCAACGGTGAGTGCCACAGACCAAGGTTATGATGCTATTCACCTGACAGGTCCTTCCATATGAAGTCCAAGAACCGATGAAGGATAAGGTATCTGGAAAAAGGATTGCTTTACACAGGCAAGGCAAAGGGCAGCATCATTGCTATCAGGCCAGGCCTTTTAGAAATGCCTGTTGATGTACATTGAGTGCACCTTGCCTACAGAAATGCTTGTGTGTGTGTGTGTGTGTGTGTGTGTGTGTGTGTGTGTGTGTGTGTAGGCAGGGCATGGGACGAGAGGCTCTTTAACAACCTCTGCAGAAGGGAAGGCCCAGTAACCCAAAGAGAGGGCCCATGGCTTTGGCCTCTCACCAACCTCTTTTCTCACATATAAAGTATAATAATATGTACTTCATCCAGTTGTTATGAGGACAAGATGAGGTGATACATGTAGAGACTAGAATGGTGGCTGACACATACTGGCCTCTAATGGTGACCGAAGTAGCTGTGAGGGTAGGTTATAAAGGGGACTTTGTAAAATGACTGCCTGATGAAGTTCCTCTTTGGCCTACTTTCTCTCCAAAGTAATTATTGGTTTGTATCTTGGCAAATACTTTGAAGCAATTATTAAATTTATTTTTATCTAAGAGACTGAATTTACTCTTAATTTATTTGAGTTAGATTTTGAAATCAGTCTATTTGTATGAAAAGGAATATTTATTTATTCATCAAATATTGCATTCCTACTTTGTGCCTTTGTGTATTACTATGTGAATACAGCACAGATACAATAACATGTGACCCTTTCCCTCAGAGAGCCCACAACCTTTTGCAAAAATAGATATGTCCATCCTTCATTACAACATAGTCAACTTCAGAGCACTTGGTGGTGGTAAGTACCAGAAAGAGGGGAGTGTTGTCAGGGAAGGCATTGCAATTCTACCTGATAGAAAGCAACCATTTTTATATCCCAATAACTGGATTTCTATCTAGAAAATATTACAATAAAAGAGAAAGCTGGTAGTAAACTGTTTTTAAAAATGGCCTTTTCCCAAATAATTCAGAGAACTATTTTTGTACTTGTGTACTCGTGAGTCTGAAGTTAGGCTAAAATCTCTGAAACTCTTTACTATCCCAAGATCCTTAGAATTCTAGTAATAGCTTTTGCTGCTCTTGTAGGAAAATGATTTATTTTTTGTTCACTCTGTCATTTATATCCTTAGTGATTTGTTTAGAGGGAACTTTAAATATACCGTAGTAATTTTCACGATTTTTCTTGAGGTGCAACCTATTGCTTGGGTCCAAACTCAGAACTGGCTTTTGAAAAAGACCATGGAGAAGTTTGGATACAACCATAAAATAGTTCTACTTTAAGAACTCAAGGAAAAGAACTTTGCCGGGCATTGATTCTATGAGATTCATATGGAAAAAATCCTGAGAATTGTCATTTAAGGACATGAGAGTGAGTAGGATCAAGAGGGATCAGATATTTAGGAATTTGTCCTAGACTGTAGGAAACTTTGGAATCACCACTTCTAATAAATTCTCATTAAGATTGCAGTGAATGTCCAGCTGATTGTTATTTTGGCCAACAGAGAGTATAAGGATTGTTTTTCAGATCTGATGGCATGGTATATAGCTGTTTGTAAATCTCAGTCTATCCTCGTGCTTTGCAAGCCAGCTTATTAGCAAGGGTCCTTAGTCACCGGAGAAGCTGACTGCCACTCAGGCCTCCTTCCCAGAGAATCTGAGTTATCAGTCAGACCTGAGGTGGGGACCAGGTGTCTGCATTTGAAGTACCCCTTGCATTTCTATCCCTGGTGATCTGCAAACCTCCACACTCTTTTTTTTTTTTTTTTTTTTTTTAAAGAGACAGCGTCTCACTCTGTTGCCCCGGCTGGAGTGCAGTGGTGAAATTTCGGCTCACTGCAACCTCTGCCTCCTGGGTTCAAGCGATTCTCCTGCCTCAGCCTCCCAAGTATTTGAGATTACAGGTGCACGCCACCACCTCTGGCTAGTTTTTGTATTTTTGGAAGAGATGGGGTTTCACCGTGTTGGCCAGGCTGGTCTCAAACTCGTGACCTCAAGTGATCCATCCACCTCAACCTCCCAAAGTGCTGGGATTACAGGTATGCACCACTGCGCCGAGCCTTGCAAACCACACTCTTATCAGCCTAGTGTGAATGAAACCCTCCTTGCCTTCAGAGAGCTTACAACCTAGTTGTGAACTTGAAGCCATTACAATAGAAGGGATAAGCCAATCCCAGATGCCTTGTACTTCTTAAAATACTGTGTGTGTGAGACATGTATGGCTTTTTATTCTGTTGACCTGGGAAATGTTTAAATAAATGGATAGACACTTCCTATGCATCCATTCCATGTCAAGCTGTCTGCTAAACACCAGAAATGCACACACCAACACAATCCAAATGGAGGCAGGAGGCAATATGGTTGGAAACAGATCATGCTGTACCTTGAAATGCAGCCAGAGCCTTTGAACTCCATTTAGAAAGAAATAGATAGCTTAGGTTTGAGACTTTAACCACAACATTTCTAAGGTCCATTCTTTAGAGTGGCATTGAGGGCCCTCTGTCACCTGTCACCCAGCCTCATCTTGAGCCTCTCCCTGCTCCTCACCAATAGTGAACTACTGGATGCCTTCTTGCCCTATTACCTCCACTTGGAATGACTTTCCCTCTTTCTGCACTTGACCCGTCATTACGTACCTCCTTACTCTTCCTGGAAGCCCCTCCTGACTTCCCAGGTTGGACTCAGCACTGCCCTGCACCCCGTGCCTACTCCTGTCTTAATACCTTCCTCATTTCATTGAGAATATGTGTGTGCATATATCTCCTCCGCTAGATGGTGAGCACCTCCTGGGCAGTGGTTTCTCTCTTCTTGCTTTTGTATACCCAGCCCAGTACCTGGCACGCAGCAGGTGTCCCATAAATCTCTGAAATGAGATTGATTGATGCCAACACTAAGTAGAAAGCAAATAGGAACTCATTCTCCAGGTTTCTTTTGGCTGAATTCTGCTAGAAAGGATTCTGAGCATGCTTTTAGCTAAAGAGTCCAGTGGGGGCTGGGTGCAGTGGCTCACGCCTGTAATCCCAGCACCTTGAGAGGCCAAGGCAGGCAGATCACCTGAGTTCAGGAGTTCGAAACCAGCCTGGCCAACGTGGTGAAACCCTGTCTCTACTAAAAATACTAAAATTAGCCAGGCGTGGTGGCGCACTGCAATCCCAGCTACTCGGGAGGCTGAAGCAGGAGAACCGCTTGAAACCTAGGAGGCGGAGGTTGCAGTGACCTGAGATGTGCCACTGCACTCCAGCCTGGGTGACAGAGTGAGACTCCGTCTCAAAACAACAACAACAAAAATGAGTCCAGTGGTGTTGAGGGTTAGCAACTGGACACCTGATGTTCCAGTCCCACGGAGGGATCCTGAAATTCCTGCACTACAGGTGCACGTACAGTAAGTGACCCATGGCTCTGTAGAGGAGAATAAGCTATGAGGAAGTGGACTCTGCCGGGTTGCTTGTTTCTAGCTGTAACATTTCCCTCCTAATTGGCATCGCTACTGAAATGATGTACGCTTGAATTTTTGCCAAGAGTGACTGTGTGCTAATAAGCTTTTCTCTCCAACAAAATGGTTTCTGTCCTTTGGTCACTTGTGGACAACCCTTGCTTTATGTGTAAGTGAATGAGAAGGAGGCAATGGGTCAGTCTGATGGGGCAGAAAACAACAAATAAAACCGTGGGTTGGTGTCCGTATTATGAAGACTTATGTCATCTGAGTGGAATGAGATTGAGATAAGTTCTTTGGAAATCATCTCAAGATATAAGAATAAAAAGTTCTTTCTTATGAACTATAAATTTCATTTTTATTCTTGATGTAGTTTGCTGCACTTCTTGCAGCTTTAGCTGTAAAGTAGAAAATGTCTATGCTTTGCTTCTGTTCTTAAAGCTCTTTAGCAATTCTGCCCTGAGGCAAAGAGGCAAAAACAATTTGTTTTACTCTCCCACATTCCAAAAATAACTTTAGTAATACACTCTTTGGTTATCTTAAAAGTGCAGAGTGGATACTTTTATCCCAAAGTAGCAGCGTCTGATTGGCGGGGGGACTTTTGCCGTGTGACTATTACTTAGCAACTAGATGCTGGTGACTCATTCACTTTGACTGTGGCACAGAAAAATTCTTTCCATGGAAAACACAGGCGGGGGGAAAATCTCTCTGAACCACTATGTAGTATTTTCCTTTAGAAAAGGCTTCTCTGAAAATGAATAGGCACCAGCTGTTACTCTGCCAACTTAGTCTCCAAAGCTGCCAGAGAGCCTTTCCAAATTCTGTTTCTGTGTGATTTATCCACCAAGGTATACAGGTAGGTTCAGAACTGTAATAAGAGACCAATTTGGTTAGTAAACTTAAATCTCAGAGTTTTAAACTGCCATCCCAAGTAAAAGAAAAATTGAGGCCGGGCGCGGTGGCTCACGCCTGTAATCCCAGCACTTTGGGAGGCCGAGGCGGGCGGATCACGAGGTCAGGAGATCGAGACCATCCTGGCTAACAAGGTGAAACCCCGTCTCTACTAAAAATACAAAAAATTAGCCGGGCGTGGTAGCGGGCGCCTGTAGTCCCAGCTACTCGGGAGGCTGAGGCAGGAGAATGGCGTGAACCCGGGAGGCGGAGCTTGCAGTGAGCCGAGATCGCGCCACTGCACTCCAGCCTGGGCGACAGAGCAAGACTCCGTCTCAAAAAAAAAAAAAAAAAAAAAGAAAAATTGAGCTAATGGCATTTACGATATCTGGAACACTTACATATGATCGGGTTTGCTCTAGAAACCAATGGTGTTTTACTGTCACATTATAGTAGCAAGGAAGGGGTGAGGAGGAATGGGGGCTGGTGTGGGGGAAGGAAAGAGAAAGAAAGCTGCTTCCTTAGCTTTGGGCTGAATAACATGAGAGCTTTGGAGACAGGTGCTTAAGTGAGATGCCCATGTACCTAAGCAGCAAAAATATAATAAAATAGATTCACCTGCTAGGCTCACAACACAGCCTAATTTCAGCTCTCTGCAGTTAATTTTGCTTGTCAGCATCTCCTTAAAGGCTCTGAGGGTGATTAGGAGTGGGAAAGTAGACAAGTGCAGTTTTAGCCATGAAAATTGGGGAACGTGAAGGGCTTGTTTCCTGGATGCTCTTGAACTCTGCCATCCCTCTGGACTGGAAGTCGAGCTGCTCTCGTGCTTGGCTCATATTTATGAATGGAGGTTAGAGAAGTCGCTTAAACGCTCTTCAGTGCTTACACTCCAGCTGGCTGCTGACTTAGGAAAAACATGACCTTATGGGGCTGCCATGGGTGCGGGGAGTGGTGTGGGCGAAGTATGTTGTCATAGAAAAGACAACCCAGGGGCTGGAGGGGACTTAGCTCTTACTTACAGCCTGAGACACCCAAGCTATTAATAGTAAAGCCCTGAGTCACAGATGTAGGAATGTCACAGCTGCCTGAGCTGTGCTACTGTTACACATCAGAAAACCAGCAATGAAGACCTGCCCAAGATGAATGTGAAGAAATGGGCATTTTTCCCGCTTCTCCCCAGACCCACCAAATGTAGTTTATTTCAGCCATACACACCCTCTGAGTCAAAGAGGAGGCAGGTTGATTGACTTCATTCCTTTCGGTTCCCCTGGCTCTCTTAGACTCAACATGTTACAATATTTGCAGTAAATACCGTCTAATACTGGCTGTGCATTCTGGTTCTGAAAGATGTGTTAGCCATCTGCTGCTCTCCCTGCCTTGTGATGTCTGTCTTTTTGTCTCTTGCTCATCCCATTTCTCACACATGGTGGATGTATATGGCATGCGGTCGGGACCCGGTAAGCTGGATTTGGGAGACAGAGGCTGGAGTCAGGTGGGTGTTGGCTTTGTGAACCAGAAGTCCTCAGCTCACAGGACAGCAGGACAGGTCACAGGACAGCCCGTGACCCTGTGGGTCAGAAATCAAAAGCCTCCTGAGGAGTTGCTGCTGTGGGGTCAGGCTTAGGCTGATCCTGGTGGTGGACCGAACTAGATGAGGCTGTTTGTCCCTTAATTGTGACTGGAGTTCCTCCCTGGTATATGCACATCCAAGGGGCTTGTCTAAAAACTCCGATGAAACAGAGGGAGAAGGGGGAAGTCAAAATCCCCCCTACATGGATAAATCAGATTTTAACTTTGATCCTGAATTGGATCCTGGATAAGGAATAGAATCCTGAAAGATCCTCTTCCCCGGCTGTCTCTCAGTCTCTACCTTCCCCCAGCCCCATTCAGGTAAATTATAGCGGGGAGCAGCCGTGCAAACCAAATGTCATTATTCATTTTTCATAAGAAAGTGAACTTGAAATTGCCATTAGCATCATTATTCTGTTTTTGTTTTACATTAAGGCCAATTTTATTTATCCAGTTTGCCTGAAAGAAGCCGTAGTAAAAATTGAAAGCGACTGTAACAGGGAGCCAATAAGCTAACCATTGACTAGTTTTACTTATTGGAACCGTCTCTAGCTGGTGCTCGGTCCTCCTCTTCCTGGCAATCATTTATCAGACTGTGGGAGGGGGCCAGCGTTCGGGAGCTTTTCATAGCCCGTCCTCGGTGCGAGGAATACAAGGTGGTGTCAGTGACCAGAGATTAGGACAGTAGAATTTTGCATTTGTTACAGCAGCAGCTGTAGCGAGTGGTTTCAGCCGCAGGGCAGAGTCCCCGAGCTGGGCGCGGCTGCAGCTCGGCGGGCGGGCGGAGAAGAGCGCGGGGGCGATAGCGGGGCGGGCATGGGAGCGGGGCCCGCCGAGGCGGGGCGGGACTCGAGACCACAGCCCCGGACCTCACAAGCGGATGCCGGGGCTTCTCCTGGCTGCCCCAGCGCCCGCGGATCTGTCTGCCGAGGCGCGCTTCCACTCCCAGAGTTTATTCCTCGTTCCTTCTTCAGTCCTGCTCGTCGGAGGACCCGGTTGCCATGGTGAAGGAAAAAGGTAATTATAAATATCGATCACTGTGCATGGTTGCAGAAGTTGGAATGGCACCGCAGGGCTCGGCCACCTAACGGGGAATGATCAATCGAAAGCCGGGCGGACATGTTCTCGGTGTGAGAAGCTCCGTATTGTGAAGTCTGGGTTTCCATCGAACCCAGACTTCGTTCAGAATCTTTAATTTCACCACCGCATCGGGAGCACATCCTGTTTTCTGGAGCACAGCTGAGCTCTGGGGTGTATGTCTCTTTTGATTGCTATTGCATTTTGAATTTTTTGTTGTGTTTGAGACTCGCCGTCTTGCCCCCCATCCCAGCCATCATTCTCTTCCTCTCTTACCACCACGCCCCACCAATCAATAAGTTAATTAAGATGTGTCATGAAAGGGCCCTTCCTGCCACGGCTGGGCTGTGTGGTGCTGGGACATGCCCAGGCCTCGCTAGATCCGGCTGAAAGGAGAAGCTGGGTTGTTTTAAAGGCTTCAGGTGCTCTGCGTGTATAACCTGTCATTTCACTATTATCCCTAATCACTCCTCCAAACACCTTCTTAAAGGATGCTGCACATGGCTAAGGAAACCACATCATATCACAAGGAGAGTGTTAAAAGGGAGAGGACAGGTGTGGCCTGAACAGGTGTACATCATTTATGCACTAGGCGTGGTCCTGAAATGGAAGGTACATTTTTCAGAATTGAATGATAGTTGAAATGATTTGTTTCTCCGGGAAATGTGAAAGAACACCACAGTGCTTGTTTTGAGTGATTCAAGTAATATATAAACACACCTTGTCTTAAGAAAGTAAAATGTTGCAGGAGGATAGGGAGGGAAAGTGAAAGCCCCTCACTCCTGCCTTGTCAGCTTCAATTCCCCTCTCCTCTCTAGAGATAAAATTGTTAACAGTTACTGTGTATCTTGCTAGACCCTTCTAGACCAGAATTAGAGACAGACACATATGAATATAAAAATTGAATCATTCTATGATCATTTTTCTGTAACTTATTTTTTTCTCTTTTATTATGTCTTAGGGACCTTCACCAAATGATTTTATAATGTAAATAACCACTCTTTAATTTTGCTGTCTAGTACACTTAGATTTATTGTCACATTTTCTTACCGTGGGGACATTCTTTCCTCCCCAAACACGGACATCTACTCTTTCAGGGCGTTCTTGAACCATTTCAATGACTTACCTGTGTTTACTTTATCTTAAAGCTACTATAGGGAATAGATTTAAGATGAAAATGCTGAACTCAAGATGATCCTTGTTGCTTGAAACTCAGTTTGATTCTATTATATTAATGAATGGATTGACATACAGGATCCTGAGAGCTTAACAGTGTAAAGGCTGCACCTCAGGACAAAAGAGAAACATGATTCTGCTCTATTCACTCTGCTCCTATAGATCTTTAGTAATCACATGCTGTAGCTTTGGTTTTTCAGTGGGTAAATGGTAATTGAGTGAAATGATTCGGTGTGAATAAAGGTGCTTCTAATAATATTTCCACTCTTTTGGGGGTGCTTCCAGGAACCCTCAGTACCAAACACAGATGTTGACATTTACTGCAGTTCAGATCTCTTCATTTGTAGCTCCCACCCAACTATGACATGGCACTCCTCTCTGTTGCTAATGGATTTGAGTTTGTTTCCCTGATATGAGTAATTTATGAGTGATGGGAAAGGGAATTACAAAGCCATTTCTTCATTCCATTCTTGCGGGACTCTTGGAAGACCTAGCCTTGCTATATATGGTATATATTATAGATCAGTAGTCCTCACATAGCAGCTCTTTTTCTAAGTCTTGGAGACTTCCCAAAGCTTAGATTGCCTGGGTTCACATTGCTCTACAAGTCACTGGCCACCTTCTAACTGGAACACTTTGGACAGGCCACCAAGAGGTCACATACTAGTATTATCTTAACCCTTAGACACTGATTAAAGGCTGTTCTGTTTTATTTTGAGGTCTGTGCCAGTCCACACCACTGCTTTCTGATTGCACTGACCTCAGCCATCAACAGAGAAAGGCAGGTTTGTTTCGTTTCGTTTCATTTTTGTTTGTTTGTTTGTTTGTTTTTGGTAGGTACACAAGGGTTTCCATAGGAAAAAGGGAACTTCTTCATAGCCCTTAAAGTGAGAAGGGCACTGGGGATCGTTTAGTCCAGGCATTCATCCTAGAGATGAGAAAACTGGGGATCAGAAAGGGTAAGTAGGTTGCTGAAGGTCACACAGCAGATTGTGGACAAAGTACTCATTCTCTGTGTCTCGTCACACCATGTAGTGGATGAGAGACCACAATTGCCAGTGTGTTGACAGCTGCTATCTCTGTCACAAGATGGTGAGCCTTTCAGAAGTGGCACTGTGTCTCCATCTTTAACTTTCCAGTGCATAGGTTAGTGTTTCCCCCACTGTAGATCTTCAAACAACCAAAACAGGTTGGCCCGTTGTCAGAGCAGGAACAGGAACCTGTGCCTTCTTGATTCAGAAACTTCTCCAATCCTCTCCATTTATTCTTGTTCTCAGAAAAGCCTAGCTCCTTCCTTCCCTGTGGAGCTGTCAGGAATCAACTCGAGGAGGCTCGGGTCCTGGCAATGTCCATCCCGAGGAACATGGCCGGCCCAAGGAGGAGTGGCATAGACTCCCTGTTGTGCTTGCCACTTAGAGCTCACACTGGCTTGCCTCATAGTTTTCTCTCTAGGATAAAATACCTGGTTCGGGGCTGACATGGGCAGGAGAGAAAGCACGCTGGCTGGTTGCCTCCACTAGTGTGGAGTGGCATTTGCTGACATCCTTTGACCTTATTATCTTTTGTTCTCCTGACCAGGCACCCATTCACTTCCAGCTGCAGACACTTATTGATTCCGGAATCTTGATGAAATGGTTATTTCTCTTATGTCTTCAAGGGTACCTTACCCTTGCTGTATCCTGTAACAAAGAAGCACAGGAGATTTCTGCAGGTTAATCTGTCAATAACTGCCTTCCTAAATACACGCTCGTCAACCTATACTCCAGAGGCCCACTATACTCATTTAAAAAGCTGTAATGTCTAGCTAATGGGTGTTATAGTGCAAGTTTTAAGAATACAAAAGGGATTTATTATTTATTTTTGTTACAGAAAATAAAAATAAGCAAATATTAGAGATTAAGCTCTATAAACACTCATTTTAAGTAATAAAGAATGCTTATGGTTTGGGAACCATGTGAAAAGACTAAGAATTTAGTCACAAGACAAACTTCAAGGTAAATAGAATTTTACGTTTAGGCACATCATTTTTTGTTTGTGTTGTTTGGTTTCCTGGAAGTTTTCTGACATTGTTGGATGGCCCAACTTGCTTTTGGGATAGAGCGGGACCCAGTGAAACTCATTCCAGTGTCTAAGTGGAAGGATGTTCACCTTCCACCTGACATTCATGTGTGTAGGGACGCACACATACACATACCCACAAGGCAAGTACTTTTTCTAGAGCAAGGTTTTTCAACCTCAGCATTACTGATATTTTGAGAGATAATTCTTCGTGATTCTGTCTTGTGCATTGTATGATGTTGAGCAGCAATCCTGACCTCTACATACCAGCAGCACTGACTTCTTACTCATGACAATCAAATATGTCTCCAGACATTAGCAAATGCCCTTTGGCGAGCAGGATTGCTCCAGTTTGAGAACTACAGCTGTAGAGAGCAGTGGGGTGCTAAGACACCTTGGTCACAGTTCTCTTTAAGGTTTAGATCAATGGATTCCCTTGAGCACAGAGGGTGACAGATGTGAACAATTTGTCTTTTTTTTTTTTTGAAACAGAGTTTCACTCTTGTTGCCCAGGCTGGCATGCAATGGCCCTGTCTCAGCTCACTGCAACCTCTGCCTCCCAGGTTCAAGTGATTCTCCTGCCTCAGCCTCCTGAGTGGCTGGGATTACAGGCATGCACCACCACGCCCGGCTAATTTTGTATTTTTATTAGAGATGGGGTTTCACCATGTTGGCCAGGCTGGTCTCGAACTGCTGACATCAGGTGATCCACCCGCCTCGGCCTCCCAAAGTGCTGGGATTACAGGCAAGAGCCACCGTTCCCAGGCTAAGATGTGAACAATTTGTATGGAAAGTCAATCAGACCACCACAGCTCCTCCTTGATGCCATTTAGCTTTTGGCAGAAACAGATGCTTCAAATAATAAAGCTACAGAAGGACTAATAAAGGCCTTCCTCCTTATTTATGGGCCTTATTTCCCAGCTCATTTCAGTTGTTGAAAATGGAAGAATCCTCTTCATCAAAGTAGATATGTCTACAGAGATGTTCTAGCTTAGTTCTTTCTTTTCCTTTAGGATTCTGTAAGCCCCATTTTGGTCAGGAAACTTCCCTATTCCGTTATCATCTCCTGCTTGCCCTTTCTGTGTTAGGCAAAGTGCTGGGTACTCAGAAAGCTCTCAAGGGTTTAGAAGATACAACAGCTGCCCTTTGCTTCTTTACCACCTGTCGAGGAAGTAAATAAGCTCACAAATAACTAATATTATGTAGATGTTTAAAGAGGCATTGGTACAGTGCTCTGGCAGGTCAAAGGTGGGAGACTTAGCTTCCAAGTATGCCGATCAGGAAAGACTCCCTGAAGCAGGCAGCTCTTAAACTGAGGCTTTAAAGATTGGGGATATGTGGACATATAATAAATTGAAATGAAAAGAGAATGGTAGATTTGAGAGAAGCCACCATATTAAAATTGATGGGACCTGACAACAGGTTGGGTGATTGTAATGAGAAGGATTCAGAACAAATGATCTTAAAGTTTTGAGTCCAAGTAGCTCAGGTATCAGTTTGCTAGTGGCACTGCAACAAAGTACCACAGACTGAGCGGCTTAAACCACAGAAATGTATTGTCTCACTGTTCTGGAAGCTACAAGCCTGAGGTCAAGGTGTTGGCTGAGATGGTTCCTTCTGAGGGCTGTCAGGAGAATCTGTCCTATGCTTCTCCCTGGCTTCTGGAGGTTTGCTGGTAATCTTTGGTGTTCCTTGGCTTATAGAAGCAACTGCCTTCATGTTCACAGGGCATTCTCCCTGTGTGCCTATCTGACTCCATGTTTCCCCTTTTTAAAAGGACACCAGTCCCAGTGGATTAAGGCCCACCCTAATGATCTCATTTTAACTTGGTCACCACTGTAAAGACCCTATCTCCAAATAGGGCCACATTCTGAGATACTGGGGGTTCGGACTTCAATAGATGAGTTTGGAGGGTGATGCAGTCCAACCCATTACACGCAGGCATCAGTGTTAGATGTGGCTAGGCTTGGGAAGGAGAACTGAAGAGGAGCAGAGTGGAATCGGATGTGGATGGGAGAGAGTTTCTAGTGGTGAAGAGGAAGGGAGGAGGTCGGTGGGAGGAAGGAGATGAGCTCAGTTTTATAGACCTTAAGCCAGTGTTGGGGATAAAGGACTGGGGAGTGATCAGAAGTGAGTAGTCCAGTTCATACCTCTTAGGCAGACTCTGAGATTTCTTGGCCGATTTGTACAAACTTGCTACAATCTACCTTAAGGAAGATAACATTAGAAACAGGCCTTGCTTTCCCTTTGGAATAACAGGAGGCATTCAGATGTTAGGCATCAACAGGGAAGCCAACACCACACCTTTCTGCCTCAAGCTGCTGGGTCCAGCACCCTTTATGGTTTGATAGTAGCCCCTTCCTGCCACATCCAAAAGCCACTGCAGCCTTGTTCTTGGCAGCTCCTGAGGACAGTGATGTACTATGTCTCAAATGTGACCTACACCCTGGCACCAAAGTAATCCTTTTAGAACACTGAATCATTTCCCAGCTCAAAAACCCAAATAAATGACAAGGTAAGGTTCAAAGCTTCCTGCTTGTCATGCGGGGTTCTCCTCAAGTCCTTAAAATACCTCCTCCCTGCTTACTTCTAAAAAAATGTTCTTCTAAGCCAATCTTATTTTATTTTCATTTTAATGTTATTATTAAATCTGTCAGTGATTGAACACATACTAAATGGCAGAGCTTCATATACAATGTCTTTAATCTTCGAACCCATCAAGGTAAGTAGTATCTTCCCCCTAATAGGTGAGGGAAAGGAGACTCACAGGAGGTCAGAGATCACTTAGCTAGCATGTAGAAAAGCTAAATTTTCTATCCATTTTTCTGCCTATCTGGCTCCAAAACCAGTGCTAATGTCCACCCTGAGCCCTTTTACCTTTTGAATGACCACAGGGGTGGTATTTTCTGCTCTAACCTCAGTCATACTGTCTACCTGCCTTGTGAGACATACTGTACCCCCCCCTTTTATGTATTTATCAAAGATCTAACTCAAGTTTGGCTTCCTTATAGAGCTCCTTGAAGGCGCATCCCTTCTGCGAATTCTTCTAGAATTACTCTGTGCACCTAAGTAAACACCAGATAAACAACAGTTGTTACCTGTGCAACTTAGGACAGTGCTCTTTTTCTCAAGTATTGGACTTCATATGCAGTCTTGTAAAACAACCTTAGGAGCTGTGAAGTGTTGCTGCCTCTAATGCTGTCTGTCTTCCCAAAACACACACCCACACAGACACCACCCACTCAGATGCATGCACGCTGCCTGGTGTAGTCAATACCCACTTCTATTCCATCCTCAGGAAAGGCTAAGAACAGTAGGTTTTTCACTGTGGTGTAATAATTCCTCATGTGTGCGATGACTATTGAGTCACTATCCAGGCATCTTCTTTCACATATGCTAGCCACTCCTAGCCACGGGTTGAAGTTTAATGCCTCACCCCTACCTGCCCTTGGATTTGTCTTAACTTCAAAAGCCCCAGTCTTTTAAAGGGGACACCACCAACAAGGTCATTTCCTAAGTAAGGTCTAAAGGGAAGTGATAGATTAAAGGAGACACTACAAGGCTACAAGTTTCAAAATAAATTGTTCTTGATCAGTGACATTCACACTACTCAACTGTGAATTTCCCATCTTTGTGGGGAGGGGTGCTCCAGTTTTTGTCATCATATTCTGCTTGAGAGAAAGCAACCCAAGTGTGAATTGCTTGTACTATTTTATAAATGAAAGTGTTACTCTTACCAGGAAGTGTGGCTCTGCTTCACTCCAGAAGTACTGTCTGAATAATGGGATTTCCAAAGCTAAAGGAAAGGATTTCACATGTTTAAAAAAAAAAAAAATCTTAACAAATCTCCTGCCCTCTAACACCAACTAATTGATGTCTAAAAAATGTTTATCCAGAGAGAAAAAGATGTCATTTCTACGATATAAATAAATATGAGAGAAGGAATACATTGACTTGAATGTGTTCAAGGCTCTTGAGGGCAATTTTTGATGACAGGAATGAAGTCAAGAATATGTAGACAGTGGGCATCTGAAATGGAGGTTGGGCCTCATCTACTGTTAGCTACTGTCAGACTTTGGAGGTGGTATTGCTTCTTGCCTTTCCCATGCCAGGCCAAATGACCAGGAAGGATGAACAACTTGTGTTGCATCACAGAGAGTTTCTTTTAAAGAACGACAAATTGACTTTTCCAAATTCCTGCAGAAGATGTACTGCAAGAGACTCACCCCACCAAGAAGCATATCTTGGCATTTGATTCATTTTGAGGAGGTGGCCCTCTTTGCCATCGCATTCACAGCCCTAGGGGTCAAGAAAGAGGATCCTGGTATTGTTGGCTTCTCCTATGCCAAAGTCAAAGTGCTGAGTGTTTTCCTGAGCCAGCATTAAAGAGCCAGAGAACTTTTCAGAAGGTTCAGTGATCAGTGAGTGGTGCAGGATTTCTTCCCATTGTGGTTGAGTTTGATCTGGGTGCACCACAGTAAAAACCAGCCCAGCTTCCTATTTCATTGTGTGTTTGTCTGATGGTGACTCATACCGAGAGGTATGTTTATCCCAAACTGGCAGGAGCTGTGTATTCAAGGGCAAATTTTGTTAACAGTGGGGAGAGCGAAAATTTGTTATGCATGACCTCTTTTCTCTGAAACATTGTATTTGTGCTCAGACTGACATAATTAATGTTATTATGGTCCAGTGTCCCCTGGGGGTGGAACAGGGGTGAGTTTGTGTGTCCCTGTTGCAATCAAACAGGCTGGCTTGTTTGAATACTTGCATTTAACTATGAAGATCCTGGCTTTTTTAATACTTCTAAGGAAATTACTGTCTAGGACAGTGCTTCTCAAATTTCAACTGGGATCAGAATCATCTGGAAGGCTTGTGAAAACACAGATTTCTGGGCCCTGCCCTCAGAGTTTCTGATTCAGTAGGTCTGGGAGAAGGCCTGAGATTTTGCATTTCTAACACTTCCCAGATAATGTTGATGTTCTTGATTCAGGGACCACATTTTGACACTGTGCAGGTAATCTGTCGTTTCTGTGGGTAAAATGACCAGCCCTACAGGTGGGTAAGTCAAAATTTTTATAGAAGTAGCTTCTTCATTCCCTTTTGCAAATATCATCTGGCTCACCATGCACAGATGGCAAAAAGAAGGTAAAGAACATCACTGTCACTCTGGCTCTCCAGCAGGATGAAACAAAGCCATGTTTCATAATGAAGCAGACCTGTGAGATCCCAGTGGCCAAGAAACTGCTGTCAGTATATGATACTGGGAGCAAAGGTTGGCAGGAAGTTTAAGTTACTTTTTCATGGGGGCGAGTTGGGGCTCAGCGTGACTTGGAGAAGGCAACATTAATTCAGAATGAAGGCACAGGTGTGCATATTCTGCAGGCATCACTCCTATGTTTCCAAGACTTAGATGAGCATGTTTACCTGGAATCATAGAGCTATTTGGAATTTTTGGGTAAAAGTTCATTAACAATACAAAAATTAGCCAGGCATGGTGATGCATGCCTGTAGTCTCAGCTACTCAGGAAGCTGAGGTGGGAGGATGGCTTGAGCCTAGGAGGCAGAGGTTGCAGTGAGCTGAGATCGCCATGCACTCCAGCCTGAGCAATAGAGCCAGACCTTGTCTCAGAAAACAAACGAAAAAAAGGGAAAAGAGTTAATCAGCTATCTTGGCTCACAAAGGCTACCACTCCCTCTTTAATCTTTGAGGAATTGAAATATGTTGTTTAGGCTTGGAGTGTTTCATTTACTACCACTGTACAATATTTACTGTTCATTTGGTGGAAGTAGATCATCATAAAGGCCTTTATCCTCCTTGTCTTTATGCTGAGCAGGTGAGGAGAAGGAAGAAGAGGAGGGTTTGGTCTTGCTGTCTCAGGGGTGGCAGAGGTAGAAGAAAATCTGTGTGCAAGGGGATCTGTGCAGTTCAAACCCGTGTTGTTCAAGAGTCAACTGCATTCTGTCTATGTTCTAGTAGTCTGTATTTTTTCTTCTGTTTATTTCTGTTGTTCTCTATTTGAAACATGAGAAGGGAAAAGTTTAAGAAGAATTAAGAAAAGTGGGTCAGGCACAGTGGCTTATACCTATAATACCAGCAATTTGGGAGGCTAAAGCAGGCAGATCACTTGAGCTCGGAAGTGTGAGACCCTGTCTCTCCAAAAAACAAAATTCCCCCCATCCCCCGACAAAAATTTAGCCATGCATGGTGGTGTGTGCCTGTAGTCCCAGCTACTTAAGAGGCTGCAGTGGTGGGAGGATCATCTGAGCCTGGAGGTCGAGGATGCGATGAGCCATGAACGTGCCATTGCACTCCAGCCCGGGCAATAGAGTGAGACCCTGTCTCAAAAAAAAAAAAAAAAAGAAAAAGAAAAGTGGATGATAGGAAAAGGTGGCAAGGTTGTTCCTCATTGGAGTATCTGATGGGGAATGGGAGAGAAGGCTGAGTACTCCCTTCCTGGAAAAATGATAGGGGCTATGGGTGCCTGGGTCCATGGACCATCTCATAGTGACACATGAGCTAGGTGGGTGTCTACTGGACTGCTGCCATGTGCCACTTGAGGGACACCTTCTGAATGGCCATCAAGGAGCAGTTTTAGGACTGATGGGGATTGGAGTCCGCAGGACGAGAGCCCAGTTATGCTGAGCACTAAAGAAGGATTGGATGCCCCTCTGTCCCTGCTTACCTGGAAAATGCTACCACTTCTGGCATGTGTAGAGGTCCTAGCCTAAAACTCAGAAATAGCAATGAGCCATAGCGAAGGGCTTCTAGTAGCGGCCTGATCACATTACAATTTTCTTGAGGTCTCTTATCTGTGAGGCACTTCGAGAATAACTCGACACACTGGAAAGATCCTACATTTAGTGGATGAATGGGTTAGCAGGTGTTGAGAGGGATGCTGATGGAGAATGCAAAATGGAGGGGACACCAGGTGATAGAATGGGGGTGAACAATCTTCTATGGGGGTTCTAAGGAAGGAAGAGCTATAGTCCCAAGGGAATCAGAAAAGGCTTTATGGAAAAGGGGGCATTTAAGATTGGTATTTGAGGAGTTCTGTAGGTTTCTTAATGTTGGGGATGGTGTTTGATTCAACCTATATTCATTACACAGTGTCTGCTCCATAGTAAGCACTCAGTGAATGTTGAATGAACTAATAAGTGAATGAATGAGGTGTATGGGTCGGGGAGATGGTTATTCTTATTTGGGAAATTTTTTTTAGACTCTAATATGAGATAAGCCATCTAGATATAGCAACACATAAAATGCAGTTCTTGACCTGAAAGCACTCACTTTCTAGCAAGAAACAGACACACATAGATAAGTCATTATGATACAATGTGAAATGTACTCAAAGGGGAACTATGAAAGTAATATGGGACTGCAGGACAGAAAGTGATGAATGCTATTGGATGGTCATGGAAGATTGGGCTTTGAAGGATGAACAGGAATGCAATAGTGGATAAAAAGAGGATGGCGAGAAAGGGACTCAAGTGGGTAAAACAGAAGCAATAAAGTATGCCTCCTGTCTGAGGAGATGCAAGCAGCTCAGTTTAGCATTTTGGCCACATCATACAGCAATGGACATAAGGAGAGGTAAGTAGGGGGGTTTTGTGGGTCACATTGAGCTAAGGATGATTAGAACTGGGGTCAGACGTATGGATGCCCCGAGAATCAGGCAGGTGACCTGAGTGGAGCCTGGGGCAAACTACAGAGCATGGCCCTCCCTAAAGGGAAGAGTTACTTTGTCCTTCATCCTAGGTTCCACGGAGGGATGCAGGTCAAGTTGCCAGGCCTTGCAGTTTTCAAGAGCAGCTGGAAATAGGGATTTTTATGTAAAATCTCCAGATGTTTAAATATTGGCAAATGATTTCACTTTCTCTTTAAAAAATATTGTGTGTGGCCAGGCACAGTGGCTCATGCCTGTAATTCCAACACTTTGGGAGGCTGAGGTGGGCGGATCACTTGAGGTCAGGAGTTCAAGACCAGCCTGGGCAACATGGTGAAACCCCGTCTCTACTAAAAATACAAAAAAATTAGCTGGGCCTGATGGTGCATAACTGTAATTCCAGCTACTCGGGAGGCTGAGGCAGAAGAATCGCTTGAACCCAGGAGGTGGAGGTTGCAGTGAGCCAAGATCACGCCACTGCACTCCAGCCTGGGCGATAGAGTGAGACTTCTTCTGAAGAAAAAAAAATATTGTGTGGGCCAAACAAAACATGTCTGTGGGTAGGACTCAGTCAAAGGGCCTCTCGATTATGGTTTGGAGTTTAATGACCTGTCCACCATGCCTACCCCAGGAAGAAACACACTTTTACACAGCAAGACCCAGGATTCATATACACATGCATATAAATGGCTGAAATAAAACTCACATGAAGCAATACTTACCTTTACTCTCTGCTAGTTTCTTTTCTACTTTTTAAGTATGCCGGTGATGATCCATTAAACTTATTTTATGTTCCAGTGGTTCAAGACCCAAAGTTTGAAAAGCATTGGCTTAGACCCTCTACACTAACTAATTAAACTTTTATTGATGAAACAGAATAAGGTACTTCTGTGGGCAACCATGTTTCCATTCTGAGTACTCCTGTTATTGTGATAATAGGTATGTTTGGGTTACGTTGGGTTTCTTCACTTGCAACGGGACAGGTTTTGACAAAAGAATGTCTGAATCTTTCATTTGCCACTTTATCCTTAACAGAAGTTGGCCGGAATTTGGTGTCATCTGTCTTGGGTGCTTGATACAATTAAGAACTAACCCAACTGTTAAATTCAGAGTAAAATACTGTTTGAATTCCAGCTGGAAGTCCAAAGAAAACACTCGTAGAGCCCATGTCAGCTTTCAAGCCTGGTATTTCTGGAATTGCTTTTTCAGTTGGGATCACTTTTCCCTATGAGTCTGCCTCTCCTCTTTGTGTTCACCACGCTTACCTTGTTTCCTTGCTTTTGTATCACAGCCAGGGAGGGAGGAGCAAGATCAGGACCAGGACTATCTGCCATGCATCGTCCCATCCCTCAGTGACCAGCTGTTCATCTACATTGTCGAGCATTACATGCTGGATAGCATTCATTTTTGATGTGTAAGAGCTTTTCCAGAAAAAAAATATCATTTCAGCCAGGCACAGTGGCTCACGCCTGTAATCCTAGCACTTTGGGAGGCCAAGGCAGGTGAATTGTTTGAGGTCAGGAGTTCGAGACCAGCCTGGGCAACATAGTGAAACCTCGTCTCTACTAAAAATAAAAAAATTAGCCAGGCATGGTGGTGCATGCCTGTAATCCCAGCTGCTCGGGAGGCTGAGGCAGGAGAATTGCTTGAACCTGGGAGGTGGACGTTGCAGTGAGCTAAGATCGTGCCACTGCGCTCCAGCCTGGGTGACAGAGCAAGACACTGTCTCAAAAAAAAAAAGAAAAGAAAGAAAGAGAAAGAAAAAAAAAAGAAAAAATATAATTTAAGGGCTTTGGAGAGAGTTCACCCCTCCCTCAGGAATGTCCAAAAGGTGAGTTGTCAGCAGGCCTTCCATGCAGCAGGAAAGGTTTAACCATTCCTTGGGTGCAGGGCATGTCTGTCATCACCCCTATCTTGACTTGAAAGCACCCTTGCAATATACAACAGGATTCAAAAAGCACTTGGACTTTTGCAACAAGAGCCCAGGAGTGGCTTCTTGCCATTGGAGAGAGTTGATATGATGGAGACACCCCCAGGGAAAGGCCATCCCTGCCATGAAAACCACACGACCACAGTGAGGCAACACTAATATGGTAGTTTTGCATAATAAGTAGGCAAAGATGCCAACTACTAAACATGAATCAGGCAAGCAAGGCCAGCCAGAGAGTCGGCAGTCAACACAGTACTTTCAGGTTGGGGGCTAGCGTGGTGCAAGATGACCAGGAGCAGCATTGGAGACGAGATTGGAAGGCACCTTGTTGACAGGGCCTGTGCCTTGCCTCTCCAGGGCACTGTTCTCATCTGAGTTGGGGGCAGCACCCTCTGGAGTTGTGCAGCCACAGCCTGCACATCTTTACCCAGGGGCAGTGTGCTTCCAGGGAGCTGGTGCTGCAGTTGGTAGTGGGCAAATCACGTCTCTACCACTTCCTGGAGGACATAGAGCCAAGCTCCTAACCTGTCTCAGAGTCAGGGTTTTTTTCAGTTAAAACAATACTGAGAACACCCAATTTTCTCTCCACATCAGGAGGTTTGATAAGTTATCTGGTGAGTTTGAGCATTGGAAAAAATTATTAGTAGATCACAACAAAATAGGTAGAAAACATGATGGATTATTCATCAGGAGCTAGGCAAGTGGGAGAAAGGGAAACGATTAAATCTAAGAGAACAAAAACCATTGTACAAGAAAGGGAATCTATTCCTAGGAGGCACTACAGAGTCTAGTAGAACAATAATTACATTCGCAAAGTGTAAAACAGTGACCATGGGTTTAACCAAAATTTGTGGTGTAGGCCTATTGGTAAGAGCCGAATCTTCACCTGCAGAAACAGGATGTCAGTAGCTAATGACTGAGTTGATATAAGCATAGTGTTAAGAAAAAACACCAAAAGTTGAGCACATTTGCCTATAGGGGTTGGGAGGAGTGGGGCAGGCAATTACCATCATGCATTATAAGCATATTTGTTTCTTTGGGTTTTTTAAACTTTTTCTTTCTTATAGAGACAGGGTCTTGCTATGTCGCCCAAGCTGGTCTCAAACTCCTGAGCTCAAGCGATCCTACTGCCTTGTACTCCCAAAAGCTGGGATTACACATGTGAGCCACCGCCCACACTTAGCCTAAACTTTGATAAAAAATAAATAAATATGGGGTAAAAAACCCATACTTCCCACTCCATATCTTTATTGTTAGGGTTAATTTAAGTGAAATAGTGTGCGAAAATTTCAAATGTGGCCTGTGCCATGTGCTCAATAAATGTTAATGAAAGTCAGTTGGTCTGTGGAGTTTCTTTAAGCATCAGAGTAGAAGCACAGCCCAGAGCCAAAGGAATGGCCCGAGGTCCCTTGCAGATAAAACAGGACTAAGAAGTAGGTGGTGAGAAGCTGGGCACAGTGGCTCATGCCTGTAATCCCAGCACTTTGGGAGGGCGAGGCGGGTGGATTACCTGAGATCAAGAGTTTGAGACCAGCCTGGCCAATGTGGCGAAACCCCATCTCTACTAAAAATACAAAAAAAAAAATTAGCCAAACGTGTTGGCACGCACCTGTAATCCCAGCTACTCGGGAGGCTGAGGCAGGAGAATCGCTTGAACACAGGAGGCAGAGGTTGCAGTGAGCCAAGATCGCGCCATTGCACTCCAGCCTGGGCAACAAGAGCAAAACTCCATCTCAAAAAAAAAAAAAAAAAAAAAAGTAGGTAGTGAGAAGAATTAAATTTGTAACCAGAAAGAGAGACAGTGTTCAACTGCCTTCGGCCAGGATTTTTCAGAGGCTGAACGCCCTTCACTATAGTATATATCCTTCTCTTTCTCACTTGCCCCTTGTGGTACAGCTGTCCTTCAGTTGCCTTGGTGGCTTTGTAAAATTATTCCCTAAAGCTTCAGGATTTCATAGGTTTGCCTAAAAAGTAAGTCGTGTTTATAAATGAGAGCTCTGCAACCAGTCTTCATGGGTTTGAATCCAGCTTGCCTGTTTACTAATTGTGCCACCTTGGGCAAGTCCCTTAACCTCCTGTTGCCTCAGTTTCCTCATCAGAAAATAAGGACAATAATAGTACCAATTAATAGGGTAATTTTGAAAATTGAATCAATTAATCCACATAAAGCATTTAAAACAACGCCTGGTCACCCATTGCCTCCTGGCACGTAGCTCAGTAATTGCTATTCCTTCTGTTACTACTGTCATTCCTTTCGACTGAGTAAAATCAGGACAATGTGTCCAATGAGATGGAGTTTAGTAACAGATTAGTTTGAGGATCCTGGAAAGTAAGTAGAGCTGAGATAGCTGAGTCAAGGAACCCAGGAGGGTCCACTCCTTTCCACTGGACAGTGTCTTCCAGCTTGCCTAAGTAGAACAACGCTTTGTCACCTTTGTCATGCCACAGTACTCCAGGACCACATCAGTGGCTTCCTGTGGCCAGTAAGCTCTACTGTTCAGTGATAGAAATTCACCAAGGAACTGGACCTGTTGGATTTTCAGTGCCCAGATCCTTTGGGCAAGCAAGCTAATGAGACTGCTCTTTTTGTTGTGGAATGAAATGAGGTGGCTAATGATGCTTTGATGCGGGAACATGATGGCATCATATGAACAGTTGTAAAGTGTTTGAGGCTGGAAGCCATGTGTGCTCAGGACACCCACTGGAGGAAGCTGCCCACCTGCTCTGCAGCAGTCCCTGCTGGCTGTTGGCTATAGGTATGGTTGGGAGGAGTGGGGCAGGCAATTACCATCATGCATTATAAGCATATTTGTTTCTTTGAGTTTTTTAAACTTTTTTTTTCTTATAGAGACAGGGTCTTGCTATGTCTCCCAAGCTGGTCTCAAACTCCTGAGCTCAAGTGATCCTACTGCCTTGTACTCCCAAAATGCTGGGATTACACGTGTGAGCCACCGCCCACACTTAGCCTAAACTTTGATAAAAAATAAATAAATATGAGTAGAACACTACTCATCATGTCCTGTTCTGGGGACATGCCACTTAGCTTTTCCAAGGCTCTGGGGCCACCCAAACTCCTCCCTGCAAGTCAGGTCAGCTGGAAATTGTGCTTTGTTGTGTGGTTCTCATTCAGAGAGCTTAGCCAGGGTTGGTTTGAGACTGGTCCATCAGCTCCTTCCTTCAGCTGTTTTTTTTTTTTTTCTGAGTCAGAGACTTAAATGAGTCTTTTATTTTTTGTCATCGGTTGAGTGGTATTGACATCATTCAAATTACCTAACTGATAGTAGACACTGTTGGTGAACCCAAGGTATTTTTCTGACTTTCAGTTTCACCCAAAGACTGTTGCTCTGGAAAAGAGACAGAAAGCCAGGCTGGTATTCAAAACATGAACATATTGAACATGCATTTATAGAGTGCTGGCTTTGTGCATACAATGGTGCCAGACCCTGGTAATACAATGGCAGTTACCTTGTAATGGAGAAGATGGAAAAGAAAAAAGAAATAGAATGTTTAGACTGTGGTAAATATAAAGAGAGGAAACTGAGATGGGGGTCGGAGGGAGACTGCCTTTAACAAGGTAGTTCAGGGAGAAGTCTCAGAGGAGGTGACCTAGAAGCTTGAGGGTGTGACCAGAAGGAGGAGAGGGAGCTGGGCTCGCAAACAGCTGGGGAAGAGCCTTCTGGGCAGGGAAAAGCATGCCTGGAGATCTTGAAGCAGCAAGAGCCAGAGCTTGGGAGGATGTGGAAAGAGTGTGAGAAGAGGCTGGAAGAGGTGGTGGGGCCAGAGCGCATCTTCCATAGGGCAGTGAAAGAAGGATTAGTGGAGTAATCTGTTTATATTATGCACTTAAAAGATCATTCTGGTTGTTGCATGGCAAAGGGATTTAACAAATGAGTTGACAGTCCACACTATTTGAAGATACACACTTGTGTTTTTCTTTCTTTCTTTCTTTCTTTTTTTTTTTTTGAGACAGAGTTTTGCTCTTATTGCCCAGACTGGAGTGCAATGGCATGATCACGGCTCACTGCAATCTCTGCCCCCCAGGTTCAAGCGATTCTCCTGCTTCAGCCTCTCAAGTAGCTGGGATTACAGGTGCGCACCACCACACCTGGCTAATTTTGTATTTTTAGTAGAGATGGGGTTTCTCCATGTTGGTCAGACTGGTCTCGTCCCAACCTCGGGTGATCCACCCGCCTTGGCCTCCCAAAGTGCTGGGATTACAGACGTGAGCCACCACGCCCAGCCCACACTTGTGTTTTTCATAGCTGTGCCCTGAACCCCTCCTAGCACCTTACTTTAGTGAGGGATCAATTACTCATAGGGATATCCTAATGTTTCTAATTTTCCGGCAAATCTCTGGTGCTGACACTGGTGTTGACATTCCTCTAGGCAAGTTGTGTTTGTGAAAACTCCCTTGTGAGTGGGGCATTGATCTGATGGCATCTCGTTCAGATTTTTTTATATCTGTCTTGTTATGGGCTCTTTCCTAAAAAGGTAGCAGAGATGTAATGATATTGAGGACATTTGCTGGGGTGGGGATGTGTTGGTGAAAAACATGTCTAATACTTTAGTGGGGAGGATGGCATGCATTAATAAGGTGTAGGAGGTGCAATCTCAGCCCACTGCAACCTCTGCCTCCCGGGTTCAAGCGATTCTCCTGTCTCAGCCTCCCCAGTAGCTGGGATTACTGGTGTGTGCCATCACACCTGGCTAATTTTTGTATTTTTAGTAGAGACTGGGTTTCGCCATGTTGGCCAGGTTGTCCTGGAACTCCTGACCTCAGGTGATCCACCTGCCTCAGCCTCCCAACGTGCTGGGAGTACAGGTGTAAGCCACCGCACCCGGCCTACTTTCCAAGTGTTGGAAGGTTACATTTAGGAGTTCCATGGAGGGATTTAAAAATTTTTTCTTCCTCTCCCTTCTCCTCCCAGTCCCATGTTGGATTTTAACATGTTTTTTCTTTTCAAGCCATAGTCTTCACTAAGTGCTTTGTTAAACTTTGGGAGATAATCTTTTCTTCTCCACTCAAGCAGAGGCCATTCTGAAGGTAAATAAGAGAATGATCAACCACCAGGGTTATGCTCCCTTGTCACCGGGATGAATAGAAGAATACCTAGCAAGGTGACAGATTATATGTGTTTGCATTTTCTTGCAGAGGTTACACCCAGCAAAATTAGGTCATAAGAGAGCTTGAAGGAGCCTGAAGTTCAGGTCTGGGAGGAGTCAGGAGCCTAGGTGTTTAGAGAGTAGTTCTAGAATGTGTAGCATTCTAGAATGTTTGACATTGCAAGTTGGATGCTGTGAACACAGGTCTCATGCTTTCATCTCCCAGTGGGTGTGCAGACACTGGAGAGACCCAGGTGAGGGCAGGTTTGTGTCTTTATTCACAGTGCAAGAGCAAGAGTGCCTTTTCAGAAAGGGTTCACATTCTTGTTTCTGAAATTTATAAGCACTTGAATGAAAAGCTTCACTCTGCAGTTTGGAATCAGTATAACCTTTGGCACAATGGTGTGCCGGTAAATGTTTAACAACCAGCTCTCCAGAGGGCAGGAAGAGGAAGGCCCTGATCTGTAAAGTTTGCCAGTTTCCATGGTATAAATGCTTCCACTGCAGCCAATTTCAAGCTACCAAGGTGGAGTCAACCATACAGTTGGGAAGGGCTGGGCATAGCCGGCTCTCCCAAGCAGGTTAGAGCTCCCCACTGCAGGGGTGAATCCCTTAAAATTTTATTTTCTTCTCCCCAGAAACCCCCTCAAGATTTTCGAAGTACAATTTCTGTATCTGCAGAATCAGTATAATTGGGGTTGATGGGATCACAGGAGTTATTATCTTTGAATACCTTTTATAAATTGTGAAGTGCCACACATGTATTAGCTTTTTTCATTAGTTTGTTTGAAATGCTGTTTTTAAGTACTTAATGATTCTGAGTATGTCCTGGAAGTAGAAGCAGCCAGAAAGAAAAGGCAAGGACAGCTGGGAGACTTCCTGTGCTGGAGACAGACAGATTTGTGCCACAAAGAGACACCTCAATCAATATCTTAGTTCTTTGGTTTTTGGTTTTTGTTTTTCAAATTCCTCTGAGGTGTCTGGAATTGGAATTAGAGAGTAGAAGGTAATGGTGGTACCGTGCTTAAGCTAAACCCTGTCTCAAGACCCTAGGCCATGTGACAATAGACTCTGACCCTCTCTCTTAACTTGTATTTCTGTAAATGGCTCAGATGGGACCACAATCCCTCCTACTCTCAGAGTCAGGATGGATGTGGCTCTCTTGTTGTCCATAAAGATGTGATGTTCTGCCGGCAGAGTTTAGACTGAAGCCAATGCCCATTTGTTAGACTGGATTCATTTCTAAGTAGAATTGCTGGTGCAGGGATAGTTTGAGATCCCTGGGTGACCTTAAAAGGTTCAATCAAATTTCAGAAGGGATTTTTGTAATGCTTCAGAAATTCCTGCTCATACAGGTTAGTGACAGTCTTTCCTGACATTCAGCTGACATGGGCATCTGTGTGCCAGGCTGAGGCTGTGGGGGCTCTGTCTTAGTCCATTTTGTGTTGCTAGAACAGAATATCACAGATTGGATAATTTATAAAGAAACAGAATTTATTTCTTATGGTTCCTGAGGCTGGGAAATCCAAGGTCAAGACATTTGTATCTGGTAAGGGCTTTCTTGTTGCATTATCCCATGGTGGAGGCAGAAGAGCAAACTAGGGTGTGAGAGCGAGGATAGGGGCTGAACTTCATTCTTTTATCAGCAACCTGCTCCTGTGATAATTCACTCACTCCTGCTGTGATGGCATTAATCCATTCATGAGGGCAGAGCCTTTGTGACTGAATCACCTCTTAAAGGTCCCCCTCTTAACGTTTACAATGGCAATGAAATTTCAGCATGATTTTGGAGGGGACATTGAAACCATAGAAGGCTCCTAGGAGGATATGGCCTCACATTGTCTCCGCTACCACCCTAGAAGGTCGGGCATGTATTCTTGGCCCCTTTTACAGTCTCAGGGAGGTTGAGGCATGTGTCAGGAAAGGCAGGACTGGGAATCCAGTCCCCTAATCTGAGGTCCCTTCTAATTACAATTAGAGAGAAGAGGTGGGAGTTGTATACAAATGGTTGAACATGGTCAGAGAAAGGCTAGGAGAGGTCAAAGAAGGGTGTCATTTCAGTGAGTCATCTCAGTCAAAGAGTGTGTCAAAGGAGTCATGCTTTTAGGAGGAGGAGGAAAAGGCACCAAGCCAATTTTAAAATCCCTTTCTGAGCTTAACCTTCACATAGAGAAGGCAGGTGCAGCACATCAGGGCAAGTGCGCCAAGTGATTTATAAGGAGGAAATTTCCTGGCTGAATTATGATAATCCTAGTACCTCTTTGCCTTGGGGGAATCAGATTAACTGGATTTGAGCAGAAGCTGTTTCTATAATCAGGAGTCCAGCTGACGGTTGCTGACAGCGTCTTTTATGTTTGGAGGAATAGCAAGGACCTATCACGTAGCCACGGAAAAGGCAAATCAAGTATCAGAAGTATCAGAGTATCTTTTTTTTTTTTTTCTAGGCAGAGTCTCACCTGTCACCCAGGCTAGTGTGTAGTCGTGTGATCTCAGCTCAGCAACCTCTGCCTCCTGGGTTCAAGCAATTCTCCTGCCTCAGCCTCTCGAGTAGCTGCCATCTAGAGTACAGGCACCTGCCATCATGCCTGGCTAACTTTTGTATTTTTAGTAGAGAAGGGGTTTTGCCATGTTGGCCAGGCTGTTCTCGGACTCCCGACATCAGGTGATCCACCCGCCTTGGCCTCCCAAAATGTTGGGATTACAGGCATGAGCTACCATGCCCAGCCAAGTATCAGGGTATCTATTTTTTTTTTTTTTTTGAGATGGAGTCTTGCTCTGTCCCCAGGCTGGAGTGTGGTGGCACGATCTCAGCTCACTGCAACCTCCACCTCCCAGGTTCAAGTGGTTCTTCTGCCCCAGCCTCCTGAGTAGCTGGAATAACAGGTGTGTGCCACCACACCTGGCTAATCTTTTGTATTTTTGGTAGAGACAGGGTTTCACTATGTTGGCCAGGCTGGTCTCTAACTCCTGACCTCGTGATCTGCCTGCCTGGGCCTCCCAAAGTGCTGGGATTACAGACATGAGCCACCGCACCCGGCCAGTATCAGGGTATCTTAACTGGTGAAAGCCACAAGTGGCAGGGAAGCCCACCATTGTACTGCCCATCCCCCGGGAGTGTTTGTGCCAACTAATAATTCTGTTTACCGAACTCACATGGTATAAGAAAATGAGGTCGTGGAAGCCAGTTTAAGAGAAGGATCATTTTGGACAACTAATGACTGGGTAACTGTGTATGTAGCTTCAAGTAGCTGCCACTTGCCACAGCAGGAAATGGGCCTTTAGGTAAACTGCAAATTAAGCACTCTATGCATTTATTTAAACTGTTGAGTTTCTTGTTTTCTGGGCTCCATACTAGTGCCGGTCTAGCACAAAGAAAGGGAGTAGGAGGTGGGAGAGCGCACATCTCTGTGATATGTGTTTACAATTCAGTAGGAACCAATGGGGTAGAAGCAGAGAAAATATTCTAGGTAATGAAGCAGTCTCTCTCAAACGTAGACTGCCATGAGAATAGGACTCCTGTCTTTAAGCAGAAGTCAACCTTACCATACAGAGGAGCATCTTAGGATTGCAAATCCAGACCAGTCTCAACCAGAGAGAGATTTCCAATCCTGGCCTCTGCTCAGGCTGGAGGTGGCCGAGAGGGTCCTCCCAATGGTGTGTCGTGTTTCCTTGCTATCTCACCCTGACTCTGTACATGTTCTTCTCCCATAAATGGCTGCAGCCTGGAAGAATTTCTGTTTGTACTTCAAGCATTGTTCCTCATCTGCGTATTGACTAGCAGGTGTTGCTTTTGGAATGATGACGCAGGTGGGCATTCACCAGTTCTGAGCCATACACCCAGGGCCTAGTGAGGACATTAGACTAGCTTGATTTCCTTCTATGCTAGATAATCTTTTCCTGTGGAAATCCCTTACACAGTGCTTCCAAATGTGGCCAAAGTAAGACTGTTTCTTCTTAGCTGTACCTTTTTGGACAAGGTTTTTAACTCTTCTTAGCCTTGGTTTCCTCCTCTGCAAAACAGGAATTGTGCAACAGTCCCTCCTACGGCAATTGTGACGCAGTTATTTTGATTGTGAGTAGCAATTAATTGTTATAGTGCCTGGAACATCATTAAGTATTCAGTGCATTTTACTTGTTATAATAATATAGTAGTGTTCTGGAGTGATTTCTTGCAAATGTCAGAAGTTCAGGACCCTGGACCTTCGCATGGGAGATGTCCCTATAGTGTTATTAGGGATAACCCTATTTTCCCTAATCCAAACATTGAACTGAGAAGTATAGAGATGACAACTCAGGCTATTTGATATTTGAAATCAATATCAGAACTATTTCAGACATTTGGAGGAACTGACCATTGAGCTTGCAGTTTTGTAGGGCCAGGATTATGAAATAAAAGCAAAAGAAACACAAACCAAGAGAAACATTGGTGATGGTACAGATATTCAGTGCTGGAGGACATGGAGGAGAAGGAAATATTTTCTCAATCTAAGCCAGCATGAAAGCTTCAGAGAAGCGCCAGGACCTGGGCTATGCCGTATGGGTCAAGTTTGATTTAGACAGATGGGGAGAAGAGAAACCACAGCAAGTGAGGTTACAGTGGGAGTGAAGGCACTGGCGAGAATGAAGATGCTAGACCAGAAAGTGGTCAGAAGGCCTTGCTCAAGGGAGATTTCTAAATTAATACAAATAAATAGTAGAGTATTTTAGTGCTTGGTCTGCAAAGTCAGACTGTCTGTGATCACATCACTTAGCACAGGGATAAGTACTCAGCAGAGGTAGTTGTTTCTTAAACACCTAAAAAGCTGACATGAGCCATGTTATTGAAGATCTCTGAAGTTAGGTAGAGAACTTTAGGCTTGATGATTTGGGACTGAGAGAGCTATTTGGAACTTTTTTTTTTTTTTGAGGCAGAGTCTCACCCAGGCTAGAGTACAGTGGCACGATCTCGGCTCACTGCACCCTCCATCTCCTGTGTTCAAGCGATTCTCCTGTCTCAGCCTCCTGAGTAGCTGGGATAACAGGCACCTGCCACCACACCCAGCTAATTTTTGCATTTTTAGTAGAGACAGGGTTTTGCCATGTTGACCAGGCTTGTCTGGAACTCCTGACCTCAGTTGATCCACCCGCCTTGGCCGCCCAAGGTGCTGAGATTACAGGTGTGAGCCACCGTGCCCAGCCTTTGTTTTTCTTTTTAAAATAAGCTTTATTTTGTTTGTTTGTTTGTTTATTTATTTATTTTTTGAGACAGAGTTTTACTCTTGTTGCCCAGGATGGAGTGCAATGGCACGATCTCGGCTCACCACAACCTCCGCCTCCCAGGTTCAAGTGATTCTCCTGCCTCAGCCTCCCGAGTAGCTGGGATTACAGGCATACGCCACCACGCCCAGCTAATTTTGTATTTTCAGTAGAGACAGGGTTTCTCTATGTTGGTCAGGCTGATCACGAACTCCCAACCTCAGGTGATCCGCCCGCCTCGGCCTCCCAAAGTGCTGGGATTACAGGCATGAGCCACTGCCCCCGGCCATCTTATTTATTTATTTATTTTGGTGACAGACTTTTGTTCTTGTCTCCCAGGCTGGAGTGCAATGGTGCAATCGCGCCTCACTGCAACCTCCACCTCCTGGGTTCAAACAATTCTCCTGCCTCAGCCTGCCAAGTAGCTGGGACTACAGGCACATGCCACCATGCCCAGCTAATTTTTGTATTTTTAGTAGAGGTGGGTCTTACCATGTTGGCCAGGCTGGTCTTGAACTCCTGACCTCAAATGATCCACGCACCTTGGCCTCCCAGAATTCTGGGATTACAGGCATGAGCCAAGGTGCCCGGCCTATAAGCTTTATTTTCTTAAAACCATTTTAGGTGAATAAAAAAAATTGAGAAGATAATACAGGTATTTCCTGTATACTCAACACTTGGTTTCCCCTGTTAGTAACATTTTGCGTTGGTGTAACACACTTGTTATAATTACTGGACCGTATTGGCACACTGTTATGAACTAAAGTCCACACTATTCAGATTTCCGTAGTTTTTACCTAATGTTCTTTCTCTGTTCTGGGATCCCATCCAGGATCCCACATTACGTTTAGTCATCACATCTCCGTAGGCTCCTCTTGGCTGTGATCATTTCTCAGATGTTCTTTGTTTTTTATGATCTTTACAATTTTGAAGAGTACTTGTCAGGTGTTTTTGTTTTGTAGAATGTCCCTCCATTTGGGATTTTTCTCATGATTTCATAGGGATTATGGGTTTTGTTTTGTTTTGTTTTTGGAAGGAAGACCACAGAGGCAAAGTGCCCATTTTCATCACATCATATCAAAGGTACATTCTGTCAACGTGACTTATCACTGTTGATGTTTACCTTGCTCATGTGGCTGGGGCATTGTCTGTCAGATTTCTCTATTGTAAAGTTAGTCATTTTTTTCTTCCTATCCACATTGTGCTCTTTGGGAGGAGATCACTATGTACAGCCCATACTTAAGGAGTGGGGAGTTAGGCTGCACCTCCTTGGGTAGAATACGCTTTGCTGGTTGCATCTGGAGAAAAACGCCAGAGGCCGGGCGCGGTGGCTCACGCCTGTAATCCCAACACTTCGGGAGGCAGAGCCGGGTGGATCACGAGGTCAGGTGATGGAGACCATCCTGGCCAACATGGTGAAACCCCGTCTCCACTAAAATACAAAAATTAGCTGAGCGTGGTGGTGCACACCTGTAGTCCCAGCTACTTGGGAGGCTGAGGCAGAGGAATCTCTTGAACCCAGGAGGCAGAGATTGCAGTGAGCCAAGATCGCACCACTGCATTCCAGCCTGGTGACAGAGTGAAACTCAGTCTCGAAAAATAAAAAAGGGTGCAAGGGCGTAGGGAATTTTCAGTAATCTGAGAAAAAGGAGTTGAGGGCCTGGGCTGCTGGGGTGAGAAAAGGGATTGAGGCACAGGGGATGTGAAGGTGGACAAATTTGTTGGGAAATGAAGGAGAGGGCAGAATCAAGGTTCAAGCACTGGTAATTAGGGGATTATTCTGGTATAAAGAGGTCTGGATTAGAAGTCACTGCACTAGGTGACTGCCAACTCTTTATTTCTTGGCTGCGCCACCTTGGGTGAGTCACTTCATTCCTCTGAGCCTCAGTTTGTCTATTTCTAAGAAGGGGTTGACAGTACCTGCTCTTCCTACCTGAGAACTCCTGTGAGAGTGAAATGAGATAGAGAAGAGGAAAGGGCTTTGGAAGCCATCAAGCACCGTGTTGTTCCAAAGGCTTATGGGTTAGGGAGTGATGGTGCAGTGGGGAAGGAAGGGGGCTTGAGAGGGAGAATGTGTATGTTACCTGCAAGATACTGAGTATTTCAGATGACCCAGAGCAAGCTGTAACTAAGAGTACTCTGGGCTGGGTGCGGTGCCTTACGCCTGTAATCTCAGCACTTTGGGAGGCCACGGCGGGCGGATCACAAGGTCAAGAGATCAAGACCATCCTGGCCAACATGGGGAAACTCCATCTCTACTAAAAATACAAAAATTAGCTGGGCATGGAGGTGTGCGCCTATAGTCCCAGTCACTAGGGAGGCTGAGGCAGAAGAATTGCTTGAACCCAGGAGGCAGAGGTTGCAGTGAGCTGACATCGCACCACTGCACTCCAGCCTGGCGACAGAGCAAGACTCTGTCTCAAAAAATAAAAAATAAAATAAAAAATTGGACTCTGTCACAGGCTTGTGATATTTACCTGCTACTGCTAAGGAGATTTTTATTTCAAATACGCTTTCCCAGATGTTCTGTTTCTGGCAGTCTAGTTCCACAGTCTGTCCCCCAGAGAGAGGTAGCTTGGGCAAGATGAGGCTAGTTCTGGATTTGGAAAGAAGGACTCTGCTTAGCTTTGTGGACTTCCTCTTATGACCTGCCATGGCCTCTGCTTGACTGCACTGAAGATTACTGGGATTTCTTTAATGGTCTCCTTCCCCCAGTCTCATTGCCTGAGATCGTTAATAGACATTCCAAAAGTAACACATCAAAAATGGCATTTTTGCTTTCTGTCCTGCACTGGAGTTCAGAGACATGGCTGATCTGCTTTGCTTGACTCTGAAAGACAGTGTGAAACTCCTCAGTAAGCAATGCAATTGGCTGCTTTAGCTGAGTAGTGAGAATTCCTCTAAACTGGGTATTCTGCAGTGGAGGAATCCCGTTACCTTTTCAGGCAGGTAGACTCTTGGCTCTTTGTAGGTATTTCCTCATTGTTCAGAGAGTGTGCAGCCATGCTTTTGGTTTTTCATTGTACAATCCTTATTTAGGCAACAAAATTGATGAGCCATGGAAGGTTTGAACTGTGTCTGCTCAAGTTCCAGGGTAAATCATTGACTAGTCAGTACAGTGGAAAGTGCTGGGAGCCTGAGTGCTAAGTATGCCTCTGCCAGTAACTCCTGATGACTTTGGGCAAGGAATGTAAACTCTTTGCTCCTCAGTTTCCCTATCAGTAAAATAAGTAGGGACCGCTTGGGCCTTGAAAGATGGAACAGTCAAGTAAATTTTGCAGCACAACCAGTTGGCAGATAAGGGGAGTGCAGAATCAATGTCATGTCTGTATTGGAAATGACTCAGCATATTTCAAAATTGTAGCATCGAGTCAACAAACATACATGTGGTAACAACCAGACTGTCAAAGACAGTTATATAAAGTTAACCTCTTTATTCGTTTTGGAAAAGGAGAGATATTCCTTTCTTGACACTGACTTGAGTTGGGATGAAATAAGAACTGAATCTTCTGCTCTTTGGATGCTGCCCTTCTCTAGTAAGAACAGCCCATTTCTTTACAAATAGGTTGTTCTGAGATGCCTAGGCTGTTGTGTGAAGGAAAGGCAAGTAAACACAGTCTAGTCTGTGGGTGAAGGCAAAGCAAGTCATCTCTGGGCATGGGGGACTTTGTGGTGTAATGTATATTTCCAAAGGGAAACTTATGCAAAATGCAGATGCTGATCCCAGTTCTGAGCTTGGTAGCTGGTGCCAGCATTGGCAGTGGCTCCTTTGTTCGGACATAGAGAAAAGCCAAGAAGTGAAGTGATATTTTCCTTCCCTCATCATTACTCAGCATGACTGCCTTGCTTAGCAATAAGAAATTCAAGTGTCAAGAGAAACTGCAGTGCATTTTCTTATCCAAAAATGCATTCTCCTGTGTAGTCAAGAGATTCACTGTGTTCTCATATTGTTGCTGAAGAGGATGGTCTTTTGAATTACTTTTGAAATTCTAGCTCTTCTCCATAGCTGGCGTATTCATATTGTCTGAATTCTAAAGGGAAATAGCTCTTAAATTGGAGTATGCGTAAGAATCACTTGAGTAGTTTACTAAAAAGGTAGATGCCTGACTCCCACTCCTAGTCATTGGGGCTGAAGAACCTGCATTTTTAATACATGGTACAGAAGGTTCTGATATGGGGGATCCATAGAGTTGCCTTGAGTGTTACCACCTGGGTGCCATGCTCAGTTATCAAAAACCTTATTGCTACGTGTGTCCCCTTTACAAGCCAAGCCCTAGCTGCTGCTTTTAGAACGGCACTTGAACTTGCCATATAAATTAGAGGCATAATGATAATACTTATAAAAATAATTATTTTTGACTTACAACAATTTTCTGATTTATACAAACAGCATGGAAGGGGCATGAACTTAGCAGTCAGAAAGGCCTGGGCGTGGATCTTTCAGCTTCCTCTGCTTCTTGGGCAGGTTGTTCAGCTCTGCGGCTCTGTTTCCTTATCTGTCAACTGTCAAATGGGAACAGTATTACTCACTTCACTGAGAGAGAGGGGTGGTGAGGATAGAATAAAGTGGCTTATGTAAACACCCTGCACTATGTGTGGCATTTAGTAGATGCCAATAAATACCACTTGTCTTCTTTCTTATAAGAAGCAGGAATTAACTTAAAAAACACAAGGACTTAAGGCAGATATTTTTAAGGAAAACTTTTTTTTTTTTTTTTTTTTGAGACAAAGTCTCACTCTTGTCCCCCAGGCTGGAGTGCAATGGTGCGATCTCGGCTCACTGCAACCTCTGCCTCCTGGGTTCAAGCGATTCTCCTGCCTCAGCCCCCTGAGTAGCTGGGATTACAGGCACGTGCCACCACGCCAGGCTAATTTTGTATTTTTAGTAGAGACGGGGTTTCACCGTGTTGGCCAGGCTGGTCTCGAAGTCCTGACCTCAGGTGATCCGCCCACCTCGGCTTCCCAAAGTGCTGGGATTACAGGTGTGAGCCACCGTGCCAAGCCAAGGAAAACTTTTCTTCTTCTTTTTTTTTTTTTTAATGTGCAAGGGATAGGTTTTTTGGCCTTCATACACATCACTTTAAAAGTCAGTCATTGTTTACAGATCTTGAGAGCATGTCCCTCCTTAATTCCTTTAGATAATAACTGAGTTATGTTGTAAATACAGGTTTTCAAGAGAGATCCCAGGAGGTAGATAAGGAATTGCAGGTGAATTGCAACCTTGGTATCTTTGTGGCCATTCCCAGGGTCCCTTGCAGAGAACACAGATCAGGTGTTCAACCTGAAACTACACCTGCTCCTAGTCAGAATCTCACAAGAAGAACCTTGTTTCTCAGAAGTTAGCTAGTAATGGATTATTTGGACTATCTTGTTCAAACTCTTGCCAGGCAAAATGAGAACACTGCTGAGGTCTGAGAGAAACAGTGAACTATTATATTGTGGTATACAGCGAGCTCCTTGTTGTAAGGTGTTTTCTAAACTGAGTTTCAGCAATATCTGCCCACATCTACCCCCTGCTCAACCTGGTTTTACCTTTGGAGAGAAAATCATCTTTGTGTTGGTTGATTAATTTTAGGTTCAATGTTCTTGTCCCATATAATGCTCATGTCATTCCTTAAGGAGTATGTTTTTATATATCACCATGTTCCTCCTTCTGAGGCCCCACATCAAAAAAGGAATTTGGTAGCAAACACTGCCTATCTGCATTCTCTAGCTGGAGAAACTGCAAGTTAAATGAAGACTCTTGGTGAGCTCAAAGCCACAAGTGTCCCCTCACTGCCTTCTCTCTGGGCCTTTGTAAAGGGCAGGCTGAACATCCCAGTCCCAGGGCTGGGCAGTCACAATAACTTCTAGTCTCTGAAGGCCACACTCTGGAAACTAAGAGTATTCTTTTAGTATTCTCTTAGTATCCTTGTAAGCCCCATCATGTGATGTTAAGGTCTGAAAAGACCCTATAAATTCCCTGGGCCAATCCCCTTTGTTTTATGGGAAAGGAAACTGAGGTTCAGAGAGATCCATGTTGTTCCTAGTTTATTTTTAAAAATTTACTGCCTGCAGTGTGTGTATCAGACACTATGCACATAATGGGAGGCTCATCATAGGCCTGCAACAGGTTAGATGAGTTGCCATTTATGATCGGGAATGACCCTCTGGTAAAGCAGGCTAGAAACTGTTCAGCACTGCTAATTAATACGTAAAGAAACATTTACTGAGCACCTTTGCTACATGAACATTCTGCTATGTCCCAAGAAGCTGGGAAGGAGGGAGAAATACAACTGGTGAGACAAAAAGGATAAACTTTAAGAAATGGTCCCCATCTTCAAGGACCTACAGTCCACAGTGAACTCCTTCTGAAGGTGCCTTCTAAATCAATATAAAGGCATATTACAAGTCCACATAACAAAATATTGAACTAAGCAAGATTGTGTATTCAATAGTTCAATGAAGTCATCCTAGAGAAGTTTGGGAAGAAGGGAGAAGACAGCAGGCTCCATTGAGGAACACGCCTGGTGTTTTCCCCCCGGGACTGTCAAAGCCACAACTGTCTTATGGGTCTTTGTGTCTCTAGGATTATGACTTGGAGGGACTGCTCTGTTCACACTGTCGAATCAATCTCTGTGGCTCATTTGACACCAAAATTACAGAGATACCATGATGACCCCTTTTGCAGGAATGCTCTCTACTCACCTGGATCTTTTGTTGATTTTCTTTCAGTGGCCCACCCTCAGGACCCTCACCACCCATCAGAGAAGCCTGTCATTCACTGCCATAAATGTGGGGAGCCTTGCAAGGGTGAAGTGCTTCGGGTCCAGACCAAACATTTCCACATCAAGTGTTTCACCTGCAAAGGTATGGTGCCTCCAGCTTCGTGGCTCAGTGGCATGCCATGGTCGGGGCTTGCCTTGGGTCCAGCCCATCCCCTTAACTCCACATCCGGTCACTGGATGATAAGCGAATGCTCTCAGAAGCCCTGACATCATTTACTGCCAGTTTGGGATTCAGTTAGACTCTAGGGCGAGAACGAGTCCTGCTAAAACCAGTGATTCGTGGGCCTTTGGGTGCTCACTGAGGCCCCTTCTCCTGGAAGAAGGGACTAACACTGAGAACGAGCAGTAAAAAGGCCGGCTCACGCCTATAATCCCAGCACTTTGGGAGGCTGAGGCGGGTGGATCGCCTGAGGTCAAGAGTTCGAGACCAGCCTGGCCAACACAGTGAAACCCCGTCTCTACTAAGAATAAAAAAATTAGCTGGGTGCAGTGGTGGGCGTCTGTAATCCCAGCTACTCTGGAGGGCTGAGGCAGGAGAATCGCTTGAACCCGGGAGGCAGAGGTTGCAGTGAGCTGAGATTGTGTCATTGCACTCCAGCCTGAGCAACAAGAGTGAGACTCCGTCTTAAAAAAAAAAAAAAAAGAAAGAAAGAGCAGTAAAAATACAGTTCTGTGGTTTTTGCCTTATTTTTTCTTTTTCTCTGAAGTGAAGAACTCCTACTACAAAGTAGCTTGTCCTAATACCCATTAGTTATAGGAGGCCTGGAAAGCTTGGAAGATTGGGTGCCAAGTCACTGGCTTCTGTGTGTGTGTGTGTGTGTGTGTGTGTGTGTGTGTGTGTGTGTGTGTGTGTGTGTGTATTGAGATGTGAGAATTAAGCAACAACACTTGGGAGACCTCTAAGCAGAAAAAGACCTGCCATCCAAGAAGCTACCAGTTTGGTGTTGATTTCCATTAACAAGCCTACCTTTTGGGGTTTACAAAGATTGGCATCTTTGTATGAAATATGCCAACCTGTTATTTCAGAGCCAGGGCATGGCCAACTGGGGAAAAACAGGAAGAAGAATGGTTTTGTGTGTTTGTTTGATAAATAGGTTACTTGGGCTGAGGGCATGTCTGGGTAGCTCAAGATGGGGTTCAAGGATGTCAGAGAAGGAAGGGAGGCGAGACTCAGAGTGCACTCTGTAGATTTACTCTGTGCCCTGCACGGGGTAAGGACCCTCATTCCTATGCCCTGCCTGTGGTACGCACCTTCATTTCTGGAAACTGGGTTTCATTTTGAGTGTCATACGTCACAAAGACTTAGCATTGTCATCCTAAGCCATCTATCCATGGCCACGGGGGCTCTTGGGTAGGTTCCAGTCTTCCTAGTGACCACGAAATACATGAATAAAGGAGGAGGGAGTGCTTTCCTGGAGTCCACAGCTGTTCCTTACACTGAGAGTAAAGTTTTCAGGAGAAAGAACACTAGCATGTGTAGCTAGGGTAAGAAGGTGGAAGGAGTGGAGGGCATGAGCTTAACTCCCTCAAATGAGCTCAATGCTCAGCGCATGACAAGCGTTACAAATGCTGTGTCCACATCTCAGAGGGATTATTTAATCCTCCTGAAAACCCCTGTGAGTAAGTATGATAAACCCCAGTTTTCACCCAACCCAAGATGGCCATGAGGAAATATCAAGGTCACACCCAGGGTGCTGGGCTGTCACGTTGTGTGGCTTGAGTCCTGCCTTGCCATTAAGCAGCTGTCTGATTGTGGACAAGTTACTTGTCTCTCTGTGGCTCAGTGTCCTTATCTGTAAAATAAGGAGACTAGACCATATGAAACTTGTATCATCCCAGGTCTGAAGTTTGCAGGTTCCATATACCAGATAATTGTATATTAATATAGAACCCAATTAGAGCTTCTTAGGGGGTATGTCAGAGAAAAAATGTTTTCTAGTTATATCCAGTTTAGCTAACTTGGAGTCAGCATTGTATTTTTATTTTTTCTCATAAATTTATTGAGACATGGCTCAAAGGATAGATTTGGTATGAAATAAATACAATCCATAAATGACTGCAGCCACATATATTTTTTATTTTATTTATTCTATTTTATTATTTATTTATTTATTTATTTATTTGAGATGGAGTCTCACTCTGTTGCCAGGCTGGAGTGCAGTGGTGTGATCTCAGCTCACTGCAACCTCCGCCTCCTAGGTTCAAGCAATTCTCCTGGCTTGGCCTCCCAAGTAGCTGGGATTACAGGTACCTGCCACCGTGCCCAGCTAATTTTTGTGTGTGTGTGTGGTTTTTTTTCAGCAGAGATGGGGTTTCATCATGTTGGCCAGGCTGGTCTCAGACTCCTAATCTCAAGGGATTCTCCTGCCTCAGCCTCCCAAAGTGCTGGGATTACAGGCGTGAGCCACTGCACCAAGCTCTCTATATATTTTATATTTCTACTTTGAAAGTATGAAGTAGTAGACTCAGATCTGGGCACTCACTGTTCAACACATCACGGTATTTGAAGAGACATTCATTTATCCCCTGTGGGGTGAAAGCTCCTTGCTTTTTTTCTCTTTTAGTTTAATTCTATGGACCAAATGTAAATTCCTCATCTTGGAAAGTTGTATCATATATCTTGTTTCATGCTATAAATGTGTTCTTGAAAAGTTGAGTTTTTGTTTAAATTAAATTCTATTTTAAGAATACTTGCTATCTGTAGGAATTATTTTTCAATTTAACAAAATGTTACTAAAATAAATGAGTCATCTATCCTTATAAATTTATATTTTCTCACACTTAATCTGGCAATGGCTACTATCTTGTGTCCCAACATTCTGGAATCACACTTTTCTTTAATATCTGAAGAAAGTGGTTTAGGTTCCCCATGCCTTATCCCGTAGGGAGTCTGTGACTTTTCCCAAGATTCTAGAGCAGCACTGTCATCACTGCTATAACTGTGGGGAGACTTGCAAGGGTGAAGTGCTTCAGGTAGAAATATCATGCAAGCTGGCACACGTTTACCTGTGTGACAAACCTGCACATCCTGCACATGCACCCCAAAACTTAAAAAATAAATTAAAAAAAAAATGCAAGCCACTTGTATAATTCTAAATATTCTGATAGCCATATTGAAAAGGTTAAAAGGGAAAGGTGTAGTTAATTTTCATTAAAATATTTTATTTAACCCTATCTAAAATATTATCATTTCAACAAGTAATATAAAAAGTATTGAGATACTTGACATTCTTTTTTTTCATGCCACCTTAACACATCTCAATTTAGACTAGACACATTTCTTTTTTTGTTTGTTTTTGTTTTTATTTTGTTTTGTTTGTTTGATACAGAGTCTCACTCTGTTGCCAGGCTGGAGTGCAATGGCGTGATCTCAGCTCACTGCAAACTCTGCCTTCCAGGTTCAAGGGATTCTCCTGCCTCAGCCTCCTGAGTAGCTGGGACTACAGGTGTGCACCTCCACACCCAGCTAATTTTTGTATTTTTTTAAGTAGAGACGAGTTTTCATCATGTTGGCCAGGATGGTCTCTATCTCTTGAACTTGTGATCCGCCTGCCTTGGCCTCCCAAAGCATGGGGATACAGGCATGAACCACTGCACCCGGCCGCACATTTCCTTTTTTTTTTTTTTTTTTTTTGAGATGGAGTTTCACTCTTGTTGCCCAGGCTGGAGTGCGGTGGAGTGATCTTGGCTCGCTGCAACCTCCGCCTTCCGGGTTCAAGCGATTCTCCTATCTCAGCCTCCCAAGTAGCTGGGGTTACAGGGTTGTGCCACCACACCCAGCTAATTTTTTTGTATTATTTGTAGACACGGGGTTTTACCATATTGACCAGGCTGGTCTTGAACTCTTGACCTCAGGTGATCTGCCCACCTTGGCCTTCCAAAGTGCTGGGATTACAGGCGTGAGCCACTGTGCCTGGCCTGGACTAGACACATTTCAAATGGTCAGTAGCCACATGTGGTTAGTGGCTACTGTATTGGACAGCACAGTTCTAAAGATTCCTCGAGGTGTGCATTCCTGTGGTTCCCTCACTCCAAATTCTTGCCAGTGTCAAAGTCTTCGTCTCCTCCTGTGAGTGCTGTGCCTTTTTCATCGCTTCATCCCACACGTTTTTCCTCTCTCTCCTCTTACATAGTACCGCTACCCAAAGGCAGCTGTTTTCAGCAGACTTACTGAAGGTCTAGGCTAATGGTGGGAGGTCACAGCACAGAATAGGCACCAACTGCCCTCGTATTCTCAGGCCATCTCTGACACGAGACATTTCTCATTAGCTAGAGCCTTTTCTTTTCTTTTCATTTATTTTCTTTTCTTTTTGTTTTTCTTTTCTTTCCTCCTTTCCTTTCCTTTTCTTCCCTTCTCATTCCATTCTATTTCTTTCCTTTTCCTTCCTTCCTTTCCCTTCCCTTCCCTTCTTTTCTTTTCTTTCATTCTTTCATTTCCTTCTTTCATTTCTTTCCTTCATTCTAGAGCAGTTTTAGGTTTATGGGAAAATTGATCAGAAAGTACAAGCCAGGGCCATTTTTCAGACTTATTCCAAACCTCATCTGCACCATCTTGACAGGGCTTGCTCTCTCTCCAAAGATGCTTCTCTCTCCAAAGACCCTTCTCTCTCCATCCTAATCAGATCAGCACTCTGAATTTCCTTAGCGTCTTTACTTTTTATAAGTCCCAGCAGCAATAGCAGTCTTTTACCTGAGGAATGCTGTCTTCCTCCTAGCCCAAGTGACCCAATTGCAGCCAAGTCCTAAAACAACATTTTCGTTTTCTTCCTGTTTCACCTAGAGTGGCGATGTTCGGGTACTGAGCTGATGTCCTGGGACAGAGGATTTTGGGTGGGGAGCATGTGCCAAAACAAGCCCGGGCTTTTGGTCAAGACCTGGCTGAGTGCACAGGAGGCACATTCCAGTTCTGACTGTGACCTCGAGTCCAGCAAAGCTTTCTCCCTGGAATTCCCTTCCCTCCCTCCCACCTGCCTCTCCTTCACATGTATACCTTGTCAACAAAGCCTTCTATTTCTTGAGTGGGGGCAGAGGTTGATTTCCCCTAGAAAGAAAGGCCAAAGATGTAAATGAGTTTGGGAATGAAAAGCAAGGATGAACTCTTTTTGCTAAAAATAGGTTTTGAAAAAAAGGAGAAAGGGGACACTGAACATTTTACACAAGAGCTAAACAAATATGAAGGTGGGAAAGGGTTGCGATGGAGGAGTTAGAGTTGATAGCACAAACTTAGATCAGTTTCAGACCCCATAACTTCACAGGTTTAGCTGTGACAAGGTAGGGATTGGTGAGCAGAAATTGTGTTGGTGAACTCATCTCACTTTCTAAAATGCCTGACATTGTGGGATCTGATGGTTCATGAGTTACTCATCCATTTACTACATGTTGTATTTTGTGATGGGGGGTCTCGCTGTGTTGCCCAGGCTGGTCTCAAACTCCTGAGCTCAAGTGATCCTGAGTAGATGGGAATACAGGCATGTGCCACCACGCCAGGCCCATTTACTAAATGTTAATTGAACACATACTCCATGCAGGACACTGTGCTAAGTGCTAATAATAGAGACAGCATACCAGGTTGTCAAGGAACTCCTGGGGTATTAGAAGAGACGTACAAGTAAGCAACATTTATGAGACCAAGTAATAAGTCCTGTGATGGAGAGATGCATAGCATGCAGGCCAGGAGGGCCACAGGGGAGTTAGAATGGAGATGGGGAGAGCCACAGGTGGGAATAGTGTAAGGCAGTAGCAGGTGCAATAGAAAATAGAAGATTTAAGAGACAAAGTTAGGGTTGATAGAATTTGATGACTGACTGAATGGGAGGAGTGAAGAGGGATCCACATGTCCAGCTGAGCTGCCTGGGTAGATAGATGGAGTTGCCACCAACTAAGAAAATATAGAAGCACCTTGCAGGGCAGTGCTGGAGAAAGATGAGTTCAGTTTGGGGTATATTGAGGTTGAGTAACATGGTACATCCAGAGTCCAGTAGGGCTCTGAAATAGTGGTCTATGTTGGGAAGAAGAATTTGGAAGCCTTTGGCATGTGGATAATGGCTGAAGCTATATAACTGTGTGTGAAATTTCCCTGGGAAAGAGCAAAAGGCAGGAACTGAATACTGGAAGATGGCAGCATCTGAAGGAAGGAGAACCTAATTCCCATTTGTCACCTCAGAAAATGTACCCGGGTGGTAATTAGATGAAGGAAGTGGTTTAATTGATGGATGGATTCTGTAATTAAATGAAAAGCAGATCCCAAAAGCTTATGGTATTTCTTATAATAACCCAGTGGGAGTAGAACATGGCTGCAGGGTTCTGAGTGGAGCTATTCTATCTTCAGTATTCACTTTGTTTTTCATCCTTGTCCATTACAGCCTTCATCCCACTAACTTAAAGGAGTTGTTTTAATGTGATCTGTTCATTCTGTCATATCGTTCCAGTGATAGGTTTTTAATGTTTTACTTTGTCTGTATCATGGTTGTATTTTACGCTGTATTAGAGAATAAGAAACCTGAAAACAAAAGGGAAGCATTCATCTCTATTTGGATTTGAATGTGTTGGTATTTGTGCAGATTCTTCTCTGGGGGAATTGCTTCTAACAAAGGACAAATTAGCACTGTCTGGCATTTCTAAATGTCTCTTTAAATGTGAATTATAGTTCATTTTAAGTATACATGTTATATATTTTGTTCATTATTTTGATCTATAATTCATTATAACTATTGTCATTTATCATGAGCATTTTTCAGGGTAAGGACCAAGATCTATTTTTTTTTTTTTTTGCCAGAAACTTCTAGACCATTTAGAAAAGACCAAGGACCAAGGAGACTGCCCAGAGAATCAAGATTGTTCAGCCAAATTGTCTGTTTTCAGTGATCCTTTCCTGGGCTGTCCCATATATAAAATCAACTACTCCCTATATCACATGTCCCTGCCTTATCTTTTTTCTTTTGCATCATTTAATACATTGTATTAATTTATCTTCACCTCCTACTAGAGAGTAAGCTCTTTGAGGGCAGAGATTTTTGTCTGTTTTGTTTACTATAAACCCAGTGCCTAGAACAATGCCTGATATGGCAGGTACTCATAAGGTGAACGAATGAATGAACAATAACCATATGTTTATTTAGAACTTGGTTATTCATAAATTTGTTTTGTTTTGTTTTGTTTTGAGACAGAGTCTCACTCTGTTGTCCAGGCTGGAGGGCAGTGGCACAGTCTTGGCTCACTGCAACCTCCACCTCCCAGGTTCAAACGATTCCCCTGCCTCAGCCTCCCTAATAGCTGGGATTACAGGCACTCGCCACCATGCCCAGATAATTTTTGTATTTTTAGTAGAGATGGGGTTTCACCATGTTGGCCAGGCTGGTCTGAAACTCCTGACCTCAGGTGATCCACCTGACTCTGCCTCCCAAAGGGCTGGGATTACAGGTATGGGCCACCGCACCCAGCCTGGTAAATGTTTTTAATGGCATAGCTAGTCACAAAGATTTATCAATTGCTTTACTATAATGTATGTCTTCCAATGGCTACTAGACAGTAACATTATCTTCTGAAAAGAAAGAGTGCAAGTAAAGATATCTATCACAGATGACTGAGCTACAAGCCTGCCTGGCAGATACCACAGGTAAGGAAACATATGCTCAGGCAGTTCTTGGTTAAACTGTTGCTGCTGCTTAGTTTCACTCTGGTTTAGACCCTTAGCTTTCTCATCTGGGCTCACAGGGACAGACTGGATATGGGTTATTTTGGGGCAAAACTAGAAAACTGATGAAACACCAGAAAAATAGAAGTAGTTTATTGCATTCTCCAAAAGCAGAGCTCATCCTTTTATTACCTATCTAGAGAATCTTAGTCATTCACAAACTGATTAAAAGGCAGGTTAACCAAAATGAGAGAAACATAAGTGTGATATAAATGTGCTCGCTTCTTACTGCAAGTGGGAACCCACTTTCATACTGTCTTTGTTTAGTAAAGGATGATCCTGAGTACTTTATTTTTTGAATTTGTTGCCATGTTGAAGTGTTACCTTGTCAAATAAATATAATTTAGTTTTTAAAACATTTAGGTTTTGAATTCCAAACTGGAACAGGGTAAGGTCTTGTAATCTTTCCAAAATAACACTGCTTACTGATTTTGACTCTTGTTGGCAGATAATTATCCATGAGTCTCTTGTGAGCTGAGGTGCTGATAACTTTTTGTTTTGAATTATCTTTTCAAGGTCATTTGCACAACAAACAGCCCTGGAAGATAGAAATAGTTTTTCCCTCCAGAGTCAAGGGCAGATTTGTTTGCTGTCTAGTACAATAAAGATAATGTCTGCCTCTGGAGGAAGTATTGGGCAGGTTTTCTTGCAACTCATTATACAAGAGTGGGGCTTCCTAGGCTCAGGTTTCCTCAGCTCTTATACAAACCCACTGAGACTGCAGCATCCAGCTAGCCTACTAATGTTGCCCCAAGGGATTTGGGGAGCATGGAGAAACCAGTAACAAATACAAAACTCATGCTGCCTGCTGTGCTGTGATTCTTTTGTTTCTGATCCAGGAGTTTCATGTCTTCTGCCAGTATCCATTATATTGGAGCAGGTGAACTTGTTAGCTTGCAAGTAGGGTAAAATCTCAGATTCTTTTACAGTTCTTGACAACTCTAAGGTCATGTCTATGAATGCTTATTTCTTGAGGAAAGGCATGCCGAAGTTCACCCAGCTTTATCAAGGAAGAACAAATTATCTAAGAAAACGATTAGTACAACCAAGGTTATGAGACAGTTTGTACTATAGAAGGAAGAAAATTGAAATTTTCATCAATCATTTTTAAAATAAGCGTTTCACAACTTATATTGCTGGTTCTTCTTATCTCCTGGCCCTGAACCATTGAGTACCCCATACTCAGAGTGACCTCATCCAGTCTCATGGTTTAAACACCATCTGTTCCCTGACAATTCCCAAGTCTGTACTTCTCTGCATTCCAGACTAGTATCTTCAACAGCCTTCTCAGCATTTCCAGTAGACATCTCAAACCAAACTCTCCAGATTACTAGCCCCATACCCACCCCAACCTTCTTCTTCAGCCTTCTAATTTCAGCAGATATCAAGACTTTCCTTCCACTTGCTCAGGTTAAGAGCCTTAGAGTCATTCTTAACTTCTCTTTTTCTCTCATGTGCCACAAATAATCCATCAACAAATCCTGATGGCCCCATCTTCATAGTATGTACAAAATCTGACCATTTATCATTATCCCAAAGATAAGCACCCTGGTCCAAGCCACCATTACCTCTTGCCTGGATTAAGAATTTTAGCGGGTCTCTCTGCATCTGCCTTTACCCACAGTCCCACCCCACTTTTCCCTCAGTTTATTTTCAATGCAACAGCTAAGATGATCCTTAGAAAAAGGTCAGATCCTGTCACCTTTCCCAAGAACTTCTCATCTTTTGGAATGAAATCCACAGACCTCAATTTGACCTTCAAATCCCCTCCCCACTGTTACTCTCTGAGCTCATCTCCCACCATTTTCTTCCTGTTTCACTCTGCTGAATTCTGCTGTCCTTCCTGAACGTTCTTAAACAAACCAAGTACCAAATAGCCTCAGGACCTTTGCACTTACTATTTCTTTGCCTTGACAAGCTCTTCACTTGGATATGTGTGCTTGGTGCTCTCCCATACCTCCTTTGGGTTTCTTCTCAAATGTCACTTATCAATAAGGCCATCCTTGACACCATCTGATATGTATATGTGTACATAACTGTGTATGTGTGTGCACATATATATGTATTTATATATTATATAAGTTATGTATGGTTTATTTGTGTATTGCCTGTGTCCCCTGACAAGAATGTAGGCACCAGTGGGGCAGGGAGTTTGTATTAGCAATTCTTAGGAAAAAAGCCAAACTTATAGGGGACACTCAATAATATTTATTGACTTGAATGATTGAAATGTTTATCATTGAGTGATATATGGGTTGAATATCCCCAATCCAAAAGTTTCAAATCTGAAATGCTCCAAAACTCTAAAACATTTTGAGGGCTAACAGGACACCCAAAGGAAGTGCTCATGAGAGTGTTTTGGATGTCGGATATTTGAATTAAGGATGTTCAACCAGGAAGTATATAATGCAGATATTCCAAAATCTGAAAAAAAATCCAAAGTTTGAAATACTTCTGGTCTCAGGTGTTTCAGATAAGAGAGGATAGCCTGTACTATTTATAGATAGTTATTTACAAATTATTAAATCCAGGTCGCTAAGACTTGGTTTCAGTTGATATTTTTGTTAAGTATGAGAAAGAAGAATTTTTTTTTGCGGTTCCCAGACGCAGCATTTTTTCACACAGTGAGAAAGTATTCTCTCTTTAATCCTTTTTTTATCCTTCTAATTTCATGAAGCAGAATATCTTTATAACAAAGATAGAACAGCTTTCAGGCCCAGGGATTTTATCAGACAATGGTATCAAAGCTCAAATTTAATTATACCATTTAATATTTGTTTCTACAGATTATATATAGAGGAAATGATAACTGGCTATTGACTTATGACAGTGGTATATACTTGTCTTTTTAAATAGTCATATTTAATAAACATAAACTGATTTTTTTAAATTAAGGAAATAAAATAGGTAGATAAAAACTATGGCAAATAACAGTGAAGGTAGTATCTGAGTGAAACTGGGAAATTCCAAGAAACACCCATCCTGATGGCATGCTTGAATTTGCATCTGAAGTGATGATGTCATTTTCAATGTAGTCTTCAGAGTCAACTTTACCATATTATAGCCATGACATCTATTGAGAAGTAGAAAAACTGCACTTGCATAAATATAGTGAGACAGTTGAACTATTATGGTGAGATTGGTCTCCCACTAATTAGATTGAATTAGTGAAATTTGTATTGTAGTTGAAAAGTGTGATGTAAGAGTTGACTCTATGTTGGCCATGATTTTCTTTCATTTAATCTGAGAAGGGATTTTGATGGTGTCTAGAGAGGTATTCTAGACCAAGTGGGAGGCAGAGGACAAAAGGAGGGTTCCTTGATAAGATCAACCAAGACCAAATGAAATAAGCACCTTAAAATTTTTTTGTCCATATTAAACCCATGCAGAAGGGTTTGGAGTAGGCTTTCTCTGTGATGGAAGTGGCCTTTGGGGGTACCTTCAAATTGACTTCTTCATCCTTTCCCTGTAGGTCCCCAATGTCCCACTATCTGCCATGAAAAGCCTGGGCAAGGCAAAGGGTGGATCTCACTTTCCTTCCAGGAGAGAGTATTTACAACTTACCTCAGCATCAGTGACAGGCTTTCTGCTATGCCTGCAGAACTAAAACTAACTAAAACCCTGGGTTTCTCCTTATTCACATTACAAGTAGCAGAACCTTTAGTGAGAAGTACGGAGAACCTCAGTAGATATCAAGTATCAGGAAATACTATGTATACAGTTTAAAAGCTAATTGGAAAGGGGTTAAACTTCTAAAACTCTTTAGTGCAGAGTTCATAAAGTGTGGACCAAGAAGAACCTAACTCAGAGTGACCCAGACGCTGATTAATGGTTCACATTCCTGACCTCTCACCTCCAGTCTCACGGTCAGCATCTCCGTGGTTGGGGTCTAGCATTTTCAACCAGCTTCTTAAGTAAGTACATCTTATGTCACTCAACAATGGGGGTATGTTCTAAGAGACACATCATTAGGTCATTCCATTGTGTGTGAACATCATAGAGTCTACCTCCACAAACCTAGCTGGTATAGCCTACTGTACAGCTAGGCCATATGGTGTAGCCTATTACTCCTAGGCTATGAAGCTGTATAGCATGTTACTGGACAGAATTTTGTAGGCAATTGTAACCCAATGGTAAGTATTTGTGTATCTAAACATATCTAAATATAGATCAGGTATAGTAAAAATACGGTATAAAAACTAAAAATGGTACACCAGTATAGGTCACTTACCACGAATGGAGCTTACAGGGCTGAAGTTGCTCTATGTGAGTCAGTGAGTGAGTGGGGAGTGACTGTGAAGGCCTAGGACATTACTGTACACTACTGTAGACTTTATCTACACTGTACACATAGACTATGCTACATTTATAAATAATGTTTTTCTTTACTAATAAATTAACCTTAGCTCCCTGTAATTTTTACTTTATAAACCTTATTTTTAAAAAGTTTTTGACTCTTTTGTAAAACATTTAGCTTAAAACAAACTCTAAAAAAAGAAAAAAGAAAGAGCCAGGCATGGTGGCACACATTTGTTGTCCCAGCTACTCAGGAGGCTGAGGCAGGAGGATCAAGTGAGCCCAGTAGCTCAAGGCTGTAATGGACTATGATCGCACCTGTGATTAGCCACTGCACTCCAGCTTGGGCAACATACCAAGCCCCTCTCTCTCTCTCTCTTTTTTTTTTTTTGAGACAGAGTCTCACTCTATTGCCCAGGCTGGAGTGCAGTGGTGTGATCTTGGCTCACTGCAATCTCTGCCTCCCAGGTTCAAGTAATTCTCATACTTCAGCCTCCCAAGTAGCTGGGATTACAGGTGTGCACCACCATACCTAGCTAATTTTTGTATTTTTAGGAGAGACGGGTTTCACCATGCTGGCCAGGCTGGTCTCAAACTTCTGACCTCAGGTGATCTACCTGCCTCAGCCTCCCACAGTTCTGGGATTATAGGCATAAGCCACTGTGCCCAGCAAAGACCCTGTCTCTTAAAAAAAAAAAAAAACACACACACACACACACAGACACACACACGCATCGTACAGCTATACAAAAAATTTTCTTTTTTAATATCCTTGTTCTATAAGCTTTTCTCTATCTTTAAAATTTGTGTTTTTAAAACTTTTAGAACTTTTTTTGTTAAACTAAAACATAAATGTACACATTATACTAGGCCAAGTCGTCACTAGGTGATAGGAATTTTTCAGCTCCATTATGATCTTATGAGACCATCATTGTACAGGCAATCTGTTGTTGACTGAAATATCATTATGCGGTACATAAATTAAATATTCCAAGGTTGAGAACCACTGCTTTGTTGGACATAGGGCAGGAAGTTTCTAGCTTGAATTGGTAGTGGGGTGATGGAGGGGGGAAAAAATATAGGTCCATGAAAAGGACAAAAGAAAGAGTATTTCAGGCCAGACGCGGTGACTCATGCCTGTAATCCCGATACTTTGGAAGGCCGAGGCTGGTGGATCACTTGAGTTCAGGAGTTTGAGACCAGCCTGGCCAACATGATGAAACCCCATCTCTACATCTCTACTAAAAATACAAAAAAATTAGCCAGGCATGGTGGTTCCTGCCTGTAGTCCCAGCTACTCAGGAGGCTGAGGAAGGAGAATTGCTTGAACTGTGGAGGTAGAGGTTGCAGTGAGCTGAGATGGCACCATTGCACTCCAGCCTGGGAGACAGAGCAAGACTCTGTCTCAAAAAAAAAAAAAAAAAAAAAAAAAGAAAGAAAGAAAAAGAAAAAAAGGAGAGTATTTCAGCTACCTGTTCCGTTCCATCTAGATAAAGGTTCTCTGATCATGGCCTTTGTGGCCTAGGAAATTCCCTGGAATTGGGCTTTTTTTTCAAAACAGCCTCATTAAATGTAGAATGTAGGTAAGAAACACTCAACTAAAGAATAGACAGAACTCATGCTCTACCCTTACCTGACTGGCTATGGGGAGATGGGAAACGTCCTGGTACCCAGGTGTGCCCTGTGATTCTGAGGAGGAGCAAAGGAGCAAGAGTGAGAAACTCCCTATCGTACAATTTTTCTGCACCCAGAAGTTCAAAGTTGAAAATTGAAATCAAATGATCATCAATGATGAAAACCCTGGTTAAGCTAGGGGCATAGCATAAATTCTGAGTGCTCAGGCACTCAAAAATAAGTTATACATAATCAAGTTATATACAGACGTGATCTCTGCCTTCATAGGGATATTAATCAGACATTCAAATGGTCATATAAATATGATGGGTTGAAAGGTATACATAACATGGTACCTACCCCTAAAGAACCTGTGAGCTGGAGAGCAAGGTGCTTACTTGTGGAAGCATAGCTGGTAGCAGGACAGGTGCAGGTGAGTGGTTCAGATGCCAGGTGCCAGTGAATCAGAGACCACTTAGAGCTCAGTCTCATTGGTCTGGGGATGTTGCCAAGCAGGAAACAAGATTTGAACATAAACCTCCAGAAAACTGAATAGCCTTCCCAGGACTAAAGAGGGGAGCATGGTAGGCATAGTCAGGTGTGGGGGCTGCCTTGTTCAGGACAGTGGGCGGTGAGGACACAGGTGTGGCTAGAGTTGACAGTTACCTTAATTTGAACAAGCAAACTTTCTACTAGAAATAAATGGAACCGTGATGCTCCTATTGTTCTTGAAAAGATGGCACTTTAAACATTAATTAGAATAACATTATTCCCTTTCAAAAATGGAAGTAGTTTTATATGTTATTTATAGCCATATTATTTTAAAGAGAATTCTGAACACTGGGCATCTGTGGAAAATTAAAAAAAAATCAGATCATGTAAGCTCTTCTTTCAGGGTAGCACCAGCAGAAATCCTTATATAGAATAGAATGATATTTTGATAGAGTCTGTTACCACTTAGCAGTGTGAGTCTTAACTATGTGTAGAGGGTGTGGGAAATGATATCTTTTGATAGCTTCTTTAATCCCTTGCTCCTCTATCTGTAATTTTCAATCCATCAAGACAGCCCATGAATATCAAAAGTGTTCATCTAAAGCTATTAGAAAATTCAGATTACAACAATGAGTTGGAATACATTTTTCAAGAATTAGCCTGTTTAAAAGATTGTGTTCTATGAAAAGCTTGGGAAAAGTATCCCATCTCCAATCGTACTTTCCATTTTTGCCATTTTAGGCTAAGATGTTTACCAGGTCAGGATCATTCTATGTAGGACATGTGAACTTATAAAGTGCATGGATATTTGTAGAGTAAAGTGGATGAAGATGGGGGTAGGCAGTTGAAGATACAGATTAAGGGTTTTCTATGTTTCATTTTTTTAGGAAAAATTGTATTATCTAATTCCTAACGTATAAGAACTAACTATATATCATTTCTGAAATGGAGTTTTGGAAAGTAGTTAAAATGATGAGTTTGGACTTCCTTTCATTGCTTGTAATCCCTGGGATTTCACCTAGATATTTAGGTCAGGAAAATAGCATGATCATCTTGTCCATATCCGCAAGGATGAGTGTGCTGGCTGTCCTGGATAGATGTGCCATTTATTCTATCAAATATTTCTGAACCAAAGAGATAGAATAGCTCTCTTCCGGAGCCTGCTCTCATTTGCAATTGCCTTCAAGGTTAGAGTTTATGTAACCCACATCTCTTAGTACATGTAAAACAAATGCTTTCCCATTTTGTCCTCAGATGGAAAAGAGTTGATCATTGATTTCCTTAAAAGAACCCATGATATACTTAAAGACCATCATTACCCTGACTTCTTTTTCTTTGGTCTAATCCTATCTACTTTTTTAAAGTGCTCCTTCCCAACCCTTTAATTATTCCTGTTGTTACCCTGTGATCCCATTCTAGTTTCTTCTCATTCACCTTAAACCATGGTGCACTTAACTAGCCACAGTCTTGTTCTCTGTAATCAGGGCCTTCTTAGTATAGCTAAACACAAAGTAGAGCATAGCCCAGCGCTATACACAGCACATGTGAATGGAAATTGTCTGTTAGGTTATTGAGTGGTGGTCAATTTCAGTTGCTGAAAGAGTTGAGAAGAGCCTTAGGAGACTAGAGAAGTTGGAAGATGAGTGAAGTTTCTACCTTGGCACCACTATTTTGATGCCAGTTAGGTAGTTTCAGGGGCAAAGATGGAATTACTGGCTTAAAGTCATGCAGAAATGCCCTTTACCTGATGCTATGCCAGAGGAACTTGGCTCTGGACACAGGGTCCAGACACCAGCCTGATTTAAAGTAGCATGAAATAGGGGGTTAAGAAAAATAATTGTCCATCTCTGTAAGTATTGTGGAAGACATAAAGCATAAGAAGTGGTCTTTGCCTTCAGTAAGCTTGCAGTCGAGACGAGGAGACAATCATAGTGACAGTGGATGGAGTATCACAAGAGATCATATTAAAGGCCAGATGTCAATCATTGTTTTGTGTCTCAAGGATGCAGAGGCCTGGGGGACTGGAGGAGGCTGTGAGCTTTGCCATGAGGGTGAACCTGAGAGGGGCCGGGAGCCTGGGTGAAGTTGGCATCACCATAGTGGTAAAAAGAATGTCAGTGGGGTGCTGAGGAGATTGACTGGAGTAAAGTGCTGGTGTTTGGGAAGAGTCAGATGAATGTTTGGAAGATGTGGGGGGCTTACATGCAAGATCAAAGCATTTGGCAAAGTAGAGCAGGAAAACCTGTTGATGAAAGCATCGTCTTTACCATATTGATTTGGAAGAGGTAAGCAGGGGAGATCGGGCAGGGGAGCAACTAGAGAAAAAGAGCCCATTAGGAGGGATAATAGACCCCATGCTAATGATTTCCTGTAGTTGTTGACAAAAAATGGTGTTTGTGCCTTTGTTTTTTTATAAGGTCAGTTTATAGACACACATACAGCTATGGCTGGGGCTGTCTCTTGTGCCTGGAGTTTATAAAAGGCAAAGATACATGACCTTTTATGTATCTTGTCATCCATGTATGTATGGTCGTGTATCTGGAGACTAAAAAAGGGAAAGGAATAGTAGAGAATGTAGACGTTAATAAAACTTACCTTTGAGTCCAAAATTTAAATGTGTGGCCTAGTTTGAAATGTAATTCCCTGGGGTTAGCAAGGTCGTTCCTATTAAGAATAGCCAGCCATTCATTTCTTTCTTGTGCATATTTTCAGCCCTAATGCCTGATATTAAAGTAATCTGTGCAATGGTAGAAGACTTTAATACTTATTTTTCTGTTATGGGCCAAATCTTAGAAAGCAAAAAAAAAACTGAGTGAGAATATTTATTTCTGTATGATATCATTGTTTCTTGAGCTGTTTATAATTAATATTGTTTGGACACGAAGTTCTACAACAGGTTAAACAACAAGTTTACTGTGCAGTCAAAGATTTTATTAATAAATAGAGGTTTCAAAATGATTTCTTTCCAATCAGGGCTCTTTACTTAATATTGTAAATTCAAACTCTGAATTAAATACAAACTCTCAAATGCCTGGCTGTGGGGCCCGTTTTATCATCTGGTTGAGCTTGTAACTATCATCTTTCCCAGAAATGATAATTGATTTTGATGTGAATTTAGAAGTTAATGTGAAACACTCTTAAAATATGTTTTTTGAGGCTTAGTATTTGCTTTCAGAACAATGCATTAGCAAAAGATATTTCTGGTGGGAAGCTGCCCCCTCACATTATTGTTGATGAGTCTCTGCTCAGCTATTTTGAGCTCTGGGCTACAGTGGATGGTACTTTTGAGCTGCCGTGTGTGGTACTTTCAGCTACACTGCTCTGGGTTTCAGAGCAAAAATGGATTAACTCAGATCCCATACTGTAATGGAATTTTTGGTGGTTTGAGAAGACATTGTGTCATAGTCTACTTTTGTATTCTCTAGGAAGATAGGGTTTGATGAATAGACTAACATCTTGGATGAAATAAAACTTTAAAAAAATTTAGTTGGGGGACAGAGGCAGAAGATGGGAAGCATTTGGTATTCGCAGTGCTAATTGGGGTGAAGTGATTGAGAGTTCTGTACCCTGCGTTTGCTCCAGCCCAGCTCTAGCACATGACAGCCTAGGAAGGTGCAGGGATGGTGTAGTCAGGCAGAAAGGAACAGGACTTTCTTTTCTTTTCTTTTCTTTTCTTTTTTCTTAATTTTGACTTTTACTTTAGATTCAGTGGGTACATGTGCAGGTTTGCTACATGGGTGTATTGTGTGGTGCTGAGGCTTAGGGTATGATTGAAACCATCACCCAGGTAATAAGCATAGTACCCAATAGGTAGCTTTTCTACCTTTCCCTGCCTGCTTCCCCACCCTTGCATTCCCCAGTGTCCATTGTTCCCATCTTTATGTCCATATGTACCCACAGTTTAGCTCCCAATTATAAGTGAGAACATGCAGTATTTGGTTTTCTGTTTCTGCATTAGTTCACTTAGGATAAGGGACTCCAGCTACATCCATGTTGCTACGGAGGACATGATTTCATTCTCTTTTATGGCTGCATAGTATTCACCGTGTATATGTACCACATTTTCCTTATTCAATCTGCCATTGACAGGCACTTAGATGGATTCCGTGTCTTTACTGTTGTAAACAGGGCTGTGATGAACAGAAGAGTACACGTGTCTTTTGGTGGAACAATTTATTTTTCTTAGGCTATATCCCCAGTGATGGTATTGCTGGGTTGAATGGCAGTTCCATTTTTAGTTCTTTGAAAAGTCTCCAAACTGCTTTCCACAGTGACTTAACAAATTTACATTCCCACCAACAGTATATATATATATATATATATATATATATATATATATATATATGTGTGTGTGTGTGTGTGTGTGTGTGTGTGTGTGTGTGTGTGTGTGTGTGTGTGTGTGTGTGTGTTCCCTTTTCTCCACAGCCTTGGAGCATCTGTTTTTTTGTTTGTTTGTTGTTGTCTCTTTTTGACTTTTTAGTAATAGCCGTTTGGACTGATGTGATATGGTATCTTGTTGTGGTTTTGATTTGCATTTCTCTGATGATTAGTGATGTTGAGCATTTTTTCATATGTCTGTTGGCTTCTTGCATATCTTCTTTTAAGAAGACATGTTTTTTGGCCACTTTTTAATGGAGTTATTTGTTTTTTGCTTGTAGAATTAAATTCCTTATAGATTCTGTATAATAGACTTTTGTTGGATGCACAGTTTGCAAATATTTTCTCCCATTCTGTAGGTTGTCTGTTTACTCTGTTGATAGTTTGTTTTGCTGTGCAGAAGCTCTTTAGTTTAATTAGATCCCACTTGTCAATTTTTGTTTTTGTTGTAATTGCTTTTAAGGAGTTAGTCATAAATTCTTTGCCAAGGCCGATGTCCAGAAGGGTATTTCTTAGGTTTTCTTCCAGAATTTTTGTAGTTTTAGGTCTTACCCTTAAGCCTTTAATCTATCTTGAGTTAATTTTTGTATATGGTGATAGGTAGGGGTCTAGTTTCATTCTTCTGCATATGGATAGCCAGTTATCCCAGCACCGTTTATTGAATAGAGAGTCCTTTCCTCCATTGCTTATTTTTGTCTACTTTGTTGAAGATTAGCTGGTAGTAGGTATGTAACTTTATTTCTGGGTTCTCTATTCTGTTTCATTGGTCTATGTGTTTCTTTTTGTACCAGTACCATGCTCTTTTGGTTACTGTAGCCTTGTAGTATAGTTTGAAGTCAGATAATGTGATGCCGCTAGCTTTGTTCCTTTTGCTTAAGATTGCTTTGGTTATTCAGGCTCTTTTTTGGTTCCATATGAATTTTAGAATAGATTTTTATAATTCTATGAAAAATGATGTTGGTAGTTTCATAAGAATAGCATTGAATCTGTAGATTTCTTTGGGCAGTATAGCCATTTTAACAAGTTTGGTTCTTCCAATCCATGAGCATGGAATGTGTTTTTTGTTTGTTGCATCATCTATGATTTCTTTCAGCAGTGTTTCATTCTCCTTGTAGACATCTTGCACCTCTTTGGTTAGATGGATTCCTCGGTGTTTTTGTGTGTGTGGCTATTGTAAATGGGATTGAATTCTTGACTTGGCTCTCAGCTTGAACTTTCTTGGTGTGTAGAAATTATACTGGTTTTTGTATATTTATTTTGTACCTGAAACTTTATTGAAATCATGTGTCAGTTCTAGGAGCCTTTTGGTGGAGTCTTTAGGGTTTTCCAGGTATAGAATCATATCATCGGCAAAGAGAGACCGTTTGACGACTTTTTTTCCTATTTGGATGACTTTTCTTTCTTTCTCTTGCCTAATTGCTCTGGCTAGGACTTCCAGTTCTATGGAGTGGTGAGAGTTGGCATCCTTGTTTTGTTCCAGTTCTTAATGGAAATGCTTCCAGCTTTTGCCTGTTCAGTATGATATTGGCTGTGAGTTTGTCTTAGACAACTCTTATTATTTTGAAGTATGTGGAACAGGATTTTGGCCTAAGGGTAAATTAGTACATCTAGAGCACATGGCCCTCATCACTGGAAATGAGGAGGGTGTAAGACAGGTCCCAGAACTTTCATGGGGCAAATTCAGAAGGGCTCCTTCTTCCCTGAGAAGAGCTGACCACCTGGCAGCATGCTAGATGGGTTTTCCTAGAAAAGAGAAGAAAGGACCCACCCAAGGCTACTGGCACCCCAATTAAAATGCTCATGTTGCTCAAAACTGAATTGAAAACATTGATCATGTTTGCTTAGCATCCCCCTCTCTCTTACTGGTACAAATTGATTAAAACCTGTATGAGAGCAGTAGCACAAGAAAGAGATGTTCAGTCTACTGATATGGATGAAGAAAATGTCTTTGACATTTTGCCCCCAAAACCCACCATTGGGTAGAGTTTTAGGTATGACCCATTCTCTTAAATGTTTGGCAGTATGAACTAGTGAACAGGCAGATGGAGTGTTGCAGTGAATTTGTTGGAACATAAAATGTTACTACCGTTTTTAGAAGGTTGAAGAAATAGTTGCTACTGCAGCCCTGTTCATGCCATTAAAATACTGTTCTGTTTTCACCCTTGTTGGACACCCCCATACTTTGTTCCCCTCCTGTTCCATGGTATTTTTACTACATGGGCAGCTCCTGTTACTTTTTTTAAAAGATTTCAGCTTTTAAAATATGCCTGTTACTAATTTTGCAACTTTTATATAAAATTTCTTGGATGTACATGTTCTTCTTTAGTAGTTGATTGTATTCAGTGGTTTCTAGAGAATGAATTCCAGAGCATAGCATCCACAAGGCACAGGACTTTTTATAGCCAGGCTTTGGTGGTGGCAAAAAAGGGCAGGATTTAGTTGGCACCTTGAGTGGGGAATGTTTTAAATAATTGATCAGAAGAAAGCAATTAATCTCTTTCACTAGAAGCCCTATTTTTTAATGAAAGGAATCTATGCTTTTCCCTGGGCGTATGTTAACTGTCAGCTAACGACTAATGGAGCACCCAAAGTAAAAATCTAAATATACCCTACTGAAGTTTGACTTTACTAATTGAGATGTTTGTGATCATTTAGATGTGAAAGTTTTGCTTTGTACCACCAGTGAAGAGTATTTGCTAAGTTGTTAATATCAAACAGACCAAAATTTTGTTAAAAAAAAATAATGTTCACCTTTAGATATTTTTGGTTAAAAAGAGTAATGCCTTTGTCAGAGTATAATTTTCAAAAAGTATAGGACTCTTATACAAATCTGGAATGAGCATGTATCAAAGATTTATTCAACTTATTAATGACAGAACCAGCAGGATGTTAAAGTTGGTTCCAAGGAGAAATAAAGTTGGGTTGGCTGGGTGCCGTGGTTCATGCCTATATTCCCAACAGTTTGGGAGGCCAAGGCAGGAAGATCACTTGAGGCCGAGAGTTCAAGACCAGCCTGTGTAATATAGCAAGAAACCAGCCTGTGTATACAAAAAAATTAAAAATTAGCTGGGCCTGGTGGCACATGCCTATAGTCCTAAGCTACTTGGGAGGCTAGGGCAGGAGGTTTTCTTGCACCCAGGAGTTGAAGGCTGCAGTGAGTTATGATCATGCCACTGTACTCCATGCTGGGCAACAGAGCAAGACCTTGTCTAAAAAATATATATATATATAATATATAATATATAATATTAAAATAAAGGAGTGGGTTATAAAGGCATTCAAAAAGGAATGTCAGAATAAGATGGCTGGGCTAGATGTAAAACTGATTCATGGTTCAACACGATGATAAAACCAGACAGAAGTCATCTGCATCTCTACTGGACAAGAATAAAAAAGTTAACATTAACTTCTAAAGTCTGGGCCTTTCATCAATAGGAAAGGGCTTGTCCAACACCGATCTAGTCTCCCCGGATAATGAAATAATCCTTATGTGATCTGTGAAACAATGCCCCAGTATGACATTTAAAGAACATGCCTTCTTCCCTTTACCTTGTTTACAAGTTTTGGATAATTTTTCTTAACATTACTGTGATTAAAGGTGAACTTCTATTTATATGAGGAACCTAGAGGAGTTAAATTCATAGAGATAGAAAGTAGAATGGGGTTGCCCAGGGCTGGAGGAAGAGGGAATAGGGATTTTAATGGGTGCAGAGTTTCAGTTTTGCAAGATGAAAAGAGTTCTGTGGATGGATAGCAGTGATGGTTGCACAACAATGTGAATGTATCTAATGCCACTGACCTGTACACTTAAAAATGATTAAGATGGTAAATTTTTTGTTATATGCATTTTGTCACAATTAAAAATAAAATTACAAAATGGACTGACAAGTGGGTATATGAAGAAAAAATTAATAATTCTTTACCCTCCTGAGAGAACCAATTTAATGGTTCTGTTTATGTTAACTCACTTTACCTAGTTCATAAAAACATGACTTATCTAAAAATGGGATTTTTAAAATCGTTTACTCTGTGACATTTGTTCTTTTCACTGAACAATATATCACAGACAGATCAATGTCTGCAACGTAGAGGGCTGTCAATATCCACAATCCAGAGGGCTAAATTCATTCTTTTTAATACCAGCTCCATAGACTGGACATAGCATAATTTATTCAACTATTTTTCTACTAATGAAAGTTTAGATTGTTTCCTGTTGTTTTTCTTTTCCTGCCAATACAAATGTTGTTAAAAAAAATTGTTTTACTACAGCAGAGCCATGCTGAAGGCCAGGTTTTGAGTAGTGATAGCAAGAAGGCAGAGGAGGGAATGGATCAAAGAAACACCTCATTGGGCCAGGAGCAGTGTCTCACGTCTGTAATAACAGTACTTTGGGAGGCTGAGGTGGGCAGATCACCTGTGGTCAGGAGTTCAAGACCAGCCTGGCCAATGTGGTGAAACCCCATCTCTACTAAAAATACAAAAATTAGCCAGGCGTGGTGGCAGGGACCTGTAATCCCAGCTACTCGGGAGGCTGAGACAGGAGAATCGCTTGAACCCAGGAGGCAGAGGTTGCAGTGAGCTGAGATCATGCCACTGCACTCCAGCCTGGGCAACAAAGAGTGAAACTCCATCTCAAAAAAAAAAAAAAAAAGAAAAGAAAGAAAGAAAGAAAAAGAAACACCTCATTGGGGAAATGGGTTGGATTTGGGTCCAGTTGAAGATGTTGATGTTGGCTGGGCGTGGTGGCTGATACCTGTAATCCCAGCATTTTGGGAGGCCGAGTTGGGCAGATCACCTGAGGTTACGAGTTCAACACCAGCCTCACCAACATGGTGAAACCCCATCTCTACTAAAAATACAAAATTAGCCGGGTGTGGTGGCACATGCCTGTAATCCCAGCTACTTGGGAGGCTGAGGCAGGAGAATCGCTTGAACTGGAGAGGTGGAGGTTGTAGTGAGCCGAATTCATGCCATTGCACTCCACCCTGGACAGCAAGAGCGAAACTCCATCTCAAAAAAAAAAAAAACAACAGAAAATGTTGATGTTGATGTAAGAGTTGGAGAATGGATACAGCTACCATTTTGATGAGAAAGGGAATAGAAAAAGAACAGCAGAAGGTTTTATGGGGGATGGCAGAGCAACTGTGAGGAAAGGGTGTGTTTGGAAAATGCTGGGTTTGAGAGAGGCATGGCGGTCTGCCTGTGCCCAGCACACAGCTACAAATCAGGGTCTAAAGCTTGGGGAAGACATCACAGAGAGAGATCATTAATTTGATCATCCCTCGCATAAAGTTATAGTTGAGGTTGTGAGAGTGAATGAGATCTGTTCCCAGGGAGGCCTTACATCATAGAGGGAGGAGATGGCACCCATAGGAGTGACCTGCATTTAGGGGCCTGGCCACTGAGACTGAGAAGGAGTAGACAGAGGAGGAGAAACAGGAAAGTAAAGCCTGGGGAGGCAAGAGAGGGAAGAGTCTGAAATGATGTGACAGCTGGTCCATTTTCAGGAAATGTAATAATGTTAAGTATATTTTAGGTACTGGCATCATAGGCCCCCCTTCTCACTGCTTGTTGCATATGCCTTTAGGAACACCTGCCTCTGGGAGTCACATCAAACACTGGTTTCCTTGTATAAACCACCAGAAATAATGGTATGGTTTGTAAGCCACCTTGAGCACTACTTTAAGGAAAAAGCCAAATCAAATCATAATAAGGCACAGTTTGAATGTAGCTTGGCATCTCTCAGTAGTGTTAAGAATTCATTTTTTAAGGCTATGTTATGTTCACAGAAACTAGGACTTTATTAATAAAGGATACTATATGTCAATTTCACAAAACCATGTGATCTGGAAAAGGCTGCAGACAGGTGCCCTAAGAAAGCAGTAAATACAAATAATTTCTAAAACATTTAGAATTAGCTTTGAAACTATCTCAATCTATTTTTTGTGTATTGCCACCAGATTACCCTTTTGACACCACATCTTTGTATAACGACTCTGCATTTTTAAGCCATAGCTGACTGGAGGAGAGAATTTAGGGAATTACCAGTAGTCTGGATGCATTGTTGTGTCACTTCTCAGGGCTTTGAGAAATCCTAAGTTTGGAAAAATAACTGAGTCATCAGAACTTGATGTCACTGAGGAGTGAAATCAGTGGGAACCTGCCAAGTTTCAGGCAGGATTCAGTTTATTTCAAACATTGTGTTTCCTGTTTTATATTAGATACAATTAGGTTCCTGAAGAAGAATCAAAAGAAGACTCTCACCCCTCAAATACCTTGCCATCTTGTAGAAAAATAAGATCTGCACATAGACAGATATTGAAGAAAACACTCTAAGGTTCTGTGACCCGCTACCCCCAGACTGCCTATTGTTGCTGAAGGAATTTGCAATCAGAATGAGGCCAATCCACACGTGGGTTCCCCTGACCCACAGGACTCATCTGGGGAAGAAGAAGCAGGTGGGAGAACAGTGGGGGCAGAGGAGAGGTTGGCAGGTGAGAGGAGGCAGCAGGTGGTGAATGAGCTGTTTTCCAGATAATATGATCACAGGAGTATTTATAGGGTGGTCAGTTTCAGGCATGATGGACTCAGGCCATAATCTTGGGTTACTTAATTGTAAATTGCAAAGAAGAAGGTCATGGCTGTGGAGTGTTGATCTAAACAAAGACTGATGAATCCACAATGGAAAGTTTGTTTGTGGGTTTTGGATCACCTTGAACGTCTTCCGTAGCTTGTAGTTAGTGAAGAGTCCTGACTGAAGGTGGGGGAGTCGTGACTTTCATCAGAACCTTACTGAAGCCCTAGTTCATCTAGATGAATTAAGGAGTCATGGGAACTCAGCAGATGAACCCTGGGAGCATTCGAGCAGGTCCTTAGGAAAGCAATTTACTGATTGAACTCACCTTGTCCCCACCCCAACTGAATACCAAATAATCAAGAAGAATCCTGGATTCTTTGCCTAAGGAATTATAAATTGGAATCAGTTGACCTTGGGGATAGCAAGGTTAGGGTCAGAGATTTCCAGCTTTGGCTGTTGCTTCTCAGCCATTTGGCAGAGAGAGATCTTTACTGTCAGGGACTGCTTTAGGCTTTATTTGCAGACAAATTGTTGTGACCTACTCTGGTCTTGTCTGAACACGTAGACCAGGCCCAAGCTCCCACTGCCTGTTTGCACCATCTCCCTAATCCACAGCTGCACAGTCGGAAGGAGATGCCAAAATCCAGACACAATAAAGCATCCAAATAACAGGTCTTTCCTCTTTTGCCTGTTTGTTTTTTATCTCTCTATAATATATAAATAATTGGCTTATTCTATTTACTGCACAAAGAAAAAATGAAACATCTGAATTTTTCGTAGCAGTGGAAAGTAGTTCCAGAGTGTGAAAAAATACAGCTATCGGAAATTTCAGCTACTGCCTTTGGTATAATGGAAATTTATTACTCAACTCCTAACAATCTTGGCCCAAACCATGTGGTTGTGTGGGCAGGCAGTGGGCACCTTTCCTAAATAGCACACTGCCAGGGACACCTTTGCTCATATTTGAGACAGCCTGAATGAAGGGTATCTTTCTATCAAAGACTGTTTGATTATCTCAGAATTTTAGACATATCACAAAAGCTGTTGAGACCTAGCCAGTGGATTTTACTTGTATGAGATATTGCATAGCTCCCAAAGGGAGGGTCAGAGCCCAATAATAAATAGCTCTTTGTAGCCATCCCCTCCCTAGCCCCAAACCATTGAGATCACAGGGTGAGCAACCAGTCAGTATTCACTCAAAGGCAGTGCTGCCCGGCAGTGTGGCAGATAATGACCAGATGTGAACTTGTCTCTCTACAGTGTGTGGCTGTGACCTGGCACAAGGGGGCTTCTTCATAAAGAACGGAGAGTATCTCTGCACCCTGGACTACCAGCGGATGTACGGGACACGCTGCCATGGCTGTGGGGAGTTCGTGGAGGGCGAAGTGGTGACTGCTCTGGGCAAGACCTACCATCCCAATTGCTTTGCTTGTACTATCTGCAAGTAAGTGAGCCTATCTTTCCAAAGCCTACACCTTCCTCCAACAGAGAAATGCTGGTTTGGGCTGTTAAAGGTTGGATTATACACCTTTTGTCTTGAGTAGCACATACTCTTATCCTTAGATTTCTTTCTTACTGTACTATCAGTCCTAGTAAAAAAAGTAGATTAGTTGGAAACTGTATGTGTGATGTCCTCTACAAAGTAATATGACTGATTTTTAGTAGATTGAAACTAATTCTGAAAGCAGCTCTGGGTCTCAAAACATTTTGGAGCAATAAAAACATCAGGGGGAAATGGCATAACTGCTTAGAAGGATAAAGCTTATTTGGAAGTATAAATTCCTAGGCATGTGTGTGTGTTTAAAATGGTCTCTTTCATCTATAATAGGCGGTGGCAAACTGTGTCCCATGGGCTGAATTAGGCCTGATACCTGTTTTTGTGGATAAAGTTCTATTGGAACACAGCCACTCCCACTTGTGTGTGGCCTATAGCTGCTTCCACGCTGCAACAACAGAGTTGAGTCATTGCGACAGAGACCATATGGTCCGCAAAGTCTTAAAAAATTTACAATCTCATCTTTGGGGGGAAATATTTGCCAACCCTGTTCTCTATGTATCTGTCATCTACCAAGGTTGTATCTTAACTGTGCAAACCAGCTTGATTAAAATGATCAGTCAGGCTGGGCGTGGTGGCTCACCCTTATAATCCCAGCACTTTGGGAGGCCGAGGCAGGTACATCACCTGAGCTCAAGAGTTTGAGACCAGCCTGGCCAACATGGTGAAACCCTGTCTCTACTAAAAATACAAAAAAATTAGCCAGGCGAGGTGGCAGGTGCCTGTAATCTCAGCTGCTTGGGAGGCTGAGGCAGGAGAATGGCTTGAACCCGGGAGGCGGAGGTTGCAGTGAGCCGAGATCGTGCCACTGCACTCCAATCTGGGTGACACAGCAAGACTCCATCTCAAAAAAAATAAAATAAAATAAATAATAAAATGATCAGTCAGAGAACAAGAAAACTATGTGAAGTGTGAGTGGGAAAATGTGGGGCTTTTTGTGGTTTTTGTGTTTTGAGGTCTGCATGTTATAAAACTTAAGATAGGTTTGATTCCTGTAACTAGGAGACTCACCACCAAGGGTCAGCTGCTTTATTGATCAATTCTAATTTGGCAATTTTGCAATCCAGTGCCTTTTCAAGTGGAGATCTATTTGCTATGCCTTTCTAAAAACCCCAATTCAGAGGAGACGTGTTGTCTGTTTTTCAGCATTGTATGTTTCTAAGCCAGAGAGATGTAAGCTCTAGAAGGGAAGATTCAATATTGTGTAATTAATTAACAAGATAATACTGATAAATCATAATAAGACACAAAATATTCATAATAAAATTATTTAAATAACTTTATAGCTATGTATTAGCTCATTTCTCTATTTCATTTTTTTAAATCATAATTTAATAATTCTGGATGAATGAACTGAATATTTTTCTGTATTTAATCAAAAGCAAAGTTCTGCCCTGATTTTTCCCTTTTCAGGCTGTGGCACACAGCCTGGTTAAGAGTCCTGGGCTGGCATGGAGCCCCAAGTCCCAGTCTTACTTCCCAGGTTGAATTGAGACCTATGTGATTTAGCTTTTTCCAGACAATTGCCTCCACCTTAGAATGAGAAGCTGTGAACTAGATGCGAGTCATTTTTCAAGCCTCGCTCATCACTGGAATCTCCTGGATGGGTGGGAGTGGACTAGAGATGGGAGTCTCTCCACAAAGATCAATTTCTAGCCTATTTTCCCCCAAAACCTGCATGCTAATTTAGTAGTTTCTGGAGGGTTCTCATGTATGTTGTCAGTCAGCCAGGTTGGAAGGCCGTGTTCCCAGTAAACTCTAAGAGCCCTTCTGATCCTGACCCTGAGAGGTCATTGCTTTGAAGTTGGTATAATGATAAAAAACGATTTATTAACTATGGCCCTGTCCCTGGACATTTGAGCCAGCAAAGGAGCACTTACTGCTACTGCCTCTACTGCTGCCGAATGACGATAATTCTGTCTGAATTGGGGCCTCCTTTTTAGTTGAGAAGTTATATTCATACAGAAGTTAATTTCACCCTCTTAGCAATTCTTTGAAGGGAACCAGGAGTTAATATCTCTATTTATGAGTGACTTTGAGGCTCACGGTTTAAGGGACATTCCCAAGTTAACGTTAGAACTCAGGTTTTCTAACTCTAAATCCAGGTCTCTTTCTATTATAAACATTCATGCAAATAAAAGAAGGAAGTTATCCAGTATGGGCAGAGGATATAGGGAGGGAGGAAATTACTGAAAAGGGCCATTTACAAAACAACAAAACCCACCCTTCAGAAGGCCCAGCCCAAGTTGAGAACTGGATTCTGGCTTGTCCCATAGAGGATTCGTGTGGGACTTGGGTCTAAAATAATAAGCTTGGATGGGAAGGAAGGCTTGGGCTTGGGTGGGGTAAGCGAGGTGCCTCTGGGCATGCAACAGGTAAAGGGCACTTATTCTCAGGGTCCTGCAAGTGCAGGGTCAGCCACGGAGCACGAGTGCCTCTTTAAACGCTGTGTCTGGGTCCACTCCTGGCCTGGTCGGAGGCAAAAGAACCTGTGCGTGTTGTGTTGAATGGATCCTTAACTTCCTGACTCCCTCCTTACAGAACAGATTTAAGACTTGTTCAGGTTTAGCTAATGAGTGTGAAGCAGTAGGGCTACTGGCATCCAGCAGAGGGTGATTTTTGATTCTTAAAAATAAAACAAGTTCTAAGTTGGTGGATGCCATCTGCACCTGCCTATGGCTTGATCTCCCTAGCTGGTCAGTCCAGGCATGTCACTTCACCTCTCTGAGCCTTCACTGTACTGCCGAAAGTGACACAGCATCACAAGTGGAGAGGACACCACCTCTCCTCGGGACTTCTAAAATGTAAGGGTGTAAGAATTTAAAACTCTCTGTGATGACTGGAGCCAGCCACATTTGTGGGGTTAACTCCAAATTTACCTATATGTTGTTTATTACAGTTAATTGCCAATTGTTAGGCTACTGAGGGGCAACTTAAAGGGAATGTAGCAGCTGTGGAAGTAAAAATGAATGTCAAAAAGCTGGTACTTGCTCTTAAGTAATTGCTTCTAACTAAGATTTGTGGTGATGTTCAGCTTGTGAGTTTCACGTTTCCTAATTGGCAGCATCACACATTTGAAAAATCACTTTAATGAAGATTATTGGTACATAGGCCAAGGGCAAGTGAGTGGGCATGGAAACTGTCATATGTCTGTTCATTAATGACTTGTTTAAAGGGCTCTCTGCCTGGTGACCTGGGAGAAGAAACTGATTATCTACATGCAGAAGGCAATATTTTTGCAAAATGTGCTGCTATTGATGAATATCTACTATGAAGAGAAATTGTCTTTCTGAAAAGAAGCTAATATGAATTCTTAAACAGATATTTACAGCCTGTCCCATTTCTCCCAGTTTATAAGGGACTGGGTCTCCAGCACCATGAAACGTTCCGTTCACCCATGTAGGTGTCCAGCACAAAGTCTAATCCTGCATAATCATCACAGAGGTCTAGGCACGGTCCCAGGGAACTGAAAGACCCACTGCTTACTGCTTGACCTGTAGCCAGGTCTCCTGGGGCAGGGCCTTAAGCTTCACTGGGAATTCATGGTATTTAAAATATTTTTTCATGAAGGACTTTCCATTTGGAAACTTACTGTTCTGTGTGCCCTGCTAGATCACTTGCTGGAATATCCCTTCACTAATGAATGGAGGTAAATCATTCCATTTTACTACCTGGTTGCCCTTAGAACCAGTACATTCCCCTTTCTTCTCAAAATGAGGCACATTTATTTGTTTGGACTGTCTCCAGCTGGCTGGCTTGGTTATGACTGCATTTCAGACATGTTGGCTGCTGCTTCTCCAAGAAATAAATGGGCACCGGAGGGCAGCAAGCAGAAGGAATAAGGAAAAGGAATGAAATTGCTGCAATAACCTTGAGGGCGATGTCTTTCTGCCTCCAGGCGCCCGTTTCCACCCGGAGACCGAGTCACATTCAATGGGAGAGACTGCCTTTGTCAACTCTGTGCACAGCCGATGTCGTCCAGTCCGAAAGAAACCACCTTCTCCAGCAGTAAGTGCCCCGGTGACCCACTGACGTGAATACCTATGTAGTCCAGAGGTAGCTCAGGCAGGTGCCTTCCTTTTTGAGAAACGCTGTTAGCTGGAAATGAGAGTCATCTATCTACTTGAATAGATATTTCTCCAAAGATGACATTAAAATGGCCAACAGGTACATGAAAAGGTGCTCAATGTTATAAGTCATCAGGGAAATGCAAATCAAAACAACCATAAGATACCAACTTATACCTGTTAAGATAGCTATTATGAAAAAGACAGGAGATGACGAGCATCAGCCTAGGTGTGGAGAAAAGGGAGCCCTTGAACACTGTTGGTAGGAATGTAGATTCTTGACGTAGGCATCATGGAAAACAGCATGGAGGCTCCTAAAGAAATTAAAAATAGGCCAGGTGTGGTGGCTTATGCCTGTAATCCCAGCACTTTGGGAGGCTGAGGCGGGAGGATTGCTTGAGCCTCATTTAAAAACAGCTTGGGCAACATGACAAAATCCCGTCTCTACAAAAAATGCAAAAAGTAGCTGTGTATGATAGTGCACGTCTGTAGTCCCAACCACTTGGGAGGCTGAGATGGGAGGATAGCTTGAGCCTGGGAGGCGAAGGTTGAGGTTGCAGTGAGCTGAGATTGTACCACTGCACTCCAGCCTGTGTGACAAAGCTAGACCATCTCAAAAAAAAAAAAAAAAAAAAAAAAAACCCAGAAAAATAGAACTACCATGTGACCCAGAAATTCCTTTGCATACACAAAAATATCTAATATGTGAAAAAAATTAAAGTAGGAATAAAATTAAAGCAGAATAAAAGAGCTGCACTTATATGGGGCAGAGAAGACTTCTCTCAAATATGACACCTAAGGAGAGGTTTGAAGAAAGTGTGGGAAAAAGCTGCACATATATCTGGGGACTTGTCATTATTTACAAGGTCTTGTCTGACCTGTCAGAATCCATAGAGAACCTACTTACCCCCAAATAAAAAGAGTGGCCAATTGCACCATTTCTTCTGGAAAATAACATCGAGTAGGTCAGTTAACACACATTTGAAGTTGATGCATTATGAACTGTGGGCACCAAGCAAGGAAGCTCTACTCCCATCTCTTTCCTGGGACATTAGGAAGTGAACTAGAGGTTTGCCTTGGGTTCTGTGGCTTTTGCCAGTCCTTGGGAGATTTGGAATAAACCTCTTTAAGCCCTTAAGTGAGTCTTAATACGTAAGGATGAGATAAACCACTTCTGCACCAGAGAAATTCAGTGCAATTTATAATAGTGATTCCAAATCTTCCTATTAGAGAGAAGTGTTATACTTGTTAAAAAGAAGAATGTTCTGACTAAAGCATTTGCATAGAAATTGGATTTTTGACCATTGGGAGGAAAGAAGAAAATACACATATTAGCACATGTTATTCAGCACACATGACTGGATCCTTGGCGTGTGAATTTATGTGACCTTCCGACAAATAACAGCAGCTTGGGTAGGATGACAGCTACAAAGCAAGGCACCATCCTAGACCCCTAGTAGGGTTTCAACTCCTTCACCATTCTTGCTACCCTGCCCCAAACACAAGAGATACAGTTAGCCTCTGGTCACTGGGAAGGTAACCTCCAGTGGGAATTGTCACCCCATTATTTGGGAGGGCTTGCTTTGAAAGTACATTACCAAAAACTTTGAAGGAATTCTTGTCCAGTTAAGAAAAAGAGGCCCTGTAATCCCAGCACTTTGAGAGGCTGAGACGGGCAGATCACGAGGTCAGGAGTTCAAGACTAGCCTGTCCAACATGTTGAAACCCCATCGCTACTAAAAATACAAAAATTAGCCGAGCGTGGTGGCGGGTACCTGTAATCCCAGCTACTCGGGAGGCTAAGGCAGGAGAATCCCTTGAAACCGGAAGGCAGAGGTTGCAGTGAGCCGAGATCGCGCCACTGCACTCCAGCCTGGGCAACAAGAGCAAAACTCCATCTCAAAGAAAAAAAAAAAAGAAAAAGAAAAAGAGGCTTTTATGATTTTTATGAGTTCCAGAATATGGTGATAGCTGTAGCAGAGAACACGTCCACAAGGCCCATCATGGGAATGGCTGTGTCCTCATTGTGAAGTCCTTTAGTCCAACTATGTTTTTTGATAGGTGGGGAAATTGAGGCCCACGGGCATACTTAAGGTCACATAAGCTATCTAATAAGATAGGGTCAGATGCACGTCTTTTGGCTCCTGGTTTTTTGCTTGCTCTCTCTCTCTTTTTTAAATCTAATACTCTTCATTGTTTGGTTTAAGATATAGAAGCATGATATCTTTTAAGGCTTCCAACCCTCTCTGGCCATGTAATTTGGGAACATGTTTCCTAGTCACAGCTCTACCGAAATGTTGATTCTAATTTTTATTAAATTTCTTTATCTATATTTTGTTTTTATATGGCATACATGTTATGCACATGTAAATGAAAATTAAAAACATAAAAATATAATCTAACTCAAAGCCATTGCATGTTTAATATTATATTTAACCATCATTGCTTATGTGCAAATTGTTGGGCCAAGTTGTATTTTCTCCTTTGCTTCCAATGGATGAAATCCCATTTCTATGCAACTGCTTTGGTCAGGACATCTTTATTTTTAACAAGTACTTGTCTATTTAAATAAGTACTCAAATGGCATTTATGGGGTGTGTGTGGGTGTCTATAAAAAAGAAAGCTCTTTTATATAGATACACACTTGCAAATTACCCAGACTAGACAGGCACACAAATATTAGAGCAATGGGAATTTCTGGCAAGTTTCAGAAATTCATTGGAGCATAATTAGAAAACACTTGTTTGCTATTCGTGACTCTTCAAGAATTGCCCTATACTTTAAAACTAGCCTGTGTGACTTTAGTTCCTCTTTTATGACTTTTTAAAAATTTTTAATGTTTTTTTAAAAATTCCAGGGTACATGTGCAGGACGTGCAGGTTTGTTACATGGGTAAACGTGTGCCATGGTGGTTTGCTGCACCTGTCAACCCATCACCTAGGTATTAAGTCCCGCATGCCCTAGCTCTTTTCCCTTTTTAAACTTAGTAAAACTTCCTAAGTGGAAGTAGAAAGTAGCCTTTTTTTTTTTTTTTTTTTTTTGAGACGGAGTCTTGCTCTGTCGCCCAGGCTGGACTGCGGACTGCAGTGGCGCAATCTCGGCTCACTGCAAGCTCCGCTTCCCGGGTTCACGCCATTCTCCTGCCTCAGCCTCCCGAGTAGCTGGGACTACAGGCGCCTGCCACCGCGCCCGGCTAATTTTTTGTATTTTTAGTAGAGACGGGGTTTCACCTTGTTAGCCAGGATGGTCTCGATCTCCTGACCTCGTGATCCACCCGCCTCGGCCTCCCAAAGTGCTGGGATTACAGGCGTGAGCCACCGCGCCCGGCCGAAAGTAGCCTTTTTTAAATGTGAATCTCTCCCTTGATAATGTTCACAGAGTTGGTGAAATCTACCAGAAAGCCAAGGCCAAGGTCCTCTTTCTCCTTTGAAATATCCTGTTCAGAAATGAGTTTGCTCTTCTGAACCACAGTTTTATTTCACATTCTGTGACTGGTTTCCCATCATCTCTAAATAGGAGGGGAAGACAGCAGATAGGTAGAGAAATACGAGCAAAGTGGATGGAGTGGACATTTATATGAAAGAGTCTCTGACCTTATTGAGGAAAGATGCAGCCTTTTTCTTTCAGCTGCTCAGCAGCTGCCATGTCTGTATTGTTCTGCTTTAGGAAGAGCTCCCACTGGAGTGCTCTGTTCAGTGCTTCCTCCACCTTGCAGTAACTCTTCTAACCTTGATATCTGTTTTATTTCCCTCATCAAGCACTCCCATAGTACTTATGATATATCAGGTACTGTGTAACTGGTTTACATTATTAACTCATTTAATCCTCATAACAATCCTATAGCTTGGCACTAATACTATCCCCTTTTCAGAGAAGAAGAAACAAATGTCCATAGAGGTTAAATAATTTGCCCAATGTTCCATAGACAGTATCAGAGCTGGGATCTAAACCCAGGTGATCTGGCTCCCGATGCCATGTTCCGGTCCCTGATATTTCTTTGATGATGTAGGTATCACTCTCTGATTTTCAAAGACGTGAGTGCTGAGCCTTGGAGCAGTGGCACATTTGTCTGCAGATTATCCAGGTGCCCTGACTCCAAGAGCTGTGCACTTTCTACATGGGAGGCACAGCAGCCTCCCTGTTATACCAAGTGTTGGTGAATGGAAACCACCAGACAGTTTTTGTTTTTGAGACAGAGTCTCGCTCTGTCGCCCAGGCTGGAGTGCAGTGGTGTGATCCTGGCTCATTGCAACCTCTGCCTCCCAGGTTCAAGCAATTCTCCTGCCTCAGCCTGCTGAGTAGCTGGGATTACAGGCATGCACTACCACACCTGGCTAATTTTTGTATTTTTAGTAGAGATGTTGTTTCACCACGTTGGCCAGGCTGGTCTCTAACTCCCGACCTCAAGTGATCTGCCCGCGTCAGCCTCCCAAAGTGCTGGGATTACAGGCGTGAGCCACCATGCCCGGCCAAAATCATTAGGAAGTTATTCATAGACGCAAACAACTTCAGTGAAAGATTATTGCCTTGAATTATTTAAAACTGTTGCTGCATCCAGTCTAATGCAATTTGAATCCAATAAGCAATAAACATTACGTGAAAGCAAGATAGTAGTGAAAGTTAGCACACAGGGTTTTGACGAACATTAACTAGATTGTTTTATTAGCTGATTCATATTTTTAAAAAAATATTATGCCCAGAAGACATGCTTTACAAGAAGGTTAAGTACAATCTTCGAAAGCTTCATTCCACTCCCTTCTTCATGTATTTACCAATAATGGAGAGAGGGGCTGGATTCCCATGGGTTAAGGAGGGATGTGAGAGAAAGTCTGTGTGTGGCAACTGAGAGTGTAGGGAATCGGGTTTGGGTTGTCATTTCCTACAGGGCTCCTATGTATTTCAGACATCTGAGCAGGAGTGGGCTGCTGTCTACAGTCACCCTTTCCATGTCAAAGGGTGTCTGACTAGTGTCTGATGGCGTGTGGGTTTGTGGGGATTGACAAGATGAACACCCACACAAACACATGCAGGCTCATCTTTCTCTTTTCCCTCCTCTGTGTGCAACATCATTATTCTAACTGCAATTGGAACTCCTACAGGTATCAAGACAAATGCTCTAGTCTGACTGAATTGAAATCATTTCGACCGGGCGCGGTGGCTCACGCCTCTAATCCCGGCACTTTGGGAGGCCGAGGCAGGCGGATCACAAGGTCAGGAGATAGAGACCATCCTGGCTAACACGGTGAAACCCCATCTCTACTAAAAATACAAAAAAATTAGCGAGGCATGGTGGCGGGCGCCTATAGTCCCAGCTACTCAGGAGGCTGAGGCAGGAGGATGGTGTGAACCCAGGAGGCGGAGCTTGCAGTGAGCCGAGATCACACCACTGCACTCCAGCCTGGGCGACAGATCGAGACTCTGTCTCAAAAAAAAAAAAAAAAAAAAAAAAGAAATCATTTCAGATAAAGCATCGCGTGCATGTTTCCAAAGGGGAGGCAGACATTTCCAATTATTTTACTTTTCTATTTAGTCCAGTAGCCTTTAATACATGCAAGATAACTTTCTTTTATCTTTATGTTCTCTCTAAAAAAAAATCATTGTCAGGTTGAGTGAGAACTGTCTGCCAAGGGAGCGTAGGAAAGATCTGCCCTGGCTTCCGAGTGCCTAGGGTCAGGTCCTGGCTCTTCCACTTACTAGCAACCTCTTTACTTCCCCATCCTCCACTTCCTCATCTGTGAAATGGGATGGTCATAGATCCCTACATTGTAGGATTACATGAGTAAATAAAATGCTATGTACTTATAAAACAATAACTTACTGTTCAGGCACTGACTTCTGAATTTTCTTGGAGGACAGTTCCCACATTTTGTGACTCTGCTTTTGTCACTCTGCTGGTCATGACAGCTGCCTTTCTCTGCTCATTTGATATTTTCTACCAGTATAAAAACTGACAAAGGCAGGAATGCATCCACACATGTAGCACATGGATTGTTGGAGTTTGACTCATAGTGATGAGTTTTTATGACAGCATCTCCAAAAACAGATCTGCCTCTCCTTCTTTAGACACATTCTCCCTATAGGATGCAATGGCAGAGGAGGCCTGGCAGGGAACTGCTGAAGAGTAGGGGTTCTGGACAAGTTGTTGGCTGGTTCTAATTCCAGCTCTAGCACTTAAAGGATATGTGACCTTGAGAAATCAATCTTTCTATATCTCTGTTTCTTTGCCTATACAATGGGAAACAATAGTAGTTCCCTTCTCATAAGGTAGTTGTGAAGATTAATAAAAATTGGGTGCTTAGAAAATTGGTGACACATAGGAAGCACATATGTGTTGGCCATTATTCTTTAAGGAAGTTGTGAAATTATGAGCCAGGAACTTGAGCCTAGAGATACTCAGGACCAGAAAAGAAATCAAAAAAGAAAAGAGCACAGTATAACGGTTGACAGTGTGGGCTCTGCATTTCAGATGTGCCTGGGTTTGAATCCTGGTCCTACCTGTTCCTAGTCATGTAGGGTTGGGCAAGTCATTTGATATCTCAGAAACTCAGCGCCCTCGTCTGTAAATTGGAAAATCTCTGCTTCAAAGAGTTGTTATGATGACAAAGTAAGACGCTTCATGGAAAGGCGGTCTAAATGGGGAGAGGGGACCTGTAAAACCTATGTAGGATGCTGGGCGCAGTGGCTCACACCTGTAATCCCAGCACTTTGGGAGGCTGAGGTGGGCAGATCATGAGGTCAGGAGTTTGAGACCAGCCTGGCCAATATGGTGAAACCCCATCTCTATTAAAAAAAAAAAAATACAAACATTAGCTAGGTGTTCTTGCACGCGCCGGTAGTCCCAGCTACTCGGGAGGCTAAGGGAGAAGAATCGCTTGAACCCGGGAGGCGGAGGTTGCAGTGAGCCGAGATAATGCCACTGCACTCCAGCCTGGGTGACAGAGCAAGACTTTGTCTCAAAAAACAAACAAAAAACCCACGCAGGAGGAAACCCACCCAGAACAAAGGCTTTGTTATTGTGTGTCTTGAGAAGTGAAGTTGGAAGATAGAGCAACGAGGCCGGGTCCAGGGATGCCTGGAGGAGTTTGGCCACACAGAGTTCCTGAGGATCATTTTAACCTAGAGGATGACCAGATGAAAACAATGTTCTAGAAAGACTAAGGTAGAGAGAGTCATATGCAAAATCACTGATTTTGGATCAGGGATCAAGGTTGGGGGGACCATTGATTGTATTACTGATAATGGCTGTGGGAAAAGATGAGGAAGGTAAATGAAAATCTCATGTTTATAAAGATCTAGGATGCCATTCACTCGTTCAACAAACATCTCATTGAGCACCTACTGTGTTCCAGGCATTGTTCTAGGCACCAGCTAATTTTTTTTTTTTTTTTTTTTGAGACGGAGCCTCTCTTTGTCACCCAGGCTGGAGTACAGTGGTGCAATCTTGGCTCACTGCGACTTCCGCCTGCCAGGTTCAAGTGATTCTCCCACATCAGCCTCCCAAGTAGCCAGGACTACAGGCATGTGTCACCACGACTGGCTAATTTTTTTTTTGCGTGTGTATTTTTTGTAGAGACAGGGTTTCACTGTGTTGACCAGGCTAGTCTGAAATTCCTGACCTCAAATGATCGACCCACCTCAGCTTCCCAAAGTGCTGGGATTACAGGCATTAGCCACCAGTCCTGGTCTAAATTCTTTATTATATACTTAACGTATTATATTACTATTATACATTTGTCACAACTAAGAAACCGCATTGGCGCATAACCAATTGCATTTTAATTGTTTACATGCGTGCCCACGTCCACTACCAAGAAAATGAAAACTCACGGACAGACAACTCTGTTGTCTGTCTTTCTTATACAAGGCCTAGCACTTAAAGTCCTAGATAAAAGTTCCGGAAATTGAATCAAAGCTTTCTCTGTCTCTAGACAGGGCTAATTACAGTCTTCTCATTTTAAGTATTCATTGAAAAACAACACACATATTACAGAAACATACAAAAGGGATAAAGATCACCCGAAATCCCATCACTAAGAGGTGACCTCTGTTAACATTTTGGTGAACATTCTTCTGAATATCGCTCTAAGTGCTACAGACATGTACACGGTTTTACATAACTTCTTCCCATAGTATTTTGTTTGCATGTCTTCTTTTCCAAAATCATTTATTTGTCTGAGTGTCACACAAAAGGCTGAAACCCTTAAATTTACTTGGGTTGCTTGGCAATGGGGTGAGCTCACGTGTGTCCTGGTAAAGCTGTGCTTTGATTTCCATTAGAACATATTACCATATAGCCCTGTTACCTCCTGGTATATTTCTCTCTCTGACCAGACCGTCAGCTACTGAACGGCAAGGACTGGTTTTTTTGTTTGTTTGGGGTTTTTTTCTTTTTGGCTTTTATGAATAGCACTGTGCACCTAGCAAGCACACACATGTTCATTTAGTGAGTGAATTGATACCATCCCAGGAGAGCCTCTGAGGGAGTAAATCTCAGCTCCCAGGTCTGAATGGTGAGGTCTGATTGCTGTTTGAATGAAGATGCAGTTTGCATGCATGTGAAGTAAGGTGTACTGGCATGTTTAAACTCTCTGTTATTTTCTCATCTCACAAGTGTTTTCCCTTACTTAACAGGGGAAGCAGTTATTGCTTCTGATAAATTTGTTGATAACAGAATCAAAACATGTTTGTTTGTTTGTTTGTTTGGTTTTTGAGATGGAGTCTCACTGTGTTGCCCAAGGTGGACTGCAGTGGCGCGATCTTGGCTCACTGCAAGCTCCGCCTCCTGGATTCACACCATTCTCCTGCCTCAGCCTCCCGAGTAGCTGGGACTACAGGTGCCCGCCACCACGCCCGGCTAATTTTTTGTATTTTTAGTAGAGACGGGGTTTCACCGTGTTAGCCAGGATGGTCTCGATCTCCTGACCTTGTGATCCACCTGCCTCGGCCTCCCAAAGTGCTGGGATTACAGGCGTGAGCCACCGCGCCTGGCCAAAACATGTTTTTAAGAAGAGGTAGAGGTGTCAGGGAATGGATCTCCTCAACTTTGAGTACAACACTGGAGAGCAGCTACACTTTTCTGAACATATAGGGAGCCAGCCCCTGACCTGGAGGAGGGGTGACCTGGTGTGGCAATTTCAATGTTGCTCTACTGGATATTGAGAGAGGTGTTGAGAGGCTTTGGAATCTTACATAGTAGCCAAAGGTTCATTGCAGAGACAAGGTATAGTGCAAAGAGGAACAGTAATATTCAGATTTTTCCTACTGAAATCTGTAACAATTATGACCCAGACATCAAGATCCCAGAGTGATCCATCTTTTCCCTCCTGAGCCTGGATTATCTAAGTTTCAAGAAAGGAAGAAAAATTCCTGCTTTATAGGGAATGGGTGCAACTCAGGGATTAATTTAAAAGTGCTTTCAGTAGGTGGAAAGCTAGTGGCATTTTGTTATTTGCTGTTTTTGTTTCAGCAGTTATATGTCTTATGTGATAAAGCCCACATCTAAAAACTTATCAGTAGAACTGGAATTTCAGTAGTTGGAACAGCAGTCATTTCCCAGTTTAATTTTAATGTTTAAGTAACAGTAAAAATTTAGCTGTTTAAAAGCACTGCTTTGTGTATCTATAATTGTATATTTATACAGATTGTTCCTGGAAGGATATTTGAGCAATTGCTATTAGTAGTTGCCTCTAGGAAGGGAGAGAGAGAACTGGGTGGCTGGGAGACAGGGAGAGAAGGGAAATGATTTTTAGTGTATTTCCCACCCTATGTTTTTACCTATTTAAAAGCAAACTGTATTAAAAATAAAATAATGTTCGTTTTTCAAAATAAAATAAGATTCATTCCAAAGTCTTGCTGACGCCTGCCCTTGCTGTGACCTTCAGCCATGTGTGTATTAAGTGACAGGTCACGTGATGAAAGTACTAAAAGTGACATTCTGCCCCTTCTTTTCTTCTTCCTATCTTGGAATAGGGTAAATGAGCTGAGGTTTGCTAATGAGTATGAATCTGAGAAGCTGACGTAGAACTCAAGTATGATTTCCTCTTTGGCCAGAGCCCGGGTATGCTAGGTGAACATAGCCAGTTAAAGATTTATCATAAACCTCTTCGCCAGGTTAAAGTTTACACCTACATTAGGGAAATCAGCTCAAGAGCAAATTTTCTGGAAACAATTTGTTTTAATTGAGGTGAAATTCACATAGCATAAAATTGACCATTTTAAATTGAACGTTTCAGTGGCCTTTAATGCATTCACTGCAAATGTGCTTTTGTACAACCATCACCTCTATCTAGTTCCAAAACATTTTCATCACCCCAAAAGAAAATTCCTGTACCCATTAGGCAGTTACTCCCCTTCCCCCACTTTTTCCCAGTCTCTAGAAACTACCAATCTGCTTTCTGTCTCTATGGACTTACCTATTCTGGATATTTTATATTAATGGAGTTATACACTATTAGCCTTTTGTGTCTGGCTTCTTTATTTAGTATCATGATTTTTAAGGTTGATCCAGTTCGTATCATTTGTCTGTGCGGTTGTGTTGCTCAACAACAGGGATACGTGCTGACAAATGCATCATGAGGTGATGTTGTCATTGTGTGACCTCTACTTACACAAACCTAGATGGTATAGCTTACTACACACCGAGGCTATATGGCATAGCCTATTACTCCTAGGCTACAAACCTGTATAGCATGTGACTATACTGAATACTGTAGGCAGTTATAACACGATAAGTGTTTGTGTGTCTAAACATATCTATACATAGAAAGGGTAAGGTATTGTGCTTCATGTTACGGAGGCTACAGTGTCACAAGGCGATAGGAATTTTTCAGCTTCGTTGCAATCTTATGGGACTACCGTCATGTATGCAGTCTGTCATTGACCCAAACATCATTATGTGGTGCATGACTGTACTTCATTTCTTTATGGCTGAATAATGTTTACATTGTATGGCTATATCACATTTTGTTTATCCATTCATCTGTTAATGGGCATTTAGGTCATTTCCATCTTTGGCTATTATGAATAGCTCTGCAATGAACATTCACATATGAATATTTGTCTGAGTACTTGTTTTTAATCCTTTTGGGTCTTGGTACATTTTAAGGGGAGTTTGCTAAGAATGATCCCAAATCTTGAAAGCATTGGTGGCCAGTTTTCTTAAGCTCTCCCAGAAATTACTGGGCTGGTGCCCACTAATGTTTATGGCATGGCAGGCTATGGCATGGGCACCATTGAATGGCCTTAGGTGACGGCAGGTAGCAGAGTTCATCTGGGTGCCTTTCTTCCTCTCTTGTTTGCTTTCTCTCCCACTCTTAGATCCTTCCCTTTCTCTACTGCTTTTCTTCTGCTCTATTGCTGGCCATAATTTGAGCAGAGGACCATATGGCCATTGCTTAGCCTGCTGGTAGAAATTTACTTCAGGTTTTCTAAACTCTCCAGAAAAAAGAGTATCAACAGTGCTGAGAACACAGCCTTCAAGCTTCAGCCATGTTACTTCTGTCTCCCTGCAAAAAGATACAAAGTCCTTTGTGGCTCAGGGATCACATAATGTTTGCAAGGCATGTCTGGATTATATTTTGTAAGCAGAAGGGAGAACTGCTCTAAGCCCACAGGGAAGCACTGGTAGAGCCATGTGCTAGGTGGGTGGTCACTTGCCCTGCCCCGAGGGAGACCCCAGGGTGAGCACATCCTGTCCACTACAGCCATGGCCAGAACTTTTCACTCATGAAGGTTGGAAGTCAGTATCTTTTTCTTTTTTCTTTTTTTCTTTCTTTCTTTTTTTTTTTTTTTTTTTTTTTTGAGAGACGAGTTTTTGCTATGTTGTCCAAGCTGGTCTCAAACTCCTGGGCTCAAGTAATCCTCCCACCTCAGCGTCCTGAGTAGCTGGGATTACAGGCATGTGCCACCACACCCGACTAGAAATCAGAATCTTCAAGGTTGCCATGTGACCATTGCCTTTTCTGAGAGCATACCATGATTGAGTGGTGCTTGGCTTTGTTTTGATAACTTCCCATTTTCCTCTTGCTATGCAAATGGCATTTTCAGGCGAAAGAGAACCCTTCTTTTGATTTCAGGTCAGTCCCTATGATATTGACATCCTCAGAAATGATGTGAGCAACCACATGAGACCAATGGAGGAGGGGCTGGAAAGCAATGATGCTCCAGGCCTGTCCTCCATCAGCTGGGCTTTTGAAATTGTTACCTGGTCATTTTGAAGTTAAGAATATATTTATTAGGGTGATGGTTCATTCTATACATATAGCCCCTCCTTTTAGTTATAGTTCTGAAAACATACATGTATACACACACACACACACACACACAGACACACACACTAGTTCTCCCTGACAGGACCTGAAACCTTAAATATTGGAGGTGACAAAACAGTCTTAATGTTTTATGCTAGTATTTTTATTTCCCATAAAAGAATCTCTTTTACATTCCCAGGAAATACAGGCTTATTACTATTTCTATTTATTGTTCAGAGAAATGAACAGAGGCAGTTTAAGAGATTCTTATCCAAGGCAGTAGACACTGTCTTTAAGCAGATACTAAATTTCTCAGCTCCTAGCTAGTTTTCAACAGCCTTTCAAAGTACATGTTCTGCTTGATAAATGAATACTCTCAAGTAGCTGGAGTACTTGCTCTCTAGAAGGCACCCGCATCCTTCACCCTATTCCAAGCAGGCCCTGAGAAATTCAGCCCTCATGGGCTCATCAGATCAGCCATTGAGTCCAGCCCTGATTGCAGTAGCAGGTGTGGGGGCCATTCAGAGCCATCCTGCGAACGTCATTAGCAGAAGTTCTCGGACTCTCAATTCTGATACTTCTGGGAATGGGGTCTGAGTTGGTATTAAGTCCACAACAGACTATCTTCTATTTCTTTTGTGCTCACCATCATACATAGAAGCATTTGTCATGGGATTCCTGCGTAATGAATAGTTAATCAGTTAATCCAGAGGAAAGGAAAACAACCTGACTCCTTTTAGTTTCCTGTTCACATCCTGGTCGTGGATATGGGGGGGCGGGGGAACACTCAGTACTAGCTAAAGGAGAAGGGTTCTTGACCTTGAGAATTGGTTACCGAAATACCAGGGGTTTGGTCTGGGTCCCGCTGCTCGCTGCACAGAAAGTCAATGACTGAGACAACAATTATTGCCAAGGAAGAAGGCTTTAATAGGGTGCTTCAGCCAAGGAGATGGGAGATCAGTTTCAAATCTATCTCCCTGACTGTCCAAAATTAGAGATTTATATAGTACAGAAGAAATGTAACAATGTATAATGAAACAGGAACTAAGGAGGGGGTAAGGAAGCAATCATGATGAATGAGGGGTCTGGCATCTCATTGTCTGGATGGGTGATCTAGTGAGTTTCAATTCTTTGATTTTTTTTTTTTTTTTTGAGAGTCATAAGGGTCCTTTTCTGAGAAAGGAACTCAGATAAAACAATTATTTTTGGGCCTTGTTACATTTTAAGGGGAGTTTGCTAAGAACTATCCTAACTCTCAAGCTTTAAGACCAGAAGGGCCAATTTCTATATTTATCCAAAAAAAAAAAAAAAAAAAAAACACCTCACTATGGAGCTATTGGGTCAGTTTCAAGTCCAGAACACTCCTAACAGAATTCTGTGGGACTGGTTTAGAAATAAGAATTAGAAATTCAAAATGTGCAATGGCCTCTATTTATGAAAACTATGACCAAAGTAACTAAAACTCTAAGTATATATGATATATACTTAAAACAGAGGAAAGATAAGATTTATTGCCAAATACCAGGTTGTGGAGGACTTAGAAAATGGCTGCTGCCCTGCCTGCCTTCTGCTTTCCTGATGAAGGCTGACCCTCTGTTGCTATTATGGGCCACTCTGTTGCTAAAACTTGTTTGTTGTGTGGTAATTGTTTTCCAAAGACAACAAGAACCTTCACTTAAAATAGCACTTCAGAGGCTTGCCCTGGCTTTCAGTGTGTCCAGCATGGCCATTAAGACAGCAAGGTGAGCCACTGACCTACAGGGACATGGGTGATTATGCACGGTCTAGTTCAAGGTTACATACTCAGGCTCCACATAAGCCTTTCAAAATCATCGAGCCATTATTCGTAAATCTGAGATGTAAAATATGTATAGTATTGAGACCCCCTTTTCCCCAGAGTGGGAAGACTTTGCACCCACATGAATGTTTTGACTTCCCCACCCAGTATGTGTCTTCTGACCTTGTATTGCTTTTCTGGCTAATGGCAGCATAGAATTTCAGAAGCTAAAAAGTAGTTTTTAAAAATAATCCTTGAAAAGTGCTTAGCGTAACAAATTTGCGGTTTCACATTCTGTTTTGTACTCTATTCTTTCTTATGTTGACCTCATACGCATGGTGTTTGCCATGACATGCTAAAAAAGAAAATTGTGGACTCATTTGAGTGACTTGCTTTAAATAAAAAACATGGACTGTGGCCAGTCAATATTTGTCAACTCCTAGGTGTCTGATTTGGGACCTGGCAACATTGAACAGCCTGGATGAAGATGAAGGTCAACATTCAACAATATACACTTGCTAGACCAACATTCTTATCACTACTAATGATGGGGACTTTTTGGTCAAGGAGAGGTTTTCAAGTGCCTGAATCATTTCTGCCTCAAAGATGTCAAAACTGCTGCCCAACTCTTATACAAAAATAACATAAGGAAAGTCTGGGTTTTTTAATCCATGTGTTGCAAACTCATGGTCCTAGGAAGGCCAGGCTAGTAACACAGTTGCAAGTGGTCAGTTCAAGCATGAGAACAGGTGGCAACTGACACACTTATGGAGGGATGGAAACCCTTGCCGACTGGAACTATCTGTCCCGTATAAAGTGAGCAGTCACCACGTGTCTCTAAACAGTGATTCCCGTGGTGGAATCCACATGTCAGGGGCTGAGCTAACATGCTGAAGGCTTGTGTTAAAGGCAGCTTGTTAGCAGAATCTGATCCACGTTCAGGTCACCCTTCTCTTGTGCCCCTTCTTTCTCTTTCGGATAGAATGAGTATTCTCCCACATTCCACCTCCACCATTTTATTACACAAGATTGGGAAATCCATGTTCTCTAGGAACAAATGAATGACAGGATAGATGACATTAAATTCAGGACCTCAACTTACCCAAACCCTAGAACTTAAATTTGTTTTTTTTTTTCTTGGAGCTCCTTAGCTTGAGTCCTGGCCAGGGACAAAGTACTGTAGTTAACAGTCTATTAAAAGGATATTTTATAAGGTCTCCAAAGTCTTATTCCACTTTCTATTAATAACAACCTAAATCTGAAATGATTTTGTTTCTATTTATTTTTTATCCATGTGTATAGCCAGGAACTTATTTTGTACTTTTGTTTATGACAAATATGGTTTTTTGTTTTTTTTTAAGATCTATTGTAAAAAAGCATTCCAAGGAAAGCTTGAATTTTCTTGAACATACCTGGGCAACAGTTTCAATACTGAAAATTGATTTTTTAAATGTTTTATTTAAAAATTTTTATAGTAAAGGGCATGCTCTGAACTGTCTTAAAATCCCTCTGGACGTTTTATAAGTCTCAGTTATCTCAGTGTCTCAGCAAGCATTGGTTAGATGCATAAAGTTTCTCCCTAGTTTTTTAATGTAATGATTTACATTCAGTTCACAATAGTTCTCTACGTAGTCTTTACCTTTGAAGGAACACCTCATGCTCTTGTTCTGTAGTGTCTGTTTTTGCCCCTTTACAATGAAGGAGGCAGGAACCAGAGAAACAAACCCATGATCGGAGATTTAAAGTGAGAGCAGTCCTGTAAGCATCAAAGCCTGGGTTCAAGGGCATTTGAGAAAAGAAGATTTGTCCTCTGTGGTTAATTGGGCAGGCAAAGCCCGGGCCCACTCCAGGCCTTAGTTTCCGGTGTGTAAAATGAAGCATTTGCATCAGATGGTCTATAAAGTCCCTCTGGCTCTCAGATATTCTGTGGTCTGTAAAATGCAGATAATCTCTATTCTCCCAGGTTAGTGGGAGCCCTAAGGTAAACTGAGATAACAGACATGCAAACTTCAGAACACAAGATGTTAATTTTCTTATGATGATTATGAAACTAATGAGAATCTAAAATGCCTTCCCCAGAAGCTGACAGTGGGCCATTTACAATGTTTTAAAGGGAAGAGGAAATGTAAGTTATGTTAGATTATCGCAGGTATCAGGACAGTAGAGACACCAAGTGTTTACATGTATGTGCCTGAAATTCGGCTCGGTAATTACACATATTACGCAGCCTGGGAAAGCAGGTATTGCTAACCTACTCATTTTACAGATGAAAAAACTGAAGCCCAGTGGTTGCCTAGTTTGCCCAGGGTCCCTCTGTTCAGTGTCAGAGCTGGAATTTGACTCCAGTGCTCTTCAGCTCCAAAATCCTTAACTGCTGTGAGTTGCCCAATTAGTGTCTAGGATAGGCCAAGACACACAGGGGACAAAACAGTGAAGACTTATTTTTCCCTATTGCTACTTTTATTATCCTCTATCAGAGCTGCCTTTTCCACCTTAATTATATCTTTTAGAGACAGGGTCTCAGTCTGTCACTCTGTCACCCAGGCTGAAGTGCAATAGCGTGATTATAGCTCACTACAGCCTTGAGCTCCTGGGCTCAAGCAATCCTCCCACCTCAGCCTCCAAAGTAGCTAGGACTTGCAGTCCTAGCGCTGCCACGCCTCGCTATTCTATTTTCTGTAGAGACGGGGGTCTCACTATATTGCCTAGGCTGGTCTTGAATTCATAGCCTCAAGCTATGATCCTCTTGCCTTGGCTTCTCAAAGTGTTAAGATTTAAGGTGTGAGCCACTGTGCCCAGTCTGATGATATCTTAGATTACATAGCTTTCTTGTCACTTTCAGCTCTTCAAAGTCCAGTCCTATTAAAAATTCTCTTCCCCCATCCATTTCAGAGCTTCACCATTTCCTAGGTCAGGCCCAACCCAAATTGGAGACCGGCAATGAGGCTGGTCTTTCTTATCTCCTTTCTGTCCTTCAGGGTTCCTTTGGGGTTTTGGACAGGGGGTGGGGAGTAAGTAGTTGAGGGGACAAGGTGTTATGTAACTGGCGTTATTGTGCTTCTTTCTGCTAACACTGGCTGGAGACTTTTAGTTGGGATGGGGAATACATTTTGAGTTATTTGACCAAAATTTCTGATTAACCTCTTGCAGCCCACCCTTCTCCATTTCCCAGAATCAGCCCCTACTTCCTCATGGTCTCCTCATAGCTTGTTACTAATGAAGTCCCCCTACTTAGCAGGCACCTTTCTCAGGTGGACTCATCAAGATGCTGGGGTGTGGGTACCATCCATGTGATATTCATGCACCCCCAGTAATGTGGGTACCATCCATGGGACATTCATGTACCTCCAGTGAGCTGAACAGTGGAAATTCACACCACATCACTTCTGTCTTCTCATTCACCTACCATCAAGGGTGACTCCAGCCAGCTTCCTGCCTTCCCAATTCAGTAGGCTCCAGACTCTTTGTCCATGAATGCTTCTAAGCTCCAGGATACATCAAAAGCTTCTCTTGGCTGGCACAGCAGCTGTAGGGCCTGAGTTTCCCCACTTAGTAAACATCTAGGCAGAGAGTGGGAGGCTGTTCCTCCTTCTAACAGGATCCTGTAACCCTTGCAGCAGAGCAGAGGGGAACACCACTCTCCTGCTGTGTGAAGAGCTCGCTGCTGACTCTCAGCTCTCTGTTTTCCAATGTCTGATTCCAGAGTTGGGTAGGCCATAGGGTTGATAGTCATCAGGCAGAGTCTACCATCTTTTGATAAGTCCTGCAAGGATATTCCTAGCACCTTTCCTTGGAAGATGGGATACTTCTCCCCATCGTTCTCACCTCGGAGGTTTTAGCCAAAAATTCCAAGACACTAAGAAAAGTCCCATTCTGTATTCTGGAAGTTTTGATCCTGGCTAGGTAGTTGCTCTGAATGGAAATTACTACCTTTGTAAATGACTCTACACATTCGAAGCATGCAGGCCTGGGAAGGTAGCGGTGGCTGGGAGTTTAGCTAGCACATGGTTCTCTTTTTTTATAGCTAGCCCCATGTCCTCAGCCTTCTTTTCCAGAGAGGCGTCTTCACAGAGTAAGACATCTTTGGGGCCCTTATTCATCTCAAATGAGAATTCCAGGAAGGCGGAAATAGTTCTCAAGGAGAACATAGGTGCCCAGGCTGAGAGAAGCTTAATTGCTGCCCAGGAGATGACTTCTCTCTTAACTTTCTATCCCCTAACAGTGGTCTTTATTTTCAAGTTGTGTCTTTGCTTCTTTCATAGCTCTGGGATGTCTGAGCACTGAAGTGCTTGTAAAGAACCCAAGACCTAACTCTGCTCCTAACCAAGGAAAAAGGGAGTCTATTGAGTGGCTCACATGTACCAAGCATTGTATTATGCAAAACACTTTACCATGCATGATCTCTTCTCTTTTTTCCTGAAAGCAACGTGTCCCCTTCTTCAACTTACTTTTGCAGCCCAAGTGTCCATAGCCCTATGCTAAAATATATAAATAAACAAATAAAATATATTAAGAGTGACAGGCAATATCCCTATTGTCAAGGATATTAATTGCCTTTGAACAAAATGATATCAATTTGGAAGCGGCTATGTAGATGGATGTTAATTTAACCTGGACGTGAGTAGCCAAATCCCTGCTTTTTTCTGGCTTTTGATGCCAAGAGTGAAGGGCTCAGGGTCAAGTGTTTAAGGTCAGGCTTTTCTCTTTTTTTTTTTTTTTTTCCATGTTAGGTCATTATTTTTCCTGGGTAGGACACTGGCAAGTTCCTCATGGGTTTTATTTCCTCGATGCCACTGCATATTCACCTACTTCTGACGTTGGCAATAATTCCAATGCCAATCACCAGCTTTCTATATTTATCAGCAGCTGCTTCAGTGATTTGGAAACAATTTTCTCAACAGCTGAAAAACATGAAGATACAGAGTAGGACATTTTGTTCTTTATGAAAGAGCTTAGTTGGAGTGAGCGTGGAAGGAGTGAGCAATCCAGCATGAATCTTTTGTCTCTGCATCTTTTCCACTCTCTCCAGCACAGTGTCAGGCTTGAGTGAAGACCATGGCTTTGTCCAGACAGGAGTGGGTAGGCTCTGTGAAATATACCAGAATACTTCGGGTCAGGATTCTCACGTGGGCTGGTATTCCCTTATCTAGGAGGTGCTCTTTGTTGATTTGCTTGATGTGTATCATAGGGATTGGCAGGAAGGAGGCCTAACCTTAGCCTTTATTTGCAGCCCAACCTTACCAGCTGGCTGGTAAGCATTCAGTGAATATTTTTCTATAAAACATGTAGAGTGGCTGTCCCCCATGAGGCACCGTGCAGGGCATGGAGGAGCTCAATGGTATAGATACCACCTGTGAAGTCAGAGAGCTTCCAGTCTGCAAGGCACTTTGACTAGAATGATTGTGAAAACTAAATGGTACCATGTTTACAAAGCCCTCACGTGGTACCTGATTCTAGAAAGCCCTCAGTGCAGAATGATCATAGTGGTGAGGCAGGAAAATAGGGTCTAGAGACTGGGAGCCTAAGGCGAATCTGAAGTTGACTTCTTAGAATTAAATCAAAAGGAAAACTTCAGCCTCTGGTTGGTCATGGGCCAATCTTTCACTTCAGTCTCTGATTGTTTGCAGGTCAAGTTTCCACTTCAGCCTCTGATTGGCCCTGGGCCAGTCCTTCATTTATATAGAGTGTAACTCCACTTCAGCCTCTGATTGGCCATGGGCCAGTCCTTCATTTGTATAGAGTGTAACTCCGCTTCAGCCTCTGATTGGCCGTGGGCCAGTCCTTCATTTGTATAGAGTGTAACTCCGCTTCAGCCTCTGATTGGCTGCAGGCCAAGCCCTCAAGACTTTCTATCCCCTAACAGTGGTCTTTATTTTCAAATTGTGTCTTTGCTTATTTCATAGCTCTGGGATGTCTGGGCACTGAGGTGGTTGTAAAGAGCCCAAGACCTAACTGCTCCTAACCGAGGAAAAAGGGAGTCTATTGAGTGGCTCACATGTACCAAGCATTGTATTATGCAAAACACTTTACAGTGCATGATCTCTTTTCTTCCTGATAGCAGCCTAGGCAATGGCTGTTGTCCGCATTTTACAGATGAAGAAATGAGGGTTCGGAGAGAGTAACTTGCCCGAGTCTTCCTGACACCAATGCCCATGCTGCTCCTACCTTCCCCACACCATCCACCTCCCTGGACCTCACTTTTGGTGCAGCAGAGAGACTGCAAACAGCTCTGTCAACCTCCCTGAGCCCATCCATTGTCATTTGTAGAAATGAAAAGCCATCTCTGAAAGTTGATTTTCTCTTTTAAAAATTCTATTGAACAGCATCTTCCTTATTATTAAAATCTTTGCTGCCACCTAGTGGGAATTATGTAATTAGAAGAATAAAGAAAAATTTCAGTTAGACTTGGATTAAAAAATTGTCCATTTCATCCTGGAAAAGGCAAAACTATGTAGACAGTGAAAAGATCAGTGGTTTCCAGGAGTTAGGAGGAGGGAGGGATGAATAGATGGGGTACAGAGAGTTTTTAGGGTAGTGACACTACTCTGTATGATACTATAAGAGCGGGTACATGTCATTACTACCTTTGTCCAAACTCAGAATGTCCAACATCAAGACTGAACCCTAATGTAAGCTGTGGACTCTGGGCTATCATGATGTGTCAGTGTCAGTTCATCAATTATAACAATGGTTCCACTCTGGTGGGGGATGTTGCTAATGGGGGAGGCTGTGCACGGGGAGGGACTGGGGTTGTATCAGAAATCTCCGTACCTTCTGCTCAATTTTGCTGTGAACCTACACCTGCTCTAAAAGTAGTCTTTTTTTTAAAAAAAACTATCAGTTTTCTTACATCCATACTGTGCTCCTAAACTTTAAAAATTATATTTTTAAACTAATATCGTGGCCTTCCATTTTTATCTTTATAGTAAACTACCAGATGTGAGATTCCTTTTATAAAAATTTTGGTCAGATGTTGGAATTCATATAAACCCCAGCTTTTAAAAAAATGCTTAATCTTTTATGACCATCTAATATACACTCATATGCATATGACCATCTAATACACACTCATATGTGTACTAGATAATGGGCCATACATTAAGAAATTCTAATTTGCAATATTCAGAACTTATATTTTTAAATTTTATAAATAGTCAAATTTTTTACATTATCATGGTTTAAAAATTCAAACAACACAGAGGATGTGAAGTTAAACAGTAAAGTCCTCCTCCAGAGAGGGAAGTTTCTTAAGAATTTTTAATGTTTTCCCCCAGAAATGTTCTATTCTGGGACTAGGACACACACACCATTTTCTTTACTACTTTTTTATGAATGAGCTTATGCTATGCTTACTGTTCTATGGCCTGCTTTTTTTACTTGATCTATTTTGAACATCTTTCCATGCCAGAGCACAAATCTGCCTCGTTCTTTTGAACAGCCCATAGTATTCCATTATCAACTATACTATAATTTATTTAACTGGCCCTTCACTGATGGTCCATATAGCCTATTTCCAGTTTTTGTTATTAGAGAAATGCTGTAGGGAACATATGCATGCACATATGTGCTTTTGCAAATATATTTGTAGAATAAAATCTTAGACATAAAATAATTACTGGATCTCAAGGTTATGTGAACACCCACTGTCCAAGATCGCCAGAAATACACCTGTCATTAAAAAAAAAGAAAAAGAACGGGTTAAACTAGCTGCAGCAAGAGGGAAGCCAGAGGAACTGTGAGCCCACTCTGGGTGCAGTTTGGAGGAGTTTTCACAGCATTTGGGCTTATGCTGGGTAATTTTATTTATTTATTTAATTACTTTATTTATTGAGACGGAGCTTCGTTCTTGTTGCCCAGGCTGGAGTGCAATGGCATGATCTCAGCTCACTGCACCTCTGCCTCCCAGGTTCAAGCAATTCTCCTGCCTCAGCCTCCTGAGTAGCTGGGATTACAGGCGTGCACCACCATGCCCGGCTAATTTTTTGTATTTTGTAGAGACAGGGTTTCACCACATTAGTCAGGCTGGTCTTGAACTCATGACCTCAGGTGATCCATCCGCCTCGGCCTCCCAAAGTTCTGGGATTACAGGTGTGTGCCACCGCACCCAGCCCACGTGCTAGGTAATTTTAAAGAGGATTCAAAGGATTAGAAGCAGTTCTAGGTTAAGTGTTGTCAAGAAGCAGGACCAGGTCAGCGATTGGGTCTCAAGGTTTTCTGGATGGTCAGAGAATTAAAGTTGGGCTAGAAGCGTCATTAGGAAAAAGCAGTGGCAGTCACGGATGTGGTCAGAAGAGGGGGTTGTTTCATCACTTTGTGTACCAAGTGGACTCTGTCTTGGTCCAAACCTGGCCACTAAGTGGACTTGCCAGGACATGGCTTTATTCTGTGTGTGTTCTGTCTGATCAGCTTGGAACACGTGGCCAACTTGACACGTGCTTGCTTTCATTCTCTCAGGTACATTGATGTGGAATGTCTGTAGTTGTTGAAGTTGCTTTCCAGAAAGGTTGCACCAATTTACAGTCTTCTGGTTTCTTTTTAATACCCAACTTCCCTAACAGAATGAAGCAGTCGATAATCAGATTAATTATGGCAATTGTAATAACAGCAAATGTTTCTAGTCACTTCCAATGTGCCATCTACTGCTAAATCTATTAAATGCACTGAATCCTCATCAGAGGGCTGAGACCAGGTGCTGATAACATTCCCACTTCCCTAAGAAGAAACCCAGGCTTCAAAAGGGTGTAACTTGCTTTGATCACATAGCTAGCCAACGAGGAGTTAGCTGGGGTTCCTCACTGGGATGTCTTATTCCAGGCCCACACTCTTTACCATGAAGAAATAATTTCTCCTTTATTGTCCTTCCAGGAGCCTGCCAAGGAGAATTGAGAGCTAAGGAATTAAGAGCCACTTAATTGATGATCACAAATCTTTGAAAGGCTGGTTTGGATTGATAAGGAAGTAGGGTCCCATTTACAAAAATGAGATTTACGGGCAGCCTCCAGGAGTAATCACGTATATAGTGTTAGGCGAGGCATCAGCATAAAGTGCTGAGTTGTTCACAGTGCCCTCAATTAATAAATGCCTATGCGCACTTTCTTAAAATCACAGCCAAGACACTATAATTAAATATTCTCTGGGCGATCTGTAGCTCAGAGGATACATTAAAAAACCCCCAAGTAAGCAGATGGGTGAAGGACATCCGTCCCCGTAGATCCACGGAGGTTCATGAAGCTTCCGTTCTGTGTCCTTCCGAGGACGCAGCCTGTGAGCCTTCACCAAGAAAGATTTTGTGCAGGGAAAGAAACTGACCCGAGATGGTGCTTGAGTAAATATTGATTGAGTGTGTGATGGGCACACAGTGGGGTTGAAATTGGGCTGCCTGCTTGGATTTAGCAAAGGAAATGTGTAGTAACCACTGGCGGCTGCTCTTTTTCAGATTGTGCCGGCTGCGGAAGAGATATCAAGAATGGGCAGGCGCTGCTGGCGCTGGATAAGCAGTGGCACTTGGGGTGCTTTAAATGCAAGTCCTGCGGGAAGGTCCTCACCGGGGAGTACATCAGCAAGTAAGGCTGGGCGCGGGCACGCGTTCCTTTCAGTGGGCACCGGGCGTTGTGGTTCTTCTGCAGGTCCTGGTCTCAGGGGCCCCACCCCATCAATGGTGCTGAAATTGTTCACATCCTGCCATCATAATGAACTTGTTGCTATAAAACTTTTGAAAAGAATTGTATTCTTTTGCCTTGGCTACTATAAACCTAATGATATGTTAATCATTGCCTAATTTAACAATTAATGAAGCTGACACTGTTACACTGTATGTCATTACCAATTAAGCATTTAATAATTTCCCTGTTGCTGTTCATTCTCCTATGAGGAACTAGTAAGCCTTTGTTCTCCTTCCAGGGCTGGAGTACATTCATAGACGCTCCCCAAAAACACACAAAGCCTAGGTTGTGGGCCTTTTAGGACTGCACAAAACAGCCTGCCAGGAAATGGGCTCATGTTCAATAATAGTGGATAATAGCTACAGTTAAGGAAGTGAGGCTTTTTTTTTTTTAAATGTAGCCTGGCAATGAGGGGAAATTTTCCACCGTATACCTTTTCATGCCTTAAAAAAAATTTTCCTGCTGGGCGTGGTGGCTCACACCTGTAATCTCAACACTTGGGAGGCCAAGGTGGGAGGATCACTTGAGTTCAGGAGTTCGAGACCAGCCTGAGCAACATAGCAAGACCTCATCTCTACTAATATAAATAAATAAATAAGCAAGCAAGCCAGGCATGGTGGCACATGCCTGTAGTCCCAGCTACTTGTGAGTCTGAGGTGGGAGGATCACTTGAGCCCAGGAGATCAAGGCTGCAGTGAACTATTATCGCACCACTGCACTCCAGCCAGGGCAACTGAGTAAGACCTTGTCTCAAAAAATAAACAAATAAATTCATTCATTAATTCATGCATTTCCCCAACCACATGAAATCACCTATTCGAAAATATTAATGAATGTAGTTTAAAAATATAGTGAAACAAACAAGCAAACAAAAGGTTGCTTGGGCCCCACCCACTAGAAATCTAATTCTACAGGCCCAGGGTAAGGCTGAAACACCTGCACTGAAAGGGCAAGAAGGCTGGGTGCGGTGGCTCATGCCTGTAATCCCAGTACTTTGGGAGGCCGAGGCAGTCGGATCACCTGAGGTTGAGAGTTCGAGACCAGCCTGGCCAATATGGTGAAACCTCATCTGTACTAAAAATACAAAAACTGAGCCGGGCATGGTGGTGGGCACCTGCAACCCCAGCTACTTGGGAGGCTGAGACAGGAGAATTGCTTGAACCTGGGAGGCGGAGGTTGCAGTGAGCCCAGATCGCACCACTGTACTCCAGCCTGGAGACAGAGCAAGACTCTGTCTCAAAAAAAAAAAAAAAGAAAGAAAAGAAAAGGCAAGAAGCTCTTCAGGTGACCATTATGGACAAAATAAGACAGGTGCCTGGCTTCTAACGGAACATTGCAAGCTATGCGGGGGTGGGTAACTTGGCAGTCTAGGGTGGCACTCTATAGCTTTTCCATGCAATCACACACAGGATATAATATTTTTCCTGTGCTCCAAGGAGGTTGACTGAGCTGAAGGAGGCGGCCCTGGGCTCCGGAGGCCTCCTGAGAGCTGAGGAGGTGGTGTCTGCAGGCTGTTCAGAGGCTGTACTCTGGCATGTGGGCCCCTTGTAGGGGAATGAATGCTGAGCCCACATCTGACGGGCTCAGTGTTCTTGTTTTTTTTTTTTGTTTTTTTTTTTTGAGATGGGGTCTTGTGCTGTCACCCAGGCTGGAATGCAATGGTGCGATCTTGGCTCACTGAAACCTCCACCTCCTGGGTTCAAGCAATTCTCCTGCCTCAGCCTTCTGGGTAGCTGGGACTTACAGCTACACCTCACCACACCTGGCTAATTTTTGTATTTTTTTTAAAGTAGAAACAGGGCTTCCCCATGTTGGCCAGACTGGTCTCAAACTCCTGACCTCAGTTGATCCACCCACCTCAGCCTCCCAAAGTGCTGGGACTACAGGCATGAGCCACCGTGCCGGGCCTCAGTGTCATATTAATAACTATATGTATTATATACATTAACAATATTTTATAGCTTTGCCTTTATTGTGGTTTTAATGAAATTGTCGCTAGTGTTTTGCCTTCAGGTGTGATATTGCCTATTGATTTGCCAGTATCTTCTTCAGGTTCATTAACACCATTCTTTCTCTGGTTTATTAATTATTGTTATGTGGGCTCAGTGGGCTCAGTACTCCTACGTGCCCAGGGGGCCTGTGGAGAGAGAATGCTGCCAGGCTTTCTGCTAGTTAGCTCTGAGACAGTAAAAAATCGGCAAGGGTGACCATATGGCGACATGGCTGTTTCGCCTGTGTGGCACCGAGAGCCGCAGAGTGCTCTCTGGATCGTTTTGTTTGTGGTTTTGATCCTGTCTGGCCAGGTCTGACTGGATTGCCAGGCATGTGAACACTGGGCAGGGGAGAAATATGTCCTGCCCTTCTGTGGAAAGGCCTTGGAGAAATGTGGTTTTGGTGTCTTCTCCAGCCCCTGGCCACCTCCTCAGGAGCCGAACACGTTTTTGTCTTGCAGGGATGGTGCTCCGTACTGTGAAAAGGACTACCAGGGACTCTTTGGGGTGAAATGTGAGGCGTGTCACCAGTTTATCACAGGGAAAGTCCTGGAGGTAAGTGGCAGACCGGCTCCCTCATAGCTACCGCCATCTTTCTCAGCGGCCCTCAGAAACAAACAAGAGGGGACCCTTTCCCACCTCCTCCATCTTTTTTTCACCTGTGGAGAAAGAAAGTAGTCGCAGGTGACTATTTTCAAGAATTAAGGTGCTGCACTCTCCTCAAAGGCTCACGTGGAAATTAGAATGATGGAGAATTTGCACAGGAAAAAAAAAAGAATGATAAAGGTTCTGGTAGGAGTTATGTAGGACAGGCTATATTAGACCATTTTCATTTTTAGAAGTTAGACAAGAGTAAATGAAAAGGGTGTGAAATCATGTGTGTATACATCCATGTGTGCATGTGTGCATATGTCTATGCATGCATCTGTGGGCGTGTGCAGATTCAGGGAGCAGAGGCTCAGAATGGAAGCTAAGAAAGGAAGGGTGGGGGAAAGGTAGAGGCATTGGCTTCCCCAAACTTCAAAAACCACATCCTGTGTGACCCAGAGCACCCTGTGGCCGGGGCTGAGCTGAAGCCTGTCAAGTTCAGGTGCAACCGCCTCCAGCTAGGGAGCTTTCTTCCTGCTTTCTCAGCAGCCGCCACACAGGCTTCTGCCTCTGGGCTGAGCCAGTTCCTCTGGGGTGAGACACAGAATTCTGGGGCCAGAGTTCAGAAGGAGTCGCTACCCTACTTCTCCCAGGCCTGTGGGGTGTCAGCCAGGTCCAAGGAAGAAGTAAGACTGCCTCATCTGTGGCCCACCTGCCAGCGTGGAGAGTATGGCCCAAGCAGAGGTGGGTCAGGAAGCCCCACAACTAGGGGGATGACTACAGGTGCTGCAGCTTGTCATCTTGCTTTGTCAAGGACCAGGCTGCTAAATCCACGGAGCCATGTTCCACCTTCCCAGCAGGGCACGTTTCAGAGACACAGACACAGATCTGAGGCCCCCCTCCCCGCCACCATGGTGTTTCTGGGCTGTGCTGTCTCTTCCGTGGGGTTTCACAGCAAAGGCCCAGTGTAGCCCCCTAAATCCCACTGTAAACCCTTTCCATGAAGCACAGAGGGGCCAGCATTGGATGTGTGCTGGGACGTGGGCAGCTGATTGCATTTGGGAGAGAAGGGTGTGGTTGTGGTCAAATGCAGTTGCCTCTTAGCCCGAGGAAGAGGGTTCTGGGAAGAGGGAGCAATACCTGCAGAGGCTCAGAGGTGAGGAAAAGCACAGGATACATAAGAAACGTCAGTTGGGCACCGATGTGACAGATGATGCTGGAGAAGTGGGCAGGGTCCCAAGAGTCATATTCTGGAGTTTGGGTGTTACCCTAAAAGCGGTAGGAAGCCATTGAACTGCTTGTAGCTGGAGTGTCATGTGATTAGACCAGGTTGTTGTGTAAAGAACGTATGAGAGTTCTCAAATCTATGTACGCACGCGTTCACAGCAGCCCTATTCACATCAGCCGAAAGGTAGAAACAACCCAATGTCCATCAGCAGGTGAATGGATAACAACATGTGGTGTATCCAACTAGTGGAATATTATCCAGCCTTGAAGCAGTGCTGCCAACCACAGGATGAGCCTTTAAGTAAAAGAAACCAGCCACAAAAAGCCACATATTGTATGATGCCATTTATATAAAATATCTAGAATAGGTAAATCCATACAGATAGAAAGCAGATTGGTAGTTGCCAAAGGCTGGGGGAAGGGGAAATAGGAAATTACTGCTTTATGGATACAGGATTTCCTTTTGGGGTGATGAAAATATTTTGGAATTAGAGGAGGTGGTTGCATAGCATTGTGAATGAATGTACTAAGTGCCACTGAATTGTTCACTTTAAAATGTTTAATTTTATAGTACGTGCATTTCAGCTCAGATGTTTTTTAAATGGCTGGGAAGGGAGTTGGGGTGGAGACAGGCCAGCTAGGAGGCTACTACAGAACTTTGGGCACAAAATGATGGTGGTGCTAGCTGGAGTGGAGCCTGAGAAATGGGCCCCCACCCTCCGCACACACAGGAAGGGTGGAAAGAGTTCTCTCATAGCCTTTCCAATAAAGCTTTAATTATTGACCCAAGGACACTTCAAAACTAGTGTCTTGACCAGGGAGAAAGAAGCATATCCCCAGGAAGGCTGTTGGAGAAGGTGGATGGGACCCACCTGATGGGGAGCTTGGAGTCCGAGCGGTCCCATCACAGCGCTCAGAGTGTGATGCACAGGAGGTTGGTGCCTCCCCTCCTGGCCCTGAGTCCATCCCTCATCCCTCCCCAGAGAGCTCTTCTCAGAAGTGCCCTGATTGGGGCCTGACGCCATTTCCCTTGGGATTCCTGAGTTTGATCTCTTGTGGAGGACTGAAATAAACCTGTTGAGTTGGGGCAACTTGGAAATTTCCTTCTCCTCCTCCTTCTTCTTTCTCTTTCTTTTTTCTTCTTCTTCCTCCTTCCTCCTCCTCCTCGTCCTCCTCCCTTCTCTTCCCTCCTCCTCCCTTCTCCCTCCTCCTTCTTCCTTTCTTCCTTCTAATTTCTTCTTTCTTCCTTCTTCTTTCATCTTTCTTCCTTCTTCATCATCATCTTCTTCTTTTCTTTTTTTTTTTTCTTTTTTCTTTCTTTCTTTTTTTTTTTTAGAGACAAGGTTTTGCTCTGTTGCCCAGGCTGGAGTGCAGTGGTACAATCATACCTCACTGCAACTTTGAACTCCTGGGCTCAAGCTATCTTTCTGCACAGCCCCCTGAGTAGCTGGGACTACAGGTGCATGCCATCACACCCAACTGATTTTGTTATTTTTTGTAAAGAACGGGAGTCTCACTCTATTGTCCAGGCTGGTCTCTAACTCCTGGCCTCAGGCAATCCTCCTGCCTCAGCCTCCCAAAGTGCTGAGATTACAGGCATGAGCAACCAAGCCTGGCCCTCATAAAAAGAAACAATAGAACATCAGAATGATTTCCCAGATGTCCAGCTGTACAAAGAGAGACGAGAAAATACTGAACGTGGTCCCCACATTTGTGACAGCCGTGTTTGCAGTCTTCTTAGTCCACATGTGGAGCTGTGTTCCCCCAAAACATGCTGGGGAGGGAAAAGGGCTCTGTGTGTGTGTGTGTCTGAGTGTGTGAGTGTGTGTGTGTGTGTGTGTGTGTTGATTCCCTTCAGATTTAGCTCAACAGCTGTGGGGAAGAAAATCTAAAATAAAGCTAGATCCAAGAACATGCCATTTGGAAGAAACATGTGCTTACTCTGTTTTCTGCTTCAAGACCTGAGTCATTTGGCATTCACTGTGGCTGCAGAGACCTCTTCTCAAATTGGCTTCAGGTTTCTGTGAAGGCCGTTTTGTGAGGCCTAAGACTTGGAGACTTTCCATGCGGGGCTTTCAGAGTTGAGGCGTCTGGGAGTAGTTTGCACCATGTTCAGCCTCCACCCAGCAGACGTAGTCCTTAGATGGGCGTGTGAGCTAGAAAAACGTCCTGCAGGGTTATCACACTGACGTGTGACAGCTTGTGAGTCGGTTTGGCTTGGTTACCAACACAAAGCAGGACGGTCTCCACACACTCCTCCCTCGGCCTCTCATGCTTGGGTCTTGGTGGTGGTGAAATATTGTGATGGTGGATTTGTTGTAAATACTGTGAACCTTGGGGTTTTGTGGGTTTTTTATATTTATTTTATCCACAGATGAATTTATTTTATCCCTTTACAAATGTATTAGTTTTCTGTGTCAGCTGTAGCAGTGGTGGCTTAAAGCAACAAGCTTAAACAGTTCTTGAGGTTCTTGAGGTTAGTTCTTAAACTGAGTTCTGTCAGTTCTTGAGGTTAGACGTCTGAAAGCAAGGTGCAGGCAAGGCAATGCTGTCTCTGAAGGCTCTAGTGAAGGGCCTTTCCTCGCCTCTCCCAGTTTCCGATGGCTCTGTGTGTTGCTTGACTTGTGGCAGCCTCCCAATCTCTGGCTTTGTCTTCACATCGCCTTTTGCGTGTTGTCTCCTTTTCTCTGTTACAGTTCCCTCTGCCTCTTTCCTGTAAAGCCACTTGTCATTGGATTCAGGGCCCACCCAGATAATCCAAGATGACCTCACCATCTCAAGATCCTTTGCTTAATTACATCTGCAAAGACTCTTCTCCCAAATAAGCTAGCATTCACAGGTTCCAGGGAATTGATAGGGAGTCTCTTTTGGTGATGATCGGGTCACCATTCAAGCTGCTTGAGTAAGCCTGGGAAATCATGCACGTATCATCCCAGCGAGGCCTGCAGACCCTGTGTGGTTTTAATTTAACACTCACTGAGCCCTAAGAGGACCCTAAGGCCTCTCTAGGTGTGGTGTCACCAGAGATGCCACCAGACACCTGAGGGACCTTTGAGAAAGAGAAAGGTCACTGGACAATGATAGAGAAGAGACGCTCCAGGTCTGGCTGTGTCACTCATTCCTGAGTGACTTGGGGCAGGTTGTTCAGCCTCTTGGGGCTGTCTTCATTTCCCAGGTAAAGGGACTAGCATGTAACCTCCAGCAGCCCTCGAGTTCTCTCTGTCTCTGTCATTCCTTAATCCTTGTAAGCCCTGAAAATCACATCAGCTTGAACGGGTGGGGAGACGGGCCCGAGCACCAGCGGCTCAGTTGAAAAGGCTCTGGGTGGCAGCCAATCTGAATCTGTACTCACCAGCTGGGGCCCCTTGGGCAAGGCTTGCCACTTCTTTGAGCCTCAGTTTTCTTTTCTTTAAGTGCAAGAATTGAAAATATACGTGTAATTCCAAGACTTGGGCTGCTAGACCTCCCGGAGTCCCTTCGGCTCTAAGGATCTGAGTTCTAGAATTCTCATGTCTTGGCTGTAAGGGATCAGACAGAACCAATGGTTCTTTTTTTCTGGAAACCAGCACGTAACACTCAGCATAGAGCATACACTCAAATTGTAGCTTGATTTCTCATCACTTGTTTTCAGTTTTGTTTTCGACAGCAAGATTCTCTTTTTAGGGGGATCTTGCTATAAATGGTACATCTTCAAATGCTTCTGCTGATTAACTTATAAATTTAGGAGAGTTCTGAAGATATTTACAACCTGCCTCCTAATTAAGAAGTGCAGGGGCAAATTAGTGTGAGATACTCCAGTTTGCTCTCTCCGTCTTTTCTCCAAACTTCTCCCGCTTCCTTCTCCCCTCCTCCTCCCCCTTCCCCTGCCCCCACCTTCTTTCTGCCTAACAGCCTAATGGTAACAGGAAGCTGGAAGAGACTTCAGACCTAGGTCACTAATGTCATGGGGGAGTGGGGCATCTCTTTGGAATGCATTTCTTCCCATCTTTGGTAGATAGCCCTAGGACAGCTCTCACTCCAGCAGACATCCTTTCCAGGGTACAGGTGGTTACCTGCTAGCCTCATAAAGAAAAGAAACAGCAACAAAATGGTTGTTATTATCAACAGCAACAGCTAGTTTCAAAATGAAGGCAGCTCATGGTGGGTGTAATCAAGTAAGGACTCCCAAATTTATAAGGGGGTTAGTCTCATATCTCCAACCCTAAATTTAAGTAAGACAGCAACTGAGTTTCTTGGTCTCTGTTTACAAAGGTATAACCATCTCTAGGCACATAGCTAAAAGTAGATTGTTTTTGATGGTGCTTTCTTAAGATATGGAATCTTCTCTGGAACACCACACTCTTAATGTAATACTTCCTATACCTCTTTTTTGTTGTTGTTGTTGTTTGAGACAGAGTCTTGCTTTGTTGCCCAGGCTGGAGTGCAGTGGTATGATCTCAGCTCACTGCACCCCCCACCTCCTGGGTTCAAGTGATTCGCCTGTCTCACCCTCCTAAGTAGCTGGTATTACAGGTGCACGCCACCATGCCCAGTTAATTTTTGTATTTTTAGTAGAGATGGGGTTTCACCACGTTGGCCAGGCTGGTCCTGAACTCCTGACCTCAGGTGATCTGCCCGCCTTGGCCTCCCAAAGTGCTGGGATTATAGGCGTGAGCCACTGCGCCCAGCCCCATACCTCTTTGGATTAGATAGAGGTTGAATCTATTCTTGACAAGTGTTTGGAAAAAAAAGCAAAAGTCAAACTGAAAACAGAAGCCTGGAGGGTAAAGGAAAAGGTTTTGTCCCATGTGTTCTTCCCCTAGTCTTGGGCTGTTTTACCAACAGACTAAGGAAGGGTGGGCTTGACTTTCTCTTGGCCTCTCAAGCTGTCTTATGCAATTCCTATGCCCCCAGGGGCTACCTGTGTGCATGGAGCACTGCACTGGTTCACTCAGGACAAAGGCGCTCGGCCCTCGTCCCACACTGCAGAGTGGTACTTCCCTGAGCAGGCACCTGCCAGGCTGCACGGGAGCATTCTTTTGTTCTCCTCCCTGAAAGGAAAGTTGTCTTATGTGCATTCTGACCACAGAGGGAGAGGGCGGGGCTCTGAGTCCCACGATTTCCCTTTCCTCACATCACCGCACCCAGAAATCAGTTGGCCTGGGTTCATCTAGTCTTTCTGGGCGGGCTGGTGGCACCTGTCCTTGTGTCTCGTGGTATTTACTGTGCTACCTGTGCTCTCTGGGAACGTGCAGTGATGTCTGTGACAGCCTGTACACCCACCACATAAGAAAGAGCCTCAGATGGAGCCGAGGGAAGTCCTCTAGACCCTGGAATGCCTGTCCATTCTGCCCTACGAGGCCACCCTCCCCTGTCTTTATCTGTTAACTTGGAAAGGGTGGACAGCAGGACAGGATTTAGACTCGCTTTTAGACCCCTCCTGCTGAACTCCTGGGGTGAAGGAAATGGAATCACAATGGGATTCAGCCAAATCCTTTTCCTTGGCTCTCAGAGGAATTAAAAACTGGTGGCTCTGTTTTGTTTTGCTTTTGGACTGATTAAAAAACTGCTTTTTCACAAAGCTGAGGGGCAAATGTTTATGATGTTTCTGAGGTGAATTCACATTATAAATTGGAGGCCTTTGTCCCCTTCCTTCTTTTTGGCATAGGTATTTTAAGTATGTTATGTGGCAGTAATCATAAGCAGTGAGTAGGTCTTGTTCTGGGCTAAGCTATTCTCTAGTGAGCAAAACATAGGTTATCCTAGGATGCTTGCATGACATCTAATCTTTTTGTCACCATCAGAGATGTAATTTGCAAAAGAGAAGCTGACATGTCAATTCCCCTTTTCTTGTTCTGTGTATATCATACACTTGCAAGGAACAAATAATAACCCGTGTCCATGCTGAAGGCTAATTGCATTCTTCTCATTCTCACTGTGCTCAGAGGAATTCATGCTTTCATCCAATTAATTAATTGTAGACCCAAATATTTTTGAGGATCATGTTATCTGATCCTGTTATCTGAGTATATTGGTTGAGATGGTCTGTCCCAGTGGACAGTAAGCCACCACTGTATCCTGACTTTGTATAATATTTTTAACATCTGCAAGTGATCTCATAAACATTTAATTCTCACCACAGGCCTGCAAGCTGGTCAGGGCAGTTAGTTACTAGTCACCTTCATTTACAGATGAGGCTACTGAGTGCCCGAGACTCTGGATCTAATTGGTGTGACAGAACCATGATTAGAAAATAGATCTCTTAGGTTGGTGAATGGATACAAACATGCAGTTAGAACAAAGAAGTTCAATGTTCAGTAGCAGACTAGGGTGACTACAGTTAACCAGCAATATACTGTATATTTCAAAGTAGCTGGGAGACAGAGATGATAAATACTGAAGGTGATAAATACTCCAGATACCCTGACTTGAGCATTATACATTATATGCATGTAAAAAAATACTCATATGAACCCCATAAATATGTAAAATATTATGTATCAATAAAAGAAAAAATAAGGAAAATAGGTCTCTTTCAATTCTCAGAAGATAGGGACATACACACATAGAGACAGAGAGAGAGAGTGAGCCTGAACTTTATTATCTACCTGACAATAATCATTACAGAAAACAAATAATTTGCCCCTTGATATAACTTGCTGAAGGACCAAAAGTTACCATTCCTGGTGGATGGTAAAGGCCTGTCTCAGTGTCCCTTTTATACCTATTCTCAGGACAATAAACATGTACTGCTTGGTTGGTTTACTTTTTACCAGTGTAAAATGTCACTGAAAATCAGTGACTTTGCTCATAGAGTCTGCTGTGTTTCTGTGCCTCATAGTCTGGCCTCCTTGAAGCATCTGTAGCCTCCACCAGGCCACCTGGCTCTGCCCTTAGAGAATGTTGTAGATGGATGATGCTGTCTCAAGTTTGAGAGCATATTTTCTTCATGAAGCTCTGGTCTCGGACTCTGCAGCTCAATGGACAGTCAGGAAGGCCCTGTGAAACAGGGTCAGTATTGAGACACTGGTCACCTTGTGTATTGTCAGACCATCACTTGACAATAAACTGGAGAAATTGCTTCATTTTAAATATGAATTAAGCAAAAGGTGGTATATCTAGAAAACGGAATATTATTCAGCCATAAAAAGGAACAAAGTTCTGATATATACTACAACTTCGAGGAACCTTGAAAACGTTATGTGAACAAAAAGTCAGGGCCAGGTGCGGTGGCTCACGCCTGTAATCCCAGCACTTTGGGAGGCCAAGGTGGGCAGATCACCTGAGGTCGGGAGTTCGAGACCAGCCTGGCCAGGATGGTGAAACCCCGTCTCTACTAAAAATACAAAAATTAGCTGGGCGTGGTGGCAGTTACCTGTAATCCCAGCTACTCAGGAAGCTGAGGCATGAGAATCACTTGAACCCAGGAGGCAGAGGTTGCAGTGAGCTGAGATCATGCCATTGCACTCCAGCCTGGGCGACAAGAGTGAGACTCCATCTCAAAAAAAAAAAAAAAAAAAAAAAAAAAAAAAAAAAAACAAAGAAAGAAGGAAAAAGACAGTCACAAAAGACCATAATTGTCCAATACCATTTGTATGAAATGTGTGGAATAGGCAAATCCACAGAGACAGGCAGTAAGTTAGAGAATGCCAGGGGCTGGGGGAAGGGGGAAATAACGAATGACTGCTAATGGGTATGGGGTTTCTTTTTGGAGTAATGAAATGTTCTAGAATTAGACAGTGGTGACGGCTGCACAACTCAATGAGTATAGTCATCCCTCAGTATATGCAGGGGATTGGTTCCAGGACCACCATCCCCCTGGTAAATCTGTCAGACTTAAGTCCCAAAGTCAGTCCTGAGGAACTGACTTATAGGAAAAGTCAACCCTCTGTGTACAGAGGTTTTGCATCCCTTGAATGCTGTATTTTCAATCCACGTTTGGCTAAAAGAAAGGGAACCATGTGATTCAAACCCACGCTGTTCAAGGGTCAACTGTATACTAAAAATTACTGAATTATATACTTTAAAAGGGTGAATTGTATGGTATGTGATTTATCTCTCAATTTCACATACACACATCTACCTATCTAGCTATCTATGCAAGAATGGCCATTCAAGTCAATAAACATCTTAATGCAAGATTCTATGCTAGGCTTGGCCAGGCACGGTGGCTCATGCCTGTAATCTCAGCACTTTGGGAGGCCGAGGTGGGAGATCACCTGAGGTCAGGAGTTCAAGACAAGCCTGGCCAACATGGCGAAACCCCATCTCTACTAAAAGTACAAAAATTAGCCGGGCATGGTGGCTTAAGTCTGTAATCCCAGCTACTCAGGAGGCTGAGGCAGGAGGATCGCTTGAACCTGGGAGGCAGAGGCTGCGGTGAGCCAAGATCATGCAACTGCACTCCAGCCTGGGCAACAGAGCAAGACAACATCTCAGGGAGAAAAAAAAAAGATTCTATTCTAGGCTCTTTCCCTCTGTGGGAGCCTAAATTTTGTTTTTTTGTGTGGCGAGAGGTTACCACTGCACAGGACATGGCCTTGATTGTAGAGTGTAGCTTAGTGAATGTAAAACCTCTCCAGTGCTGGGAAAGTCGACTCAAGTTGAAATCCAATGTATGGTTTGTGATGAGTTGGTTTTGCAACACTTTACTGGAGAAGAACAACCTGGTACTAATATTTTGTCCCCTTCATGGCTATCAGGTTGGGAATTGACCCAGTAGGGCAGAGCACATTGATTGAATGAATGATTTGAGGAAAATCTATCTGATTCACCTGAAGCTGGCCACTTTCTCTTACTTTCACAACAGGAGGAAATGTGTTGTGCCAGGGCACCAGCAGACTGCATTCCCATGCAGTAAAGATTTAATATTTATGGAAAAATCACCCCATTTCCTGTCAGCACAAATGGAAGGGCTTTCTTATCTGGAAATAACAGTTTGAAAAGAATTTCTATTTATCTTGAGTTAAAAGGATGTTTTGTTTTTTTCAGCATTATTTAACTTCAGAGAGTTTGGCTGAAATGTGTAAGCAGGGGAGTAACTGACCCGGCAGGTCAAGTGAGACTCTTCCAGGAAGTCAACCAGGATTATTGAGCATGTGCTAGGAGCCCCACATGCGGCGGGGTGGCGGCGGCGGGTGGGTCACAAAATAAAATGTAAGATTTAGGACTTGTTCTCAGAGAGATAAGGCATGCGTCTTTAAAAGTCATGGAGTATCCAAGCTGAAAACCTCCTGGAGTGTCCCAGGAACCCCCCACCCCCACCCCGCCTCAGGGATCATGAGTGCCCAGGGCCGTTGCAGCTTCTTCAGAGACCCAGGGCATATGGCAGTTGAGAAATGGCTGGGATTCAATAGCAGAGAGACACAGCCTGCCTAGACAAGTTACCACCAAGTGCAGTAAGGGATATAGTTCCTGGACTGGCCACTATTCTGGGCACCAAAATGATGTCCCCAGAGTAGTCCTTTCTCCTCTCCAGAACCCAGCACATCAGGGCATCAGAAGGACTCCTGCATCTGCTTTCTCAGGGACCCAGAGCAGCACCCTTCCCCTTCCTGCTGTTCCCTCCCAGCTCCCATCCCTGGCTCTGCTTACCTCTTCTTTTACCACTATAGACATAAAAGGGGTGATCATGCCCCTTCTTCTAAATGATTGATTCCAGGGTGCCCCACCTACCCGACAGAGGTGATCTTCAATGAATTCCACGGGAATTTTCATGACCTTCTCTTGGGGGAGCAGAAAAAGAGTTTAATCTTTGGTGGTGTCTCTCAGTGCACAAGGTAATCCAGGGCCAGATGTGGTAGCTCATGCTTGTAATCCCAGCACTTTGGGAGGCCAAAGCAGGAGGATCACTTGAGAACAAGAGTTCAGGACTAGCCTAGGCAACACAGTAAGACCTCACTTCTACTAAAAATTTAAAAACTTAGCTGGATGTGTTGGTGAGGGTCTATAGTCCCAGCTATTTGGGAGGCTGAAGCAGGGGGACTGCTAGAGCCCAGGTGTTCGAAGCTGCAATGCTGCAGTGAGCTATGATCACACGCCACTGCACTCCAGCCTGGGGGACAGAGCAAGACTCTGTCTCAAAACAACAACAACAACAACAAAAACACGATAATTTTGGACCCACAGTATTAAATGGCCAAGTAATGGGCATACACAGTAAATGTCCTGAGTTCAAGAGAGATTTTTGGTGATTACTAAAAAGAAGTCAACTTTGGTTCTTAAGGAATGGGTAGTCAAGGTGAGAAATTTATCTTTGTTTGCTATTGTTACTGATGGCTTTGTTCACTTTTTGCCAACCTTGTTTCTTTGATTTTAAGCATGTGATTTGATTGTACTGTTTGATTTAATTGCAAGATTATAATAATATGTCCTTTTCTATTCCAAACCAGTAGTCAGCTTATAAATTTTATTTTATTTTTTTTTGAGACAGAGTCTCCCTCCATTGCCCAGGCTGGAGTGCAGTGGCACTATCTTGGCTCAGTGCAACCTCCACCTCCCAGGTTCAAGCAATTCTCCTGCTTCAGCCTCCCAAATAGCTGGGATTACAGGCGCGTACCACCACCCCTGGCTAATTTTTGTGTTTTTTACTAGAGATGGGATTTCACCATGTTGGTCAGGCTGGTCTTGAACTCCTGACCTCAAATGATCCACCCACCTCAGCCACCCAAAGTGCTGGGATAACAGGCGTGAGCCACTGCACCTGGCCAGTTTAAAAATTTTTTAAAAATATTTTCTACTACAGGCTAATTTTAGCTTAATCATGAGGGAAACAGAATTTTTTGGGTTCACTCAGACCTAATCTCCATTTGAAAGACTGACCCTACTAATCCACTTGTATCTGCTGACCTAGCTGACGGTGGTGGAGAAACAGACAAGTGGGTCTCTACACCCAAGCCAGCCTGACTCCTGGAATCTGGGTTGTGCCTCTGCTGGGCATTGCAACTACCTCCAGCAATCTTCTTTAGCTTTTGGGTTCATAATAAGTCACACCAAAGATGGCATCTCAAGCTACCTTGGCTCGATTTTGTCCTTGTGATTCCACACGCTTGGCCTCTCCATGAATGTTTAACTTGGAGGGGTCTATGTTGAAAAATGGTACCATCCAAAGGTCAGCAGAATAATTTCTCTTCCGGGCACAGTATTACCAGGCTAAGGATATGAAATTTTCCCCAGGGCCCAGGAGATGGCATGTGCTTCAGGGAAAATGGGAGCATTTTGTTCCTTTGGATCCAGTGATGCTGCGCTGAGGGGTCTGCCACCATGGACAGGCTGCCTCCTCGTCTGTTTCACACCTGAATGTGCTTGCTTCCTGGACCTCGTGGCTTCCCGCCTTGGGGAGGATATGATGCCAATTCCAGCAGATGGACTTGCTTGTAGTTTGCCAGCTAGTCAAGTGGAGGGAGTTAGGGCTGGTGCCCATCCAGCCCAGCGGAAATGAACTGGTACAGAAATTCCTCCCAAAAAGGGAAAGTTTGGAGTGGCCTTGCAAATGAAAACTCTTCATGAACTATGTTAATGGCTCCATAGCAAAACACAAAGCTGCAGGCACCTTGGAAACAGGGATAGAGTTTGGAATTTTGGAGCTTGATGTGGCCTGGATAGGTAAGGTGGAAGGGAGAGAAGAGTGGTTAGCAGAAAGAACTGATACAGGCCAGGTGCCGTGGCTCATGCTTGTGATCCCAGCACTTTGTGAGGCCAAAGTGAGCAGATCACTTGAGGCCAGGAGTTCGAGACGAGCCTGGCCAACATCATGAAACCCCGTATCTACTAAAAATACAAAAATTAGCTGGGCATGATGGTATGCACCTGTAATCCTAGCTACTCAGGAGGCTGAGACACGAGAATTGCTGGAACCCAGGAGGTGGAGGTTGCAGTGAGCTGAGATGGCACCACTGCATAGACACACCAGGACTTGATCCCAGAAGCCACACTTAAAGCTAAATAATCTGGTGGAGGGCGGTGGCTCACGCCTGTAATCCCAGCACTTTGGGAGGCCGAGGCAGGCAGATCACGAGGTCAGGAGATCGAGACCATCCTGGCCAACATGGTGAAACCCCGTCTCTACTAAAAATACAAAAATTAGCTGGGTGTGGTGGCATGTGCCTGTAATCCCAGCTACTCGGGAGGCTGAGGCAAGAGAATCACTTGAACCAGGGAGTTGGAGGTTGCAGTGAGCTGAGATCGCATCACTGCACTCCAGCCTGGGCAACAGAGCAAGACTCTGTCTCAAACAACACAAAACAAAACAAAACAAAAAAGAAGCTGAGTAATTCTCAGCAAGTTGCTTACATGTTGAGTCCCGGCACCTGAAGCTGGGATAGGTCTTGACCCTTCTCATCTGAAAACTCACAAATTTGGATATTTGCTCAGTAAATCTGAAGATGTCCCATCCTCTTATTATTACGATGTGGGCAATGATACTTACCTTGTACAGGCTTCAAACAGATAGTAAGAGTCATCTGAGACAGTGCCTCACATACCGGGCCTCAAGAAATATTTTTTCCATTTTCTTCATTTATAAAACACAGATTTTGTAAAAGCCCAATATTTGGAATGAACTTACAGCTTCCTGTTTGAATGAAGGAGTCAGGCTCACCCATCTCTGTTTACTCTCTGATGTAGTTATATGGGATTATTTCAGATACACAAGTTAACAGTCATGTTGATGCTTGGGTTTGAAAATTTCTTAAATCGCTTAACTTTAGACATTCACACACATTTATGCCCATAAATTCAATCTACCATTGTTTCATGGTGTATTTTTAATTACTTTTTTACCAGGCATCTGAAAACTGCTCAATAAAGGTGTGTGGATAAATGATTATTTTTCCCGTGGTGAATTTTTGCCATGTCCTTTAACCAAAAATGTTAAAGACTTCACATACTCTTTAGGCCTAAACTTCTCATCCCTTTACTAAATACCTATTTCTGGCTGGGTGTGGTGGCTCACGCCTATAATCCCAGCACTTTGGGAGGCTGAGGTGGGCATATCACCTAAGTTCAGAAGTTTGAGAGCAGCCTGGCCAATAAGGCAAAACCCCGTCTCTACTAAAAATACAAAAGTTAGCCGGCTATGGTGGCGGATGCCTGTAATCCCAGCTACTTGGGAGGCTGAGGCACGAGAATTGCTTGAACCCAGGAGGTGAAGGTTGCAGTAAGCCGAGATCACCCTACTGCACTCCAGCCTAGATGACAGAGTGAGACTGTGTCTCAAAATAAATAAATAAATAAATAAATATTTATTTCACTCACATATGAAATAAAGGCCCAAGTGATTTTTTTCTGTTAATGTTTCTTTTATTGCATCTAGCTGGATATAATCTGTTTAAGTATAAACTCCTGGAGGATTTGTGCTGTCTGTTTAACTGCTCTGTATACTACCCAGCACATTTACCCAGACTGGGCCTTCATCAGTATTTAGTATGACGGTGAAGAGGTCTCTTAACTTCTCTGGACTGCCAAAGTGTGGCTTTTATATCAGCTCCTTGAACCTGAGCCTTAGCACTGAGTCCCTTTGGAACAGATTTTAGCCAACAACACCTGTGATTAGTAGCAGCTTTGTTGAGGCTTTATTACATACCAGAAAATTCACCCATGTTAAGTATATGATTCAATGACCTTTAGTAAATTTACAGAGTTGTGCAACCATCATCACAATCCTACTTTAGAACATTTCCATCACTTCAAACACATCCCTCTGCCCACCCTTTGATTATTTTTAAAAATATTATTTTTTGAGATGGGGTTTCACTCTTGGCATCCACAATGGAGTGCAATGGCACGATCTCAGATCACTGCAACCTCTGCCTCCCGGGTTCAAGGGATTCTCCTGCCTCAGCCTCCCAAGTAGCTGGGATTACAGGTGCATGCAACCATGCCTGGCTAATTTTTGTATTTTTAGTAGAGACAGGGTTTCACCATATTGGCAAGGCTGGTCTTGAACTCCTGACCTCAGGTGATCCACCCGCCTCAGCCTCCCAAAGTGCTGGAAATACAGGTGTGAGCCACCACGCCCAGCCCACCTTCGGGTTATTTCCTCTTCACGTTCTTTCCCCAAATCGTGTGCATGCATGTGCACAGGAGGCATGCCAATGGGAAAGGTGGCTCAGGTTGCTCACCAAGGGCTGCCCAACTAGGGAGGTGACTTGAACCTCTTGACTCCACACGGCGTTCTTCACTCTTTTCATCTGGAAACTCACGAATTTGGAAATTTGCTCAGTAAATCTGAAGATGACCCATCCTCTTTGACCCCATCCCAGAAGACATAGAGATGCTTAAATAAATAAAATCCAAAAAGAGAAACTGATCATCCAAATATAGGAGAGTAGAAAGAGGATGAAGAGGCCGGGCGCAGTGGCTCACACCTGTAATCCCGGCACTTTGGGAGGTTGAGGCAGGCGATCATGAGTTCAAGAGATCGAGACCATCCTGGCCACCACGGTGAAACCCCATCTCTACTAAAAATACAGAAATTAGCTGGGCATGGTGGCATGTGCCTGTAGTCCCAGCTACTTGGGAGGCTGAGGCAGGAGAATCGCTTGAACCCGGGAGGCAGAGGTTGCAGTGAGCCAGTATCGCACCACTGCACTCCAGCCTTGCGACAGAATGAGACTCTGTCTCAAAAAAAAAAAAAAAAAGAGGATGAAGACTCGTGGGTAGTGAGCCTAATTCTGACGCTCAAGTTACTTCTTGCCATGTGACTAGAAGCCTGGGTAAGTGTCCCATTTTACCTTTGTAAAGGGGGACACCTTCACTCCTCTGACAGACATTGCATGCTAATATCTTAAACATGAGGTGAGGTGCAGGGGTTACAGAGGTAAAAGGTACCATCCTTAACCCCAAATGGTCTTACCATCTAAGGCTGAGGTTCTAAAACCACTATGCCTAACAATCACCTGCATATCTTGTTTGAAGTGTGGATTCCCAGCACAACATGGTGCCTATCATTAACAATACTGTATTGTGCACTTAAAAATTGAAGACAGTACATCTCATGTTGTGTTCTTACCACAATAAAAATGAAGTTATTCATGCTTTTAAAAAATAATGAAGTATGGATTCTCAGGCCTCACCCCAGACATTCTGATTCAGGAGGCCTGGGAATCTGCATGTGAACATGCAGCCCTGCCCTGGGTGATTCTGGTACAGGGAAGTCCACAGATGCCACTTTGAGGATCTGGCCCTATAAGGGTGTGGTGAGGACACATTGATGGAGGTTTCTGACTCCTCAGAAGAAAAATGCACTAGAAATTTAGTGAGACCCCTGTCATTATTATGATGTATAAGCCAATAGTCTCCTCTTCATTTTAGAAGCACGGCTTTGTTGCTAAAACCTTACATTTTCTCAGCACTGCTTGGGACTTCTTCCAAACCAGCTTAGAGAGATTCCACATGTCTATATAAAAGGGTCTTTTCATTTCCTGATCTTTGTGGGCAAATAATCTCCCTAAAAAATTTCGTAAATCATCCTAGTCTTCTTAAAAATGACAAACGTGGCAGGGCAGGGTGGCTCACACCTATAATTGCAGCACTTTGGGAGGCTGAGGCAGGAGGATCACTTGAGGTGAGGAATTCAAGACCAGCCTGGGCAACATAGTGAGATCCTGTCTCCACAAAAAATTTAAAAATTGCCGGGCGCAGTGGCTCACGCCTGTAATCCCAGCACTTTGGGAGGCTGAGGCGGGCGGATCACAAGGTCAAGAGATCGAGACCATCCTGGCCAATGTGGTGAAACCCCATCTCTACTAAAAATACAAAAATTAGCTGGGTGTGGTGGTGCATACCTGTAGTCCCAGCTACTCAGGAGGCTGAGGCAGGAGAATTGCTTGAAACTGGGAGGCGGAGGTTACAGTGAGCCAAGATCACGCCACTGCACTCTAGCGTGGGCAACAGAGCGAGACTCCGTCTCAAAAAAAAAAAAAAACTTTAAAAATTAGCCAGGCATGGTGGCTCACACCTGTAATCCCAGCTACTCAGGAGGCTGAGGTGGGACAATCGCTTGGACCCAGGAGTTGGAGGTTGCAGTGAGCTGATTGCGCTATGATCGTGCCACTGCACTCTAGCATGGGTGACAGAGATCCCATCTCAAAAAAAAAAAAAAAAAAGACAAGAGTTGTTACAGAAATCTTTCCATCATCCTAAGAAAGAGTACATTAAAAGGGCTGTGCCATCACTGGAGAAACTTCCAGTTCCTCCTCTCTGTTCACATGCATAGAGAGCCTGCAGCTTCCCCTCAGTCACTGGCTCACCTGAGATTTCTGCAGGGATGGTTTCGTTGAAAATGAGGCTGTGTGTATAAAATGCCTGCAACATAGCCAGTAGCTAGCCAGTAATTTTCTGCTACAATTAAAAACACACAATACAAAATGTACCAAAAATATGAATCAAGAAAGCTTGATAAGAGGTTTTCCAATCATATTTGTCTCAGACAGTACTGCAGAATAATATGGAAATTCTGAAGTAACAAAAGGGAATAAAAAGTTGAACTCAGTTTTGTTATACTTTTGCATAAGGGGTTCCTTACATGTACCTCAAAAGCAGGGACTTGCGAGGAGGCTGCAGGCTGTGTGATGGCTGTGCTCAGCTAGGCACCTTTCCATCATCTCAAATCCGAGAAAGAAACTCAAAAAGCCTAAGAATCTCGTTTCAGTACAAGCTTATGCCTCAGGGACAATCACTGTCGGTTTCACATGCAGACAATAGTGAGTGAATGCAAAGAAATGGTACTTTCCTACCTGCATTTAAAAAAAGAAAGAAAGTAAATCTACTCCCCCTCCTTTTTTGGGAACATGGACTGGCCCATTGTGGTTGCTGGTGTGTTGAACTAGTAAGTAAAGCGAGGAGAGGAGGCGTGAGAGAGCGTGCCTGCCCGCCGCACACGGGGCTGGTTTCCGGAGTGCGTCTCTAGAGGGATGCACGTTGCCTTAGCCGAGCTTCGGAGAGAAGCCTGATATGTAACCCAGGCAGGTGGGAGCCTCAGTCTGTCGGGCTGAGGTCTGGCATCTACAAAGCCTCTTGGCCGTGTTCTGAACTTGAAGCCTGGAGGAGTTCTCTGCTCAGCACAGCCAAGGAACAGAATTAGAAGAAAAGGAACCCTGGCCTGAGGTAAAGCGGACATTGCACAAGGTGACCTATGTCCTTTGCTTTGCGTGGCAGATGTGAGATTTCTGGCTTCCTTCGTGAGGTCGGAGGCCGCTCGGATCCTCCAAATGTGGTGGCTGGATGCTGGCGACAGAAGTCACTTTTATTGCCCTGACATACATTTATGTAAACTTTTTGTTTTCCTGATGATACAAAAGAAACGACAGGAGCTTTTGTTCATCGATACAGAACTAGACTGAAGGGCAGGAAAGGCTGGTTATTTATTTCACTGAGAAGTGTAGTGCGTTGACCTTTTAAACAAGGCTTATGTTTTTTTAGGCTGCTACCCGCAAGATTGAAAGGAGACTGTGGTTTTCAGACTTTGGGGTTGTTTTGTTTTGTCTGTGGTTTGTAGAGCTCTGTGAAATTTACATTTGAGTCCTGTTTGGGGGATTTGGTGGTGGAAGTGGCACGTGGGAATGAGTAGATTTAGCTATTACTGTAAATTATGAGATTTTTTTTTCTTTAAGAAATACCCAATAAATGAAAATAAGGAAACAAAATGTTTAGATGTTATTCATGTTTTATTGCGGCTCTAGGTTGAAAGAGCTTGACAATTGCCTCTCTTTCCACCTTTGATATGCAGTAAAAGAAATCTAGAGATTCTGGCCTTTATATTGAAAATAGTTTTCCTAAAAACCCAGTTATTAATCGAATCATACTGTAAAGACTTTTTTTGGGGGGAAAGTGTTTTAAAATGTGCTATACTAGCATGAAAGAAGAAATGGGACCAGAAAGTTATTTCATCTGTGAAAAAAATAGATTTATGATGTTGGAAAAGAAAAAAAGAAAACGTGAGTTTGGCCATAAGCCAGCAGGAGTGTGGTCGCTATAGCAGCTTCATTTGTCACTTAGCTGAGATTGGAGACTTAAAAGAAAACTGAGCCTGTTTTTCTCTCAGACAGCCTCATAAGGAATGTTAAGAGGATGTGAAGTTATTTAGATTACCAAAACAGGTTCTGACAAGTAAGTGAAAATAACTCATTAAAATATAATTGTTGCCATTCTATAAATGGATCAAAAGGCTTGTTGAGTCACTGCGTACTTATAGAATAGGTGAATTTGCCACGGCTCATTGGTATAAATTACTTTTGAGAAGGCTTTTTAAGACTAAGCGTGAGGCCTTGCCAAGCATCCCTTATAACACTTAGAATGTTTTGACCAATGTTTTCGAGGCGGTTGCCTAAGCATTTTCATGTGTCAGTGAGTCTAATCCTCGCATCAGTGGCTTATCCAGTAAGCTCAGGGAATATTATATCCTGACAACAGAAGCCTGCAGATTTTTCTCTTCAACTAAACAATAGCTCACCTAAAAGGACAGAAAGTGAACTACTCAGTTCTTGTAACCTGACTTTCTGGAGGGATGGTCATGATTTTGGCTCCTGTAGAACAGGGTTTCTCAACCTCAGCATTATTGACATTTTGGATGGGATTATAGTTTGTTGCAGGGGACTGTCTATGGGATGTCTAGTAGCATCCTTGATCTCTACACACCAGGCGACAGTAGCACTCCCTCCCCAGCTGTGAGAACCAGAGATATCTTCAGACACTGTTAAATATTCCCTGTGGGCAAAATGCCCCTGGTTGGGAATCACTGCTAGAGGGAAACCTGTCTTGGGGCCTACTGCTGCCAACGAGGGGGAAGGGTCTATGAGAGGAGGCTGGAGTCCCAGGGAGGCCTGGCGGGGTCCAAGGAACAGTGGCAGGACAGGTGTTTTTGCCTGACCATTTGGTTTTTATTTTGTTTGGGTTTTGTCTGAAATCACATCTTGGGAATGGGGTATCAGATTCAAGGACTTGCTGCGGATATACATTCTTCTGCCCCCTTTTCCTTCTGTGCCCTTGTGGGACTTATTTTATACAGTGCTATGATTGGTATAGTAGTCAAACTTCTTTCAATTGAATTCTAAAGTGCATTCTGGGGATATACTATTTTGTCTTTTTTTAAAAAGAAGCTTATACAGTGATCCATTTTATAAAGCAAATAGTTACCCATACTTTTCCCTTCTGTAAATATAGAGTTTTTTGTTGTTGTTGTTGTTTGTTTGTTTGTAATGTGGGTTTTTAGTAAATCTGGCCATGCCTGTTAGTTTTTTTTTCTTCTAGAATCTGCAAGTGAATGCTTTCATTTCTTTTTTCTTTTCGCCATCTGTACCAGTGGGTCTCAAACTGTTTTGATTTTTTTAGGAATTGGGCCTTGTTTTGTGAGTGCAATTGAAGAATCACAGCTTTTTTCCAATTTACAGATAACGATGAAGTCAATGGCTGGGATTTTTTCCGTTTAAAATTTTTCTTACACCTTTAGCATTAATGCTACTGCTTGTTTGCTCTCAAAGGTTTACAGATTACAAAATGCATGAAGCTGCGAGTGCTGCTTTTTCTTGGTGTTTCTCCAAGAATATAGTACATTGCACTGAGCACCGTGACTTCCAGGAGCTACCACCACCACCCAAACCAGATGAGATGTACCACTGCATAGTGCTTAGTGGTGCTTAGCATTGGCTGAACAGATAGGGAAACACCTTGACTTATTGAAGTCTATTCTTGGTGACAGACCTGGACTGGCCCATAATGTTATCAGAGAGCTGTGGTTTCTGCTTTTGATTGCAAAGCAAATCTTGCATTTCTCTCCACCTGGAGGTACCAATGTGACACACACCATGTGCTCTCTAAGTAACAGTTCTTCGTAATTAAAATTCACCCTCTCCCCCCATTCAGTAGACCAAAGATCCCTGAGTGCAGCAAATGTGAGCATTTTAGGTCTATTTGCCCCCAGGATATAGCACAGTGCCTGCTCATACTATTTGCTCAGTCATTGATGAACAGACAAATGAATGTCAATGATTTCTATGGAAAGACCACCCAGGAGCTTGGTCAGCAAGCCACATGTCTGCAGCCTGTGTCCATATTTCTGTAATTTTTTAAAGAGGACAAATCCAGTCACCATCTAAGCAGGTTTTAATGTCTGAGGGGCTACCAGAAAACTCTTTGAAGGATGCAGGAAGAGTGGGTCTGTGGGTTGTAGAATTTGGGCCTTCATAAGGCCCAGAAATTAAATTTCTGCTCTTATTATAAACCCCACAGGTTAATGCTTCTTCATGGTTTCAATAAGATAAAGAGCACACTAACCATAGGGTCTGACCCAAAGGCAAGGTATTTACCACCTCTTTAAGAAAACTCGCCAGTTGAAAGAGCTTATGATCAGAGGTGAAAAAACGGCCCTTGTTGATCTATGTGTCCTGTGGGGAGTCAGGTGGTGCTGCCCAGAGAACCTACCTGGTTCTCTGAACCAGGTTATCAGGGCAAGGGGGGTGCAGATGGGGCAGATGTCTTGAAATTGGAAGTTTCCAGACTGTGCAGAATGTAAAGATGCCGTAGTGAGAGACAGAGAAGCCAAAGATCCTCTCAATCTCTTGCTTTGGTTCACAAACCAACCCCAGCTCCATGGATTTTTTTGTTTTGTTTTGTTTTTTGAGATGGAGTCTTGCTCTGTCACCCAGGCTGGAGTGCAGTGGTGCAATCTTGGCTCACTGCAACCTCCACCTCCTGGGTTCAAGCGATTCTCCTGCCTCACCCTCCGAGTAACTGGGATTACAGGTGTGTGCCACCATGCCCGGCTAATTTTTTGTGTTTTTAGTAGAGATGGGGTTTCACCATGTTGGCTAGGCTGGTCTTCAACTCCTGACCTCAAGTGATCCACCCGCTTCAGCCTCCCAAAGTGCTGGGATTACAGGCGTGAGCCACCGCACCTGGCCTAGCTACATGCTTCTAAGCAGAGCCCTGGGAATGAGCAAGCGTGAGCCTTTCTTGTACCTTAAGCTGCAGAGGCTTAAGGTGCAGCCTTTGACGGGAGGGGACCTTCATCAAAGAGGAAACAAACCCTGCTGCTTTATTATTCGCCAAGCCTGGAATGTTTTTAGCAAATACGTGTTTGTGTCCTTCTCAGCATTGCTGGTTCACACTGAGGCCATTTGTTGCTCATAAACACTAGATGAAGCAAAAATACTTGTTTACACTTAAGACTGCTTTTATCTTTCCTTACTGCTGAATAGTAATTTTTTACTAGATTGTCTTGGTTCTGTGCAGCTGGTTCCTTATGTCTGTGCTCATATCCGTATACCTTGTCCAAATAAACATACTTGAAAACATAGAGAATTGTGTTTTGTGAAGTTTAGAACATCCTCTAACAGAGTTTAAGCTGAGCTTTCTGCTTTGTTTTGGCAACTTGTTTAGGATGCCAAATGTATCTGGTCTGGCAACAGATGAAAGAAGATGTTGGCCCTTATATAACGAAGTTTAGGGAATAAGTGGGGGGTGGGGTGGATTGCCAGGTTTCCTTTGTGGTTTGAAAAGAGTTCTAAAGCATGAGGAAAACATGTGTTCGACTGGGTTTTTGTTTTGCCTTTAAACCTTGGAATTTTGAAAATCTGTTGAAATATCTTCTCCTGGCTTATGCAGCCCTCTGAGATTAAGTTTCTGATTACCTACATCTTCCCTCCTCTTTCATTCCAGCCCTGCTAGCCTTCTTTCTGCCCCTCAAGCACAGACACTGTCCATCTCTGGGCTTTCACTGCTCCCTGAGCCTGGCACATTCTTCCTCCAGATCTTGGCTTCCTTCTCATTATTCAACCTGCCTCTTTTGACTTGGAGAGGTATCCTCTAATCACCTAGCTAAAGTTGCTTCCACCTGCCCAACCCCTAGGCCATCTTCTCTCCCCTGGTTCTGTTTTAGGTTCTTCATGGCACTGTTCCCCGACTATCTGGAATTCTTATCTGCTTGTATCCATGTCTAGTATCTGTCACTCATTGCAAGAATGTATGCTTATGACAGGTACTATCATATCCCCGAAACTAAAACATCATCTGATAGAAGGTTGGTGCCCAATAAGAGGATGAGTGGATGGATAGAAGGATGGATGAATGGGAGGGAAAAGGAGAGGGAAGGAAGGAAAGAAGGAGCGGGGAAAGGAGGGGGGTTGACTACCGAGTAAATTTCTACTCTCTTTTAAGTCTAAGAGCTTCTCTCCTGTGATTCCTCTTTGACTCCCCAAGACAGTAGCCTTGGAGAATTTTCTCCCCACACCCACCTCACTTTGTACATTACACTAACCATCTTATCCAGTTACAGTCACCTGTTTGCTAAGCTCTGCATACTAAGCTCTTGAGGACAGGAATGTGTAATAAAGGTGGTTATGGTTGTAATTATTGTTTGTTCTTATTGCCTTAGCACTTTATAAGCATACTTCATCAAAGTCCTTTCATCAACTCTATGGCTTGAGTATGACTCTCATCTTTGTTTTGCAAGTAAGTAAACTGAGGCCCAGAGCAGTTGCCGAAAGGCGTACAGATGATTACTGCAGGGCCAGGAATTGAATACAGATTTCTTCTTGGTAGCGCAGATTATACAGCCTTTCTTTCCTCCTCATCAGGTGTCCAGTGCCTGACCCACAGGTTCATCACAGGCTTTTGCCAAATGAATGAAACCTAAGACCTCACCTCCTCCCTTCTCATCCCTATTATTTGAGCTTATACATATTATTTATACTATTTATAAACATAAACATGAGCCTATCAGTTCATAATCCAGTGACATCTCTAAGGATAACTAGCTGCTGTATCTTAAGTCACTTATTTTTATTGTTTTTTTAGAAACAGGGTCTCACTCTGTTGTCCAGACTGGAGCACAGTGGCACAGTCATAACTTACTGCAGCCTCAAACTCCTGGGCTCCAGAGATTCCCTGCCTCAGTCTCCTGAGTCCCGGGACTACAGGTGCATGCCATCATGCCCAGCTAATTTTTTTTTATTATTATTTTTTAGAGACAGGGTCTCACTATGTTGCCCAGGCTGCTCTCTTAACTCCTGGCCTCAAGTGGTCCTCCTGCCTTGGCCTCCTGAAGTGCTGGGATTACAGGCATGAAGCACCACACCCAGCCTACGTCATTTTTCTTTCTTTCTTTTTTTTCTTTTTTTAACCGATAGGACGTCATTGATTGCTTAAACCCTCTCATTCTTCTTATGTAAACAAATCTATTAGTCAAAAGTTAAGCAGCTGCTGAGTCACATGGCACTTTAATCCAGGGTTACAATTGGCAGCCCTGGGAATGAGTTCTCCTTTTTTTAGCTCCCACGATGGCACTGATTTCCCCTAGAATATGAAACTTACACCAAGGAAACCACCATGACAACTGTAGGTAGCAATTTCAAGCAGAAAAGACTAGGAAAATGCCTAAGAATTTTAAACCTGACAGAGTTCTTCTACATTTTTAATATAACCAAGTGCTGTTCATCACCTGCCTTGACACCGGTGTTTGTGAGGTTGATTGGCCCCAGGATGTTCCACTGCAGAACAGAAGGCCAAGATCAGAAGCCCTTGTCGACATATAAATGTAATGCTGTAAGCTGGCTTGGAGCTGTGACTCCATGGAGCCAATTCTAAAATGATTAAGACTTCTGTCTATAGAGAGTTGAGGTGGAGACTGTTTACTATGGCCCTGCCCAGAGGCTTCAGCAGCTGAGGGTGTACCCTCTGCAGTGGGAGTCTTCAGGCATGAGCCTGAAGCCTGTGCTGGCCTCTAGGGATGGAGTCCCTTGTTGTCTTACAGCTTGAATTTTCCAGCACAGGACAACTCCAGATGACAGCTCCAACAGGGCAGAGGCTGCAGCCTTGCCAGACTGGTCCGTCAAAGCTTTCCTTGGCACATAATCCAGTTTCACCCAGGTTTGGGGGTAACCCAGCTGGTTCCTTTTTTCCTGGGTTGGTGGTGAGCTAAGCAGGGAGGTAGTACCCACAGGTTATTTATGGATGTCAAAAACTCAAAAGGCCCTCAGCACTGGGGGTAGGACCAGTGAGAAGTGCTCAACCATGGCATGTATGAGGGATCTGTGGGCGAACCCTGATGTGTCATTTGGCTCCTCTATCCATCACAAAGAGCAGGGACCCCTGAACCCTTTAACCATCCCTGAGCAAGATTGGAGGGATTTTTGCCCTTTTAATACAACTTCTTAAATGGCCTGATGGCCTTGGATGTACTCATTAATAAATATGTCTTGTGGTTTGCAATTTAACTGTCTGTGTGATGAGGATATTGGAAAGGAGTTTCTGACTGATTCATTGTTCACACTTGCCTCTCCCAGCCGAGGGATAATTGGGGCCTTGCCTAATCTGCACTCGCTCACACCCAACATGTGCTGGGCGGGGAAAAAAGGCTGCAACCTGGCCGGCTGGTTCCCGGACCTGGCCTTGCACCAACCAGGAAGATCTCTTCTCTACCTCCTTTTCTGTGTTCAAGGTGATACCTGCTTAGGACTCCCAGAAATATCATTAGCAGGAAAGTTCCACAGATTTAATCTAGTCTAAACCTCTGAGAGTTGAGGACACTGAGACCCAGAAAACCTGAGTGATTTTCCTAGGAACACACAGCCCATTGGTTAGTAAGGCAAAAGTAGACCTCAGAGCAGCTCAGTGCTTCTCTATCCCCTCTGCACCTCCCCCAGGCTGCCTCTTGAACTACTTCTCTGCTTGCTGTACAAACCAAAGCTATCTTTCAAAGTCTTTTGGAATATTAAAGCCATTACAGGGAGGCAGGGTGTGTGGGGATTGAGTAGATATTCAAAAGATTTTTGCTCAAACCTTTATTTCACTTTGTTTTTAAACAACTTCCCTTTCCCATGCCTATGGAGCTTTTCTTGTCTCATCCTAAAAACTCCCAAGTTCCCACCTGCTTCTAGGAAGATTGTTGATGATTGTCCAGGCATCCCCTGCCACTGTCTGAGCAGACAACTTCTAAAAGTTTTTTTTTTTAAGTAGTGTGAGCTCATCGTAAATAAATAAATGAATAACTGAGTAAGTACACTTGTTTGTACTTCTCTGAATCACATGTAATGGGCCAGATAGTACATATTTTCAGCCTTGTGGACTATGCTGTCTCTGTCTCAGCTACGTATGGGCTAAAGCAGACCTAGAGACTATGTAAATGAACAGACATGGTTCTGTTCCAATAAAGCTTTATTTACAAAAAACAGGTAGTGGGCCAGGTTTCACCTATGGGCTGCCAATCTTGGTATCAGGTAAAAAGTAAACATTCTCCACTTACTCCCTAAGCTTTATTGGCACAGGACCACGTCTGTTCATTTACATAGTCTCTAGGTCTGCTTTAGCCCATACCAGCCTTGAGTAGCTGAGACAGAGACAGCGTAGTCCACAAAGCTGAAAATATGTACTATCTGGCCCATTGCATGTGGTTCAGAGAAGTACAAAGAAGTGTACTTATTCAGTTATTTATTTACAATAAGCTCACATTACTTTAAAAAAACCCACTCCCAGAGGTAGCTATTGTTGAGAGTTGGGTCTATAGTGTCACTGGCATGCAGATACTTACAAATACGGGGTTGGATCATGTAAATTTTTTCATATAGGATGTAGAGTTCTGTATCTTGCTTTGCTCCTGTTTCTTGCACATAGATACCTGTGGGAGGGCATGTATTCTTTTATACAAATAGGACCGTTTTATGCATGTTGTTCTACAATTTCCTTCACTTGGCAGTAACTCAGTGTTGATGCTTATAGGATGATGACATTCTTTTTAATGACCACATAGTGGTAAAATCCTTTACCATACACTAAGAAAACATGACAAATACCAAAAAAAAAAAGTATGTGTGTAAATAACTACCAGCAGACACAGATGATGTCTTGTTCGTCTCACATGGTCCCATGTGTCTGGTGGGCACATCCACGGGGATCCATGTCAGCCCGTGCAGCGTTACTATGTTTCCAAAGGGGGTTTTGTTTCAGCCTAACTTTCTGCCAGCACAGCACCACATACAGGTGACGAGCTAATAAAAGATTTGCATGATGAGGAAGGTTTCAGACAAACTTTAGCTTCAACATTGTGGTTGATTATGAGGCAATTTCTGTGAAATCCTAAAAATCCCAAGTTTTTTGTCCTGCTGTGAACACAGTTTATCGCAAAAAAGTACAGACCCACATTGTACTGTGGCCCCCCTCCCCGCCCTTTAAAGTATGCGCTGTCGTTGATGCCTTGAATTCGTTCCTAAGGATATCATAGATCACCACAAACTTGGCAGCTCAAACATGACAGAAATGTATTCTGTCACATTTCTGGAGGCCTGAAGTTTGAAATCAAAGTGTTGTCGGTGTGGAGTGGGGGTTCTTCTGGGGGCTCTGCTGGAGGGTCTGCTTCATCCTGTCCCCTGGCTTCCAGTGCTGCAGCATCCTTGGTGCTGCGTGGCTTGGAGCTGCATCGCTCCAGTCTCTGCCTTCATCTTCATGTGGGTCCAGCTTGCCCTCTTGGTCAGTTTCCTTGTCTTGTCTGGTCCCGTCCTGTCCTGTATTTTGTAAAGACTTGTCATTGGATTCAGGGCCCACCTGAATCCAGGATGGCCTTCTCTCAACACCCTTACCTTAATTACATCTGCAAAGCAGGTTGGACATATCTTTGGGGGACCACAGTTCAACTCAGCCCATGCCCTCCCATCTAAAAATCGGAGTGCTTGCTCTTCCCTCTCAGGTTTTTCCTCCTGGAGGTGAGGAAAGGGGCAAAAGCCTTGTTCTTGTCGTAATCAACAGCCCTGCTCTTTGAGGATAAAAAGCAACAACAAAAAAAAACGGAGTCCCAAGGAATGGCATCTACTATTAGTTAATCGCAGGTCCCAGAAAAGCACCAGCCAGAACTGCAAGTCTTCTAGGAAATTTCTTACTGAATTCAGCAAAATAAGAGGCTAATGAGAAGAGTGTTTGCATATCTGATAGTCTAACTGAAAGGAAACAGAGGAAGAAAAATGTGCTTTTGTAAGCCCTGAGAGTTTTAGCTGAATGGCAGCCTTTCCCTGTGATTAACTGGCATTAATTATTGTTTCAAAGAGTTTCCAAGGTTGACTGAATCCAGTGTGAAGCTCACAAAACCAACACCATCTATTTGTTTTATTTCTCAGGAGAAAGTTATATTAATGCAAAAATAAAGAATTGTGGCTGGGTTTGTGATCTGTTTTCAATAGTTTCTTTAAGGAAGCAGCTGTTTTTTGTGTTGCACAGGGTACTTGGATGCGAAACAGTTTTTGTTGTTTTGGCTTTTTTTGGAGACAGAGTCTTGCTCTGTCACCCAGGCTGGAGTGCAGTGATGCGATCTCGGCTCACTGCAACCTCTGTCTCCCCAGTTCAAGCTGTTCTCCTGCCTCAGCCTCCCTAGTAGCTGTGATTACAGCCACACACTACCATGGTTGGCTAATTTTTGTATTTTTAGTAGAGACAGGGTTTTGCCACGTTGACCAGGCTTGTCTTAAACTCCTGGCCTCAAGTGATCTGCCTGCCTTGGCCTCCCAAAGTGCTGGGATTACAGGTGTGAGCCACCACACCTGGCCGCAAAACATTTTTTATGTTTAAAATTGATACCTGCTCACCTCACTCCCTTAGACAATGTTTAAAATTGATACCTGCTCACCTCACTCCCTTAGACAATGTTTAAAATTGATACCTTGCTCACCTCACTCCCTTAGACAATGTTTAAAATTGATACCTGCTCACCTCACTCCCTTAGACAATGGCTTTGGTCGCAAGGGACAGAAACTCACCTCAAACCAGCTGTATTTTGGAGCCAGCATAACAAAGCACCACTACTTGGATGTTTTAAAAAAGACAAATTTAATTTCCAACAGCTCTGGAGGCTGGTGAAATCAAGGTGTGGGTAGAGCCATGTCCTCTCTGAGCCGGTAGAGGAAGATTTACCCTGGCCTCTTCCAGCTTCTGGCCTCTTCCAGCTTCCTTGCTTATGGCAACAAAACACCAACCTCTGCCTCTGTTTTTGCTTAGAGTTCTCCTTGTCTGTCTCCCTCCCTCTTCTGTTCTTATAAGGACATCAGTCATAGTGGATTAACAGCCCAACCTATTCCAGTATGAGCTCATTCCAACTAATTAACATCTGCAACAACCCTATTTCCAAATAAGGTCACACCCTGAGGTATTGGGAGTTAGGGCTTGAACATATCTTTTTGGGGGACACAAGTCAACCAGTAACATCAGCTGAAGCAGAAAAGAGGCTCACATAGCCAAGCCGCTGGAGGGGACAGGGCCTTAGATGTCATTAGCATCCCGTCAGCTCTGTCTGCTTATCTGTGTGTGTCATTCACACTCACGAACTCACTCTGCATGAAAAGCATAAGGCTGCAGCTCAGGGATTCTCAACCATGGTGGAAAGGGCTCTTGTACCCCCAGCTCACATCCTGAAGTCCCAGGAAGAGATTCCATCGGAATGTCACCTCTCCAGCTCTAGACCATTCACTGTGGCCAGGGAGAGGGTCACGGGAGGGAATGGCAGCTTCCACATCTGGATTTGGGGAAAGATCCCACTGCCGCACACCAAAAGCAGGGTAGCCTTGACATGGCCGCTGCGGGAATTGTGAGCTCAGGGTAGCTGGCCCAATTTGTGTGAATCTCAGAACTAACCTAATTCGAATGCAGCATTGCAGTCACGTGTCACTTAAATGACCCTTGTCATGACTTACCTTTAATGTGATTTTATGCACGCGCTCCTTCTCACCCATCCCCTGCTGCATTGACCTGGACTAAACTGCTTTCAGGTTCTGGGAGATCTCCTCAGAAGTTGTGTTAGATTTTTCATTTCTCTGGAAGGTCAGTGCATTTGCATTTGGGCAGAAACTCATGGTGACTATACTAATAATTTAATCTTTAGTCTCAAAGGACACCATGGTGGGTAGGTCTCAATGACAGGCGCTTTTCCTCTCTTTTTTAGTTTTCAATCTGAAGCTTTTAAACTTCCAAAAAGAATCACAGTAGTGTAGAAATAGTCTTAACTTCTGCTAAATGGCCTGTGGGAGGCCTGCTTCCTGTACTTTGAATACCTTTTCATAGGTTTTCATGCAGTCTGCAAGAAAAGACAGTTTTATTTCAACTATAAAAATTAATTCAGGTTGAGAGTGGTGGCCACGCCTGTAATCCCAACACTTTGGGAGATCAAGGCAGGAGGATCACTTGAGCCGAGGAGCTTGAGACCAGCCTGGGAAACATAGGGAGACCCTGTCTCTACAAAAAAAATTTTTTTAAATTAGTTGGGTATGGTGGCACATGCATCTGTAGACCCAACTACTTGGGAGGCTGAGGTGGGAGGATCACTGAGCCCGGGTGGTCGAGTCTGCAGTGAGCTGTGATCACGCCACTGCATTCCAGCCTGGGCAACATAGTGAGACCCTGTCTCACAAAAGCAATAATTCAAAGGAATGACTGCAGAAATTACAAAAACAGCTGATAATTCAGAATGCTCATTTCACTTTATTTTTTTTTTTTTTTTGAGACAGAGTCTCGCTCTGTCACCCAGCTGGAGTGCAGTGGTGCGATCTTGGCTCACCGCAATCTCCGGCTCCCCTTTCCCCCTCCCATTCAAGTGATCCGCCCACCTTGGCCTTCCAAAGTGTTAGGATTACAGGCGTGAGCCACTGCACCCGGCCTCATTTCACTTAATTATGTTTGCTTCCAGCTAGTATCGGAAAGCAACTTTTTTATTCTGTGAGTCTTAGGTGAGCAGCAGTAGAGAAACTTACCTGAGATAACTAATCTGTAGATCCTAAAAGTGATGCTTGTGGAGCCTGTAGGACAGATGCAGTTATTCCTTGAGTATAGTCATTGAGTGATGGTGTCATGTGAAAACTTTGCAGGCTTGGATGATATTTTCAGGAGTATATGTATCTTGGAAATTTGCAGTATGACCCAAACTTGGCACATCTTAATAGTCAATAAGAATTTGCAGGGGCACTAAATCCTTGCTATCTCTCTGGCAAAAGATAGATTTCTTGGTAGTGTTGGCATCGACACCTTTCATGGAAAAATCGATTGCTTGTATCTACTAGCTCTGTGCTAGACAGGAAGCACTAAGAATTCATTTGGTGGTTCTTTCATTCCTGGCTTATGAGGGATACCCTTTGCTCCTACCCGCCACCAAGGTGAATTCACCTTGACCCTGAGCATACCAGCACACAGACCAAGTTGGGCTTTGATTGCTGGTCATTTACAATAGGTTAGAAAGGGGTGAGCTGAAGCATGTCGACTAGATGAAATTGCCACAGTGTGGTATTAACCTGCTCAGGATAAATTGAGTGTGAAATTGTTACTGCCGGATGTTGCTTGCCAGTGGGGTTTCTTTTTTTTTATTTTCTTTTATGTGATAAATGTTTTTGCTTGATTTAAGAGGTGGTAGAATACTGGCTGTTACTGAAATGAAGCTAATTTCTTCCTGTTCTGAGCCATTATAGCATATCTTGCGGACATTTGAAACACATTTTTCTCCTAAGATAGCTGCATTTCTGAATGAAGAACTGATATGCTTTCTTTCTAAATTCATCACATTTCTTTCTAAATTCATCACGTTTATCAGTTAAATGTACAAGGGGTAAGAAATGAATTTTCAGCAGATTGTTGTACCTGAAAAATTACACAGAAAAGTAACTTTAGGTGAGAAAGTATCTGGTAAGTTTCTCAAAGGTTTAGGTTTTCTGGGTCTGGTTTGGTTTGGTTTGCTGGGGAAAGGGAGGATGGATGGAGGAGGATGGATGGAGAGTACAGGTGACTGTCTTCTTGACTATAGTGTAAGTGATAGGAAAAAACTCTCGAGTTTTGGTATATAAGTAATAAAAGCAAAATTCGGCTTGCTTGCTTGCTTTCTCTCTTTCTTTCTCTCTTTCTTTCCTTCCTTCCTTCCTTCCTTCCTTCCTTCCTTCCTTCCTTCCTTCCTTCCTTCTTTCCTTCCTTCCTTCCTTCCTTCCTTCTATCTGATGGAGTCTCACTCTGTCACCCAGGCTGGAATGCAGTGGCACGATCTCGGCTCACCGCAACCTCCACTTCCTGGGTTCAAGCGATTCTCCTGCCTCAGCCTCCTGAGTAGCTGGGATTCTGGGTGCACACCACCACACCCAGCTAATTTTTGTATTTGTAATAGAGACAGGGTTTCATCATGTTGCCCAGGCTGGTCTTGAACTCCTGACCTCAAGTGATCCGTCCTCCTCGGCCTCCTAAAGTGCTGGGATTACAGGCGTGAGCCACCACACCTGGCCTGGATTCTGCTATCCTTCTAATCCCAATTTACAAGTTATATCTTCCGTGAAGTCCTGCCTGACCCCTTGAATTATAGTTAGACATTGTCCCTTCCTCTGGATTCAGAAGCAGGATCTTTCACTCAATGAATGTCTATTGTCCACTTACTATTTGCACACTTCGAGAATGCAAAGATGAATAAGGTTCCTACGTAAAGCCTTTTGGCTTCTCTGCAGACTGGTCCCCAGAGGAATCAGCATGTCACGAGTGAATAAGAGGTACTCCGTGAGTGCACATTGCATTGGATTGTAACACATTTTCTTTCCCCAGTTCGCTAATTTCAGCCCTTTTTACGCACAGGAAAAAAACATCCTTTTGTTTGGGCTCCTGTCTTTAATAGACCCATTACTTTTGGAATAAGCAGCTTCCCCCCAGGAAAGTTCACCTGAGTCATCTTGTGCTCAGCACGACTGGCCTGCAGCAAGGAAGTGGTACCAAGCAGCTTTACTGTCCTAATTGGACAGAAGGAAATTGACTTGTCTTGGATGGGGATTATCCAGGTCTTTCTGCTCCAGGAAGACACTGAGAGAGCATCTGTCCACCTGAGATTGTTTGTTGATGAGAAAGTGATGCCACCGTGTTCAAGTTTGAGGGAACTGCAGAGCAAGACCTTCTGGGTCCACAGGAAAGAGAGGTCTTTAAACTTAATGATGCTCCGAACAGCTGGAAGGGGAAACTGGAGAATATGGACAGTTGGCTTTTCTGCTGAGAGTTGAGACTAGTCTCTACAGATGACCTGTTTGATGCAAACTGAAAGAATTAGAACAAGTCTTTGCCAAAATATACACTGGGAACAAAATGATAGGAAATGGGACTTTTCTAGAAAGACATGAGAAGGGGCCAGGTGTGGTGGCTCACGCCTGTAATCCCAGCACTTAGGGAGGCTGAGGCGGGTGGATCACTTGAGGTCAGGAGTTTGAGACAGCCTGGCCAACATGATGAAACTCTGTCTCTACTGAAAATACAAAAATTAGCTGGGTGTGGTGGTGCATGCCTGTAGTCCCAGCTACTCAGGAGGCTGAGGCATGAGAATCACTTGAACCTAGGAGGTGGAGGTTGCAGTGAGCCGACACTGCACCACTGCACTCCAGCCTGGGTGACAGAGCAAGACTCTGTCTCAAAAAAAAATTTTTTTAAAGAGGTGAGAAGGGTATAAAAAAAATTAAAATGAAAAACATTGCTTAGAATAGAATAAAATCTCGTGGATTCAGCAATACATCTTGCTCTTAAATATTTGTTCTGCCATTGTTCTGTGACGTTAGAATTTTCCTCAGTGATAAACTTACATTTTTTGTATACTAGTTTGAGGTATAATTGATTCTATAAACAAGAATTTAACATTTCATTCTTGTACTATGTTAACTGATTATATAATTATACTTATAATGTGCGATTATAAAAAGACAACCCCTACCTTAATGGAACTTAAACTTTAGTGGAAGACTTCAAAGATATTGATAAGTTCAAGGCACTACCTTAACAGAATAAATAAATGCTGTAGGAGCACAGAGGAGGGAGGGAACACACTCAGCTAAGACTGAAAAGACCCTGTGGCAGGGCACAATGGCTCAGGCCTGTAATCCCAGCACTTTGGGAGACTGAGGCGGGTGATCCCTTGAGCCCAGGAGTTTGAGACCAGCCTGGGCAACATGGTGAAACCCCATCTCTAATAAAAATACAAAAAGTTAGCTGGGAATGGTGGTGCATGCCTATAGTCCCAGCTACTCAAGAGACTAAGATGGGAGGATCACCTGAGCCCAGGAAGTCAAGGCTACAGTGAACCAAGATCGCATCACTGCATTCCACCCTGGGTAATGGGAGTGAGACCTTGTCTCAAAAAAAAAAATAATAAAATAAAATAAAAATAAAATCCCTAGAGAAGGTAGCAGTAGAAGCTTGGAGCATTGGTATTTTGTTATATGAAATAGACTATTTTATACAAAAAAATACCTAATATGTGTTCAACGCCCATTAGACTCTGGAAATACAAAAAATGAATGAGACAATGTCCTTGTTCCCAAGAAATTAAAGTCTAGTGGGGAAAAATCTGCTAGGTAGCCAGCAGTTATAATTCATTGCATTATATAAATGGCATGTGCTTTATATGAATATATAAATGTATATTCAAGTCAAGAAATACATGCAAATCAAAGAAAATGCCTAAGTCCAGGGGAGCTGGAGAAGGCTCATTTCAGTCTAGAAGTTTTCAACCTGGGCTACACCTTGCAATCACTTTCTCTAGAGGGGCCCCAGGCAACTATACTTTTTTAAAACTACCCTGTTGATTCTAATGCACAGAGAAGTTTGAGAGTAGCTTCTCTCAGGAAATTTAAGATGTGGGAAGGTATAGGCAGTGATATGGTTTGGCTGTGTCCCCACCCAAATCTCATCTTGAATTGTAGCTCCCATAATTCCCACATGTCATGGGAGGGACCTGGTGGAAGGTAGTTGAATCATGGGGGTGGGTCTTTTCCATGCTGTTCTCGTGGTAGTGAATAAGTCTCACAAAATCTGATGGTTTTATAAATGGGAGTTCCCCTGCACAAGTTCTCTTGCTGGCCGCCATGTAAGACGTCCCTTTGCTCTTTCTTCATCTTCCGCCATGATTGTGAGGCCTCCCCGTGTCAGCCATGTGGAACTGTGAGTCCATTCAACCTCTTTCCTTTATAAATGACCTAGTCTCAGCTATGTCTTTATTGGCAGTGTGAGAACGGACTAATACAGGCAGGTTAACATATTTGAGGCTGACGCAGAGCCCACATGGCCAAGGCATGGATGAGGGTGTGGATACCAGGTAGGCAATGAAACTGGACAGGTAGATTGAGACCAGACTGCAGAGGGTATTGAATGCCAAGGTTAGAAAACTTAACTTTTTTCAGTAGGCAATGGGAAGACATTCAGGTCTTTTTATCCAGAGTATTGTGATCTACATCATATTTAATAAAAATTAGCCTGGTGTTCAGAATGCACATCTTTGGGAGGGAGGGAGAGGAAGAGGTTGTGGCTTGTGGTCCAAGTGAGGCCCCGAGGCAGAGGAACCTCAAAGGATTGGGAAGAACAGCACGGGAGGAAGGATAATAAGAGCCTGGAGACCGACTGGTGGGACAAGGGGAGCAAAGAGCTCCTTGGTTGCCTCAACAAATACTGCCTGAGCCCTGACTGCTTGAAGACACGAATGGCCACAAAGACCAGGGTCCAGTACCTTGGAGGCTGCTGGCGCCTCACCCTGACTCGTCCTGGGAGTCCTTTCTCACACCGCACTCTCCATGCTGCTTCCTCACCAGCACTTGACTGTATCAAGCAGTTTGCCCTCCTTATGTGACCCTGGTTGTCATAGCCTGGGTAGCTCCAGGGTGTGCGGTTTAGAGTTGTCTTTTCCTCCTGCTCTCCTGAGCTGCTCTCCGCATTCTCCATACGAATTTATTCTCATTCTAAATTTCCCAGTCATTAAAGACAACTATGTGCCTCTCTTTGCTCATCTGTAACATGGGGATAGTAATGGTAACTTGATGTTCCTATCTCATGATCTGTTGTGAGTATCCAGTGAGGAGAGATATGTGAAAGTACTTTATAAACTGAAAAGCATAGCACAGATACTGACTGTTGCTATCTTCATCTGTTTGTAGAACTTTCAATTAAATACAACAGTTTAGGGCTCAGGGACAAAGTTTAATCACTGTGTGGTGACCACTCTGTCAATGCAGTATTTTCCTATATAAGGCTTGTTTAATTCACAGTAACTGCCAATGAAGATGTCCTAAACCATTCCCATTTTACTCTTTCTTATTTTTAAAAATATTTTTGTGGGAACGTAAAGTCAAGGTCTCACTTTGTTGCCCAGGCTGGAATGCAGTGGAGAGATCATGGCTCATTGCAGCCTTGAACTCCTGGGCTCAAGCAATCCTCCTGAGTAGCCAGGACTGCAAGTGCGCAACCACACATGGCTAATATTTTGAAATTACTTTTTATAGTGACAGGGCTTTGCTGTGTTGCCCAGGCTGGTGTCCAGCTCCTGGCCTCAAGCAATCATCCTGCCTCGACCTCCCAAGTTGTTGGGATTACAGGCATGAGCCATTGCATCTGGCCAATATTTTTTATCTTTTTTCAGGAAAATAGAATTTTGGAGCTAGAATGTATCTTAAAGGTCCTTTAATGTAACCATCTCCTCCTGCAAATAAGGCGCCTGAGAAATGGAGATATTAACCCAGCCCAAGGTTTCACAAGTTAGGACCCAGGTTTCCTGACTTCATCCTAGGGCTCTTTGACCTGGAAAGTTCTTCCTTTATCACTGGGGCCATCTCCTAAACAGGGTAAATTTGTGATACGTTTGTCCCACTCAGGTAGAAAAAAAATTTTGTAATGTCATGAAATGCAACAAAGCCTGGTATTTCAATTGAATGCCCTTAAGGCTCAGTAAAGGGTTTCTGAGTCCAGACTGCTGAGCAACGGGGATGGAAGCCTGGCCCAAGAGGTACCCCAGCATTTCTTTGCAGAGCAGCTGCTTTGGCTGGGAAGCTGGGCTTTTCTTTCTTTCTGTTGTCAGAGGAACCAGCTAACTTAGACTAAGGTCAGCAGACTTTGCCTTGGAGTACCTGGATGCCTTTACTCCAGAACTCAGGGGGGTCTGCTGCCTTGAGGGACAACACAGACTTTTCATCAGCCTAGGTTGCACAGCCTAACACTTGGAGGGTCACCCCAACAGCCATGTGACTGTACACAGTGGAACCCACAGTTCACAAATCACCTGTTGATATAAGTGGGTTGGGCTGTCTCCCTTGAGTCTCAGTGTCCAGCCATGGCACGGTCCCTAGATCTCCTCTAACAGGCCCTCCTGTCACCTGACTGTGACTGGCGCCTGGTACAGCAGGTGTGGCTGGCAGGGTGCCCGTTTGCACAGCACTCCCTGCTTATCCTGGCTCAGGTCTCTGAGGCCTGCCCTTTCAGAAGAATCCAGACGACTTGGGGCAGGGCAGGCACCCACCCAGCATGTAGAGGTCTGGAATGTGAATTGTGTGTCTCTTTCTTTGTGGGATACAGAAATTCTTTGGTTGTCATCCAAAGGTGTAAGCCTTGCCTTAAAAATATTCTCATTTGGGGCATTGCCAAGCCTGGGGGTCCTGAATTCTTTCATATGTCTTCGTTCCTTCTTCAGATTTATTTTTCAGTCGGTTTTTTGCTTCCTTTTCATGATTGGAACCACTACTCAATGATTGTTAGATACACCACTCCTCACTGTTCCCAGTGAAATCACAGAATTTGTGCTAGGTAAATTCCAGGCTGGAAGGCATAGTTGTTTATTAAAGGAGATGAAGTCCAGCCACAATAGGAGAGGAAATCAGACAAGGATGTTTTTAAAAGCAAGCTGTGTTTTTCTGACTGCTCCAATATTCATTCCCACCCTGAAGGCTCCTCTAACCCTGGGGAAGAAAAAATATTTTTAGTCTGATAGTGTACTATAGAGCTGAACCATCTGTAAAACAGTCTTGATAACTCAGAGGAATGGTTTTAGTGGAAATAACTTGTAAAGGATCACCCAAGACTCCAAAGCTAAGGCATCAACTACCCACAGAGCACCGGTTCCTACCCAGCTCCCATGAAGTCCTTTAAGATTTATTTTAGAACCATTGCAGCCAAACCAGAAATTGACAAGTGGGACTTAATTAAATTAAAGAGCTTCTGCACAGCAAAAGAAACTATCGACAGAGTAAACAGACAAGCTACACAATGGGAGAAAATATTCACAAATTGTATATCTGGCAAAGGTCTAATATCCAGAATCTGTAAGAAACTTAAACAATTAAAAAATAAATAACCCTATTTAAAACTGGGCAGATACTTCTCAAAAGAAGCCAATTTGCAGCCAACAAATATATGAAAAAATGCTCATCATCACTAATCATTAGAGAAATGCAAATGGAAACCACACTGAGATACCGTCTCACACTAGTCAGAATGGCTATTATTAAAAAGCCAGAAAACAGATGTTGGTGAAGTTGAGGAGAAAAGGGAACGCTTATACACTGCTGGTGGGAGTATAAATTAGCTCAGCCACTGTAGAAAGCAGCATGTAGATTCCTTAAAGAACTTAAAACAGAGCTACCATTTGACCCAGCAATCCCACTACTGGGTATATACCCAAAGAAAAATAAATCATTCTATCAAAAAGACACATGCACTTGTATGTTCTTTGCAGCACTGTTCACAATAGCAAAGACATGCAGTCAACCTAGGTGCCCATTCATGGTGGACTGGATAAAGAAAATGTGGTATCTATACACCATGGAATACTACACAGCCAAAAACGGAACAAAATCATGTCCTTCGCAACAACATGGATGCTGCTGGAGGCTGTTATCCTAGGTGAACTAATACAGGAACAGAAAAATACCTCGTGTTCTCACTTATGAGCAGGAGCTAAACATTGAATACACATGGACACAAAGGTGGGAACAGTAGACATTAGGGACTACTGGAGGGGAGATGGTGACAGGGGAAGTGGGTTGAAAAACTACCCATCAGTTACTATGCTTACTACCTGGGTGATGGGATCATTCATACACCAGACCTCAGCAACATGCAATTTACCTATGTGACAAACCTGCACATGTACCCCTTGGACCTAAAATAAAAGTCAAGAGAAAACAAGACCTTTTTAAGAATAGAAATACTGAGGAAGGAAATAAGAGCAGGGTGGGATGGGAAAATATTTATAATTCATGGGGGAAGGAGAGCTATCACAGAGCTGGAATGTACTTTAGAGATAGCAATATGGTGACGAAAAGCAGTTGACAAACTAGAATCCCACTGAATTGGGATCAGCCATTTGCTGCATACTGTAAAACAAGTTTAAACATTTTTAACTTAAAAAGCCTGGCTTCTGAATGCTTATTGCAACTTACAAAGTCATGACTAAGATATTAAATAAAGGGCACTTGTTATGTTATCTGATACTGCCCTATTCCTTCCCACCAAATGCACTTAATTGTACTATTTGGCAACTAGGAGATGTGTATTGAGAACTGATTCCCTCAGAGCAGCTGGCATGGGAGCGATTCTTTGGATTGCTGTTATTGTGCATTCCTGACTCCAACATGCTATTGTGTTGGAAAGGAGGCCAGGAATGAGGTCATGAGTAAGAAGAAACCTTAAGTTTTTGCCCTTGCACAAGAGACAAAAATTATCCAATTGGAGTTAGATTTCAAGAGTGTTGAACTTGAAGGCAAATATTTATCTTCTGGTGTTAAGAAAGGAAAGGATGTGAAACCTTTGACCTTGAGTGTTAGGGCAGTGTCTGAGTTTGGAAAGCAGTTGTCTGAAGCCAGAAGCATGATGAATTTCTCATTGTTCCTTCCCTGGAACTATGCTAATATTTTTTACCACACGCTGAGCAGCACCAGCCGACTTAATAGCCTGCTCAATGTCACATTCCATTGGATTTGGGGTCTCTCCCTCTGGGGTCCAACTTCCTGAAGATACCCCTTTAGAATTCTAGGTAAGTGTTTGGAAAGAAAATGGCTTAGAGTCATCTGGTGTTTTGCAACCTACTTCATCCTCTCTCCATGTCATATGACTCAAAGTGAATTTATAAAGAATTAACATTTCTCTTATCTACACAGCAACCTTGCAAGCTAGGCAGAACCACTACTTTATACCCTTTTAACATTATGGAACATGTAGCTTTTCATGGTCTGAGGATTTTTCAGAAAGTACATAGCATTGGGGCATATAAACAGCTAAGTCCAGGTATATCCAGTCATCCTGAAAGTTCAGTCCAGCCTAACAGATTGATCAGACCTCCCCCTTTTTATCATTCTTGATGTACATGCAGAAACTGGGGTAGCCCTTATAACACGTCAAAAATCAAACAAACCATTGTTTCTGGTCCCAGGGACCAGAATCGTTTTCCTGGCCACATTTTCAAATTATCATCACTTAAAGTGACTTGCTATTTTTCAAGGGATGGCCTTAGGAAGATCCACTGGATCTTACCAGGCGGTTAGCTTCTGTATTCCCTCATGATAATTTATGGAAGGAAAAAAAGAATACTTACTTTAAACTGTCCAAACGACTAAAGTAATTTCTAGTTCTTCTGAGCCTTAACATGTAGCAGGATGTTGGGGGAGTGGGGAATGGACTTAGGAGAAAACCTTAGATTTGAACTCTAGCTCTGTAACTTTGGAGACTTTTCTTAGCCCACAGACAGGCATAAGAATAACAGGCGCCCACCAAGTGTTGGATGGATTAAATGTGAACATACTTTCTAAACATTCAACTACAGAACAAGTACAAAGGGTATTGTTAACAAAAGTAATTGATAAGGGAAGAAATATTTAAGCTCAATCAGGAGAGGAAAAAGTTGATCGTTTGGTAACCACCGCCAAAGTCCTCAAACTTCTAAACCCAATTTTTTTGTGTTTTCAGTGAGCCTTGGTCCTGACTAGAAGAAGCCAATTTTGAGGCTTCATGACAAACACTTACAGAAAGTTATCCAACTATTGCAATGTCAACCCTTGCTTGCTAATATCAGGTCAATTTAGGAATTAAATATGGAGGTTATTCGCATGCCATCCATGTCTCTCCATCAGTTCAAAGGATACCAGCAACAGAAGGATGAAGATGAAAGGAGGATTGAAAATTGTTCAGTGGCACTCTGGAGGTCCTAGAATAATGGATACCTGATGAGATTAAACTGCACAGCTTTTACTTAGAGACCATTTTATAAAGATCATTCACTTCACAGAGGTTAGAAAAACACTTTGAGAATCCATTTGGCAAAGTGCTGTTAATATGATTCTTCTTACTTAATTCCTTTAAATTCCTCTTGGATTAAAATTGTAATACAAAGCAAAAACCACTTTGGACCATGGTTTGGCAGTAGCTACTGAAGCGAAACATAAACATATCCTATGACCTTGCCACATACTCTCTATTCCCATGCATATATATGTATATATATACAACTGAAATATGTATATAATTTACCAAAAGACATGGGCAGGAATTTTCATAGCAACACTATTCAGTACAGCCAAAACCAATTTTTTTTCTTTTTTTTCGGAGACATCTCTTTCTGTTCCAGGCTGGAGGGCGGTGGCATGATCACGGCTCACTGCAGCCTTGACCTCCCAGGCTCAAGCAATCCTCTCACTTCAGCCTACCAATTAGCTGGGACTACAGGCATGTACCATTATGCCTGGCTAATTTTTGTATTTTTTATAGAGATGGGGTTTTACCGTGTTACCCAGGCCAGTCTTGAACTTCTGGGCTCAAGCGATCCACCTGCCTCGGCCTCCCAAATTGCTGCCAAGGCATGAGGCACCATGCCCAGAAAAGCAGCCAAAATTTTTAAGTTACCCAAATGCCCATCAATAGTAGAATGGATAAATAAAATCTAGTATATTTCCACAAAGGAATTGAGATTTAGTGAAGTATGACTACACACACTAACATGGATAATTCTCACAAAGTGTTGAGTGAAAGAAGTCAGACATATTTGCTTCTATTGATGGAAACTGAAAACAGGCAAAGCTAGCATGTGGGGTTAGAAGTCAACATAGTGATTGGAAGGCATAGTCATCATTGGAAGAGGACACAAGGGGGTTTCTTAGTGCAGATAATGTTCTTTTCTTTTTTAATTTGGGTGCTGGTTATAGAGTATGTTGCATTTATGAAAACTTATGAAGCTGTGCACTTAGAATTTGTGCATTTTTCTCAATGCTATACTGCAATAAATAATTTTACTTAAAAATTTGGCCAGGTGGGTGGATCACTTGAGGCCAGGAGCTCGAGACCAGTCTGGCCTACATGGCAAAGCCCCGTCTCTACTAAAAATACAAAAATTAGACAGGCATGGTGGCGCATACCTGTAATCCCAGCTGCTCAGGTGGCTGAGGCACTAGAATCACTTGAACCTGGGAGGAGGAGGTTGCAGTGAGCCAAGATCGCACCACTGCACTCCAACCTGGGCAACAGAGTGAATCTCTGTCTCAAAAAATAAATAAAATAAAATAAAATAATTAAAAAGGCATACCTCTTTCCCCCTACAAAGAAGGTGGGGGGAGGTGTATTGCAGACTTTCTACCTACCTTGTAAGAGAGAGTTGATATAACATGTAAAATTTATGGCTTTTTTTTGCTGGTGAAGAAAAGAAAAAACTCTATAGAACAGGATGTAGCAAGTGCAAAGGAAATGCCTGGTCAGGGAACATCAGATTCAGCTAACTCCCAAGGAAATTCAACACCACATCCTCAGGTCCCTGGTTACCCTCCAGACTGTGTTGTATTCCTGAATAACTTACCAGAAGAGACTAATGAGAGGATGATGTTTCATGCTATCATATCAGTTCCCGCTTTCAACAAAGTATGTTTGGTACCTGGGAGACATGACATTGCTGTTGTTGAATTTGAAAATGATGGACAGGCCAAAGCTGTCAGGGATGCTTTGCAAGAATTCAGGATCACAGCATCCCATACCATGGGGGTCACCTATGTCAATAAATAATACTGAGGGATGAATAGGTGGAGCACAGAGGATTTTTAGGGCAGTGAAACTATTCCATATGATACTATAATGATGGATACATGTCACTATAAATTTGTCTAAACCCATAGAATGTGCAATACCAAGAGTGAACACCAGTGTCAACTATGGACTTGGATGATAATGATGTATCAATGTAGATTCATAATTTGTGGCAAATGCACCACTCTGTTGGGGGACGTTCTTAGTGGGGGAGACTGTGTGTATGGGAGAAGGGATATATGAGAACTCTCTGCAGGTTCCACCCAATTTTTCAGTGAACCTAAAACTGCTCTAACAAAGTCTGCTAAATTTTAAAAAATACATTTGGAATAGTTGTCTTTAAAGCACTTGGTGTTGTTTATAGTGGTACTTTGCTTCGTTTTTTGTAACTTTTGATTAGGCCATTTTAATAGTTGGGAATGGGAAGGGTAAAATTTTCGTTAAGGACTTACAACATGATCTAGTCGTTAGCCTTGCCAAACTGTGAAATATGAAGGCTCGATTTTATATAATAAACTTTTATTTGTATCCTTTAAAAAAGTTGAAAGAGGATATATAAAGTCATGGGAGATCTGCTTTGCCAGTGCAGATCTTGACTAGAGCCTTCCCAATATTAACTGAGCTCCTGAGGCCTGGGAAAACAACATTGGCTCTGTTGGACAGTCTCTAGAGTTGGACAGACCTGGATTCAGATCATAGCTCCATCCCTTGCTAACTGAGTAGCCTTGGGTGATTTCCTGATCTCTCTAAGTTTTGATTTCCTCATCTGTGAAATGGGCATATTACCTACCTCACATTGTGGCTGGGAGAGTCAGGTGGGGTAAAGTTTGTGAGGTGCCTATCATGGTGTCTGGAAACAAGCAAATACTGAAACTATAGCTGAGGCACAGAAGAAGTTGATCTTTTACTCATCTTTTGGCCAAAGTAATTGTATAGGGAATGGTTGCAAATCTATTTAGAGGTTTCTGTTGGCATATTAATTCACTGGACACTTCTAGAACACCTTCTTGTGGGAAGCATGGAGGTGTAGAGTTATGAAGATACAGGTGTGGCCCAATTCTTTAAGGGAATTTATAACCTAGTGGGAAAGAGAGGAAGAAAGCTCACCTGCTTTGATTGGCACCAGTTACTTTGCTACCAACTTGCCTTTGTTTATTTAACTTTCATAACAATCCTACGTAGTAGGCTCCCTTCCCTTCCCTTCCCTTCCCTTCCCTTCCCTTCCCTTCCCTTCCCTTCCCTTCCCTTCCTTTCCCTTCCTTTCCCTTCCCTTCTCTTTCTTTTTTTTTTTTTTTTTTCTTTCGACACAAGGTCTTCCTCTGTCACCTGGGCTGGAGTGCAGTGGTGCAATCATGTCTCACTGCAGCCTCAACCTCTGGGCTCAAGTGATCCTCCCACCGCAGCCTCCCCAGCTGCTGAGACTATAGGCAAGTACCACCATGCCCAGCTAATGTTTGTGTTGTTTGTAGAGATGGGGTTTCTCCATGTTGCCCAGGCTGGTCTCAAACTCCTGGGCTCAAGTGATCTGCTGGGGTTACAGGCACAAACCATCGCACTTTGGCCATAGTAGGTTTTCTTATACTAGTTTTTACAGGTGAAGAAATGAGTCCAGAAAAGTGCCCAAAGTCCAATTTTCAGTCTAGAATTTAGGCCCTGGGTTCTCTTGCTCCCAAAGCCCATGTCTTTCTACTCTATGATGAAAGTTAGAGTATAATGGTTTATTTCTCCCTAAACTAGTTTATGCACCCTTACTCAGAAGGATAAGCTGCTGACCCTTCCTCTGACATAGCACACGTGTTTAAAGCAGTGTTTGTGAGCTCAGAAGCCTCGCAGTTAGTAAGGCTGTAGGGCTACAGGATGTTCTCATTTGTGCAGATTGGCTTTGCACAGACTTGTATAGAGCCCTCTAGGCTTTGTGAAAGCTGCCTGGGCAGACTGATTTATTCACCTTTGCCCAGGATACATATTTACGGCCAAGGCACGCCCTCATTATCCTGCCTGTTCATGATGCTGCATCAGGAGAAAAGCCTCCTGGAACAGGTGAGTGTTTAGCTTAGAGATCAAGCCAGTCCAGTTGCATTGGAAGCCTCTCCCAGTTGAGGGTGAAAAAACCAGTAGACGCAAAAAAGCTGAGTCAGCCTCTGCACTGCCTTTCTGCAGGAGCATAACAGGGAACTTGCGTGATTCTGCCTCTCCCTTCCGCCCATGCACCTGCCACGTAAGCAGCACATCTCTGTTACTCCCTTTGGCTTCCTCATCTCTTCATCCACCCTCAGGTTTGTGGTTTTGGTACCACCCAGACCAGTGTTTTCCCATCTCATGGTGATCTGCATAGACTCATTTCAGTGCTTATAAAATAAAGACACTCATATCTGGGTCCCACCTTAAGGCCATCGAACCCATTTTTAAAAGGCTTCTTGGGTGTTGCTTATGCGCAATAATGTTAGAAAACTCCTGATCTAAAGCAACCCACCAGCCTCTAGGTGTTTGTATATCCTTAGTCTGAAATCACCATCCACCAGAGCTGTGTTTGGGAGAGTCTTAGGGACTGGAAAACAATTTGCTTATTCCTTTGGGGATTCTAAGCACCATCTCTGAATCAAGTTAGATCTTTTAAGATAAAACAAGAAACAAAACTACACACATAGTCCTCGATAGTTTAACTTCCTCTATGGAAGTGACTTCATTTAGTGATCTTTCAGTGCTACGTCTTTGGTATTTCTCAAGGGTCTATATGAGAAACAACTACTTAAATACTTCCTATCATCAGTGAAATTCCTGTGGAAGATGTTTTTCTGTCCCATAACTGAGGGTCCCTGTATGAGAATTCCTTTGGTGCTTTTAGGAGGTAGTTTAACAGGGTTAACGTGTGGACCTTGAGTCAGCTACCTGGGTTCTACCCCTAGCTCTGTCTTCTGGAAGCACTGGTGGGTTTGGGTAAAACAATTTAGTTTCCTTGCTTGTAGAACAAGACTGGAAAATAGCACCGACCTACCTCATAGGGTTGTTGTGAATCATTTAAAGTCTTGATACAAAGCCTTACACAAAGCAAGACCTTATAGAACTTCAGCCCACAATGACTGTTATTAACTTAGAATCAGGAAACCTACCTTCTGTAGTGACAAGTGTGTGTGGCCATTTTTTCAAACAGTGAGACTTTGGCAGCCTATCAGTTCCTCTTTTGCCCTCATCTGCTAAGAAGCTCACATCACAACAAACATGTTTGCCTGAGCTTGGGTCTTTTGAATTTTAAGGTTCTTGATCAATTGTTTTAAAATCATGTCCTTCTCTGATAAGAATCAGCCAGTCCTTTTTGAAAGTAGGCAGAACATAAGTTATAAGTGGATTAAGGTTGAACTTCAGGGCCATCTTCCCATCTCCTGGGCTCATGCCACAAGTAGAGCACTCCTAGAGAAATGGAGGCGGTAAAGGAAAGAAACTAAAAGGGACTGTCAGCAGTCCAGGAGCTAAGCAGGTTATCAGATGAGCAGATTTTCTGTCCAAGGATGGGTTCTAGAATTACAATTCTCTTTTTCTGTTCCCAGGAGCATATTACATGGGCTCAGGGCTTAGGGCATTAGAATTTCTCCTGGGTAACAGACACGGAGGAATCATTGGTTAAACTCCATTTTTCTGCCATCAAGAATGTTCTTTCTCTACCAAAATTGCTCTTCTGTTAGCACTACTATGTGAGCTTGTAGAGGGTATGGGATTTCACACCGAAACATAGAATTTTACAGCTGAAGAGGACTTGAAATTGTCTAGCCCGGCCCTTTGCATTTTTGAGATGTGTGTCCTGAGGCTTGGAGATGTTAAATAGTGACATATTTGAGGCCCTATGGATGGTAAATTGAGGTATGATTCTCAGACTTCCTGATTCCAAAGCTTGTAGCCCTTTCCCTGTACCTCATGTCCACAAAGAATTCGGAACTCTTTTCTGCTCTTCCAGACAAAGGGTTTCATAAAAAATGTTGTGACTTACACTAAATTTTGCATTAGAGTAGATGTTATTTCCCCAGAATCCTGGTTTGTATGCTAAAGTTCATACTTCAATTTAGAGATTAACTAAATAGCAATAATAACTACAGATGTCTGATTTAACCAGCACTATTAAAGGCAAACAATTTTTTGCACTTCAAATGTGTAGGCAGGTACTTTGTAAAACTCACCTAAATAAGCAAATTGTCAGTTGTTCATAGAGTTTCATGCTAGCCACAGTGTAGTCTTTTTATAAAAGCATTTTGAATATGTGAAAATGCAGAAATGGGGACGTGATTTTTTTTTTTTTTTTTTTTTTTTTGAGACAGAATCCGGCTCTGTTGCCCAGGCTGGAGTGCAGTGGTGCGATCTCGGCTTACTGCAAGCTCCGCCTCCCGGGTTCGCGCCATTCTCCTGCCTCAGCCTCCCAAGTAGCTGGGACTATAGGCGCCCGCCACCAAGCCTGGCTAATATTTAATATTTTTTTTAGTAGAAACGGGGTTTCACCGTGTTGACCAGGATGGTCTCGATCTCCTGACCTCGTGATCTGCCCGCCTCGGCCTCCCAAAGTGTTGGGATTACAGGCATGAGCCACCGCGCCCGGCCAGAAATGGGGACGTGATTTTTTTTAAGGAGCAGGGTACAAAGATAGATGGGGAAGAGCAGTGATGGCGCTCTGGTGAGCTCTCTAGCAGCACCGCTGGCCACTCAGGCTCAGGCAGGACGGCTGCCAGTTATGTGCCTGGGGCCAGGTATCTGGTAAACCAACCTTCATGCCGTTGTCTGCCACAACAAAGCTCCTGCTGGGCTTTAAAAGTTTATAGTCAACAGCATCCTCTCTGCAGTGAATTGCAAGCTTATTATCTGTTTCTTATATGAGCGCTATTTAGTCTTTCATTTTGCTCATGATCTGAAATACTTCTCCTTCTCCTAAAAATAACTCCAATTTAAATGATTTTGATTCAGCAACATCTGATTTTTGGTAAATTTGCATATGCACTGCCGTCTGTGTTCAGCTCTGTTACTTTTCCTGGCCTTGTGCACATGGCTTCTCTGTGAACCATCATGGGTGCCTATGTAAGGAGAAATGAAACAGAAGGGTGTCTCACACATGCGAAGGAGGGCCTCCTTTGTCTTGAGCATCTGACCCTGGAGCCTCTCAAGCCTGCACTGCTGCAAAAACAGAACGACTCCTCAATGCCTTTTGACTCTGGCTCACCGAATGTCTTGACATGTTCAGCATCTTGGGATGAAGGAAATACATAGGTCAAGACATCCCTGGCATTACAATGGGCTAGGGTTAGGTTTTTTAGCAGTGTTTTCTTTTTATATAATTATTTTATTTTATTTTTAAGTTCCATAGTACATGTGCAGGATGTGCAGGTTTGTTACATAGGTAAGCATGTGCCATGGTGGTTTGCTGCACCTGGCAACCCATCACCTAGGTATTAAGCCCAGCATGCCTTAGCTCTTTTTCTTAATGCTCTTCCCCCGCCACCCTCCCCCAACAGGCTCCAGTGTGTGTTGTTCCCCTCCCTGTGTCCGTGTGTTCTCATTGTTCAGCTCCCACTTGTAAGTGAGAACATGCAGTGTTTGGTTTTCTGTTCCTGTGTTAGTTTGCTGAGGATAATGGCTTCCAGCTTCATCCATGTCCCTGCAAAGGACATGATCTCATTCCTTTTTATGGCTACATAGTATTCCATGGTGTATATGTAGCAGTGTTTTTACTAATGATTTATAGAGCGAAGTCCTGCCACATGGGGCCTTGATGTAACTTCCATTCATCTTGTGAGTTGATAGAACTCTTATAAGTTGATGTAATTTCCCTTCATCTTGTGAGTTAATAGAACACAGTGACTCTCCTATGCCTGCCCAGGGCATCCAGAGAGCCTTTTACTGGCATCCAAACCACACTAATGTGCCTTCTTTTTGTGAATGACCTTGGGACTGTCTCTGAGCAGAGAGTTATTACATTGTTATTCGTATCATTATTGTTATTACTTTGTGCAATGTGTCACACCATTTTCAAAATGTCTTTTGGTCATCACACCAGTATCATTGTGAGGTAGTTACAGCAGTGACATACTGTATGGTTATTAGTGGTGGTACTGGGTAAGAACACTCACTCCAGAGCCAGACTGCCTGGGTTTGCATCCTGGTCCCACCAGTTCTAACTGTGACTGTAAAGGAGTTATAAAATCTCTTCAGGCCTCAGCTTCCTCATCTTTAAAATAAGGATAATAATACTTCCTGCCTTCTTAGGTTATTGTGACACAAATTGACTAAATGTTTATGGAGTACGTAAAAGAGTAATTGACACAGAATAATCACAGTATCATCACCAGCACTACCATCAATGTCAGCAGCAGCAGCAGCAGCAGCACCGTCATCACCACCACATCATCGTCACCACAATATCATCATTACCATCATCATCACCATCATTGTCTTCATTGTTGTCATCACTGTCACCATCATTACCATCACCTTCACCATTATCACCACTACTATCATTATCACCATCACCATCACTACCATCATCATCATCATCATCATCATTACCACCCCAGCACCACTCACCATCATCATTATCATCATCACCATCACCACCACCATCATCACCATCATCATCTCTACTTTACAATAGAGGTTCCAAGAGCTTGTGATCTGCCCAAGATCCCATTTCCAGTACGGGCTGGGGTAAACACTCTAGTTCAGGTGTCACAGCTCCAAAAGAAATGGACTTTTTTTTCCTCTTGGTCTTTATTTTATTACACAGCAACACAAAAATATATTTTTGTTATAAAGGGTTGAGATGATATAGCTGCAAAGGAGAATGTGAGGGTCCCTTCCTTTACTTCTTCCTGACTCTCACCTCTTGCTCCAAAGGTAACCACAGCAAACTAGTTGTATATTCTCGCTGTCTTCTCTCTAAGAAGGGCACACATATAAGATCAATATACATATACATGTGTGTCCTCGTTGATGTAAATAATCATAAGAGTGTCTGCCTTACAGGATTGATGAGGGGGTTGAAGAAAATTAGGCTTTTAAAGCACTTAACATGGTGCCAGGCAATATACTAGGTTCCTAATAGTGCTCTCATCAACTGCGTGGGGTAAGTTCTATTATTTCTACCCATTTTATTGATGTGGAAGCTGAGGATTAGAGAGATTGTCACCTGCACAAGATCACACAATACTGAAACTGGATTTGAATCCAATCAGACTTACCCTAGTGTCTCAACAGCTTTGGCCACTAGCTTATGTGGTTATTTTATAGGCATGATTTTTCCACTTGATTATTTTCTCTTGGTAATATTAGCTTGAACTGTTTCCATGTGTGTACATATGAGTTTACATCAGTCTTGTAATGGCTACATGTGATTCAGTATTGTAAGTACTTCTTTATTGGGGTTGTTTTCTGGTTTTGTTGTTGTTGTTGTTGTTGTTTGGTTTGGTTTGCTTTTGAGATGGACTCTTGCTCTGTCACCCAGGCTGGAGTGCAGTGGCATGATCTCAGCTCACTGCAGCCTCAGCCTCCCAGGCTCAAGCAGTCCTCCCACCTCAGCCTCCAAGTAGCTGTGACTACAGGCGTAAGCCACCATGCCTGGCTAATTTTGTTTATTTTATTTGTAAAGACAAGGTCTTACTGTTTTGCTCAGGATGGTTTTGAACTCCTGGGCTCAAGTGAGCCTCCTGCCTACGTCTCCCAAAGTGCTGGGATTAGAGGCATGAGCCACCACGCCCAGACTGGAATTGATTTTTGTATAGGTTGTGACTTAGGAATCTAGATTTATCTTTCTCTAAGTGGAGAACCAGTTGTCCTCTCTATTTATTAATCCATTCTTTCGGCTCATTTGAACCATTACCTTTATCATAAACTGAATTCTCTTGTATGTATGGCTATGCAACTGGTTCCTCTCTTCTCTACTGTTGATTTATTTTCTACTCCCATGCCCATACTAAAGTACTTTAATTATTTTAGACTTAGAAAAAAATTTTATGACAGGAAGGGAAAATCCTTCCTTATTGCTGTTCTCTTTCACAAAAAAGTGTATTTTTTGTGTGTGCATTTATTCTGTCACGTAAACTTACAGAAGCAGCCTGTCAAGGTCTATAGAGAAAATTCCTGTGGGTATTTAGACTGGGTGTTGCATTAATAGGTTCATTTTTGATAAATCAGCATCTTTACAATATTTAGTTTCTCCATCTAGAAATATCATACATTTTTATTTAGGTCTTTTATGTTCATCAGTTAAGTTCCATAATTTGCTTTGTGTAGATCTTGCATTGGAGGGTTTATTAGTTGTTATTACAAATGGGATCCCATTTTCCCATTACATTTACTTAATTTTTATTGCTAGTGAATAGGAAATAATGGTTTTTATATGTTAATTTTTTATCTAGCCATATGACTTAATTTTTGTATTCGTGATCTTTATACTTATTTTTCTTGACATCACATTGGCCAGGAGGAAAATGATGTAGAATGATATTGGTAAAAGTGTACACCTTTGTCTTGTTCCTGTCTTTAATGAGAATGCCTCGAACGTTTCACCACTAAATATGATAAATACACTTGATCAGCTTGAAGACATTTCTTTCTATTTGTAGCTTACCAGGAGGTATGCTTTTCACTGCAGACGACACCATGGTCTTGCCAAGGGGCCTTTATTTTTTCACTTAACATTTTCCTTAAGAGTCCAGAGATTGCCCGGACTAACTTGGGCCTCCCAGCACTGGCATCCTAGCTGAGCGAACCTGGTTTAGAACTGAGCACTTAGGACTGAGTAATGTCTTCTTTCTTCCTCCTTTCTGCTCACATTTGACTTCAGATGTCCTACAGGCAGGAGCTACTTTGTGTTGATATTTCCCGCCTTCTCTCGCCACTCTCCTCCAGCCCTACCCTTCCTTCTGCAGAAAAGTAAAAAATTTTACAAATAAATAAAAAGTAGCATGTGGACGAGGACAAGAGCACCACTTCTGGAATTTTCTGGCAGGCACCACTGAAAAGATTTTTATTCCTAACTTCTAATTTAAATAACTTCAATTTTTTTTTCCACCTGATTATCTTAAAGGGCTAACCACCACCTCACGTGCTGGTTGCTAAGTGGATCTTGTAGTTTTTACAGGAAAGTATGAGAAAGGAATTACCACGTGACATCTGATTTCCTGTTGCAGTTTCATGCAGGTTCTGATGCAGGATACAGTCATTTTTAACTCTTTCTCGGCCACTGCCTTGTACATGGTTAATGCAGAATAAATGTTTTGATGGTGGATTGATGGAAATGATTTAATCAGAGTCCATCTGAGAGTTCTTAGGTGGTGATGATTTTTTGCTAGGCTGTGAACGAAAGGATTTGTTCTTGTCAAGCATGTATGTGGAGCATGACTCTAATGTGATTTGGCACCTGTCTAGAAAATTGTCCCTGTATCCAGTGACACTTTGCTTTGGGGAAGTCAACACCTGCTGTGATGGCATCTGTCATATTTAGGAATGTGAAATGCACATGAATAATGCACAGCCACCTTAGTAAAATGCCTTCTCCAGAAAACTCTTCATGTAAGCCACTGGCAAAAGATTGTTGCAAGCTGCATAGAGGAGACTTAGGGCCCCCCTTGAGATAAAAACAGTGGATGATGTATTTTACTATAGCTTTTCTCACCTTGATGCCATTGGGGTAGATTTTATTATTTTCAGATTGTTTAGCCAAGAAAGCAAGAACCTGCTAAATATAAGGGTCATTTATTTTTGGTTGGTTTGTTAGAAACAGCATTAGCTCCCAACAAGGTGGGGTTTTGGGGAGATGGAGTGACTCATCTCAGGCATATGGTGTGTTAGTGGCAGCCATCCAGGTCAAGAGGGAGACATAGAAGCCAGAAACACCGAGAGGCAAGGCAGCCCCACCAGGCAGCCACGAGTAGCTGGCCTTGGAGCCCCTCCCGATTTCAGTGAAGTTGGCTTTAGCTTCCGGGGCTGTTGGTGTAGGAAGTTTGGTCAATTAGACAATTATTTTTCCTTTTTCAGCATCCTCTCTTTTCTTCTAAATCATCAAGTCCAGAAAAGATTCTGGAATCCATGACAAGGAGCAGACTCAACGTTCCCTACCTTTTCTCTTGCAGGCAGGTGACAAACATTACCACCCCAGCTGTGCACGATGCAGCAGATGCAACCAGATGTTCACAGAAGGAGAGGAAATGTATCTTCAAGGTGAGGTGGACTCAAGAACACTAGAAGTTTTCCTTGCTGGGGGAAAGGAAATCTTGCTATGTTTGTTTGATTGTTTTTAGAGAAGGAGGCATGTTATTAGCTGTGAGGCTACCCAAATCCAAGAAGATTATGGCCAAAAGTTACCTCATCAGTTAGTATTAATCAGCCAAGCAGTTGACATGCTGGCAGTGAGCCCCTCAGGCTGTTCACGAATGAACTTGTGATGCTGCCTTAATCAAATGAATGGAACTCGACATTTGATGGCTCGGATGTGAGGGAAGAGTGAAAATCAGCAATATCTCCTCTCCAACTCTCCCCAGGAATATGCTTAGGAAACAAAAGATTAAAATAATTTCTAGAAATTTCTAGAAATGTTACTTATTTGATGGCTACTTTTTTTCTCCTTTTACTCTCCTGTGAGAAGGGCTTTTTGAGGCCTCCCAGGCTGCTGTTCTCTGGGTTTTCAAAAAGAAAATCTCATATTTGATGAATTACGTCACAGACTTGTTTCACCCCATTAAGTTGATTAGCTCTTATATTGAGAGAGAGAGAGACAGAGAGAGAATAGGAGATAACAAGAGAGAACCCACTCTCTGAAAGAGAAATTTCTGGTGTCAAAGAGGTACTTTTTACCAGGGAGCCATTGGAATCCCAGCACTTTGGGAAGCTGAGTTGGGAAGACTGCTTGAACCGAGGAGTTCAAGACCATCCTGGGCAACATAGGGAATCCTCAACTCTATTTTATATATATATATAAAATAGACCATATATATATATACACACACACACACACACACACACACACACACACACACATATATATGCCGGGCGTGGTGGCTCACACCTGTAATCCCAGCTCTCAGGGAGGCAGAGGCGGGAGGATAGCTTGAGCTGAGGAATTCAAGACGTGCCTGGGCAATATAGCGAGACCCCGTTCTCCACAAAAAGGAAGAAAAAAAACAAAAAAGACAAAAAAAATAAGCATACATATATATATAAAGGACCATATATATATGATCATAGTTTTTATGAAACTGATTATATATATATATATATGATCAGTTTTTATGTTCTCTGAAATTCTGGAACTTCTCAGAGAGGCTTTGAGAGAGGATTCTCTTCTAGTCAAACAGCACCATCTGTGTAAGCATTTTACTGTTTTTAGCTGGAAAAGAGTTATTAATCAAACAAGGGTTTATTAATAAAATTAGCAAAACCCATAAGAGCTATTGCTCGTTCCGTTGTGGTAATTACTGGGTCTCAACTACCTGTGCATGTCATTTCTTGATTTCTCTTTGCACATGGCACTATGTGTACCTGTAATGAGTTGTTCACTTTGCTCTCTCAATTTTGTTTTTAGGCAACTTAGGAAAGTCTACAGAAAGGATTCTTGAGTATTAAAGCAAAGCCTGGCTACTCTCCCCTTAAAAAAGGCTAGCTACATGAGAAATTGACAACCCAAACTTCTTTTTGGCTTTAGAATGATCACTCTGAAAAACTGTGATTAAAAACATCACGGAATTTTGAAAGGCCTTATGAAGGCAAGTGACAAGCACCCGCATCTGTGGCCTCATGCGGGATTTATATGACACGTTTTCCCAAGGACAACAGGCCTTACATCTGCAGTGGCAATAGGCAGGTGTCACTTTGCATTTCTCAGCACAAAGCAGATTTATTCTTTATTTGGTCTGTGGGCTTAGATTTTAGCATGTCAATTCTAGCACTCAAAAGCAAAGACACAGGAGTGCCAATCAACCCTGTCTCTGCTAGAAACAGACTCAGAGGCTCCGGGTGCAGCTCTGCAATTCAGAGTGGTTCTGGAGGCTGGAGAGAGAAGGTTTCAAGCAGTGCACAAATGCAGCACATTCGGGCTACAAATAAATGGCTATCTGTTGAGGCTGCATTTGGAATTCCAGGGATTGCTCTAAACCTTCTGGAGTTGTGCTTCCGTAGCCTTTGTGTGCCCTCTCGGCACATCTTTGAAGAAAGAGCAGTTTCATCTTCTTCAGCATCTGATGTTCTGTCCGAGTCACATTCCTTGTGTGCCTGACCTCTGGAGAACAATAGTGCCATTGTGCGCAGACCCGGTGTCCTGGCCAGTGACTCCTGCTCAGCAGAACCTTCACGGCGAATGCTTCTCCTGAGCCTGCACCTGACCCCTGGGCCCTCTGCATTCAGAGGATTTCCTGTGCTTTGTAGTTAGCCTTTGAGCCAGAGTTAGTGCTGAAGGGACCTATACGTCTGTCTGCTTTTTGTTTGAATTTTTTGTTTGTTTATTTTGGCCCTGGGTTAAGAAGATGGAAAAAATGATTGTTAAATAAGGATTAAAGTATTATGCTGATATAAAATGTATTTTTTCTTGCCATTAATTTGATATTAGTTAAGCTCAGTGGTGTGAAATAACTCATGAGTTATTTTAATTTGGTTACTTTTCAAGTATGCACAGGTTGTTGCTTAAAAGAGATAAAGATTTTGGCCAGGTGTGGTGGCTCACGCCTGTAATCTCAACACTTTGGTAGGCCGAGGTGGGTGGATCGCTTGAGGTCAGGAGTTCCAAAGAGCCTGGCCAATATGGCGAAAACCTGTCTTTACTAAAAGTACAAAAATCACCCAGGCATGGTGGTGCATGCCTGTAACCCCAGCTACTTGGGAGGCTGAGGCAGGAGAATCGCTTGAACCTGAGAGGCAGAGGTTGCAGCAAGCTGAGATTGTGCCACTTGCACTCCAGCCTGGGAGACAGAGCAAGACTCTGTCTCAAAAGAAAAAAAAATGAGGTAAAGATTTAAGTCATGAAATGTGGAAACTCTGATATTCATACTGTGAATTTTATTTATGTAATTTATGCTTTCAACATAGTAACTTTATTTTCTTAAGTCTTCTTAAGTGCTCATTTAAGTTCTGTCCATCCCCACACTTGAATGTGTCCTTACATGGACATATCAGCCTTACTCATAATCATATAAATGACATATTTGATATGTATCTAGTCATACAAAATCATATGAGCAGGCATTGGATTCTTATAAGAGCTTCTATTGGAGATAAGTGTTTTGTTTAATTCTGTGATGCTGGTACCACGCATTAAAGTGCTTCATAATATGAGAAAGTGAGACTGTTGACTCAGGAACAGAAAATAACACCTAAATAGTTACTTCACTAGTTTAAAAGCAAAGACTTTTTAGAAAATTACTTAAAAGATTGAAGGCCAAAGGCAATTTTTGGATTTATAATTTAACTTTCACCCTTTCTACTAGTTGGTTTCTCATTTCTCTGTAGGTGACTATGTATAATTGAATCAATGAAAAATTCAGTAAGTCTTGCTTCTGGACATAGACTATCTGGTTGACTTTATTCCCGTCAACTAAACTGCTTGGTTGTTTTGATGTTATATAAACAATAGCTATTATTTTTTAAATTAAATGCAGCTTGTAGTAAGCACTCAGGCATTCCTTTTAAAGGATGATAATAAGGTTTAAAAATAACAAGACACGATTAAGAACTAAATATCTCTTGCATCAAAAGACTCATGCCCAGTTGGTGGTCTCTGTGGTCTAGAATTATGACCTTTATCAAACAAGCTTGGGCTAGATCAGGAAAACTCACTTAGGCTTTGGACATGTCTGATTTTTGTGTTATGATTCACTTGGACATAAAGCAATAACACCTTCCTATGATGGGGAAAGAGGGATAGGAGCCATTCTCAGAAGTGCTGTCTCAGAGGACTTTGTATCTTTCCATTTTCCTGGCTCTTAGTAGTGCATTCTGTCTTCTCAGGCTCCACCGTTTGGCATCCCGACTGTAAGCAATCTACGAAGACCGAGGAAAAGCTGCGGGTAAGGACACAATTAAAACATGATGCCAGCTGCATTTGTAGGCCATACGCTCGTGGTCACTAATTCTTGGGGCTAGGGTTTAGGTGAAATTACTTTTTACTGACTTTTTCCCTTATAGCAAACTAAGTTCAAAGGCCATTTGGCTAGGGAAAGGGTTCCCCTCTTACCTTAAACGTACTGTGGTTTTTATTCCAAATGCTTGTGTTAGACAAAGTAAGCCTTGGCCTTACTAGTCAGCTTCTTAGAAAAGCATTCAAGAGAAAAGTCAAATCATGCAGATGGGAAAACAACGACTCATCAGGTTCCAGGTGCAGCATCTGCTGACCTCACCAGACTGTTTTGGTGCTTAGTCTATAATGCACTACTCTGACCCCAGCTCTACATTGGCACATTTTACTGGTCTCTCATTTACTGGATCCAAATTCACCAGAATAGACTCTAAAAGCTGATGGCTTGTCAGATAAAACCTTTGGGGAAAATAATAACCAACCAAGACAGGTAAATTAGTCAATTCTCGGAACACCTCCAGATGGCAGTATTTTATGTTTCAGAAGCAAAGCGCTGTACACAGTTGTAAAACTGTGATCATAATCTCTGTCCTGTTCAGATGCCCTATTTTTCACACGGGCTAGGAAGTATTTTTCAGTGCAATAATCAGACTGAATGAATCCCAGTGCCTTGGGTTAACCTAACTTAGTGGTACCCATGGAAAAACTGGAGTTTAACTTCACCCTATTTACTGTCTCAGGGAAAAGAATGGCCTGGATTTATTTTGGAGGCCAGATTCTAGTGCATAGTGTAATCTCTTCTCGATCTGCCATTACCAGGCATCAGAAGCTATGTATGCAATCCCCAGCAGCAGCACGACCAGTTTACTGATGGGGTCTAGTCACTGATGTGTGACTTGTGAAGGGGTGACTTGGCTTTGGAGCAATGATTATCAACGAGACCCATTCGCTCTGCCTTTTTTCAGATCCCTTTGCCTGCCGCCCTGGGAATTACAGCTCTTATTTTCCTAGTGTGTTTGCTTTATTCTCTGAATGAACCACACGTATGCACAGGAGATATTTTTCCTTTGTTTTTTGTTTTTTCTTTTCCTCCTCAATTCGCATCCATCAATCAGAGGGAGACATTTTACCATTTGGATATTTTAGGAACTTGTCCCTTGCCTGTGACCCTGAACAAATGCAGTGCTTTTAGAATGCACAATTATTGTGAACATACTTAAGTTGAGGGGGAAAAAAAAACACTTTTTCTCTGAATAATTAAATAAAGGTAAGAACAGCCAAAGAGGAATTCGCCCATCAAGCTTAGGGTGGTTTTGCGCTCTGTTTTTGACACACAGAGTCCTGAAGTCCATCAGCCGGATAGTCACACACAGGCGTAGTCACCTGGTTGTGGGCTCTAGACTCTGGGATTTTTGAGAAACTATGGATGCTTTGGAAATGAGTTACCTTTATAAAATATGAGAACATAAATGATCATCCTTATTGTGACTTTTATCGTAAGAATGTAAAGTTCACAGCATAGCTTGAGGATGCTGCCCAGAAACCACCCCAGTAGCTATAGTAGTTTGTACTCTCTCTCCAGTGTTGCTTTTAGGTTTTCTAATAATCATTTTAACTTCATCTCTGATGAAGTCGTTTGGGAGATGAAGAGAGGAATGCTAATGAGGCCAGACTGAGTGGAATGTGGGTCTTTTCTGTATCAGGATTGCTTGAGTTTGCAAATCATGTGACTAAAATGATTTTTAAAAACCAACAACACTCTGATAACATCTTGATGGAAAACTCTCTGGATAAGCTTATGAAAACAACTAGTGAAATACTTCCACCCATTCTGGCCAAGAGGAGCTATTGTTTTCTTCCTTTAGTAAGACTTCCAGAGAATTCTAAAGCTCTTCTCCTAAACCCAGCATTCACTACGTGGGAGGTCAGGACAGTGCTCTGGGTCACTGTCTTTGGAAAGCTCAGAAGTGAGGAAGAGGCTCCCACGTACCCAGAGCCGGGGTTCACACTGATGTTGGTAGGGTTTAAAGGGAATACGTTTTGAACAGAGAAATACATCTTGTGCTCTCTTGAGGGTGTGTCTACACATCACAAATCTTGAGCCAAGATTTCCAGGCCTTTCACTGCATGTCACATTAGTGCAGTTTCCATAGCAAAATGAAAATGTTTTAAGAATCTTTCAGCAACCCACTGGGTAGTCCACATTTTTTATATTTAAGAACTCATGGGGCATTTGTAACAACAGATTCTCAAGGATGGCTCTCAGTTGGCTTCACTGGCTTTCTTACCCTTTATATATTGTAAGAATGTCTAAGCCAAAATAAATGGAGAGGAATTGAAGGAGGTTGGAGCTTAGATAAATTTACTGTAACTTGAAGACCAGTTAATATGCTTTTAAACATGGGCCCAAAAATCCACATGTACATCAATGAAAGAATCCCACTTGATGTTTACTCTCAAGTTAGTTTTACCTAAGGTGGTTGTTGTTTTGTTTTATTTTTTAAAATAATTCTTCTGATTTGAGGCTATTTCTGTGTTCGTTCTTCCCTTTTCTCATGTTTCATGGCAGCTGCCAAACATTCGGCGTTCTTCATCCGATTTCTTTTATTCCAAAAGTCTGATTCGACGCACAGGACGGTCTCCGTCTCTGCAGGTTGGCATTGTGTCTAGGCTGGGGCTCGAAGCCACTGTCCTGGGCCCAGGCTTCTGTTGCTTTTCCCCTGGGCTGCTTTTCTCACATAACTTCTTCGGCTCCTGCAGAAAGCAGATGCTTTTCTCACACCACAAGCGCCTCTCACACTGACTCTGGCTGTTGTCTTCTTGGATGGATGTTTTCATTCAGAGCAGCAGCTAAAGCTTTGTGTCTGTTCAAGCAAGCACATCAGAAGCTATCTTTTGGTCCCGTGTTGCCACGTTTGTTCACTGCACAAGTATCTGCTCAGCACCCAGGTATAGAGCTGGGCTGGATGTGGCAGATCCAGCCTCATAGGCAAGAAAAGATGATAAATAATTATAAGAGTGGTACAGAAACCCATCCCAGGCTATGGCTCATGTAGGCCATGCTCCTTGGAATGTCAGATGAGGAAAAGGTTTCCAGGGTCGCTTCCTGGGAGAAGTGGTCTTGGAGTTGATTTTTGGAGGCTGGCTGAGATTTGCCCATGAGGGGATGAGGAGAAAGTGGTGGACCTGATGAGGAGATGTGAAGTGTGCAGCCGGGAAAGGCAGTGCTTGGGTAGGGAGTGGTTTCACTCAAGAAAGGAAGAGTGAGACCAGGCACAGTGGCTCACGCCTGTAATCCCAGCACTTTGGGAGACCGAGGCAGGCAGATCACTTGAGATCAGGAGTTCAAGACCACCCTGGCCAACATGGTGAAACCCCGTCTCCACTAAAAATATAAAAATTAGCCAGGCATGGTTGTGGGCGCCTGTAATCCCAGCTACTTAGGAGGCTGAGGCAGGAGAATTGTTTGAACCCTGGAGACAGAGGTTGCAGTGAGCCAAGATTGCGCCACTGCACTCCAGCCGGGATGACAGAGCAAGACTCTGTCTCAAGAAAAAAAACAAAAGAACAGTGAAGTGGGAAAGGAAGAAACTGAGAACAGGCACCTACTCTATGGAGACTGGGGGATTTACGTATAATCTCATTTCCTCTCCCTAAGAATTCCTGCGAGGTAGCTAATCTTATTCCCATTTTACAGATGGGGAGACTGAGACCCATCATAGTTAGGTAACTTCTCCAGAGTTACTCTACTGGTAAGTGGAAGAGCTAGGATTGAAAACCATGTTTCCGTGAGCCCTTCACTCATATTCATCCTGCTATACTGCAAGGGGACAGTGAGAGAAAAACCCGAAAGAAGCAGAAGAAGGAGAACATTAAATACTGGCTAAGGCTGTTGTCAGGGGGCCACTGATGGAGTGTAAGGAAGAGAGACGCACCACCTGCCCGGGGCATCCTGCAGGGGAAGGGAGAGGACTCAACCAGCCCGGCAGAGGAACAGCCAGGCTGGAGATTATGCTGCATGCACAGTGTACCTGACCGTCTTTAGGGGTCTCTGAGAATCAGTGGAAACCTTGGCCTGTTAAACTAGAAGCGACTTTCTACAATCTCATCTCAGCCCAGATGAAACCTGTTCTGTAGCTCTGCTAACAATTCAGGGTTGCACTGCAGCACTTTGGCTGGGCTGTGTGCCTGTACATTCTGTGCCTGTCAGAACTGCGCTAAGGATAAGAAGAGTTTGAGTTTCTATTTTTGTTAAACCTTCACCTTCTTTCTTTGCACGATGGAAAAGACAGAAGTATAGAAGCTTAGAGTAGAAGAGAACCTTTTAGAGGTCAACCCCCTGAGTTTCCTCATTGATAGAATGAAGTCGGATGGGCTGGACATGGTGGCTCATGCCTGTAATCCCAGCACGTCGGGAGGCCAATGTGGGCAGATCACTAGAGCCCAGGAGTTTGAGACCAGCCTGGGCAATATGGCAAAACCCCATATGTACCCTTCCAAAAATACAAAAATTAGTGAGGGATGGTGGTGCGTGCCTGTATTCTTAGCCACTCAGGAGGCTTAGATGGGAAGATCACCTGAGCCTGGGGAGGTTGAGGCTGCAGTGAGCCAAGATCATGCCACTGCACTCCAGCCTGGGCAACAGAGTGAGACCCTGTCTCAAAAAAAAACCAAAAATGGACAGATACAGCAGCATGTCTGAGACTGCACAGGCTGTCATAAACAGCAAGCCAACTGCACACTTCAGTTCTTGACCCCAGGCCTCAGTGCCTTGCGTTGTCCCGTGATACTGGGTTCCTATGATATGATGTATTTTTCATACAATCTTCATTCTGTGTTAAAGTTTCAGCTCCAGTGGCAGAGTTTCCACACACGGTGAAGTCAAAGTCACATGAATCCAGAGGAACAGCCAAAGATTGTCCCCACTTTAAATGAGTGTTGCTCAGAATTAAGTGCTTCCACTTGGCAAGAAGCCACTTTTTCAATAGTTTTTTTTTCTTATTTTTTCCAGTAGTATACTGTTAAATAGTATTACATTTTGTTAGCCTGTGTCTACAATCAAGTAATACATTTTCATGACTTGAAGAAAAATGCCATCATCAAGTGTGAAATTTTTTAGTTTGCCCCAGACCTTTAAGCTTAAGAGATTTGGAGCATCTTGAGAGACAGAGAGGGAGCGAGAGAGGTCTGTTTTCAATAACTTCTCTCCTCCTATCTTGTTGTTCAAAAGGGACATCTGATTCCTATTATCCAGCTGTAACTATCAATGAAGTCAACTTTAGCTCCATCACAGAAAGTTGTAAACAGCTGGGGACCTGGCAGAGAAAATGGGCTGTGTGGCAAGGTCTCCCTTCACCCGTTGGCGATTGAAGAATGGCTCACCAGTACCTTTAAGATTCCAGAAAACTCCAAAGCAATGCAGTTCTCAAGTCACAGATATGTTATCTTTTAAGTACTTTTGGCTACACAGCAGCTCATTTTCCACCACTTAAAATTCAGTACCCTTAGTTATTAGATAAACTGTCTTCCTTGCAGGGACATTCAGTACTCTGTGCTGCAGAAATAAATCCTGGTTTTGTTGTAGAGGAAAGTAAAATCTATAGCAGGAAAGTCATTTTTGTTATCTATATTGAGAATGAGCTCCATCTTTTCCTTTTGCCTGAATTACAGGTAAAAGAAAATGATGAAAATAGAATTACCTAAGAAAAACGTATTCTGGTTCCACTCACTTGGAAGTTTTCTATGAATAGCAAATTTTGTCTACAGGTAAAACTCAGTACTGAGCATGTGTAATTCATTATACACAAAGCACATGGTATTCCCAGGACCAAGTCTGTAATAATCTGGGGGGTGTCACTTGCTTTCATTCTAAAAGGGAGTTTTTCTCAGCCATGCCTTTGGAGGTTAAAGCATGAATTGACTGACCTACAAAATGGGTGTGACTTTTTTCTTTGAAACTAATATTCACCAATTATAACATATGCACTTGTCAATCTATAATATACCGAACAAATACCATGTGTATATTTTTAAAGGAGCTAATTTGAGGCTTTATGTCTGTCAAGAACAAGCAAGTAATGTTAGTGGTGTTTGATTTTTGTTTTGTTCATGTCACTACAATACATACTGTTTTACTCCCAGCTTTCACTTCGTCCAAGTATTTCATCCTTTTGAGTGTGTCTTTACAGTTCATCAGACAGCTGAATGTAGAGGTGTAAAGATTTATACTGGAAAGATTTCATGTAATAACGGCTGATGGCATTTGTGAAACTGTCCCCAGAGAAGTGGTGTGTGCGCACAGCACCCTCCTGCCTCCTCTCCAAACACAAAATTCTTTTTTCCAAAGGAGTTGATTTCACTCTTTCTTTGCTTAGCAGTGGGCATTCAGTATGTGCAGGTTTTAAAATATTCCTTTTTCTGCAGCTGTTATCCCCACCTTGTCTAGTGAACTTCAACAAAAACCCAAGGCAGGTACTGTCCACATCAACAGGACTTAGTATAAGGTGTCAGTCACCTTATATCAGTAGTTGTCCCATCAGTGTTCATAAGATCATTCTGATCTAGTTGCCAGATGCCTGTAGTTTCTCTCCTTAGAGCATGGCTTTGGATAAATGCAAATTAGATGAATATAGTTGTTGCATCCCTGCTCCTGCTGAATGGGGGGAGGGCAGGGGCTACAAAGTGCTTCCCAGCACTGTCCTTCTAGGCGACCCATGTGCATGGTGGATCATAATGGAAAGTAAATGGAAAATGTCATTTATCTACTTACTCAACCGGCAGAGCTCTGGTAAGTGTTTTTAATGGTTAGTATTTGAAGAATAATAAGACCTGTAATGGAAACGGAAGAGGATGTCTTCAATTAATTTTTGTTCTGTGACTGTGCCTTCTGAATGGTAGGACAGATGGACAAAATCAAGGCATAGGGGAAAAATAGCTGAAAGGTATTTAGAGGGCTTTTCAAAGAGATTTCATGAAGAAAACAAAAAGATGTGCTTTTTAAAGCATTTGGCTACTTATTTGTAATTAAATGCCATGTTTTATCTCTCCTGTTGAACTGCTAGTCTTCTAATGAGGCATCTCTTTGTTATTTGTGTGTGTGTGTGTGGAAAGTAAAAATCGTTGTTGAAATCAAACGTAAAGACATGAAAGTGTGCTGGGGAGATAACTATAGAGTAAATGGACCCCTTCATCATGACAGACTGAATGAGAACAGCCATATCAACAAGAAGGTTCTTACCGAAGGCTCCTTTCTTCCTTTTGCCAAAATAAGGTTTCACCTACTTGCCTCATCTTACTGGCAAAATACTCTGAGCGATCACTACCATATATAATTCTGTATCTATCTACCTTGCCTGCTTTCTTCATCTCACCTCACCCCACCTCCATGCCAAAGATGGCATCAGAAGATGCCAAAGATAGCATCAAAAGGAAGAACTGAATTTCTCCAACTGCACTTTCGAGTTGGTTTTTCTGCAAGGAAAAGGTGCTTAAATGAAAGTAAATAAATTGTACCTGCTTTTAGTATGTTAGCCATAAGTCCTTGCTGTTTCCTTTATTCTGTAGAAGTGAGCTTACCTTTGGTGATAAATATTTGAAATTGTATGCATTTATAACATAGACCAGAGAGTAATTTTTTTTTACTGTAACTCTCATAAAGAATTCCAGAAACAAGGCTTCTGACCCATTGGGTTATTGAGTTCAGTTCATAATTATTGGGTCACTGTTGTTACCCTGGACATCTGAATGGGTGGAAATGGTAATTTAGATTAAATAACTACAGGTAAGGATCATCAGTTACATGTCACGATCACCTGTAAAATTCTGTGATGACCAAAGAGGTGATGATAGGGTTGGGTTAATGGTAAAGAAGAAACTGTCAGTGGGATTTGAAAGTGGGACAGCATGTCAGTAAGTTAAGTGCTTTCAAGATTGAGATGGTTTCTGTCTGAGTGGATATATGTTAATGTGTTGGAGAACAGCTCTGAGCCTTTTGAAGATATCTTAGCCATAACAGCAAATTATGGATTCATTAGGAAAAGAAAAATAACAGCTGGAAGAATAAAAATGGTTCTTTTAATAAACAAGATGTTAATTTGAAATTCAACATGTTTGGAATTCTAGATGTTTCAAATTGAAATGTAAAATTCTAAGTATCTAGGATTAAAAGTCCAAAAATAATCATTCAATTTTTAAAAAGTAATTTTATGACCTTCATAAGGGAGAGACCTCTAACCTCCCGCAGTTGAGCAAATACACTCTGAGAGACATTAGGGACTGTGGCAAAAAGCAGGCAATCCATGTGTGTCACTTAAGCCTTGAGCACAGTTCAGTAGGCAACAAACCAGGAACTGTCCTGGCAGATAAGACAGACTGTGCAAGGTCATCGTCATCGGCATGGGAAGGGCATTAATTACCAAAGTGGAGACACAGTCACTGTCTCCAAGAGCATTTGGAATCACTTCACAGAGTTCTCAAGGAGGGGAAGGCTATCTGTCAGCTCCTGGCGGGACTGCTGCCCCATATACTGTGATGAATTGCTTCACATATCTGAGTTCTGATGGGAAGGAGTCCAAGTGCGGTAGCTGTAGAGAACGCTGGGGAAGCCCAGTTCTGTGTAGCTCACGTATGAAAGGAATATTCATGAAGAGCAAAACAGAGGCATTATTTGAGATTAACTGCCTGAGAAACCTAGTCTAATCCCAAGTGTCTAGAAAATGTTGACTACTTGCCATGTGCCCAGTAAGGTGCTTGGAGCTTTATATGCATCCTCTCATTTAACCCTGTGACATAGTTATGCTGGTACACCTTGCTGCGTTCTGTACATGAAGAAGTTGAAGCTCAAGGAAGTTAAAAGAAAAAGAGAATGGAAAAGAAAAAAGAAAAACTCATGTAACATCAAACAACTAGTAGAGCCCAGGTTTGAACTGTTATTTGGCACCAAAGCCAGCCTTTTAAGTCCACTGTATTACACTGTCTTACATAAAATACATAGATGTGTTTTATCCCATTATTTCAATATAGACAGGTAAACAGAATTGGGCCATTGTAAGAAAATAAGCAAGCAAGAATGCAACTCAACCTGCAAACAAGATGCCCATGGAAGTAAATTTTACCATAAACTTAGGAGGTCAGAATGAAGCAAAAACAAACAGTGGTAAATTCAGTGAAAGAAAAAGCAGTTTCCGAATCTCCAAGTGTATTAGTCCATTTTCACGCTGCTATAAAGAACTGCCCAAGACGGGGTAATTTATAAAGAAAAGAGGTTTAATTGACCCACAGTTCTGCATGGCTGGGAAGGCCTCAGGAATCTTAACAATCATGGCAGAAGGCAAAGGGGAAGCAAAGACCTTCTTCACATGGTGTCAGGAAAGAGAGAGCATGTGAATGCAGTAAAAACTACCATTTATAAAACCACCAGGTCTCGTGAGACTTCTCTCACTATCATGAGAACAGCATGGGGAAAACCACCCCCACAATCCAATCACCTCTCTCCCTGGACACATGGATATTACAAATCAAGATGAGATTTGGGTGGGGGCACAGAGCCAAACCATATCTCCAAGATACATCAGGGCATTTCTCAACACTAAAGTTTGAAGATGCGAGTAGCAGAGGGATGGCTCTAAGACAAGCCAGAACATCAGCAAATTTGATGACCAGTTCACCTGACTTTGAAAACTGCCTATTAAAACCTAAAATATTTATTTCTGAATCAGAGAACTTGGGGGTAAGTGTATTCAAATTGGAGGTAATTTGGATCTGAAAACTTTTAAAAACCAAATGGGTCTTGAAAAAATTCAAATTGTTGAATAACTTTTAAAATCTTTAGCTCAACAGTATTAATAGTGTAAATAAAAAAAGATAAATGTTTCCAAGAAAGCCTGCATAACTCACAGGATCCCCTAATCCAGTCAAGAAGGAAGGGAGAGGCCAGGCGTTATGGCTCACGTCTGTAATCCCAGCACTTTGGGAGGCCGAGGCAGGCAAATCATGAGGTCAGGAGTTCAAGACCATCCTGGCCAATGGGGTGAAACCCCATCTCTACTAAAAATACAAAAATTAGCTGGGTGGGTGGCAAGTCCCCGTAGTCCCAGCTACTTGGGAGGCTGAGGCAGTAGAATCGCTTGAACCTGGGAGGCAGAGGTTGCAGTGAAGCCAAGATCATGCCACTGCACTCCAGGCTGGGCGACAGAGTGAGACTCTGTCTCAGAGAAGGAAGGGAGAGAGAAACTGAAGTGAAATAGGCTAGTTCTGCCAAGAGAACTGCCTTTACTGCCCACGAAGCTCTTCATCCCTGGAAGGTGCTGTTAAAGACCCTTCCCTACATGTGCGTGCGTTGTTCTTCAGCTCTGTTTCTACCAGTACATGCAGTACAAGAGCAAATAAAACCATTCAGAGCCATCCCCAGGTGCATCATTACAGCAAAGGCTGAAAGTATCCTTGCCCCACACTTGGCAAAAATAAGGATGAGTAACATACGAGTGACCCCAAAGCCCCAGTGTACACTTTGGCTGTTCACACAATGTCCTGGATGCTTGTTAATGAAAACAGGCCTTTGTCATAGCAACCCCAGTAACCGAAGACATCTGATGCTCCTGCCGCACACCCTCTCCCCACCCCAACCCAGTGAGCTATTGCAGTGTTCTTACAGAGCTAGCGCAACAAAAATATTTTCAGTTAGCAAGCATTCTTTTCTGCTACTTGATCTCAATATTTCTCTTTTAGTTTCACCCCATTTGTCCCATAGTTATGTTGATAGGAAATAAATGATCACATTTGCCCTGCAATACAGCAAAATTTTAGTGCAGGGCTTAAATGCTTGGGCTGTGGACCTAGAGTGTCTGAGTTCAAATCCTGACTCTTCATCCCTTTCCTACCTGTGTGGCTTGGAGCACTGATACTTTTTCCTTATCTGTAAAATAGGAATAATAATGGAAGCTACCTCCTAGGGTTACCGAGAAGATTACATGAGATTAAGCCTGGGAAGTGCTTGGCACAGGGCTTCCACGTAGTAAGTGGGCAGTAGACATTCGTTGCCATCGATATTCTTGGGTTGCTACTTAAGAGGTTTCATTTTGACATTAAGTTTGGAAAATGTGAGATCCTGGCCACTTGAAACTGAAGGACTACCTGTGGTTAATAATTATCTCACAGAGATGGATACAGGTTCAGCTTTTTCAGGGGGTAGCATCTCCTTGTAAAGGAGGAATACATTTTGATTGTGCCACTTCTATATTTTGATTAGGAAATGGATCTAGAAATTGCACTTTATTATTATTATTATTATTATTATTATTATTATTTTGAGGCAGAGTTTCACTCTTGTTGCCCAGGCTGGAGTGCAGTGGCACAATCTCGGTTCACTGCACCCTCCGCCTCCCAAGTTCAAGCGATTCTCCTACCTCAGCCTCCCAAGTAGCTGGGATTACAGGTGCCTGCCACCACACCCAGTTAATTTTATTGTATTTTTAGTAGAGATGGGGTTTCACCATGTTGGCCAGGCTGGTCTCAAACTCCTGACCTCAGGTGATCCACCCGCCTCGGCCTCCCAAAGTGCTGGGATTACAGGTGTGAGCCACTGCGCCCAGCCTGCACATTTCTTGAATAGTGTTATGTGAGTCTTTCCTTTTTCAACATACTCAGAGGTAGAATTTTCTCATATTGAGATATGCCTGTGATTGGTATAACTCTAGCAGGAAAGCGCTTGTGCACGGCAGGTCCTGGGGAGGAGGCCCAGAAGTGATGCACCTGGTGCACCTCCACCTGGGTGTGGTGTGATTTCTCCCAGCCACTTCCACCCTAGCATCTCAAAGATACCAGGGGCATTGGCTGAAAAAGACTGATCACAGTCTTCCAGCAATGAGTCAAATCACTGCCTGACCTGAATTGGCCAGATATGTTTGCCTTCATTGCTTCAACTGTGAACAGCATAGTGAGACAACACCCTTGTCTGAAGGAGTTTCTTTGGCTCAGTGGTGCCCACATTCAAGGTATTAAACACCAATAGAAACTACTGAGAAGGCAAGGTCTTATTCCTATTGTAGAACTATAAGTTACTCTCTTTAGGAAATGGCTGCAACAGAGGGGAGGAAGTGTTCCAAAATGAGGCCTTGAGTTTTCTCTGCAGAGCTTTCCAGAATATGTTAAACAGAAGCAGGAGGCAGCTGATCCTAGTTCATAAGTTTCCTTCCTGCTCACATAACCACCTCTCACTCTCCACGTTCTTCAGGTATATACTATGAAGTCCAGTTTCTTTCATCCTTCCCAAAGGCCGACCCACCAGCCTTACCTCAGTGACTCTCTATATAGTTAGGCTCAAATCGTGTAATTAACATAAGTCAAGTGTCTGCAAACTAAGTATTTGTTTACAAGTAATAAATTCTAGCTCATTCCCTCAACTAGGATTTGTGCCTTCTGTGTACCTGTGGAAAGCATTGGGTATAGACAGTGGTTAAAAAATAAACTCTATGAGGGCAGAGAGCATGACTAAAGTTAATGAGGGAGACAGACACGATGCAAGGAAAACAATAAATATATAATTACACATTTTACTCATGAAGGAAAAAAGAATGACACTATGAGAGAAAACAACATGGGGAACCAACTCTGGATTGAATCAGGGAGGTCCTCTCTGAGGAGGTGATATTTAAGCCAAGACTGAAGGAAGAGAATCATCCAAGTAAAATTGGGAGCTAGGGCATTTCAGGCAGAGGGAGCAGTAAGCGAGGATGAGAACTCCGAGGCAGCTTTGTGCGCTGTGTTCTGTGAGTGATGACAGGTGAGAGACGAGGTAGGAGGGGAAGGCAGGGATAGAATCCTGAGGCCCTGGTTGTTGTGATTTTATTCTGAATGGATGCTTCTGTTAGGTCTGTTCTCATGCCGCTAGTAGACATATACCCAAGACTGGGTAATTTATAAAGGAAAGTGGCTTAATGGACTCCAGTTCCACATGGCTGGGGAGGCCTCACAATCATGGCAGAAGGCAAATAAGAAACAAAGTCATGTCTTACGTGGTGGCAGGCAAGAGAGCTTGTGCAGGGAAACTCCCATTTATAAAATCATCAGTCTCGTGAGACTTATTCACTATCACAAGAATAGTATGGGGGAAACTGCCCCATGATTCAATTATCTCCACCTGGACCTATCCTTGACACGTGGGGATTATTACAATTCAAGGTGAAACGTGGGTGGAGACACAGCCAAACTATATCAATGCTGGAGACAAAAGCAGAGTAGTGACCATCCAAATTATGTTCTTGAAAGGTCTCTCGGCTGAGTGCGGTGGCTCACGCCTGTAATCCCAGCACTTGGGGAGGTGGAGGCGGGCAGATCACGAGGTCAGGAGATCAAGACCATCCTGGCTAACACGGTGAAACCCTGTCTCTACTAAAAATACAAAAAATTAGCCGGGCATGGTGGCAGGTGCCTGTAGTTCTAGCTACTCGGGAGGCTGAGGCAGGAGAAAAGTGTGAACCTGGGAGGCGGAGCTTGCAGTGAGCCAAGATCGCACCACTGCACTCCAGCCTGGGCGACAGAGTGAGACTCCGTCTCAAAAAAAAAAAAAAGGTCTCTCTATCCATTGCCTGCCAGGTGGATTTGATTTGAAGAAGGGAGGGGAGAAGGCAGAAAACTCACAGGGAGGCCATTGCAATAATCTGGATGAATGGAGGTGGTGACTGGGGCTGGGACTACGGCAGTAGAGAGGGAGAGAAATGGGAAGCTTTGAGGTGTGCTCAAAGGTAAACCAGAAATTCTCGTAGGGGACAAGGAGCAGGAAGGGCCAGAGAAAGGCCTCCCCATGCCTTTTCAAAACTGGATCGTACAACTAGTTTGCATTTACCTTTCCTTCTAGGTTGTATTTTACCTTATTCAAAAAGGTGATAAGTGTTTCTTTTTTTCACTAGCTGAGTTTTTAGTAAAGCTTAAGGGCCCAGGACAGTCTAGATTCTGAAGCCAGGGTCCGAAGTCTTACAAGTCACTGTTTATTTTACAGCCTACCAGGACATCCTCGGAAAGTATTTATTCTAGGCCAGGCTCCAGTATTCCTGGCTCACCAGGTCATACTATCTATGTAAGTATCTACTTCTGGAAGTGACATTTCTGGGACAGGTAAATTAGTGGATTGTAATAGCAGAATGGGTAATCCAAAACAAAAACTGATTCAAAGTGATTTCTATTTTTGTTATGAGACCTGATTTTCATTTTTGTAGAACAGTCTCCTCAATCACTTTTACCTTTAGGTAATTACATTTATGTGACCATCAACAGAGTGATCAGACGACCTGTAAAATGTAGTAATATGTTGCGGGACTTAAAAAATTCTTGCACCTAAGACTCCGTCTCAAAAAAAAAAATTCTTGCACCTAAATTGCATATAGATATTTGGGGATTAAATATATATTTTATGAAGCTGATACTGAGTGTTCCTAAATTCTACCACAAAGATATTTAAATATTTAGTTTATTAATTATGCAGTTCTTGTTTTTAGCCATCTGAGAGGATTATTGGACCATCTGTTTGAGCTTTTTCCTTTACTATCATAAATTCAGGAAATTATCCTTAAGGTTTGCACATTTATCTATTTCATGAATTCTACACAGATTTTTTCCTAAGCGTTCAGTGACTTTTTTAAAAAAACATGATTAATATATGGTATAAAGGGCAACTTCTGAAGAGTATAACTGTGTTAGGCAAGATGTTTTGGTTTTTGTTTATTTTAAGGCCTTCACTTTTTAAACAACAGGAAATGCGCCAACTACAGTTTCCTAAAGCAGTCAGACTACAAGGTAATTGTTCTTTCTGGTTAACTTTGCCAGGCAAAAGTAGACAATGAGATCCTGGATTACAAGGATTTAGCAGCCATTCCGAAGGTCAAGGCAATTTATGACATTGAACGTCCAGATCTTATTACCTATGAGCCTTTCTACACTTCGGGCTATGATGACAAACAGGAGAGACAGAGCCTTGGAGAGGTAATACATTCCTACTGGTTGTGAGTTGTACAACAATTTACCTTCCCTTTTGTCACATTTGTAATAACTACCATTTGGAGTTCAGGTAAATCAGGTGGTCTTTTGTCTGCCTAGTATTTGCAGATTTCTAGACCAGGTGCTTTGAGGTATTCAGAAGCCCATCATGAGAAGTGGGAGAACAGAACAATGGCACATCAAACAACAGTGAAGACCAGCTAAACATTAGCATGCTGGGATGGAAGCTGTCGGGAGGTGGGGAGGGGGTGGGGATTGTGTGAGCTGGGCAGAGCAAATAAGGGAGTGAGGGTCTCCTGGGGGTCTTAGTCTAGTGATAAGCTTTAAGTATATTCATGGCATCATGAGGAGAGAGAACACACCCCCTAAATTTTGGTAATTACAGTTTTCAGCAACTTAAGAAAGTTAGCATGTGAAAGAAAAAATAAAGTAGAGCGCATGGGGCAACAGTCTAGCACAGGAGTGTGAGCCAGCATTCTGGAATCAAATTACCTGGTCTCAACCCAGGGATCACCACATGCCGATTGTTTGACTTTGACCATGTGACAGCCATTCTGCTGCTAGTTTCCTGGACCAGGTACAGTGCTCATACCTGTAATCCCAACATTTTGGGAGGCTGAGGGCCGGAGGATTGCTTCAGGCCAGGAGTTGAAGACCACCCTGGACAACATAGTTGAGACCTCATCTATATATATTAAAAAAATAAGAAAAATGGTCCTAGTTTCTTCATCTGTAAAACAGATAGGGTGATGATAGAATCTACCTCATAGGGTGTTAGTGAGGATTAAGCAAGCTAATCTATGTAAAGCAATTATCAGAGGCCAGACTTGGGGGAAATACTGAGCATGTGGCAATTTCTACCATTGTTGCTACCTGTCCTCTTGGGGCTCGTTAATACTCGGCCTGCAGACCCATCTGCTGCGGGACCAGAGCCTCTCAGCCCCTTGGGGTCCTCCCCTCCCCGGTCCCATCTCAGGGTTGAAGGTTCTCTGTGGTCGCTTCCTACCCAAGTCCGTTTCCCCTGGCCAATCGGCTCACTCTCATTTTTTTCTCTTTTATTTTTTGAATTAGAATCATCTGTAGACTGATTTTAGTCCACAAAGATGTTAACAAATAGCTGACAAATCAGCTATTCAACAAAGGTTAAAACAGAATATAAACAATCTAGCATCTCACAGTGCTTTGAGGTCTTGGAGAAGAAAAGGCATGAAAATGTGATTCTGTTTAATTGTTCTCAATTCCAGATGTATAATATTATTTGATAATTATATTTATGTTTATTTTTTATTTTATATATATTGTTCCTTTTATTTATTTACTTTCTAATCTGGGTTTTATTCCAGAGCATAGCTCTGCGTGGAAAAGGTCCCTGTGGCAGGAAGTGATATCCATTTTCATGTAGTGCCACCTAGTGGTCACTTAGCTGTAGCTGCACTTGCGGCCGCTCTCAAGCGCAGGTGCATTGGCCCGGGTTGTCAGTTGCCATTGAACCCCACAGAGTTTCGTAGGGCATAAGAGGCGAGGGGAAGTTCCTGAACAAAGTGCATAGAGATTGGCCTTGGACCCTGTGGATGAGAATTTACTAATGTTTAACCCATACAAGCAAGGGGATGTGAGTTTTTTTAATGGTGTTAAGGATTTGGGGTTCATGGTGTGCAGTGTACGTGTCTGTGTGCGTTTCCCAGCAGCTCCATCAAGGCAGTAAAACATTAAGCACTCAAGAGTTTGGGCTTTGAGGTGAAAATCTCTGCATTTAAAACCAGACTCTGCCAGACATGGTGACTCATGTCCGTAATACCAGCACTTTAGGAGGCCAAGGCCAAGGTGGGTGGATTGCTTGAGACCAAGAGTTTGAGACCAGCCTGGACAACATACCAAAATTCCATCTCTACAGAAAAAAAATACAAAAATTAGCCAGGAATGATGGCACACGCCTGTAGTCCCAGCAACTTGGGAGGCTGAGATGGGAGGATCACTTGAGCCCAGGAGGTTGAGGCTGCATTGAGCCATGATCATGCCATTGTACTCCGGCCTGGGTGATAGAGTGACACCCTGTCTCAAAAACAAAACAAAGCAAACAAAACAAAAACCACCACCACAAAAAAAGAAAAAAAGAAAAACCAGACCGATGCTGACTAACCACATAACTTTGGGGAAATTATATACCTCAATCTCCTTATCTGCAAACTCAAGATAGAGAACAAGAATACCTATGCTAGAAGTTTTCTGTAAAGAGTAAGTGAGCTATTTACATTAGAACAGTACTGGGCACATAATAAGTGCTTAAGAAAAATGCTGGCTACTCTCGTAATCAGCATACTTACTGTCATAACCTGGAATTATGTCCCATGGTTTTCTCTATGCATAGAGGGTGCCCCTGGGATCAGAAATCAGATATATTAGTGAACTCTTTCCCAATACTTGCATCTTGCAACTGAGAGAAATTTACAAGCTGTTCTATTATTTATTCCATTAAAGTTTAACACACTTCTTTTATAGACCTCATATACATATTGCCTTTTTTTTTTTTTTTTTTTTTTGAGGTGGAGTCTCACTCTGTCACCCAGCTGGAGTGTAGTGGTGCAATCTTGGCTCACTGCAACCTCTGCCTCCCAGGTTCAAGCAGTTCTGCTGCCTCAGCTTCCCAAGTAGCTGAGACTACGGGCATGTGCCACCATGCTGGGCTAATTTTTGTATTTTCAGTAGAGTTGGGGTTTCTCCATGTTGGCCAGGCTGGTCGTGAACTCCTGACCTCAAGTGATCCACCCGCCTTGGCCTCACAAGGTGCTGGGATTACAGGTGTGAGCCACCGCACCTGGCCTTTATACATATTGCCATTTAAGAAACACTGCAAGAGTCAGATTAGTTCTGTGCAGCCATTGGTGCCTCCAGGGCCTTGCTGTCAGTGCAGGTGCAGACCTGGGCCCTGACCTTGAGACCAGCCTTCACCCAGCTGAGACCCCCTAGAGACAGGCTGTAGCTGCAGAGGAGACCCTGGAGCTTGTGAAGGCTTAGAATACAGACAGTCCGCCCACTTACTATAGAATGTGGGGAAAAGGGCAAATTCTAAAACTGAGAAGTCCACCCCTGGCTGTGTTCTCCATAGCTCTGTTTGAATTTCATTTCTATTTGAAAGCTTTTTGCATTTTAATTGTAAACATTTTATTCATCTGGAAAATACTTGAGCAACTACTGTGTCCCAGGAGCTGCTGTCATCACTGGGAATATGTAGTTGTAAACAAACAGTCCTTGCCCTCATGGAGCTTGTGGCATCACGTGGGAGACAGACAGTAAAGAAACAGATATGTAATATAATTTTACAGAGTGGTAGGGCTCTGAGGAGAAATGAAGCAGAGTAAAGAGAAAGCGTACCAGGGGCTGGGTTGCTCCTCTGGACAGAATGGTCACGGAGATGCTGTGTGACAGTGGGTTTGAGCAGAGACATCAGCGCTGACAGGGAATGAGCCCTGCAGGTGTCTGGGTGAAAAGCACTGGCAGCAGAAGAGACAGCAAGTGCAAAGGCCCTGAGGTGACAGAAAGCTTGGCCTGTTGATGGCCCCAAGGAAGCCTGTGTGCCTAGGAGGATGGAAGCCAGAGGTGAATGATAGTGAGATTGGCGAGGTGAATGATAGTGAGATTGGCGATGCAGCCAAGGCAGGATGCCCCATGCCTGGTCACCAAAGTCCTATTTTAGTTATCAAACTATTTTATGGTGATTGCTGTGGTTGTAATTTAGTCAACAACCATGTGAACAAGATCCTATGTTTCAGTAGATGCTGTAACTCATCATAGTAAAATGAGCGTAGTTTGAATATATAAGGGAAATGGTTCCAACTTGTCTAGCTTAATCACCTAAGTATGTATCACAATCATATCTAGTCATGGTTCTTTTTTTTTTTTTTTTTTTTTTGAGACAGAGTCTCGCTCTGTCTCCCAGGCTGGAGTGCAGTGGCGTGATCTCGGCTCACTGCAAGCTTCGCCTTCCGGGTTCACGCCATTCTCCTGCCTCAGCCTCCCAAGTAGCTGGGACTACAGGCGCCCGCCACCGCGCCTGGCTAATTTTTTGTAGTTTTTAGTAGAGACGGGGTTTCACCATGTTAGCCAGGATGGTCTCGATCTCCTGACCTTGTGGTCCGCCAGCCTCAGCCTCCCAAAGTGCTGGGATTACAGACGTGAGCCACCGCACCCGGCCTATTCATGGTTCTTAGGCAGAGATGTGCACCAGAATCTCCCCGGAACTTTGTCAGAGTCTACCTGTCTGAGCCCCATGGCAGATGCATTTGTACCTGATCAGAAGACAGGGAGATGTGGAGGGATGCTGGCAGGTACATGTTGGCTAATATTTACAGCTGACTCTGATAAACAACTCTAATTAAAACTGGCAAAGAGGCCAGGCGCGGTGGCTCACGCCTGTAATCCCAAAACTTTGGGAGGCTAAGGGGGGCGGATCATGAGGTCAGAAGATAGAGACCATCCTGACTAACGCAGTGAAACCCCATCTCTACTAAAAATACAAAAAAAGTAGCTGGGGGTGGTGGCGGCGCCTGTAGTCCCAGCTACTTGGGAGGCTGAGGCAGGAGAATCGCTTGAACCTGGGAGGCGGAGATTGCAGTAAACCGAGATTGCGCCACTGCACTCCAGCCTGGGCGACAGAGCGAGACTCCATCTCAAACAAACAAACAAACAAACAAAACGGCAAAGAGTTAACAAACATTGTGACTTTAAATTCTCTTTTATTTTTCTAGTCTCCGAGGACTTTGTCTCCTACTCCATCAGCAGAAGTAAGTACCATTTCTTTTTATCATTTTAATGGGTGGAATTTGAGAATTGCTTGGCCCTTCCCTAGACTGGGATTTTTGAAAAAGAACATAACATACAAAAGAACAGAAAAACTGCATGTGGGGTTATGGTGGCTTTGGGGATTACCTCCGTGAAAGAGGAGACTCTAAGACACAGCAATATATTTCTCTTAAATTGGAGACCAGGGAGTAAAAATGGCCTCACTTTAATCTGTGTCTGTGCCTGTAAGTGGAAGCAAAGTGTCTGCAGGAACATAAGTCACTTGTCCCAATGTGGGGCTCTTTGTCCGCATCTATAATTAATTTTTCTGAACCCTAATATACTGAAATGGCCAACAGCCATCATGGCGTATTCTATAAGCAGAGCCATCTTGATGGGAGGTTACTCTGTTTAGTCTGAAATCAATCATCTGATCCTAAAACCAAGCAACTTTCTGGATATTATGAAACTGGACTACTTTTAGGGAATCTCTGTAATTCAAAGTAGTAAAAATACCATAATATTTTCATGGTTTATGACTGCTATGAATTATTAATTTCTACCTATATTCTAATAATTTGCATTGAATTTATGAAGAATTAATTTCTATTGACCAACTGTGCAAGCTTGAAGCACATAATCTGGGGACTTTTTGTTTTGTTGTTGTTTTATTTAATTTATTGTTATAGACAACTAGTATCAAGCCAAAGTTTCCCCTTGCCATTTGCTCTCAAATTCCACAAAGCTATGGTTACTGAGGTGTTCATTTAGTCGTTATTAATGCATTCTTTCAAACTTTTTACTTTTATTGTGCTAGTAGAAATTTCATAGGACAACAGATTCCTAAAATGTAAAATATTCTTTGTACTCTTTCAACTCTTTAGACAGTTTTATATTGTGTGTGTGCATGTGGTTTTTTGTACTTATTACCTAATATATCCTTTTCTAGATTTGGAGATAGGTGACATTTTAGTGGTGCTATGATATTCCATTGAATTCGCATGTCATAATTTCCTTTTTTTTTGAGACAGAGTCTCACTCTGTTGCCCAGGCTGGGGTGTAGTGGCACAATCTTGGCTCACTGCAACCTCTGCCTCCTGGGTTCTAGTGATTCTCCTGTCTCAGCCTCCCAAGTAGCTGGGATTACAGGTGCACACCACCATGCTCAGCTAATTTATGTATGTTTAGTAGAGACAGGGTTTCACCATGTTGGGCAGGCTGGTCGCAAACTCCTGACCTCAGGTGATCCACCCACCTTGGCCTCCCAGAGTGCTGAAATTACAGGCATGAGCCACTGTGCCTGGCCCGTATGTCATAATTTCTTAATTGTGCCCCAATTTGTTGAACATGTAACGCAAATTTTTGCCTTTATGAATAGTAGTACTATGAAAGTATTTGAATAAATTATTCCTCCTTTTAAAGGGCATTTTAAATTATTTTCTTGGGATATGTTTCCCAAAGTGAGAAGTAAAATACCGGCTTTATGGCAACCATCAACTTGTTATTCAGGAGAATTTATTTAAAATGCCACCAGATCAATGTCGTAGACAGTACAGTTTGGTTGGTGGTCAGAACGAAGGAAGAGATTAGAGTCAGGAGTCTGGTTCCGAAGCAGGCTCTGCCCATACCAACTACATGCCTACACACAGGGCTCTTACCAGCTTGGAACCATGTTTCTACATTAGTGGGGGAGGGAGGTGATAGTATGTGACCTACCTTTTCTTGTTATGCAGATCTGGTAGGTATGTGAACATACTTATGAAACGGAAAAGTACAATGTCAGCATGGTCATTGGAATTATTATCTCTTGTCCCATAGCCCTATCTCTATTAAGGTTTATATGTTTTCATCCTTAAAATTTTTTTTTTTTAAAGAAACAGTGTCTCACTCTGTCGTCCAGGCTGGAGTGCACTGGCACAATCATAGTTTACTGCAGCCTCGAACTCCTGAGTAGCTGGGACTGCAGGCATGTGCCATCATCCCTGGCTAATTTTTTACAGTTTTTTGTAAAGACAAGGTCTCGTTGTGTTGCCCAGGCTGTTCTCGAACTCCTGGCTTCAAGCCATCCTCCCACCTTGGCCCCCCAAAGTGCTGAGATCACAGGTGTGAGCCACCACACCTGGCTCTTAAAATTTTGTAATAAGCCCAAGTACTGCAGACTTTGAACAAAATATATTAGCCACAGAATGCTTATTTGCATATAAAATACCTGCAAAATTTGCACATAAAAATAAGTGCATATATTAATCAAATATATATAAACAAGTAGACATGATGGTTCCTTGGCAGTGTTTGTGAAGCGTGGTTCCTACTGAGGCATGGTGATAGCCTGAATGTGTTGAACTTTGTTTCCAGGGGTACCAGGATGTTCGGGATCGGATGATCCATCGGTCCACGAGCCAGGGCTCCATCAACTCCCCTGTGTACAGCCGCCACAGCTACACTCCAACCACGTCCCGCTCTCCCCAGCATTTCCACAGACCTGGTAAGGGTGACTGTTCCTGGATTCACTCTATATAACAAACTATGTTTCTGTGATTTTTTCCCCTACTATTGATAGCACATTGAAAAATCAACGACTAAACATTTCCATCCCTCTCCCAGAGCAAAATGAAAACTGGTATCCAACTATATTTTATGCTCTATCTTTTCTTGAAACATCAGTCATCCTAAGCCTGTGTTCATTTTGATTTATTAAATAATTATATTTTGACAGCGAGCTACTGGAAGCAAGGGGTTTTTTTAAAAATTTTTTTACGATTAACAAAAATCTCTTCACTTTGAGACTTAAAATGGAGATCTCCCAAAGAAAATATTTTGATGTGCTTTTTAGGCATACCAACATCATCTAAAATTCAGTATTAGCCATTTTTAACAGCTGGATTATGTTTCCCTTATCTAGGTGTTAGTAAGCATGCTTGGTTAAGCACTTTCTAGAAAGAGGACTCAGGGCTGTTCTTGATCACTTTTAAGATCGTTCCAACCCTAAGATTTTCAGTCATTCTTAGGAAACATAAAATCATTTCCAACCCTAAGATTTTCCCTCAGACTTGGAAAACAAAATCATTTCCAACCCTAAGATTTTCAATCAGACTTGGAAAACATACAATTATTAGGCATCACTACAGTAGAGAATGCCACAAAGTAGCAGATTTTAGTGGACCTTCATCTGCAGAGAATTTAGTCTCTGTAGCTACTAGTGGGTGTCTCCTGTGTGTAGTGGGAGAAGAATGGAGATCCCAGTACAGATCCAAGATTCCCTGAGAAATGGATTCACAAGGAAGATTCTGGCCTCTAATAAAACTTAATGGTGACAGTGCGCGTCTGTGAAGACTTCATGTTAAGCTTCTTGCTTCTGGACGCATAGATGAGAGCAAACCCATATGCTACCTTTTTAAAAATAAATTGTACAAGAAATGAAACCAAAAGAATTAACAGGATGATAAAAAGCTGCAATCTTCTAAGACCCTAGATTTAATGATCGTAGAGAATTCAAACTATTTGATCCTTTGATAATGTATAATTTTCTCTACACTGATAAATGTTTGTGCTATTTATTGAATTACATTAAATGAAAGTTCTCAGGAATTTTTTTTCCTTTATTTCATGGGCTATTATATTCATTTTATTCATGCCCAGGACGTGAGTCCCGATTTAAGCCTTTGTCCATTTGGGTAATAAGAAATCCTTTATGCTGGGCCAGGCGTGGTGGCTCATGCCTGTAATCCCAGCACTTTAGGAGGCTGAGGCAGGTGGATCACCTGAGGTCAAGAGTTCAAGACCAGCCTGACCAATATGGTGAAACCCTGTCTCTACTAAAAATACAAAAATTAGCTGGGCATGGTGGCATGCGCCTGTAGTCCCAGCTACTTGGGAGGCTGAGACAGGAGAATTGCTGGAACCTGGGAGGCAAAGGTTGCAGTGAGCCAAGATGGCGCCATTGCACTCCAACCTGGATGACAGAGCAAGACTCCATCTCAAAAAAAAAAAAAAAAAAATCCTTTATGCTGCCACCCTGCTCATGTACATATGCTGAGGTCACTGAGACCCCAGCCATGGAGTTGCCGGAGCGGCGTGGGGTTATAGGGGCATTGTTGTTCCAAAGACCCCTGAACAGTGAGGGGAGTGGTCAGTCAACACTCCTTCCCCCAAAAGCTCATGTCCTTACTGAGAAAGTTTCCATCTGTTCCAATTATGGTTCTGATGCCAATAGACTTTAGAATCTTCTCCTTCTCTCCTTTCACAATATATTACATGTATGCCTGATGCCACTTGTTAGGCTTTAAAGTTATTATTTTGAAGGCTGCCCTTCCAAAGTGAAGCTGGAGGGATTCTGATAGCATACTTGTGATCCATATAGAACACCCCAAAGTGTCCACTCCACAAGTTCTAGATGCCAGATGATGATTTAAAACCCCCTCGGTCTGGGTTGAATTTGAATGGTCCATTCTTCCTGAGATAACTGAGTTTCCAGCCTCCAGTCCTCCTGCTGAAGTTCTCGGGATCATATAGACCTCTTTGCCACACAGGGAACACAAACATGTTTTCCTTCTATGTAGGCAAAATCAAATTAAATTTACAGTGGGATGTTTGCTTAAGAAAAAAAAAACCTGACCCTTACATATAAATACAATGATTGTCATTTTTTTTAATAAGCATTTCAGAGGGTTCTGTTGTGTCAGGTGCTTTTTAAAAACAGCTGTTGTTGAGTCTAAATGACGTGCCTGCTACTGGCTGAACAGAGACCATCCGGGTGACCATTTCTCCTCACCAAAGCCATTTATTCTCAGAGAGTGACTCTGTACCCACCTGAACCTCTTTGCAAACTCTCCCCTACTTTGCCTCAGCCTTAGCAGGTGCACTCTTAACCCTTTCTCCTTCCTCCCTTTTCAGCCTCCTGATTAACGTTCTTTATTTTGTTTTCCCTTGGAACGATGGCACTTTCCCTGCTCCTGTGTTAATTTCTGTTCTTCTTTTCTGTTTCCACCGTGCCCTGCCCCTGACTCCTTGCTGCACAGAGCTTTTGTCTCCTGGTGTGCAGAGGTTGTCGTACCTGCGCACCAGCAGCCTCAGCCCCACCCACAGCGACTCCCGCCCCAACCCCCCTTTCCGACACCACTTCATTCCCCATATCAAAGGTAAGGAGGCAGGTTTCTCCAGGCAGCACCCTGCATAGTGGAGATTTATTAGCACCCTGGGAAGGCTAATAAGGTGTATCTCCAAGAGTTAGTGCCGAGCTTTTGAGCTCTCAGCATGCCTGCGTGTGTCATGACTATACCCAACAGTTGTCTTAGAACGGGCATAGCATCTCTCATTGGGAGAAATATGTCACTTCTAAGGGCTCTAGATGAAGAAGCAGGAAGTATGTTTAAGACCATAAGATTTATTATCCACTACTTTGAAAAAAGAAAATATATATATATATATTATTATTTTGTTTTTGGATGCATCGAAACAAAATATAATATATATAATTGGAATATTTTCCTGGGTTCAATACGCAACGTGTCTCAGCAAAACACGACAGTGTTTAGTAACAGATATCCAAAAGTTGTCTTACCGGTGATAAACCATGACCATATTAACATGTTTGGGCAGCATTAAAAGATCTATGGCAACATCAATGTTTCTCTTTGAGCCGACTCTCAGAGCAGTCATCTTTTGATTTGTCCTAACTCCCACATGATGCAGAAGAGAGGCTTTGCCTTCTGTTTTCTGTTCCTGCCTCACATTTCTGCCCCATCCCTTCTTTTTCATCATTGTCGGCAATGCTTCTGCAGCCGTCCTCAGTTGGGACTCTCCACACTGGGGGAGCCGAGAACCCTGAAGAGGCTACAAAGGGGTCATAATTTAAAATTAAGTAGGAGTTCCCAGAATGGTGCGAACTTGATTTGAACCAAATAAACCAATAATAATAGCTGAAGGAGGAAGGAGGAGGCAAGCACAGATGTTATCACAGGTCTTAAAACAGTCCTAAAGGACTCTTAACCATGTGCTGCTCCATGTGTCATGGCCCTGATGCTTCCATTGAGGAGCTTGTTCTGGTTTACTGAATTTTCGTTGTCAGTCTACCGAAGCTTTTTCTTTGTGCTCACTTGGTTGTTGAGCGGCTGAATCCTAAAAGGTACATGTACTGTACTTATCAGTATGCAGTGATTTTATAAATTTGCTAATTTCAGCATTCTCTATGTTTTGAAAATAATATTGCTTATTGAAGCAATCATGCTTATCAAAGACACACATACCTGGAGTTAAGGTACACGTGCCATTTGCCATTAGCAAATTTTTTGATAGGTGCAACACTCTCTAAAACTCTTGACAGATTATTTTACTTTATTTTATTTTTTTATTTTTTATTTGTTTTGACACAGAGTCTCACTCTGTCACCCAGGCTGGAGTACAATGGTGCAAACTTGGCTCACTGCAACCTCCACTTCCCAGGCTCAAGCGATTCTTATGCCTCAGCCTCCTGAGTAGCTGGGATTACAGGTGTGCACCACCACACCCAGCTAATTTTTGTGTTTCTGGTAGAGACTGGGTTTCACTATGTTGGCCAGGCTGGTCTCAAACTCCTGGCTTCAAGTGATCCACCCGCCTTGACCTCCTAACGTGCTGGGATTACAGGCGTGAGCTATCATGCTCAGCCGACAGATTATTTTAAATTATAAGTGCTAATTAGTATTTTGGGGGAAAATTTTTATTTATAAAATGTCAAGATTATACTTTAGAGAATGTTTATAAAATCATAAAGAAATTATGCTGTTTTTTTTTCTTAAAAAAAAAAAAAAACCCTTCAGTTGTGTATTTTAAAGAGACTTTAATATAACAGCCATTAGCCAAATTAAGATTTTGGTTATTTCTGCTGAGGTGGGCAGATTGCTTGAGCCCAGGAGTTCAAGACCAGCTTGGGCAACATGGCGAAACCCCATCTCTACCAAAAATACAAAAAAAAATTAGCCGGGCATGGTGGTGCGTGCCTGAAGTCCCAGCTACTCAGAGGCTGAAGCAGGAGGATTGCTTGAGCCCAGGAGGTGGAGGTTGCAGTGAGCTGAGATCGAGCCACTGCACTCCAGCCTAGGTGACAGAGCAAAACCCTGTCTCAAAAAAAAAACAAAAGAAAGAAAACAAAGATTTTGGTTATTTCTGATATTTAAGAAAAAATGCATTATTGATTCATTAAAATGTAAACTTCCTCACTTGGCTATTATATGTTTTAACTTGTAGAGAGATACTTTTTGTAGAAAGAAAAGTGTCACAGGCCCTATAAAGTTACACAGTTTGTCCAAATAACACAGCACAAAGTGTCCATAAATGGTCAATGACTAATACTGCTTCATGTCCATGAGTGGCCATGTGGAGAGTTGAAAAGCCCATGGGCATTGGAATCTGGGTTCAGATATGATCTCCGTCACTTGCTAGCTGTATCACCTTGGGTTGCTTATTTATCCTGTTGAGTGTCACTTGACTCCTCTATAAATCAAGAACAATGAGACTCCTACATCACGAGGTGAAGTGTCTTGGTGTGGGGCACACCCACCTTGGTCAGCATGGTGCTCTTAAATTGCTTTTTTTTGTTTTTTTGGAGACAGAGTCTCACTGTGTTGCCCAGGCTGGCATGCAGTGGCACAATCTCAGCTCACTGCAGCCTCCGCCTCCCAGCTTCAAGCGATTCTTCTGCCTCGGCCTCCTGAGTAGCTGGGATTACAGGCGTGCGCCACCACGCCTAGCTAATTTTCGTATTTTTAGTAGAGACGGGGTTTCACCATGTTGACCAGGCTGGTCTCGAACTCTTGACCTCAAATGATCTGGCCGCCTGGGGCTCCCAAAGTGCTGGGATTACAGGCGTGAGCCACCGCGCCCGACCTTAAATCATTTTTGATGCCATCATTCTGTTCACTTTTCACAGCATTCTTGGGAAATGGGCTCAGTGAGGAGACCAAGTACAGAGGCCCTGGCTAAGTAACTGTCCAGGGGCTCACCACTAGGACATGGCAGTGCTGGACTAGACCCAGGCCCCCTCCTCCCCAGGAACGCTCCTTCATATGAGGGCCATGCGTTTCAGTATAAATATGTGTGAAGATAATTTTTAAAGCACACTTTTATTTTTCATCCCTTTTAGCCAGAAAATTGCATTCTTATTGACTCTTAGACCAAGAATGATCCTCAGTCATTTAGATCACAAAATTAAGAAATATTTACTTTTCCATAGAAATATTAAATGGTTATAAAAATTATAACACCCCTATGTTCCTAAATGGTGCTTTATTAAAAATGTAGATATACATTCTTTTCTGTTTTCAGTCTGCATTTGAAGTGTTTGACACCGTCAGGTGTTCTGGATTTAAATGATAAAAAGCATTATCCAAAAGGAATTAGTGACCCTGAACTTAAAAACATCTAATAGTCTCTCTCCCTTTTTCTTTTTACTAGACGTGTGCCTATAGTTTGTTCATATGAAATAGTCTTTATGCTTCAGATGCAAAGTGTAATGTACATAACAGTATATACTTAGTTTTTCAATCATATGAGCTTTTTGCCAACCTTAAAGATAAATCATTGGCTGCTTTGGGCACACTGCCTATTGGGCAGTCCTGCTCCACAGGGAGCAGTGTAAAAAAAAAAAAAGATATGTGGTGGAGATTTTGTACATTAAAGATATTGCTTTAAAAGCCTAGTGTATTTGGCTAAATGTGGATTCTCCAAGGAATTACGTCTTAGTTATTTTGAAAAACATGCATCCATTTACATGGAAGACCTCTCCAGCACTTAGAAATTTCTGAATGGGGGGAGCCTATGGCCATTGATAACACATCCAAGATATCTTTGAGATAAGTCAATGTCTTCCAGGGTTTTTTGTGGCCCTTCATTGACTTTTATCTTGGAGCTTGTCTTGGAACTTGAGGGAGTTTTTGTTTGTTTGTTTGTTTGTTTTGTTTTGTTTTTAATGGATGTGAGCTGGGAGCTTGACCTAAGGTAGGATGTCCATCTCAGAGGCAGGGGGCGCCCTTTGCCACTCTGGCAGCCAGAAGCCCAGCCTTCCATTGCCCAAGTCCACTTCCTGTTCCTTGTTTTTGCAGCATGTGACCCAGGCCTGGGGCCTCACTGAGCTGAGGACGCCTGCATGGTTGTAAAGCTGAGATGCACGGCACAGACTGTTTCTCTCCTTCACTGGCTTCCCCATTCATTTTCCATAACATCCATTGTTGGTTGGGTGTATTTTTATTTCTGTCCTCCAAACTTCCTTGTAGCCTCATTCTATCTTAGTATATCTTTGGGCCATTTGGACAACCTTATGCCTAGAGATTTGGAAAAACCATTTTCGCTTTGTTTCGGGCTTCGTTTGTAAAGTGTCTGCTAAGTTTCTCTTGCTTCCCCTTTGAAATACTGCTAGACATGACATTCTGTGTCCATGAAGTATAAATTGGATTTCTGAGCAGGAGGGTTACATATATTAAGTTTCTTTGAAAGGAATCTTTCCTCTTTTGCTATAAATATGAGTTGCCATGATGTAAATATATATTTGACACTTGCTGAAGGAAACCGTAACTCTTATTGACGCTTTAGACAAGAACCGGCAATCTTAAAACTGTCACAAAATTCTGGATGCTGCCAACTTATCTTAAGGTTCCCTCAAGATGTTCATTTATATTTGGGGATGTAAGCACTCTGAGTCCAGAAAGCTAGGCAGTGCTCCAACAGGTCCCCACAGCAGAATCGCACACCCCCATCTCTATTCGCTTGTCTTAGAATTAGTCACTCGGGCTCTCATGGTGCCAAAAAGAAGAATGAAAGTGGAGATGGGCATTTAAATGTGTTAAGTACAGTGAGAGTCCTGTGAGTGAATGCTCCCCTGAGGTCTAAAAAATTAGCTTACTAGGCTAACAGGAAAGGAGGTAAAAATGAAGGCCAAGAAATAGAAATAGAAACATAAATAGAAATATAGTAGCTTGTCACTACAATAGATGAGAACACTAACAACTTAGGGTAGCCCAATCTGAGGACTTAAAGGAACAAAATAGCTATGAGTGTGATATATATATATATATGTACTATTGTATTATGTGCGCACACACACACACACACACACAGAGTAGTTTTGTTTTTTGTTTTGAGGCAGAATCTCACTTTGTTGCCCCAGCTGGAGTGCAGTGGTGCAATTTCGGCTCACTGCAATCTCCACCTCCCGGGTTCAAGCAATTCTCCTGCCATAGCCTCCTGAGTAGCTGGGATTACAGATGCCTGCCACCAACACCTGGCTAATTTCTGTATTTTTAGAAGAGACAGGGTTTCACCATGTTGGCCAGGCTGGTCTCAAACTCCTGACCTCAAATAATTCACCCGCCTCAGCCTCCCAAAGTGCTGGGATTTCAGGCATAAGCCATCATGCCCATGCCCGGCCTATTATTTTTAAACAGTATCTTATTCAGGGTTGATAGATGATGACAACGATGATGATGAAAATAATGATATCTTCCAAATATGATATTTCATCTGGTGTGTCACACATTACTTTGTTTAAGTAAGGAACTATGCACAGATGGCCTCTTAGGGCCCCCATAAGTTATTTCCTGCCAGGGTTGGGTTCAAAGTTATATCATTTAAATAGGGTATTGGCCAGGTGCAGTATCTCACGCCTGTAATCCCAGCATTTTGGGAGGCCAAGGCGCCACAGATCACTTGAGGTCAGGAGTTTGAGATCAGCCTGGCCAACATGATGAAACCCCGTCTCTACTAAAAACACAAAAACTAGCTGGATGTGGTGGCGCATGTCTGTAATCCCAGCTACTTGGGAGGCTGAGGCAGGAGAATCGCTTGAACCTGGGAGGCGGAGGTTACAATGAGCCGAGACTGCACCACTGCACTACAGCCTGGGCAACAGAGCAAGACTCTGTCTCAAAAAAAAATAAAAATAAAAATAAATACAGATAAGGTGTTTAATTTAGAAAAGGGAAAGAGGCCTCTTCCTGAGAATTTTCCTTTTTCTTTTAAAAATGCCCAAAATTTGTCATGCCTTTGGTATTTCAAGGGCTAAGAATTTGGTACCTAGCAACATTATGTATTCCAAGAACTTATTCCCCGATGAGCGGTTGTGATATGTGAAAAGCACATTCTGCAGAATTGCTGAGATGGGTGTGTTATTGGGTCTCTCTTTACCTGATTTTTAAAAATGCTTTGTGGGAAGTTTTAAATGATTATAGTTACATCTGCTTACAAAATTTGAACAAAGTAGTGTTTTTTTTTTTTTTTTAAAAAAAAAACAACTAGAGAGGTGAATGTTTGCTGAAGACATCCAGCCTAATATAGAACCACACCCAACTGGTGACAGCATTCAGCCAGAATCCAGTCCTTGGGAATTCAGACAGCTACTCCATAACCTTTGAGAGGCTTTGACCATATTCAAGAAGTGAGGGGCTTCTACAGGCACTGGCCAACACAGGGTCTTGTTGATAGAAATATTTTAATCCCTGGACAAATGTCTAATTCTAATAACCTTAAAGTTTGTGTCCTGCATATGCAGATATTTTTGTGTGTGCGTGACACTGGCTAATAATGATAAAAACTGATTTAATGGGGGTTCATTTGATTGTGTATTATAACCAAAACCTACGAGAACTTTCCTGGAAACATCTGATTTTCTGCAAGGACAGTGGAGGTCTATGTGAAAGAACAAAAGCATGGGGCAGGGGGGTTCAGAAGCAGTAGTAAAAGTTGAGACCCATTATACCTTCTTTCGAGAAAAGACCGTAAGAATGATTCTGTTTTTCAGTTATGGATTACTCTTGTTAATTTCTAATGTTCATAGGATTAAATCATTTTTCTTCAGTGAAACATTTATATTGGAGTTGTCAAAGATTAGCTGTAATGGGAAACTTATAAAAGGGGTGTTGTTGTGAGCCCAGTGCTGTACACAGGTCTTTACTTATCATCATCATTTACTTGGAAACTGTGACTTAAGTGAATTGAAATATTAAAAAAACTAGTTTTTCCCCTCATCAGTGTTCTAGGTTGAAATAAACGACGTTCTTCAAGGACCTGCTATATGTTGTTTTGCTTAAAGTTGCAGTTTCCAGCCGGGTGCGGTGGCTCACGCCTGTAATCCTAGCACTTTGGGAGGCCGAGGCGGGTGGATCACGAGGTCAGGAGATTGAGACCATCCTGGCTAACATGGTGAAACCCCGTCTCTACTAAAAAAATTCAAAAAATTAGCCGGGCGCGGTGGCGGGCGCCTGTAGTCCCAGCTACTCAGGAGGGTGAGGCGGGAGAATGGCGTGAACCCAGGAGGCGGAGCTTGCAGTGAGCCAAGATCGCGCCACTGCACTCCAGCCTGGGCGACAGAGCGAGACTCCGTCTCAAAAAAAAAAAAAAAAAAGTTGCAGTTTCCTGTAACCTGTTGATATTAAGTGAGGACTTATTGCACTAGCATCTGGCTTCCTTTAATTTAGAGAAAATTGATGGTGAATCTTGCCATGGTGCTTGCTAAATTAGGCCAATAAATAGCTGTGGAGGTAATTAATTGGCCTCCTTCAATCATTCATTCACAGACATTTATTAAGCACTTACTCCTGGCCAGGCGATACCCTGAGCACTGATGATGACAAATGAGACCAAGTTTTAATTCAGCAACAGGTTTAAAACACTATTTCCTTCTAAATGCAAATTATAATCTTCCTTCCCCTGTTTTCCTCTGTGTTTTTTATACTCATTTTTTCCCGATAGGAACTAGTTACTTCTCTTTAGGAGAGGGATAAATGAGATAACATTTTTATAAATTAGCTTTTTAATAGATCAATAGTTTGGGATGATATTTCATAATTTTTAGGAACTAATATATGACTTAAATAATAAAGTCAACATTATAACATATTTGGGTCTGGATGCTAAACCAGCTCTTGAGAAGAAAAGACAAAAGTTTCAGAACACCAATAACCAAAAGCCAGAAATCTAAATTTGACTCAGTAATAGACACAGATCCCATATTTGGAATATCTTACTGCCCATTTAGTGTAGATCTGTACTCTGGTTACTTAAAAATGTACATGCTGAGACATTAAAATTCTCTTAAATGTATATTCAAACGGTAACAATTGACATCTTTCACACTTGACTGGATAGATTTAGAAAAATTTGACCTGAAGCAACTGGCCAGACCTCTATTTTCTGATGATCTATGATTTATTTAAAATTATTAGTGTTAATAGATAAATAAATTGGACTTTATCAAAAATTTTAAACTTTTGTGCTTCAAAGAATTCCACCAAAAAAGTGAAAAGACAACCTACAGACTGGGAGAAAATATTTGCAAGTTCATATTATTTCTGACAAGAGACTTGTATCCAGAATATATAAAGAGCTCTTACAACTCAGCAGTAAAAGTCATTACCCCTACTAATTTATTGAGCTTTAATAGTCCTGCATCTTCTGGTGTCTTCTTGAGACAAGATGTTTGCCCAGACATAGGGTAGGAGGACAATTTAGGCCAGTTACAAATCTCTTTCTAATTTTGCACAAGCTGAATTAGTTTATCTTGGCCATTCTCCTGGTCAGAAGGGAGTGATGGTGGCTATGGTGGCACTTAAAGCTTTTGCAGCCACCCCTTTGCTCTCTTTTCTGCCCTGGTCCCTCTTCTCTCCTCCAAGAGCACCATGCCTTCCAGACAAGGTGGCCAGTCCTGTTGCTCCTCCAGTCTGCACCCTTCCACACCCTCCTTTCTCATGACATTCCAGCTGTCTGGAATATGGGCTTCCCACCCTCCCATTCACCTACCCTCTCACCTGGTGAGCTTACTCTTTGATGCCCAGCTCAAACCTAGCTTGAAGAATTGGTGTCACCTTCATCTGAGTCTCATAGCATTTTTCTTATACCTCAGAGTAAACAATTGCATGTCATTATATGGCATTTAAGTTTGTCTCCTTAGATAGCCTCTAAGTCCCTTGAGGGCAGGGACTATATCTCATTCATCTATTTGTCCTCAGTAGTACTCAGTGCCCAGCCATAGTAGGTGTTCAATAAATATTTCAATGATTGAATCATTGGCCTGGGTTGAGCCTCATCTTTGAAGTGAAAGATGGGGAGAGGTATAAATGGTCGTGAAATACCTGGCTGACACGCGTCTGACTCTATTTTATATATTTCAAAGTGAGGAAAACAGAAACATATGCAAACACGCTGCAATTGAAGGCACTTTGTATTCCTAAGGGGAAGGACTTGGTGACCACACGGGTTCCCAGACTTAACCTTCAGATCGGAGAAACCTCTGCTAATTGCCAGCTGCTGCCATCATGCTTGAGAGTGATTTGTATTTGGGTTTGCCTAGCCCGCTCCTTTACACGCTTGGGATTTAACCACCTGACAACTGATCCTGAATCATGAGCAAGCAGCTTTCCATCGCTCCCAATCTCCCCTCCATCTAATCAGTTTGCTGCGAGCTCACAGCTTTCAATGCATGCCATTGGAATGACGCACCTGACCGCTAGCTGCTTCTAACCCAGCTCCACCTGAGTTCAAATCTCTGCAACGGAAAACTAAACCTGATATCACCTTTGCAAGTCAAGTTGATAAATTGAGTTTGTTTCTTTTGTTTCTCCTTTTTGATGAACCTCCTTCCAGTCTGTTGTTTTGAATTTTTATTACACTTGCTTTGTTTTCTTTGTTTCTCTCTCCCTTCTCTCATTTTGTTTTTTCCATTCTTCTCATTGGAGGCAATGAGCCGTCCAGCGGCCGGAACTCCCCTCTCCCTTACCGGCCAGACAGCCGCCCTCTAACTCCAACTTACGCTCAGGCCCCTAAACATTTCCATGTTCCAGGTAGGAGCTGACACAGTCTGTGTCTTGGTGTCCTGTCACAGTGTAGAATGTAGCCTTGTAACCTCGTCTTGTCTCATCTCTCATGCTCTTTTAATTGGGATGCACAGTTAACAAACCCTAAATTGCAGGATCTGACCTAGGGGGCCTTTCAAAAGTTTTATGTGTTAAATGCCAGGATTATGTTGAAGGTTTATGTTTTCTAAAATAATTTTTGAAGAGTGTGGGTGATGGGTAAAAGCAGTTGGGTTGTTTTGTTTTGTTTTTTACTAAAATTTTAATTGTACCTTTTTATCATTGCCTTCTGAGATATCTTTCTGTGGTTTGCTGTCATTGACTAATTATGGCAATGGCAATCTAGTTATCTTCTCATCCTAAAGACTGAACCACAGTATCACCTGAGAGAATACTTTTATATTTCCTGTTTTTCTCTAATGTGGAGACTTTCTCCAAGGACTTTTCAGAGAGATGTAGAATTGGGTGAATTGGTTGGTCTTTCTGCAGCGCATAACAGACTAGCCATCTCCATAGCCCGTGAAGATATCTTGCAATTTAGGCTTGGTGCTGCAAGCTTTGCTCTAGTAGTCACAAGCATTTGCTGTCATAATGCAAATAGTAATTTGACATCAGAAACTGAAATAATCAGAGCCCATTAATATAATATCTTAATGTTTAGAATCAGCTCACTTTGTAAGGACAGGATTAGCCATCAGAGGTAATAATACTATATTTCTACCAGCAGTATATTGTTTTTTGCTTTGTTTAGCTACTGAAAGTAGTTTAATAAATTACCCACTATATTAATGTAAGTGTACATATTTAGAATCTATAATCATTTTTTTCTTTTGCTTCTAAACTTACCTAATAAAACAGAGGAAAGTTCACTGAGATTTATATCACTTAGTTGGGACTGTCCTTTCTAAAAAAGTTTAATTGAATCTTGAAAATTAATGTTCTATATCTGGGATTTTTCACATAAAAATGCCCCACCAAGATACAGTGCCCACGGTTCTGGGGAAACAGAAACCTTTTGAAATTTCCTGAGTATTTATAGTTAAAGCAAAATGGTTCCATAATCCAAGGGGGTCTTGTATAAATATATACATAGTGTTTAGCATCTCTTTTCTTTTTCATTCATTCTTTTTTTAAAAAATTTGGCCTGTATAAATTAGGATTTGTTGAACATCCCATCAGCACACCAGGCTAGCCTTGCACATAAAAAGTTTCTGTTTTTTTTAAAAAAACTTTTGATTTTTCTACATTGCTTTCCACTGTTCCACTCATTAGTTGAAAAGTAAATTGAGCCACTGGTATCTACTGGGGGCTCAATTTCTAGACAATAGCAATTTGGGCATTTTCCCCAAGCTGGTTATGTCTTTCTCACCATAAGAGTACCTCCACTGCTTGCGTTTCTTCCTGTTTTAATCCCACTTTCAATGAAGTGTGTATTTGAAATAAATGGCTCATGAGTTAATCACATCTTTATATATCCTAAGATGTATTACAAAGGCTTCCATAACACTTGTCTATAGTAAGCCACTCATTTCTATAATTTTTCTTTCAATAAACTCAATCTTTGTAATACAGAAATTAACCTTCTGGGTTGTTTTTGTTCAAGATCTTCAGTTTGATTTGCCCCTTGGTTGATCTGTTTTTCCCATCGCTGAACTGGTTCCCATAATCACACACCTTTGCTTTTCATTTCCACAGATCAAGGAATCAACATTTACCGAAAGCCACCCATCTACAAACAGCATGGTAAAACCCGCTTTCCTCCGCGTAGCTTTTAAATAGCAAAGTCAGCTGAACTTCTCCTTGCTGTCCTCTGAAAGGCTTTTCCTGCTGCTGCTTTTGAGAGTAAAACTGGGGCATCCAGCATATTATGCCTTTCTGGTCTACTAAGATGTAAATATTGTAAAATTGATTCTCCTGGATGGAGAGACTTAGCTTGATTAGAAAGCTTCTAACCTGTTGCTGAGCCCATCAAACCATGTATCATTCTGTTCCTAGAGAAGGGGAAGTACTGGTCACACAGCAACTCACAAACATCCTAGCAAGTCTTTTTTCTTTTTGCCATCAAATATAGTCACCCTTTAAAATAATTTTGATGAGACTAATTTAAACTGGTGAAAAACCAGCCACCTAGAAAAACTAATTTGACTGAGCCTACATCAACTTGGCTGTCCAGGTCTCCAGTTTCTTATTGGGCATGAAGATGTGTGCACAGTGGAGTGGACAGGATACAGGCTAACACAGAGGTCAAGGCTCTGCTCCCACTTTCTCCCTAAATGGCTCTGTGACGTCATTTCTCTGTGCTTCAGTTTTCTCTTCTGTAAAAACCAGTTAGTTAGATCAGTTTGTCTCTGAACTTCCTGCAAACTAAGAATCACTAACGTGGATGTATAATTCTGTTTTCCTTTTTTTAACTCAGGAACTCACATGACTTTATGTAAATCACATTTTCCTCCACCATTATTAAGTCTCTGTAGATATATCGACCATAAATCTTTGTGAAAAGATATCTAAAGCTGGTCTTCAGGCGTTTTCAGAAAATTCTACACAGATTGTGCCTGGAAATTTGAAGGCTGCCTTTAGAATTCAGCTGACATTCATGAGTCCTTAAGAATTAGGATAACATGAGGCCAGGTGCAGTGGCTCACACCTGTAATCCCAGCACTGTGGGAGGCCGAGGCAGGTGGATCATTTGAGGTCAGGAGTTCAAGACCAGCCCAACCAATGTAGCGAAACCCTGTCTCCTCTATTAAAAATACCAAAAAAGTTAGCTGGGCGTGGTGGCGCACACCTGTAATCTCAGCCACATGGGAGGCTGAGGCAGGAGAATCACTTGAATTCAGGAGGCAGAGATTGCAGTGAGCTGAGATCACACCACTGCACTCCAGCTTGGGCGACAGAATGAGACTCTGTCGCCAAAAAAAAAAAAAAAAAGAAAGAAAGAAAGAAGAATTAGGACGATGTGAAAATCAAAATCAAATAACATTGAAAATGCGTAAGGAAAAAAATTTTAGACCAAAATCAGGAAGACAAAGAGAAATGTATGTATCGTAATGGTTCTAGAGCTATGATTTTTTTTCTCATCTTTTTTTTTTGAGGTTTTAAACCATACGCTTGCTTTTTAAGTTTGTTAACATTGTTTTTGTTTTTTTTTTTTTATGGTTTATTGTCTTTCCACACACTCATTAACATGTGAATGTTTAACTACTGACTTCACCAATTCTAATGCGTAAGTACTGTTTGAAGTCATCCTTTTGTTGTTAATTTAAGAATAAAATTCTCAGCATTTGATTTGTCAACTTACAGGCTTTAAAAAATACTATCTTTAGGTCCTCCTCTCTGAACAAAAATAATCAAATAATTAAAATTTAAGGAGATTGGATAATGTTAGATTATTTGTTTGGAAGGAATTAGTTGACTTCTTTTCATAATATTTACTTTGACTGAAGTCTTTCAGGCTGTTATAATTAATTAAAAATAGCCCAGCCAGAGCAGCGCTTTCCAAAGGATGTTTTTGCAAAACAGCCATTCCATGCCAAAGAAATAGTTGTTATGCCCAAAACTGGTGTCTGTGCCCTGATGCGTTTGAGAAAGGCTAGATTTAAATCAAGTCACATTTGTTCTTCATAATGCAGAACTTCTGAGAACTTCTTATATGCTAACATGTTTTGTCCATCTTTAAGAAGGGGATTTCCTATGTAGTGTTTTCCAAGCTGAAATGGTTTTCTCATGAGGTTAGAGATTCAGAGGAACACTGTTTCATGCCTGGCCAAGACTTTACCTCCTAAACTGGGCACAGTGGCCCACACCCATAGTCTCAGCTACTTGGGAGGCTGAAATGAGAGACCTGCTTGAGTGCAGGAGTTAGAATCCAGCCTGCACAACATAGCAAGACCCTATCTCCAAGGAAGGGAAAAAAGACTACCCCTTTGTATTGGGTGACCTTGGTTGAGTTATTTAAGCAAATTGAGACCCAGAAGGTTACCCGAAAAATGGAGGACTTAGAGCTGAAGATTCAAAAGGTTATTTCCAGATTTTAAAATATGTAAGCCCAGAAGAAAAAAGTTATTTAAGGCATTATAAATACATTTTGAAATATTTAGTGACATCCCTGGCCGATTTGCAAAATTAGCCAGAATCAGGGACTGTCCATTTAACCTGGTTTGTTTTGCTCCATCTCTGTAGGTTAGATCTGGGGCTCTAAGCTGTGACTCCTCCTCTAAGCATAGCCAATAAGAACTTTGTGAACTAATATTGCTGCTAGTTTGGCTTTTGTTGTTTTAAAGTTGGATAACTCACTTGTGTGCACAGACCTTTGAACAAAACAATGAGTGGAAACGGCAAACATAAGTTTCAATGCCAAATTCCTGCAAGCTGAAAGTGGATTTTCCAATTTCCATTTCTCCTAGGACTCAAGGACACATGTATTTAGTATATAAGGATTAGAATGAAGTGGACCAGACAGGGTGTGGTGGCCCATGCCTGTAATCCCAGCACTTTGGGAGGCCATGGTGGGCGAATCACCTGAGGTCAGGAGTTCGAGACCAACCTGGCCAGGAGAAACCCTGTCTCTACTAAAAATGCAAAAATCAGCTGGGCATGGTGGTGCATGCCTTTAATCCCACCTACTTGGGAGGCTGAGGCAGGAGAATCCCTTGAACCTGGGAGACAGAGGTTGCAGTGAGCCAAGATTGTACCACTGCACTCCAGCCTGGGCGACAGAGTGAGACTCTGTCTCAAATAATAATAATAATAATAATAATAAAAGAATGATCTGGACCAACATATTTGTGGCTTCTTGCCCAAAGATGCAAAGCCCGCCAACCCTCTAATGATTAACAACTACAGTCAAGTGATAGCGTCATGCTTTCAACTTAGCTCTTTAATTTTAGATTACTAATTACTCTAGGAGAGTGTTGTCCACTGGAACTTTCTATAAGGATGGAAATGTTCTATATCTGCACTGGCCAGGACAGTAGGCACTAATCACATGTGACTACTGAGCAGTTGAAATATGGCTAGTGAAACTGAGGAGCAGAATTTTAATTGTATTAATTTTTTTTGTTTAAATAGCCTCATCTAGCTAGTGCTGGGCAGCACTCTAGAATAGGGTTTTTCAGATGTAGAACACATGTAGAATGAAGCTTTGCTTCTGACGTAAAGTAAGGAAAATGAGTTGACTTGTCAATAGGTACCTCTGAGTGACTGGGCCATGGATAATGGTAATAAACAGAACTTTCTGGAACTGAAACTTTTGCCAGAGAACAAGAAAACTATGTAAGTGGGGTTGTACCGCCATTGTCTTACAGACCAATAGCTAAGCAACCCCTGATTCCCATCTAGATGCAGCTGCCTTGGCAGCCCAGAGCAAGTCCTCAGAAGATATCATCAAGTTTTCCAAGTTCCCAGCAGCCCAGGCACCAGACCCCAGCGAGACACCAAAGATTGAGACGGACCACTGGCCTGGTCCCCCCTCATTTGCTGTCGTAGGTATGCAACTGTCACGGCTAAGTCAAAGGGACAAACTGCTAGGAGAGCTCAAGATGACATGCTTAAAAACATGAAAGAAAATGTATCCTATTATGAAGATTTTAAAGAAAAGTATGACCAAGAGGTAGCATAGTGAAAAGAACTAACGTGGTATTAACTTGTTGTACAAAACGCTTAAAAGTTACAAAAACACATCCACCAGAGTCTTGTTCTAACCAAACCCACTGGGATCCAGAACTGGTCTAAAACCAATGGTTTGCATGGACTCTCAGAGTTAATACTGCAGAATCAGTAACTCTGTTGAACATAGTTGAGTGAAAGCCTTATGGCAAGAACATTGTTCTATATAATTAGAGTCTAGTGGGTGAATTTACCGAATGTTTGTAGAAGCATGACTTCTTTCAGTTAAATTTGTTTTAGACTATTTCTGGGTTGTAGTTATAATTCTTAACAACCAATCTTAACACTGAAGCACTTTCATTTTTCTTGTAAGATCATGTTGTCCATCATGCAAAAGGGCTATTGCAGAGTAGTAGGTGTTCTGAAATATTACTTCTGTGAAGTTATGTGATTTTACATCTACCATTTTCATGAATTCTGTGCTAAAATGTCATATTTCAGCTGTTTCATTCTTTGCTCCATGCTTTCCAATTATGTCTGTGTCTTTACTATATTATCAGTAGTGAACCTACTCGGCCTAAAAAGAAGTATTAGCAAACCCAGAAGCTAATACTGAAAATTTAGCGAGTCAGCTTTACAAAGACACGATCTTATCACATTTCTGTTAACAACCTAAAAGGCCTTCAATTTTCCAAAATGTCCTAATCTTCATTGTGCTATTTTTAATAAGTTATTTTTGGAATATCTTTCACAAGCAATACAAGTGGATTTTAAATCAATTGATACTTATAGAAAGAGTTTAAGGAAAAATCTACCTCCTAAGTTCATTATTCACAAGTGTTGTGTACATTATATTAATGAAATTTATCTAGTCCTTGCAAACTTGTGCCTATTGATTTTCATTAGTGTAAACTAAAGAGAGAAACTTCACACTGACATTTATAATTGTAAGAACTAAGAACCAACCATCAGCTTTTCTATGCCAATCCATGCCCTTCAGGAAGTTCTTGAGGCCTTGAGGTTGCTAGTTTAGTAAATTGCTTACTGGGACATTAAAGCAGCTACATTTTGGAAAGAGGGAGAATTAAGTTTTTGTTGTTGAATTTATTATCACTAAGTAGTTTAAAGCTCTTTTAGATTCCAAAAGGAGGAAAAATTTCAGGTCCATTAATCAAAATGCTGAAAACTAAGACTATTAGTTAAAGTTTATTTTGATTAGATTAGCAAACTTTCCTGTTTCCTCCCACAGCCAGATTAATCCAAGCAATTTAGGAAAACAATAATTATCTTAACCTCTCAACCATTCAGACAGATTCCTCCTTTCCTTTCCCTGTCTCCCCTTTCCAGAAAGCTAAAAAATTGAACACAATTTACTATATTGTTCCAAAGTAAAATTGTACCTGTATTAATGCTTTTGATTTACCTATTAGTATAAAACTCTTTTGTGACCATTTTTCAAAGGATGAGAAAAAGAAAACCTTAGAGACCCATTTCTCGAAAGAAATAGTAAAAGTATGCTTTTTATTGAATTTACTAAGAGTAGAAGACAGAGTGATAGTATTATGAAATTCTAAATATTCAGAAAAAGAGAAAACTACAAGGTTTAAACGCATGTCACAAAACAATGACTATCTTACCTATCTGTTGGTATGTAGATAAATTTGCATTTCTTTCTATTTGAAAATTGAGGCTGGGCGTGGTGGCTCACGCCTGTAATCCCAGCATTTTTGGAGGCCAAGGCAGGAGGATTAGTTGAGCCCTGGAGTTTGAGATCAGCCTGGGCAATATAGTGAGACCATGTCTCTATAAAAAATATTTAAAAATCAGTAGGGTATGGTGGCATACACCTGTGGTCGCAGCTACCCAGGTGGGTGAGGTGGGAGGATTGCTTGAGCCTGGAGGTCGAGGCTGCACTGAGCCATGATTGCATCACTGTACTCCAGCCTGGGCAACAGAGTGAAACCTTGTCTCAAAAAAGAAAGGAAAAAGGAAATTCACTTCAAAGACATCAAAATAACAACTGGAGATGCCCTTCCATTTACTAAAGTGATCTCTGACCAGTGAACTTAGACTAAGTTGCAAACCCAGTTCTAATGGAGCAGGGAGGCCTAAATTCAGGCCTTCCTTGCATTGCACGTTGACCTGGCTTGTCACACAGGGCCATTTTCTTGAGAAACCAGCCAGTAGTGCTGAGTTGGTGGCAGGCATTTTTGTTTTCTCTTGTATTGTTTACTTAAAAGTGTTAAAGACCGTTGCTGACCTTGCCAGCCTAACAAACTGAACACAGATGGACTAGCCCGTTAAGATTCCCTTGTCTTGGGGCTGATGTGAGAAGTTGTCTTTGCTGTGGAATTAGGACCTGACATGAAACGCAGATCTAGTGGCAGAGAGGAAGATGATGAGGAACTTCTGAGACGTCGGCAGCTTCAAGAAGAGCAATTAATGAAGGTTTGTCCTTAAACTACCTTGCTGCTGTCTTCAATGCTAGTTACATAAGATCTATATTTTTTGAATGACTACTATGTATAAACCATCTAGATAGGCAAGAGGTGGTCCCAGTCTTCAAGGGGCTTGAAATCTGGCAGGCAAGGCAAGACAGGTGTCTGTTAATAGTAACTAGAATATGGCAGAATACCTGCTGGGCTCTAGAGGAGATGGCATTGGTGCTGGAGGTCAGAGGGGTGTGGAAGGTTTGGGTTGTTGTGGGAAGGAAAGAGAGACCACATGGGGGCATGTGTGCAGTGCATGTGTTGAAAGGCTGCTGGAGGGCCAGGCAGAGCAAGGTGGTATCCACCCAGGTAGTGCCACACCTTCCTTCCCTCATGCAGTTCTGCTGAAGGAATGACTGTGGGATTGAACATTTCTCCAAGTCTTTTCCCAGGATGTGGGCCAGGAGAAAAGGAATGAAAGGAATGGCCACCATGAAGGGGTCCTCTTCATACCCTCCTTCCTGTAGCAAGGGCCTGCAGCAGCCCAGAAGGACAGTCTGTTATCAGTCAAGAGGCTGCTGAATCCTTTCAAATGATGTTTTCTAAGCATATAGGAAATGCACGTGATATTAGTCAAAGGATACAAAGTTGCATTTATAGTATGATCTCAGTTTTATATGTGTGTATACAAAAATACTAGATAGATATAAATCAAAAGATAGTGTTATTTCTGAGTGACATATTATGGGTTACTCTTCTTTTCTTCTAGATTTTCCAAAATCTGTAAAATTAGCATGTATTACCTTTATTTCTTGTTTTTAAACAAATCAAGGCAATTTCTTTTTAAAGGATACCAGCCCCAGTCTTCCCTTCCCACATCAAAAATCCACACACACTCACACATGCCTTCTGAGGTCTCCTGGCTCTTTAGGGAAAGCAGAGGAAGGAAAACGTTCTTCTAACACAGAGCCTGACTTAGGGAAATGGAGCTTTGAAACTGAAAGGGCTAAGAGGGTTTAGGGTCCCAAACTTGACCTACCTCTTCAGGAACTACCAGGCTCTGGGGCCACATGCATTCAGGCCCTCCAGCAAGAGAAACTTCTTGTGGGATCTGCTACAAAGAAACTGCAGCTCCATGAAAGTAATTGCAAGCTTTGCTTTCTTTTTTTTTTTTTTTTCCTTTTTTCTGTGAATAGCTTAACTCAGGCCTGGGACAGTTGATCTTGAAAGAAGAGATGGAGAAAGAGAGCCGGGAAAGGTCATCTCTGTTAGCCAGTCGCTACGATTCTCCCATCAACTCAGGTAAGCAGCAAACCCCCAACCTTCCCTGATTCGAGAGCCAGCCACCTGCTTGTAAGGCACCTGCCTTGACTGTTCACTTGTGGTGGAACCTACAGAGTATTCCACGGGAAAGGAAGTGTGGGAAACCCACTCCATGTCAAATGAGCTCATAAGCATGTCATGGGTCTTCCATAAATGTGTGTTTCCTTTCTTCTGGAAATGGGTGAACCCTTGGAGGTTCTCAAAATCCATGAAGGCCAATCCCCATATACTAGGTTTGTCTTCTAGAACACTCATCTCCAAGGGAAGCAGCAAAAGGAAATCCTCTAAAAAACATGATGCTTTTCTTCTTCTTCTTTTTTTTTTTTTTTTTTTTTAGATAACATGAATAAGACATTTTCTAAGCATTATGATTTTACATTAATATCTTCAATAGAGGCCGGGTGCGGTGGCTCATGCCTGTAATCCCAGCACTTTGGGAGGCCAAGGCAGGCGGATCACCTGAGGTCAGGAGTTTGAGACCAGCCTGGTCAACGTGGCGAAACCCCATCTATACTAAAAATACAGACATTAGCCAGGCGTGGTGGTGGGCTCCTGTAATCCCAGCTACTCGGGAGGCTGAGGCAGGAGAATCACTTGAACCTGGGAGGTGGAGGTTGCAGTGAGCTGAGATCACACCATTGCACTCCAGCCTGGGCGACAAGAGTGAAACTCCATCTCAAAAAAAAAAAGAAAAAAAATCTTCAATACAAGAACTGAGGATGAACAGTGTTTTTGATACTTTTGAAGAAGATGACTTATACACTGGGCTGAAATAGCCTATCAGTGTATTTTCCCCTGTATCTATTTGTCATAAGCCAATTCTCTCTTAAACCACAAGATTTCTTCTCTCATATTCTGAGCTAGAGCATAATTTTCTCCTCTAAGAGTTCCTTTAAAAATGCATTTAGTGGGGAGACCAAGGCGGGCAGATCACAAGGTCAGGAGATCGAGACCATCCTGGCTAACACAGTGAAACCCCGTCTCTACTAAAAAATACAAAAATCAGCCAGGTGTGGTGGCGGGCTCCTGCAGTCCCGGCTACTCGGGAGGCTGAGGCAGGAGAATGGCGTGAACCCAGAAAGCTGAGCTTACATTGAGCCAAGATTGCGCCACTGCACTCCAGCCTGGGTGAGAGTGAGACTCTGTCTCAAAAAAAAAAAATGCATTTAATGTTCACTCCATGCAAGCATTTTTGCTAAACATTTTATTTAATGTTCACAACATGCCAGTGAAGTAGATGTGGTTGTTATTAGCAACTGCAGCATTTTCATCTCTATTTTAGAAATCAGGAGGCTGGTATAGAAATTGAGTTAACATACCCAGCGTGATACGCCAATAACTAGCAAGACTAGGATTTAGAAGTCCACATATTATAACCCCGGAGCCCACACCCTTACCTGGAATTCCCGCTACCCTTCATAGATGCCTCACTGGCATTGATCTTGGATTCGGTGGTTTACAAATCTTTAGAGTTCCTTGGAATTCTGAGATTCTGCTCTATAAGAATGTATAACATTGTACCTGCATAGATGAAGAAATGAGGACTTCAGAAAGATTAAACACCATGTCCGGAGATACAGAGGTATTAAGTTGCAGAACCAGAATTCAAGCCCAGGGCTGCTCCCTCTCAAGCCCAGCAGCTTATCAGGCTTCCATATCATTGACAGATACCCTGTATCAGGCCTCCCAGGAGGCCAGCTGTAGATGGCTGGTAGATCTTGATAACATACAGGGTTGGCTTCCAGTTCAGTTACTGCTGCCTTATCAACTGGGGCATGGGCTAATGTATTCAGATATCCCTGATTTACATCCTTGCTCAGCTGTTTAGAAGCTTAGTAACTGTTGGCAGGATATTTTTCTTAGCCCCTATTTCTCCTTCTGTAATATGGAACTAATAATCATAGTGTTATTAGGGTTATATTGAAGATTCAAAGAAATAAAGCATGCTGAACACTTAGCTCCATGCCAGAGCTATAGGAAGCACAGCCAGCTTCAGCCCCCACTCAACCGCGTGGACTTGACTTTCCCTTCCCTCCTCAGTCATATCACTGTCCACCCACTCCTTGCAAATATGATGGCATATTTTTGAACATTTGAGCCCAATATGATTTGAATTTTTTTGGTATTTCTATCCTGTGAGGTAGAAGATACTGCCAATTTCATTAAAGGATTGGACCTTCTGATTTCCTAACAATTGGTTTTTTACTTTTTTCTTACTCAGCTTCACATATTCCATCATCTAAAACTGCATCTCTCCCTGGCTATGGAAGAAATGGGCTTCACCGGGTAAGATTTCTCCCCGATTCATTGTTTCTGCCTTTACTCCCACCTCGGCCCTGGTTGAAGTATTGACACATTGCCTGAATACGTCTGACTCTTGATCTCAGTGTTGGAACATAATGAAAATTTTAACCTCCCTGGTTGCCTAGTAAATTAATTTGAGTTACAGGCAAAATAAAATGTTTCTATTGAGAGAAGAAGAAATTAACTTTAGATAAAAGAATGGCTTGTGTATGATTATGGGAAAACTAAATTGCAAAACTGTATGGCAAATATTTTTTACAATGAAACAAAAAGTAATTACTTGAACCATTATCTTTGCTGTAAAAAGATATAAGAATGTGTGTTATAACCATCCTCCTCACAAAAGATGGAACAAATACAATTATGTAACTATGTAGGACAATGCATTTTTATTTATCAGCAAGAGATCCCTGCTTACCAAGAGCCTGCTGAGTGGTGGCATTAGTACACTAAAAAAGACAAAGAGATGGCATAGCAGTAGAAGAATCATAGGGAAAAAAAAAATGAAGGTCTGACATTTAGCTTGGGAAGAATTCCTAGGATTTTGTAAACTCTTTCTTCCTTTTCACCTGACTCCAAAACGATCACTATGGAGATTTCCTAATAATTGTTTTTCCTCATTTCAGCCTGTTTCTACCGACTTCGCTCAGTATAACAGCTATGGGGATGTCAGCGGGGGAGTGCGAGGTGAGGCTCCCATGGCCAGGCTGAGCATGGCCACGTCTTCCCTCGAGGCTGAGGTTCATGAGAGTCAAGTATACTGGCTGTGTTCATGCTGTATTGTATCCTTAGAGTAGGATCACATCTGTCTTCTGTGAGCTAATAGGGCAATTATTTACAAAATTTCAAAGAATATCTAATGAAATCAAACTGTAAGAAGTGAGTTTGTGAGAATTTATTCATTGCTCATACTATGTGCTGAGCACTCTATCAGATACCTAGAGGCCAGGCATGGTGGCTCATGCCTGCAATCCCAACACTTTGGGAGGCTGAGGCGGAAGGATTACTTGAAGCCAGGAGTTCTAGACTAGGTTGGGCAACAAAGTGGGCCTGTCTCTACCAACAACAACAAAAACAACAACAACAAATTATAATAATTAGCTGGTGGCACATGCCTGTAGTCCCAGCTACTTGGGAGGCTGAGGCAGGAGAATTGCTTAAGCCCAGGAGTTCAAGGCTGCAGTGAGCTATGTTCATGCCACTGCACTCCAGCCTGGGTGACGGAGCAAGACTGTCTCTTAAAAAAAAAAAAAGTAACTGGAGGTACAACAATAAGTGAGACATGGCCCCTGCCCTCAAAATGCATATGGCAGAAAGAAGGTCTGTGTGATGAACATTGGGATCAGAGATGCAGAGAAGGAAGCAGTAAGTACCTTTAGGTTGTCAGCGAAAGCTTCCAGGGGAAAATGTTTTAACTGTTAACTAACACTGGACCAGGCATTTCTTGGCTTCAGGGAGGCTGATGGGATAACATGTGCAGAGTCTGGGAGCAGAAAAAGAACATGGTTTATAGGGCGAATATGTTGGGAATTTCAATATAATATAGTCTGTGAATGGTTCCTTGCTTTTCCATGGTCTTTCCCTTATGATATTTTCTTTTCCTTTCCTTTTCAGATTACCAGGTATGGAACACTTTGTCTTTCTTGAATTGGCCACACCGATAGAACAGCCATGTTCCAACCCAGACTGCTGGCTCCAAGGCAACAGTTTCTGTTGAGAAGATGCTTGTTGTGGTTGATCTCTCTAGTCATTACTCTATAGCCGTGAAGAGCAGACATGCCTGGTGCCTGGGTCAAGCTGTCCCTGCAGGCCTTGGGGACACTGCATGAACCAGGCCAGGTGTAGGGGGTCTCTCTTGCTTTGGCCTTGGAGAGTCCTCTCTGGGGTGGAAGTGGACCAGCATCAAGGGTCTGCTCATATACAGTTTTTCTTCTTTTAATTATAATCTCTCAGTACTTTAGGCCACCCTTTTCCTGCGCGTTCTCAAATGAAAAGACACTGATGTCTTAGCCAATAGGAGAGAGCAGTTTGCCCTCATGACATTCCTTTCTCACTAGAACCTCAATCTTGTTAAAAAAAGAAAGAAAGAAATGTGATGGAGAATAAGAAAAGAAGAAAAATGCATAGAAAATCATGATTAAAGATAAGAAACTAACAATAATAGACTTGGGCATCTTTTAAATGTACTATATGCTTTCATTCATGGAGCCTAATTCAGGAATTTGTCCATAACCATCAAGCCAAGATCTCTCCCCAACTTGATTGCAAAAGAGCTGTATTCCTGTTCCTATACAGCAAGGATCTCATTTTGAAAAATACATGGTCATTTAGATGACACAAATAAAATAGTGGTTAGGATTGGAGACCCAACAGGGAATTGGGAGCCCAAGAGTACTCCCTTCAGTTTCCTAGACTATTTCATGCCTCACCTGGAACTGGCATTTCTGTTGCAGACACTCCCAGATGGCCACATGCCTGCAATGAGAATGGACCGAGGAGTGTCTATGCCCAACATGTTGGAACCAAAGGCAAGTGCAGCTGTTCTTTTTCCTCTCATATGGGAATGGCGTAACCCTAAACAGATTTGATGTTCTATCTTTTCATCATTCTCAAAGTGTTGTAGGCTGGTGTGTTCAGGTGAGCCATGTCATGAATATGCACCTTGCCATTCTGCTGTTTTGCCCACATCAGGTCAGCAGGTTAAACCCTTACTGGGCATGATGCTGTGTGTTTACAGTGAGGTGCCAGTCCCTCTCTGCCTATGACCAAGGTATTCCCTTGGCCTCTGCCATGTGCATTACAGAGCATATCCGGTGCTGAGTGGAGTGGCTGCAGACTCACCATGTAGGTGAGGCAACCCTGTTTCACCATTGAAAGCCCTGCATTTCAAGAACCTCAGTCCTGGGTACACTGGGGTGACTGGCCACCCTAGCTCCAGAGCACCCTGTACCTTCAGAGTTGTCCAAGGGCTCATGCTCCCTGGTGACCATAACCAGGGCTTATTTCAATATGGCAGTTGCCAGAGCACTGCTTCTGGGCCTGCCTGGCCCCATAGATTCATGAGCTAGTCATGGGACAAGATTGTTAACCCCAGCACAAATGCACCCTGCCCTATAACAGCATCCTATAAAAGGTAACACATTGGCTGGGCACAGTGGCTTACGCCTGTAATCCAAGCACTTTGGAAGGCCAAGGCGGGTAGATGGCTTGAGTTCAGGAATTTAAGACCAGCCTGAGCAACATGGCAAAATCCCATCTCTACTAAAACTTAAAAAAAATTGCTTGGCATGACGACATGTGCCTATAGTCCCAGCTACTCGGGAGGGTAAGATAGGAGGGTCACCTGGGCCTGATAGGTTGAGGCTACAGTGAGCTGTGATCACACCACTGCATCCAGCCTGGGCAACAGAGCAAGCCCTGTCTACAAACAAAAAAAGAAAAACAAAAACAAAAAACACGTGCCTGTAATTTCCATTATCTTCTAATGTTTACCTTCATCCCAATACATAGTAAGTTAGTGTTCTGCCACTCAACAAAGCCCCCCTAAGGCTCAGTGCTACCTGAGACACTGGTGGAAAGTTGAGAATGTCTAAGATTCTGTCCCTGTCCCCTGGAAACTGGAGCTTCCACTGGCCTTGCAGAAGGAAGACCCATCACTCGAATTCTGTCATGACAGTCTCTTGGAAGCTCTATCTTGGGAGTACTAGCGTTTAGGTGGATTCTGCTTGTTAATAAAATGGACTGTGGTGTTCTAGAAGAGGTGTTTTCTTTCTTCTCAGATATTTCCATATGAAATGCTCATGGTGACCAACAGAGGGCGAAACAAAATCCTCAGAGAGGTGGACAGAACCAGGCTGGAGGTAAAACAAAACCGAAAAATCCAGTCCCAACTGCAGATCCCTATGCACTCCCCCAACTCTCCCCTAAGCAATGTTTTATTTCTTCAGTGAAAACAAAAAAAAATTATAAAGATCACCCTCATGTCATAGGTAGAACTAAGAAATAACTTTGGAGAAAAAAAATATCCAGGTTTTCACTTAGATCAGCATAAAAATGCCTGGTAATATCCAGAAGAATGACCCAGGAGGTGGGCATGGTGGCTCACGCCCATAATCCCAACACTTTAGGAGGCCGAGGTAGGCAGATCACTTGAGGTCAGGAGTTCAAGACCAGCCTGGCCAACACGGTGAAACCCTGTCTCTACTAAAAATACAAAAATTCACGGGGCATGGTGGCAGGTGCCTGTAGTCCCAGCTACTTGGGAGGCTGAGGCAGGAGAATCGCTTGAATCCAGGAGGTGGAGGTTGCAATGAGCCAAGATCACACCACTGTACTCCAGCTTGGGCAACAGAGCCTGACTCCGTCTAAAAAAAAAAAAAAAAGAAAGAAAGAAAAAGAAAAAAAGAATGACCCAGGAGACACAGAATGATTTCAGTCATTTTCTTTGAAACTTGATGTTGCCATAATTATGGCTGGTAATTCAGAATGGGAGTCGCTATTTCTCTTGAGATAGTCTCAGATCCTTATCTTCCCCTGAGCTGGGGTTGAGTTCATGGGAGGCTGTGGGAGCGGCAAAGGCTCTCAGGAGAGACATTTATACTGATTTATACTGGACAAGTTTCTTTCTTGGCTGTTTCCACATTCCTTGTTGAAGGGTTATCTGGGTACATGTACCCAAGATCTCCTTAGACATGGAAGACTAATTTTTGTATTATAGTTTTCCATCCCAATGATTTTAATTAAGAAAAACCCTGGCTGCCAGTCTCCGAAAGAATGCTTACTTTTTCCTGACAAAAGGCAGTACCTTGGCGTAGAGGTACAGAGAATAAAGGCTGCAGGATCTTGGGGGAACTTTTCTAGGGGGGAATGACTGATGGGAAGTCTTCTCAGTAGAACAGACATCCACCTTACCCCCTATTCCTCAGCCAGGAGGAAGCCCTGGGGCTCCCCAGGGACCACGCTGGAGGTCATTTTCTTTGGCTTTCTATTGCGATAGTCCATTTTCCCTGCATCTTCTCAACGTTCCAAGGACCTGGGATGGAGTTGTCTCCAATGTAATAAATCACCTCTCTGTGTCCCATCACCAGTCAGTGTTATTATTATAATCCCCATTAATACTCTGCCAGCTCTTTTATCTGATGGGAAGGGCTCCTCACCTGGCCCAACCAGGTAAGGGATACTGATGTCACAAGCATTAAAGATGGGCTCCTCTCCCGTCCTCCTGCCTTGTTCTTCAGAATGACTCTGTATAAACTATAGAGCAACGCTCAAGGCCATTTGTGTGGCCATCAGGACTGACAGCAGCTCTTTTTTTTTTTTCTTCTTCCCAGCGCCACTTAGCCCCTGAAGTGTTTCGGGAAATCTTTGGAATGTCCATACAGGAGTTTGACAGGTTACCTCTTTGGAGACGCAACGACATGAAGAAAAAAGCAAAACTCTTCTAAGTCCCACTCGTGAATGGCAATTAGAGAAAGGACTGACAGTGGCGGTGCCCCATAGGATGTCATATTGAGGCCCAAACTTGATTGGAGAATTTGCAAACTACCGTCGCTCAGCAACACCAAAAAGAGAAAGTCTGGTTAAAACACCATGAGTCAAATGTCGGGCCAGCCAACAGTAACACTTGCCAAGAAGCATGGCGTAGAAATTTCTATGTTCCGAAACACAGAGTAGTGTCCACATGTGAGCTTTTCACATTACCTTATGTATACAACAGGAGCTGCGTTGTTTTCTTCTTTTTCTTTTCCTTTATCTGTTGTCCAACAACAGTGCTGACTGTCCGGATAAGAGCTGGCAAGTGCCCTTAGGATGCCGCATGGGAAAAATCGGTTATCATAATTTCAAAGTATAAATATATTTATTAAGTAGCGCTGCGGCTAAGAAGGAAGAGTGAGGGGTCTGTCCATGGGGTGGCAGTGATTTCACACCCGCCTTTCTTGAATGGCTTCGTGTTACTCAGCCGTGCCCTGGCAGGAATGGAACTCCATCAGGGAACAGGGCAGCTCTGTTTGAATGGGGTGAAAAACAGCAAAATTAATTCTTAGCAAGCTCCTTGTTCTCTACTGTTCACCGGGACCTGGCTGGCAAATGACTTAGCTATTAGTATATTTAAAAACTGTTCAAAAGCAAAAGAGAAGGAACAGGAATGAAAGGAAACCTTCCCTTAACTCTTTCTGCTTCCCATAGCAGGTCTGGTTCCTGCTCCCCGCCTAGGACAGGAGCTGTCTGGAGCTCCACCTTTGCAAAGAAAGGAAAAACACAAATTGCCCCCAGATTGGCCCAGTGGCATGCCATTAGGTGATTTTGCATAGGGGCCATATCATTCATGGCCAAAAAAAACCAAAAAGCAAAAAACAAAAACAAGTCCCATGTCCTACTGACTCTAGTTCTTCCAGTCGTTATCCTCTGCTGTCTCTCTGGCATCCTATGAATCAGATCAAGCCCATGCTGTTGTTGGTTTTTAAGGTTTCTTTCAATAATAGGCTAAGGAAAGACATGTTTTTCTCTTTTAAATCTCTGCAACTCCAAAGTAGACTCCTTCGAACGTATTTAATTTGGCCTTTTCAGCTTTCTTCTTGCCCAGCTCTGTCGAATTCATGGGTGTGTGTGCACATGTTGGTTTCACTCACCCAGAGTAATTTTGTGAGCATGCATGTGCTTTTTAATTTCTGCTTGAATGTTTGTCCTGCTGTGTTGCAGCTTCTAAAGACATTGTCACCGAGTGTGTGTGACTCAAAGATCAAGAGTGAGGCTAAACTGCGACCCCAACATCACTTCCTTCATGGAAAGGTGTTGGCGCTGATGTAGCTCATGGAAGGATCAGACTGGGAACCACAGAGGAAGGATGAGGTGGGATGTGGAGGTCAGAGCATCTCACGAGAGTCCCTCAGGCTCTGCAACACTAGATTCGAATATGAGCCTAGGGTTTCCCCAACACGTGCGTGCATATGAAACCACATCATGATTCCCGACGTGAGTTAGATGAGGGAGAGTTTGTGTAACTCCACACCCAGGAGGGTAAGCCACTTTATTATCATGCTTTGGGGCTGTGCTTAAGAATTTAAGCTCTGTTTTAAAGCCGAAGAAGAAAACATTTGAATTTACCTTCATATGCCACTAAGAACAAAAGCTCTGAAGTTCTTCCTGCTGGCACCAAATATTAGGATTACAAGCTGTCTCTCTGACACCAGTGGTAAAAAAGCAAGTAGAATAGTTTCTGAGTCTGTGTTGCAGCCTCTGACACGTGGCTCACCGCTGTCATTTGGGGGATGGAATGAACAGTCACTGTTCTATAGCATCCTCCTGTGCTCTTACCTAAGGAATCTAAATTGTCCTAGCCTTCCATTGCTATGCACTGAATGAGGACTACTCTCGTGTGTGTGTGTGTGTGTGTGTGTGTGTGTGTGTGTGTGTGTGTGTGTGTTGGATCTACTAACATGTTTAGCAAATGGCTCTGACAGGGTGGCCATGAGCAGATGAGACCAGCTCTTGCTTGGTTGGAAGCCACACTGCAGTTTGCAGTTTAGCCTTTGGTGTCTCAGTGGCTTCTTGCTTATTCCATGCTTTTTCTATCCCATCCTCTCTCTGTGCCCTCCTGCAATGGCAGCCTTGGCACAATGCCTGGGTGTCCTCATCCTTGCTTTACTCTGGAAAGTGTGGGGATGGAGAGGATGGTGCATTTCCAGTGCTTCCTTACCTGTCAATAACAATGGTGGCCACCTGGGTCCCAGCACTTGGCTGGTGGAGAGATTTTTTTCATTATGGAGCTAATAAAGGGTCCCTACGTTTTACATTGATTAATGAATTATCACCCAGACATGTGCAGATGAAATGTCAATATAAGAAAAATCAAGGTATTTGGGAAACATGGGCATAATCAGGTAGTTTTGCTAAAATTCCTCTTCCTTGGTCTACATAAAGAAGACATGGGTCTGTCATAGAATGGGGACATTAGACTGAAAACTGGGACAACCCCCTTCCTTATTTTATAGAGACTAGGAGTTAAGGGGCCTGCCTAAGATTGCAGTGATAAAGAACTGAACCCTAAATCAGCTCCCACTAATGAAACCCTGCTTTCCTTGTATCTTTTAAACTCAGTTCTGCATCCAACTTGAGAAGAAAAAAAGCTTCTTTCCATATCAAGTACCATATGAGTTCATTTAAACTGCACCTTGCAGAAATGCATTGCCAGAAAGCACCAGTAGCCTCCTATCTGCAAGCAGAGTAGTGCTCTGCTCTGGGGAGGGGTCATTGGAAACCATAATGCAGAGTGGGCCCCCTACTCCATTTCCCAGCAAAAGGCTCCAGCTGGAGGGATGGGTTGTGGGGCAACCTGGTTCCTGCTAACTGCCAGATTGAATGTGTGGGCTAGAATGCCTGCACATTTAGTTAAACTGGGCTCAGCATGCTTGTCCTCAAAATGTCCATCCTGGTCACAGCACACAAGATGGCTATTGGTCTGCTTTTACCCTACCCTGTACTATACATGAAAATTCCAGTTATTAACACACTCAAACTGGTGGAGCTTGTTCACCCTAGGAAGGGGATTGTATATATGGCAGGCTTCCCTGGTGCCGATGTAAAGGGCTACATTTGGGAACATTTGACTTCCTTGGGACTCTTAAGTGCATAATGATGGCATGAAGTAAAAGGGGCCTCAATGATGATAGGAAAATCAGTTCTTTTAAAATTTCTTCAAGAAAATCCAGGCTATCACATAGTCTTTCTGTGTGACTTATTAGGAGATAGGAAGAGCATTGGGAAACTTGCACAGCTAGCTATGCATCTACATTTTGGTTTGGGGTTAGTTATGAAATGTTCTTAATATGACGTGTTCAATAACTTCACATAAACTTCCTGTTCTCCAAAACCTCAAAGAGATAGAGTTAATGAGTTGTTGTTTTTTTTTAAATGGGGGTAGTTTTCTATCTGTCATGGGCTCTAGCATCTACTCCGCTACCCAATTCTGTCATCTCCAAGCTGAGTTTCCTCTTCTGAGGCAGAGGCTGGAGCAGTTCTTTTTCAGTTCTCATCCTCTCCATCCCAATCCAGTATATCAATCAACTCTAACTCGGAGACGTCTAGCTGGCAATGTTTCTAAAACTTTCACTGGATTTCTTTAGACATTGAAGCAAACATTTTTTTCTAAGAATTGCTTCTCAGATGATGATATCAAATGTATATGCTTTTGCAAGTTTGAAAAGTTCAAATTAACCACTTTTGACTAGGTAAGTCTTTCTAAAAACCATTTAAAGCTAACTGGGTCTTAGCATCCTCCTGTGTATGGAAGAGACAGGTGACCGCTCCAGGTTGGGTGCTCACAGAACCCTTTTCCTGACTCTCATGGAAGATGGTGGAAGGAAAATAGACTGTCTCATCAACCCTCCTGTGTCCTCTGAAGCAATCTCAGTTTTTATTAACCACCTCTTCTGTGTTTCTGGTAGCTATTTAACCTGTATTTAATCTGTACTTCCTATGCCAGCCTCAATTTTATTTGATTTTTACAATTATTCTCTTCTAACCAATGAAGTGTTTGTCAGTATGCCCCAAAGCTTGCTCTTTTGTGCTCCCTTTTGAATAACTTTCTATCCAGAAAAAGAGATTATTTGGGACTTGAGATTTGCAGTGATACCAACTTATAGCAATGATGTACTTTAAGGGAACTACCCAACTATGTTGTGATAGAAGAAAGAGAAACCTTCACTTTGGCATTTTTTTTTAATCACTGTTTATTTTTCTGTTTGCGGCCCAGGAAGCAGTGGGAGGTGGTGGCAGATATGCTTTGCATATGGATTGTTATGTTTTTATTTGGGCAAGTTTAATCATGGAAAACTCAAAAAGAAGGGGGGAAATGGTCAGTTTAAGCCAAAAGAAACTTTCTAAACAATGTATAGGTACACAGCAAAATTAAACAAATCCAACAATTTCTGAAGCTTAGTGTAATTGAGTGGTGGTTGTTATTCAATAAAATTATTCCCAAAAGTGTTTCTCCTAAGAGTGCAGTTCCCATGAGTCACTTCCTGAACCCATTGACCAAAGGTGGACAGAGACAATCCTGTAGACCTTGACATTCAGAAAGATGTGAGCTGCTTACTGATCATATATGCATACGTTTCTTTACAGCAGAGGAAACCATTGTCCACAAAACTGATGTTCTTTTGGGGTTTTATGTACAGACTTGTCCAATCATGTGTGTGGTTCCTGCGAGTTGCTGATGACTCCGCATTGAAGCTCTCTGAGTTCTTTGATTTTAAGTTGGGTTTATGGAATTTTTTCAAATGTTGGAAGGTGTGTGGTTCTTCCTGCCCTCCCTCCCCTTTTGGAAATATGAAAGCAAATGTTTAGAAGAATTCCTTTTGAAAAGCTGTGTCGTGTTCCCTGTGAAACTGAGCAGGTGTGTGTTGGCGCGCTAAGTGCCACATGCTTGTGTGTAGAGGAGGAGGTGGCCCTGCCGGCTCCGCGCTGCTGTGCCTGTGATCCCTACCTGCTCCCCGCTCCTGTTGCCAGCAGCACTCACTGCACTCCTTTGTCATATACTCTGCATCACTGTCATACTCACAACTTCGTGAATAAAGTTGTGTGCTTTATTCGTAGATGCCTCCATACCTGTGTTTCATTTCTCGTTCCCTGGCTCCCTTTGAAGGTCTATCTCATTTTAAAAAGCACCAACGCAACTTCCAATAATCAAAACAAAATCAGAATGAACCCAAGGCTGTGGGAATACATTTTTATCATGCAGGTGGAAAAATGCAGCAAATAACAGCAGGATATTCCAGGACTGTGTGTCCAATAACCCAGACCATATTGACCAAGCTGTCCAAAGGAAAGAAATGTTTAGTAGAGCCATTACACTGTGCTGTGTCATAGGTGTTTGATTTGGTTTGTGACACAGCAGGGATAGTCCCATCATTTCGACAAAGCTGGGGATTTGAGGAGGTTTGAAGCTTCTGAGCCACTATGAGTGTGGGCCACTTTTTAGTAAGAAGCTAGAATGCAGTAGGAGAAAAGCATCCTTCCAATTTTGGGCATCCCCTGCATGATCAAACTTTACATGAAGAAATTGTAGATGTTAACTTCCTTGTTATCATCACTGCCAAGATTTTAGGCTTGCCAGAAAGTACAAGGATCTATGTCCAAGATGGCCCACTCCAACGATAGCCTTCCTTCTGCTCTGTGTCTGCTGAGACTACCCAAGACCCAGTCACACTGGCATTCACATGACCCTCCCCTGGAAGCGGGATGCAGGTTGTTTTCAAGACAGTTGGCATCTTTAGTTCACCACCATGGAAAACAGGCCGGGAGACCTCAGCTCAAGGTCTGTGTTCTGCTCATCTCTGCCTCCACCCGTGGGAAAGCATCCCTGCTGTGGTCCATAATTACCATAGCTAGGGGTCATCTCCAGTCCTTATGAACTCTCTGTGGGATTTGGCTCTGGTGGCCACCTCTCCAATGGAAGTTGACCCGTGCCTCACTTCAGTTGCTAGACTTTAGTCAGCGAATCTCACACTGCCTTTGCTGGGAGTGGAAGGATCTCGCCTCACCCACTGCTCAGCTGCCTCTCCCCCAGTACCCTGCCTTCAGATCTTGCCAAACCACTGCAAGTTCCCAGGACATACCATGCTTGCTCCCTCCCAGGCAGCTTTATCAAAGGTATTTCTTCTTTACGATGCTCAACTCTTCAAGGAGGTGGTGGAGCAGAGAGGACCTGGCCCCAGGGAAAGGAAGTAATGATCAATGTTGACTCTTTAAAAACAGCTACCCATCAGCTCTTTGGAGTTACCCATGTGAATTTCCCATGGGCTCCATTTGTTCCAAATTAAAGACAAGTCCAAGTTCACACCCTCTCTATGAGCCTGTCTTAATGGGCCCAGCCCAATCTGCATGTAATTCTTTGCATGCCTCTAGTTGAACCTCAAGGTCGGTACTTAGCAAGTGTTGCCTCGAACTGCTAGCTGCGTGGGTTTCTGCTCTTCAGTTGAACTGTAGTGAGATCTCTGTGCTGAGCGCCAGGCACCCTAGCTTGGCATAACTATATTGCTCGTGAGAGCCTTTCAAAGTAGACAATTGTAGCTCCACTATACAGGTAGGAAACCAAAGCTCAGAGTCTAATCAAACATGCCCAATCACTCAGCCAGTGAGCAGCAGAGCTAGAATTCTCCAGGTCTGCCCTTTTCAGATCCCATGCTGTTATCCTCCACATCCCATTCCCTGTGACTTTCTTAGGGCAAGGACTGTGTCCCACATTCTGAATCTCCCAGGGCACACTGCACAGAATGGGTTCTTAGTGTGAGACCGGCCAGCGCCCTTCAGTGTGGCCATGAGCCCCAACACTACCACCAAGGCGCATTTATGAACAGTTTGGGGGTTACTCACTGTCTGTGTGTCTTGGAGCCCGTTTAGCCTCTCTTCAGCCTCAATTTGTTCATCTGCAGAATGGACAAGATAATAATATCCATCAAAAGACTGTTGCCAAATTATAGCACGTGAGCACTTAGGTGGTTGAATAAGGACTAGTATTATTTTAAATAATCATTTGAGAATGAATTAGTTTTCACTCTGGGCTTTTTACCCCTCCCTCTAGTCATTTTGTTTGTGTTCACAGGGCCTTCCTCATGGATTCTCCTTCTAGTCTTTATATAAATACTCCAGGATTAAAATAATCCCACGACCTCTTTTACATACTTCAACAACAGCACTCTCTCCACCCAAGCATAGTCTAAGATAGAGATCCCCTGAAGATGTGCTAATTAGTAGTAATAATAACCAGAAGTATTACTCAGCAGCCGAGTGCAGGGTATAGCATCAGGCTGCCTGGGTTCGAGTTTCAGCTCCACCAATAGCTATCTGTATAACTAACAAATTGTTTAACTTCTCTAAGCCTCAATTTCCATGTCCATAAAAGAGGAATAATAATGATACCTACCACAAAAGGTTATTATGAGAATTCCTGCAGGACAAGAGCCTGCATGATACTAAACGAGCACTTAAAATGGCTTTTATTCAGGCCCGGCGCGGTGGCTCATGCCTGTAATCCTAGCACTTTGGGAGGCTGAGGCGGGCGGATCACAAGGTCAGGAGATCGAGACCATCCTGGCTAACATGGTGAAAACCTGTCTCTACTCAAAATACAAAAAATTAGCCAGGTGTGGTGGCGGGCGCCTGTAGTCCCAGCTACTCAGGCAGGAGAATTGCGTGAACCCGGGAGGCGGAGCTTGCAGTGAGCTGAGATCACACCACTGCACCCCAGCCTGGTGACAGAGCAAGACTCCGTCTCAAAAAAAAAAAAAAAAAAAAAGGATTTTATTCATGAAGTAGCTGCCATGTAATAAGTACTGTTTGCCCAGCCCCGAACTAAACAATTTCTGTGGTTTCTTTCATATACTTCCTTAGGTTCCTTCCATTTTAGTTAAGGAAACAGACCCAGAGAGACTGTCTCTGAGTAGTGGGGCTGAGTAGGCTGAGGTGGGTGGATCATCACGAGGTCAGGAAATCGCTACCATCCTGGCTAACATGGTGAAACCCCGACTCTACTCAAAATACAAAAAATTAGCCAGGTGTGGTGATGGGCGACTGTAGTCCCAGCTACTCGGGAGGCTGAGGCAGTCCTAAACACTGCCTATGGGCAAGTGTCATGCCGAGAGGGGCACAGGTGCCCCCAAAGCACTGTGGCCACCCAGCATGGCAGACTCCTCAAACTGGAAGCGTTCAGAGGTGCCAGGTTGGGACTCAGCTGCTCCAGAGGGTTTTCCTGGGTTGGGAGGATTGTCCTAGCCTACTCCGGCGGTGCTTAGAAACACTCCCTGTGGAAGAGCTGAGACTCATTCTCATGAAAGATGGTGTTTGTTCCAGAAAGATCTTTTCAATGGTATGACTCACTTCAAAGCAACCAAAGGCTGTAAAAGTTGAGCTGCTGGTCCTGAGAGTATTGAGGGAGAAAGCCACCAATCCTCCCCAGCCCCTCTTGCCCGTTGCTGGAAGAAGGCTACTCTTCCCCACAGGTCATTGCCAGGGTGTGTCTGTCAGGCCCACCCTGCTGGAGGTGGCCCACTGTGGGCCGGAAAGCACTGGGAAGGGCGGGGACTTGGAGCTGTCAGCGTTTGAGAAAGCCAGGGTGGTTGGGAGAATAGCACCCAAAACTTCAGGGAATCTCGACCCCAGCCCTAAGAACTCACTTCCGCACCTTCTTCCCCACAGGAGACCAGGACTCTGAACAAACACTTCCCTTCTACTCTGGCAGAGCTCAGGGATAGGCTGTAGCGAGTCGGGTCTGCAGAAGAGGGGGTAATAGGACCACATTTATTTTACTTTCCAATCTCCACTGGATAAAACTTGCTCTCCAGGGCCTGCTATTGTGCTGAGCACAATCACAGCTCCTGGAGAGGTTTTTCTGTATTTATTTGTGCTGTCCCCTGCTGCTCACTCTTAACTCAGCCCTTCCCATCAGATAAAAAGAAAAAAGTTGGCTTAGGAAACCTCCCCTTCAGAGCAGAGGCTGTTCCTGCTTTGCCCCTAGCATATGTTAGCCATAGGCCCTCCCAGAGTATCCCGAAGGGGCTGGAGGCAGGGCAGAGCCTCAGGGGTTTCTAGCCCCAGATCTAGCCGGGTTGAGACCCCCAGGTGTCTGAGTCCAGGCACTAAGAAGAGAGGGGTCTGATGGCAGCAGCAGCGAACATTCTTTGCAGGCCTCCAAGTGCCAGGTGCTGGGCTAAATACTCTACGTAGATTATTTTGTTTAATCTGAGAAGGGCAAACCCAAGGCTGGGCGAGCTCCACTGACAAGTGGGTAGGATTCTAGCCCCCTCCCATCAAGTCCAAATGCCACCTTCCTCCTAAGGCAATTACAGCTCTCTGGGGTCTCCACAAGGCCTTCTAAGGATGTCAAAAGGATTGCCTACAAAGACAAATACCAGGCTTTCTCAGCAAGGTGGAGCCTGGCCATGAATAACATTTTGTTCTAAGCTGGACGGATGCTGGCACAGAAAGAATAGGTTCTTTCGTTCCTGCTATTGTCTTAAAACATATGCTTCTTAATGAAAAGTTAGAAAATGTTGATGCCAGTTACATTCCCATCAGATAAGAGCAAGGGTCAGCTGGCTTCTCCTGTTGAAAAAAACAATTATTACGCCCCTCCTTTACATAAAAACAAGGTGCTTCATACAACTCAAGAGTAAATTGCTCGGATTTATTAACCATTTTTTCAATCAAATGGCTTCCACTTGCACAGACGTGATCTATGATCCTCACGAGCCACCTGGGTGAATGTTGCTCCCTTCGATACACAGATGAGAGCCTGCCTGGCTTGTCCAAGCTCAAAGGGAGACTTGGGGAAGGAGCTAAGATCTGGACCCAAGTCTAACCCCAAAGCTCAGGCTTCAGTCCACAAAGAGGCTTTGATTGGGTAGATCTGGGTTAGGAGCTGGGAAGTTGAATCTTACAACAAAATATAAAAGCCTCCAGATAATTCTGATGATCAACCAAGTTTGGGAACCCTTCCCCACATCCCAGGATCTCAGGTCAGTGGCAGAGCTGGTCTGTGATGAACCAAGCATCCCTTGCCAGGATTTGTTATCACTGTCGCCCTAATTCACAAGACCACAGTCAGACAAGGCCTGGGAAACCTGCCCTCGCTGAGACCTCCATGGGAAATCACCCACATCTTCCTTCAGCTCGGCAAGGCTCGGAATGCCCCCGGGACATCCCACTGCAGTCTGCTCAAGTGTCACCTTATTTGCAAGGAGATTATCTCTTGTAAAATACAAAAGTATGAGATGAGAGAATCAGTTAGGTGCACAGTTGCTTAAAGGAAAAGCAATCCACCAGTATCCTATTCTCCCTTTCTCCCCTCACAATCTTGAGAAACCTCTGAACATTGAAAAAAATGGCCTAGAAATGTTATTATTGTACCAACTTATTTCCTTTTCAATGTACTCTCGTTCTCTTCGTTCTATTGTTAGGAGGGTGAGTATAATAAATGCTGGTCTTAAGTTTTCTGTGGAGACAGTCACTTCAGGGAAACTTAGTGACTGTCCTCAGGGCCTGGCTGGAGGGAGATTAAGAGCAAGCAAGCCAGAAGTTGTGATTACAAACTCTTCTTTTACAGAAAGGTGGCTGTTTTTAGTTTTGAGCCTTTATATCAGTGCATATGTAGTGGGTCGAAATAGTGTCTCCCAAAAGATGTCTACCTGGAACCTCGGAATGTGACTTTATTTGGAATAAGGGTCTTTGCAGATGTAACTCTACCAAAAGACACATGCACTCAAGTGTGCTATTCACTGTGCTATTCACAATAGCAAAGACAGGGAATCAACCCATGTGCCCAGCAATGGTAGATTGGATCAGGAAAATGTGGTCCATATACAACATAGAATACTATGCAGCCATAAAAAAAGAATGAAGTCATGTGGTTTGCAGCAACATGGATGGAGCTGGAGGCCAGAATCCTAAGCAAATTAACACAGGAACAGAAAACCAAATACGGCATGTTCTCACTTCCAAGTGGAAAGTAAACATCGAGCACACAGGGACATAAGTATGTGGACTATTAGAAGGTTGGGGAGGTGGGTTAAAAAACTACCTATGGGGTACTACACTCACCACCTGGGTGACGGGATCCATACTGCAAACCTTAACACCACACAATATTCCCATGTAACAAATCTGCACATGTGCCCCTGTATCTAACATAAAAGTTGAAAAAAAAAAAAGAATCAAGATGAAATCTTAACTAGGAGATTAGGTAGGAGGAATAAGTTCAAGAGATCTCTTGTACAACATGGGGATTGTATTGATAACAATATATTATATACTTGAAAATCAGTAAGACAGTAAATTTTAAGTTCTCTCACCACAAAAAGTGGTATGTGAGGTAAAGCACATATCAATTAGCTTGATTTAGCCATTCCACAATGGACACGTTTCAAAACATCACGTTGTATCCCATAAATATATGCAAGTATTATTTGTCAATTCAAAAATTAATTTTTTAAAACACTGCCTAAATTAGGCTGTTCCTTTGAAGTATGAAGTAAGTTTGATTATTAATCACTAGAAAGAGACTATATTTGCTTTAAAATTAAAATAGAAATCCTGACATCTCATTTCTATTTTCTGTAATTGGTTATTTTTAAGCAATACAAAATGCCAAGTTCATAAAGTTTATTGTAATGAGTCTGTTCTGGCTCCCAGAAGATGCCTCAGTTCAAATCGCTAAGCTTTACGCTCACCATTTCTCAATCTTTGTAATTAAAACAACAACACAGTATTTAAATGGATCCTTTCCATTCTGGGACAAAATGTTCTGTCAAAGACAGGACACGATGGCTCATGTCCGTAATCCCAGCACTTTGGGAGGCTGAGGTGGGCAGATCGTTTGAGGTCAGGAGTTCAAGACTAGCCCAGCCAACATGGTGAAACCCCATCTCTACTAAAAATACAAAAAATAGCCAGGTGTGGTGGTGCAGGCCTGTAATCCCAGCTACTCAGGAGGCTAAGGCAGGAGAATCGCTTGAACCCAGGAGGCGGAGGTTGCAGTGAGCCGAGATCACACCACTGCACTCCAGTTTGGGAAACACAGTGAGACTCCGTCTCAAAAAAAAAAAAGTTCTGTCAAAGCTTTGAAGTTCTTTAAGCTCTTTCCAGCTGGGTATGGTGGCACCCATCTGCAGTCCTGGGTACTCAAGAGGCTGAGGCGGGAAGGTGGCTTGAACCCAGGAGTTCTGGGCTGCAGTCCACTATGCTGATTGGATGTCTATACTAAGCTCAGCATCAATATGGTGAACTCCAGAAAGGAGGGACCACCAAGCTGCCTAAGGAGGGGCAAACTAGCCCAGATCGGAAATTGACCAAGTCAAAACTCCCATGCTGATCAGTAGTGGGATCGTGCATGTGACTAGCCACTGCCCTCCAGCCTGGGCAACATAGCAAAACCCTATCTCTTAATAGAAAAAATTTTTTAAAGGCCTTTCCAGTGGTAAGAAATAAATTTGTTCTTCTTTGGCCATTGTTTTTTCTTTGCCCAAACACATCAGCAGAGGCACGAGGGAGCACCTCCTAGCACACCTAGCACAAGTGAGAGAGCTGTCTGTCCTTCTCTAAAGACAGCCAAATGCTGCTAGATCTGTAGCTTTGTTGTCCAAGGATGCCTCTCTTTCTCTGTTGCTGACGCAGGTGTACCTGCTGTAAAATGTTCTGAAAACAGGTCAGGAAGTCAGCTTCCAGATGGAATGGCCTTTTCCTTGAATCTCTGAATCTGCAACCCTTGAATGGAGAAAGCCTCCTTCCCTTGTCTCCAAGCAGCCCAAGAAGTGGATGTCCCATGAAAACTCATACATATTGGGAAGAAAAAAGTGCAACTAGGGAAAAATTGCCCCTGAATATAATGAACCTTGTCGTTTCATATCTGGGCCTACTCCGACTGAGGATAGAAAGTTGTCTTTCCATTTTTAGGCCTCACACATTACTCCTGTCTCCATTGCTGCTTTCTACCTGAATTTGGTTCCAGATTTTAAAAAATACACTATCAGAGCACTTTGGTTAATCATCTAACTCAGCAACACTGTTATAAGAAGGCAACATAGAGGCCGGGCGTGGTGGCTCACACCTGTACTCCTGGCACTTTGGGAGGCTGAGGCGGACGGATCACCTGAGGTCAGGAGTTTAAGACCAGCCTGGCCAACATGGTGAAACCCCGTCTCTACTAAAAATACAAAAGATGCATGGTGGCACGCACCTGTAATCCCAGCTACTTTGGAGGCTGAGGCAGGAGAATGGCTTGAGCCCAGGAGGTGGAGGTTGCAGTGAACCGAGATCGCACCACTGCACTCCAGCCTGGGTGACTGAGTGAGACTCTATCTCAAAAAAAAAAAAAAAAAAAAGAAAGAAAGAAAAAAAGAAGAAGAAGGCAACGTAGAATAAAATAACTTTCTGGAGGTCTGGGCTAGCAGGGGGCATTCAAGTGACTGCGCATGGGAAGTGTGCCTCATACAATCAGTGCCTTTGAATGACCACAAATGATGTTTCCTAGTTACCCTAATTTGTCTTAATTTTCAATGGCATACAGAGCCCTAAAGCCTTTCTAAGATCTCATTGTTTAATTTCAGGAACATCTGTACTGTATCTAAAGTGAGAAGCATGAGGCTGGGGTGTTGTGGAAAACATGAACATGAACACAGGCTGGGACTATGGGAGCAACTGAGGTGTGTAGGCTCCAAATGTCAGGCGATGCTCACTCTAGGGCTTACGCAAATGCTGACCCTGATAAAACAATCTCTGCCCTCAAAGAGCTTGAAGCCTGGAAGGGCAACACAGGCACGTAACTAATAGACTAGATTTGAGGCTTAAAGCAGACGAAAAAGTTCACAAAATAAAAGCAAAAAAAGGTGGCCCAAAGACCCAACTATAAAACCAAAAACTATAGAATTTCTTGAAGAAAATACAGGAGAAAATTTCCATGACCTTGGTTTAGGCAAAGGGTTCTTAGAATTGATACCAAAAGCATGATCCAGAGAAGGAAAGAAATTGATAACTTGGTCATCAAAATCAGGAACTTCTGCTCTTTAAAAGATGTTATAAGGAGAATGAAACAAGTCTGAGATTGGAAAAAGCAATTTTCAAATCACATATCTGATCAAGGACTTGAATCCAGAGAAAGTAGATAAAGAACTCTCAGTACAAAGTATTGCAAGGACGCAGAACAAGTGGAACTCGCACACTGATGGTGGGAGTACAAAAGGATACAATATTTTGGAAAACGGTTTGACAGTTTCTTTTAAAGATATACACCCCTAACATAAGACCCAATGACTCCACTCCTATGTATTTATTCAAGTAAAACCAAAACCTTAGTTCACACAAAAACCTGTACATGAATGTTTATACTGACTTTATTCGTAATCACCAAAAACTGGAAACTGCAAATATTCTTTAACTGGGGAATAAATAAACAAACTATAGTTCATCTATACAATGGAATATTACTCAACAACAAAAAGGGATAAACTTTTGCAACAACATGGGTGAATTGCAAATGCATTATGCTAAGTGAAAGAAAAGCCAGGGGTTTTCAGGGGATAGGATCGAGGGGAGGGGTTGACCACAAAGGGTCACAGGGAAATTTTGGAGGTGATGAACTGTTCTGTATCTTAATTGTGGTCGTGATTACATGACTGTATGCATTTGTCAAAAGACACAGAATGACGCACTAAAAAAGGTGCATTTTACTGCACATAAATTATAACAATTTAAAAATTGTGAAAAAAGAAGCAGTTTAAGACAACAAACTCTTATTGACAATGCTAGTGTATTGGGAGCTGTGAGATGTTGTAAAGGGAGTGTGATACATATCCAATCTTGAAAAGGTTACATGCCTTGCAACAAACTAGGCACTATGCTAAGCACTTGAACTAAAACTGTGAGCAAACAGATATTAATCAAATAACCCCACAAACATAAACACAGGGGTTAAAGCATATAAAGAATGAATGACCTGATTGATTCTATCAGCAAAGCTTCTCTGGGAAATACTTCTATTTGAGTTGCAACTGGACTCAATATGGGCTGCAGCAGGGTGGAGGATGAGGAGCTGAGGAAGGTGCAAAGGATGACTTGTAAGTTTCTGGCTTGGGCAACAGGCTAGGTGGTGGAGCCTGCAATGCGCGCTGGAGGAGGAGCAGATTTGGGGTGGAGTGAGAGATCGTGAGTCCAGCAAAAAAAGAACAAGTGTGAAACCACAGAGAGCAATGCCTGATTAAGCACAGAACTATGCAGTGGACCCAACAGAAATGAAAACAGGTATCTACACAAAAACTTGTACATGAATGCTCATAGCAGCATTATTCATAATAGTCCCAAAGTGGAAGCAACTGAATGCCCACCAACTGACGAAAGGATAAATGAAACGTGGTATGTCCACGCCATGGAATATTATTTGGTGATATTAAAAAATGAGGTACTGATACTTGCTACAGTGTGGATGAACCTTGAAGATATTCTACTGAGTGAAAGAAGCCACTCACAAAAGACCATGAAATGAAATGGCCTTTTGGAATATTGTGTGATTCCACTTATTATGACATTTCAAAAATAGGGATATCTATAGAGTCAGAACACAAATTAGTGGTTGCTTAAGGCTGAGGGGGATGGGGAGAATAAAGTGGCTATTAATGGGCATGAGGTTTCTTTTTAGGGTAATGAAGATGTACCAAAACTAATTGTGGTGACAGTTGGAAAACTTTATTCTATTAAACACCACTAAATTGTAGATTTTAAATGGATGAACTGTGTGGTATGTCAATTATATCTCAATAATGCTGCTTTAAAAAATAAGATAAATAATCTGCATAAAGATGTTCTTTTTTTTTTTTTTTTTTTTTTGAGACGGAGTCTCACTCTGTCGCCCAGGCTGGAGTGCAGTGGCATGATCTCGGCTCACTGCAAGCTCTGCCTCCTGGGTTCAACGCCATTGTCCTGCCTCAGCCTCCCGAGTAGCTGGGATTACAGGTGCCCGCCACCACGCCCAGCTAATTTTTTGTATTTTTAGTAGAGACGGTGTTTCACTGTGTTAGCCAGGATGGTCTCAATCTCCTGACCTCATGATCCGCCTGCCTCGGCCTCCCAAAGTGCTGGGATTACAGGCGTGAGCCACAGCGCCCGGCCATAAAGATGTTCTTATATGTTCTATTTAGAATATTGCAACCCCTCAGTGGGAGAATGGTTATAAAAATTATGACCCATCAGTAAGGTAAAACTCAGCACAATTAAAAACACATCCAATGACAAAAAAGAGTAATTAATTTGGAAAGATGTAAAGTTTTGTTTTTATTATAAAAAACAAAAAGCAAAAAAACTACACAGTAAAGAAAGATGCAATCACTTCGGAGAAGACAGAGATCCTGGGAGTCTGGCAAAGGTGAAACTCAAAAGCAAGGGCCATGCATTTCTAGAGCTTTTGCAGGAGAGCCTCAGAAGTGGCTATGTTGGCTTCTTCTGTGATGGGAAGTGGGCAGGAAGCCTGGGCAGGTGAGAAGTGGGCAAGAAGCTTGTGCAGTGGCTCGCGCCTCTATTTATGGCCAAGAGTGAGGGCTTGAATTTGGTTCTCTGCGCAGGAAGGAAGGCACTGCTAGAAAAACAACTTGCGGCCCGGCATGGTGGTTCATGCCTGTAATCCTAGCACTTTGGGAGGCTGAGGCGGGCAGATTGCTTGAGCCCAGGAGTTCAAGACCAGCCTGGGCAACACGGTGAAACCCCGTCTCTACAAAAAATACAAAAATTGACCGGACATGGTGGCACATGCCTATGGTCCCAGCTACTTGGGAGGCTGAGGTGGGAGGATCACCTGGTCCCAGGGAAGTTGAGACTGCAGTGAGCCATGATTGTACCACTGCACTCCAGCCTGGGTGACAGAGCAAGACACTGTCTAAAAATAAATAAATAATTTCAAAAAAAAATTAAAAGAAAAACAACTTTTTAAGCTCTTAGCTCTTTCCTCCAGCTTAGTCCCCCACTCCCCACCTACCCACGACCTGGGCACTTCCTAAATGTGCTCACTATCATTTTCAAGCACTCACTCTGTCCCAGATACTATGCTAACTTCTTTGTGTGCTTCATCCTACAGAATCCTTACTTGTTTATGAAATAGATATTATCGTAATCCCATATGTTTGTTTCATTTGATAAAGAAATCTGGACAATGTCACAGGGATCATAAATGATGCACCTGTGCTGCTTCTAACCCAAGGCACTCTGACTCTACAACCTGAAGGTCACATTTAAATCAATTCATGATCCACACTCAAGAAAACCTTCCTCACAGATTCCCACAACTGTCCCACTTTTACACCCCACGCCAAGGAGGCCCACCTATTGGCTAGACCATAGATTCTAATGCACTCAGCACTTGGGTACTTCCAGTTGTCATTTGAATTAAGCAATAATAGTTGTGTGAGGTAGGATAGGAATCTTCCAAGAGCCCTGTCTTTGTCTTATGCTTCTATAACAGAATCACAGGGACTGGGTAATTTATAATGAACAAATATTTAATTGGCTCATAGTTCTGGTGGCTGGGAAGTCCAAGAGCCTGGCACTGGCATCTGGTGAGGGCCTTAATGCTGCTCATCCCATGGTCGGAGGTGAAAGGGTGAGAGAGAGCAAGACAGAAAGGGGAATGAACTCTTGCTCTGTATCAGGAAACCACTCCCTCAATAATATCATTAGCCCACACATGAGGACAGAACCCTCATGACCTAATCAGCTCTTAATGGTCCCATCTTAATTCTCTGTTGCATTGGGGATTAAGTTTTCAGCACATGGACTTTGAGGGACACATTCAAACCATAGCAAGCTCTCAGGTCAGTCGGGACAGATCAAGGAACAAATCCACAAGCCAAGCACACTCACAACTTCATTCTCTGAACAGTCCAAGTTGCCACATCTTCATGTACTAACAGGTTAGGCTTCTTCTGAGGAAACTGCTTCTTAAATGCATTTTTTAAAAAAATTCTGTTTCTTGACATCTTGGGGCTTCTGGTTCTTTTCTCTGAATCTTATGCTCTGAATGATTCTAAGATATTCCATAAACATTACTTGAATTCTAATAAAAATTCTAATCTAGTGATAGAATGGGATCCCTAGACACTGTACGATTATGCTGGCCTGGTTTCAAATATTCTGCCCTGCTTGGGCTTCCTCTATAAAAGATTCCCATTTATATTCTCTCAGTCATTTCTGCCAGAAGAAATTATGGCTACCTTAGGCTGTTTCCAAAAAGAAGTTAGGAAGTTGTATTATAATGATCCTCCTCTCTCCCTCTCCTCCCCTTCTCTTTCTTTCTCTCTGTCTCTTTTCCCCTCCCTCCTCCTACGTATTTTGATCATAAAAGAAAAACAAGTATAGCCGTGTGACCCAGCAGGAACACTGAAGCGATCTCACAGTAGTACAGTGTTCAAAATACTCAGGACCCACTGTGACTCCTGGTTGCAGGATGAACTCTCCTTGAAGATTTTCTTCCATAATTTACCAACGTGAAATTTTTTAGACACTTTATTGTGGACCCCATCAGATGTCAAAATAATATGCAGCCATCGGCAGAGAAAGAAAAACACCATTTCCCCAGTTTGGCAAACTGTGGAAAACAGCAGCTCCTTCAACACTTCGCTCCTTAAACTGTAGCTTAAACCACTGGCATTGGTATCACCTGGAGCTTGTCAGAAGTGTCAAATCTCCGCTCCAACCCTAGATCTACTGAATCAGGTCTAAATTTTGAAACGATCCCCAGGTGATTGCTATACAAGTTAAAGTTTGAGAATCACTGGCTTAAATTAGGCTGTTTTTCCAGTGAGGATAGACTTTCTGGCCAAGTGTGGTGGCTTACACCTGTAATCCCAGCACTTTGGGAGGCTGAGGTCGGGGGATACTTTGAGCCCAGGAGTTCAAGACCAGCATGGGCAACATAGTGAGATCTCATCTTTACAAGAAGTGAACAAAATTACAGAGCATGGTGGCATGTACCTGTAGTCCCAGCTACTCAAGAGGCTGAGGCAAGAGGATCACTTGAGTTCAGGAGGTTGAGGCTGCAATGAGCTGTACGGCACCACTGCACTCCAGCCTAGGTAGCAAAGCGAGACCCCACTTCAAAAAAAAAGGAAAAGGGAAAAAGGATAGAGTTTCCTGTCTCCCTCTGGGGCTGTAAGTCCCTTAAGGGCTTCATGCAATTTATCCAACAAAGTGCCTGGTACCTTGCTCAGCGAGGTGGAGGGTGGTAGCTGAGTGGGTGGTGGATGGGAGCCGGGTGGTTGAAATGAGAGATCCAATTCCAATACTTAGCACTGAGCAGGACTCTTTTGCCTGTAGGGTGATGGCCATTGGAACAATTGGTAGCTCTGTTTTATCTGCCACGGGAGTCCTGTTTCCTATGACATTATCACAATGGTGGGAAGAGTTCCTCATTTTCAGCCACCTTAATCATTATTGCAACTAATATCAGTTGTGAACTTACACACAGACACTGAGCTAAACTTTTTCCATGGATTGTCTCACGGAATCCTCACAACAGCCTCTGAGGTGAGTAGAATTTTCATTCCCATTTGACTGAGGGAGAAACTGAGGTAAAAAGTGGACGTAACTTGTCCAAGGTCCGCCAGCTAGAAAGAGATGGAGGGGAGATTCTAACCTGGACTCCAGAGCCCATATTCCTGTGTTTCTCAACCACTTTTTCATTATTTCATTATTGCCTCCCCCAGGAGTCTTCTTAGACATTTTGTCCTAATTGCTCCCCCATGAAATTTTAATGCTGCAGATAAACTATATCTGTTTATATTTTTTCTCTCTGTCTCTCTTTCTCTCTCTCTCTCTCTCTCTCTCTCTGACTCTGTGTACGTTTATATACTGTAGGTGAAATTTTTTTTTCACCCCCAAGATCCAATTTTCATCCCCTTGGGGGCACAATCACTCCTGCTGAGAATGCCTTGCTCCTTCATTCCCTCATTCCATGAATAACTTGTGGCCATTTACTATGTGCTAGACTGTACTCACAGTGAGGAGGTTGGTGTTTGGGGCCCTAGAAAGGCTGCCTTTGAGCAGGAGAACAGGACCAGGGCCCTTGGCCAGGTGCAGCAACATTTCCTATCATGGAGGCCACAGTTACCCTGGGTTCACAATCAGTACAGCGGCTGGGAATCAGGACCACAGAGTCCAGCCGTAGCTCCGCCATGACCTGCTCATTTGGCTCTTGTAAGCCATGCCATCTCTCAGCACCCCTGTTTCCAACCTTGAAGATGAGGGGTAGGAATTCAATTGGCACTTTTAAGGGAAACACAAGCTGTGTGTCTAAGGGTAGGCAGATTGGTGAGCTGCAGGTAGCACACAGGACCTATTGGAGAGGTATCTCGTGGCAGGAATACAAAGATGCGTGCCTATACCCTCCGGACTGCCTTCTGTTTCACTCCCATCTCCCACGGGGTTGCTTGGCCAGAGCCTCATCACTACCCACCTCTTTTTCTTGGATACTAATAAAATCTTGTTTCTGCAAGATTGGGACAATCTCTAAAGTAGTTTCTTCTCCTGTTCCCACCAATTACCCAGATCCATGGCTTTAGAAAAAAAGATAACTGATTTGCATTTCTCTGATGGCCAGTGATGATGAGCATTTTTTCATGTGTCTTTTGGCTGCATAAATGTCTTCTTTTGAGAAGTGTCTGTTCGTATCCTTTGCCCACTTTTTGATGGGGTTGTTTGTTTTTTTCTTGTAAATTTGTTTAAGTTCATTGTAGATTCTGGATATTAGCCCTTTGTCAGATGAGTAGGTTGTGAAAATTTTCTCCCATTTTGTAGGTTGCCTGTTCACTCTGATGGTAGTTTCTTTTGCTGTGCAGAAGCTCTTTAGTTTAATTAGATCCCATTTGTCAATTTTGGCTTTTGTTGCCATTGCTTTTGGTGTTTTAGACATGAAGTCCTTGCCCATGCCTATGTCCTGAATGGTAATGCCTAGGTTTTCTTCTAGGGTTTTTATGGTTTTAGGTCTAACGTTTAAGTCTTTAATCCATCTTGAATTAATTTTTGTATAAGGTGTAAGGAAGGGATCCAGTTTCAGCTTTCTACATATGGCTAGCCAGTTTTCCCAGCACCATTTATTAAATAGGGAATCCTTTCCCCATTGCTTGTTTTTCTCAGGTTTGTCAAAGAGCAGATAGTTGTAGATATGCGGCGTTATTTCTGAGGGCTCTGTTCTGTTCCATTGATCTATATCTCTGTTTTGGTACCAGTACCATGCTGCTTTGGTTACTGTAGCCTTGTAGTATAGTTTGAAGTCAGGTAGCGTGATGCCTCCAGCTTTGTTCTTTTGGCTTAGGACTGACTTTGCGATGCGGGCTCTTTTTTGGTTCCATATGAACTTTAAAGTAGTTTTTTCCAATTCTGTGAAGAAAGTCATTGGTAGCTTGATGGGGATGGCATTGAATCTATAAATTACCTTGGGCAGTATGGCCATTTTCACGATATTGATTCTTCCTACCCATGAGCATGGAATGTAATGAGATACCATCTCACACCAGTTAGAATGGCAATCATTAAAAAGTCAGGAAACAACAGGTGCTGGAGAGGATGTGGAGAAATAGGAACACTTTTACACTGTTGGTGGGACTGTAAACTAGTTCAACCATTGTGGAAGTCAGTGTGGTGATTCCTCAGGGATCTAGAACTAGAAATACCATTTGACCCAGCCATCCCATTACTGGGTATATACCCAAAGGACTGTAAATCATGCTGCTATAAAGACACATGCACACGTATGTTTATTGCGGCACTATTCACAATAGCAAAGACTTGGAACCAACCCAAATGTCCAACAATGATAGACTGGATTAAGAAAATGTGGCACATATACACCATGGAATACTATGCAGCCATAAAAAAGGATGAGTTCATGTCCTTTGTAGGGACATGGATGAAATTGGAAATCATCATTCTCAGTAAACTATCACAAGGACAAAAAACCAAACACTGCATATTCTCACTTATAGATGGGAATCGAACAATGAGAACACATGGACACAGGAAGGGGAACATCACATTCTGGGGACTGTTGTGGGGTGGGGGGAGGAGGGAGGGATAGCATTAGGAGGTATACCTAATGCTAAATGACGAGTTACTGGGTGCAGCACACCAGCATGGCACATGTATACATATGTAACTAACTGGCACATTGTGCACATGTACCCTAAAACTTAAAGTATAATAATAATAATAATAATAATAATAATAATAATAAATAAATAAAAGAAAAAAGATAACTGAAAATGTTACTTTATCCATCCATCCAACCATGGGAAAAGGGGTCCATAAAGAGTTCACCCAGGATCTGAGGAGCTGGAAGAGGTTGCAGCCAGGCATGTAAACCAGGAGAGAGTGGTGTTCTGAAACCCAGGAGTGAGAGAGGTGGAAGAAGCTCAGCCATGCTAAATGAAGAAGGATGCAGAAGCTGAGCTTTTCTGGTCTGATGAGGTGCCCAGGCAGCCTCAAGAGGCCTTGGGGAGCTGAGCTTGCTGGCAGCGAGGTGCTGGAGGAAGCACCCACTGCAGAGAAGTGGATGACTCAGTGTGAGCGGCCGTAGGCATGCAGCAGGTCTGCCAACCAACAAATCTATAAACCCAACCACCCGAGGTCTGCCAGCCCTGACTGGCTTCCAAGGCACCTCTGTTGAGTTCCTGTTCACATGCAGTTGTAGTCTATTTGGAGAGAGAAGACCTAGAAAAATGGTCTTTATTTTCTGTTATCAAGCAAGAAATGAATCTTGACTAAAAGTATCACAGGATTGCAAGAATCCTTTCAACTTTTCAATCCTTTCAAGAAGTTCTTGGCGCCTTGATGGAAGAGGAAGTCTTGGCTGGGTCTGGGAGGGCATTCCAGAAGGGGAAGGCATTGCTCTGCTGATAAGGAAGTGCTTCCAGGCGTGAAGCAATGATTCCTCTCCGAGCTACCCTGGTCTGGGGACTCTGAGGAATCCGTGGAGCTGCCAATTCTGGTCCAGCTGCATTTCTGCTTGAGCCTCATCTGAGAAATGAAGATCTTAGCAATCACAGGAAGAGTCAGCAAAAAAAAGAGGAAAAAAAAATCATCAAGGAAGTGAATCCAAGATCAAGACCTTGGCAAATGTCCAGGAACCAGAACAACTCAGGCAAATTTCAGCGAAGCTGTGAGACTTACTCAGGATGATGTGGGGTTAGGACTGCCCAGTGAGATAGGTCAGCAGAGCCCTGAAGAGAAGCAGAGGGACAAGGAGCCCTTGCTGGGATACTGTGTCTGGGCTCTGGGGCTGGCATCTCCCTGGGTTCCCGCATCTTGAATGTGAGGCCACAGGGTTGGGTTCAGTATTGACTCTAAGTTTCCAAACAGCTCTGAAATAGTCTACACCCATGGGCTAGAAATCATGGTAGGAAATGGGAGGCAAAGGGCCTGCAGGTGAGCCAGGGAGTATGAGATAAAGACAAGAGGGAAATGGTAGGAGACAAAGACCAATTGAGGATGTGTCTGTTCACTGAGTGACAGAACCTCTGATTTTGATGGGACGATAACTGCAGAATTGGTCCTTTTGCTTCCTCCAGACCTGACAACTGGAGAAGAAACCCTGTTGAGAATTTGAGAATCCTACCTGTTAGCTAAGAGTAGGTTAGCTAAGAGTTGGGTGTGTGATTTCAGGAGGAAAGTAAGAAAGGTGATGAGGGAGGGTCAATTCTTGATCTCTTCTGGAGGGTGAAGGATGACATATCAGAATCTGGAGGGTGGGGGAGTAGTTTGCAAAAGCATCCAGTGTGCTTTCTGGAGTGGGAGAGGAAAGAGTGAGGCTGAGCTAGCGCCCACAGAGCCTCCAGAGGAGGATACACCTTGTGCACATTGAGTAGAAACCCATCAGGCCTGCTCATCAAACATCCTAGGGACCAAGGAGGGCCCAGGACACTCAGGCCACAGAAAGGAGGCCCGGGCTCTGGATCATGAGCCCCTGAACCACAGCGTGACATGGGCAAGCACACTGGTTCTCAGAGTCACCAACCTCTGTATGAAAGCAGGGTCAGAATAGAGATGCCCTACATCTGCCACTTCCAAAACTGACTTTCTTGGGCTCTTTGATCTTCAATTATGTGGGTCCTTAGAAAGTCACCTTTTGTTTACTCTACTTCACAGGAATATAATAAGGAAATTTATAAAAACCAATGACCCCTTTAGATAAACTCAATCTTTATAGGAATATTGACCAGAATAGACTAGAGGTGTTTTTGTAAGCTGAATACTTCCTAGAGGTGTAGCTAAAAGTAATCTTACTCACCCCGGTTTGTAGGCCTGTAACACCTGGCTTATGTAGGTCACGTCTGCGGAGATGTGGAGGTGAAGCCACCGTGAGTCTGGAGAGGGGAACTGATGTGTCTTTCTTTTCTCTATTAAGTCACTGGCTATGGACTGGCACAGAGCCGAACTCAGAGGGACACCCAGGAGATCCCCCTCCTAGAGCCTCCGCACCCTCCTCCTCTCCTCACCCTCTCAGCCTTTGCTTGCTTTAAGCCAAACATTTATTGTTTCTAAAAATGCTGGAGTATTGCAAACATATTGGCTGAGAGGCTCAATCATCCTCAGTGAACACTTCCAGTTTTGAGATTCTGAGCCTCAGTTTCCTCAAATGTAAAACAATGAGAAGAGTGGACCCCAGACAGTGGTCCTCATTGCATAATATAAAAAGTTCTCATGTACCAACCACTCAGATCTAAGAAATGTTAACTTTAGGCCTCATTGACTTCAGAGTCTTGAAAAACAAATGAAGCCCACTCGACGAGTATAATTTTTTTTTAACGGAAAATAACAACTGTTGGTGAGGATGTGGAGAAATTGAAACTCTTGTACATTACAGGTAGGAATGTAAAATGGTGCAACCACTGTGGAAAACAGTTTGGTGGTTCCTCAAAAAGTTAAGCATAGAATTACCACATGACTCAGCAACTCCACTCCTAGGTATATTCCCAAAAGAACTGAAAGCAAGGACTCAAATAGATATCTGTACACTAATGTTCATAACAGTATTATTCAAAATAGCCAAAAGGTAGGAGCAACCCAAGTGTCCATTGACAAGTAAGGGATAAATAAAATGTGGTATATACATACAATGGAATATTATTCATCCCTGAAAGAATGAAATTCTGATATATGCCACAACATGGATGAACCTTGAAGACATGCTAAGTGAAACAAGACAGACACAAAAGGACAAATACTGTATAATTCCACTTATATAAGGTGCCGAGAATATCAAATTCATAGAGATAGAAAGTAGAATAGTAGTTTCCAGGGGCTAGGGAGAAGGAGAATGGGGAGTTACTGTTTAATGGGGTACAGTTTCGGTTTGGGGTGATGAAAAAGTTCTGGAGATGAATAGTGGTGATAGCTGCACAACAATTTAAATGTATTTAATGTCACTGAACTGTACGCTAAACATTATTAAGATAGTAAATTTTATGTATATTTTACCACAATAAGGAAAAAAAATTATTTCATCCCTTCAAGGCTTTGTTCAAAGGCCACCTCCTCCATGAAGCCTTCCTCCTGCTTTATCCCACCCCATGCCCAACCAGACCTGATGTGCCCTTTAGCAATAATCTGTTTCACCAATCTGAACTAGAAAAGACATTTTGTAGTTTTTATTTTCCTTTTCACAGAAACCCCAAGAGGGATAAAAAATGGGACAATCATTCATTTCTTCATTCAACAGGCATGACTGAGTACCTACTATGTGCCAGGTGCTATATTAAACACAACAGCAGGGGATTAATGCAATACACGAGAGCACTGTGAGTAGGGGCAGATTGCCTGGAAGAGCCAGAGTGTGGGGCTGTGCTGAGAAGGGGGTGCAGGCTTCTTGGGTCGGGGGACATCCTCAGAGGAGTGGCTTTTGAGCTGGCTGTGATACAGAATGTGTAGGCATGACGCTGAGAATAGTTTCAGGAATGGCTTTTGACAATACATGATCACAAAAGAGTGCCTGGGTGAGAAGTCTGGTCAGAGACACTGCTTCAGTGGGACTGCCTTGTGCCCTGCCCACCTGTGGCCTTGGGCAAGTTACTCAAGGTCTCCATCTGTGAAATGGGGGGAAATAATATCTGCTGTCCAGATCACTGTGAGAATTAAACAGGATAAAGTCTGTAAAGCAACTGCCTTCTGGTGGGTACCCCCTCCTTCTTGTCTCAGCTGGAGAAGCCCCTGGTGTTTGAAGGAACATCTCTGCTGCTGAGAATTGGTTTAGGACAGTAGGTGATCCTGAAGCTCAGTTCTCTTCCTCTGGACACTTTCAGCCAACACACCCAGGGGGCCTAGAGCCCTCCTACCCCATCTGAGCTCAGCGGAAACACTCGCTACCTGGATTGCAGGGCAGCGTTACTCAGTCTGCTCTGAGGACTGTCTGCATTGGAATGGATCGTTTCTGATCCTGTGGTCCAGGGTGGGGTCAGTGGTAGCACCCCCAGAGGATTGAGCATGAGCTAGGAACCAGATCGTCTGATTCCTGAGGCCAAAAACCCAATGAATTTGAATCGGAATGTGAATGAACCCTGTGTGGACGTTGCAAAGCCACAAGGGGTTAAATTGCACCCAGGTTTTGGAGAGGAGGAGACAGTGCTGAGCTTCCAGAGGCCCAAGATTCCTATTGATGGTTTTAAGTGGTGGGGTTTTTTATTTTTTTCCCTTCAGTTTTGTTCTTGGAAAAGGCGGTGAATTCCCATTTTAAATTCACTCTGCATACATTTCTGATTGATTTTTGTTTTGTCTAGAGCCTCTGGGATTTGCCAAGTCTCCATCAATAAACTAGAGAGGATTTAGGGAAGAGGTAATTAAAGGGGCTGGGGCAAGAGAGGAAAGGGGGAGAGAGGACAGGCAAAATGGAGATATCGAGCTGTCCCCAGCCTGCAGGGAGGGTGCTGCGGTTACAGGAAGTGTTCAGGGAGATGGCTATCAAAGGGTTTGCCGGGGTGAAACTGTCCAGTTGGAGCCCTTCGAAAGCCTGAACTAAGGGCCATGGTAAAGTCCAGGAAATTGGAGTCAGGAAACTTCATTTTTGAGTCCTAGTTTTGAAAGAGATTCCTTTGAGACTTTGGGTGAGTCACCTAACTTCTTTGCTTCCTCATTTGTGAAACAGAGATAGCTCAATTTGCTCCTAGCCACCCTGGTGGGAGAGTCAACTCAAGCAAAACGGCTGCTGAGTGGGACCTTGTAACCTGGCCCTGCTGACCCCAATTGACAGCCAGGGCTGGGAACAGAGACTTGAGGCTTCCTTCAAAAGGAAGAGTTACACCATCAGATTCGCCCTGAGAATTTGAAAGGAAACCAGGACCCATTGCTAATAGTCTCTTGACACCGGTAGAATAGAGGGTGGATGCCAGGCCGGGCCATTTGCAATATGAGGAAAGGAAGGGAAGGAGAAAGAGAAGGCAAAAAGGCAAGACACCATCCGTCCTGCCCCACTTTCCAGTTCCAGCTTGCATGGAGGCCCGCGGAACGCTGTTCCCTCTCCTCTTATCCATGAGACGTCAGCATTCTTGCCACAGCCTCTGACTTTTCTATTTCTTGAGCCCTCCTGAGCAGGCCCACGTGGAACAGGGTGCTGATGTAAGGGGCTGAGCTCCAGGGCTCAGACCCAGTGTTCTAACTCCCCTGGGAGCACCATGGGCCTTTCACTTTCTCCCTTCAACTCCCCAACCTGCAGCCACTTCTGAGTGTGACTCTTTTCCTGCTCATTGTCTCCATCCCCACCCCCAAAGCAGCCCAGGAGAGCAGGACTTGTTTGCCCTGCTCATGCTCTGCAGTTCCTGGAGACACCTGGCACACAGCAGGCCCCACATCTGAGGGCTGCATGACGCTGTTCACCTAACCACTCAAATTGCTGGAAACTGCAGAGTCGGCCTCAGCTCTTCTCCTCCCTCACACTCTGCTCAGGCACAACTTCCAGAAGGTTGCTGCCATCAGTCCTCTCTTCCCCATTGGCTTTTCCACCACCCCATAGCTTCTCACCTGGGGGGTACAACTGCCTCCTGTGCTCCCCCTGCTCTCAGCCCCTGGGGGATCCCCGGGGCACCAACACTCTTCAGTGCTGTCTAATCACCTCAGCTCAGCACTCTAGGCCCTGGAACAGTGCTGCACCCACCTTTCCAGCCTCACTTGCTTCATTCCTGGCTTCTCCCTTTCTGCTACAGCAACAGAGCTGTTTGACCCTGAAAAGGCTCATCTCCCTGCCTCTGTTCCCACTGTCCTTTCTGCCTGGAAAGCTGCACTCACTGTACCTTTCCTGTCACCTCACTAACTCGAACTCATCCCACTCAGCCAGCTCGTCGCACTCTTCAAATTCATGGAACTCAGTGCAGCCGTTGCTGCTTCAGTGTCCTCTTGTGTGTTCCCAGAATCCCTCGTGTTTCTGTCTTATCAGAGCATCTACCTCACTGTGCTGTGTTGTTCACTGGTCTGTGTGCCCCATGAGATGGTAACAAACAGCCTGGCACTTCCTATGAGTGCCAAGAAGTTTTGTGAATATTTGGGGCTGGCAGAGTGACTCACACATATAATCCAAGCGCTATGGGAGGCCGAGGTGGAAGGATCACTTGAGCCTAGGAGTTGGAGGCCCCATCTTTATAAATAATAAATTAACAACAACAACAACAAAACTAGGCGAGTGTCATGGTATGTGCCTGTAGTCCTAGCTACCTGGGAGGCTGAGGCGGGAGGATTACTGAAGCCCAGGAGGTTTTTTTTTATTGTTGTTGGTTTGTTTGTAAACATTTTATTTCATTTTAATTTTTGATTTTATTTATTTATTTATTTTTGAGACAGGCTTGCTCTGTTGCTCAGGCTAGAGTGCAGTGGTGTGATCTCAGCTCACTGTAACCTCCAGTTCCTGGGTTCAAGCAATTCTCATGCCTCAGCCTCCCAGGTAGCTGGGATTACAGGTGTGCACCACCATGCCCGGCTAATTTTTGTATTTTTAGTAGAGACTGGGTTTCACCACGTTGGCCAGGCTGTCCCGAACTCCTGACCTCAGGTGATCTGCCCGCCTCGGCCTCCCAAAGTGCTGGGAAATACAGGCATGAGCCACCACGCCTGGCCTAAATATTTTATTTCATTTAACACAATACATTCCAGTTTTACCTTAAATATATTTTTAAAAATATTTAATTTTCTGATTATTCTTCTTTTTCTTTTTAAACTTTTATTTTAGATTCAGGGCAAATGTGCAAATTGTTATATAGGTAAATTGTGTGTCATAGGGGTTTGGTGTGGAGATTATTTAATCACACAGGTAGTAAGCATAGTGCTCAATAGGTAATTTTTCAATCCCTACTCTCCTCTCACCCTCCACCCTCAAGTAGGCTGTGGTGTCTGTTGTTCCCTTTTGTGTGTCCATGTGTACTCAGTATTTAGATCCCACTTAAAAGTGAGAACATGTGGTATTTGGTTATCCGTTCTTGCATTAGTTTGCTTATGAAAATGACCCCCAGCTCCATTCTTCCTTGCTGCAAAGGACATGGTCTTGTTCTTTTTTATGGCTGCATAGTATTCCATGGTATATATGCACCATATTTTGTTTATCCAGTCTACTGTTGATGACCATTTAGGTTGATTCCATATCTCTGCTATTATGAGTAGTGCTGCAATAAACATACATGTGCATATGTCTTTATGGTAGAACCATTTATATTCCTTTGGGTATATATCCAATAATGGGATTTCTGGGTTGAATGGTAGTTCTGTTTTAAGTTCTTTAAGAAATCACCAAACTACTTTTCACAATAGTTGAACTAATTTACATTTCCACCAGCAGTGTATAAGCATTCCATTTTCTCTGCAACCTCACCAGCATCTGTTATTTTTTGACTTTTTAATAATAGCCATTCTGACGGTATGGTATCTCATTGCAGTTTTGATTTGCATTTCTGTAATGATCAGTGTGAAGCCCACGAGTTTGAGGCTGCAGTGAACCAAGATTGTGCCACTGCACTCCAACCTAGGCAACAAACCAAGACCTTGTCTCTAAAAAAATAAAAATTAAAATACACATTTGGAAGCAGACAGATCCGAGTTTAACGCCTGCTCCGCTCTTTTCTAGCTGTGTGACTTTGAGCAAATTGCTTAACCTCTTTTCTTTTTTTTGAGACGTAGTCTCACACTGTCACCCAGGCTGGAGTGCAGTGCGCAATCTCAGCTCACTGCAACCTCCATCTCCCAAGTTCAAACGATTCTCCTGCCTCAGCCTCCCAAGTAGCTGAGTTTACAGGCCCCTGCCACCAAGCCCAGCTATTTTTTTTTTTTTTTAGTAGAGATGGAGTTTCACCATGTTGGCCAGGCTCGTCTCGAACTCCTGACTTCGTGATCCGCCCGCCTCAGCCTCCCAAAGTGCTGAGATTACAGGCGTGAGCCACCGCGCCCAGCCGTAGCTTCTTCACCTCTATGAAAGAGATCATAATAATACCCATGTCACAGGGATATCGGGGAAACTAAAGGCAGTGATGTACAGCCCTTAGCGCCGTGCCTGGCTTGTGGGGAGGGCTCCATCCACATTAGGTGCTAGTATAACTAAGAAAAATATTTCTACATGCTGTTGGGAGGGGTTGGGGGAGGTCTCCAAACATCACAACTAAATCTGCGATTCCAAGGAAGAATTAAGAAGTCTTTTAGAAAACCACCACTGCCAAATCTTCCTTAATTGTTCCTTCAAGGAAGCTGGGGAACTTAGGTAACCAACCAGGCACCCAGCACAAACCGTGACTGAGATTTTAAAGTGAAAACTGAAAAAGTTTAAAAGAACACATAGATCTCTGGGGGGAGCACGGAGAAGACTAGGTCGCATTAAGGGCCTGGAAGGACCGGTGGCAAAAGGCAAAGGATGGAAGTGTGGCACTTCTGGATGGAGGCAGTGCAGGGTGGAGATTCAGAGCCATGGCCGAGCTTCCTTATGGAACCGGCGCCACCCCTCCAAGGCGGTCAGGTTTACTGGGCGCCCCGGAAACGGCACTCCCTGACTTGTGGCGTTGGCCCTGGAAATTCAGGTAGAAAGCAGCAAGCAGATGTTTTCACACACCCTGAAGTGTGCGCGATTGGCAGCGGCTGCCCAGAGAGGTTCCAAGAGAGTGGGAGCAATCCCCAAAGAACCCGGAGCAGGTTTGGTTGCCCGCCCCGCTGCCCTCCTCGCCCCTCCAGGAAGGCCTAGGGCAAAAGCGCGCTGGCTCGGGAGCCAAGCGCGAGGAGCTCTAAGCCAGTCTCAACCTCCTAGCTTGGACCTCGGTCTCCTCCTCCAGGCATTGGGTTTGCAGCGGGCAGGGGTGTGGGAACAATCTTGGAGGCCCACCCAAGCCCGGCCTCCCGGAGCCTCCCCCAGAGTTTGGGAACGTCCCAGTCTCGTTCCCTCTCGACGCCCCCGGAGTCAAGACGTGAAGGGAGTGCCAAGGCGGCCGGGGGCGGCGAGCGGGGCCGCGGGCGCGCACCGACTCAAGAGCCGACTGTCAGCCTCGGCGGGCCGGAGTTCTCCGGCGCTGGGACAGGGGCGCTGGGACAGGGGCGCTGGGGGCGAGCCCTGGCGGGGGCCAGGTCCGAGGACCCTGGGCGCGGCGGCCCCGCCAGGAGGTCCGGCCGCGAGCGTGACCTCACGGGGAGGGGCCAGCGCGGCGGCCTGGGCGCTGAGCCGAGCGCCGGGAGAGCAGCGCAGAAGCCGAGCCGCGAGGAGCGCACTCCGTGGCCCCGATGGAGCGGTACAAAGGTGAGGGCGCGGGTTCCTCGCGCGGCGCACACCCACTCCCTTTCGCCCAGCGACGCGGAGGGCAGGGCTAGGACTCGTCTTGCCAGGACTCGGGATAAGCAGAGCCCACTGCCCCCACCCAGCCCGGACCTGGGCCTAAGAGGGGGCGACAGCGGCGCCGCGGACTGGGCGGGTGGGCTCCTAGGTGGCTGCTGCGGCCCGAGCCCTTTGATCCTCCCGGGCGCGGAAGGAGGGGGTCGTCAGTGGGGGGCGTGGCGGGGCTTCTCACCTGTTGCAGGAGAGAGGGTGAGCCCGGCACCCCACTCCACCCTCAGTCCCGCCGCACAGGAAAGATGCCTGGGGCCGAGGAAGCCCCGAAGAAGGTGGGAACCGTGCTGAGCTGCTGGGGGCAAAGGGTCGGGCTGTTGAGTCCTTTCTCCCGGGCGCCCGCCGGGCTAGGGGCTTCCTGCTCCCGGCAAAGCGCTTGGGCAGTGGAGTGGGCGCGCAGACCCTCCCCGGGCTAGGTGGGGCCTCCCCAAACGTCCTGCCGTTCGGGTCATCGTTTCTCTCCAAGCCCTTCTTTGCTCCCCCACACCAAGAAAGGAGGGATGCGAGGGTCGGGGGCCGAATGGAGTGCCCGGCAGGTGGAGCTCCTGGAGGCGTCCGGACCCGAGGGCTTAGCTCAGTGCGCAGCTGGGCGAGCTTTGGGTTTGGCGGGGGCCAGGATCTCCGCCAAACCCCGGTGGGCGGGCCGTCCCGGGTGCGCCGGACGCCCAGCTTAGCACCCACACTCGGAGCCTCGGAGCTGGTCTACAAGTCTCGATTGCGGTTCTTTTGAAAAGGGAGTACAGGGAGTTGCCCCTTAAGAGGAACCCTGCGGGCGCTCCCCCCTCCCCCATCCTCCTGCAGACCCCTTCCCTTTGGAAAAGCCTCTTGCCTTCTCTTTTGCTGGACCGGTCTCCGCCAAACCTGCGGGAGGAAATGCTGCTTCTATATTTGTTTTCCCCTGGGAGAGAGTAATAAAAAGAGAACGCTCAGATTCCCAGGAATCTCACTCCCGGAGGGCTCTGATCCCTGAAACTGACATAAAGGGACCTGTTGGGACCGGCTTCCCTAAAGTAGTCTTGTCTTTCACTTTCCCATTGCTTTTTCTCATCTGGGTAGCCTGGTTACTGGTGAAGGCAAAAGATCCAAGTCCCAGACAGAGCTTCATATATTCAGGAAGGGTCTTTGCCGACAGCAGGGAGCCGGCGTGGGGGACAGGGTTAAAGGAGTTGGCCACCTTTGATTTCTTTCTGTGAACCCTCCCTGGAGCTTCTCTCGCATTTCTAACCCGGTGGTTTTCTTCTTCTCAAATTCTACTGGGATCACGTCAGTTTTGTGCTTGAATGACTGAATGCGCGCTTATGCTGTCTCAGACACTTGAGGAAGCCACAGTCCTGCTCCTTGTAACATGGCCGTTTGCACTCCCTCCCCTACTGGGGCCCCTCCGCCCTTCGGGAGGGACCCTCTCTGGGAATTCAGGCCTTGAGTTGAGCCTGACAGGAAGTGTTGGCCTCTGGGGTGCCTTCCAGCTCCCTGACTTGCAAAGCTGGGGTGTGTGTATGGGGGTGGGGGTGGTGTTAGTTGTAGGTTGCAAGCTACTTTCTCAAATCAGCATATTAATCTCTCTAAATCAGGGCAAATCACATTTGGGGTCTTTCAAAATGTCCCGTTATTCTCAGAAGGCTTTTGTATTAATAACTTTTGACTTGGCCCTTGACCTGATAAAAGTCTTCTTAGTTATCTTTCTCTCTCAGGAGCTTAAAATCCTCCCACCCTCGAAGAGGATCAGTTTTTGCCAACTGAAGGGAACTTCGTTTCCAGGTCAGGGTGCTTATGTTTTTGGTAACACATGTATCTGCCTGATCATTTTGCAGTAAACCAGACACAGAGTGATAAGTGGGTAAACCTGAGAATTATCTAGGTTTCAGAGGCTAATCCAACTCAAATTCCAGTGTTTGACTCATGAGAAAAATCTTTATTTTGTCTCGCTGGTGTCATGCTGCTAATAGGTTTACTACACCTTTCACTGAGGAATTTGGGGATCCCCTAGCCCCAGGATATAGAATTCCCCATTCTCCTGAGAGGCAGATAAGTTGTGCTTTGAACACCCTTTAAATGGAAAAGTTCCTCTATGCAAAATGCAAAATGAAGCCCATCTCTGATTAACCAGTGTGACTGACTAGAATCGGTAGTCTCTTCTTGCTTTTCAGAGACTGGGGCCATCTTCTTAAAGTTGAGATTGAATAGTTATTGGAATAACTAGGAATAGTGGTTTAAACAACAAAGTTAAACGGAAAAAGCAGGTTTATTTAGTTGGGCTCCTGGAGCCTAAGTAAAAACTGTAAAGAAAAATTCTTATTGTGTGTGACACTTTTTAAATGTGTTATTTAAATGCCTCTTCATTCTGTTTCTGTACTTCCAATTTTGAGCTCTCCCTCTCTCAGGTAGGTGGAAATGCCTCATGGCTGTCTTCAGAGTCTCAAAATGTTTTCTCTAATTTGCAAATCTTATAAAGCAGTTCATGTAGGAGAAATTGTCTTTCCATGTTCCTTAGCCTGCTTGTTATATATATTGTACATCCTCCAAAAATAGCCTATCATTTTTGGGCTCTGAGTGGATTTTCCATTGTCTTGTAGGATGTAAAGTGAGGTCTGGAGATGATGGGTGGTTGGAATATCACCCATGTGACATGCCTGTTGCAGAGACACTTCCAGACTTTCTTCCCAGTCCCTTCCAAGATTTCTGCTAGATAGCCATGACTCACCCAAGCAAAAATAAGGGATCGGGGAGTATGTGGGAGTCCCTTCCTAGAGAGATGGCACTTTTATGAGAGTTGCCATAAATAGCGATGGTAAAATGGCTATGTCTTGTATGTGAATCTCTTTGGCGTTGTATAAGCAGTAAGGCTCTCGCAAATGTCAGGATGTGGGGCCAAATCCTACAGGGTGCTTTGAGAAGGTTCCCATCCTTATGTGTTTACATATTTATGACTCTCATAAGAGCATCCTTTTATCGCTGTGCATGAGCCCATTGGCTGAACTCACCCAGTGTGGTCACGCATTCTGGTTCTGACTGCTCTCCCAGCTGGTGAGTGGGTCTGGGCCAAATGTGACTGACCTACTATCTGTGGATTGTGCTTGGAACATCCATGCCGAAGCTTCCTGAAATTGCATCATACTTGGATACAGATGGGCCTGGTTGAGATATTCAGCTTCAATTTAGATCACAGTAATTGGTTGAAAGTGTTATTATTCTTTTTCTGCGGTTCTTTTGTTTCTGAATTTGATCATCCAGTCCCCCCGCTTAGCTCTAGGGCATTGGAGGCAGATATGAACTGCAAAGAGTCAATCCAGTAAAATACTACTTCAAAGTTTATATGGGAATCCTGAGATCTGTGGTCAGGGAAGGTCTGGAAAAGAAAAGCAAATTAAAAGAGATGGGCATGCTACCTTCAGGAATCATCTGTATTTGTTATTTTTCAATGCCTACGAACTCAGGTTTTTTTGTGTTGAAGTTCTATCTAAGGCAGTAGTTCTAAACCTTTGCTGTGCATGGAATCATCTGTGGAGCTTTCAAAAATATGGATGTAAAGGCCCCACCCAAGACATTCTGATTTAATTGGTCTAGGGTACAGCTTGGGCATTGTATTTTTTAAAGGTCTTCAGGTGATTCCAATATGCAGCCAAAGTTGGGAACCAAATTTCCTCCAAAAAACATGAAATGTCAAAAGAGCAAAAAAGATCAGTAATTTTATATACACTTTCCTCACCTGGAAAAGTAAAAGCAAGTGTGGGGTGAAAGGGATGCCCCCCCGATACTCACACGATGTGCCTTAACCAAATCTTGTAATACCTGCAGAAATCTACTGTAATCACCTTCAGCTATTAGAGGCTTTAAAAGGCTATGGGAACGTTGCTTAAAAACGATCTCAAATGTGGTGCTTAAAATCCTAAGCTCAGGGTTTGCTCCTTGTACTTGACCCTGAGCTCCCTGACTTTGAAGTTGCGTGGGAGCCCTGGATGATGTGGCAATGAAATGGTCTGAAACAGAAATACTGAGAGGTCACTTTTGGTGCTGAAAGGCCAAGCAGAGTGGGGGAATTCTGCTTTGGGCCCTTCCTCTCTTCTGAAGGGGTAGGAGCCCTGCGAGCTGGGCTGCTTCCAGCACAATTAAAGGGCCAGGAAAGGCCAAGGAGCTTCAAAGCTGAGGAAGCTGTGCCAGTTTTCTTCCAATTCCCTTTCATAACGGGAAATGTTTCTTTAAAGGCTTCTGTCATTCAGAGAAGGGAGACTTTCCTCAAGCCAAGGGAGGATGGCTTTTTCTGTCCAGAGCCCTGGCTGAGACATGAAGGCAGTCATGGTGCAATGAAGAAAGTAGTGGCTCAGGAACCTGGAGACCCACAGGCTTCATTTCCTTGGGCAAACTGCTGAGCTCTCCAGGCCTCAGTTTCCCCATCTGGAAAACAACCTCCAGTGTTCGCAGTGTTCCTCTATCTGACTTTCCAATGGTTCTTCGATGCTAGTTGTTCTGTGGTCACTGAGGAATCTTTGGAGAGAGGATGTGTCTTGGGGAGGAGAGGGAAATGAGGGAGGGAATGTGGGTGGGTAGCCCAGCAAAGGTCAGTTTAGGATTGTGATTCTTATAAATAAAACCAATTTCCTGTTGAGAGCTGGAGAGTAGCAGACTTAGTGGGAAAGAGAATGCCGTAGGCCATGTGAGGAATTCATTTCTCAAGGACTTTTGTGTGACCGTGTCTCCAAAGATTGTTCATCGAGCCCAGAGCCACCCTCTGCAACACGGACCATTATTCACTCCCATTTGAGAGACAGGCCAACTGAGGCCTACAGAGATTAAGCAACAGTCCAGACAGTCAGAAATAGGATATAATATCCCTGAGAACTGAGTCTCTAAAAGGGTAGAATTCCTTTTCAAGGATTTATTTAGGAAAGAAGTGCTCAAAGCAATTTCAAATTCATTCCTTATCGGTGTCCCTTCAGCCAGGGAGGGACTACCTGCTCAGTTAAACTCTCCTCAATCTTCAGGACCTAGCCCACATGTCTCTTCATCCAGGAAGCCTCCCCTGACTCCCACTGTGTACCCTCATTACTCTTGGGATAGCCTCATTAATGCCTAGCACATCGCAGGTGGGCAACAAATATTTGTGGAATTAGTGTCACATTTGTCTAATAATTGTACATGTCTATGTTTGTTTCCCTGCCAGGCTGAACTCCTTCAAGACAGGGACTTTGTCTTTCCTTATGTCCCTCTCCAGCCCCTGGCACACTGCCAGCTGCATAGTGGGTATCTGGGACATGATTGGGGAGTGGGGAAATGAACAAATTCCAGGCAAAGAGATCACATATTCTCCCGTGCTCTAGCTCTGGAGAACAGACCTGGTTCACAAAAAGAAATGAAGCAAAATCTCAAAGGCAGATTCCAGAAATGGAGATGAAAGCCCACAGTGGCCACCCTTGGCTTTCCCGACTTGAGCCTTATTTCTGTCTATTCCAGCACAGGGGTGTTGCTGTCTGGTGGTACAGAGAAGGATCCGGCAGGTTTCTGCGTGTGAGTATGAGCCTGTCTGTGCCCTCTGCAGCAGCTCACCTGGCCTCCAGGGCTCCCGAGGGTGCAGACCTGGCTCTGCCCATGCTCTGGGTGGATGGTTGAGGGAGATCAAGGAGCTGGGCACCGGCCTGGGCACTCAGGGGCTCGGGATTCTAATCTGGCTTTTGCCACTAACTCGCTATGCGACCTTGGGCAAGTCAATTAATCTTTCTCAGCCTTGTTTCCTCATCTGTATGAGTGAGAATAATGATTACTAATCTACCTTGCAGGCCACTTGGTGGAATAACTTGTAAGAGCTATTGGTAAAGACTTTGAGAAAGAGAATGTTAAATTAACGCAGGGGAGCAGATACCCTGAAACCTCTGGCATGTGGTTCTGATCCCACCAGTTCCTGCCTTTTCACAGTTCACTGGGCTCTGCCCACTGTGTGCTTTTCAATGCTGTTGGGAGATATAAGTTGGGGCTTCTCAGCCTCTAGGCATCCTAGCTTCTCAGAGATAGCATCTGTGTATTCTTCATGTCAGTGGAGAAAGAGATAGGTGACGAACTGCTCATTTGTTATGTGTAGAGCTACATCCTAGCCCTGCCTGACTTTTCTCTGATGTCTCATTAAGTCCACATAGGAGAGACCCTTAAATTCAAATAGTAGCTTTGAGCCCTTTCCTAATTTTCTATCACTCGACTCTCATATTCTCCCCAGTTAGTTTCAAAAAACAAACTAACCACAAACTGCATTGAGCGGGGAGAAGGGAGAATGTGTAGAAAAACAGGAGGAGCCTGCCTCCCCCTGGACGCGTTGCATTGGACTGATGCAAAAACACAGTGAGGCCAGGGAACACGGATCTCACATCTCTCAGGGGAGTCTGGTATTAGGGAGGAGTGGGGAGAGGCACCCATGCCAGTAGAAATCCTGTTCTGCTGTTTTCTAAGCAGGCCCCTGAGTTCTCTTCTCACTTCCTGGAGCTCCTCCCAGGACTTCAAAGGCAGATACAGTCCTGGTGGACTGTGGTGAGCTTGTACGGAAGCTCAGCCCCAGCACACTGCAAATCAGCCTTCTGCTGGAGATTAAAGCAAGAGAGGCTAGCCAGCTGTTAGCTCAGAGACAGCAACCACTGTGTACCAGGAAGAATCCAAGCTGGGTGAATGTACAGTCCTACCCTTGGAGGTAGCTTTCCCAAATTGAATGACCAGCCTTCCGGGCTTGCTTGGGACTTTCCTGGTTTTACCACTGAAAGTCTGGTGTCCCAGGAATCCCCTTAGTCCTGGGCAAACTGAGATGGTGAGTTGCCCTATTACCGGACCTAAGCTTTAGTAAAAGTTTCTGAATCAAGAGTTTGATTTCTCCATAGCAAACATGAGCTGGAACCAATTATTTTGTCTCTTTGACAAGAAAGTGAAAGTCCAAGGCTTAAAAACTGGCAGATCGTAACTTACCACTAGTGATACACACCAGTATGCTAAGTGAAAGAAGCATACTGCTATTCAAGATTCAAAAGCTTGCACACTGAATGATTCTATTTATATGACTTTCTGGAAAAGGCAAAACTATAGGGAAACAGATCAGTAGTTGCCAGGACTGGGACTGGGGGAAGGCGTGAGCCACAAAGGGCGTGAGGGAAATTTTTGGAATGATAGAGATGTTCAGTATCTTCATTTTGGTAGTGGTTACACAGCCATACATACTTGTCACAATTCAGAACTGTGTAGTTAAAAGGGCTTTTTTTTTTTCTGTGTGTAAATTAACCTCAATAAAGCTGACTTTTAAAAACACTCTAGCAGTTGTGATGCTGTGGTATAAGATGAAGGTTCAAGGTCAAGGTTGGGTATCATGGGTTGTAATTAGCAACTGAGTCTTGGTGTGGGTGTGTCTGCAATGGTTCTGGAGGTGTATGCAGCAGAAAAGGGTGAGAAATTTGGTACAAAACAAAAAGGCCAAGGGCTCATGCCTGATGACATCCTAAATGCCAGAGACTTTTTCATTAGGCACAATCAGTGTGATAGTGGAAGCTCTCCCTCTGTTTAGAGAAAAGGCAAAAGCAGCTCCCCTAAAGGCCAGGCAGCCAACAAGCCCAGGAGGACCATGGAATATAAGAGCATTAGACTCAGGTTCCCACCCTGGGAACTCTGCTGCTACCCACACATGGATCTAATGTACTGGCTTTGGCAGCCTGTCTGCAAGTCTTTTTTTTCTACCAATAAAGTTATTGTATTAGAATTGAGTAATCAAGTCTGCAGGATAATTATTTCCTGGTTGACTTTTTGTTTTTGGCAGTCCTGCTTGTCTATGCTAGCTAGGATTGATTTTGAGGGGAAGAACCCATGATTTATCGAAATAACACACCCAGTCGCATTTGATGTAAAGAATCAGTCCTCTTATTTCTAGACAAGGAGAAGCCTTCTGATGCAAGGGCAGAATTACCAGTCGTCACTGCACCAGGCCAGCGGACAGGATGTGGAAGTCCCCAAGAAGGAAGAAGTATCACTCTGGGTGATCTGAATGGACTCTTAAGATCTTGGTGTTTTCCTTTTTATTTATTTATTTGTTTTTTAATCAAAGCCCATGTTGAATTTGCCTGTTCTTCAGGTGAATTTTGTCTGGCTCTGTACCCTGGGAAGCTGGGTCTGTGTCTGCATCTCTATTAAGCACAGCCTGTTGGAAGGCTGTGGAACTTCCATCCGTGAGGACTACATGGGCTGAGGTCATGTTCAACCATGAATTATACAGGAGAATTTCCCACATGCAACTTTTTAAAATCACAAACACATCCAAGCCACTAGTCACCCACAAAGGCAGGTCTCTTCCACCTGTTCCAGGGTTTTCTGGAAGAATTACAGACTCATAGCCAGTGCAATCCTTAGTTCTAATTGTCTTAGTTTTGTTGGGGGAAAGCATTGATGTTAGAGAGGCAGGCAGTGTTTTTGTGCATATTTGAAGTGAAATTTCCCTGATGCAGGGTCAGGCCTGGCTTGTGGCTGGTCTACCTAAGAAGGGTCGGGTTTGGGGCAGCCCCAAGGCCCGCGTCTGGTTTGAGTGCAAGGGAGAAGCTGGGAGCTTATGAGTGGGGGATTCCAGATGTTTCCTTCCCTGGGCTGCACACCTCTGCCACAATCTCCCCTGGGCTGCCTGGGCACACTGGCATCTGTTTGGGTTTAGGGGACTGTCTTAGCCTTCTTGTTAGCCCAACAAGTGGGAATCCTGCCATTTCCTTCCATCCTCCACCCCCCGTTTTTTTCTCCCCCAGTTTTTATACAACAGGATTTATTCATGTTCACTGTATTCAAGTCCCCAGATGGGGGGAGAAAAAAAAGATTGTTGAATGAGCTTATTGTTTGGAGGTTTCACTGACTTCTTTTATTTAATACCCACAGTCCTAGAACATATTGAACTGATTTACTAAAATTCAAATGTGGTCCTTTTGGAAGGAACTCTTCTAGGGTGCTTCGTGTCCCCGGTATCAGAGCTGGGACCTACTGGGTGGCAAGTTTGCTTGGGCCATCTTCATGGTCTTGGGTCTCCTTGGAGGCAAATATTCTGTTACTATCCTAGACTCCTTATCAGCTCACAATGGTCAACACCCTACCGCCCTTTGCATTGTCAGGACTTTTGCGGCACCCAATTCTAGCACATTCTTTGAATAAAGATGAACACCAACATTAGGTACTACAGTTAACAGAAGCCCTCTGTGGCTTCTGCTTGGCAGTTTCCTGCACACTTAGGGAGAATAAAGGATGGTGAAGTGGCACCTACTGCTTGACTGCCTAGTGCAGGGCAGCTGGTCCTTGACTGACATGGCAGAGTTGGATCACATGTCTTTGGCATGTTTTAGAGATGGGGTCCCTACCGTTGATGTTACCGGAATTGTGGCTGAGGATCGTGGCGTGCATGGTGGTCAAGCACGGTTTCTGTATGGCTGTGACACAGTTGTGCTGTGACGGTTCCAGATGTCTGGAGCCCCTGGAAATCTCCTGAGAGAGCAGGGGCAGGTACTTGAGCTGGGTGAGACTCATGTCTCCCAGGAGTCGGTGGAAGCTTGTCTCTGGTTCAAGTCGGTAATATCCCAGATGTTCTGAAAGTAGCCTGGGGCAAAGCAGGAAGGGTGGATCTCAAAACCACACACACAAGTGTGAGTTGTGGGTGCTTCAGGACGCCTCTTGGACGCACAGGCTCACGCTGGCTCCTGCACCTGCATCTCTTGCTTCCTCCCTCCCTCTCTCCCTCCCTCTCTTCTTCCCCTCTCTTCTTTTGTTCCCCTCTTGACTTTCTCCCACTTTTTCACTCTGTTTCTTTCTACCACTTCCATTCAGGTCTCCAGGTCTCCTGGATCTTGAGTCCAAAGAAGGGATTCCCACTGAGAACCTGAGGCCAGAAAGACACAGAGGATAGAGTCAGACCCTCCCAACTCTCTCCTGGTCCCCAGGCCTCTGGTGGTCTCAGGCTCTCATTTCAAATAGCCGTGGCTTGAATTTCAGGCTTCTCCCAGGAGGGGCTGGTGACCTCAGAGTCAGGGTGGGGAAACTGGGGCTTATTCTCAGTATCTTACTCCCTCCTAGAAGTGCAGGCCTCAATGGAATTTGTTCACTGTGGCCCCTGCTGCTTCCTCAAGCCCTAAAGGGTGTCACTTCTCATGGCCTGCTGCAAGAAATGACATCTTCCACAATCCTCAGGTCCAGAGCTATTTGCTAACCCTGGGGCTTTGCCGGTCGTCCCCCCGGCACAGTGCAGGTTAGTGTCACGGTGATTAGGGTCCCAGGAAAGGGCACACGTACTCTCTTTCTGTGGGTCCTTAAACAGTGCTGTGACTCGCTGACCACCAAGGGGTAGAATCAAAATTCCTGCACTGTGAGGGGCTCCTCCCACCGCCATCCCAAGTCTCCTGGAACTGAGTATCAGAGGAGGGACTGGTGTCCTCCCAGGGGGAGCATGAGAATGTGTCCATTGTTTGGATAAAAGTTCCAAGCATGAAGGCTCAACGTTGACTAAAATAATTTTTTCCCATTGACCTCCTTGCTTCTCAGCGGGCAAGCGCCCATCTCCCGCCCTTCTGAGGCTGCTTTGGTGTATGTAATTGTAAACAGCTCTGGCTGGCAGCAAATCTCCAAGAGTTACGGGATCCAGGTGTCGCTCCCAACTCACCACGCACTGGTTCCCTTGAGAGTGGAAAGGCTGTTTTGTTCTCGGAGGGAGAATTCAGGCTGTTGCTTTTGAGATCAGATCCTTACAAAGCCTGACTCACTCTCCCATTCCACCCCCAACTTCCCTCCCTGTCCCCAGCCTCCAGGTCTCTACTCACGATGAAAGAGGCTTCGGGGATTCTACTTCATGAATGAAGCCCTTAGCATGTGGATTTTTGCTTTTCTGACCCGGAGGTAAGAGTGTGGATCACTGAGTGCTCTCAGGTATGCAGGGAGCCACGAGCATGTTTATTGTTGAGCGTAAGAGCAAACCAGCAGCCCACATTCCCTGTGTGAGAACAGGGGCTCACCAATCAGGGCGAGAGTGTGGGCTCAGGTCAGTGTCAGCCTCGTTTCTTGGCTACATTCTCACCCCTGGTGCAGGTCATGGCAGTATGGGAGTGAAAGCCTCTTGTGCTAAGCAGGAAGCCCCAGGAGAGTGTTGGTGGCTTTGGGGCACTTAGTTACCTCCCTTTGCCTAGCAATAGAGTTGGGAATCATCTCAGAGCAAAAGTGATCCAAGGATTGTGTTGGAAAATGCCTTTGGTAGGTTCAGAGGATACGGGGTGCTCCTATCTTGGGGGCCTTCCTGCTTCCTCCTCTCCTTGCAGCCCTAAGCGTTTACTTTCCGGGTATCAGGTATGATAGGGGCACATGCGTGTTGGGGGAAAGGAGATGTGGGATGACAATCAGCCCCTTTTTTCTTAAAATTTCTTAAAGCTATTTACCTAATGTCCTCAAGTGTAAGACTTGTCCTACAAGATTTATTTTCCTGCCAAGGGAAGGTTGAGGCAGCTTGGAAGAGAGAAAGTGAGAGTGCAAAGGACCTTGTTCTATTGGAGTGGAGAGACTTCAGTTCCTCGCAGGCCTCCTCTATGCTTTCAGGCTTGGCTGCCATGTGTCTGTGCGTATAGATTTCTTCTCTGTTTGGAAAAAATAACAAAGGTGGTCACATAGCTTGCAGCAAATATTCTCCCCAAATGGCTTTTAAAAAAATTACCATTATGAGTGTGAAAATGGTTTAGATTTAGGAGGAAACAGCTGGCTGGCAGCGTTCCTGGTGAGTTCCTGGATAAGATTCTGTGGTGTCACTAATGACTTTATTCGGTATATTTCTGACACAAGCACCCTTGAGAGTTGGGGAATTTTGTGGCTGAGAACTGAGGTGAAGGAGGGAAAGTCCTAATTTAATTCAGGACAATCCAGACCTGTCCAATGGATATCTCTTATCCACCTTGATAGTTTAACTTGGATGCACACAAACCCTTTTTCTTTCTTTTTCCCTTTCTTTCAACAGGGTCTTGCTCTGTCACCCAGGCTGGAGTTCAGTGGCACTGTCATGGCTGACTGCAGTCTCAAATTCCTGAGCTCAAGCCATCCTCTGACTCAGTCTCCTGAGCAGCTGGGACTACAGGTGCACACTACCACACCTGAATAATTTATTTTTCATTTTTTTGTAGAGGCGGGGTCTTGCTATGTTGACCAGGCTGGTCTTGAACTCCTGGCTTCAAGCAATCCTCCTGCCTCAGCCTCCCAAAGTGCTGGGATTACAAATGTAAGCCCCTGTGCTCTTCTTTCTAGGATTCTGTCTATGGGTTTCTCTGAGACTTCAATACATTGCTATCCTAGCTAAGATAAGCCTAGATTTCTTGAGACCCCTGAACCAGGACCTGTCCTTGAGTGCAGGCGGCATCTAGGGCAGCTCACCAGTGGCTGTGGGGAGAGTAAGGAGGTGTGCTGTTCCTTGTACTGCTCTGGAGAAAGCCTGAGCCCCTCTGTACCTGGCTCATTCCTATTTTTCCAGCCTCTGCAGCCATTCCTCACTTGGCTCTATGCCACAGTCATACCGGGCTCCTTGTAGCTCCCTAACTTGGGCTTTTCCACGTGCTGGTCAATTGGTTTGAAATGCTTCAGGGCTGCCTGGTAAGCACGTTTGTCAAGGCTCACTGGGCCTTGACACCTTGACCCTGGCTGCCACTGGATCCCTTAACCCTCACCTCATCTTGTACAACCCTCATGGCCGTGGTCATTGTGTCTGTTGATGGAAGTCTATATTTCTAGTAGGCTGTAAGCTCCTTAAGGGCCAAGGACAGTATTTTTGGTGTTCACAGCACTAATCTCACGTGTGGTATATTGTGAGTAGTCCAGAAACACAAATTGGTTGGGCCCAGTGGCTCATGCCTGTAATCCCAGCACTTTGGGAGGCTGAGGCAGGTGGATCACCTGAGGTCAGGAATTCGAGACCAGTCTCGCCAACATGGTGAAACCCTGTCTCTACTAAAAATACAAAAATTAGCCAGATATAGTGGCAGACACCTGTAATCCCAGCTACTTGGGAGGCGGAGGCAGGAGAATCGCTTGAATCCAGGAGGTAGAGGTTGCAGTGAACTGAGATCTCACTACTGCACTCCAGCCTGGGTGACAGAAAGAGACTCTGTCTAAAAAAAAAGAAAAAAAGAAAAGAAAGAAACAGGAACTGAATGAGAAATGTTTGCTGTCCTCAGGTTTTCTTAGAGTTGGATTACATCAAAGTTAAGGGCTCTGTTCACTGAGTGACACCCTGGACAAAATTAATAGGCAGCTGGCAGAAAGGAGAGAGAGATTTACAATGTCTAAAAGCTGTTCTATTAACATTTAGGATATACAAGGCACATTAACCAGAAAAAGGCATGAATGTACATAGTAAAGACAGTGAATCAAGGGTATGAACAGGAGTTTACAGGTCAAGGAAGCTGCCAAAAGGCTGACAAGTATCTGAAGAAATGCCTGGGCTTCTTTAGTCATCAGAGGCAGGTCAACCAAAACCACCACCCAGTAGACTGGCAGAAATGAGAAGGTGGCACAATGCCCCATTTTCCCAGGGACGCTGGGTTCAACCATCTTCATGCAGAGCTGAGGGAGTATAGGCTAGTACAGCCAGTCTGGAAGGTAGGATTTTTTTTTTTTTTTTTTTTTTTTGAGACAGAGTCTCGCCCTGTTGTCCAGGCTGGAGTACAGTGGCGTGATCTCGGGTCACTGCAACCTCCGCCTCCCAGGTTCAAGCGATTCTCCTACCTCAGCCTCCTGAGTAGCTGGGATTACAGGTGCGTGCCACCATGCCTGGCTAACTTTTGTATTTTTAGTAGAGATGGGGTTTCACCATGTTGGTCAGGCTGGTCTTGAACTCCTGACCTCGTGATCTGCCCGCCTCAGCCTCCCAAAGTGCTGGGATTACAGGCGTGAGCCACCGCAGCCGGCCGATTTTTCTTAATTGCATTGAAGATGCACTTACCATACGATCTAGCAATTCCCAAAGAGATGTCTGCATGGGTCCATAAGGGGGCAGGGTTGAGGATGATCTCTGCAGCATTATTTGTCATGGTGGAGAATGGGAAGCAGTCTAGGTGTCACTTGGGAGAGGGAACAGGTGAACTGATAGATACATGTCTTAGAGAATTATGCAGCAGTAGAAGCAATGGCTGAGATATACATCCAATGGCATAGATGAATCTTTAATACACAGTGCTGATGGAAAGGCAGGAACCAGAATAGGACAGTGGACAATAGCATTTACAGTCATTCAAAATTCACGAAGCAGTCCACATTGAGCAAAACACATACAAACGGAAAGGTGCATATTAGGAAGGTCATCGTTGTTGCGGGAGGAGAATGGGGTATGGGGAAGAAAAGGAAATTGCATGAGTTTGCTTGTAGCCTATTGTCAATGCCAGAAGCCTACAAATAATTCTGACTTGGAGCAGAATTTGACATAGTGAGAACAATACCAGAAGCTCAAGCCATGTGCTGTGAAAGGATGGGGAGGAGACTCCCCACCACCCCTCACCCTATGGAGGAATCATGGGAAGGTCATTTTCCTTCATATTAATTTCTGGACTGTCCAAGAAGTTCTCATGAAGCTGTGATAACAGACTATCCCTACGTTTGACTCTAAAGCTTGCATTTGACTGCGAGGGCTGTAGTGGTGGTTAGCAGTCCACCATTGTCACAGAACGGGGGAGATGCATGAATAAGCCTGGGGTGGTAGGGCTGGCTTTTCATAGCTGTGTATTTTTTCAGTCACCTCCAGCCATTCTGAGTGCCTGAGCTCTTAGTCATCCTTGGGTTCACATCACTAAGTACAGGTCATGGCTGACAGCCAGCGTCCAAATGTTTATCACACTGAGTAAAATGCAGTGGAATTAGATTTTTCTAGTACCTGATGGATTGGACACAAGATCGCTAGACTCTGAGCTAGGGGGTTCATTTTGCTCCTCTTCACTTAGGAGATTCACTCAAAATCAGTGTATCCAAGCATGATACACTCCCTCTCCCCACTTCCCACCCTGGGTTGATCTGATCTGGACAGAGTTGGCCCCTGATCTTTTTTGTTCCATCATCTCTATTTCTACTTGAAATAATAGTTGCTTTCTTTTTTAAAAAAATCCTTTTTTGAGATTCAGAGGTCCATGTGGACCAGATGACCAGAGTCCCTGTTTGCCTCGCATTGTGTCCTGCCTGGGCCCCAGAGGCAGGACCTGGTGCTGCCTGGGGTCTCGCAAGTGTGGGCAAGAGAAGAGCTAACCCTTTTGGATGTGGGCTCAGGGTGTGGGCAGCAACTCCAATTGCATTTAAAGTCAGTAACTAAAGCTTAAGTCTTCCGGAACATAGAAATAACCCCTGAGGTTGGCACTGGTGGTGTCACTGTTTTCCCAGCATTCTTTCTCATGCCCTGGATGTTGCTTATTGATGCCTCTTCCTTCTAGCTGTTCTTCATCCAACCTGTCCATCCTTTACTGACAGTGTTCAGTTTCTGCCCATGTCTCTGAACCTGCATTTCCAATTTCTGGGTCCCTTGGGATATTGATATCTTAAGTGAGGGGACAATAGAAATCCTCATTTCTGTTTTCTCAAGCTCAAGTATCAGCCCCAGGGTCCCTTCCAGTTCAAAGGATGTGTGATTTTGTAATGAACGTGCTGATGTCCTTAATTAGCCCCTTTAAATGGGAGAATATCCAGGTATTCACACAATGGACATTTTCTAAGCTTTACTTTGTGCCAAGCATTGTCTCAGTGCAGAGGTAGGCTGGACACAGTACTGACGAGGCCCCTGTCCTGATGGGGCTTGTGTTCTAGTGGAGGAAAGCAGACCACAAACATGCAAGCACCGTTCTAAAACAGGTTCATTTCAGAGAGTAATGAGTCAACGTGAAGAAAGAAAGCAGGATGTTGTGGGAGTAACTTGGTGATGGTGGGGGGTGGTGTCCAACATTAGCCTGGGGGTGATGGAGAGTCTCTCTGGGGAGGTGACATTTGGGTTGAGACCTCAGGGAAGAGGAAGAGCCTGCTGTGGGGAGAACCAGGCCCAGGCAGTGGCAGTTGCAAAGGTTCTGAATGGGTGTGTGTGTGTGTGTGTTCATGAGGGCTGAGAGGAGCTTGTCATTGAGAGGGAATGTAGAGAGAGATGAAATGGGAGAGCAGGATGGTGCGAGGGAGCTTTCATGCAGTGAAACTGAGCTTCCCCGCCACCCATCTGAGTGGCCACTGTCCCTTCCAAATGGGTAAGTCACCGCCAGGTAGACCACCTTGGATCCATCTATTTTCCACAGGAAAAATTTGAGCATATCCTAAAATAATATCCTCCTTCATCTTTCTCCCAAGAGGTCAAGGTGCCACAAACCTATTGTAGTTGTCCACTTTTCACTGAAGGGGGCGCTGGGATGAGAGAGGACATGAAGGATGCCTGTACTTACTGGGGGTAGGGGTAGGAAAATTGCCTGAGATCCCTGCATTGTGGTCCCGTGTCCTTCCCACCAGGTAAAGCCAAGGAAGGAAAGGAGCTTTTTGATCCCTGACCTACCCAGAGTCTTCCAAGTGCTTCCTTCCATGAGGCATGAATGCTTCATCCCCCACTGTTCAGACTGTCTGAGGTCTGTGTTTAGCTGTAGGAAATAAATACTGTTCGAAAGTTGCAGGGTGTGGCTTCGTGCAGATTGGGTTCATATCAGGCTTGGACATTGCAACCATGAGCAATTACTTACTCTTTCTGAACCTCAGTTTCTTAATCTGAAAAGGGTTGATAGCTTTTTCCTTGGGGATTTGTAGGGTTGGAGTGAAATTTTGCCCTTAGAGAGCTTGGCAGTAGGTTCAGCACATGGTCAGAGCCCCGTAGTGCTAGCCAGTGGTGGTGAAACAAGGCATTGGGCTGTATGTGCCATGGGTCTGCCATGTTTATTTCTGATGCCTACAGCCTTTGCTTTTAGTAATGCTGCCATTAGGTTCTATGTGGGGCAGGGGAAGCTGAATCATGAAGGAGAGCTGTTTCCTCTTTCTGACCCCATCAGTGTGGAAAACGTACTAGTCTTTTATCACCTGAGCTTCAGTTTCCCCCATCTGTAATAATCACCACTTTCCTCACAATGCAGAATGCTGGGAAGATCAATGAAAAACTATGCATAAAAGTGTTTTGAAAACTGGAAATCACTGAACAGATGTGTAAGATGACTCTCCACCATTGCATCAGGAATTGCAATTCCAGGCTGAGGGAAGCCTGCAGTGCTACCATAGCTATTGCTAATTTGCTCCTGACTAATGATCAGTTCTAGAGTATTTATGGCCAGAAGGCAGACTCCCCTGGCCATGGAGACCCAGGGTTGGGTGGAATTGTGTTTGGGATTGGCTGACGAGATGAACAATTAGATACAGGATCACTTGGACAGGGAAGTGAAGGCTCAGTAAGGGATTCAGTCAGGCCAGTGAAGTTCATTCCAGTCCTGCAGGGAATGGACCCTTCCATGCCAGGGTGCCTGTCTGCAATGGGAGTGCCCTCATTTTGCGAAGCATGGAGGCCAGTAAGCCCTCTGCAGTCCCAGGACCGAGGCCCACATGGCCTGAGCATGAGTTGCAACTCTAGAAGAACATCTGCCTGGGGATGTGCCGTTGCTGGGTGTGCTTTGCTCGGTCACTCCCTGGCTGCTGATTCCTTAGCCTGGCCAGGAGGGCCTGCTGGGCCTAAGGAACCCCTGGGCCTCCTGGCAGCTGCTGTGGAGCAGGTGCAGTTCCGGCTGCTGCCTGGGTAGGGCAGGGCTGCTTGGGACACATTCATCTCACCTCTCCTAACTTCTAGCACCATCTCTGCCGGGGGAAGAGCCCCCACCTGTCGGCCCTGATTCTCTTCATCTTCCTTGCTTTGCAGCTGCTGCTGCCTTGTTGATATTAAGCAGGGCATCACAATCAAGAGTGGTTATTAAAAATAATAATTAATGCTAGTACCTTTTCCTTTTTTCCTTTTTTCTTTTTTTGGAGATGGGGTTTTGCTCTGTTGCCCAGTCTGGAGTGCAGTGGTGCCATCATAGCTCACTGCAGCCTTGACATCCTGGGCTCAAGCGATCCTCCCACCTCGACTTCTTGAGTAGTTGGGACTACAGATGCATGCCACCATGCCCAGTTCCTTTTCCTTTTTATTTCAAAATATATTCCATCATTTCCCTCATTTCCCCTCACAGATATTCCGTTGAAGGTGTCAGAAGTCCTACCATAGGCATTTTCTCCATGAGGTTACCGAGGGCCTGGGACCTTAACTTACCTGTCTCACAGCAACAGACTGGGAAGCTGTTACTACTGGATGGTGGGTTTTCAGACTCTCAGCCGAGTCTCGGCCTGGCTGCCCACATCTGGTAGTGACCGTGCTCCCTGGCTTCTCGTTCCTTCCTTGGACATTTTCTACTCATTGTCTCAGTGAATCCTCAGGGACTCCTGAGGGGGGGCGGGGGGTGGTGAGAACCTGAACTATTCAACTCGCACCCTCCACCAGGTACCTGCAGCCTCCCTGGAGTGGCTAAACACCAGAAGGGTTCCAATAAGAAAAGCATTTTAGAATCTTTCACTGACGTTCTTGGCATTGCTTTGCTCAGGGAGATGTCCCCTGGAATGCTGGAACTTGTTTGCCTGAGCTAGGCTGAGTTAAGAATGTTAATCAAAGGCTTCCCAAGGCTTTTCTGTCAGACACTTTCATTTTATTACAGGCTGGCAGAATCACAATGGGGTGTGGGGGCAGGGAGGCAGGCATCCAGGGGTAATTGTCATTATCCTGATTCTGAGGATGGAAGACATTGAGGCTGGACACTGAGGCCAGGGGTAACCCCAGCAAAAGCCCACGGCCAACCTGGCAGCATCCAAACCCAGCTCTATCTGACTCTCTGGCACATTCTGCTGCCTGGTCTAGCTTGATCAAGCTGGACATGACCTCCATCCTCAGATGGCTTCGACCCTGACCTGCAGCCATGTTTGGATCTGATGTTAACCAGGATGTCAAGTCCTCCAGCTGCAGTCAAGTCATCTTGGTGCATTCCTTTAGGATGGGGAAGAAGGTGCCCCAGCATCACTCACAGCTGAGCTTGGGACTCTGTGGCTGTCTCTGAAGAGATCCCTGGCCTGATGAAATAGCCTCTCCTAAAACGGGGCTTCTCTGTGTGCCTGGCTTCCTGCCCTCCTGTCTCCATGTCCTGTCCCTGCTGGTCCAGCCAGGACTTTGTTCATGCTGTTCCTCATGACAGGGGCCTGCTTCCATCCCTTCACCTTCCCGATCACACCCACCTTCACTGCCCCCCTGCCTCCTCCTGGAAGCCAGCCCTGGTTGATCACCTCTGGCCCCTGCTGCTTATACTTCATATGGGGCTCAGTCAGTGCTTCGAGTCCCTGGCCTATGTGGGTCTCTGTTCCTGATGTCTCTGTTTTACAGCTCCTAAAATGTGCTGCAGAGTGTCTGGCACACAGGTGGGCATCTGCTTTGTTCCTGATCATTCCCAAGAGGTTCTGTTGAGTTTCCCATCTGCCCCTCTCAACCAGGCCTGGAGCCTTTGGAAGTCCCCACTGAGTGTGTGGGCCCCGCACTGCTGTGGGCACATGGAGGATCACAGGAGGTGAGGCGTGGTCCCTGGCCACAGGGCACAGCCCCCAGTAGGCCGTGGGCTAGGCTGTGGCTGTACCTCTCTCTGGAAGTAGGTGTTTAACCGGTGCTGCTGGGCTCCCCATGGGCCTTACCTACTATGTGATTAGTGGGATGGCCCTGGACTCTTGCTTGGCAGAAGAAGGCGAGTACTTTCTTGTTTCTTAAAATTTGGAAGGAAAAATAAGTGAGGTTGTTCTCACTTGAAAAATAAATTTCACCCCAGGCAACGTTCAGCCACATGCCATTCAAGCCCAACAGCTGTCTCTCATTTGCTGGCAAGTGTTCCCAGTGATGAATGTCCTCCATCTACGCTCACAGCGGCCCTAAATGGAGGCTTTGGACAAGTGTGGGGGGAACAATGGCCCTTCTCAGAGAGCCTGCAGCAGACGCTCCAGTGAAGTTGGTTCATCACTTGCAGCGGGGGGGGGACGACAGACAAGATGCCATTGATGAAGCAAGGAAGGCCAAGCAGCCGTGGGGAGGGTGCAGCTGAAGACAGAGGCGGAGGCAAGGATGGGATTCGTGGCTGCCAAGAAAGGTCCTGAATAATCAGAGTGAATGATGGTGCCTCTCACGCACTGCCTTCTGGAAGCTTCCTTATGGGATGTCTCCTCCTCTTGACATATATGTAAAACCCTCTGCAGTTGTCACTGGATCATGGGGTTTGAGAGGGTCCGGTCCTTTTAGGGCAGACCATGTTGTTGCATCCTTTGTCATTGGATGGACAAGGGCACTGGGGCCAAGGGAGAAGCGCTAGGGGCAGGACCGGAAGGCGGGGCCTGCTTCATTCTTCCTGTGACGAGGTTGGAGGTGGGAGGGGAAGACTGAGAAGAAGAGAAGATGGACTGAGGGTTTAGGAAGAGACGGGGAGAGCCTCTGTCAGCCTGCGGGCTACGTGTTGGCAATCCCCACTTCCACCAAGCTCTGCTTCCATTTCCCTCCCTGGTTATGTCTCCCCCAACTTTCCAGGGCAAAGAGAAAGGGTCAGATTTCCAAGTTGGTTGGACCCAATGTGGTAAACCTAGTTTTCCTTTCTCCTCTTCTTTTTGTTGTTTTTGGTTTTTCAGATGGAGTTATTTTAAATAATTTAAAATAGCATACACAACAGCTACACATTTCAAATTGCTATTTCACTCTGTAAGGAGTTCAGTGTAGTAATTTTACATCTATATTTTTATGGCAAAGTCATACATGCTTATTATAAAATATGCATATGTGGCAGAAATTTGTAACATAGAATATGAAAATCCCTAGAATTCCACCCTCCATGATAATATCTATCAGGGATGTGTTACACTCTCCAGATCTTTTTCTCCTCTCTGCGATAATAAAAAAGCTCCTTTCCTCTCTCTTTTCTCCTCCTTCCCTCCCTTCACCCTTCTTGTGTTCCCTCCCTTCCATCTTTCCTTCCCTTCCTCCTTTTCCTCCCCTCCTGTCCCTGTTTTTTGCCTGCTCCTTTCCAACCCCTATGGTAATAAGTTCTAAAAAGCAACAGAGCACAGCAAAAAGGAAGTCCCTCAGAGCCAGGTTCATTCACCTGCCCTTGCCAGAGGCAAACACTGCCCCAGATTTTATGTATCTTTCAAAACATTGTCCACATATAAGCAGCCATGTATATACAACTTTTTTTCTTTCTCCCAAACAGAGCATACCACTGTTGATCTTTTTTTTCCTCTTTCATGGCTATATAATAATTGACGTATTTATGGAGTACATGTGAGTGTTTGTTATATACATAGAAAGTGTAATGATCCAGTCAGGGTATTTGGGGTATCCATCACCTGAAGTGTTTATCATTTTTATGTGTTGGTATCCTTTGAAGTCCTTTCTTCTAGTTACTTTGAAATATACATAATATTGCTGGGCATGGTGGCTCATGCCTATAATCCTAGCATTTTGGGAGGCTGAGGCGAGCGGATCACCTGAGGTCAGGAGTTTGAGACCAGCCTAACCAACATGGAGAAACCCCATCTCTACTAAAAATACAAAATTAACCAGGTGTGGTGGCACATGCCTGTAATCCCAGCTACTAGGGAGGCTGAGGCAGGAGAATCACTTAAACCCAGGAGGCAGAGGTTGGGCAGTGAGCTGAGATCGTGCCATTGCACTCCAGCCTGGGCAACAAGAGCGAAACTCGGTCTCAAAAAAAAAAAAAAAAAAAAAAGAGAAGAAATATACATAATATCATTGCTAAATTGATAGAGTGCTATCAAACATTAGAACTTATTTCTTCTCTTAATGTATGTTTGAACTCATTAGCCAGCCTGTCTTTGTCCTTCCCGTTCTTCTACCCACCCTTCCCGGTCCCTGATATCTGTCACTCTATTCTCTATGTCCATGTGATCAACTTTTTTAGCTCTCACATGTAAGTGAGGGTGGACCTTCTTCCTTAAGTCAAGGCTGTATCTCGAGCTCATTCCTGATAGATATGCTGCTGTGTTCTTTGTACTTCTGCTGTCTTTCCTTTATATGTAAATCACTGGGCATTTACATTTTCCCCCAATCCTTTGCTATGACAAACAACACGTCCATGAATTGCCTTGCATGTAGGTTATTTCAGACACATAAAAAATATCTGTAGCATAAAATCTCAGAATAGAATTGCTGGATTGAAGGATATGTGTGCTTACAATTTGCAAAGATGTTACCAAATTGCTTTCTGGGGAGGCTGTGTCCCTTTTCACTCTCATCAGCAAAATGTCTTGTTTGTTTCCCCAAACCTTCATCAACAAATTGGTATCAAACTTAGTCATCTTTGCCCCCAGAGAAGGGGCAAAGCTATCTCTTTATGGGATCTCTTCCTGATAATTTATACTTCTTTTTTTATGAGTGAAATGGAACATCTTTCCATATGTTTAAGAGCTCTGTGTGTGTGTGTGTGTACACTCTCTTCATATGCATTATCCTTTTTTGTTGTTGTTGGATTGTTAGTCTTTTTATTTTTTAGGAGCTTTTTATGTGTGAAGGAGATTAACCCTTTAAGTATGAGTTGCAAAGATTTCTCCAGTTTCTTATCTTTTGACTTGTTTTATATTTATTTTTCTGAAATAGGATTTTTAAAAATTATTTTGTGGTCAAATTTATTTCCTTTTATGTCTCTGGGTTTTGCTTATACTTAGAAAGTCTTTCCCTAGAATTATACTTTAAAAAATCTCCTGTGTTTTCTTTGTGTTTTTAAAAAACAGCTTTATTGAGGTATTATTCACATACCATACAATTCGCCCATTTAAAGTGTACAATTTGATGGCTTTTGGTATATTCACGGACATGGGCCACCATCATCACAGTTCATTTCAGAACATTTTCATCATCTCAATAAAAAACCTTGTACCTTTTATTGATCACCCCTTCATCTTTACATCCTCCTCTCCTCATCCTCATCCCTAAAACAACTACTAATCTACTTTCTGTTCCTACAGATTTCCCTATTCTGAACTTTCTTTTGAATGGAATCATATGCTATGTAGACTCTTGTGACAGACTTCTTTGACTTGGCATAATGTTTTCAAGGTTCAATCCAAGTTGAAGCCTGTATCAGTATTTCATTGCTTTTCATGGCTTAATAATATTCTGTTGTATGGCTATAACAACTCTTGTTTATCCATTCCACCACTGATGGAAATTCGGGTTGTTTCCACTTTTTAGCTATTATGAATAATGCTGCTACGCTGCTGTAACCATTCATGTACAAGTTTTTGAATGGACATATGCTTTCATTTTTCTTGGGTGTGAGATACACACACATGCATATACATACACACACACCTAAGAGCGAAATTGTTGGGTCATGTGGTAATCTATGTTTCATCATTTGGGAAACCGACAGACTGTTTTCTAAAACAGCTGCACCATTTTACATACCCACTAGCTGTGTTCGCTTCTGTACTTTTGTAATCTTATATGTCATGTTTAAAACTTTTGAACCACCTAAAATTCTTCCTATTGTATGATACAAGGGTCCAAATTTGCATTTTTCCAGATGGATACCCCATTGTAGTAATGTCTTCTCAATGTCTTTGTTGTAAATGAGATCACTGTCCACATCAGGGTCTATTCTGTATAATCTAATCTTTTCCATTGATCTCTCTGTCCATTCATGTGCTGTGGATGTACTGCTTTAATTATTGTGGCTTTATGATATGTTCCCTCACTCTTACTTTTTAAAAACACACTCATCATAAGCATTTATTAGACCTTTATATATAGTGCAGGGGTAGAGACTGTGTAAATCAAACCCAACATTGTTCCTGCTGCCTAGAAGCTTGTAATGAATAAAAGCTAGTTCTGCTCCCATGACCTCTGACAAATGCATTACATAAATTGCCCTATTTAATCCTTATAAGTCTATGAGGAAAGGTAGAGTTTTTCATTCCTAGTTTAAATACAAGGAAACTGAGGCTTTGAGACAAATCTGGAGACAGAAACCTGCAGTATTGCCTTTCAAAAAGCAACTGCCTCAGGTGTTCTTGGGCACCTTGCCAAGAGAGGAACAGTCCAGGGAAGTGTGGTGGAAAATTCCATTTAATGTGTTCACTGGAGCCATTGGCTTTCTCATGGTAGAAGGACTGTGGTGAGTCTTGTGAGGACAGCCCCACATCTTGGAATGAAAGCCTCTCGGACATAAATATGGTCATCACCCAGTGCTAAATTGCCATTGAGAACCTAGATAGTAAGGAAGTGAGGGTTTGACTTTGGCTATATTCTCTTCTCAGACTGTGTAACTCAAGATCCCTGGAAGGGATGGAGTTTGGGATTCCCCCGCCCCTGCCGCCTCACAAAGGGATAGCAAAAGCATTTGCCACAGAAAACATACAAAGCCCCATAAAGTCGCAACCAATGAAATCATCATCTCTTCCCAGGCAGACCCAGTCTTTGACCTTGGCCAATTTCCACTTTCTGGGGAGTTGTAAGGCAAGGAAACTGATTCACTCAAGGAAAAGACCTGCTTAACTTTCATATCATCAGACTTATCAAACACTTGGGGTTTGGGGGTTATGGGATTAGTACAGCATCATATGACTGCCCTGGAAGTGTTCACATGTAAGAATGTGGGGTAAACCCATGCGGAACATAAAACCTCAAAAGGATTTTGCCTGGAACTAGCAATAAACATGCAATCCAAGTTGTCTTAATATTTCAAAACTTCCTCTAAAGGAAAAAAATGTTCATCTGTCTGTCTTCTTCCTCCCTGTCTCTACCATTCCTCCAGACCGTTTGTTTTATGGGATGCATTTTTCCAAAGTTTTAACTATTCCATCTGGTGGTGGGTGACTCATTCTTTATTATTATTATTTTTTATCATGGGAAAATAGTATATTTAGTCCAGGTCAGTGTGACCTGGTTTTGAAGATCCCAATTTTGCTGACTTTGTTTTAGACATCACTGTGGGGGAGGAGCTGGGTAGGTAGTCACTTCTTTATCTGCTGCATAGCCTGGAACAGGGCAGGTGCTTTCTTATGGTTGACAGGTCTGGGGCTCTCTGATCCAGACTCCCTCAGTGATGGCCAGTGATAACCAGTTTATTCCTTTTTTTTTTTTTTGAGACAGAGTCTCACTCTGTCGTCCAGGCTGGAGTGCAGTGGTGCGATCACGGCTCACTACAACCTCCATCTCCCGGGCTCAACCAATTCTTATGCCTCAGCCTCCTGAGTAGCTGGGATTATGGGCACCCAGCACCATACCTGGCTAATTTTTTTGTATTTTTAGTAGGGACGGGGTTTCACCATATTGGCCAAGTTGGTTTGAACTCCTGACCTCAGGCGATCTGCCCGCCTCGGCCTCCCAGAGTACTGGGATTACAGGCATGAGCTGCTGTGCCTGTTATCATGGGAAAATAGTATATTTAGTCCCGATCAGAGTGACCTAGTTTTGAAGATCCCAATTTTGCTGACTTTGTCTTAGACATCACTGTGGTGGAGGAGCTAGACAGGTAGTCACTTCTCTATCTGGTGCATGGCCTGGAACAAGCTTCTTTCTCCATGGGTTCTCTCTGGAAACTTCTTGGACTGTCTTGAGGAGCTGGAAGATGGGGGGCCATTGCTTCTCCTCCTCTAGGCCATTTTCTTGGCTTTAGTATTTTGGGGGACAGCTAATTTAATTTCAGTCACTATCTTAGATTTAGAGGTGCACTGAAAATCTGGAAGAAGCGAGATACCACTGCAGAAGGAGCAAGACTCCATTGCTTGAGGGAGACGGACCATTTCTCACGCAGAAATTATAGTCCACTGTACTAGAAGACATTCGTTTATGTTCTAAATCTCTTGGCCTCTGAGGATATAATGAGGACAATGGCAATATTTTAAACATTTGCCCATGGGAAGTGTATCAGCTTATCCTGGAAGGGGCTCTGATTTTGGTGTGTCTTCCACCTTTTCTGGATTCCACCCAAGCAATTACAAGTGTGTCAGCTGGAAAGAGCTAATAGAATAATAAGGTATGGGTATAAGCTTCAGTAGGACGACACAGTTTTGCCCCTGACTGACTGAAAATTCCCAGTCAATTTCTTGTGTCAATACAGAGCTAATGCTTATTTTAGAAACATGCTTAGCATTGAAGCGGAAAAGAATTGTAAGCCGCTGTCTTGAGAATTCCGTGGATAAGGTAAAGAAGAATCCTTCTTCAGGTTCTTGCAAGCAGAGCAATCCACTTGCAGGTGGCAGAACACCTGGTGATTGGTACCCTCATTCTGAAGGACCTTTCCCTTAACACGGGTTCTGTTTTTGCTGTGGCAGCCCTCCTTGCCTGGGAGGCTTTACGGCAAATAGCGACACAGCCTATCGTAGGGGTGGCACCAGTGAAGACCCACAAAAAAACCATAATACAGTTTCTTGGGAAGTACTCCTGAGAAGTGTAGGAAACACATTTGAGCTCTCTGTAGAATCCCTCAGACATATGGAGGACTTCAGTCTCCCTTGGAAATGGAACCAACTATGTGATGCTCTCTCCTTAAGCCTCTCAGGCCAACAGGTCCTCCTTCCTCTGTGTTTCTCAGCACTTGGTTCACAGATACCTTGCTGAGTTGAAATTAAGGCATTTGAGGGCAGAAATGCATCTTGCTCATTTTTGTATCTTGAAGTATGACAGCTCAATAAATAATTATTAAATAAACCCCATCATCACACTGGGGAAATCGAATAACCACTCTATACCATTGACTGCTATTTTGCCAAGACCTTGGTTCCATAAGCAACATTGACCACTGATGCCTAAGTTATACTCCCTTGATTAAGTACATATGGCATATGGTACAGTGTCTATGATACAGCAATCAGTCAACAAACGTTTGTGTCCTCCCATCCACCACCCCACCACAACTTGATGGGTACAGTGGTGACTTCTTTCCAAGAAGCACCTCACTGTCTTTGATCAGACTTGACCCAAAGTCATCTAGTTTCTAAATCATGCTTCAAGCCACATTTGATTCTTGCCTTGGAACTGGCCTCTCTGAAGGGTTTTAAGGCAGAATATTTCTACTAGGCTTTCCAGATACTCTGGTAAAACATTCCTTCTGCTACACTTGTGTGATAACTGTTTGTGTGCTAGGTTAGATGGAGTTCATAGTATCTCATATTTGGTTGTTCAGAAGTGTTCTTTGACTTGGGAAGTCTGGGACTAGGAAGGAGATGGGTGAGTGTGAATTAGTAAACCATGGACCAAAGGAGATGTTTCACATGTATTATGACCTTGTCTTGTATAATGCCCCCAGTGATATTTGAAAACACCAAGTTGAGTGCCCTTCACCTTCCCTGTGTTGGGTCAGCAGGTGAGGGATATGCCAAGCCCAGTCTCCTGGGGTCTCTACTCCATCTTGCTCCTATCCCTCCTAGCTCATGGCTCTGTGGGTGGTGACTTCTAGGGAGGCCCAAAAGCTGCAGTGGTTTCTCAGTCTCTAGCTGATTCTGTTTGGGTGGTCTATTATTCTTCCCATGTTTCTCTATTCTTAAGTCTTCAGTATTTCTATCCCTTGGATAGTGTTGAAATTGTGAGTGTTTTTAACTGAGTGTCGACAGTTCTGGATGTAACGAGTTCAGCAACTGCATTATCAGGGTCTGAATTGGCAGTGTTGTATCAGCCCTTGTGATCATTTCAAAATGCTCTTCCTTGTGGCTTTTGAGTTAGGTAATTGCTGGAATTCTCCTCCAAGTGGAGCAGTGATTGTAGATTCTTTTGAGTTAGGTAATTGCTGGAATTCTCCTCCAATGGGAGCAGTGATTCTTCTGAGTAAGAGAAGCTGAATAGGCTCTACCCCATGTTAAAACAAATGTTCATTTATAGGATCCAATCTAGACTGTCTATATGCTAGTCAGATGCTACTTTAGTAGAATCATCAGCATCAAAGTTTAGTTCTCTTAATTGGCATTGATTCCCTCTCTTCCCCACTAAATTGGAAGTCCTTAAGTGTAGATGACATTTCATACTGATTTGTATTGCATTTGTCACCCCTATTCCACTTCCTCTGGATCCGAGCACAAGGTCTGGTCATAGTTAATGCTCCATATATATTGATTTATTTCACAAGTCAATGTGTTTATGCAGCAATGAATAAACATATTTCTTCCCCTGGAAGATCTCACAGTCTCTCCAACAAGGTTTAGTGTGTGCAGTTCCTTTAAGGGGGTGGCTTTTTGGCAGAGGTAGGAGGAAACTGTACAACTGGCCATGTAAATTTTGTTTTCCCAGATTCCATTTAAAATTTTTATATTTGTTCCTGATTAGACTCTTAGAGGACTGGAGTATGAAATTAGAAAATTGAAGTCACTTTTCTGGTTTTTGTTTTTTTGTATTTTTTGTTTTGAGACAGGGTCTCACTCTGTCTCCCAGGCCGGAATGCAGTGGTGTGATTATAGCTCACTGCAGCCTCTATCTCCTGGGCTCAAGTGATCCTTCTGCCTCAGCCTCCTGTGTAGCTGGGACTATGCCTGGCTAATTTTTCAAAATTTTTAGTAGAGGCAAGGTCTTGCTATATTGCCCAGGCTGGTCTGGAACTCCTGGACTCAAGCAATCCTCCCTCCTTATCCTTCAAAAATGTTGGAATTACAGGTGTGAGCTATGATGCCTAGCCACTTTTTTCTTTTTGTCTTAGGGCATGAGTTGGAAAACTACCTCAGCCAAGGGCCTTCAAGCTAAGAATGATTTTTATGAATAAACATTTGCAATTGATTTAATGATAGGAAATGCTAATGTTGAACCCCAATTAAGCAAAATGTTACCCCCACTAAAAAAAATTTCCACTCCCATTGGTAGATCTGTATCACAAAGCATTGGAATAAAGTATTATTATTATATTTTGAATTTTGTCAATAAAAAGTTTGTGGACATTTGTATTCTCTCTGGCTATAGTAGTAGTTCCTGAAAGATAACCTTGATTTTGCCTGTTGGCCTGCTCTAGAATTGGGGCTGGCAAGCTTTCTTGTAATGAGCAGATAGGAAATATTCTAGGATTTGTGGTCATATATTCTGTGTTGCAATGACTCAATTCTGGCATGGTAGCCTGGAAGTAGCCACTGATACTATGTAAACAAAAGTGCATGGCTGTGTTCCAATAAATATCTATGGACGCCAAAGTTGAAATTTCATATAATTTTCATGCGTCATGAAATATTATCCTTCTTTTGATTTTCCTCAGTCATTTAAAAATGTAAAAGCCATTTGTATGGCTTGAGGGCCATATAAAAACAGGTGTCGAGTCTGATTTAGGTATATAGTTCACTGACCCCTGTTCTAGAGGATCAGGCAGTAGCCCCGAGTAATGCCTGACCTGACTAGGTTAGCTCAGACACTTTAGTGAACCTGGAAGAATATGCAGGTTATGTCTGGTCTAATGACAAACTCCCTTCTCACCAAAGCCATGCCCCTGTTCCGTGGCCCTAAGGGACCTAAACCACCTCTCTGCCCACCCCCACCCCCTCCCTCCCTCTGCCCCCATCCTCCATTCCTTCCTATCCCACACGCCTAGCTCTCTAAAATCTGTCTAGGAAAGAGTTTCTTCAGGATGCAGCATCAGCGCTGGGCCCCTTCCAGCTCTTAGTTGGAAGCTCTTTCCAAGGATGGAGAAGCTGAAACAGCTGCATTTTTTTTTTCTTCTTCTAGAATCATCCAGCGAGGGGGTGAGTTCAGGACTCTGGCAGCTCCTGTGTAAATGCTGAGCAGCTAAAGACAGCACAAATCCGGAGCAAACGCTGCTGCTCCCAAACCAGGGAGAATGGCTCATCAAAGCCAGTGCTCCAAGCATCTGCGTTTATTTTGAGGCCAGGGCTGGGGAAGGGGAGTCTCTCTCGCTCAGCTGGGTGTCCATGAAGAGGCTCCAGGGCAGGATCGCATCTGCGGCTCCTTCAATGAGACCACTGTCCTGATTGTCAGTCCTGTTGCCCCTGGCATTATGGTTCTGTGCCAGAGGTTTAGCCAGCTGTGCTGTTTGTCTCACGAAGAAAGTTTCCAGAAACACTTTTTCCCTTTCTGCTTGAATGACCAAGTTTCAGAAAAATCCAATGATAATGTGCAGGCGTTTCAAATCTGTAATTTTAGCTGGGATGTTTGGGGTCGCGTTGCCTGGGAGATTTAAGGGGTGAACATGTAAAAGTCTATGAAATAACCGACAAAACATCCTCCCAAGCCCGGAATGCTGAAGCAACAGAGGAGGAGTGAGAATGGGTTGGACTCGCAGAGTTTATAGGAGATGGTTTTAGCTTATGGGGCTGTGTGTTGTCACTCTGATATGACACAGAAGGTCCGTGAAGGCAGGGGCTCTATTTTTTGTATCCTGTACATATCCTAGGAAAGGGTGGTCTTGGGACTTCACTGCATCCCAACCAGCATCTTCTGTCCGCTGTGGACCTAGGCTGTGCTGATTGTATGGGCAGAGAAGGGGCAAGATTATCTCGCTACCTGGGGGATAAGGGGTTGGCAGGTAACCATGGTGACAAAGGCCTAGAGACTTCAAGAGGGGGACAAGGGAGCAGAGACGGAGCTCTGGGGCCGTGGCCTTGATCTTCTCTCTGCTGGCCACCAAGTGAATGTCTCAGTGTCCTCCTTTTGGGGAAGCCTGTGGTCAGGGGACTTTGAAGTGCTGGAACTGAAATTTTTTGTTTTGTTTTGTTGTTGTTTTTTTTTGTCGTTGGTGGTGGTGTTTGAGACAGAATCTGTCTCTGTCACCCAGGCTGGAGTGCAATAGCACAATCCCCGCTCACTGCAACCTCCACCTCCTGGGTTCAAGCGATTCTCCTGCCTCAGGTTCCCAAGTAGCTGGGATTACAGGCATGCACCACCACGCCCAGCTAATTTTTGTATTTTTAGTAGAGACAGGGTTTCGCCTTTTTGCCAGGCTGGTCTTGAACACCTGACCTCAGGTGATCTGCCCACCTCAGCCTCCCAAAGTGCTGAGATCACAGGCATGAGCCACTGTGCCCAGCCAAAAGTTTAAAAAAGTGGGGAGGAAGGGATTTTCCTCGTTGACATGCATTTCCTGTAATGCAAATTTTGCAAAATAAGAATTATGTAGGAATTTTAAAAATTTGAGACAGGGTCTCACTGCCACACAGGCTGGAGTGCAGCGGCATGATCGTGGCTCACTGTAGCCTTGACTTCCTGGGCTCAAGCGATCTTCCCACCTCAGCCTCCTGAGTAGCTGGGACCACAGGTGCATGCCACCAAGTCTGGCTAATTTTAAAATTTTTTTATAGAGTCAGGTTCTCACCCTGTTGCCCGGGATGGAATTATGTAGTATTTTATGAAGAAAAGGATATATTTTAAAACATACATTGCATCCATTCCATGGAATACCACGTAGCTGGTAAAAGGAATGGGGCACAGCTGTCTGTTGCCTCCAAGGCACATTAGCAAGTGAAAATAGCAAGGTACAGGATGCTAGAATAGTGTGAGCTTACTTGTATAAAATAACTTTATCTGTATTTTTCTGTGAATATCTTATGTAGAGAATATTATGCATAGGAAATTCCTGGAAGGATGCACAGTTTATTGATAGTCATTGCCAGGAAGGGGCTGACACTGGGAGGGTTTTAAGATGGGGGAAATTTTCATTGCATATGTTTTAATTGTTGCTTTATATATGTACACATATGTGCATATAAATATGTATACATATATGTGTATATATATTATATATGTATATATAAATATGTTTTCATCATATGCATACACTCCATTTTTCCAATAAAAGCTTAATAAAAATAGAAGGAAATATACAAAAGAAGTCATTGAGAAGGTATTTGGCATCATGGAAGCTTCCGGAGCTGGCTACCCTTGGCCTGTTGTGGATATTGAGATATGGAGAATGAAGCAAAAGACAATACTGGGTCATTTCACGGGTGGCAAACCCTGCCCCTCCTACCCGGCCCAGCCCTGTGCAGCTTCCCTTATCTGAGCCATAAATTCTCAGACACACAATGGCAAGTCAGCCCAAGGCTGGGCTTGGTGTTTACAGAGGGAAAATCTGGGAACTGTTGGAATGAAGAATGGCATCCCAAGCTCCTGGCTAGAAGTGGGGGCTCCCAGGGCATCCCCAGAGACCAAGGGACTGGACCAGCAGTGGTCAATCTGGGGTTAACCTCTCCAGCTATCCTGAGATTCTCCACAAAACGATTTAGAGCATCAATCCCCAAGCCCAAGAAGAAACTTCAATTTGGAACAGATTAGTCAAGAATTTTGCTGTTTCGTCCAAGTTAAGGGAAAGAACCTTTGTTGTTGCTGTCTCTGCAAGATGTGACTTGCTGGGGAGAAGTTAATGTAGTGGTTCCCATGGGGAGAGGCCTTCCATTTTATCTTTTTTTTTCCTTGATAAAATATAGAAGACTCACCCATATTATCCATACACTGGAGTCCTATTTAGTTCACTAGGTATATGAGCTATAAAGGGACTTTCCCCCGCCACCCCCCCAAAAAAATCTTCCTTTTGCTCTTGTGCTGTTTATTTTTTATTTTTTTTATAATTGTACTTTAAGTCCTGGGATACATGTGCAGAACATGCAGGTTTGTTACATAGGTATACACGTGCCATGGTGGTTTGCTGCACCCATCAACTCATCATCTGCATTAGGTATTTCTCCTAATGCTCTCCCTCCCCTAGCCCCCCACCCCACAACAGGCCCCAGTGTGTAATGTTCCCTCCCTGTGTCCATGTGTTCTCATTGTTCAACTCCCACTTATGAGTGAGAACATGCGGTGTTTGGTTTTCTTTGTGCTGTTTTTATTTGTATTTGTTTTTTTTAAAAAAAGAAAAAGTAAACATAGGAGTTTTTCCACGGCCCAAATTCTGAGCTTGGTAAATCATCTTTTTTTCGCGGGGGACTGATGAGGGGGCTTTGCCCTGCCAGTCTACTTTCTTCAGAATCAGTGTTTACAACTACGCACCTCAAAGGCTTTCCTTCCCTGATTTGCCTCTTCCCAGCTGAGCTGAATTTCTTCTTTCCAGGATGGTGACCAAATCCCCACCTTTCTCCTTTCCATCACCTTCTCAGCACAAACCCACCTGGCTCTCTCCTTTGAGAACTGAGTATCAACAACCAGGCTGAGCAAAGCGTTTGGCATGATTTCAGCCACTTCTGTCCAGCAGCTGATGAGGAGAGATGAGACAGAAGGAGCAGCTCCAGCTTGGCCCTGCCAGCCAGCGGCCAGGCACTTACGGAGTGTCCTCTCCATGGGTCCCGTAGGTGGCCCAGTGGACACCAGCCTGTCACAGTGAGGACTCACAGTATTGCTGCAGTCCCCAAGTAGATGTCATGGTCATGAGAGACTTAAGGTTCCGTTTAATATTGTCTTGCTGTCATCTAAGTCCCAATGGTTGGAGAAGGCTTTTTGGAGAAAGCAGGACTTGAACTGGGCTTTAACGGTTACATGGGATTTATGGAAAAGTGGGGAAAAATAAGGAATTCCAGATGGAGAGAAATAGTGGAAGTGGATAACCATACCAAAGGTGCTTTCGATGAACCCAGTGACCTCCAATGGCAAGATACAGAAGCGGGGCACAGGTCCCCTCCGCAGAATTTCATCCCCAATTGATGTTCAAATGAGAACAAGTCTCAGACCAAATTTAGCTGTACTCCAAAAATCTGTTAGCAAGCAGGCCCCAAAACAGTCTTACAGTTTATCCTCTGGGCCCCAGCTCTCTGGCATTTAGGTATTCTGCCCAAAAAACATCTGGCTTAAGGTAAGTGCAAGAAAATACACGGGGCAGGATTTAGCTACCCTAGTGGATCAGGCAACAGAATCTTCCAGCCTTCTGTGGACCCTGCACTGCATTTTGTCCTGAGCCTAGGATACAACTGTGAATGGTATGGCCTGCTGGGCTTACCCAGACTCTTACATCCTGTTCATGTGAGGGTGGAAGTGCTGGAACAGTATTTCCAGCCACTCCATTTATCCTGAGCACCACTCATTTCAGCAAAGAAACATTTTTAGCAACCACGAAAATAGCTGAAGGCTTGTAGTAGCTGCTTCTGGGTGTGGACTTCAGATTGGAGTCCTTCAACCAACCAGCAGCCTCTGGTGTGTGTGATCTGATTAGGATACTTTAATTATGAGCTCCTCAGTCTTGCAGAGTGGATTTAATTAACCTATAGGCACATATATATTAGACTATTCAAAGAGGAGAATTAAAGTGAATTATAAACAGTATTTGGAGTATTTTGGAATTGGAGAAAACTTGAGACACTAGTATCTCTAATTTTCTATTAGTGATGGGGAAACAGAGTCAGGGAGGGGGATCAGCTGGCCTGGGGTCACCCTGCTTGGTGGTGGCAAAAGAGAACTGGGTATCTCAACTCCAGGAAAGACTCTCTTCCCGTTACTACCCTCTACATCCTGTATGTGGGCAGGTAGAACCCAAAATAACAGAAGAATACAATGAGTGCATGTTAATTTTGTTGGGTGTGGTCACTGGTTTTGGACTGAAGTGCAAAGGTTTTATCTGGTAGAGGCACAATGAAGTATTTATACATATTGCAGTACGTATACATATTATATTTTAAATGTACTTGTTTTAAGTAGTTTGCCAAAAAATGTGGAGGCATAGGTAAAACCAGAATGGCAAAATGTTTATAACTGATAAAGCTCAGAAATGGGTTCATGAGGGCTCATTTTATTATTCTCTACTTCGTATGTATGAAAATTTTCATAATAAAAAGTTTTTTTTTTTTTTTTTTTTTGAGTCGGAGTCTCGCTCTGTGGCCCAGGCTGGACTGCAGTGGCACGATGTCGGCTCACTGCAAGCTCCGCCTCCCGGGTTCACGCCATTCTCCTGCCTCAGCCTCCCGAGTAGCTGGGACTACAGGCGCCCGCCACCACGCCCGGCTAATTTTTTGTATTTTTAGTAGAGACGGGGTTTCACCATGTTAGCCAGGATGGTCTCGATCTCCTGACCTCGTGATCCGCCCGCCTCGGCCTCCGAAAGTGCTCGGATTACAGGCGTGAGCCACTGTGCCCGGCCTGTTTGTTTGTTTTTTTAAATAGAGACAGACATCTCACTATGTTGCCAGGGCTGATCTTGAACTCCTGGCTTCAATGTTTCCCACCACCTTGGCCTCTCAAAGTGCTGGGATTACAAGCGTGAGTTACTACACCCAGCCAATAAAAAGTTTTTAAAAATCGGAAGTGATTTTTCACACCCAGCCAAGGAAACCACTGTCATGAGGAACACCCATAGTTGGCCCCAAAAAAATCTCATAATTGGATTTTATGAAAGATAGGATTTTGTTCCTCTTCTAATTTTGTTATAGTTATTAAATAGTGGCATCAGTTTTGCCGTGGCCAACTCCTTGAGGGCAGGTGCAATCTTTTCCCCCCTAGCTTTATTGAGACATAATTGACAAATAAAAATTGTATACATTTAAGGTATACAGTGTGAAAATTTGATATACATGTACATTGTGACTTGATTACCAATGTCAAGCTAATTAGCACAGCCATCATCTCATTTAGTTACTCTGTGTGTGTGTGTGTGTGTGTGTGTGTGTGTGTGTGTGTGTGTGTGTGTTGTAAGGACACTTAAGATCCATGTTTAGGAAAATTTCAAGTAAACAATACATTGGCTGGGTGTGGTGGTTCATGCCTGCAATCCCAGCACTTTGGGAGGCGGAGGAGGGTGGATTGCTTGAGTTCAGAAGTTTAAGACCAAGCTGGGCAACATGGCAAAACCCCATCTCTACAGAAAATACAAAAATTAGCCAGGTTTGGTGGCACCTGTAGTCCCATCTACTCAGGAGGCTGAGGCAGGAGATTGATTAAGCCTGGGAGGTGGAGGCTGCAGTGAGCCATGATCCTGCCATTGCATTCCAGCCTGGGTGATGGTACGAGACCCTGTCTCAAACAAACAAACAAACAAACAGAACCCCCAAACCAATACGCTGTTATTATTAACTATAGTCAGTTGCTGTGCTATACATTAGACCTCCAGACCTTATCCATCTTATAACTGAAACTTTCACCCTTTGACCAGCATCTCTCCATTTCCCCCACCCCCAGCAACCATCATTCTACTCTCTGCTTCTGTGAGTTTACCTTTTTCAGATTCTGTATATGAGTCAGATCATGCGGTATTTGGCTTATTTTACTTAGCGTAATGTCCTCCAGGTCCATCCATGTTGTTGCCAATGGCAGGATTTCCTTCTTTTTAAGGCCGAATAATATTCCATTGTGTATATATGCCACACTTTCTTTATCCATCCATCTGCCTTACACGTCCTCTTATCTACTGTATCAAGTAGGACAGTGCTGCACCAACTCACTTTTAGCAGCCATTTGTGGAATCCCGCTCCTGGTGACTCAGGCTTCTTATCTCTGCTCCCTGTCTGTGCATGGTGTACATTAATGTGTTCATGTAGTTAATTATTCCAAATGCCATGCTTCAGCCCAGACTGTAAAAGTGGGAAGAATAAGCAAACTTTCTGTTTGTATTAAATTAAATTTGTGTGCGCCTTCCCATAGCCATCAGCGGCTGCTGTTGATGTTGCAAAACATTATCCCACAGTTAGAAAAGGGTGGGGAGCAGTCTCTCTTCCACCCCCTCTGCCCGTTCTGCCTCCTTGCCCGGGAAAGCTTGGAATAACCTGAAATAAACTTGCAAGTTCAAGCAGAGCCTTCATTCCTGTCTTACTGGCAATTAACAGTGATTTACTGGGGGTTGCATTCTAGCTGGGCCTCAGTCCCCTGTTATCAGCTGCTTTGAGGACTGGACTCATTATTGGTCAGTTTCTTGCTGCTCTGCAAACAACCCTTTTCACATTTAGCTCTTGCCCACGACCACATCCTGTATTGTACAGTGTTGGACTGCCCTATGTTGAAGTAGGGGAGGGGTGGGCAGTGGAGACAGCCCCAGACAGATGGGCCAAATCCCTGGGTAATATTTCCCCTGGCATTTTAGGGATGGAATACACCACCAAATTTGCTCTCTGTAACAAGTTCTCAGAGAACATGAAGCTGGCCTGATATAAATCTAAATTCCCACATGCCTGTCTGCAAACAGCTGGTGAGGTTTTGCCCTGGTATAGACAGGGTGTTTCCAGAAGGGCTATTTGTCTTCTTGCCTTTTGTCAAGAAGGCTCCTGTTACACAGAAGAGATGGGAAGTCACCCAAAGCTCTATTTTCCTTTCAGCTCAGCCAGTAAGCGATGTGTTAGCCTTCACCTCCCACACATTTGGGGCCTTGTTCATTGGTGTGGTGCAGCCCAGCCATCTTAGCTGACCAGCCCGGCCCTGACACTGCGTTAATATGAAAACACATGGAGGAGGCTCGATTTGTCAAATGTGAAGAATTCTTTTTTGTTGTTGTTTTTTTGAGACAGGAGTCTCACTCTGTCACCCAGGCTGGAGTGCAGTGTCGTGATCTCAACTCACTGCACCGCCACCTCCTGGGTTCAAGCGATTCTCCTGCCTCAGCCCCCTGAGTAGCTGAGACTAAAGGCGCGCGACACCACGCCTGACTAATTTTGTTGTATTTTTAGTAGAGACAGGGTTTCACCATATTGTCCAGGCTGGTCTTGAACTCCTGACCTCATGATCTGACCGCCTTGGCCTCCCAAAGTGCTGGGATTACAGGCGTGAGCCACCGCGCCCGGCCAAGGAATACTTCTTACAACTGAGTATCAGAAAGAAAATGGCCACCCCTGAAGAACTGGTAGGTTTCTTCTTATCAGATAAGAATAACTGCTTCCCTTCCTTTACCTCCCTTCTTTGACTGCCTCGAAAGGTGGAGCTCCATTTCATATTCTTTACAACTCTAGTTGAAGTGTGGAGTATATTTTCTTCCTCCTTCTTCAGGCTCGGGTTTTGGTCTTCTCTTTCCATTTTCAGAAATCCTTTAGGAAGTGTGTAGGGCACAAATAAATAACATGGTCACAGCCAGTGGGTCCTGCACTGCCCTTCCATTGATCATCTCTGCCCTTGGGTCTTGAGTACGCTGCACAGCACTATCCACTGGTGTCTGCTGTGGAATTCCTCTTCCCAGAATCCCTACCAAGCATGCCTTTTACAGCCATGCCTGCCTCCATTACGTATTTCATGTATTTCGCGTGTATATGACAGTCTTGGCTTTTTGGTTAGAAGTAGCATCTTGTTACTGGGAAGAAGGGCACACAGCTCTTCTCTGTAATTAATGAATCTACTCACTAAATATTTATCTTAGGAACACACTTACTTCTGTTATCCATTGTAGCCCCAAAGATAGAGATGGTTACAAGTACGTGATGAGCATCTAGAAAATTAAGGATGGGCTGGGTGCAGTGGCTCATACCTATAATCTCAGCACTTTGGGAGGCCAAGGCAGAAGGATCACTTGAGGCCTGGAGTTTGAGACTAGCCTGGGCAATATAGCAAGACCCCCCATCTCTATACAAAAAAAAATTAAAAATTATCTGGGCATGGTGGCCCATGCTGTATGTAGTCCTAGCTTACTTGAAAGACTGAGGCAGGAAGATCACTTGAGCCCAGGAGTTCAAGGCTGCAGTAAGCCATGATCATGCCACTGCATTCCAGTCTGGGCAGAAGAGTAGGACCCTGTCTCAGAAGAAAAAAAAAAAAAAAGAGAGAGAGAGAAAGAAAAAAGAAAAGTAAGGGCGGTCAAAGAAAGGCTTCCCCTTAGATCCATCATGGTAACTGGATTTGGAAGAAATTGGGCTAGAAAGGCATTTGTAGGGGCCATGAGCCTCATGGGGAGTATCACTGAGGAAGGGGACCAGTTCATTGGGGCTACTGTAGGTAGTTTTCTATACAGGATAAAGATTATCTTTCTCAACCTGATCCTAGATATTATTTGTTTCTAGGAATTCTCTATGAGGATTTAAAATTTTATATTTTCATTCTAGTAAAATTTAAAAAAATTATTTGAAACATATTCTGGATCATCTGAATGGCCGCCTAATGACTGGGAGTTTGGTGCCTCATTTATATTTCCTCTCAGGTTGGTGCCCAGGGATCACCAAGAATAACAGTACCAACTAGACTCCCTGGAGGAGCCACGAGCGTATGCCTGGGGGTTCCTTCATTATGTGTTGGGTTGGGAATGGAAGAGAACAATGTCCATACCAGAAGAGAACAATGTCCATACCTAGACACTTCTGGGCCAGGGGAAGTAGGAGAGGAGAGGCAGGCCTTAAACAGACCTTGACTGCTAAGGAACGTTAGGGTACACAGAGCTGGGGAAAGTCTGGAAGCACGGTGCACAGGGGTGCCAGCCCTTGGCTGCATATGACTTACCACCTGTCTTGAACCAATGACTTAGCACATTTATGCCCCCGGACTCTGGCTCTTCATCCTGTCATGTTATTTGACTCAACTGGGAGGCCTCCAGGTACTTGAAGGCCCCCAAGAAAGGTTTGGTCTGGAACATGGATGTTAAAACAAAACAAAATTCATGACCCGAGAAGGAGCATGAGGACTCAGAAGGCTCCCCCTCCCATTCCTGGCCCTCTGTAGCCAGCCTGGTAAATCAGCTCAGCCCCCGGTAGTGGAGGAGGAAGGATCTTGCTCAGTGCAGGGGCCACAGGTGAGAGGGCTCAAAGAAGGGGGTTTATTAATTTGGGCTTCCCTGTGTCCTGTTGTGGGTTGAACTGTATTCCCCTCAAAGACATATTCAGGTCCTAAGCCCTGGAATGTGATTGGAAAAGGGTCTTAGCAAATGTAATCAAGTGAAGATAAGGTCATACTGGATTAGGGCGGGCACTTATCCCGTGACTGGTGTCCTTATAAGAAGAAGAGAGTTTGGACACAGAGACATACAGGGAGACACATGTCATGCCATGTGACAACAGAGGCAGAGATGGGAGGGATGCAGCCACAAGCCAGGGAATGTTGAGGATGACCAGCAAACTCCAGGGACCAGGCAGAGCCAAGTAAGGTTCTTCCCCAGAGACTCCAGAGGGAGTGGGACCCTGTCAACCTGTGATTTTTGGACTTCCAGCCTCCAGAACCGCGAGAGAATAAACATCTGTTGTTTTAAGCCATTTAATCTGTGGCACATTGTTGCGTCAGTCCTGGGCCATGGATACAGGCCCCCAGGATCTTGGCCCACATGAGGGGTGACTGCCAGGCCCCTTCCCTGACCTGGACAGCAGCAGGAGCCCAGGGGCAGACCCTCTGCAGTTGTCACAGCTGTGACTGAGTTTTAACAAAGCTGCAGCCTGCACAGGAGAATGTCAGCAAGCAAAGAGGGACTCAAAGAATGAAATATTAGTGACATTAACCTTTAACTAGCCCCACAGCAACAATTGCTGCTCAAAGATGCCTTGCTATTGAGTCAGCAGCACAGACAGGGTTCTGTTTGGGGAAAAGGAATGGGCTTTTAGGATCCTGGCTCAAATCCTGTTCTGCACATTAGCTATGTGTCTTTGGGCAAGGCACTTTCTCTGTCAGAGACCTCAGTTTTCCCATCTGTAAAATGGGGATAATGCTATATTTCACATAGGGTTGTGGTGAGGATTAAATAAAACAATGTGAGTAGAATGGGCATAGCAGGCCATCACACAACAGCACTGTTCTTTCATGATATGAACAGAACCGGCTGAATGTTGGAGGACAGAAGCCAAATGGACTGATCAAGGAAGGCCTCCCAGAGGTGGTGGGTGAGCAGTGAATGCCAGGCCAAAGATCTAGGCTTTGACTTTAACTCTGCCACCTGTTTCATCTATAACGTTAGGAAAGTTACTTAACTCAGCATTCTCAGCTTTACAATTGGCTAATAAAATCTCATCTCATCTCACAAGCTTGTGGAAGATTAAATGAAATTTAATTAAATTACACAAGTGCCCAGCCCAGTGCCTCTGCATTTGGTAAATGTTGGTTGGAGCCGCGACAGGGCATGAAGGACCAGGAGCCAGGATCAGAGAGCAAGGGCTCAGCCTCATTCTTCCTGCTTGGGGCTGGTGAGGGCCCAGCGGACTAGCTCTCAAGAATGGCACAGTGGACCGCTGGCCTGATTCTGGGCCAGTGAAACGCTGCCTCAGAGCGTGTGTCGTGAATTCTGCAGGCTACATGTTACGGTAAAGAAGCCGGTGGGCTCAAGGACCATCCAAGAGATGCAACTTGGAATTTCTAAGTCCAGCATACATTTCAAGAGTTGCCTCTCCTTGATTCCCAGGAACCCGTTTCCCCAGTTTGCTGCTTATGTGTTCAGAACCTGCTCCTGCAAGATGACGACGCCCAGTGCTGAGAGGCTCGGATCCCACTGTCACCAAGTGAGGGGCCGACCCCAGCGGAGAGCAGCCTGGGCACAGTCCTCTCTGGTGGGCTCCATGCAGCTGTCCCTCCCCACCTGTCGGGCTGCCACCAGGGAATTCCCCGGCCCACTGTGCGTCAGCTTTTCGTGAGTGTTATTCATAATTATCTATGGCACAGATGGAGGGCCTTGTTTCAGCAGAGTGAATGTTTTCAAATCAGAAGTTTTTGTCTGACTGATTTGAAATATAATCAAATTCTTATAATCCAGTGGAAAATCAGATTTTTTTCTAATGAGGTTAATCTTTTGTAAGTCTGTTCCTTACAGGGGCTCTTTGTTTTCTTCCTAAAGCTACGGACCCCTATTCTACTCTAGCTCCGTGAGTTGATGGGGGTGTATTAATTTTCCGGGGCTACCATAACAAATGACCACGACAGCTTATGTTGGTTTAAAACAGGTGGAATTTATTCTCTTATGGTTCCGGAGGGCAGAGTCCAAAATCAAGGTGTCAGCAGGTCCGCGCTCCCTCTGCTGATTCTAGGGAACTATCCTTCCTTGCCTCTTCTAGCTTTTGGGAGTGCCCTGTGTTCCTTGGCCAGGGTGGCATCACTCCCGTCTCTGCCTTTGTCTTCACAAGACCTTATTCTCTGTGTCTTGGATCTCCCTCTTCTTCCTCTTACAAGGACCCCAGTCGCTGGGTGCAGAGCCCTCCCTAAACCCAGGATAACCTTATCTCAAGATCCTTAATCTAATTACATCTGCAAAGATCCAACTTTAAATAAGATCACATTCACAGGCGTTAGGGGTTAGGACTTAGACATATCTTTTTTGGGGAGGGCACAAATCAACCCACTGCAGTGGGTAGTAATAACATGTATTGAATAGTGCTTTGTGTCTGGCAATTTTCATGTGTCATTGCATTTAATTCCCATACCAACCTTGAGACATAGATCTGATTTCTCCCTCACTTCTATGGGCATGGAAACCAAGGCTCAAAGAAGCGATAAAACTTGCTGAAGTTCACAGCACTTGTTAGTGGAACTCCTAAATTCCAATCCAGCTCTCTCCACTATACAGGGTCCACCCTTTATCATAAGAAAGAAAAAATTGAATAGCTGTCGTGGTAAGATAGTAAAATATCCTACCATCCATTTTTGCATAGAGAATCGCAGAAGAATACCAGAAATTTTGCATGGAGCCTCATCCAAGAGGTGCAGAAAAGCTAATATAACCTAATTCTAGGTTATAGCAGGATAACCTATACTGAGACATGTGGATGTACACTCCAAGAGGGCCATACCCATTTTATTTAGTGACAAAATCTAAGGGTCTAACACATGTTAGGTGCTCCATACATATTTGGTGCAGAAGTGAGTTCCCAAGGAAATGAAGCCGTGGGAAGCACAACGATGTAGCTGGCTTGGGACAGGGCTCCACTATAGGATGTGACCTCGTAGCTGCCAAAGGGAAGCCAAGATGTTTCCATCACTTTGCAAACCCAGCACCAGAGGTGTCCTAGCCTCTCTGTTCAGGTTTCCTGTGTCTGATGGGAGTACTGATCTTGAGTGAGTACTGTCCCCCGGCTTTCGGTTTAACGTTTTACAGGGTACCTTCAGGGTATGAGTCTGTGTTAAAAGTCAGGTGCCCGGAGTTTGGGAACAATCTCCAGACAGTCTCATTGATATTTCTGGACTGGGATAGGTTAAGGCATTACAGGAATGCTACTGAATTCCACACCTTCCCAGACAGAAACTTGCCCACCTTTTTCTGCTCATGTTGATTTTCTGACCCTTGGTCCTGTGATTCCACCAGAAGAGAATATATGTAAGTGGGGGTGATATGGTTTGGCTGTGTCCCCACTCAAATCTCTTCTTGAATTCCCACGTGTTGTGGGAGGGACCTGGTGGGAGGTAATTGAATCATGAGGGCAGGTCTTTCCCCATGCTGTTCCTGTGATAGTAAGTCTCACGAGATTTGATGGTTTAATTATAAGGGGGGAGTTTTCCTGCTAAGTTCTCTTCTCCTGTCTGCCGATATGTGAGACACACTTTTCACCTTCCACCATGATTGTGAGGCTTCCCCAGCCATGTGGAACTGCGAGTTCTCCATTAAACCTCTTTCCTTTGTAAATTGCCTAGTCTCAGGTATATCTTTATCAGCAGCATGAAAACAGACTAATGCAGGAGGAAATCATTGTAATGATGCAGGAATTTTGCTTGAAAAAGAAAATGCATGTGGAAAGTTCTGAGAACTTCTGACCCTCAACCCCAAGATATTGTCCTGATCTGTGGGGTTTTGAACTATGTTCATTGGAATAAATTTGGGAGATAAAAGTACCTAGGAAGTTTTAGGTTTCAGAATAATAGTGGTAAATGGTTTAATTTCCAACTGTGTAACATTTTTCTTGCCATTTAAAAAATGTATTTCAAATTGAACAGATTATCTCCTTGGTTTGCAGAAGCTCTCTGTACTAGTCAGGTTCTCCAGAGAAACAGAACCAGTAGGTCGGTCTGTCTATCTGTCTGTCCGTCTATCTATCTATCTATCTATCTATCTATCTATCTATCTATCTATCTATCTATCTAACTATCTATCTATCTATCTATCTAGATATTGAGATATCGAGGTATCTATCTATTTGGGAAGAGATTTCTTATAAGGAAATGACTCACACAATTATAGAGGCTGAGAAGTCCTAGGATCTGTGGCTGGCAAGCTAGAAACCTAAGAGAGTCAATGGTGTAGTTCTAGTTTGAGTCTGAAGGTCTGAGTACCAGAAGATCCAATCAGAGTTCCAGTCTGAAAGCCTGCAGGTTTGAGACCCAAGAAGAGCCAACTTTTTAGTCCAAAGGCAGAACAAGACTGATGTCTCAGCTCAGACCGACAGGCAGGAGGAATTCCCTCTTAGTCTTTTGGTCCTATTCAAGTCTTCAGTTGATTGGATGAGGGCCAGTCACATAGAGGGGCCATCTGCTTTCCTCAGTCTACTGATTCAAATATTCCTGTCACCTAGAAACATCCTCACCAGCACATCCAGAAGAATGTTCGACCAAATGCCTGGGCACCCTGTGACCCAGTGAAGTTGATGCATAAAATTAACCATCACACTCTCTTTGTGGGAAAATGTTTGTCCTTAGCTCTGGTAAGGTGGCAATGTCATATATGTCCTTGGTGACATATATGTCCTTGGTGAAGGACACCAGTTAAAACAGGATTGGAGGGGCCAAGGCAGAAATCCAAAAGAGGAGCCCTTAAGATGGGATGTTTACTTAGCCTTCTGAGTTTCCACTGGCTTCCTTTGCCTCTTGCCCTGACCACGTCAGCACCTTTAGTTAAATGAATGAAAGAGATGATGGATAGGATATACTATTACAGTGTACCAAGAACTATCTGGGTTTCTTTGTCCAGGTCCATACTAAGCCAACAGATCACTTGTTTGAAGCCTAAAATCCAGAGGAAAAGGCTTTGATTAAAACATTATTTGCCAGCCAACCTTTACCTTCCTTTAGCAGTTCTAACTCCCCATGAACTCATTCTGATGAGCAGAACTGCTCTGCAGGGTGCGGGGAAAGTTGATCCATTTGCAGATGACTCAGATGAATGACACCAGCAGTACTGGTCTGTGGATGTTCCTTCAGCCTCCTTCGCACCATCTTTCATTTCCCAGTTGCTCCATTAAGAAGTACAAGGAAAGTTTACACATGGGGCTCACAAAATGCATTTGAGTGGTGGATTTGTTTTCTTATTAGCTAACTTTATCAGAAGTCATATAGCCTTTTGAATACCAAAAGTCATTTTAAACCCAATTATAACATTGTTATGGTTTGCAGTTTGGCCACCCATGCTTAACAAATATTATACTAACAAAATCATCACCATGCTGGATTTGCTCATAAACCTGTCAAGTGTTTGAACAACTCAGTGTTACACACCAGGAATCCTAATCACAGTGGTCTCAGTTCTTACATTACCTCTTGTAATGTATTTCTTGAGTCTTTTTACCATTTTCTTTTACTGTTTGTTCTCAGAGGATATGATTTGATCACTGACAACTTGTACTAATAACCAGGGTCAAAATGGACCATAATTCTCCTGTATGTATATACGAATCTAGGCGAACAGTCGTCTCTTAGATATACCTTCTCTGCTAAGGCTCTATTTTCTTTTTTTTTTTATTTTGAGATGGAGTCTTGCTCCTATTGCCCAGGCTGGAGGGCAGTGGTGCAGTCTCAGCTCACTGCAACCTCCACCTCCCGGGTTCAAGCGATTCTCCTGCCTCAGCTTCCCCAGTAGCTGGGATTACAGGTATCTGCCACCACGCCCGGCTAATTTTTGTATTTTTAGTAGAGACGGGGTTTCGCCATGTTGACCAGGCTGGTCTCGAACTCCTGACCTCAGGTGATCCACCCACCTCAGGCTCCCAAAGTGCTGGAATTACAGGTGTGAGCCACCGTGCCCAGCCTAAGGCTCTATTTTCAAATGACTCTGGTTTTTATGATCATTATTATTATTATTGTTATTGTTATTTGTCATTGAAAGAAGAAAATGTAAGGGAGGCCAGCTGAGGTGATGGTGGAAGGAGTTAGAGTGATTTGAATTCAGATCTGGATTTTCTGGCTGTGTGACTTTGGCCAAGTTATTTAACCTCCCTGAGTCTGTTTCTTCATCTAAGGGATGATGAGATATACCATGTAGTTTTATTATGAGTCTGAGTTCAGTGAGATATCCTTTGTCATCATTTGGCTGACTTTATTATTAATAAAAGCAATTTCCCTTGTTTGGGTTGTAGACTTATTTTTCTTTGACTGCTTTATTATTGATAGCATTTTGTGTTATTTCCTTAACTGTAATTCTATCTTCCTAGTTTATTTCAATAGAAAATTACCCATCATAAAACCTATTAATCCTTGTTGCCGAATTTAGAGGTCATTGAATTTTTGCTTTACTTTATGCCAAATTATATTCAGAACAACAGAAAACAAAAGAGAGGCTTGTTTATTCCTAGGTTTTTCTAATTCAACTTCACTTTGAAGTGAGCAACTCCCGAACCACACTGGGATTCAGAGCTAGGATTGTTCTGGGGAGGCTGAACTCTCAGACATGATGCTTATACTGTAGGAATCTGGTTTGAGATTTGAGACAGACACAATTTTAGCATTGAAGGCCCTTAAAAACACTTAGAAAGTGTGTATTGTCAAAAGAAACTTAACACACTGCAAATAAGCCCCTGTGAGGGAATGGAAAATAACCGTGGTTGGAAGGACAGGAGCTGATTGACTAATGGTTGATTCTAAAATGTCACTGATTCTAAGAAACATTTCCTTTTAGTAGCACCCTATTTGAGGGACACAGCTACATTAATGCAAACAGAATTGCAACATGCATTCTTCTTTTATTATTTCAAGGAATACATGTAAATTAGAAATGGGGAAATTGGAATTTGCATGTTTATCTTCCCCACTGCATTGCTTAGCAAGACCCAGGCAGAGAGAGAGAGCCGATACTCACTACTGCTTTCAATGGAATATTGGATATTCCATATTGCATATCCAACATGGAATATTGGCTATGCAGTCACTACCTGGGAAATGTTGTTGTGGGTAGACAAGGGTACTGTGAGATTGGGACAGGGAGGGGCTGAAATGCTGACCACACCTTGGGGCCTTGTTAAAGCCTGGCTTCAAGGTCAAGGGGATAACAGTTCAGAGTGAGTATGAGTGTGTGTGGGTGTTGCATTAGAGAATGTGGTTACACCAGAGAAAGAGTAGCTAAAGAAATTTAAGGGTGTTTGAAGTTGGAGGCCACAGTGTTGGAGAAATTATAGCAAGGAGCATAGGCAGGGCAGGGAGGTGAGGATCCGAGGCGTCCTTTTGAGACTGGCCAGAAAGGGAAGAGAGGATTTGATTAAAGAGCCAAATGCAAACTATTCCCCAAATGAAATGCTCTGGAAGAGTCTGAAATTGTACATCAGCAGTTTCTTTTGACAAATTTTGGCTGAAACATTAAAGAAAAACAATGGTCCAACTCAAAACTCTGTGATACCTTTAGCTTGTTTATATAATGGGGCTTCAAGGGTTTAATTTAGAATATTTCTGTGATGAATAACTGGCTCTTGTTCATGTAAACAAAGTACAGCCTGCACGGAGTAACCACATTTTTTTCATCCAGGGCACAGCTGTTTTCCTGAGGAGAGAACTTTCCTTTTTTAGAGCCTTCTCACCTTGGTAAATCATGACCAACACATGTAAAAGCCCTTTTCCAAGCTTTACTCACTGCTCCCATGGAATTCTCATTCAAGAATAACCTTTCTTCTTTCCTTTGCTCTCTAGGATACAAAACTACTCGAAATTGGGTTTAGAAAGCCTTGGGCAGGAATAGGAAATTTGGGTTTTCTGTGCAACTTGGATGAAGTCCCTTTCTCTCTCTGAACATTGTTTTGTTTTGTTTTAATCAGAGGGATGACTTTTAAAAATGCTCTGATGTTTTAGATCAGTACTATCCAATAGAAATAAAATTTAAAACACATATGTAATTTTAATGACACTTAAATTTAAATTACATTTAACATTTTTAAACATGAAAAATAGATGAAGTTAATTTTAAGAATAGACTATTTAACTCAACACATCCAAAATATCATCATTTCAACATGTCATCAATATTTTAAAAATGTTTATTTTACATTCTTTTTGTTTGTTTGGCGGGGGAAACCGAAGTTTCTTGGAAACCAGAAGTTTTTTGGAAAGCAGGCACAAACTAATTTGGAGATAAAAACGGCCCTGAAATGATGTGAGGCGACTCATTATCTGTTTATCCCACTTACTATAAATAATTGTGTATTTTATTATAGAAATATTAATGTACTTTATTCCTGAGTATTTCCCCAGACTCTGCTGGGGGAATATGCACCATGTTACTGTTCCAAAATACACTGAATTTCAAAATATCTCTGGCTTTGGGAGTTTCAGATAAATGTTTTTCAAACTTTTTGATTGTGACCATAGTAAGAAATGTATTTTATATACATGGTAAGAAATGTATTTTATATTGTTCCCCAGGGTGTGCACACACACCTATGCACACACTGATGCACACACACATACACCTGAAACAATCTTTTTTGAGACAGGGTCTCACTCTATTACCCAGGCTAGAGTGCAGTGGCGCAATTACTGCTCACTGCAGCCTCGACCTCCTGGGCTCAGATTCTCCTCCTACCTCAGCCTCCCTGGTAGCTGAAACCACAGGCATGTGCCACCATGCCTGGCTAGTTTTTTGTATTTTTTGTAGAGATAGGGTTTTTGCATGTTGCGCAGGCTGGTCTCAAGCTCCTGGGCTCAAGTGATCCAACCACCTTGGTCCCCCAAAGTGCTGGGGTTACAGGTATGAGCCACTGTGCCCGGACCCGACAGAAATTTTTTGATAGAGTATGTGCCTTTATTAGATGGTATGCATTCAAATATTTTCTACTACATGTATTGCAAAGACTTTATTTTTAGAGCAGTTTTAAGTTCACAGCAAAACTCAGCAAAACTTTTTTTTTTTTTAAGCTACCAGTGCTAATGCACTGAATTGACAGCACAGCCCACCTAAAAGACTATGCCCATAGTTTCCAAAGCACTGCTGTGGGCCCTGTACTGGGGACCATGGAGAGTCGCACAGGGATGTGAGCATCAGTCAGAAAAAAGAGAGAGGAGAGCCGGGCGTGGTGGCTCACGCCTATAATCACAGCAGTTTGTGTGAATCCGGGAGGCGGAGCTTGCAGTGAGCCAAGATCGTGCCACTGCACTCCAGCCTGGGCAACAGAGTGAGACTCCGTCTCAAAAAAAAAAAAAAAAGAGAGAGCGAGAAGAGAAAGGCTTCTGTGGGGGAGGCAACCTCCCCCCACCCGCATCCATCCCTAGGCCTGCTATACTCCACTGTGGTTTAAATAGCACCGATTACAGCCATACCCCTCGGTGTTTGTTGGCCATCATCAGCACTTTTCTAGTTGTTTGGCCATGGTTTATCCAGGATAATTACCTGGTCCTGTCGATTTTGTGCTTGGACTTTTCAAAGGGAGCAAGAAAGTTAGATTCTATGGGGCCATTGTATGACCTTGAAAAATTGGGGTATGCCTTATATAGGGAATGGTTTATATGGAGCCACCATTTGTTCAACCTTCACTTCTATATTTAGAAAGGCTTTTTGGTCATCAGTGACTAAAGCCTAGCTTATGTGAAAAGGGAATTTGTTGGTTCTTGTAGTTGGCAGGTGCAAAGTTAGCTTCAGGCATGGCTGGACCTAGGGACCCTAGCTATGTGGTCAGGGCTTTGTCTCTTTCTCTAGTTATTAGCTTTGTTCCTTCTGAGCACTGGCTTAATCGTTAGACTGGAAAAAGAGGGGTCTCCTCTAACTCCAATTATGCATCCTCATGGCTTGCAATCCCAAGAGAAGAAAGATCTCTTTCTCCCAAAGCCCATATAGCAAATCCCAGATAACAGTCTTGCTTGAATTAGTTGAACTCATCACCAGGGCCTGAGGGATGACCAGACCTCAACTACATCCCCTTCTCCTATGGCTTAGGTGGGGCCGGTCAAATCTGAACCATATGGGATAGGTCCTCTCATTATACAAAGAAGGAGAAAAATAGACCAAATGATTAATTTCCACTCATTATTGTTCTCTAACTTCTTCAAGGCTTAAGAGGACTGATTTCAAGTTGATATGGTTCAGATAAAGGAATTACACACAGGCTGTCCCCTGATTATTGGTTCTTGTCCATTAGAGGTGCTACGATCAGCAGAAGCAAGTTAGTCGAAGCTTGACAGCCATTCAGAACCACCTGCTATACTAAAATTGCTCCTTTGTGTGGCGGCTTTTGCTCTTCCACTCTTCCTAATATTAAGGATCATTTTAGGCAGACCCTTTTCTTGTGGTGCCTCATAATTTAACAATCACGTTCCATCCATTTCATCAGCTATTTTGGCCTCTAGGTTCTGGCCCCTGGCACTGAGGACTCAGGCGCGAAGGTTCCGGGATGGCATTCTTTCCACAGCGGTCGTGCTCCATGAGCCAAGAGTTGCAGCTTCCACTCTTGTATCTCCCATCAGGCTACCCCAGAGGGCTCCACAATCTTGAAATCCGTCAGCACTCCCTGGAATAAGTGAAGGTCTTTCTTTACATCCTTCCGTCTCCCAAGATGCCATGCCTCTGCTCTACTTGGCCTCCTGGGTCTTTGGAATTCCCCCTTCCATTTCCACCCTTTTTTTTCTAAGGCTGGTGGAAGTTTGTCTTCACTGTCCTCTATCCACTTATCCTCTGTCCCCCACCCCAGGACTTGGTGACATTATATCCCAGGCTTCTCAAGTTGCTTTTATCTGGATCTTTTCCCACACTTTGCTGTCCTTAGAATGTTTTTGAAGTCCACTCTCTGTACAGTCTGTTTTAATAAGCAAATCTTTACCAATGTAAGGTCGACTCAGAGCAATGGAATAAACTCTAGGCTTGGGGCCAGGAGGACCTGTTGATTCTGAGCGCTGAACTTGCTGTGTGACCCTGGTGGAACCACATGGCCTCCCTTGGCTTCAAATCTGGGGATGGTAATGCCTACTTCACAGAATGAACTAGAATTGGATCTGCAGACTGCCTGGTCCAGATTTTGGGGTCCAACAATGTGCTAGTAGTTCACTCTCAGTTTGCAAGCAAAAGAAACCTAATTCAGGCTGGCTTAAACAAACAAATAGGGTGCTTTGGCCACATATTACTGAGTGGTATAGAAGAACAGCTAGTTTGAGTCATGGCTGAATCTAAGTGCTGAAATGATGCTGTCAGGAATCTCCAGGCCCCGTTTCCCTCCTCAGGCGGACTGTTTCTGGAGATGGCCACAAAAGTTTCAGGCCAACATTCTAGCAGCTCAACCCCCAGGAAGGAAAAGCCCACTTCCTAGTAGTTCCAGGAAGAGTCCCATGGCTGATGCTCATTGGCTTGGCTCTGGTCATGGGTCTGTCTCTAAGCCAGTCATTGTGGCTGGGGAATGAAATGCTCTGACTGGTTAGGTCCAAGGTCACGTGACTGCCCATGGAGTTGGGTGTGGCGTTTTAGTTCCACAAATATAGACAGTAAGGAAAGGGGGTTTCCCCAGGGAAATTTGGCTCCAAATATGAGTGAATGGATGAGGGGGAAGGGGGAAAAGCAACAGGTATCCACTGTACACAGTCATGGATTATTCCTTCTAGGGCAATGTTGATAGTGCCGTGCTGTTTGCCGAAAGGAACATTGCCCCTTGTGGCTGTCGGAGCAGTGGAAAGGGGGCAGACAGGCAGAAGGATGGAGAAAAACACCAAAGGACCTGGTAGACACTTCTCAAATCATAGCATGGAGCTGACGCTCATTCTTTCGACCTGTTTCTAGTGTTGGCTTTAACCTGTTGACACCTGGGCTAAGCTACAGAAAGCTTTGAAAACCTTCACTCGTTCATTCTCAGTACTGTATGTTTCTATGAAGGTGGTTTCCTGCAAGGGTTTAACCCAAATTCCTCCTCACCTGCCCCTGTTGCTGTCTACCAGGACATAATTTAGTAGTTCTGTAAAATCAAACAGGACATCTCCGGTTGCTTTTTTTTTTTTTTTTTTTTAATTTGGAGACAGAGTCTTGCTCTGTTACCCAGGCTGGAGTGCAGTGGCTCCATCTTGGATCACTGCAACCTCTGCCTCCCTGGCTCAAGCGATTCTCCTGCCTCAGCCTCCCGACTAGCTGGGACTACAGGCTTGCACCACCATGCCCAGCTAATTTTTTGTATTTTTAGTAGAGACGGGGTTTCACCATATTGGCCAGGCTGGTCTCAAAAGTCCTGACCTCAGGTGATCTGCCTTCCTTGGCCGCCCAAAGTGCTGGGATTACAGGTGTGAGCCACTGCACCCAGCCTACAGCTGCTTTTTTGAAGCTGTCTGCTAGAATTGTAATGTGTGTGTGTATTTACAGTCTATGGAGAGTTTTTTCTACCACTCTTATAAGAGGAATGAGGGTTTTATTTAGCAACTAACATTTAATGTAGTATAAGCACTTTAGGAGGTTATTTTGTGATCTTCACATTAATCCCACGAATTAGTCCCTAGGTACAATTATTAGCCCTATTTTACACACCAGGAAACTGAAGCATAGAGAGGCTCATTAAGCTCCCCAAGGCCACACAGCCAGTATATGGTGCAGCCAAGAGTGAGCCAAGATGTGGAACTAATATTTAGGCAATTTGAATCTGGAGTGTGGTACCTGTGGGAAGGGCGGAGGTGGCTGCTTCTTGCAAGATCAAGAACCCAGGGCAAGGGGAACTTGACTCTTAGGGCACTTCCGGTTCAGAGGGCGCATAAGTTCAAGTGAGAGGCACTGCAGTTTCCAGCAGCCACCAGGGGCCAAAGAGGCTTGGGGCAGGGGGGTGGCCCAGGAGGCCTTCGTTTCTCCTGCCCAGGTTCCTTGAAGCCCCAAGGAAGGGCTTTTGCCTGGTGGTCCAGTGGGCACCTAATCAGCCTCGCGTGCCTCCCCCCGGTTGACTCCAACCTCAGAGTGGTGGTCACTTTGGATTGCTGGGGCTGATTTTGACCTGCTTGGAGGCAGGGGCCTGGACAGGATGAAAAGGTCCCGACCAGCACACCTGTCCAATGCTGTCTCATTACTTTTGCCAAATGCTGGAAGGAAACAGTAAATCTGGACATACGGTGATTTTCCCCCTTCCATCCATCTTTAATATGTCTTTTTTCTCTGATACAAATATCAAGTAAACAGGGACAACCTTAGATTTACGGCTCCAAATGAAAACATAGCGGCCACTGCACAACTTCTTTTCTCTGCGTAAAAACTCCATGCTCTTCTGTGTTGAGGAACAGGGGAGGCTATAAAGAAGGAGTGAAAATTTCCCATAGCCCCTCCACCAAAAGATAATTGCTGTTATCATTTTCCAGCCTTCTTTTTTCCTATCCAACACAGCCTTTCCAATGTGAACTCGAGTGACCCCCATCAGCCTCTTGTTCTGAGGCTAAAGTGGTTTGTGCTGGTTGTGGGACTTGCCGCGCAGGGAGATACCCAGGCAAACCTTTGTGCCTCCCACCCGCATAACTGGCCCCCGCTGGCTCTGAATGAAGCCACTCTTCTGGTAGATTGCATTTAAGGAATGTCTTAAATGGGCTGAGGAACAAAGGCCTCCCGGGACCCAAAGCCTCTTTGTCTGGCCTGGACCCTGGTCGCCGCTGGAACCTGGAGTGTCTTGAGTCTGCCCTCACGTGCCCTCTGAACTGCTGGAGTGCCTCAGGGGTCGGGTTTCTTTCACCGTGGGTTCTCTCTGATTCTGATCCCTAGGGGAGCAAGCCACCTCCATGCCCTTCCCACCTGTACCCTTGAGAAAATTCTCCCATCAGAGCACCATCCAAGAGTGAGATGCCTCCTGTCCTTCCAGCCCATCAGCTGCCAGGGGCTGCCTCTGGTGGCTCGTTTTAGAGACGTTAACTGGCCCAGATGGGACTTGTGAGCCCTTTGCCCAGGTCTACTGGACTGACCAGCCCAGAACCTTTAAATAGGAGGAGGTTTCGTTAGTGAAGGCAGGTAGTATGTGTCTGTCTATCTGTTTAGAAGCCTTATGTTCGGCAGATGTTCTCCAAGCACCGACCTTAGCAAAGCACTATCTAGGCACAGAGGGGGAGGAAATCAAACCAGAAGATATAGTCCCTACCCACACAGAAGTTTCAATTTCATTTGGGGACAAAGGACTTGCATCCATGGGACAACAGAGAACAATAAAGACGGCTGAATCGTCAAGTAATAGCCCTGTGTGCTATTGGGCCGGATGGACAGGTAGTGCTTCTGGGCAGTTCCAGACAGAGTGGATGTGGCCCTTGGTAGGACTGAGGTCTTTTCTCCTTCTCTGTGCTTGGTTTCATGTCTTCAGCTGTGACTGTGTGAATTTTCAAAGGCCCTGTCTGAGAAGCTCTGATTCCAGCTGGCTCCTAAGCTGGGGTTGGAATTCTGCTCTTGGGGAGTTTTGTTCCACTGGAGAGGTCGGCAGTGAGCAACTCAAGTTGTTTTTCCAGTAGTGCAAGCCACAGCCCAGCATCTGTCCTGTCTCAGTTTCAACGGCTAATCTGGGAATGTGGAGGGTGGGCTGTTCCTGGGGAAAGTGTTTTAAGTGATGAGACTCAAAGATAGGTGAGAAAAAGCAGATCTTGCAAAAATGATGGCAAGATGACCCTTGCAGGCCAGGCTTGGCGGGAGCAGAGCATTCACAGTGCTAGCAAGTGAAGCAAACCCCCCCGCCCCCCTCGCCATTTCTTGGAGATGGAGATAAAGAAAAACTTCTTGAGTATTTACACTGGAGAAAGTTATTTACATTTGGCTCAGTTTACTGGGTTTCAAGCAGGCAGAAATGACTACAGTCTGCTTTGGGTGCTGATTTTCAGGGATAAGAGCTTAAGCAGGACAAAAAACTGAGTACAGTGATATGTAAACATATAGATATCTTGAGACATCTTGACCCTTGCCTTCTACACTGTGTTCTTTTTTTTTTTTTTTTTTCCAAGCGACAAGCTCTCATTATGTTGCCCAGGCTGGATTTGAACTCCTGGGCTCAAGCAATCCTCCCACCTCCAGGGTAGCTGGGACTACAGGTGCATGCCACCACACCTGGCTCAGTCTTCTTTTTTCTTTTTTGTTTCTCTTTTCTTTTCTTTTTTTTTTTTTTTTTTTTGAGACCGAGTTTCACTCTTGTTGCCCATGCTGGAGTGGAGAGCAATGGTGCGATCTCGGCTCACTGCAAACTCCGCCTCCTGGGTTCAAGTGATTCTTATGGTTCAGCCTCCTGAGTGGCTGGGATTACAGGTGTGTGTCATCATGCCCAGCTTATTTTTGTATTTTTAGTAGAGGCGGGGTTTTGCCATGTTGGCCGGGCTGGTCTCAAACCCTTGACCTCAAGTGATCCATCCACCTCGGCCTCCCAAAGTGCTGGGGTTACAGGTGTGAGCCACTGCACCTAGCCCCAGCCTGGCCTTCTGCACTCTTACTGTCCAGAAGGAAAAGGACTTTAGGAGAAAATGTATTTTGAAATATATCTGACTTTCTATAACAGGCATGAGCCTAGAAAGTTCTACATGTAGATCAGAAGGATCATATAGGAGCACTTTGAAAGTTTGCATTTTTTTACACATAATTTTATTAGGTAAAAAGACTTCATAAAGCAAATCATCACAACTTTAGCTAGGCAGTTCTTGACCTTGGCTGTGCATTAGACTCACCTGGGAAGATTGAAAAGTGCTGCCCCAGGTCACACCCAGAGGAATGACAGCAGAATTCTGGGGGTGCACCCAGGCATCAGGATTCTTATAAGTTTCCCCAGTGATTCCAGTGTGCAGCCCGGGCTGAGAATCACTGCTTTACCTCTTGTATGCATGCCTCTGAGTGGCTACACATTGCGTGAACTTAAAGTAGAGCACGTCCTGTAAAGTCAGCAGTGAGGTGCCTTTGAGAGCATGGCAATCTGGTGTGGGAAAGCAGGAACTGCTGTTCTGTGCAGAAGTGCCCAGCAGAGGGGCTATAAAGATTCTTCCTACATCTACACGATGGAATGCTATGTAGCAAGAAAAAGGAGCAAACTTCTCATGCATTACAACCGGGATGAATCTCATATGCCTTATGTTAAGTAAAAGAAGTCAGACTCCGAAAGCTATTCCTGCTGCCATGCTGTGGGAGTAGGGAGAGGGCTGCCTATAAAAGGCACAAAGAAACTTTCTCGGGTAGTGGGAAGGTTCTGTGCCTAACACAGCTGAGGGTGTTTCTCAAAACAAATAGAATTTCACAGTAAAAACAGGAGCGTTTACTGTATTTAAATTATATCCCAATAAAAAAGTTTTTTGTTTAAAAAAGCCATTGCCTTATCAACAATGAATGGGTAAGTAGAATGTAGTATATCCATATAATGGAATTGTACTCAGTCTTAAGAAGGAAGGAAGTAGCCATACCTACTGCAACATGGATGAACCTTGAAAACATAATGCTAAGGGAAAGAAGCCAGATGCAAAATGTATATGCAATACCCAGAATAGGCAAATCCACTGGACCGAAAGCAGATTTGCGGTTGCCAGCATCTGAGCCTAGGGGGAAATAGGGAAGTCACTGCCTAAGGAGTTCTCCTTTGAGGTAATAAAAAAAGTTCTGGAACTAGATAGTGGTAATGGTTGCACACATTGGGAATCTTAACACCACTGAATTGTAAACTTTAAGATGGTTAAAGTAGTAAATTTTATATTATCTGTATTTTACCATCACAAAAAAAAAGAAGGCTGGGTGTGGTGGCTCACACTCTTTGGGAGGCCAAGGCAGGAGGATCCCCTGAGGCCAGGAGCTCAAGACCAGCCTGGGCTACATAGCACGACTCTGTCTCTACAAAAAATTTAAAAATTAGCAGGGCGTGGTGGTACATGCCTATAGTCCCAGCTACTTGAGACCATATAGTCTCAAGTGGTACATGCCTATAGTCCCAGCTACTCAAGGAGACTCACTTGAGTCTGGGAGGTCAAGGGTGCAGTGAGTCATGATTGTACCACTGCACTCCAGCCTGGATGACAGAGTGACATCTTGTCTCAAAAAAAAGAAAGTAAAGTAAAATAAAAATAAGAAAAAAATCCCACTTTCTATGAACAGGCCAGACGTATAGTAGATACGTGCTAAAGGCTGACTCAGTGTTTTGCATTTTTGAAGACAAGGGGCATTTGCTCTGAGGTCACCCTTCTTAGGTGGTGTGAGGAGTGTATTTTTCCAGAAGCTCATCTTGAGAACTTGAGAGCTCTCTCTGATCAGGAGGAAGATCTTCGACATTTTCCACCCTCCCTGGCATCTGTAGGATGCTGTTGCTTCTCACAGAAAGTGTCACAGGCTCCTAACACTGACTGCTCCCCAGCAGTTGGGCTCATGAGGATAATACATTCAGTGGCTTGATCTTGGGAACTGTTGGGGCAGAGGGATACAGTCTTTCTATATAAAGCGCAGGTCTGCTCAGTTTGACATTGGGAAGGAAAATCATGCTCCATCTCAGGTCTTCAGCAAATGCAGCTGAATAAATAAAAATGTGTGCATAGAACAGCAGGGAAACCGTGAAGAGTGGCTTTTTCGGCATGTTGGGAAGACGTTTATGGTTGGGAACTTAGTGACCAAAAAGCAAGACAGCCTCAAGATGAGAAAAGCTGGGGGAGGAGGTCATCTGGAGGAAGAGCTTCACCACAGAGGAGGGCAATGAATCGAGCAGTTGAACCGCCCAGCCCTGCGTGGGCCTTGGAAGTCTCAAACAAGAAACTTATTGACCCTAAGCAGACAACCCTGAACTTTAACAGAGCCGGGATGGAAAGCCTGCACAAGGGCCTACAGTTTCCAGAATGAACAACACATTTATTTCTCCCTCGCTCCACAGGAGGACGAGGAAGAGACCGAAATGAAAGTGTGGGGGATGGTGGGGGAGAAAGGAAATGTGGTGAGCGAGTTCCAGGGCCTCAGGGCAATAGCCACATTCCTCTAAGGGATGCCCACCCCTCCCAGCCCTGGGGGTTGATAAATGTCACTGAGGTTGGCACTCTGGGGCCTTGCCTTTGTTGATTGTTATTTCCCCAAGCCTGTGGCTGGATCCCGAAAGGGTGTGTCTGGAGGAGAATCGCCTATGGCCTCCTGTGTGCTTAGCACCTTGTCGGACACCCAAATCTATAAATCTTGACCCTTGACCGGAAAGAGCTTCTGCCCTGGAGATAGACACACACCCAGACGACTATGCGCAACTGGTTTTGACAGTCCACAACCTAGGGAGGCAGACGCCAGCAAGAGAGCTGAGTGCCGCTGGTCACAGTGGCTTTCTGGAGAAGGGGCCTGGCTGGACCTGGAACAATGATATGGATCCAGAGAGGAAGGGAAGGAACATCCTTCCCTTTTGACTCTCTCTCATCCCCAGGCCTGCGCTCCTTCAACCCTGGGGCTTCCCCTTCACCTGCCACAGCCTAGAAGAGAAGGAGGGTCTCGACATTGTCCTCAGCAGACAGCACCCAAGAGCTGCTCTTCCCCACACATCTGGCTGGCCCACCCGCTCCCCGATGGGCAGGTGCCATGGCTGCCTGGTTCACCACGGTGTCTGATGGCTTTCCACGTCTCCACCACCCAGTGCCTACATCGGGCAGGCACCACGGCTGCCTGGTTCACCACGGTGTCTGATGGCTTTCCGCATCTCCACCACCCAGTGCCCACATCGGCAGGTCCTGTGGGCTCTCCCTGTCTCATGTCTCCAGTCCACTCTTTCTCTTCATCCCCACACCCTTTGCCTTGTGGAGTATGAAGGACTGATGGGCAGGGGCCATGACTCAGATGCACTTTCCTGGCTCCCTGGGAATGACTACAGCCAACGGATGGATGGCAGACACAAGTGCTTTGAACTTGGATATGCTTGGATTTGATCCCCCGTGCCGCTACTCATCAGGGATGTGGCCAAATTGGGTTGTAATTCAGCCTCCTTAGCCCATTCCCACAGCTGTGCACTTGCAGGGTGGTTGTGAGAATTGAGGTGGTAGGGGCACAGCTGATGGCATGGTGCCCAGCTGCCATGATTAGCTCACACCCTCATCATTCCATATGCACTAATGAGTTTATCTAACTGGCCTCCCTGCCTCCACTGCCAGTCCCCTTCCATCCATCCTCTTGAGGACCCACAGCTTCAGGATTATTCTCTCTAGTCTGCTTAAAGAACAGCCTTGCATGACCCTGCAGAATAAGGCACCAACTTCTGAGCAGAATAATAAAGCCCTCTTCATCTGCATCACCCCCAATCCACAGTTCTGGCCTTAGAGCCCACCTTCTCCCCTTTGAGGCCCACCCCCACCCACCTCGATGCTCCATGTTCCCCCGATACACAGAGCCACTGGGTGGTTTCCCAAACACATGTACTTTCAGGGCTCAAGTTTTCTGAGCATCTCATCCCTTTTTCTTTCTTTCCTTTTTTTTTTTTTTTGAGATGGAGTCTTGCTGTGTTGCCCAGGCTGGAGGGCAGTGGTGTGATCTCGGCTCACTGCAACCTCCGTCTCTCAGGTTCAAGCGATTCTCCTGCCTCAGCCCCCCGGGTAGCTGGGATTACAGGTGCACGCCACCACCCCTGGCTAGTTTTTGTATTTTTAGTAGAGACAGGGTTTTGCCAGGTTGGCCAGGCTGGTCTCGAACTCCTGATCTCAGGTGATCCGCCCACCTTGGCCTCCCAAAGTGCTGGGATTACAAACGTGAGCCACTGTGCCCAGCCATCCCTTCTTCTTAAAATGCCTCTGCCCCTTTCCAGTGAGCTCCTATGCATTCCTCAAGGACGAGCTACAATTCCTTTTCCTGATAAACTCAGAGTTTGCCTTACTTTCCTTATTGCATTGCTGGTCCTTGGAGACATCCCTTGATTAGTTCTCTTCTCACCCTGGGTTCACTAGGCCTCTGGAAGGGCTGAGGACCCCTTGGGGTCACCTTTGTTTCCCCAGGGCCAGGCCCAGCACTTTCCACCCTTTGGCTTGGTACATATTGGCTCACGTGAAATAGAAACAAAGGCTATTTTCCAGGAATTGGGCAGCTTTTGGGAATAGCCAAGGATGCGGAAGTGAAAAGATACTTACAGTTTTTATGGGTTTTTTTTTGAAGTGGCAGCAGAGGGACAGCCTTGAGAAGTTCAGAAGTCAGGAAAAATGCAGCTTGAGACCCCGATTGCCTTGCAAGGCCCTTTCACTTTCCCTTGTCCCCTGAAGTTGAGTTCAAGGCTCACTGTCGTTGTCCTCCATTTATTTTCCCTGGTTTGGCTTCTTTAAGCTCACTGCTTTTGAGTTCCTGGGGCCGACAGGAAACTCATGAATAGCTGTTAGTAACAAAACACAACACAAGCTAAGGCCTTTTAGTTGGGAGAACATGCTTTATTCTTTCTTTTAAATGCTTCTGTGGGCCAGCCTAGCAGATGCTGAGTCAATGCTCGTGGACTTCACAGTAGGAAATGTTTGTTTGCAGACCATCAGGGCTCTCATTTATAAGGCTAGATTATGGTCCCTCCTCACTTTATCTCAGGCAAGAGTTGGAATTTTGCCATCATCACGCTCCTTTCATTTCCTTGTTTAATTCAGTTTCTCTGCCTTGGTGTTGTCTCCCGTTCTTCTCTGGTTCGGCTCAGTCATCCAGGCCCAGCAGCACCATTGCCTTGGATGAGGGTGTGGTGATGCTGGCAGTGCGGCTCTTGGCCCTTGGTGAGCAAGTCTGGTCACAGCAGGGCATGGGGCTGGGGCCTCCAGCTCCAGCAGAGAAGCTCCCCTGGGTCAGATGGTGGGAGGCCCTACTGGTTAAGGTCAAGGGCAACAGGGCAACTTTTGCCAGGTGCAACCTCTAGTGATGCCCATAGTAACTGATCCCGCCGATGCTTCTCTGTCTGCTGAGAAGCTCCTGTGACCCATGCTCTTTGTGCAAACACTTAACTACCTGGAAGAGCTTAGTCTCTGCCCTGCACTCTGGTGAGCCCAGTGCCAGCCTCCCTCCCTCCCTCCTTGCTGGTTATTTGTAAATCTGCTCAGTGTCATGGTGGGGCTGACCAGCAATGCCAGGGAGACAAAGGAGCAGGGGTGAGGTGAGCAAATGAGTGCAGGCTTCCCACAAAGTGCCTGTTTCTCCTGAGCCACTGACTTGCCTCTAGAGTGACACAAATGAAAGGCTGCCCATGCAGACGGGGAGCTCATGCTGGTCTGGAGCAGAGTGATCACGAGGAAAGCAGGAGGTGCCAAGGGTTCTGGATGGTGGGCAAGTTGCTGGGGTCCAGGTTTCAGAACAGCTCATTCATGCAGTAAACCCTAGGAGTTGGTTTCATGGAGGCCATTTGGGGGAAGAATTGTTTGGGTTCTCAGTGTTGTGAGTGTATTATGTAAGCTAGATAAGTAGAGGAGATGCTTTTTAAAATCCCATCTGTTCCAGTATTTTGGCTAGATAGGACCTGCCAGATACCTGGATTTTTAGTGGACTTCTCTTTACTCTTAATCCAGGCCACTAATTTATTTTTCTTATAATTCAGCCATGGGATTCTTTCATGTACAAAGTAAGTGGATAGATTTGCTTTGCTTTCATTTACTCATTTAGTCAACAAATATTTATTGGATATTGTGCTGGGCCCTGGAAATGTGAGCTCCACACAAAGCCTGTCCTTGGAGCTTGCAGCTAAATGGCGACACAGACAGCTACGCTGTGATGCAGTCAGAGCTGTGAGAGGATGTCTCAGTTTCTTATTGCTGTGGTAACAAATTACCAAACTTAGTGACATAAAGCAACACGAACTCGTTAATCTACAGTTCTGGAGATCAGAATCTGAGAGGGGGCCACAGGGCTCCTGGAGGCTCTAGGAAAGAATCTACTTCTTCACCTTTTCCAGATTCCAGAAGCCACCTGTGTTCCTCGGCTCATGGTCCCTTCCTCCATCCCCAAAGCCAACATGGTAGCATCTTATCTCCCTGACTCTTACCCTCCTACCTCCCCGCTTATAAGAGCCACTGTGATTACACTGTGCTCACCTGCACAAACCAGGATAATCTCCTCATTAAATCACATCTGTGAAGTCCCTTTGCCACGTCAAGTAGCATATTCACAGATTTGAGGGGTTAGGTCATGGATATCATTAGGGGCCCAATATTTAGCCCACCACAGAGGCCAGTGCTGGTAACATGGATCTGTTAAAGAGGCCCAGAGAAGGTGTCTCAGGAGGAATGTTATCTAGACCAAGACCTGAGGTGTTACAGCGGATAGCTAGTTAGGTATGAGCAGGGAGGAGAGGGCTCCCCACCTCACCCCACACACTAGGAGTGTTGGATGACCACCAGGTGATGGTCAGGCAGTTGTTAACTGTTTCTCTAAAGGAATGATTGGTCACAGCTAGTGCCAGAGAAAGGCAGTCTCCTCATAGAAAACACCTGAAAGCAATCAGCAGCTTCCCAATAAGATCTCAGGAGTGGGAGAAGTAAGGCAAATCTCAGAAGTATGCCAGCGTAGAAAACCCCAAGTCTAGCGGTCAAGCCTCACACTTGTTTTCTCAGGTCACCCACGTAGCCGTCTTCCAAGTTGGACTTTGCTTCTTTTCCTTTCCTTACTGTTCTAAAGCTTTCTAATAAACTTTCACTTCTGCTCTGAGACTTGTCTCAGTTTCCCCTTCTGCCTTATGCCTCTCAAATTCTTTCTTCTGAGGAGGCAAGAATTGAGGTAGCTGCAGATCTATACGGATAACTACCACTGGTAACACAGGGACAATTGTGATTTAGCAGAGGGGGAGAAGACCATGATGTGTGAAGACCAGAGAAGGAAAGAGGGGTGCTGTGTCCGGGCTGTGGAGTATGACAGTGACCACGGGGGAGGCTGCTTCAGTCTGCAGGGCTTTGGAGGCCAGGTAGGGCTTCTGAGGAACCAGGTGTGGCCTTTTTCTTTTCTTTTCTTTTCTTTTTTTTTTTTGAGATGGAGTCTTGCTCTGTCACCAGGCTGGAGTGAAGTGGTGTGATCTCAGCTCACTGCAACCTCCGCCTCCCGGGTTCAAGCGATTCTCCTGCCTCAGCCTCCCAAGTAGCTGGGAACACAGGTGCACGCCACCATGCCCAGCTAATTTTTGTATTTTTAGTAGAGACGGGGGTTTCACCCTGTTGGTCAGGATGGTCTCAATCTCCTGACCTTGTGATCCACCCGCCTCAGCCTCCCAAAGTGCTGGGATTACAGGTGTGAGCCACTGTGCTCGGCCCAGGTGTGGCTTTTAATCATGGACAACCTGTGAACAGATTCGTACTTTAAAGCCGTGCAGTCAAGCCAAGGCGAGGCTTACAACCATAGAGCTTCAGAACTGGAAGGAACTTTACAAAGCATTTGACCTAATAGACTTAAGAAGTAAATGGGCCCAAAGCCACCCGGAGAGGATCAAGATGAGAGTAACCCTCATTCTAGCCACAGCTCTAAGAGCAGAGCTCAACAGCTCTCAAAGCATTTTGGAAGTAGTGCTCTCTTAGTTTTCACAAGAGCCCTGTGAGGGCAGGCGTTTGCAGTGGAGGAGATAGAAAGTTGGCCGACGAGGCCGTTGTCACTCTTCCAGCACCTGGTAGGGCTGGGACTTCAGCGGAGGCTGTTCATCTCCAAGCCAAGGGCCTGTTTCTCTCTCCCTGTGGCCCTGGAGCTGAGAATCCCATCTTCTGCCCAGTCCCCCCATACGCTGCCAGACCTCACACCAAACCCTTCCTCTTGGGACCAGAGGGTTCGAGGTGGGAGGCTGCAGGGTCCCGAGGTGTATCTGAGCTGGGCTTTGGAGAGCGGGCAGCCACTATAAGTTTCTTCTGTTTCCTGTCCCTAGCCCTGGAACAGCTGCTGACAGAGTTGGATGACTTCCTCAAGATTCTTGACCAGGAGAACCTGAGCAGCACAGCACTGGTGAAGAAGAGCTGCCTGGCGGAGCTCCTCCGGCTTTACACCAAAAGCAGCAGTGAGTGTGGGCCCTGGGTGGTGCAGAGGCCTCCACGCCAAAAGAGATGGTTGTGAGTCAGTGCGGGCTGCCATAGCTAAGGATCACAGGCTGGGTGCTATAAATGACACTTATTTTCTCACACTTCTGGAGGCCAGAAGTCTAACATCAAGGTATCAATAGGTTTGGTCCCTTCTGAGGCCTCTCTCCCTGGCGGGCTGATGGCTGTCTTCTCCCTGTGTCCTCACATGGGTTTTTCTCTGTGTCTGTGTCCCAGTCACCTCTTCTTTTAATTAACTTTTTTGAAGCAGGGGCTCACTCTGTCACCCAGTCTGGAGTGCAGTGGCGCGATCATGGTTCACTGTAGCCTCAACCTCCTGGGCTCCCAAGTAGCTGGGTCTACAGGTACATGCCACCATGCCCAGCTATTTTTTTTTTTTTTGTATTTTTTTTTTGTAGAGATGGGATTTCACCATGTTGCCCAGGCTGGTCTTGAGCTCCTGGGCTCAAGCTATCCGCCCTGCCTGGGCCCCTCAAAGTGCTGGGATTACAGGCGTGAGCCACCATGCCTGACCCTAATCTCCAATCTCTCTCTCTCTTTTTTTTTTTTTTTGAGACGGGGTCTTGCTCTGTTGCCCAGGCTGGAGTGCAGTGGCATGATCTCAGTCCACTGCAACCTCCACCTCCCAGGTTCAAGCGATTCTCCTGCCTCAGCTTCCGGAGTAGCTGGGATTACAGGCGCCCACCACCATGCCCAGCTAATTGTGTATTTTTAGTAGACAGGGTTTCACTATGTTGGCCAGGCTGGTCTCAAACTCCTGACCTCAGGTGATCCATCCACCTCAGCCTCTCAAAGTGCTGGGATTACAGGCGTAAGCCACCATGCCTGGCCTTAATCTCCTCTCTTTATAAGGATATCAGTCATAGTCGATTAGGGTCACCCTAATTATCTTATTTTAACTTAGTTACCTCTTTGAAGACCCTATCTCCAAATGCAATCATATTCCAAGGTATACTGGGTGCTAGGATTTAATATATGAATTTTCAGGGGACACACTTCACCCCATAACAATGGTGCGGGACTGACCCGAGTTGGGCCCGAGCCCCAGAAATCTCTGGTCACTTGACACAGCAGCCCACGAGTAAGGTTTTAAATGAAGTATTTTCTTTTTTTTTTGAGACGGAGTCTCGTTCTGTCGCCTAGGCGGGAGTGTTGTGGCGCGATCTCCGCTCACTGTAAGCTCCGCCTTCCGGGTTCACGCCATTCTCCTGCCTCAGCCTCCCGAGTAGCTGGGACTACAGGCGCCCGCCACTGCGCCCGGCTAATTTTTTATATTTTTTAGTAGAGACGGGGTTTCACCGTGGTCTTGATCTCCTGACCTCGTGATCCGCCCGCCTCGGCCTCCCAAAGTGCTGGGATTACAGGCGTGAGCCACCGCGCCCGGCCTAAGTGAAGTATTTTCAAAGCACTCTTCCATGCTGGTTGAAAGTAGAGATGGAATAATAAATTATAATAATAGCTAGGGCTTAATGAGCATTCCCATGAGCATATGTAATAACCCATTTCATCTTTAAGACATCCCTGTGAGGCTGGTGCTGTTGTTATAGAGGGGGAAACTGAGACCTGGAGAGTTTAACCTGCCCAATATTATACAACCCAAGGGAAAACATAGTTGGAAGACTTTGTAAATTACAGAACCCCGAGTCCATGATTTTTCTGTCTTTTTAAAATTGAGATCATTTACGTATAAAGTGCACATATGTGAAATAATTCAGTGAGTTTTGATAATTGTATACCCTTGCGTCCTGATCACCCAAAACAAGATATAGAACATTTCCATCCTCCAGAAAGTTCTGTCTTGGCCATTCCCAGCCGCCCAACACAAGCAACCATTGTGCTGGTTGATATTGCCTGTGCTGGAGCTCTGTATAAATGGATTCATACGATGTGTACTGTATGTCTGGCTTCTCTGGAGATTCATCCATGCTGTTGAGTGTGTCTGTAGTTTGTTCCTTTTATTGCTGAGTAGTATTCCATTCTGTGAATACATCACAATCTGTTTATCCTTTCACTTACTGATGGCCATTTGAGTTGTTCACAGATTTGAACTATTACGAAGGAGGCGGCTAGGAACATTCTTGAAAAAGTCGTCTTGTGGACATATGGTTTTATTTCTGGCAAATTCAGATTCTTTTAAAAAAGGAAAACCCTTTTTGTGAAGTCATAACAGTTGAGTTGATTTTTATGTCAGATGTTTGAGAACTGGAAATGCTGTTTGGGGACGGTCAGGGACCGTGCAAGGGCATCTAATCCATCTGCCTCCCAGCGGGAACAGGCCAAGTCCTGCCAGGGAAGGGAAGTCTCCACCTGCCCTGGCCATCACAGTCCAGAAATGCTTCTTTGTGTCCAACCTGAATCTGCCAGGCTACATTTCAAGGACTTTCCCCTTCCCTGTTCCCTGTGGAACTAGTTTCTATTCTCTGAATAAGCAGTCGTAAAGCCGAGGCATGTCGCTATATGCCCATCTGTCTTCTCTTCTGGAGGAATCATCTGCCTTAGCCTCTCATCAGAGGTGTTTTCTTTCAGACTTTGCAGCTTCCCATGCTCCTGAAGGCTTTGTAGGGAGCGTCCGCCCGCCTGCCGCCGGGAGTGCTGGTCAACAGCACATCAAAGCAGCCCATCGTGGGAACACAGATGGGAAATCTACATTACAAAGCGGGAAGGTTGGAGGGGGATGATTCACTCCATGAAGGATTCATCAGTGGAATCCTCTAAAAAGTACACTCCCCACACCACTTCCGATATGTTCCACCTTGAATGTTCAATGATAAGAAACACCTCTGTTGGGAACTGGAAACCACCTGTTTGTGATAAGTCTGACCCGTGGATCTTGGTGCTAACCACTCTGGCAGCGCCTCCTACATGTGGTCTCTTTTTTGAATTAACCTATGATGTGGCTTCCTGTAGGATGACCTTTTTGTTCTGCCCTTGATCGGCTCTTATAAAGTCAGGCCTTCCCCTCTCCGTGGACTCTGCAGCTCGTAGGGGGTGGGAAGCTGCTGAGAACTGGTCATGGGTTCCCCAAGGTGAATCACCTCCAGAGTGCCACCCATGCACAGCCACACTGAGGCCTGGGGCCTGCATTCTCAGAAGCGAAGCCCACTTGTTAATAGCCACTGTTTAACGGAACTTCCCTCCTGGTCCTCTTTGTACCCCTTAGACTGCAGAGTAGGTACAATAGCAGCCAACATTTATTGTGTACTTTCTGTGTCCCTGTACTTAATGCAGTAAATGACATGGATGACATCATTCATCCTTTATCCCAAAGTGTATTCCCTTTTTACCAACAAGGAAACCAAGCCTCTGAAAGTCACTTGCCTGAGGGCACACGGCTCTGAGGGCAGAGCCAGGGCTTGGGCCTGGACAGGTGGACCTAACCTTATCTCCCCCTGCTCCATTGCACTGCAGTTAACTGTCGTGTCGCACAGGACAGAATCGTAAACACACATACCGCACCTGAAATTACAGCATTCTTTCCCTCGGCCTCCCAGGCCCACCTCTACCCAAAACTTAGCTCAGCCTGTTGAGACTTGTAGGTGGAGGCGAGGTGATCATCTCAAGATAGCCGTGGTCCAACAGGCTGAGCTTCTGGGACTTCCACACATTTTGGGCAGGATGTGTATGTGTGCATTTACACTTCACAAAGGGAATTGCCTCTTTGAGTTTTCTGATCTTTGTTTCTTTTTTTCTCAGTGTAACACAAATTTTTCTACCCTCTTTGCTTTTTGTCTGGATGGAGAGGTCCAGGCATAGACTAAGATCTGTTTATTGAGGGCTTGGCTCCCTGTTGTCTATTCTAGCCTTCACCAGTGACAGCTGTGTCCCCACCACACCAGCCCCCACTCCTGCCTCACACTCCCACCCCCACCCTCAGAGGCTCCAGGGACATTTCAGTGGCTGCCCCTCTGATCAAAAGCACTTCAAATGTTCTGTATCCAGTGGTAGCAAAGAGGTTCATGTTCCTCCTCCCCACCCTATGCCAGTTCTCTGGGAAGGACCACCCTCTGCAGACCTCTAAGCACTTTGAGCTCATCTTCCCAACACCTTCAGGCCGTAGTCATTTCCCACCCACTGTGTAACGATCAGATTCAGGTATGTCTCTCCTGCCGGACTGTGGGGTTCACAAAGGCAGAGGTAACATCTGTTTTCTGCTGTATCCCCAACACTTAGCACAGTGCTGATGCTGAATGCACTTCGTCAGATAGTTGAGTGAATGATAGAAAGTTCTCTAGCCCAAGGCTGCCGCCTCCCAGACAGGACTGAGCAGTCTGGCCTGCCTGTCCGTGGCCTCCCAGTCTAGGGCCAGGTTTACTGTATTTTTCCCACAATTGCAGAAGGTCTTGGGAACTTCTTACTTACCAACCTGGAGAGTCCTAGATTAACAACCCTCTGAGAATCAAAACCAAGTCAGCCTCAGCCTGCAGCCCACCCGAGGTGGGCCGATGCACCCTCATGAAGTGGCCAGTGTGAGTTTTCTCTGCAACTTACAAATCATCATCTTAGAGAGAAAACACCTGCTCAGAATCCAACATTTAAAACAATAACATCTTGGCTTTTATTTTTTGTATAGGTATGTGAACTTAGTTAATGATATAAAAAAAAATGAACACTGAACACTATTTATGTTCTTCCAGTTCCTTTTCTGATCCTTATCAGCATTATCTGAATATTTTGGAGTAGCTGTGGTTTGCCTCTGTTTCTGCTTTACGTTATTTTTATATTTAGAATTGCTGCATGCACACATTTCCATGTGTTGACGATTCATATACTGTTTCTTTTTTTGCTATTCTGAAACATGATCTTATAATTAAACTCTAGGTCTTGGGTATCTTTGTAAACAGACACAGAGCTACCTTGCTAGTTTTCACGATTGGGTAGAGTTCAATGCTGGATGAATCCTAATGTTTAACCTATTGGTAGACATTTAAGTTGAATTTTTTTTTTTTTTTTGAGACGGAGTCTTGCTCTGTTGACCAGGCTGGAGTGCAGTGGCACTATCTCAGCTCACTGCAAGCTCTGCCTCCTGGGTTCATGCCATTCTCCTGCCTCAGCCTCCTGAGTAGCTGGGACTACAGGCGCCCACCACTACACCTGGCTAATTTTTTGTATTTTTTAGTAGAGATGGGGTTTCACCATGTTAGCCAGGATGGTCTCGATCTCCTGACCTCGTGATCCGCCCACCTTGGCCTCCCAAAGTGCTGGGATTACAGATGTGAGCCACCGTGCCCGGCCATATGTTGTATTCTTTTTTTAAAAAAAAAAATCATGCAGTATTGTAGTGAATGTCCTCAAATACAATTTTCTTTAAATGCTAGAGTTTATCTGTAGGATAAGTTTCTGGCAGTAGAAATGCTGGGTCAAAGAATATGAACACAAAAATGTATCCTCCAAAATCATCTCTAAAATGGCCATGCCAATTTATACCCTCTTCAGTAACCCATTTAGTTTTTAAAGGTGACTTGCTGTTATATATGTTGATGTGCCATGGTTTGTTACCATTTTCCTATTGTTGAGCCTTTGAGTCATGTCCCATGTTTTAAGCTGTCATTTTTCATCTTAGTTGTAAGGTTACCTTACCTTTCCAAACCCCCTAGTATCTGAGTTTTGTACTCTTGAGAACTGAAGAGTTTGGTTGAAACAGGCAGTATTTTGTCATGCAGACAAGAAAACGGAGGCACAAGGGTTAGGTGCTTTGCCCAGAATGATGCCGTTACGGCAAAGCTTTGGTTGAGACCCCGTCTCCTGCCTCTCCCTGCAGGGCACTTTTCCCCTCTGCCATGTGCTGGAGAAGGGACTGACCCAGCCCCCTCTGAGTCTCAGTGGGTGGGAATCTGTGAGTTCCGGTTCACTCCATTTGTACCTCATAGCTCCCACTATGCATCAACTGCATAAACTGCTGCAGTCCCTGGCACAGGGGTAACATTGCTGACTGGTCCTGGCAGGGCAAGGCACTAAGATGACAACCAGAGGTGCTCATCACTGAGGCTGTATCCAGCCCCCTCCTGTTCCTCTTGGCTCTCGGGTCCCTGCTTTTGCAGGCCTGTTGGCTGGAGTTTGGGCGGTCTGTGGTCGTGCAACAGAGTGACACTGAACTGCTTCCTTCGCCAGAGGTTAGAACTGGGTCCTTTGGCTCAGTAACGCGGTCTCTAACCACTGGAATTTATCAGCCACAAGTTTCTAGGAAATGCAAATTAAGGCTGCAGAAGAAATTCAAGAGGATTTTGATGAAGAGAAACACTAGAATGAGCTTCCTCTGAAGACTTCTGAAGAAAGGGTCCTTGGGGGATTGGAAATGGAGCAAGAGTTAGGAGGCCAGCTTTTCTCTGCCCAGGCAGGCATGGGAAAGGTGACTTAACCTGCACAGAAGTGGTTTTAAAGGAGGCATGGATTGTGCCACTGCAGGGTATAATCTATAGGGTAGAGCAGGTGGCTGGTGGTTCCTCAGTTCTTATTCTCAGGATACCCCTTTAAATTCAGAAATCACATGATTTGGCTATTCAGGTCCCCGTTCACCCATCCAATGGCCCCCTACCTAGAGGCCTGCGAACTAAACTTCCAGGTCTTCAGTGTGACCTGGGTTATCTATACACACTGGATCAGCCCATTCAAGTAATTCAGACTAGGGTGAGAATGACAGGAAATATTTTACAATTTAAATGAAATGCTAGGAAGCCCAGAGACATCTCTACTTGGTGGAATACAAGGCAGATCTTGAACTTAGGATTTCTTTTTTCTTTTCTTTTTTTCTTTTTAAGATGGAGTCGCACTCTGTTGCCCAGGCTGGAGTGCAGTGGTGCGATCTCAGCTCACTGCAAACTCTGTCTCCCAGGTTCAAGTGATTCTCCTGCTTCAGTCTCCTGAGTAGCTAGGATTATAGCTACCATGCCTGGCTAACTTTTGTATTTTTAGTAGAGACAGGGTTTCACCATGTTGGCCAGGCTGGTCTCCAACTCCTGACCTCAAGTGATCCGCCTGCCTCGGCCTCCCAAAGTGCAGGATTTTTATACCATAAGCTATCCTTCTGTATCTTACCTGCCCCCACACCCTCGGTCAGGCTAGAAAACTAGCAGTCAGCAACTTGCCATTTCTCTTTTGGAAATCTGTCAGCTCTTTGCATGTTGGACTATTCTTTCAATCCACTGAAAATGCTGTGTGCTTTTACTGGAACCTAGGCAGATGAAAACAGCTCTGGAGTAACAGGGTTTCTAGCTGGAGGCCCTTTCTCTTCAGGAAGTCACACAAAGCCTGTGTCTCCTTCCTTCTGCAGGCTCTGATGAGGAGTACATTTATATGAACAAAGTGACCATCAACAAGCAACAGAATGCAGAGTCTCAAGGCAAAGGTATGAGGCTGGGATCACTGACGCTGGTATGATGGCCACTCCTGGGATGGGGGAAGGTCCAAGCTGGTTCTGTCCCACCTCTCTTTCCTCCCAGCCGGCACACAGACCCGCCTGGCGGAGTTATTTTTGGAAGCCACATTTTTGTTGGTCGTATTTTGGGTTGATGTATTTCAGGATGTTTCAACAGGCCACCCCTTCCTTGCCCATTGGATAAGGAATCTGGCTCTAAAACTTTTTGGCTGTTCCCAGCATCATCCCAGGAACAGGAAGTCATAATTCAGATGTTCGAAGAAAGCAGCTGTGTGTGGTGCTGATCCCACGGTTCTGCCTTTATGTCTTTTGATAGAAGTCTGTTTTGAGGAAGAGGAGAGAGAAGTAAATGGTGGTGTCAGCAACTGCCTTAATAGTCAAAGATGATGTTCAAAGGTGCTGACTTTGGCGGAACGTTTAGTCTCCCATGGGAAGGACATATGTTTTCTTCCATGGTGCCTCACTCTTCTGCTCTGTTCTGCTCTCTGCTTTTCCCTTAAAACCTCCAGGGAGGGGCCTGGCAAGACCCCGGGGAGGCCCAGAGGTATGCAGAGCTGCCTAGTTGCAGAAGACGCAGGCTAAGAAGCTCCAATTCCTAACTTCCAAGCCTGTGACTTAACCACAAAGGCTTAGAGAGGGGTGGGAACACAGCATGGCAAAGCACTCAGTCCTGTTGAAGGCTTGTCTTTGAGACATCAGCCACCAAATCCCCGATATCGGGCCTGCCTGAGCCTGTCTGTCCCAGGGCTGGCTGAAATGGACAGGCTCAGAAGTGTCTTCGGCACCTTTCCTTCCAAGTGCACCGAGGGTTGGTGGCCTCACTTCCCCAGTGTGGCTCCTTCACTTCCTGCCCCTCACCAAGCCTGGGACATGGCAGAGCTCATCCAGATGAGGTTGGCCACTCTGGCGGGGGTCACTTGCCTTCTGGGTAAACTGTGGGAGGAAAGAGCCATAATCACAGGGTCCATGCTGAGAGTGGCTCAATATAGTGGCCACCAGGCAGCTTCTCTGCTGGCCAAAGCTCTGTGGCTAGACCATTTTTTTTGACATGGGATGGGTAGGGGAGCAGGTACAGAGGCTGCCAGAAACCCCAGGCACATGTCTGGGGCACTCCTGCACCCTATTACTGCAGGGAGGAAAAACAACTTCGGTTCCAGGGACCGCCTGCCTGGGTAATTAACACCTGCTCAAAAAGAACTCACAGGGTGCATGTGACCGGGCATTCCTGAGGAAGGAGACCCTGTGTAAGGCTGGTCACCCCTCACCGAAGCCTTTTCCTTTTGCTGCCCGCAGCGCCTGAGGAGCAGGGCCTGCTACCCAATGGGGAGCCCAGCCAGCACTCCTCGGCCCCTCAGAAGAGCCTTCCAGACCTCCCGCCACCCAAGATGGTAAGCATCAGTTCAGGACCCCTGATTTCCCTGACGTGAGCCCCTTGAACTTCCAGTTGTCTCCACAGGTGTCAGCTCACTAAGTGTCTGGCATTTTCTGAGCAGCTACTGTGTTCAGGGACTGGGACAAGGCACGTGTAGGGACAGAGCAAAAGTAAACCTGCCTACAGGTGATTTGCTTGGGGCCACAGTACTCCGGATGCTGAGGGTGATGGGTCTGGGGACATTTGATTGAGTGCCACCTGACGCTACTCAGGCTCTTTATCCAGCACCATGTGAACAGGGCCATGAACAGCTGTGGTCACCAGCCTAGACCACAGTGACCTTTAAAAAATTTGCACTAGCCAGGTGCAGTGGTGCATACCTGTATTCCCAGCTACTCAGGAGGCTGAGGCAGGAGGCTTGCTTGAGGCTAGGAATTTGATGCTGTAGTGTACTGTGATCACACTTGTGAATAGCCACTACAGGCCAACCTGAGCAACATAGCAAGACCCCATCTCTAACATATAAAATAAGTGAATAAATAAATAATTTAATTCCCCTACATTGTTCTGGAGTTTAAAGGAAAAGTAAAAATTCATAAAACATATCACACTGTACTACCTGCTTGAACCTTACCAGTAGTTCTTATTAAACATAGAAAAAAAAAAATCCCGTTCCTTAGCATGGCCTCAGGGCCTATGATCTGGCTCAGCTGCATGTCCTGCCTCCTCATCCAGGGTCTTCACTGGCCTCCTTTCTGCCCCTGGATTCTGTCACTGTGGTCAGGCCTGCTTTAGAGACTTTGTACCTCCTGGGCCTCTACCAATTTCTCATCTCTCCAGAGTTCTTGAGAGAGACTCCTGCTGACCTGGCTAAGTAAGGCATCCCTCCCCCATCTGCACCTGGGTTGCTATCTACCCACCACCCAGTTACCCACTCCATGGCACCTGCTACTGGAAGTCTTGTTTACTGTCTCCTCTCCTGATGTCAGCTCCTGAGGACAAGGACCTTGTCTCTCGTTTACTATTTTGTGTCCAGTATCTGCAGACATGGACAGATGTAGGCCATACCTAAATATCCATTAATGTGGATGGAGTTGTAAAATCATATGGATGTGGGTTCAAATCCCAGTTCTGCATGCCACTAGCTCTTTGAACTTGAGCAAGTTAAAGTCTCTAATCCTCTATTTCCTGGTTTATATGGAAGAAATGCTCACATCTGTCTCGTCAGATGGGCTTATTTAATGGGCTAAGGATGGCAGCCCCCCCACCACTGTGTGTGGCATACTGTGCTAGTATTCAGTGAGGTAAGTGGTAGTGTTTATATTTTAAGGGTGAGGAAACCTAATGTCACACAGCCTGTAAGTGACAGAGTCAGCATTTGAACCCAGGTTCTTTCCTCTGTAGGGCATGGCTGGGGAGGGATCCTGGGGCAGGACTGGGGTCTCAGCTTAGGAGGGTTTATGTGGGTAGCCAGGGGGTCTTGGGTCAGCGCCAGCAGGAAGCTAAGCTCCTGCCAACTGACCGTCACCTGATCTGTGGGCTCATGTTTCCGTGGAGGGGGTCCCAGCCCCAGAATGGCTCTGGACTGGCCCCTTCATTCGTGCCTTCCTGGGGGGAAGGGGCCACAGCTGAGGATCTGACTCTACCATGTGGGGTGGGTGGGCAGTTCTGGAGAACCTGGGACAGTGTCCCATTGCATGCCGTCCCTTGAGCTGGGTGACAGCTGGTGGAGACTCCTCATCTCAGGCTGAGTGAGGCTTGATGTCGGGACTGAACCTGAGTCCCTGGTGTCCCTGTGATGCTGACAATGCCAGCGACTGCTACACCCTGAGCCTCAACCCCATACCATGCACACACACCATCCGCCCACCACCCATCGAGGGATGGGTATTTTTGTCACTGTTTTTCATATGAGGAAACAGACTCAGAGTTAAAAACCACTGGCCACGGTCCCACAGTTGGGAAGTACTAGGCCAGGATTTAAATGCAGGTTTTTGTTGTTGTTGTTCCCAATTCCTCCCCCAGCCTGGGCCTCCCTGACATTTGCTTCTCTCTGTAACAGAGCAAAGGCTTAAGCTATGCTCCCTCCAGTGCCAGGCTCCCCTCACTTTCAGCCCTGATACCTGGGGGAAGAGCACAGCCCCTCTGCTGTCCCATCCATTGGCTGATGGCTTTAACCAGAGGTTTTCTGGTATGGCCCAGGCATTGCTTGCTGGGTGGTGGGAGTGGAAAGGTGGCTGTTCTGAGCCACGGCTGGAACTTTTCTATCCTAAATCCAGCGTCTGATTCTGACCAAGGTATCTTGGGCTTTGCTAGTGGAAGTGCCATCTTCTGCCCCACCAGGGGCAGCTGCTGGTGGGTCCCCACCTGGTGGGTAGGGGCAGAGTTTCATGAGCACCGCGTACTGTGTGAGTGTTCTAGAAATTGTGTTTTACAAGCACAGCATGGACTGAGGGGCCCAGGGTCTGGGACCTGGCTACAGCTGTAAGTTAATTGGGCCACGGAGAGTCCCTGCGGGCCCTGGGATTCCAATGCTGGCTTCTGTTCCTCAGCCAGTGCCCTGTGCCTCAGACACTGAGTGTGGGGAGGGGAGCGTGGCCCCCTCTGAAGTAGACTTCCTGGATTGTCGTCTGTGACTAGGGCTTGTGTCCCTGTTTGAAAGGAACTGGTGCGGCAGTTGGGGAAAATATCAGCACCCAGGAATGGCACGATCCCAAGGAGGCCTTTCAGCCAAGTGGTAACTGCCTGTGGACAGCTTCCAGGCCCCAGGGAGACTTCTAGCAAAGCCAGCTGACTTGACAGGAAAAGGCAGCTCCCTCCCACTTTGTGGACTTTCTCTGCTGTGAAGGACCAGAGACGGGTGTGGACTGCGAGTCCCCTGGCTAGGTCCCACCTGGTCTTGTGCAAGGCACCCACCTCTACCCCAGGGTGTTCCAGATGTGGTGTGGGGATGTAGGTGGTGTTCACCGGGCACTCTCCCTGTCCTTGCCCACACACATGAGCACATGTCCTCACTCCCTCAGGCCTCCTCTCTTGTTGAATCAGGCTGAAGCAGCCATCACTCTTAGTCCAAGGCCCCCAGAGGAGCAGCGTCAGGGTGGAGTCATGTCTGTGGCTCTGAAGGAGGAGGAGAACCAGAGCAGGGAGAGGCCATGGCCGCTGGAACCCCATGGCCATGCTAGCCAGACCATCAACCGTGGCCAACAAACATCTGTTTCTCTCGCAAGGACCACAGCACCTGGCTGTGTAGACAGCAGCCTGGAGAGGCCACAGCTGCCTGAGTCACTGTCCAGCTCAGGCTGGAACCCTGAGCCTGGAGTGCCCTGTGGCGTCTCTTCCTCAGACAGAAAACCCGCCCTTCCTCCCTTGATCCCAGAACTTCAGGGAGGTTTGTCCACCTGAGGGCTGGGCCCTGCACAGCTGCCTGGCCCTGGGCTCACCGGCACCTGCAGCAGCACCTGCAGCAGCACGTGGACATCCACCTGGGGTCCTCAGGGCCTATGGCTGGGCCAGGATCATGCCTCGGTCACAGGCTCGGGATGCTTATCGGCCACGAGCCCAGATGTCCTCACTCCAACCCCTACAGACTCAGTAGAGAGCAGGTCTGTCCAGCAATAGAAGGGGCAGCCAGGGGTTTGGAGCAACCTCGTGGGTGTGGACAGTGACTCAGGCAGCTGTGGCCTCTCCAGGCTGCTGTCTGCACAGCCAGGTGCCGTGGTCCTTGCAGGAGAAACAGATGTTTGTTGGCCATGGTTGATGGTCTGGCTAGCATGGCCATCTCCACCCCATCGTCCCTCTGAGGCCTGGCCATGCGCTGGCCTGCTCTTACATGAGCTTCTCTGTGGGGGAAACCACTTAATCCCTAAAAGGACATTGCCGTGGCTAGCCTCGGAGGCTGGGCCTGGCCTGTCCACTCACCCCCACCTGGGAGCCTTCTGCAGCATACTCTGGGGCAGGATGGTTAGAGCTGTGAGGATGCCTCGGGTCCTCTGAGCCACCCCTCATCAGCTCTTGTGTCTAGTCTAAGCCAGGTGTTGGCAAACTGTAGCTCACTGGCCAAATCTGATCTGTAACATCCTTTAGTAAATAGTGTTTTATTAGAACACAGCCAGCCTTATTTAGTTGTATTAGTCTGTGGACTTCTGAGCTACAGCAAGCAATAGAGTTGAATAGCTGAGATAAGACAGAGGTCCCGAGTGGCCACAAGTCCCTAAAATATTTACTTTTTGGCCCTTTCCTGAAAAGATTTGCGGCCCTCTGGACCTCTGGTCTGGTCAATCCTGCCAAGCCTGACTCGCTCACGCAGTCCCTTCCTCCAAACAGTCAAAGTTTTTCAGGTTTTGATGTTAAATCTCTTCTGGATCTTCATTTAATATTCACAGTCTTCCTGTAATCCCAGCACTTTGAGAGGCTGAGGCAGGCAGATCACCTGAGGTCAGGAGTTTGAGACCAGCCTGGCCAACATGGCGAAAACCACGTCTCTATTAAAAATACAAAAATTAGCCAAGCGTGGTGGTACGCAGCTACTCGGGAGGCTGAGGCAGGAGAATCACTTGAACCTGGGAGCTGAAAGTTGCAGTGAACTGAGATCACACCACTATACTCCAGCCTGGGCAACACAGTGAGACTCTGCCTAAAAAAAAAATATATATATATATATATATATATATAAATATATATAAAATTCACGGTCTTCACCATCATAATGATAATAATCAAAATAATAGTCCTTTCTCCTTAACCCTGTGAGATGAGGATCTGTCTCCTTGAAGCTCTGATAATAGGTCACTGTGTCTGTTTAATCATGTGACTCATCATTTAACCCAGCATTCTTGAGAGCTGGGACTCCACCCTATGGTCTCCTCTGTACCCACCCCCAGAGTACACTAGTTTATCCTCCACCAAACACATATACGCAAAACTTTTCTCCCTTTCTTATTTTTACATTTTATTTTTTAGATTAGTAAAAACTAATATGTATTGAATATTGAATAGTGATAGGCACACTTCAATCCTTACAGCAACCCCATGTGACAGATATTTCTATTCTCCCCTTCTTATGCCAAGTCCAGAGAGGTCAAGTGAATTGGTCGGAGTCACATAGCAAGGATGTCCCAGTGTCAGAATTCAAGCCTGGTTCTGGAGATCGGACTCCACTCCTGCCCTGCACTGTCTCTGCATAGTGAGCCATTTTCAGATTTTGCAGTGTCAACCTACAGGCAAAAAACGGAGACAAAATAAATATAAGTAGAGAGTTTATTCTGACCAAAATTTCAGGGCTGCAGCCCAAGAGCACAGATTCAAGTTACCCTGAATCCATGTTCCTATTGGCAGCAGTTACAAGTGGGTTTTCAAAGGAAAAAGAAGAGGCAGTTTTTAAGTTGTTTACCAATATTTTATATTAAAATACTGTAAGCTATCGATCAGCTAAACATTGTTCTTTGTATCATAAATTACAGGAACCTGAAGACAATGGATGAGGCAGCTAGTGAGGAGTAAAATGCCTTTAAACAGTTGCCCCCAGGAATGGGGAGGGGAGAAAACGGTGCCTGAAGCCCCATACTCCTGGGCTTGATACATTTTGCACACCTCGCGTAGCTCAAACTTCTCTGAGCTATTTTTCTTCTCAACAGAAGCTTAGGAGACACTCACAAAACACTGCCTGGCTCCACCCTAGACAGGACAGGAGGCCCCCAGGGACAGACCCTGTGGTGATGATGACCCATGGGGAGCTCCTGCAGAAGGGTTCACTCCTCCCTTTGTCCTGTTCGACTCTAGAGAATCCTGACCTTGGGCCAGATCTCGGGTGCCCAGAGCTTTTCTCCAGATGGGACCCACCTGACGGGAACGGAGTTTCTTGGAGGCTGGAGCTGGAGGCCCAGCCAGATCAGGCTGATGAGCCCTGGGACCCACTGGGGAGACCTTACTGCCACAGAGGCGAGAGGACCCTTTCCCTGTGGACCCTAGGGAGCCTGTTGTTAGTGGACCACAGGCAAGTCTGTCACTGTCTCAGCCTTTTCTCAGGCTGCTGGCTGACCAGGGGGACCAGGAAAGGCTGAGAGAGCAAAGATCTTGTACCAGGCTGGGGCTGGCAAAGAGGGAGGACCATACACTAGAAGTTACCAATGGCACGCTCATTGTCTGCTAGGGCCTGGCTGCCAGGCAGGAGCCTGGGCAGAGGTGTGCAACCTGGCTCCCTTCAGCAGTGCGTCTGTCAGCCCAGTACAGTGTCGGGTTTGCTTATGAAGTGACCAAATTCTTTGATTCCTTTCTTTGTAGGGGGTGCCACATGCCAGAGGAGGGCTGAAGGCTGTTCTGAGCCTGCCCTGTGCCTCATATCAGCTCTGTTGGTACAGGACCAGATCTGGTGCTGGACCCAGGCTGTGGCCTGGCCTCAGCCAACCCTCTGCGATGCCCCGACAGGGTCGATCCTCTTCGTCTCAGCTTTCAGGACAACACATTAACTGCCTGTCACATTAACTGCCCTCACTGCGCAACCTGCAGACCCTGGGACTGTGGAGGGGCCCCAGACAGTGATAACAATGGCCTCCTTGTATTTAATATGGGCCAGGCCCTGTGGAAACACTATCACGTTTTGTCTCATTGAATTTTCAAAACAACCCTAGTATTATTATTTTATAAAGAAGGAAAGCAAGGCTCAGAGAGGCTGTCACATACCCAAGGTTAAATCTATGAGGTCCTGAAGCCCGGATTGAAATCAAGTTACATGAACTCCAGGGTCTATATAAACAGACTGTAGAGTCCAAACCACACAGGACTGGGCTCTGGGGACCCTGGTATCCTCACCCTGGGGAAGCTGGAAGGGATACTCTTGCAGCCCAGGCTGAGGACTGTCCCACAGGGGCTAAGCACAGGCTGCCTGTCCTCCCACTGTCTCCTGGGCCAGGAGTAGGGGAGCTACCTCCATCCTGGGTCCCCCAAATCCATTTTTCATGGCAGGAGTTTCTGGATTCCTAGCATTACCCTCTCCCCCAAAGCACAGGGGTCCACCTGAGCTCAGGGCACTGCAGCGTCCTTCCATTGGCTGCTGCTTCCATCATCTCCCCCTACAACCTCCCCCACCTCACAGCCTGCCTGTGCTTTCACGTGGAGCCTCCTTGAAGGCCCAGGCCTTCCCTCTCACGCGGAGGGCGCAGCACAAGGACTTCTCAAAATCAAGAGTGGGAGGGAATACATTTCGAGCTCTGCCACTTCTGTTGTGAACTCATTATGCATATTCCCATGGAGTTTCATGATTCAGAAAGACACCACGGGCATGGTGGCTTGCGCCTGTAATCCCAACAATTTGGGAGGCCAAGGCGGGCAGTCAGTTGAGGTCAGGAGTTTGAGACCAGCCTGGCCAACATGATGAAACCCCATCTCTGCTAAAAATACAAAAATTAGCCGGGGGGGGGGGGGGGGTGGTGCACCCCTGTAATCCCAACTACTCGGGAAACTGTAGCAAGAGAATTGCTTGAACCTGGGAGGAAGAGGTTGCAGTGAGCCGAGATTGCACCATTGCACTCCAGCCTGGGTGACAGAATGAGACTCTGTCAGAAAAACAAAACAAAAGACACTGGAGACCCATGTTCAAGGGTGCTTACACATTCACGACCTGTCTGTCATAATAGTAATGCAACAAATTACCTCTTTTTCTCCCCCATGGTTGTTTATAAAGGTAGCTTATTGAAGCATAGCTTCATAGTCTAGTGCCTACTATGCAGGTGGAATAAGGGAGGAACACAATGATTTCACGTTCTGTGCTTCTGACACAGTTGCAGGTGTTTTTTATTCTCAAATTGCACACGTTCAACCTCATCCCACATAAGCTCAGGGTCATCTTTGAGGCTCGGCGCAAAGATCACATACCCTGGGCATCCTTCCTTTGTCCTAAATATTCCTCACACCCTCCTGTGGTTCTCACAGAACTTTGACCTTGTCCATTATAGCACTACTATATCACAATGCACTTGACCAGGAGCTGTTAAAAATCTACCAGCTACTCAAGCTTTTCTTAGGACTGACTCCTGAAATTTCGATGTGTCCCTCTCAGCTAGTACATGGAAGTCATCCAATATTTGCTGAATGAGTGATTGAACTATATTATGGTAAAAGTGTAGGATTTAGAAACCTGGTCCTCTTTCTCCCTGTGCTATTGATTAGCACTTGTCTTTTTAGAAAATATATTCTATTTAAAAGCCACAATAGCTATCCCAACAGCCGGGCACTCTCTGGACTGCTAAGTGCATGATATATCATGTACATAATGATATTTTGTGTGTGTGGTAGGGGGCTTGAGCCTCATTTTGCAGGGGAGAAAGCTGAGTCTTGGCAAGGTTAAACAACGTGCCCACAGCCCTTCCGTGGCTACAGACCAAACACTATGGACTGTGACTGATGGGATTCATGATACTGCATGTTCTCCCTCCCAACTTGCTTAAAGTTTAAAGTCCAGCTGGGCATTTTTGTCTTCTAGACTTCCACCCGAAGAGTTATTTCCAAGTTGCTCCCAGTGTACCATATCTGCAAACGTTTGTCTTATTTGTTCATACCACAGATTCCAGAACGGAAACAGCTTGCCATCCCAAAGACGGAGTCTCCAGAGGGCTACTATGAAGAGGCTGAGCCATATGACACATCCCTCAATGGTACATCCCAGCGGCTGGGGCTTGGGAGGGTGACTTACTGCTTCCTGCACAGATGTTGGTGCAGACTTACCTGGGGGTAACAGATACACTCATCCTGGGCTGGGTGACAGAGGGTAGTCTGGGCTGCTGTGACAGGAAAGCATGGTCCAAATTGAGAACTGGCCACAGAGCATTCAGCCTTTAGTGTGAATGGGGAGCCAAGACCCACAGCAGACCTAGCTGTCCTGCAAGGAGGAATGAGGGATGGTACACAACAAATAGATTGACTGCATCTGATGTTTTCTGTGGTTCCTGCCTGCAAGTTGTGAGATTTCAGCACAAAGGTGACAGAAGAGAGGAGTGTTGGCCAACAGGCCCAAGGCCCTGGTCAGCAATGGAAGTGGCGGTCAGGCTGAGTCTGAGCTCAGTTTCCATGTTCTTTCACTGGACTCATAGTTATGGTGCTCCCGCTGTGTCAGGGACAGGAGCCCAGTCATCCCAGCACTGACATTCCGTGAGAGAAAACAGACAACAAATAAACAGCATGTGTCGGTGGTGATAAGTGAGAGGATGGAAAACAGAACAGGAGCTGGGCTTCTGCAGGACAGGGGAGTTACTTTAGATAGGGAAGGCTTCTCTGATAGCATGACTTAAACAGATTCCTGAATGAAGTGGAGAGTGAGTCAGGCAGATACATTCAGGAAGAACTTTCCAGACAGAGAACATGGTATCTGCAAAAGCGTCAAGGCAGGAGAGCTCTGGGTGTGTCTGAGGAACAACAAGGAGGCCAGCATGGCAGGAGCAGGGGAGAATGAAAGGAGGTGGGGACGCAGATGGGGCTGCCAGCCACAGGAATGACTTTGGCCTAGTTCTGAATGAGGAAAGACTGCAAACCTCCAGAGGGTTACTTAGGGACTGACCTAACTTAGTGTATTACTCTGTGCTCATGCTGCTAATAAAGACACGCCCGAGACTAGGTAACTGATAAAGGAAAGAGGTTTAATGGACTCACAGTTCCACATGGTTGGAGAGGCCTCACAATCATGGTGGAAGACGAAGAGCAAAGACGTCTTACATGGCAGTAGCAAGAGAGAGCGTGTACAGGGAAACTCCCCTTTATAAAACCGTCAGATCTCGTGAGACTTATTCACTATCACGAGAACAGCATGGGAAAGACTCACCCCCATGATTCAATTACCTCCCACCAGGTCCCTCCCATGACACGTGAGAATTATGGGAGCTACAATTCAAGACGAGATTTGGGTGGAGACACAGCCAAACTATATCACTTAGGTATTGAAAAGATCGCCCTGGACACTGTGTGAGCGGCTCTGTAGGCAGGGCTCATGCTAACACCCTCTGTCCTTGGCTGATGGCTCTCAGCCTGAGGAAGTTGGATCAAAAGTGCTCTTGGTGTGGGGATTTGATCACACAGGAAGGCTTTGAGATTCAGAAAGAAGTGGTTGTGACCCTCGTCTCTGTGGCAGCTGGACTGTGGTCCTCCCCTTCTGTCCTCCTTCTCTTTCCTTCCTTTGTAGGTGAAAGGGCTTTCAAAGCATAAATCAATCAGCAGATATAAAAGGCTAGGGCCCCTGGGGCTGGGAATGAACTAGGCTGAGGAAGGTGTTGTTGGTTCCATAAAGAGCAGGACCAGGAATGAGATGGAACCAACCTAAGTGCCATCAACCAATGAGGGGGATAAAGAAAATGTGGTACATACACACCACAGAATACTACTCAGCCAGAAAAAGGTATAAAATAATGTTTTTTGCAGAAACTTGGATGGAGCTAGAGGCCATTATTCTAAGTGAAGTAACTCAGGATGAAAAACCAAATATCTTATGTTCTCACTTATAAGTGGGAGCTAAGCAATGAAGACCCAAAGGCATGAGTGATATAATGGACTTTGGGGACTAGCGGGGGAAGATTGGGAGTGGGGGTGAGGGATAAAAGACTACATATTCGGTACAGTGTACACCACTCGAATGACAGTGCACTATCTCAGAAATCATCATTAAAGAATGCATCCACCTGAACCCCAAAAACTATTGAAATAAAAATAAAAAGAACAGGACCAGGGATGAGATGGGACCGGTGACTGGGAGCGGGATGGGATTCCCCTGCCCTTCCTTCACACTTACCTGCCACCTCCTGCTGGGAACTCTGTGGGAAGTGAGCGCCTGTTTAGGCTGAGTCTATTCTAAGACGCTGGCTTTGTGGGCAGCCAGCACTTAGCATTGACCCACTGAGCATGCGAGGTGGTGCCAGCTCACCAGTCGGGCTGTGATTTCAGACCAAAGGCGAGGGTGCGGTGCTGCTGTCTGGATGCGCGTTGAAGGTGGAAACAGTGACTCACCGCAGTGAGCACTTCCCTGCTCCCAGGTGTGGCCGGGCCAGCAGGGGCCTGCCTGCCAGACGCACCAGGGGGCCGGTTTGTGGGTCAGACACTCCATCTCGACACAAACAAGTGGTCAGAAAGGCCAGCGCTTCTTGGTTTTGTCTCTCAACTGTGAGTTCATATTGGTCGTAGCCGGGACTAGGGGTCATCCCAAGGACAGCTTGAACTCACTGTGTGGAGTGGGTCAGGAAAGCTCCAAGATGGAGGAAAACCAGCTGCGAGGTGGGAGGGAACATAGCCCTGCCTGTCCTGCCAAGGAGAGGCCTGGGGATGACTTGGGGAGAAGCAGTCATGGTCAGCACAGAGGGAGGCCTTCACCTGCCTTACAAGCTGGCCTGACCTCAGGTCCTGCCTGGTCAAACAGTGTGACATGCAGGTTGTGACTGGAGGAATAGGCGTGGGGCCCCAGCCCCTTGCTATAGTTGGCGGCCATAGCGATTTGCTGACTTCTTGCAAAAGGCCAGTTGCTTGGATTCTTGACCTGCTCTATCAGCCCTATCCCCACACCGCTCCCCTGGGTCATGTCCCTCTCTCTGAGCACATGTGTAATAAGTGCCCTGCTGGCCTGTGCTAGGGATATCGGGGTCTGCCCTGCTTGCCAGAGATACCAGGTTCTTCACTGATGGTGTCTCACCCTGGGGTACTGCTAGCAGCTGTAACAAATAACCCAGCAGCTCCTGTTTATAGTAACACAATGCAAACCTGTTTCTCACTCGGGTATTTCAGTGTGGGGCATTACTCATCCTCATGTAGATTAGGTGCCCGGGCTCCTTCCATGTTTGTCTCGGCCACCCTCGAGGGACGCAAAATCCTCTGCAAAGAGAGAGCAGAGAACCCCTATCTGCTTCTTAACAGCACCAGCCGGAAGTCACGCACATCACTTCTGCCCACAGTCCCTTGGTGACAAGTAGTCACATGGTCATCTCTGGATGTGAAGGGGTCTGGATCTAGGAAATGATGTCCTTGGCTTAGCAGTGGCCTCACCCAACAGCCTACACCTCTGATGGGCAAGCACTAACCTCTGGTGGACTGGCAGCCGAGTTGCCACATCTGGGTCTCTCTCTTTGTGTCTCTGCACTTGGGCGTGCTCCTCTCTTCATTCTGTCTCTCTTCTCTTCCCTCTGTCTGTGCTCCTGGATGTTATGCAGGTCACTCTGGCGGATTTCTCCCCACTGGAGTCCCCAGATGGGTGCAGGTGCCCGAAGGAGTCATTTATGCCACGATCACCTTGGGTACTGCTTACTCCCCGAGCTGGAATGCCAGTGATTCTTGCCTGCTGCCTGTCTCTCAAAGATGTGTGCATGTCCCGAGGGTGGCCACTGTCTTCTTCCTGTCCTCGTGCATGAGTCTTGCACTTGCATGCCACGTGCGATCTTCCAGAGGAGCAACCTACTTGGCTTTCCACAGCCCCCACCCCCCACCCATGTGGTATCAAAACACATGGCTAAAAGACCCACAGTGTGCATGGCTGTTCTGCCCTCAGTTCCACAGGACACAGTGAGGTAGAGTCTACCTAGGGATGGCAGATGGGGATGGCATTATCTCAGCATCCTGCCTCTCATTCCTGTTCACCCTGCCCCTCCTAGAAGCCAAGTATCTGTTTTAAGAATATCATACTGTTTTTGTTTTGTTTTGTTTTTGGGACAGAGTCTGGCTCTGTCACCCAGGCTGAAGTGCAGTGGCATGATCTTGGCTCACTGCAACCTTCACCTCCCAGGTTCAAGGGATTCTCCTGTCTCCGCCTCCCAAGTAGCTGGGATTACAGGCACGCATCACCATGACCGGCTAATTTTTGTATCTTTAGTAGAAACGGGGTTTTGTCATATTGGCCAGACTGGTTTGAAACTCCTGGCCTCAAGTGATCTGCCCTCCTCAGCCTTCCAAAGTACTGGAATTACAGGCATGAGCCACCATGCCTGGCCAAGAATATGCAATGTTTGTGGTGTGCTGTGATCCCTTTTAGGGGTAAAAACAATTATTAATATATTTGCTCTAAATTTCCTCCAAGATACTCCAGGAGTATGATTTGTTGTTCTTTTTTTTTTCTTTTTTTTAGACAGAGTCTCACCCTGCCGCCAGGCTGGAGTGCAGTGGCGCGATCTCAGCTCACCGCAATCTCCACTTCCTGGTTCAAATGATTCTCCTGCCTCAGCCTCCTGAGTAGCTGGGATTATAGGCGTCCATCACCATGCCCGGCTAATTTTTTTTTGTATTTTTAGAAAAGACAGGGTTTCACCATGTTGGCCAGGCTGGTCTCAAACTCCTGACCTCAAGTGATCCACCCGCCTTGGCCTCCCAAATTGCTGGGATTACAGGTGTGAGCCACCATGCCCAGCCTCTTTTTTTTCTCAATGTTTTTTCTTTCATACCTAGTCCTGTTGATGATTTGCCGTTCTTAGTTTCCTAATACCCCCATGGAGGAGGATGGGCAGATGTTAGAATTCTTCATGAAACATGTGGGGCAACCCCAGAAGCACAGAACAGTGGAGACTTACCCAAATTCTTCACAGTAAACTCTGTAGCCTCCTCCATTAATTTTTGTTACTGAAGGAAGTATCCCAATGACAGTATATCATTTTTTAAATGTCGCTTATTATACAGATAATGCAATACTGGCAATAAGGAAAAACATTTTTAAATCACCCTGATCCTACTACCCATCAAATCAACTATTTTGAGCTTTTTCTATGTTGCTTGCAGTGCTGATCTGTTTGCATGTATAGTTCTAACTGTGCTTTCTCCCTTATCATACCTTAGGGAGTTTATCCAGCTGCACACTAGTTTTCAGAGTTTTAAATGATTACAGTTGCATGGACATGACTAAGTGGGTAAAATCATGCTTTACTTACCCAGTCCCCTTCTGCTGACTGCTAAACAGCATTTGAATGAATATCCTAATGCATGTAACATTCTTTCCCACTCCCGCCCTTTTTTTTGAGACTGTCTCACTCTGTTGCGCAGGCTGGAGTGCCAGTGGCACGATCTCAGTTCATTGTAACCTTCGCCTCCTGGGCTCAAGCCATCCTCCCACCTCAGCCTCCCAAGTAGCTGGGACTACAGGTGCATACCACCATGCCCAGCTAATTTTTGTATTTTTTTTAGAGATGGGGTTCTGCCATGCTGCCCAGGCTGGTCTTGAACTCCTGAGCTCAAGTGATCCACCTGCCTTGGCCTCCCAGAATGCCAGAATTACAGGTGTGAGCCACCACGCCTGGCCCCTTCTCTTTTTAAAAAACTAGTTTCCTAGGATAAAATACCAGGACTGGGATTATTGGATCAAAGAGTATGGGTGTTTTTTATGGCTCTTGAAACAGGCTGCCAGACTGCTTTCTGAGAAGCCTGTGTTAATTTACGTTGTCACCTATAACGTAAGAGTTCAGGGTTCCATCCTGGGTAATACTGCTATTTTCAGTCTTATTTAATAGGTATAAATTATACACTTTTATATTAAGCCATTAAGAGAAGTAGTGTCACATGGCTTTTAAAGAAAATTGATACTAAAATGTTTAAAATGTTGTTTTTAGAAATATTAAAACACATTTTCACTGGCACTGTTGCTAGAATAACTATTGCAGAGGCCTCATCCCATTTTTCTATATTCTGTTTCAAATGTGCTTCTTAGTAAAATCAAACGTGCTTCTTAGTAAAATCGACAACATTTTATCTAGCTATACAGATAGGAGAAAGGGCTTCTGGATTCTTCTGCCAAGACTTACGGGTCTATGGGCTGGTCCTCTTCTGAAGGGTGTCATGGGAATGAAGGCAGAGTGTCATTCAGCCTGACTCAAGGGGACAGAACAAGGACTGCCATGCGGAAGTCAGGGAAATAGATGCTGAGTCCATTTCCTAACTGACAGGGCTGCCGGGAATGGGAGTATCCAGGGATCAGGAGATAGTGAGCCCTCCGTGGGAAATTTGGGCAGAGCATCAAGGTTATGATAGACAGGATTCCTGTGCCAGGGGTTGGACTGAAATCCTGAGGTTCCCTTTCCTCCATGTCCTGCTTTTCAGGGATAGATGGATGGATGAATAGAGAGAGAGATAGATCAATCAATCGATGGACAGATGAACTGATTGATTTTTCTTCACATGGTTTTTGTTTTGTCCTTGAATAGAGCAGTAGGACTTGGGAACAGAATAGCTCTTGCAGGGTGGTGGGGGCAGAAACTAGAAACTGAGGCAGTTGGGGTATGCGTAGAATCGTGCATGATTTGTGCTCTGATGAGTTTTAGGATTCTTTCAAAACAAAAGAGGAAGGGTTTAAGTTAGACACTAGTAAAAGGAGCTACATTTGTGCCAGGAGGTATTAGGCAGGGAGGGAGAGCAAGCAGTGTCTGTGGAGGGTATGAGTGGAGGTTTGAAGAAGGGCTATGACTGGGAGAGGGTATTTGGGAGTAAGAAGGTGGCCCCTTTCCCCAGAAAGTGTTTCCTGCTGTGGTTTATTTGGACTTTTATTTCTGAGGAGCCACAGCCCCTTCCCCAGATCTAGGACTGAGCCAGGCCCAGCCAGGCCAGCGGCCATCAGAGGCCTGCCTCACATACAGCTCAGGTGGAGCACGGATGGCGTTCTCTTCCTCCTGAGCCCTTGGAATGCCAGAGGCCAGGCCTGGGAGAACCTGGCAACATCCCACCCCACGCCTTTCATCTTTCATTTGAGGAATTAGAGGCCCCGAGTAGGAGAACTGGCCTTGTCAAGAGCAAACAGTTGGTCTGTGGGGCAGTGTCTTCTCAGGGTTTCTGTGGAGTTGGGAGTGACAGGATTTGAGGAAGAAAAGGGAGAGACTTTGGTTTTCAGTTATTTGTGTTTTGTGGCCACAGGCAGCATCCAAGAAGCCTTGCTGAGGGGTTTGGGGGCAGGAAAGCCAGCCCTGGGATCTGGCTGCTGGCTGTGGGGCTGCTTTGAGGGCAGGGAGAGTCGGGGGCTGTGGTCTGGCTGCTGCTGCTCCTGCCTGCTGCCCTCCCCAGCGATGCTGCTTCAGGACTGTCCCCTGCCCCATGGGGCCCTGACCGAGCTGGTCTTCCTTGCAGAGGACGGAGAGGCTGTGAGCAGCTCCTACGAGTCCTACGATGAAGAGGACGGCAGCAAGGGCAAGTCGGCCCCTTACCAGTGGCCCTCGCCGGAGGCCGGCATCGAGCTGATGCGTGACGCCCGCATCTGCGCCTTCCTGTGGCGCAAGAAGTGGCTGGGACAGTGGGCCAAGCAGCTCTGTGTCATCAAGGACAACAGGCTTCTGGTCAGTCTGCCTTACGTCGTCTTGTCCCCCGACTCCTCTCCTTGGGGAAGGGGCAGGGACAGGGAAGGAGGGACAGGATGGTCCCTGACCTCAGAGGTTTCGAGCTTGTTTATGTCAGGAGATTTTAACTTCTCCCTAATCTGAAATTGTATACAGGATTTTGTGTGTATGGATGAATGTACTTTTTCTGAACCAGAAAGGTCTAGTAGTTTCATCAAGTTCTCAAAGGGGGTTGTGACTACCACCGCCTCCCCCATCCCCATCCCATCCTCCTCTTTGTGAGACAGATACATCTTTCTGTCCCCTGGTCCTTTTTCACATCCTGTCCGCTGGAGTCCAGTCAGGCTCCTCCAGCCCAGCCCCAATTCTGGCTACTGTTTTTTGTTGTTGTTTTGTTTTGTTTGTTTGTTGTTGTTTTTGAGACAGAGTCTTGCTCTGTCGCCCAGGCTGCAGTGCAGTGGCGCAATCTTGGCTCACTGCAAGCTCCACCTCCTGGGTTCAAGTGATTCTCCTGCCTCAGCCTCCTGAGTAGCTGGGATTACAGGCGCCCGCCACCACGCCTGGCTAATTTATGTATTTTTAGTAGAGACGGGGTTTCACCATGTTGGTCAGGCTGGTCTCGAACTCCGGACTTTGTGATCTGCCTGCCTCAGCCTCCCAAAGTGCTGGGTTTACAGGCGTGAGCCACTGCGCCCAGCCCTGGCTACTGTTTTTATCTGTGCAGCATGAGAATGCTAGGTATCTTCTCAGAAGCAACAATATTTTGAATTAGTGATTACAAGACCAGACCCAGCAAGGAACCAGACATTACTCTGACAACAGTCCTGTTTCCTGCTATTTTAAATTAAAATTCCCAGTTGCGTGTCCTGATTTGAAATTCCACGGAATTATTATAAACACCTTTTCTTGCCTGGTTACAACAGGCCCTGCTCCGTGCCAATGTTATTTCAAGTAATCCTTTTAAGCAACCCTGTAACCCCATTTTACAAATGGGAAGCCAAGGGATAAAGTATTTTCTCTAGTAGGGGAAGAGTCCTTCCTTTCTTTGTTAATACATCATCTTCCTAACTAGGCAGATAAGAGGCTTAGTTTTTGTGCCTTATGGATCCTTTACTCCAGAAGCCAAGCAAGCAATACAGAGAGGTGGAGAAACAGTGAAAGTCTGTCCACTTTGGAGAACTGAACGGTGAACACAGAGGACGTATTTTAGGCCCTCCAGGCCTGGGGCAAGTTTGAGCCATTTGGATGGCAGCATCCTGGAGCATCCTTGGCTGAGGCCAGTGAGAAGGAGGCTTGAGGGAGAGAGGGACAATCTGATGTGAAGAACAGGAGTTGCTGATATTTGAGGTTAAGGCTCCAGGCCTGCTTCGGGGTGTCCAGCCTCTTAGTCTTGCTGGGTTAAGTCAGGCTCTTGGTGAGTCCTGCAACGTCCAGCGGCCCCTCCTTTGCAGACATCACCTCCGCCCGGCACCCCTGGCAAAGTGGTGTATCTTCTCTCTTTCCTTCCAGTGCTACAAATCCTCCAAGGACCACAGCCCTCAGCTGGACGTGAACCTACTGGGCAGCAGCGTCATTCACAAGGAGAAGCAAGTGCGGAAGAAGGAGCACAAGCTGAAGATCACGCCGATGAATGCCGATGTGATTGTGCTGGGCCTGCAGAGCAAGGACCAGGCTGAGCAGTGGCTCAGGGTGAGGGCGACACCGAGCCACTTGGAGGGGTTCCTAGAGTTGTGGCCCCCAGCTTTTCTAAAGGGATGGATGATAGGGTCAGGGGTAGAGGATTTGTGATCCTTCAAGTTTGCAGGGCTTCCTGTGTTCTAAGTGGTAACGATCTGTCTTCTGCAAATGGGTTACAGCGTGCTGCTGCCAGTTCTGAATCCCCAGTAGCCCGGACTTGGGTGCAGTTGAAATCCATTTCCCTTTTTGCCTTTAGTGAGGCATCCCCCTCCTCCTTATTAAAGAAGAATACATGTCGCTGCCATTTGCCACGTATTTGCCATAGACCCAGGACTATTAGCATCTTTAACCCACGTAACCACACTGGGGATGGCTGGGGAATGTTCATGTCCCCATTTTACAGGAGTGGTGATTAAGGCTCAAAGGATGGAGGTGATGGATCAAAGTCGTCTGCCAAGTGGTGGCAGCATTGGTTCTCAGACCGAGGCCCGTCTACACAGTGCTGTGCCTCCTCCCACCACGAATGCACGTGGCCCACTCTGCCCACGCGTCCCTGGGTGTGATTATGAGGCACTTGGGGAGGGGCTTGCTTGCCTCAGGTGAAAGCTGGGCTTGATGCTTCCAGCGGATGTAAAGTTTGCACCAGGAATGGATCCCCAGTTCCAGAGGGACCTCCAAACCCAGCAGGGACCCTGGTGAGGCCAGTGAGAGCCAGAGCAGCCCTTCCCCTCCTTCCTGCTGCCCCTCCCCTCCTTCCTGCTGCCCCCTCTCCCATCACAACCACTTCAGCCCAGAAGCGTTCTATCCACCCCGCACCCCACCCCACTCCACCTGCCACCCAGCTAAACATAACCACCTTGGCGAGCCTGTCAGAAACAGATCTGGACCGCTGTGGTAAAACAGGACCTCAGTACCCGCCTGAGGCACTGGTCCACCCCTAGGCTGAGTATCCTAGATTTGGAGCAGGCAGGCTGTTTTTGTAAATCCACTAATTGTTTTGGAAATGCCAGGCCTGTCCTAACCAAGCTTCTAGAAGGTGCTGACAGGTATCCCCATCTTTATTGCAAAATCTTCAAGTGGTGAAAGACAGTGGTATGTAGAAAAAGGCCACTGCATAGACAGGTTTGTGGTTTGGCTTCACAGATCTCCATGTAGGGTGGGGTTCCTGAGAGAGCTAACAAGCTCTGAAAGGCCAGCCCTGGGCATTTAAGAGCCAGGGCTCTGAGTTCAAATCCTGGCTTCACCCCTGTTTAGCTGAGTGATTTGGGGCTGGATCCTTTAATGTGCACAAAGTGCTTAGCACTGTGCTTGGTATATACTGAGTGCTCCGTGAAACTTGGATAGTACAGATAAGACCACTGAGGCCCAGAGGGAATGGGGGGCTTGTCCTGGGCTGCAGAGCTGATTAGGACCCAGAGCTCTGGGCTGTTGGTTTCTTACCCCAGTCTCCTGCCTCACCCACTACACACACATACTCATTTGCACACATATATGCACACATGCACATTCATGTATACATTTGTACACACACGGACAAATGCACATGTATGCACATTTGCATACACATTTTTGCTCATGCATGCATTGCGCATGTATATGTACACACACACACACACACACACACACACACACACACACACACACACACTCTGCTCTTGCCCCCAGTTCCCCGCTCTGTTCCTCTGACTGCTCAAATCCACCGATCTTCTCCCTGGCCCCTAGCCTCCCTCCCCAAACTCTCACGCCCTCTTCCTGAGGCCCCTGGCCCCATAGCCTCTGCTGGTGGTTTCAAAGACAAGAACGCTTTCAGCAGGCACAGACTTTCTGTGTCCAGCCTCCACAGAGAGACCCTTCCCCCCAGCTCAGACAAGTGCAGAGGTGGACTTGGCTGGAAATGCCTGCTCTCAGAAGCCGCCCACTCTTGCGCTTTGGCAGTGGGGGCTGGTCCACCTGTCTGATGGGCTCTCCACCTACCTGCATTGGCTTTGTGAAGCCCATCTACCTTCCTTGGACCTCTGTGTCCCAATTCTGCATATCCGCACCCATGCCCAGGGTGAGACAGGTATATGACAGTAAACGGGAGATGCTGACTATGGGACGACGGTCCCAGTAAAGGAAGGCACAAGGCAGGGCTTTTCCCAGGAAGCATGACCCTGCCCCCGCCCCACTCCTGAACTCCTGGCTTAGTGGCACTTTCCCTGGGCAGGGCCATCCGTGTATTTGGCCCAAGCTAATAGGGATGGTAATCCATGTGCCTGCCCTGTGCTGGGTGCTTGACATACAAGCGCTCACAGCTGGCTCGTGGCAAAGGTATTGACCCAGCTTACAGATGCAGTGGCTGAGGCTCAGGCTCAATGTCACACAGGTGCCAACCCTAGTGCCTGTGCTCTTCCTATGACACTGGGTTGCATATTCAGTGTGGACCACAGTCCCGAACTGGAGTTCTTGGGCTCTTCTGATTTGAAACCCATTTCCACAAACTGCTCTAGGCATAGACTGAAAGAGGGGGATCTATGAAATCACTCTAACTAATTCTGCGTTTCCAAAGGGCTTCCAGGTGGGTAGTGTGTTTCTGGTCGCCCTGGGAGTTCCCCCGGCAAGAAGGGAGTGCCCCTGGCTCAGACTGAGGCAATGCTTTCATAGTCAGAGCCACTGCTGACTTTCTGCATCTGCCCCCAGCCCAGGCTCTGTTCCTCTGACTGCCCAAACCCACCTATCCTTTTCCGGACCCAGCCTCCCTTCCCAGAGTCTCACGCCCTCTTCCTGAGACCCCCTGCCCCATAGCCTCTGCTTGGGGTTTCAAAGACAAGAACGCTTTCAGAAGGCACAGCCTTTCTGTGTCCAGCCTTTACAGAGAGACCCTCTTCCTCCACTGGTCAATGAAGCCAGTGAAGAGGCCCCTTCCCAGAGGCGGGCGGGCGGGTGGGTGGCGGCAGGCGAGTCGGGAGAGCCAGAGGGTGGTTGGAACAAGGGAGTTTGCAGGCCTGCTCCTCAGGCAGCGTGGAGACTCCACAGAGAGTTGCATGACCTCTGAAAAGCCAGAGGACTGTCTAGCAAGGCAGTTGTTGATCACGCCTGCAACAGAACAGTAGCCCTGCCTGGAATGGTGGCAGGAAAGGGGCTCGCGGAGCCCTGGGCTGGTGGCTCTGGTCATCTTTGGCCTTTGCTGCCAAGGCCCCCCCTCGCATGCCCATGAACGTGTGGGACCTGCGGAAAGGAGCTAAACAACGAGCCCTCCCCACTGCAGCCTGCCCAGCTGGGTCTGAGGCCACATGCAGGCCTTGGGGCTGGGGTCGGGTGGGTCCTCTTCCTTGGAAATTCATCTTCTCTCTCACCTCCACCCACTCTCCCCTGACCTGCAGGGGCCCTGGCTTCAGCCTGGCTGTGAGTGCTGGCCAGAGGACCTCAGCCTCTGCTGACGGCTTCCCTCTTGCCTCAGGTCATCCAGGAAGTGAGCGGCCTGCCTTCCGAAGGAGCATCTGAAGGAAACCAGTACACCCCGGATGCCCAGCGCTTTAACTGCCAGAAAGTAAGCCTCTGCCCTGCCTGGAGGGAGAGTCCCCTTCCATGTTTTCTCTGTAAAAATTAAAAGTGCAAAATTGGGAGCTTCGTTTTTATATTTCAGTCCAATTAATAAGAAACATACAATGCTTGAGGCCGGGCAGGGTGGGCTCACGCCTGTAAGCCAAGCACTTTGGGAGGCTGAGGCAGGTGGATCACCTGAAGTCAGGGATTTGAGACCAGCCTGGCCAACATGGTGAAACCGTGCCTTTACTAAAAATACAAAAATAGCCAGGCGTGGTGGTGGGCGCCTGTAATCCCAGCTACTCGGGAGCCTGAGGCAGGAGAATCACTTGAACCCAGGAGGCGGAGGTTGCAGTGAGCTGAGATAGCGCCAGTGCACTCCAGCCTGGGTGACAGAGGGAGACTCCATCTCAAAAAAAGAAAAAAGAGAAGAAGAAACATACACTGCTTGGAAAAGAGGAGTAACTCTAGCTTGGCAGGAAAATGGAGGAAACGGATACAGACCTAAAATATTTTCTTGCTTGTAGGTGCCGGGGGTGGGCGAATGGGGAGACAGGGGGAAGCTTTATTGGAACAACAGTCACTTTGGCCTGCATTCTTAAGTAGGGAGATTGATTTTATGAGGCACTTCCTTTCCCCTTATTCCTCAGTAGCGCCTCTGGGCTTGGGGCACTATCTCAAGGCTGATTGCAACCAAAGGGCTGTAGTCCTCATTTGCATGGTGCTTTCGGGGAGCTTTAGGCTTAAAGGTCAAGGCTGAAAAAGTTGAATTAGGTTCTGGCCAAAAGGAGGATCATCACCTGTGGGGTCACATTTCCTGTCCCTGAGTACCTGCAGGTAGGTGTCCTGAAGCGTGGGCACACATAGAACAGCCAGAACATCACTGTGGCTCCTCTTGGGGTCCCCACCCCAGCAGGGAGGAAAACAAGAGGCACACAGAGGGCTCGAGCAGAAAGGAGGCCACTTACTCTCCAGAAGGCACAGGTCATCCCACATGGAGAAATAGCCCACAGTCCTTCCAGATTCCAGAGTGACTCAGGAGGGGCCATTTTTCATTATCTCATTTATTCCTTGGCCACTGACAAGAAAACAAAAGTTGGAAAGAAGTTGGGTTTTCTTCAAAGACTCGGCATGCAGTGCTTCCTTGGCCAGGGACTGCTGGCCCTGGACCCTGCCTAAGGCCGGTCCTGTTGCTTGGGAGACTGTCAGCTTGTTTTCCAGAGGTATGGAGTCGGTGACTCTCTAAACGCAGCTTGATTGGAATATTCTGAGGGTTTCATGTTCTAACAGTAGCAGCAGCTACACTTTTCTAGGGATCATCTTGAGTCCCCAACACCCCTGTGAGCAGACTGGGATGTCATCCCTATGTGACACATGCAGAGTGAGGCTCAGAGAGGCTCATTTAACTTGGGCACCAGCCTGGCAGCAGAATGCTCCGGCCAGGACTCAAATCACATGGTCTGCTCCTGTGCAGACGAACCAGCTCACATTGCTAGAACAGTCAGCTCTCAAAAGACTTCTTCACACTCTCAGTATGAGTGGTTTCTAGCTTGACAGTTAACATCATAGGGGATGCAGACTCTAATGCCACCCCTGAGCAGCCTGCTTGCCCTGCCCACTGGCTACAGGGTCACTGTCACATCAGGTTGAGCAGCCATTTGGAAGCTGGGCCAATGTCCTACCAGTGACCTGGATTCTGCCGTTTAGGTGGCCGGCAGGGATTTGCTCAGCTGACCTCTGGCATACAACCAAGAGCCATCTATTATTTTCCCTTCAATTGTGGTCTCCAAGGTAACTGTTCCCAGCCAGTGATCCCCATTCATGTCGCTTTTGTCCATAGCCAGATATAGCTGAGAAGTACCTGTCGGCTTCAGAGTATGGGAGCTCCGTGGATGGCCACCCTGAGGTCCCAGAAACCAAAGACGGTAACATCATGTGGTTGGGAGGGGAATGGTGTCCCAGGCTGTGAGGCTGGGCTGTCAGGCTCAACCCTGATGGGTTTTAGCAGCGGATTCTAACATGGCCCCCTATTAATAAACCACTCGGAAATACTGCTGTTAGATCCAGGAAAAAGGGAGACTCGGCCAAATTGAAGTTAAGCTTCATGAAATGCTGGGGATAGAATGTTCTTCCATCTCTTCTTGTTTGCTAACCCTATTTCAAATCTCTTTGAGCCAGTACAGTGTGTAAAGATTCTCAAGTGGTTGCATATTCTATAAGAAGTCTGTGTACCCCTCTTGAGTGTGTGACTTTAAAGACACCTGACTGTGGCCTGCAGGTCCTGGTTTGAGGAGATGTGTGTGTGTGTATGCGTGCATATGTGCGCGCATATGTAGCGGGGAGGGATGGGTGGATGGAGTGGAAATGGGTTTGCTATTTTTTCCATCTCTCATGGGCACGTGGGTGGACCACGTGCAATACGAATTGCTTTCTGTCTCATCTTGACAGTCAAGAAGAAATGTTCTGCTGGCCTCAAACTGAGCAACCTAATGAATCTGGGCAGGAAGAAATCCACCTCACTGGAGCCTGTGGAGAGGTCCCTCGAGACATCCAGTAAGAATTGTAGCTACCTCCGGGACCACAGGCTCATTTCCTGGGCTGGAACCTGCAGGAAGGCGAGCTCAGACAGCGAAGGCAGGGGGTTTTAGGTCTTCCGTAAACATCTCTAGGAATGGAGAGCCTGCAGCCCTCAGGTTCCCGTCTGTTGTTACTGCAGGCAGTTCTTTATGCCTGATCCAACTCTCTCTTGCTGCAATGTTGGGGCCTTTGTGGAAGTGAAGGGTAACTGATTGGTGTCCTCCTAGTATTCTTTTAAAAATGATGTTCATTTGATCTATATTTACAGGGTATATAGCAGGGACCTTGCTAAAAGGGGACCAAGCAGAAGGATGGCAGGCACAGTACTGAGAGCTCACAGCCTGCCTGAGGGAGGTGATGATTTTATACCCATAAGCACGCACTGTGCCATCTTCGTAGCTATCAGGACTCAGGGACAGAGAGAACTTTTCTTGCCCTGTGGTCAGAGATAGCTTTGTGGACCTGAGCCTTGAGGGGCATGTAGGAGTGGAATGGGCTGGAATGGTGCTTGTGGACAGGAGCAATGACTCTGAAATGGGAACAACCGAGACTATGAAGGGGACAATGAGAACCCTGTACTGGTGCAGAGGGTATGGGTGCAGGTAGGCTCTTAGAGGTCATCTCTACAGCCTTAGCTCATACTCAGGGAAACTGAGGTTAGGAGGAGCGACAAGCCTTTCTTGGGAAATATCTTGGGGTGGGCCTGGTATCTTGATCCCCAAGCGGGTCCCACATTGGGGGTCATCCTTCCAGGGGCCTGAAGGCCATTATTGTCCCATCTCTGGGTTCCCTTCCTGAGTCCCAGTTGAGTTTTCTTGTGTTTTGAGGCTGGCAGGGTGGTGGGGGTGGGCTAGGAGGTGTGTCTTTGCATTCTCCGGCTTCTCCAGCCAGGGTGCCAGGCAGTGGCCTCAGGGGGCATGATGTTTGGCCTGGGAGCTCAGTCCCTGTGAGTCACTGTTTAAGAGATGTGGCTGGGTGATTGCTGGATGTCTACTCAGCAGTGAAGTATGCTTCCTGCGGCTAGGGGAGGGCTGAGAGAGAATACAGCTGCTCTCCTTCCCAGGACTGGGGGTGCTTAATGATCTGAGATCCCACCTCTCATGATCCAAAGTTCTCTGTGGTCCAGAGGATTGTGACGGGTGTGTGTGTCATCTCAGTCCTGGTCTCTAATTCTTCCACTTTGTGTTAATGTGGCTTGGCGATATGCATGATCCCCACTGGGCCAGGCAGGAAGGTAGCTGTGCATTTTCACGCTATTGCCTGGTTCAGCCAGCCAAAGCTCAGGGCAGCTTCCAATCCCTTAGGACAGGGAAGGTGTCTGATGGGTTCTGAAGCTGAGAATCTGGGGGACTCTAAGGAAGCCTAGAGGCAGTGCCAGCATAGGACACACCTAGACACCCATGCCCTCCTGCCCCCGCATCCCCTCCTGCCCCCGCGTCCCCTCCTGCCCCCGCGTCCCCTCCTGGATCTGCGTCCCCTCCTGCAGCCCCGACGCCTCCTGCATCTGCGTCCCCTCCTGCAGCCCCGACCAGTCCTGTACGTGCACCCCCTCCTGCATCTGCATCTCCTCCTGTAGCCCCATCCCCTCCTGCAGCCCCGCTCCCTCCTGCAGCCCCATCCCGTCCTGCAGCCCCGTCCCCTCCTGCACCTGCATCCCTCCAGGCATCTGCATCCCTTCCTGCATCTGCATCTCCTTCTGCAGCCCCGTCGCTTCNTGCATCTGCGCCCCCTTCTGCATCTGTGTCCCCTCCTGCATCTGCGTCCCCTCCTGCATCTGCGTCCCCTCCTGCAGCCCCGACCCCTCCTGTACCTGCACCCCCCCTGCATCTGCATCTCCTCCTGCAGCCCCGTCCCCTCCTGCACCTGTGTCCCCTCCTGCACCCGCGTCCCCTCCTGCCCCTGCGCCCCCTCCTGCACCCGCGTCCCCTCCTGCACCCGCGTCCCCTCCTGGATCTGCCTCCCCTCCTGCAGCCCCGACGCCTCCTGCATCTGCGTCCCCTCCTGCAGCCCCGACCAGTCCTGTACGTGCACCCCCTCCTGCATCTGCATCTCCTCCTGTAGCCCCGTCCCCTCCAGCCCCGCTCCCTCCTGCAGCCCCGTCCCCTCCTGCACCTGCATCCCCTCCTGCATCTGCATCTCCTCCTGCATCTGCATCCCCTCCTGCATCTGCATCTCCTTCTGCAGCCCCGTCGCCTCCTGCATCTGCGCCCCCTCCTGCATCTGTGTCCCCTCCTGCAGCCCCAACCCCTCCTGTACCTGCACCCCCTCCTGCATCTCCTCCTGCAGCCCCGTCCCCTCCTGCATCTGCGTCCCCTCCTGCACCTGCGTCCCCTCCTGCATCTGCGTCCCCTCCTGCATCTGCATCTCCTTCTGCAGCGCCGTCCCCTCCTGCAGCCCCGCTCTCTCCTGCAGCCCCGCTCCCTCCTGCAGCCCAGTCCCCTCCTGCATCCGCGACCCCTCCTGCAGCTCCGTCCCCTCCTGCGTCCGCATCCCCTCCTGCATCCGCGTGCCCTCCCACATCCACGTCTCCTCCCGCAGCCCCGCCCCCTCCTTTATCTGCATGCCCTCCCGCAGCCCCGCCCCCTCCTTCATCTGCGTCCCCTCCTGCAGCCCAGTCCCCTCCTGCAGCCCAGTCCCCTCCTGCATCTGCGTCCCCTCCTGCAGCCCGGTCCCCTCCTGCATCTGCGTCCCCTCCTGGAGCCCAGTCCCCTCTTGCATCCGCATCCGCTTCCCCTCCCGCAGCCCCGCCCCCTCCTGCATCTGTGTGCCCTCCCGAAGCCCCGCCCCCTCCTGCATCTGCGTCCCCTCCTGCAGCCCTGTCCCCTCCTGCATCTGCACTTCCTCCTGCAGGTTACCTGAACGTGCTGGTGAACAGCCAGTGGAAGTCTCGCTGGTGCTCTGTCAGGGACAATCACCTGCACTTCTACCAGGACCGGAACCGGAGCAAGGTGGCCCAGCAACCCCTCAGCCTGGTGGGCTGCGAGGTGGTCCCAGACCCCAGCCCCGACCACCTCTACTCCTTCCGCATCCTCCACAAGGGCGAGGAGCTGGCCAAGCTTGAGGTACCGCCGGCCTGCAGGGGGAGCAGGGCCAGCCAGGGTGTGGCGGTGGTGGCTGTTTGCTGCCAGTCTCCAGGACTGTAATGCTACTAAGGGAGAATCAATGTCCCCGCGTGTTATTTTTACTTCGTTTGCCTGAGATTGTTTGCATTTTTAAAAATTTCCATTCCTTTTCTGACCTCAGAGTAGTTGCGTTATAAGAGTGGAACCATGCGCTACTTCCTGCACTTAGGGCAGAAGGAGTATTTTTAGTTCTCTGAGCTACTGGAAAAGCTGCTGGGGATTCAAAGTGGGTGTTGTTTTGTTTGGGTATCACCAGCTGGGAGAGCCTCTAGGCCCAGTACGTAAAAACCACACTGTTAGAGCTTATCTGGGGGAAAAAATTCGCTTTGTGATACAATTACATTCCTCTCGCTCCCCATCCTCCCTTTGATGTGATGTTACGTTTACAAAAATAAGAAGTGACATAACGCTTTGCAAGCTGCGGCAGGCGGAGACCGAGTCCCTTCCACGCATGGAAGCACACACTTGCCCGTGAATGTCCGTTCACTTAGTCTTTGATGTGGAGGTCCTCATCCAAACTTTGCTCCAATCCTGCCCTCTGGTGGCTGAAAGACCCACATCGCAATTGCTTCCCAGGGTCCAGCTTGTAGCTTATATTCATCCATTCAGAGGTTCCCCATCAACAGACATCTTCTCAGCACAGGAATATGGTGGACAAGAGCAATATGGACTCCGTCCTTGTGGCACTTACATCCTAGTTTGGGAGTGTGATGTTATTCAGCAAATTACCCAGCCAATCGCTGGGCTACAATGGCTGGAAAGAAGTGGGGAGGGTGCTATAGACTTGTACTGGGGTCTGGGTGACAGGCTGGAGCGGGAGGGACAGGGCTTGATCCTAGGAGCAACGGAGCCCTGATGGCTTTCAGGGGAGGGCGGCAAGCTCAGATCGGGGTTTTGAGATGCTTCCTCCAGCTACTGGGGTGGGAGTGGATCGGAGGGGGCAAGAAGGGACCTGCTAGGAAGCTGTCGCAGCTGTCCAGGGCAGAGACGCAGCCTGGACTAGGGGAGGCCCATGAAAAGCTGTATTTAGAATCCAGTTGAAACTAAGTGGGGGCCGGGCATGATGGCCCACGCCTGTAACCCCAGCACTTTGGGAGGCTGAGGCAGGTGGATCACCCGAGGTCAGGAGTTTGAAACCAGCCTGGCCAACATGGTGAAACCCTGTCTCTACTAAAATACAAAAATTAGCTGGGTGTGGTGGTGGGCGCCTGTAGTCCCAGCTACTTGGGAGGCTGACACAGGAGAATTGCTTGAAGCCGGGAGGCAGAGGCTACAGTGAGCCAAGATCCCACCGCTGCACTCCAGCCTGGGCGACAGAACAAGATTCTGTCTTTAAAATAAAAAAAAACTGGGAAAAGGAAACCAACTAAATGTCAAATTCTGCTCATCACGGCCTCTTTGATGAAGAGAATGTAGCAGCAAACGTGATGGAGCTATGGGTTATACCAAAGGGGGCTGATTTTCCTCATCAAAATAAACCTATAGCTTTGATTAAATGGGCAGTTTTTTCTCATTATAAAGGTAAGAAACAGTGTGGACATTTTAATTGAGGTACCCAATGGATGCATTTGATTAGAATGCATTGTCCCCTGGAAAAAAAAATACCAAATTCACTGGGATTTTGATGATGATTTAGCAGCTGAGCTAGTGTAAGGTATTTAAAAGATGTCCCGACTTTACTGAAGCCATGAACAAAATAAATTTGAATGTTGTTATTTCTTGGGGATCCAGGAAGTCTTGTTGTATATGGGATTGGGGGAATGACATGCATTGTTCATAAAATACAAGTGTCAACTTAAAAGACATACAATTTTTTAATCATTTTAAAAACTATTAATTAACAGGTGGTCACTAACAGTTTTTAATAGTGACCACCTGGTGATAAGTTTTCACCTCCTAGAAACACAATGTATATACATCTCATATGGCCCTTGGGACAAAAGTCCACAGCATTATTGAGGTGGCATCAAGATGTCACTGACGACAGGAAATATTATCTGGGGCCACTGGGGGGTGGGATAGGCTGGTGAACAGGAGAAGCACAGCCCCGGGCTGTTACAGAGGCTTTCGTGGGCAGGCTCAGGGGTAGGGGTACGGTCATGGCCTGGTGGGGAGGGGCTGGCACCAGGCAGCACTGCCTGGCCCTGCTTATGTCTCTCTTGGCCTCGTTCCAGGCCAAGTCTTCCGAGGAAATGGGCCACTGGCTGGGTCTCCTGCTCTCTGAGTCAGGCTCCAAGACAGACCCAGAAGAGTTCACCTACGACTATGTGGATGCCGATAGGGTCTCCTGTATTGTGAGTGCGGCCAAAAACTCTCTCTTGTGAGTAATTTGGACCCTTCCTCCGTACACTCTCTTATTCCTGGCCATGCTGTAGGCCCTGGGTCAGCCAGAGTCAGGGGCAGCAGGGAGCACAGGGTCCCACCCCACTCTGCCCAGCAGCAGGAAAATGTGAAGCCAAGGAGTAGCCCTCAGGGAGGCCCGGCCAAGAGCCAGGAGCTGAGCTAAGAGCAAGGAGCCGAGCCAGGCTTCGGGCCCCGGGGGCAGCTTTGGCATCCTCAGAGGCAGTTAGACTCTCCAGCTCCTCCAGGCAGAGCTGTCACCTTTCCTGACCTCCTACTTGTCCTTCTGGTGAATCCCTCACTGGGTCTCCAGCACACCCTGGAGAAAAGCAGGTCAGGGGGTGGTGCTTCTGTTTCCAGATGAGCAAACTAGGGCTGAGGGAGAGGGCGTTCTCTGGTCAGGGTGGTAGAGCCAGTCTCGTGGAAGCCGGCTGAGCCACTGAAACAGAATCAGTTTTCTCATGGACCAAACGGGGATAGTGTCTGGCCTGCGCCACCCCAAGTGTATTGTGAAGATGAAATGAGAAGGGGTTTTTTGTTGTGGTTGCTGGAAGGAGATCCTAGAAGGGAGGAATGGGGGAGAAGATGGCAAAGGGATCCTAGGACGAGGCGTATGGGCAAGGGAAGCTTGTCTTTCTGGGAGGAAAATCTCGAACCAAGAATTTCAGGAAGAAGGCACTGGGAAAAGAGGGAGGAGGTGCCCTCAGATCCATGGAGGTGAGTGTCAGCCCCCAGATCTCTTGTGTGGCCACCACTTTCACGGCAACCACTCCTCACTGGGAATCCTTGGAGTCTGGTGCTTTCACCACCCTGCCCCGGCTGCTTCATGTGTGCCACCTCGCCCTGTTTCCAGACTGATGCAGAGAAAGTTCTCAGAGCCCAACACTTACATCGATGGCCTGCCTAGCCAGGACCGCCAGGAGGAGCTGTATGACGACGTGGACCTGTCAGAGCTCACAGCTGCGGTAAGGACCCGGCCAGGCAGTGGCCTGGGCCTCTCCAGGCCCTCCTCCTACCAACCTCAACACCTGGATGCCAGAGATCATTAGAGTATCCCTGAGATGAGATGAGTGGGTTCTGAGTCACCTACCAGGCCAGTAGTGCAGACACCTAAGTGCAACAAGGCTGTCTCCTATATGTGAGGCTGTGCAGTTTGCTTGGCTTGGGGACTTATCTAGATGAAACACCGGTGAACCCCTCTCGTCAGGGCTAGGGGTGTGGTGGTGGGATTGGGAGTGGAGGTACCAGTAGGCTTCCAGGTCCAAATCGGTTGTTGAGTGGGATGATCACACCGATGGCAACTTCCACGTTTTGGGCACTGAACCCTGTGCTGAGCTGAGGACCTCCTGCAGATGATCTCCTTGAATCCTAACCACCTTATGGGAAGATGCTGCTCTTTTCCTCTTTACAGATGAGGAAATAAGGTTCAGGGAAGTTAAGTGCTCTGTCTGGGTCTTCCACCTCGAGTGACATATCTAGGACTCAGCCAGTGGCCCCCCCAGCAGGGAGGGAGATCTCTTGGAACACTGTGAGATGGGCACCAGAACTGTGAGGCAGGGCTGGTACCCCCTCCACAGCTGAGGGAGTAGAGGTAATGTTGAATGCCCCAGACTCACTCTCTCCTGCAGGTGGAGCCTACCGAGGAAGCCACCCCTGTTGCAGATGACCCAAATGAGAGAGAATCTGACCGAGTGTACCTGGACCTCACACCTGTCAAGTCCTTTCTGCATGGCCCCAGCAGTGCACAGGCCCAGGCCTCCTCCCCGACGTTGTCCTGCCTGGACAATGCAACTGAGGCCCTCCCGGCAGACTCAGGCCCAGGTCCCACCCCAGATGAGCCCTGCATAAAGTGTCCAGAGAACCTGGGAGAACAGGTACAGGCCTCCCCTGCAGGACAGCAAGACCACCTTCCTGCGCCCCTTCAGCCAGCTGAGTCAGGTCTGCTTTCCCCCAAAGCAGCTGGAGAGTTTGGAGCCAGAGGATCCTTCCCTGAGAATCACCACCGTCAAAATCCAGACGGAACAGCAGAGAATCTCCTTCCCACCGAGCTGCCCGGATGCCGTGGTGGCCACCCCACCTGGTGCCAGCCCACCTGTGAAGGACAGGTTGCGCGTGACCAGTGCAGGTACTTGTGCTTGGGGAAGTTAGCCCGATTCCATCTGTATTAGTCAGGGTTCTCTAGAGGGACAGAACTAATAGGATAGATGTATATATGAAAGGGCGTTTATTAAGGAGAATTGACTCACACGATCACAAGGTCAAGTCCCACGATAGGCCTTCTGCAAGTTGAGGAGCAAGGAAGCCAGTGGTGGATCAGTCCAAGTCCCAAAGCCTCAAAAGTAGGGAAGCCGACAGTGCAGCCTTCAGTCTGTGGCCAAAGGCCCGAGAGCCCCTGGCAAATCACTGGTGTAAGTCTAAGAGTCCAAAAGCTGAAGAACTTGGAGTCTGATGTTCAAGAGCAGGAAGCATCCAGCACAGGAGAAAGATGAAGGCTGGGGAAGACTCAGCAAGTCAAGTCCTTCCATGTTCTTCTGCCTGCTTTATTCTAGCCATGCTGGCAGCTGATTAGGTGGTGCCCACCCAGACTGAGAGCGGGTCTGCCTCTCCCAGTCCACTGATTCAAATGTTAATCTCCTTTGGCAACACGCTCACAGACACACCCAGCAACAATACTTTGCATCCTTCAATCCAATCAAGTTGACATTCAATATTAACCATCACACCATCGTTTTCAGATTAGGAAACAAGTTCAGAGAGGTAGAGGGACCTGTCCAGGTCTGGCATCCAGCCTAGCAGGGCTTTGTGCCAAAGCCCCAGGTTCTATCCGAGCCTGGGGAGTAGACTGGGGACAGCCCTCATGATCCAGCTCTGCTTACCTGGGGCTTCCCTCTCTGGGTCTGTAGAGATCAAGCTTGGCAAGAATCGGACAGAAGCTGAGGTGAAGCGGTACACAGAGGAGAAGGAGAGGCTTGAAAAGAAGAAGGAAGAAATCCGGGGGCACCTGGCTCAGCTCCGGAAAGAGAAACGGGAGCTAAAGGAAACCCTACTGAAATGCACAGGTAAGGGGGCCCCCAGTGGGGAGGGACCCTCAGCTCAGAGGGCCGTGTAGGCTTAACTTTTTGGCGGAAGATCTGGCTGTCACCACACCTTCTCAATCAGTGGGCCCTGGCCCCTTCAACCCTTGGCCTGGGTGGGTGCTCCCTTGTGTGTCCTTTCTTCCAATCCTGTCTGAAAGGTCATTCTCCTGGACAGAGAGAGAAAGCCTCTGACGGAACATCAATAGGACCAGCAGGTCATCGTAAAAGCTAGTTAAAGGAAGTTTTACAGGGTTATGCATAGGCCGTGTTTTATTGTCACTTAAATGCATATTCCTTGGCCCATCTTTTGAGGACCTGGCACTGCAGATTTTTTGAGCTCTGGTTGGCTGACTGGAGTCTCATGTCATCCTTCATGCATTAACTACACCTGTTAATGCATCAGCCTTCATTTCCAGCCTTCATTTCTTGAAAGTCAACAAAAACTTAAGATACTTGCCAAGAAGTCTTTCTAGATTATCTTCCAAATCACACTCGTATCATTTGACAGCTATTTCCTGGCAATCTGCTGCATTTAAAATTTCAAAATTAAAAAAATATTGAGATGGGGTCTTGCAATGTTGCCCAGGCTGGTCTAGAGCTCCTGAGCCCAAGGGACACCTGCCTTGGCCTCCCAAAGTGCTGGGATTACAGGTGTGAGCGTGAGCCACCATGCCCAGCTGCAACCTGCCTCTTCTAGAACCTTTCCAAAGTATTTGACTTAGTTTTCATGGAGTAACTTTGTGCTTATTTAAATTGTAGAGGTGTATGAATAAGCAAGAGCAGCGGTGCAGGTTTGAGGACAAACTCAGCTGACTGGTGAGGGAAGGTCTTGAGGGTGCAAAGTCACCCACTGGCTTTCTTTTTTTGAGACAGTCTTGCTCTGTTGCCCAGGCTGGAGTGCAGTGGCGTGATCTTGGGTCACTGCAACCTCTGCCTCCTGGGTTCAAGCGATTCTCCTGTCTCAGCCTCCTGAGTAGCTGGGATTACAGGCATCCGCCACCATGTCCAGCTAATTTTTGTATTTTTAGTAGAGATGGGATTTCACCATGTTGGCCAGGATGGTCTCGAACTCCTGGCCTTAAGTGATCTGCCTGCCTCAGCCTCCCAAAGTACTGGGATTACAGGCGTGAACCACCGCACCCAGCTTGAACTGTATTTTTTTAAACTCCAATCTTCAAAACATTATTAGTATACGTTTTCTTTTCCTTCCCTCTTTAGAGATGGTCCTTCAATAGCATCTGTGAATTTTTCTTAAACAGTGGCCCTGTGCTCAGGACTCTATGTGGTACATATGTGATACCATCCTTTCCTCCAGCAGTGAGCTTCTAGGATACAGGCCCTAGGCATCATTTCACGGTGTGGCAGCATCAACCCAAGAGGTCCAGGGTTAACAGGAGGAGCCAGGGCTGAGGACTCCTGCTCTGTTAGGCGTAGGGAAGCCAGAGGATTGAGGGAACTTGGTAGGGCAGGTCAAGCTGCCCAGCCCTCCTCCATGGGCCATGAATAAAGCCCCTCACCCTTTTGGGTCACTGTCAAAGCAACCAAGAGTCTCTGAGAACCTACAAGAAGGGACTTAAGGCCTCAGACTCATGCCCCTTAGTGAAGCCAGAGCTCTCCTCCCCAAGAGCCTCCCAGCCTTTGCAGAATGCTAGCTAAAGGAGGCCTCCAGGCTGCCCCGGCATACAGGCCCCTCCTGGCTCTGAGTGTTGGGGCCAGACCTGTGGTCCTTCTCGGGTGGCGGGGTATGTAGACCCTGCCTCCACCCAGCAGGGCTCCCTGGCCTGGGCTGAGATGCTGTTCTCTGACACCTGCATAATTCTCTCTCCAGACAAGGAAGTCCTGGCGAGCCTGGAGCAGAAGCTGAAGGAAATTGACGAGGAGTGCCGGGGCGAGGAGAGCAGGCGCGTGGACCTGGAGCTCAGCATCATGGAGGTGAAGGACAACCTGAAGAAGGCTGAGGCAGGGCCTGTGACGTTAGGCACCACCGTGGACACCACCCACCTGGAGAATGTGAGCCCCCGCGTGAGTGCTGGAACTGCGGCCTCTGGGCTGCTTGCAGGGCTCCCTGGACATGGGTTGGGGTGGGTGGGTCACATCTCCCTCCCCTTGACTCAGCCCTTGCTCTCCTCCTATAACCACAGCCCAAAGCTGTCACACCTGCCTCTGCCCCAGACTGTACCCCAGTCAACTCTGCAACCACACTCAAGAACAGGCCTCTCTCGGTCGTGGTCACAGGCAAAGGCACTGTACTCCAGAAAGCCAAGGTAAGCAGTCACTCCCAGCCTCCCTTGGGGCCAGCAGAAATGTCACTAAGGTAGGGGCCCATCTTCTGACCCAGGTGGTGCTTTGTGGCTTTTGGCACCAGCTCTGAGCAAGGGCTCGGCACTCACCAAGGAGTGGCCATGGCTTTGCCATGCCTTCAGCTCAGTCTCTGGCACTGACCAACCAGAAAGGTGTCTGCACTTGGTTCGAGCATCCTTCCCTGTGAGCTTGGGGATGCTTCAGTTCTTGCCCTCCACACAGCTATGGGTAGATTCCAGGAGGCCAGCTGCAGCTCAGGGACAGATTATGACTGAGTTTTCAAACCAAAAAGTCAGTCAGTGACTCCACAGGACTTCTACCATTAAAACTAAAGAAACAGACTCACATAGGTGGTTTGAATTGCCCAAAGTTGCCCACCCAACTACTGGCAAAATTCTCAGCAAGTTGTGAATGAGGAATCCATGCTATGATGCGGTTTCTCCCTGATGGCTAGTCAAAAAAGTATCATTAATCATTTACTCATTTACTCATTTGTACACTAAAGAACATGCCTAGGGCTGCCTTTGCTTTTGGCAAATTCTGCTCCTTATTCCTATCCTCCTTACCTGCTGGAGATATTTGGAGGTCCCACAACAATGGCTAACCAATAAATCCATGCAAGCATCTGAACCTCCACTCCCTTGTTGCTGTGAGAGACATCACTTATAGGCACTCGCTGTTGTGCCACAGTCTCAAAATCTCTGAATAGGCACTCTAAGCAGTGATGAACACACAGGGTTTGAAACATTTATCACCTCTGTGCCTAAAATAGTTTTTCTCACATTTTTTCTATGTATATCAAGGTTGCTACAGTGGATAACTAACTATCTTTTTGGTGGGGGGTGGGTGCTGGTATTTGAATGGTACCCTAGGAATGGGAGAAGAAAGGAGCAAGTTAGAAAACAAGCTTCATCTAAAGACTCTCATGTCAATGTGGACCTTGGTGACAATCCTGCTTTGTTAAAGCAAAAACTATGCGAAAGGGTGAGTCTGTTTAGAAGAAAAAGCAAAGACTGAGGTACTGTGAATGGAGAGCTTCAGCTAAGAGGAGGCTCTGTCCCTTTTCAGAGCCAAAGGAAATAATACAACAAAAAGGAGGCTTCTTTGGAGACCTAAGTCTATTGGATGTAAACAAGACGTTGTATTTAGGGATGTTCTGTGTTTCTTTCTTTTTTGAAGTTGTCATCAATTGCTTTACTAAGATTTTTAAATAGTGAAAACCTCCTGTTTAGACTTTGGTGGAAGATGAATCAAGGAAGCAGGGCCCTGTCTTATGGGTCACGTGTCTTTGGTGAGTGAGAAGACCTAAACTCCTGGCCATCATCTCTTATCCAATACTTAGCAGTTGGGGATTAAACCATCCTTGCCTTCAGTTCTCTCCAATATTACCAGGCCCAACTCAGTCTTCAGTGATTTTAAACAGCATTGACATCATCTGTAAAACCATCATCTGTAAAACCATCTATGACATGAGTTTTGAGAAACAATAATGGGGAAAATATTTGGGACCAAGCTGAAGCACTAATCCCACTAAGTTAAAGACTTCTTTCCAGTCCAAGGCAGGCCTGAATCAACTGTCTTTAAATAAAATTTTAAGTGATGCTGTATTATATATAGGAAAAAATGCTTAAAATCCTGTCATTTAGAACAGTGAAAAGTATCTTTTGAGATTAAAGTGACTCTTTACTGTAGGAAAAATATTACTCTGTGTTTACAGATTCATTGCTGTGGTCAGGCCATTTTTAAGGGAAGAGTTATTTAATATAAATAGTCTCTGATTTTAAGTTCTGTTTAATGTTCATTCTCCTTCCAAGAACAAAGTGGTGATTTTTGGTTAGGGTGATCGCCCTCTTAAAATTGGCAGTGCTGTTCCTTGTGCTGCCCCTGTCTTTTCCTCTGATGGCATTTTTTTTTTTTTTTTTTTAACACAGGTTGAAACATTTCATCTATTATCTCTGCCTCATTTCTGGAGGGTTGTGTATCAGTTCTCTAACACTTGTTCCTGAGAACTAAATGTCTTTTTTATTCTTATTTCCTCTCTCATAAACATTTGGTGACCTTTTACCAAGTGGTGAGTTAGTTAGGTTTTTTAAAATAAAATGTTCATTGTATTTGAAGTTTTCCTCAGTTCATGAAATGACTTGGGGCAGGGCCTGGGGGGTTCTCAAGGGAGGAAATGTTTTGGTTATTTACACACTGAACTACAAGATGGGATCCTAGCAGGAAACTCAGCCTCCTTGAATCAAAGAGCATAGATAAGGCTGAAAGCAAATTTTAGTTGTACAGTTAACAACATACCAAAGACACAGGAAACATCTGCAGAAATTGATCATATATAAGTGAATGAAAAATCAGTACTCCTCCCAGAAGTTAAATATACTCCTAAAGAATTCTTGGGAAAAAAGAAACATACCAATACTGGGAAGGTTGCCTAAGTAGTAATTAAGGAAGTTTATAGCATAAATGTGTTTATTTTAAAAATGACAAAATCAAAATCGGGTTCATTAAAGAGACAAATAGACAACCTAAGGCAATATGAAATAGCAGAACTGAAATGGAGGCCTTAATACAGATACTGACAAGATTTTTCAAATTATAAAAAAATACTATGAATATATCAGTGTAAAAGTTTGAGAAATATGTATTTTCCATTATAAGGTTAGTATAGCTCTGATACCAAAAATTCAAAACAAATTGCAAAAGAAAACAAATCTCATTGTTGGACACAGATTAAAAGAATCTGAAATAAGATGTTGGCAAATGAAAAATTCAGCAGGGTTTATAGAATGATGCATAATGACCAAATAGAGTTTATCCAAAAAAATCAAGGGTTGTTCAATGATTGAAAATACACAAATGGATAACCTATCACATTAACAGATAATACAAAAAATGCATTATCTTGAGGAAGAAAAAGCATACCATAAATCTCAACATGTAATAAACACTCTTAGTTCATCTAGGAATTAAGCATTCTTAAACTGATAAGTAACCCATAGAAAACAATTATTATGATGAAAAAGTCAAGAACCAGATATGGATACATGCTACTTCATGAAACATTATTCTGGAGGTCCCAGGCAATGCAAAATGACAAGAAAAAGAAGTGGTATACAACTTTGAAAGGAAGAGACAAAACTAGCATCATTTGGAAATATTTCTCTAGAAAAGCAAGAGTCAATTATTAGAACTAGGGTATTCAACAAGATGACTGGAATCAGGATCGTTCAGAGAAAATAAGGAAATTTATGGCCTATATGCAATGTTTTAATTATTGCAAGGAAAATATATTTCTGTCTTATTTGAATAAGTAATTAAAGGTAAAAATTAAAGCTAATTTCTTTTAAATGAAAGAAAAAAGGCTTGGCTAGTTAGGCCATAGGATAGCACTTTCCTGGGGGACTGACAAAAGCTGAACTATTTAGTGGCACTGTCACTACAAAAGGGGAAAAAATGTTTCAAAGGCGAGAAACCCATTTCCTACAAAGAAACAGTAAAGGCCCTTACTATGTAAGTCGAGAGCCCACAGTTTGCTGTTTAAATCCAAGTAATTCAATCAGGGCACCCAAATACCAGCCCGGAACAAGACAAAAAGCCTACATTATAACATGGTTAAACTGCTATTTAAAGACAATGCATTCATGTAATTTCTATGACATCACTGATCAGCATCTGCTAGGGAGCATGTGATCCTGCCCCGGACGTTGTCTTCTGTGAAGGGCAGCATAATAACAAAGTTATCAATGAAAGTATCCCTTGAATATAGATGATTATGACTCAATGTCTGGTACACCAGACTTTTTAATATCTAAAATCTTGGTGATACTGCTTCAAGCGCTTTTCTAGCACCAGAAATCCTGAAGTTCTTAAAGCCAAAGTACCCTTGAATGTTTGTCTATAAAACATTATGTTACAATATTTATAAAGAAAAATGGGCCAGGCACAGTGGTTCACCCCTGTAATCCCAGAACTTTGGGAGGCCAAGGCAGGGGGATCACCTGAGGTCAGAAGTTCGAGACTAGCCTGGCCAACATGGTGAAACCCTGTCTCTAACTAAAAATACAAAAATTAGCTAGGCATGGTGGCACCTGCCTCTAATCCCAGCTACTCAAGAGGCTGAGGCATGAGAATCACTTCAACCTGGGAGGCAAAGGTTGCAGTGAGCCAAGATTGTACCACTGCACTCTAGCCTGGGCAACAAGAGCAAAACTCCGTCTCAAAAAAAAGAAAAACGATAAAGTGTCTGGAGTCACATCAGAGCTCTAGAAAGATTTCTACAGAAAATCCAACTCTAAACAACACAACCAAGGAGAAGAAGTAATTCCTAAATACTGCAGCGATAGGGAAGTAAGTATCTAGTTTGCCAGAGAATATTCCAAATATGCCTCTTTGCCACATAGGTACAAATATCCCTGTTTAATAAATAACCAACATTTCTTGAAATATTTCTTTAAAAACTGTGTAGAAAAGCAAAGCAAAACAAAATTAAAACCTAGACAGCGTAAGATCAATGCTTTAAAAAGCAAAATCTCTGTAAGTTTCTTTATCCTATATTTTTGAGTTTAAGAATCTTACTTCTCTTTGCCCCACTAAAAGGAGAATAAGGAAAGAATTCCATAAACACGCCACAATTAACCCCTCCTAAGTACATTTTTTTCTTTTTGAGACAGATTTTTACTCTTGTTGCCCAGGCTGGAGTGCAGTGGTGAGATCTCGGCTCACTGTAACTTCCGCCTCCCAGGTTCAAGCCATTCTCCTGTCTCAGCCTCCCGAGTAGCTGGGATTATAGGCATCCACCACCACCCCCGGCTACCTTTTGTATTTTTAGTAAAGACAAACTTTCACCACGTTGGCCAGGCTGGTCTCAAACTCCTGACCTCGGGTGATCCACCTGCCTCAGCCTCCAAAGTGCTGGGATTACAGGCATGAGCCACAGTCTCTGGCCGCAGCCTCTTTTGAAAGGAAGACCCTTCAGGTGGACACTGCTCACGACTCAGAACGATTTTACGTGGCCCCTCCAGACCTGGGCCCATTGCACACTCAGCCCCTCCCCCATCATCAAACAAGCTGGTTAATTGGTCACATTTCAGTCTGAGACCTTTCCAAGTCTCTTCCACACACAAAAGGCAGTCGCCAGAAGTCACAAACGTCCCTCAAGCCCCCTTTCAGACTCAATGCAAATGCATCCAGAATGTCTCTGGGGAAGTGGAAAAGCTGCTGCTTTCCATCTTGAAAGGCCGTGGCCTTCGCCGTCCAAAGGATGCTCTAGTAAAGGCCTCTGCTGGGCATTACTGTGTCAACAACATTCTGGCGAGCATTGATTGTGTGCAAAGGAACGTCAGGCCGCTAAATTTAAGTCTTCAGGACCCCTTGTTTATCCTCAAGGGAAAGGTGGCAGATGACATAGCCTCAACAAGGCACAGCAGGTACAGAAAGTGGGTATTTACTTACACATCAAAACTTTTCAACAACATCGTTTGTGGGTGACATCAGCTGCTTTCTTGTCTCTAAGCAGCATGGCTGCAGTTGGGACATCCTCCTCCCTCAGTGAGAATAGTGGTCCTGGCCACGGCGGGAAGCAGACATTCTAAGGACCTGGGGCACAGACATTCCAGAAGGTAGGCACCATTTCAGTGCCCAGGCCTTCTCTGTAGTTGCTGGGAGGGGTACGGCTGCTGCCCTCCTGCACGGGAGCCATGTGCCTCAGGGGCGTCTCAAGAATCCTGGGGAAGGAAGTGAAGTCTGAGGACAGGAGTGTCTGCATCCCCTTCTCAGCCCTCCAGCAGCCTCTGAGGACCCCTTCAGGTCCTGCTCTTACTCTACAACCCACCTCGCCCCCAGCAGAAGATGCCAGATTAGAGACCCCATGTGATTATCCTCCAGAGCTTCTCTCTGGCCTTAGGAAGCCAACCTCTGCCCGTGGCCAAAAAACCAAGGCTCCGACTGGACTTGTCTTCTGATTTCTGGCTGTTCTAACTTCAAACTCATGAACAGGAGCCATAGTTGGACCTCTAATGCCTCCCAACGATCACTCTCTAGGTCCTAATCTGTTACCCTTGACAATGACTTCTTTTCTCTCAAACCTCTAGCACCTCCTCCTCGTCCTCACTTAGCTGTTCCTCCCATTTTACTGAGCAAATAGCACCCCAAAAAGAGCTTCCAGCAGCTCCCACCACCGCATTTACCCATCCCTGCCTCCGTCTACATCCCTGTACCCTGGATCTACTGTGCTCCTAACTGTGGCCTCCCTCCTAGTTGTCATGACTTTCTCCGGGGTGCTTAGCACCGTCTACCACACCACATGTTGTATTATTTGCTTATTGTCTGTCTTCCCATTAGAATGGAAGCTCCATGAGGGCAGAGGTTTTATTCATTTGTTTACTGCTATGTTCCTGCACTGAGAACAATGCCTGGGATGCAGGAGGTACTCACTAAATGTTTCGTGGGTAAACGACTGAATAATTTCTTCCACTGAACGAATGTTTTAGAACCTGCCTTCAGCTGAGTTTGTGGGACTTGGCAGGACTCGCAATACCATCCCTGGCTCACACATACAGAGCAAGAGCTCCACTCACGGTTCTCGCAGTGGGGGCCCTCCCAGCCATCCCGACACTTGCAGCGGTAGCTCCCATTCTGCAGGACGCAGCTGCCCTCATTCATGCACGGGCTGGGTTTGCAGAGGTTGACTGGCTGCTTGGCTTCTACAATGGAGAACACCATACCCACCAGGCCGGCCAGGCATGGGTTAGACCCGAAGACCCCTACCCTAAGTAAGCCCAGTAGAGGTGCAAGGCTACTAGAGTCATGTCTCCCTTTGCCCCGGTAGCTCATGGTTGGTGCTGCATACCACTTGGCTAGGTTAGTAAGACCCAGCTCTCCTACAGACTCATGGAGAGTCCATTGCTCAGACGTGCCATACACATGGCAGACTTTTTTTTTTTTTTTTTTGAGGCAGAATCTTGCTCTTGTTGCCCAGGCTGGAGTACAATGGCGCGATCTTGGCTCACCACAACCTCCACCTCCCGGGTTCAAGTGATTCTCCTGTCTCTTTTAAGAAGGTGAAGAGGAGGTCACTGGATTTGGGCTGGCCTGGCCCTGTTTGCTCTGGGCTCTGTCACTGCCCAAGTCAGTGTGAATGTGGGATCTTTAGACCCTTAGGAAGCTTGTGGATATTCTAAAAGTGTGTTCTGTTTAAAGGGAATGCATAAATTCTCAAGTTTGGGGGGAGTTATCTATGTTAGTTAAACTTTCTGTACCTTAAATGTCAAATAGGATGGTTATGCCTACTGTAGGATTTTATGTGAGCATGGGGTTTAGCACAGAACCTGGCACTTGGGAAGCAAGTGCTCAGTAGCTGGGAAGAGCTGCCATCCTCGTCATGATGTATGTGAAGGCTCAGGCTGAGGGCCTGCCATGGGGGCAGCCCTGAGGGTGTGGATTCCCCCACTCACCTCCACACAGCCACTCAATGAGCACGTCCTGGTGGTACCGCAGGTCGGCGTAAGCTGCCACGTGGATCAGGGAATCCCGGGGACCTGCAAGCCTCCGCAGACCCTCACTTAGGACAGGCCCCACGCCCACGACCAAGACAGAGATGCCATTGTTCCTCAGCTTCTGGGCAGGAACGGCTGCATCCTCTGCGCCTCTCCCGCCTGTGAGCACCACCACAGCTTTGGGGACACCAGGCCGGGCACCCCTCTGGACGGTCATCACTTTGTCATAGATGTGCAGCAGGGCGGTGCCGGCTGAGCCCACCCCACCTAGGTAGGGGGCCTGGCTAATGGCCCGCAGCATCGCAGCCCGGGTGGGTTTGGTGTCCAGCCCGAAGGCAGTCTGCACCTGGCTGCCATACACCACCAGGCCGACCTGTGTCACGTCAGGGTTCACCTCAAACTGGAGGGCACAGCTTCTCACAAAGCTCTGCATCTGAGCAAAATTCTCGGGCCCTACTGAGGCAGAGGTGTCCAACATGAAGACGAGGTCCAGGGCTTGTGTCCGGCACCCTGCAGGAGCAAGCAGAGGGGCTTCAGCAGTGGATGTGCCAGTCAGAGCCCCTCGACGGGACCCAGGGACTGCCAGGTTGGGTAGGACCAAGGTCAGCCAGGGTGCTCTGTTCACTGCAGAATACACCCTCTATGTCTTCCTTTTAGCCACAGAACAGCACTTTCCTAGAATATTAGCAGGAAGATGAGTGCCTGCCAGACCACATTTCCCAGACTTCCTGGCAGCTAGGGTGGCCACGTGTCTAAGTTCTATCTGACGGACGTGATCAATTTCAAACTCATGCAGCTGGAAGCTGCTTACCTTCCACTTCCCCTCTCCCCCTTCCTGCTGGCTGAGAAATGGTGACCTTGGACCTCAAGGTGGAAGCCATAAGATGACCAAGCCCTGCTGGCCCGGGCCACTCACCTCTGAACTGTATGTGAGAGAAATAAGTTCCTGTCTTATGTAACCCATGGGGTTTGGGTTTGTGGGCAACCCTTTGTGACAACATCTTCACCTGTGCCTTCATCCATCCCCAGTATGCAGGGCACTAATTAGATGCTGTATGGACAAAATGGGCCCATGCCTGCTGTCAACAGGCTGACAGTCTAGGGGAACAGACATGAAATGAACATAGAATTACAAATGATGTCGGCAGCGTGGAGGGAAAAGCAGGGGACTTCGAGAGAGACCAGTAGGGGAACATAACAAGACTGGGAGAAGGGGTCAGAGCTTCTCTGGGGAGGTGACATTTCACCTAAGAACTGAAAGACAAGTAAGTATGAGCCAGAAGGCCTCTCCTGTGCAGGGGATGCAGAGAGGCCTGTGGGGACCAGGCCACAGGGAGCTCTCAGAAGCCAGGGGAAGGAGTTTGGGTTTTATTCCAAGTGCAAAGGGGAACCACTGGAAATTCTAAGTATGGAGTTAGAGGAGCTGATGCTCTGATTACTGGTTTTTAAAACCACTCCCACACCAGGAACGTCTGAGAAACTATCACAGCTACGGGGAAGGCGGCTGACTACATGTACTGTGGGGTCCTGGATGGGATTCTGGAACACAAAAAAGACATTAGGTAAAAACTAAACAAATATAAATAAGCATGGATTCACTAAATAATGATGTATCAATACTGGTTCATTAATGATAACACTGTGCCATACTAATGCAAGGTGTTAATAGGAGGGGAAACTGGGTGTGGGGTATAGGGAACTCTCCACTATTGTCAATTATTTTTTCCTATAAATCTACAACTATTATTTTTTTTAAAAAATCCAACCAAACAAAGCAGCAGAACAAAAGCACTTAGACCAGCCTGGAGGGGCAGGGTGGGAGTGGGCAGCCAATCCCTGTCCTTCCGCCTTACAGGAGGGAAAGCCTCTCGCCTTGGGGAGAGTGGTGGCATCAGGGCTGAGAAGCAGAATCACATCTGTAGCTTCCCATGCCCACCTACCAAGGGGAGAACTCCAGGAGCCCTATAAAGGCTTACATTTCACTCAAGCCTGTAATCCCTCCACTTTGGGAGGCTGAGGTGGGTGGATTGCTTGAGCCCAGGAGTTCGAGACCAGCCTGGGCAACATAGCAAGACCACATCTCTCTAAAAAATAAAACAATTAGCTGGGCATGGTGGTGTGCACCTGTAGTCCTGGCTATTCTGGAGGCTGAGGTGGAAGGATCACGTGAGCCCAGGAGTTCAAGGCTGCAGTGAGCTATGATCGTGCCACTGCATTCCAGCCTGGGTAACAGAGCAAGACCCTGTCTCAAAAGAAAAAAAAGACGTGTTTCAGCTACTACATCTCTGGCCATGGGCCAGGCCTCTGCGTGGGGACAGTGTTCTCTAGAGTGCCTTCCAATAGGGGTCATAAAAAATCAGCTTCATGGCTTGCAAAACAGAACAGAAGAGAAAAATGTCAGAATGCATCCCAAGTAGACAGGGTAAGTATCCTCTCAGGAAGCGTTTGTTTCAGTTGTGTGTGGCTGCACCAGCGCGTGTGCATGCACATGCATCCGTGTGTGTATGTGTGCATACATGTGCATGTGTGCACCAGGAACACACTTTTCTGTGGATTGCCATCAAAGGAGCTGGGAAGCTGCTGCTCTGGAGCCTGCTTAGTAGATTCAGAGCTCTTAGTAACAACAACAATAAAATCGTGATTAAGAATGATAACAGCAACACCTAGAGTTTGCTGAGTGCTTACTCTGTACTAAGCATGTACACTGCCCATCTTACCTAATTCTCACTAAAGATCTCTCAGGAGGTACTACTATTAGTCCCATTTTGTTGACAGGTAAACTGAAAATTATTTATGTGACTGGTGCCTGAAAGAGTGGGGCTGTGGTTTCAGCCCCTAGAAGAGGCACTGGCAGAAAATGATGGTTAGGTGGTGGCCAAAAGGAGGAAGGACCCGCCCACTGACCAGCGGTCCTGGGTCAGGCACTGGGACCTTACCTGGCCGCTGCCGGCTGCACAGCTTCCCCTGCAGCTCAGGGATTTGGTTGAACAGATCCTGAGGATCCGAGTAGACCATCACATGCTTTGGGCTGCCTGTGATCTCCTCCAGCTCTGCCCGCACGGCCTCACTGCCTACACCCAGCAGGAGCAGCTCTCGCGCCCTTGCGTGACGCGCTGGGCCCGCAACCTCATCCTCGGAGTGTGACTCAGTGAGCAAAACCACCACTCTACGTGGCCGGTCCTGGCCTGTCCTGGTGGCGCTCCCGAAGCCACGCTCTGCCGCCTGCCGCAAGGCACTGCCCGTCAGGGTGGGGCCACCACGGAAGGGAATGCCATCGAGGCTCCAGACCAGGTCAGGCACATCCTGGTACTCCCCCACAGGCACCGCCACCAGCAGCTCCCTGCTGTATGTGGCCACACCCACTCGGGCCCGAGAGTCCTCGCTCAGCACGGCCCGCACAAACCGCTTCACGAAGACTTTGGCCCGCAGGAAGCCGTCCAGAGTGGTGCCCGCAGAGCTGTCCAGCAGGAAGAGGAGGTCGACCCTGCATTCCAGGCTCAGCTTCAGGGCTGCGGGGATCACAGCAACACCCACTGTCAAGCCATGGTCATGCGGCATGCGAGCTGTCCCACCCGAGATGCCGAACATCTCCCAGGAGGGAGATGGTGCAGAGAAACTGTGGGCCCCCCAAGCTTAAGTGACCCGTGCTCGTCACAGAGTTAGAGACAAGGCCAGACATGGCACTCCTGGCACTCGCTAAGGGTCTCCATCTAGCCACTTTTTAAAGAAAAATGCCATCTACATTATCACTTTTTTCCATTATGGTTAGTCCTGTGTGTGTCCTGAGAAATCTTTGTCTGCCTCAAGATCATGAAAATATATGCTCCTGTGTTTGCTTCTACAGGCTTCACTGCTTTGCCTTTTGCACAGAGGTCTATAGCCACGCTAGAATTGACTTCTGGTAGGGTTGTGAGGTACAGGGTCAAGATTGTTTTCATACAGATCTTCAACTAACCCAGTATCACTTGTTTTTAAAAGTTATTATTCATCAAGCCCTTATATGCGTCAAGCATGGTACTAAGCACTTTGCATAATCTTATTTAAAACTCTCAACCACCCAGTGAGGTAAAGCCTACTATCATCTTCATTTCACACCTCTAAAATCAAAAGGAATCGGGGCTCCTTGCTCTGCTTTCATAGAATAGAGAAGAAAAGACTCTGCCCAGGACTGGGAGCCAGAGTTGGGTGGACTCCTGCCTTCAGCTGGGCTGGGCAGCACTCAAACTTCAAGCAGTGACCATTCTGCAGCTAATAAGCTGGGAGCCACTGTCTCATCCAGAGCTCAGCCACCCCAATTATCTACTCACGGAGCACTGACAGGCTGCACCACGTGAACTGCAGACCAGTGGTGCATTGGAAAGCAGATGGTTCAAGGGCCAGTTTCTACCCAGCAGCTGGAAGGGCGTGCAATGAAAAGGGGAGCCCGTCCTCTTCTTGCTCCCCAGTGGTCAGTCTTGCAGGGCCGGTGCATACCTACCACAGTTAGCCTCCCCTCCAAAGGCCAGCGGGCAGAGGCACTGGTAGCCGTCCAGTCCTTCTGGAACACATGTGCCTCCATTCTGGCAGGGCTGCGAGTCACAGGGGCCTATCAGAGAGATGCCCATTAACCGCTAAGCACCGCAGCACAGAGGAGTGGAGAGGACTGGCCAGAGGTGTGGGTGCAGCTGGCTTCCTGCTCTAGCAGTGGCCCAGCCCCTCCCTTCCCCCACAGTCCACCAGGAAATCTGCAGCAGAGAGGGGAAAGCACTGTGGAGTTCATAAAGGAGGGGCTGGGCACGGGTGGTAAAGGATGCTCTGTAGCAGGCTTGGTAAGGCCCTGTGTGATGAACTGGTGTTAGACTGAAGCTTGACAAGGAGGAAGCTCCCCGTAGCATCAAGTGTGGGTGCCTCAAGACTGAGAGAGAGCTGCGGTGCCAATGGGGCCCTGTCTTCTAAGTTCTACACAGGGTTGTCTTAATGGCCTCTGCACCTGGCACAGCAAAACACACCAGCCTTCGGATCCTGCAGTCAGGCTGCTCAGGACTGAATGTGGCCTCTTCCACTTCCTCCGGCACCTTAATTAACCTCTCCCATCTTCATATCCTCATCTAAAAAGGAGTGATGGGAACTGAACTTGTTCTGTGGGGTTATTGTGAGGATTAAATGAATTAATCCGCAGAAAGTCTCAGCACTAAAAAAACACTCCCCAACAGGTAATGACAGTATTGACTTTTGGATGTGAGATGCAAATTATGAGCAAGGCCTCTTCAAAGCTGAAAGTTTACATGGGAAACCACAGCCTGTGTCAAAATGTGGCCCATTCTGAAGCGTCTGATCTATGATTCCCTGTGGTCCATGCCTGAGCATCTCATTGCTTTCCTTATCAATTATTACAAAGTGCAGCTAAAACCACATGACCTCCTTCCCAGGGTTACAGAAAACAAACAAGGTCTTCATGTGATCATGTATTCCAAGAGCTGGATAAGCAGCTGAGTGTGGTCACAACTGGGACTGGCATTTTCTTGTCCTTTTTGCTTACAAATATTAATCTCTTTCTTGATGGCCACATCATTGTAATTAAAATATAGACTTTTCAAAGGCAGAAAAGATTGAGGCTAAGTCTAGGCACTTCGCTGGGGCTGCTGTTGTATCAGCCAGAAGACTGTGGAAATAGCTGGGGGCTCACTGAGATCGACGACAGTGGCCTTTAACTGAGCATCTATTATGTGCCAGGGACTGTGCTAAGCACAATACACGCATGGTCCCATTTCATTGTCACAACCTTAGGTAGGAACTATAAAAACCCTATATGACAGATGAGGAAGCTGAAGCTCAATGAATAGAAGTCACATGCCCCAGGTCAGATCATTGGTAAGAGGCAAAGCTGGGACTGAAAGCCATTTCACTCTAGTTTCCAAACCGGAAGTCCTCAAACCCTAATTTCTGAGCAGAAACAGCTCCACTCTCAGATTCTCCTGTGCTTCAGAGGCCGTGGTGCTGGAACTGTAAACCTTGTGAACATACTGAAGGGATCACCTAACCCCAAATAGGGACACTCGCTACCCTGCCTGTGTGTCTAACTGCTCGCTACCCTGCCTGTGTGTCTAACTGCTCGCTACCCTGCCTGTGTGTCTAACTGCTCGCTACCCTGCCTGTGTGTCTAACTGCTCGCTGCCCTGCCTGCCTGTGTGTCTAACTGCTCGCTGCCCTGCCTGTGTGTCTAACTGCCGGCATTGCTTCCGGGAGACAGGCTACTCATCGGGAGTAACAAATCCACCCCAGGACTGACACCTACACATTGAAGGGCAATTTCAAGCTCCCAGGTCAGTGGGGTCACTAGCACCCCAAGTGAGGGATAGTGAGGGCACACTGGTGAACCATGCTGAATGATGCATAATGGCATCGATGATTCCTCACGTTAATTTGGGATTTTACAGCTGAGGGATTACTTCCATGGGCATTATCTACTGAATCTTCACTAGGACCTCATATACGATGACCCCCTTTCACATGGAGGAGGGAAATGGGCTTCCAGACATCGGACAAACCACTATGTTTTATAGAGGAGGAAATCACTCAGATATCTTGCCCTGAGTTTGGTGCTGGCTTTGAGGATGTCTGCAAAGCTGGTGCTCGGTGCCTGCCTCTCTGCCTCTCACCAATGCACACAACACTGGTTCAGGGGAGTAATCCCAAAGCCGCCACTCCATTCTTAATGAGCAAACACCATTGAGGGAGTCAAGAGCACACTCTCCTCTGCCCCCCAAGTGCCCCATCCCTCTGCCCTGGAGCCAGTCACAACCCCACCCTCTGTCCCAGGATTGTAAAAGCCACTTTACAAAGCAGCCTGGGCCCAGGGCCCTGAAAGAACCTGTAAATCCAAGAGACAGACCATACCTGGGCAGGTGGTCCTGTAGCAGGTGGCAGGGTGGGTTAGGAACACTCTCTTCCAGCTACAATCCAAGGAAACAGAATTATAGACAGATCAGAGGTGTAAGGGGAGGGCAGAAAACAGAAGATGATTTACAACACCAAAAGCTGATAGAAGATTCCAATGCAGAAGTAAGAAAGACTTCCTGGTTTTGTTTCTTGATTCTACCCTAACTTTTCTCTGCACATAGAGTAGGGAATGTTTCAAACTATCCAGTGACAATTAAAAAAAATAGGCTGGGAGTGGTGGCTCACGCCTGCAATCCCAACACTTTGGGAGGCCAAGGTAGGCAAATCACTTGAGGTCAGGAGTTTGAGACTAGCCTGGCCTACATGGTGAAGCCCCGTCTCTACTAAAAATACAAAAATTAGCTGGGCGTGGTGGCATGTGCCTGTAATCCCAGCTTAGCAGGCTGAGGCAGAAATGCTTGAACCCAGGAGGCAGAGGTTGCGGTGAGCCGAGATTGCACAACTGCACTCCAGCCTGGGTAACAGAGTAAGACTCCATCTCAAAAAAAAAAGGTAACATAAGCTGGCTATCACATTTGAAATTAGGGACATCCACATGCAAAACCCCAAACTGTAGCAACAGCTTTTTATTATAAGTTACTTTCTGAGGCTTACGATGCAGTAGGGAGAGAAATATTGGGAACTGGGCAACTGGATTTTGGCTGTGTGACCACAGACATGTTACTTTCCTCCTCTGGTCTTCACTTTCCTCTTTGTATAGTAATTCTATCTTCACTTTTCAACTGTATTCCTTAAAGCTTCGATGGGGAGAGAAGAGCACTGAAGGAGCAAGGCTCCAGGCCTCCCGCAGTGCCCCAGCCCCGCCCCTCCACCCCAGGTGTGCTGCTACTATCTGGTCCACACAACAAGTGTCCACACGAGGCTCTGCAGGTCAAGACATGTAAGCCACTGGACTCAATGACTTCTCAGGTCTGCTGGAGAACTAACGTTCTGTGATAACACAGCAGCCACCATTCCTTGGGTGGCTTCCACCTGCTGGTGTTCCATGAACCACAGCTACCTGAAGAGATGGTTCCCTCCATGTTCCAGATAGGGAAATGGGTTCTGAGGGCTCACTTAGGGCCCCTGAGGTCACATAATTACCGGAACACAGCAGAGCTGGGATCCAAACCCTGACCATGACTCCAAATCCCCCCACTCTACCCTGTGGGCCTCACCCTCGCCTCTCCTGCGTCTCCGGGGCCATGTGCCCTGCTGTCACAGGAGCGGTTCCTCATCTGGGGGCAGAAAGCCCCACTCTGGGTTGGCAGCAGCTCCTGGGATGGCCTCACCTGAGGAGACTCTTGGGCCTTGGCAGAAACATTCCCTAAAGTTCTCCAAATAAGGCTTCTTCCAACAAGATCCCACCCTGGGCTGCCCACACAGGGGCAGGCCAATCAGGTGCTCCTCTAGGGCAGGGTCTTCCCTGGGGTAAAATGGAGTACACGCCAAGTCAATTCAGAGCTCATGGAGTTGCTGAAATAAAGGTTGCCAAGGCTGGGCGTGGTAGCTCACGCCTGTAATCCCAGCACTATGAAAGGCGGAGGCAGGAATTGAGCTCAGGAGTTTAAGACCAGCCCGGGCAACATAGTGAGACCCCATCTATAAAAAAAAATCTTAAAAATTAGCCGGCCACGGTGGTGCGTGTCTGTAGTCCCAACTACTTAGGAGGCTGAAATGGGAGGATCACTTGAGCCTGGAAGTTTGAGGCTGCACCAAGCCATGATTCTGCCACTGTACTCCATCCTGGTGACAGAGCAAGACCTTGTCTCAAAAAAATAATAATAAAAACAAAGTTTGCCAAACTGCCAGCTCATTCAAGAGAAATCGTCTTCTCTTCCATGTCTATCCTAGTGACCTCATAAAGCCACAAGTCCTAGCCCAGAAAGATCCCTGGGCCCTTCCCCCTCCCTGATTTAGGCTTCCCTGGGAATCAGCATTTATGGAGCAGACACTACCAACAGGGCTTTGCAGGGACCTGCACACAGTTTGCCCCCCACCTCCCTCAGGTCTGGACACAAATGCCACATGCTCTGCAAGGCCCTCCCTGGCCACTCCATTTCAAACTGTGACCTTGCCCCAACCCCCCGCCTACCCCACCGCATCCCCATCTTGCTGCTGTGTTCCTCCACAGCACCTGCTACCACTGAACAGTTTATTTTCTGTATTCATTTTGGAATGACTGCCTCCCATTACTGGAGCGTCAGCTTGTGAGGGTAGATGTGTTTCTGAGATGCTGGTGCTGATTTCCCAGGACCTGGGTGAGTGCCAGGAGCACAGGAGGCCCTCAGTGGGTATTTCTTGAGTGAAGAAATGGGTGAAGAGCTCCCAAATGCTTCATTCTAGGAGCCTGCAATATTAACACATCTACCTATTAAATCACCGCCTGTTCTCAACAAACCTGTAGGGCAGGTATGATTATTATCACACCCCTTTTCAAACATAGAAACATGCAGTGGTAAGTTCACCGCTCCCTAGTGGTTCTGCTAAGATTAAAAATTCAGCAGCCTGAGAGCAGAGTCTGAATGCAAGGCCCAGGAAGTATACACTGCAGCCACCAGCCTCTTCCAGCCGCTCCCGGCTCTGAGCGCCTTGCCCACTGCCACAGTTCCAAATCTTGCAAAACTGCTCGAGCAGCCCCTTCTCTGTGACATCCCAGAGAGGACAGACTCCATCCCAACACCTAGGATGCCTCAGGGTGGCCGCTGGTCTCCTTTTCCAATGCCCTCCTCTAAACCATGATTCCTTGGGGGCAGCAACTGTACTGTCTTCTTATTGCACATTGCCTGGCTCTGAGCAGGCACTTAGAAAGTGGCCACCAAGGAACGAATCAACTCCTCCTTTCACTTGAGAGGTTGGGTTCTGAGGAGAGCCTCTGGTGGCCCCAGAGTGGCATGAGACCTCATCTCCTCTGACCCTTATGTAGGGGGCTGGCCTTTCCCAGAGAAACAGTCTTTGGATTCTCCATCAGCCCAGCACAGCCCTAAGGCTTCTCAGCCAATCCATTTCACTGCTGTGTGCTGTGCTGTGAGCTCATCGCTGGGGGAGGACCAATGGGTAAAGATGCAGCTGATTCAAACACTGCCCCGGCCCCCCAGAAAGGGAGAGGGGCAGGGTCACCAGTCTCCGGACAGAGGTGCTGAATGGCAGGTAGTCTAAAGAAAGTGCCCAGGAACAGTGTGGGGAGTGTTTGGGAGGGATGGGTGGGCAGACGGGCAGCAGGTGCTCTTGGGTGCCTGGGCTCCAATCCCAAAGAACCCAGCATCCCATAGCCTCCCTGACTGGAATTCATCTGAGGATCTCTATCCTCTTGCCTCACTCAGCCCCCATAATGTGGAAACTGGTGCTCAGAGGAACCAAATTACCAAATCAATATCCCAAGTGCAGACCACCGCCCTGCAGGGCCAGCACTTGGCTCACTCACCAGCCTTCCAGAATGCCTGTGACCCTGCCACCAGTGCTCACCCTGGGTACCTGGGCTGTGTGTTAAGGGATGCTGACACTGAGTAGCTGTGCCTCTCCCTGTTCTCCCATGGCTACGTCCCTGGCTCCCTCCCAGGTCTCCTTCGATCCCTGTCACAATCTCCATGGCAGGGCCCCAAAGTACTATCCTCCCCGCAGCTCAGGGGTGGGGGCCTTCATCTCCACCCAGGCCGAGCCCAGACCGCGCAGACAAACCTGTAGAAGGGACAGTGTGCAGCCAGCACCGCAAGGGTCCGCCGCGATCCTCTCCAGCATGGGGCATTGCCAGCGAACTCCCGGACCATCTCCAGCGTCCTGTGCTCACAGGGGTGAGCCTCGACCCTGCAGTCTGTGTCCACAACACACACCCACACCCACGGAGGAGACAGGGTTCCACCTCCTCCTGCCACACACGCTTCCCCAGCAGCTGCTCCCGCTCCTGGGAGGTTCCACCACACTTCCAGGCTGGCCACTTTCTGCTCTCTCAGGTCAGGGCATATCTCTGGGTGAAGGGCCCTGCTCTGCCTGTTCAGCGGGGCATCCAGTCTCTGAGCATCTCCTCTGCTGGGCCCCACCCCACACAGCTTTTGCGTAATGGGCACACATGTACATTCCACATAACGTCATCAATGTGGCTCCTGGGTGGACCCTGACAAGGACGACTAGAATGCAGGGATCTCGCACCAAGCACAAAGCCTCCTTGTGCTCCTCTGTGTGGTCCAAGGCAGGGGGAGGAGACTTGGCTCTGTCTCTTGAGCAGGGGACAGGGAACCTACTACATTTGGGTCTCAAACCCTGGGCCCCTCTACCTCCATGAAGACAAGCTCGGGGCTCCCAGCTGGGAAACCCACAGGGCAGGGCACAGGGAGACGCAGAGCATCCAGGGTGGAGGCTGCCGGTCTCTGTTTCTCTTGCCTGCCCTCCATCCTTGGGAGGCTCCTGGGTCCTGACCTCTTGCCTCAGGGAGCCCTCCCCGACCCCACATGGCACTTCCACTCCCTCCAGGCTGGAAGATCTTACCTGGCGTGGCGCTGGAGCAGATGGCCGAGCTGCTGAGGGTGCTGAAGAGGCCGTTGGTGGCATCCTCCACCTGCTCAGCCAACAGCACGTGCTGCCCTCTAGGCTCGCTGGCCAGTGCATGCAGCTCCTCCCACCTGTGCCAAGGGGTTGTAACAGCTTGTGGTCCTATACCCACCCTCCTCCTGCCCCCTCATCTTCTAGGCCGTGGGTTCCTTGTGGATGGCAGCACAGATTTAGTGTCTGGTTTTGTCAGACCCATAGCTGGTGAGGAAAACAGTTAACCGGAATGGAAATGAAAGAAAGTGGTTCGAGGTGACAGCAAGCAAAGAACAAGCAAGCATAGCTGGTAACAGAAAAAAAGACTGAGGAATGATAAACAATGGACGTAAGAACTCCAAGGCCAGCAATAGGAGGCCATCTAGAGGAAGCGGCCAGCACACCTCGATAGCCATAGGGCAGCGCTGTTTGTGCCAGGAGGAAAATGATGTACAGATGGTGACACTAGGACATGAAGAAAGGGTTAGGCGATGTTGAGAAACCTCATTTTAAGAAGACACACAGTCGGAGGGGGGGTGTGGTGGCTCACGCCTAATCCCAGCACTTTGGGAGGCCGAGGTGGGTGGATCACTTGAGGTCAGGAGTTTGGGACCAGCCTAGCTAACATGATGAAACCCCATCTCTACTAAAAATACAAAAATTAGCTGGGTGTGGTGGTGGGTGCCTGTAGTTCCAGCTACTTGGGAGGCTGAGACAGGAGAGCCACTTGAACCTGGGAGGTGGAGGATGCAGTGAGCCGAGATTGTGCCACTGCAATCCAGCCTGGGCAACAGAGTGAGAGTCTGTCTCCAGAAAAAAAAAAAAAAAAAAAAAAAAAAAAAAGACGTGCAGTCAGTAATGTATCTAGAAGAATCCTGTCCTTGAAAAGTCATCAGGGTGGACCAAGGTTTGACGATAGGGCAAAAATCCCATTCATTTCTAAAATTCAGGTCTGTAAAACTTCCCATTCTCCTCTGAATGCACATAAAACAGATTCTCCTCCCAGGACCCAGGACTGAGCCCTGAGGGCACATGTGCACAGGGGAGGCGTTGCACAGCCACGGTCTGCAGGCAGTGCTGCCAGCCCTGGAGCCCCCCAGCCCTGCAATGGACTTTCTTACAAGCTGCCAGGTAATTCAGATGCTGAGCCAGAGCTGAGAACTGTCAGAGAAGGGGCTCAAAAGGCGGAAAGAGACCAGGTGCAGTGGCTCACGCCTGTTATCCCAGTACTTTGGGAGGCCGAGGCGGGAGAATCCCTCAAGCTTAGGAGTTTGAGACCAGCCTGGGCAACACAGTGAAACCCTGTCTCTACAAAAAAAAAAAAAAAAAAAAAAAAAATTGCTGGGTGTCGTGGCAGACATCTGTATTCCCAGCTACTTCAGCTACTTGGGTGGCTGAGGTGGGAGGATCACTTGAGCCCAGGAGGTCAGGGCTGCAGTTAGCCATGATCGTGCCACTGCATTCCAGCCTGGGTGACAGAGCGGGACCCTGTCTCAAAAAAATAAAAGTAGAGACTGAACCAGTATCAGTTTTTTTGCTTTATTGCTTGTAGAGTTTCACGCTGCCCTTGGCAGTGACCCTCAAACTCTGGTGGGCATCAGAGTCACTGAAGGCAGGATGAAGAGCAGACCAAGGCTCTCTGACTCTGAGTTTCTGATTCAGTGGTGTGGGGCCACAGGCTGTGCGTTTCCAGCAGGCTCCCAGGTGACGAAGATACTGCATCCAGGGAGCACACGTTGAGAACCAGTGAGCAACAGCGACTCAGCCCTTTGGTGGGAGTGGGGAGGGGTGGGTCAGGTGGTCCTGGGAGCCCTACATGGCCCTCAGCTCAGGCCATCCCCCTCCCAAGGAATGGCTTCTCATCTCTCTAGGCCATGGCTGCTCAAAGAGCAATGGGTGGGCAGAGCAGCTCCCTAAGCATTAAACGCTGGTGCAGAGGGGACAAGCGCAGACACTGAAACACTGACAAACTAACTGGACAGCGATGAGACAGTCATTTTATGTCTGCTGAATCAAATAATAAACATTTGAATTTATATTGTGTTTATTTCATTTTTCCCCTAATTAATTTATTTTTGTTTTATGAGACGGAGTCACCCTCTGTCACCCAGGCTGGACTGCAGTGGCGTAATCTCGGCTCACTGTAACCTCTGCTTCCTGGGTTCAAGTGACTCTCTTGCCCTAGCCTCCTGGGTAGCTGGGATTACAGGCACCCACCACCATGCCTGGCTAATTTTTATATTGTTAGTAGAGATAGGGTTTCATCCTGTTTGCCAGGCTGGTTTCAAACTCCTGACCTCAAGTAATCCACCATCCTTGGCCTCCCAAAGTGCTGGGATTACAGGCGTGAGCCACCATGCCCGGCCTCATTTTTATTGTATTTTTAAAAAGTTATCAGTCCATGGTGTATCTGGGGGAAAAAAAACCAAAAAAACAAAATACTGGTCCAGTTTGAGAGGCACTGTTCCAGCTACCTGCTGAAGAAGAAAGCACTGGAAGGAGACAGGGATTCCCACCGTGTGGTGGGTTCTACCCTCATGGACAAATCTTTGGCAATGGCTATGCTCAAGGCACTGTGTCTGGCACAATGTGGGAAACGGCGGGCAGAGGGCCATGAGGCAAAGTCCCTCTCTCCTCTCTCCAGGAGTTTGTATTGCCTATATTTGAGAAGACAAAATGAGCCAATGAAGGCTAAGGCAGGCTGTGTTAAATGCCAACTTGCTGATCACAATGATTGATGACAATGATGTCATCACCATTTCCAGGACATGGCACAATCCTGGATGTCCCCACCTTACTGGCCGCTCTTTAGTCTCCATCACTCTATCTTCTTCCTCTCTCTGACCTGCACTTGCTGGCCCGTTGGTCATCTTCTCTCCCTGTCCCCACTACCTAGGTGACCTTATATCAGATTTAAAAACCACCTCAAATTTCAATCTCCATGCCTGTCCCCTCCTCCATGCTCCAGATTCTCACACCCAACTGTCTGCTCGGCTCCCACACTGAGCTGTACAATGTGCACCGCAAACTTCCTCTGTCTGAAACAGAACACAATGTCCCGTGCTCTTCCCCCGTTGTCATCTTTCCCATGTCGGGAGATGGCACCACTATTCACTCTGGGGCTCAAGTCAAAATCCTCAATTCTTCTCTCACACACCCACCTCCAATTCAGTGGCGGCCGCTCACTGCTCTGCCTTCAAAACATATCCTAAGCCAACGCCAGGCGCAGTGGCTCACGCCTGTAATCCCAGCACTATGGAAGGCTGAGACGGGTGGGTCACTTGAAGCCAGGAGTTCAAGACTAGCCTGGCCAACATGGTGAAACCCTATCTCTATTTAAAAAAAAAAAAAAGTAGCCAGGTGTGGTGGCGTGCACAGGTGTGGTGGTATGCACATATAATCCCAGCTACTCAGAAGGCTGAAGCATGAGAATCGCTTGAACCCAGGAGGCGGAGGTTGCAGTGAGCTGAGATGGCGCCACTGCACTCCAGCCTGGGTGACAAAGCGAGGCTGTCTCAAAAACAACAACAAACAACAAACATATCCTAAGTCGAGGCTGCAGCTGCTTCCCTCTAGGAGCCACCATGATCTCTTTTGTGAGCCATGCCAAAGGCCTCCTAATCAGTTTCCCCTCTCCCCTTACTATTTCCTCTCCCACCCCTATCCTGTCAGTCTATTTCGTACACAGCAGCCAATGTGATTCTCTGAAGATATCATTCCCCTGCTTAAAACCCTCCAAAGGCTGTCTGTCATCCTACTCACAATAAACTAACATCTTCTCCATGCCCACCAAGTCTCTGTGGCTGACTCCTGGCTCTTCCACCCTTACTTCTTGTGTTTCTGCCACTTGCTTGCTGGGCTTCCGCCCCTCCCTGGCCGTCTGGCTGTTCCTTCCTATAACTCGCCAGCCTACCTGCTGCCCCAGGGCCTTTGTACTTACCACCCACCTGCCTGCTTTGCCCTGCCTTCCCCTGATATTTGGAAGGCTTACTCCTCACTTCACTCAAGTTTCTGCTCAAAAATCAATTTCTCAAAGAAGCCTTGACTGACCACCCAAACTAAAATAGCTTTCCTCTCTATTCCCCATCATTCTTTAGCCTCTTACCCTACTTTATTTTTCCCTTTTGCATTTTACTTCCACCTGAAATTATATTATGTATTTATTTATTATCTAGTTCCTTTCTGAGAATGGAAACTCCATGAGGGCAGGGACTTTGTATTATTGTCTCTGTATTCTAAGCACCTAGAATAATGCCCAGCATGAGAAAGACAACCCTGGATTTATTAACTGAGAAATTAAATAATGTACTAAAATTAATGAAGAGATTTCTGTGTGCAAACACAGTGCCCAGACCAGAGTCATTTCACTTAACGCTCACAATAACTATTGGTCCATGGCATAAGTGACGTCCATTTTTTGGTTTGAGAGCATTAAGGATCTGTACCCTCCTCTCTTCTAGGAAAGCCTATTTGCCCAGCAGCTAGACAAATGGGGTAAAGGGGGAGTGGCCAGTCAGACTCCTACTCCCTTGGCCCCAAGAGTGGGCTCTGCCTCAGGCTGATTAGAATATTTTATTGGATTGTTAAACTGTGGAAAGGGGTCTTTTCTCTCCAGGGTGGAGCTCTGAAGACGTGAGCTGGGCACCGTCCACAGCTCCAGTTCCAGCTTCCTAATAAAGTCAGGGTACGAGAGGAGGCAACAGGCAGAGAACAGCAGAGATATGTGGAAGAATCTCGATGACACTGAAGTCCCTGGCTCCTGCACACCCTGAGGGACCCCCATCCCACCCAGTGAATGAGATCACTCCATGAATTTCCATTTTTGCCCAAATAAATTTCAGCAGAGTTTCTGGCACTTGCAACTGAGTTTTCAAACAAAACCAAAATCAATGCAAATACAGGCTCCAAAAGATTGGAGCTTCCTGTGCACTGGAGTCAAAATGGCAAAGTGAGGAAAAGACAGATCCAGGGAAGGACCTGGACGGCTCTTCCAGTCCCCTCCCTTCCCTCCCATGGCCATGTCACGATCCCCAGGCTGACCACCTGAGGGCTGATCCAGGGTGACTGAGGCTCTTACCTGGGAAACCTGACCCCCACAGCAAACACAGTGACACCCCTTTCCTTCAGCTGCTTGGATGGCAGTGCCACATCCCCCTGGGACTTCCCATCAGTGACGATGATGAGGATCTGGGGCACAGAAGCATTTCTGCCTCCAGGCAACCCTCTGTGCAGAAGGTATTTCAGAGCAAGTTCCGTCTCCGTGCGCCCTCCTCTGTGCACACCCAGAAGGAAAAAAGAAAGAAAAGTGAATGATGTGGGGAGGTGAAGTTGGGATGAGAGTCTGAAATCGATGAGCTCTTCCGTTATTAGCGAAAGGTAGCTTTCTCCTAGCAGAGGCTGAAAGTGATAGTTCTACCATCTAAACCACAACAACAATGAACAGAAATTATTTTTTCCATGCACTTGAGATTCACCCCGTACATCTCTGTTGTATTCTATCATAATGTCATTGTGTGTTGGGTGTGTTTTTCTCCTCCCCGAGTGATGACTCTGGGCCGACAGCTCTTGTCATTTGTCTAACACCTGCCTCCCATCTCCTCATCCCTGCATCATCTTCTTGTTACAGCTCAACATCCTGGGTTGGGAAAGCAGATAATGAGCTTAGGAAAACTGTGTGAGGAAGGACCCATAAGAGTGAAGGACAGGGCTTCAAGGCAAGGGTGTGATGACAGTCTTTTCTGTGATCCAGGCCTTTGTGGGCCATGTCCAAATTCAGGGTTGGGAGCTGGAAGGCTGAGCTGTCTGACCACCTCCAGATCAGGGCAGGTTACAGGGGTCCCATCTCATCGGGATGCCAATGGTCCTCTATTTGCTGTGGCTTGAGATCCTCTCATCCTCACAGCTCAGTTATAGGAACTGTTGACCAATCCTGGAATCCCAGAGCAGGATCTCTGCTAAATCTCAAATTAGGAGGCTCCTGTAAGCGTCCTGTCAGAGAGAGGACTGCCAGCTTTGAGTGTCAGCTGGACAGAAAATAATGACTCACTACAGTGGATTTTAGGTTACGGAATTGTGAGTCAGTCCCTGTTGCAGCCAAACCATTCAGCGGATGGTAGCCCATCCAAACATGATCAACAATGTGAGGCTGATGGAATTACTGTGGTTATCAACAGTACACACAGAGAAAACCCTGTGGGAGCATTATTCTGAAATAGTGACTAACCACAGATTCTAGATGGGGGACACATTTACACTCAGATTGTACCAACCATAAATTAAGGCAATGCCTACCTTTAATTCAGCCCTAACTATAGTCATTTTTCTAATGAGAAAACATCCAACTGACAAGACGCATGGGCATTACCTGCTGTGTGTGTGTGTGTGTGTGTGTGTGTGTGTGTGTTTTTACTTCTCATGCAAGTCTGACATGAGTCCTCCTGCCCAGGCATCTCTCCTGGTTGGCTCCCCTCCAAGCAGCTACTCAGGAATCCAGGCTCCTTTCATGTTATGGTTCCACCTTCCCCTCAGTCCTCAAAATGCTCTCCATTCAGCAGGAAGACAAGGAAAGAGCATGAAGATTGTGCTTGGGAAGGATTTATGGACCAGGCCTAGAATATTCTTCACTTTTATTGCTTTCTAACTTAAGCAAGCTCTTAAATGGCAGTTTTCTTTGCGGTGCTCCATAAAGTTAAAAAGTGTCAACAAGAGCTGACAACTCCTAGAATTAGCAGTCTTGCCTACAATACATATATTGACATTTGCATGGGTTAAAAATTTACTTACTTTTTTTTCAACCTGTGAGTATTTACTGTGGATCCACTAGAGGGAAGATAGTGAAATGGAGACCAGGAAGTATAACCACGATCCCATCCCTTAAAGAACTCCCAGTCTAGTTGAAGAAATGGGATCTACAAGACAGCAAGGAAAAAGGAATGCAAGGATACAAATAATAGGAATTCGGAGGAGCAGATTCATTGTGGGGTGGAGCTGTCAGGGAGCAGGCTTCAGAGGGGAAAAAGCTTTTAAATGGGGTCTTGGTGAATCAGCTGATGAGGAAAGGAAGAGGCCATTCTGATTACAGGAAGGGGTTAAAGCAAAGACACAGGTAAGCAATGTAACCTGTGTTCTGGAGCTAGCGAGCAGAGCTTGGCTTGGGCAATGGGCTTATCAAAGAAAAACAGAGCATACCAACATGGATGAATCTCCGAAGAGGAAGACTACACTCACGCCACTGACTCCCAAGCGCCCCCAACTCCTCTCACACCCTGCTGGATCACACATTAGATACCGAAGACCACCAACCCGATTCTGATCTCTACTAATACTGTTTCCTTCACCAAAGAGCTCTTGTGTTTAAAAAGAGTGTTCCTCCAGGGCTCCTGGGAGGGCAGAATGGCTTCCATTTCTAAAGGATAATATTAGCGCTGACATTTTACTTTGTGCCAGACACTACACACACACACCTGTTACTGAATGTAATCCTTACATCCATGGTAAAAGGTACTAATCTTACCCACATTTGACAAATGAGGAAACCCCACTCAGAGAATAGTGATAACTGGTAATATTTCCTGGGCATTTAGCATGTGCCAGACGCTGTGCTCAACCCATGTTTAGCTATATATGCTTAGCATATTATCATATAATTCTCGCCACAGCTCTCTGGAATAGAGGAGTCCAGAAAAGGGGCCAAACTAAGGTTATGCCGCTCATGAGTGGTGAAGGCAGGACTTGAACCCAGGGCCCTCCACTTCCAAAGCCCAAGTTCTTAAACAGATAGTTACATAGTTGTGAAGGCACCTGACTCTCATCTGGCTAGTGGAGGTCGGAACTGGAGTTTAAGCCCAGTCTGGCTGAATTTGAAGCCAATACTCTTTCCTCTCCAGGGCTCAGCTTAATCTGGCCTGCTGCCCATTTTTGTAAAGTTTTATTGGAAAACAGCCACACTCACTGATTTAGGTACTGTCTACACAGAGACCACTGGCCTGAAAATTAAAATTATGTACTATACAACTTTTACTGAAAAAGTTTGCCAACTCCTGTTCTAAACTGTCCTGCTTAAATGCTCACAAGACTTTCTTCTCATCCAAAGCCAAGGTGCTTCGGTGGCTTTGAAGCAACCTGCTCCTCTACCCACTGGCCAGTGAGCCCTATGGCCTCCTGGCTATGTTCTTGGATCCTGAGGTTCTAAACCAGTCCTTGCCTTCTTTCCCCAAAGCCTCCCCTCCCTTGTGGTCCATCTGATCATTATCACTCCTACAGGCTCACAGCTTCAGGAGTGAAAAGAAAAAGTGCTTGTTCCCCATACTCTTTTCTGTTTCTCACAGGGGTCTGCCCTTGGCCCCTTCAGAATTAAACTGTTTTTCCTTTCCATCTACCACCTTCAGGGGAAGGCTTGGGTTCCAGCCAGATTTTGTTTTCTTATTTTTTTGAGACAGAGTCTCACTCTGTCACCCAGGCTGGAGTGTTGTGGCATACTCTCAGCTCACTGCAACCTCCACCACCTGGGCTTAAGCGATTCTCCTGCCTCAGCCTCCCGAGTAGCTGGGACTACAGGCACTCACCACCATGCCCTGCTAATTTTTGTATTTTTAGTAGAGACAGGGTTTCACCATGTTGACCAGGCTGGTCTCAAACTCCTGACCTCAGGTGATCTGCCCGCCCTGGCCTCCCAAAGCGCTGGGATTACAGGCGTGGGCCACCACGCCTGGCCCATCCAGATTTTCTAATGGGTCTGGGCCTCTCTCTTCACAACCATCAGCCTGTGGTTACAGAGAAATTAAGTTTCAGGGACATGAGAGCCCAGGCTGCCCACTGCACAGGCCTGACGGTACTTACCCTTCACGTTGCTCAGCACAGTGATACCAATGCTGTCACCCTCTCTACCTCAGCACCCTGTTAAGGGTTACCACAAGAAAACTGTCTGCTGGCTTGCGACCAAGGTAAGGTGAGATTCCCCATGGCTTGACCTCTGAGAAGTGAGAAGAAATCCCTCCGCTTGGCCGGGCGCGGTGGCTCACGCCTGTAATCCCAGCACTTTGGAAGGCCCAGCACTTTGGAAGGCCGAGGCGGGCGTTTCACAAGGTCAAGAGATCGAGACCATCCTGGCTAACATGGTAAAACCCTGTTGCTACTAAAAATACAAAAAAATTAGCCAGGCATGGTGGCGGGTGCCTGTCGTCCCAGCTACTCGGGAGGCTGAGGCAGGAGAATGGCGTGAACCTGGGAGGCGGAGCTTGCAGTGAGCCAAGATCGCGCCACTGCACTCCAGCCTCAGCGACAGAGCGAGACTCCGTCTCAAAAAAAAAAAAAAGAAAAAAGAAAAAGAAATCCCTCCGCTTACTCCAGGAAGCACTTCTGCCTAAGAGTCTGTTCTGAGCTCAGGGTCTATTTCTACGTTTAACAAACGAGGAAACCCCACTCAGAGAATAGTGACAGTAACTGCTAATATTTCCTGGGCACTTAGCGTGTGCCAGGCGCTGTGCTCAACCTATGTTTACCTATATATGCTTAGCATATGCCCATATAATTCTCACCACAGCTCTCTGGAATAGGAGAGTCCAGAGAAGGGTCTAAACTAAGGTTATGCCACTCATGAGTGGCGAAGGCAGGACTTGAACCCAGACAGGGGGCTCTGAGGCCAGAGTCTCACCAGAATTTTTCTAATTTCTCTCAAATTGAACTAAACTAGGTTGCAAGTTGAAGGTTCACAGATCAGCTACTGTCTTGGGGGTTATGACTGCCATGTATGAACTTTTGGGGGTGGGGGGTGGGAGGGCTAGAATCAAAACATTTTGCTATCAGTGCAGACAGGTAATTAAGAACATGAGTTCCAGAGGTGGAGGGGCTCAAATATTAGTTCTGAAATATCTTAGCAGGTAAACTTGGAAAAGTTACTTGACCTGAGTCCCAGTTTCCTTCCATGTTAAAAGGGGAAAGAAATAGTATTGTTAGAGGATGAAATACTGGGTCTAGCACCTCTGAGGACCTAGTGGGTGGCTGTTACCAAAATGAACCCACAGCAGCCTACTGTAAGAAGTTTATCTTTTGAGTCTAGTCTCAAATTCTAGTGTTCATAAAAATCTCTCAGGAGACTTAATGATGTAGATTTTCAGGTCCTATTCCCTGACAGTCCAAATTGGTGGGTCTGTAACCTGGCCTGAAAATCTAGATTTCAAACCAGCACTCCCTCCCCTCCTCCCTCACCTTCCTGCAGGTCATTCTGATGTCAGCAGGCCATGAAACGGACTAAGAAAAATAATTCATAAGAAGCCAGGCACTGTGGCTCATGCCTGTAATCTCAGCACTTTGGAAGGCCGAGGTGGGTGGATCACCTGAGGTCAGGAATTTGAGACCAGCCTGGCTAACATGGCGAAACCTCATCTCTACTAAAAATACAAAAAAAAAAAAAAATTAGCCAGGTGTGGTGGCGGGGGCCTGTAATCCCAGCTATCGGGAGGCTGAGGCAGGAGAATCGCTTGAACCAGGTAGGCAGAGGTTGCAGTGAGCTGAGATTGCCCCACTGCATTCCAGCCTGGGTGACAGAGAAAGACCCTGTCTTAAAAATAACAATAATAATAATTCATAAGAAAACCCAGCCGGCGCGGTGGCTCACAACTGTAATCCCAGCACTTTGGGAGGCCGAAGCGGGTGGATCACCTGAGGTCAGGAGTTCAAGACCAGCCTGGCCAAGATGGTGAAACCCCATCTCTACTAAAAATACAAAAATTAGCCGGGCATGGTGGCGGGTGCCTGTAATCCCAGCTACTCGGGAGAGTCTGAGGCAGGAGAATCACTTGAACCTGGGAGGCGGAGGTTGCAGTGAGCTGAGATTGCACCACTGCACTCCAGCCTGGGTGACAAGAGTGAAACTCCGTCTCAAAATGAAAAAGAAAGAAAAGAAAACCCACTGTAGGTACAGGGATGTTGATTACAGCTTTTTTTTCCAGCAATAGACAAAAATTCTGGAATCAAATGTTACCTTTTAGGAGAATAATTAAATATATTGTGATACCTGAACTTGGATTATTAAATAATCATTAAAAACAATCAACATGAAAAATAATACAGCTTTATGTAAAAGCACATACCAAATAATATTAAGGGGGAAAAAAAAGGACAAAATGCTTTGTAATTCTAACCCAAAAGCCATATTTAAACGTTAATGTGGTTTGAAAGGGGCCGGGGAAGGCTATCAACCGTTTTCTGCCAAGGTAAAGTGGAGACAAAGCTATGGAGGGAGTCCAAAAAATTCAGTCACAGTAAACACAGGGTTGTGTTACTATGAGATTAATGAAATGAGCAAGCCCGGGCAGCCAGCAGGCCAGGAGCTCTGTGCATTCAGGAACCAATCACCAGCCAGGTCTTATCTTGATTTTATGTCATCGTGGGGTGCAATGTTGGAAGGTTTGACTGCAATGTTTTTTAAACTTCTTGCAAGGTAGCAATAAGGTGGTTGTCAGAGTGGTTTCTTCACTACCTCAAAACATACTTTTGGGGGACTGCCTCGGTCTGGAAAGGCAAGTGTCCTGGGTTTGAGTTGAGCTGTCCTAATCAGTCAAGCATCTAACATTTCACTGTCACTCGAGGGGATGGATACCCCATTCTCCCTGACATGATGATTACTCATTGCATGCTTGTATCAAAACATCTCACATACCCCATACATATATATACCTACTACGTACCTACAAAGTTTAATTTTTTTTTTTCTTTGAGACGGAGTCTTGCTCTGTCACCCAGGCTGGAGTGCAGTGGCGCGATCTCGGCTCACTGCAAGCTCTGCCTCCTGGGTTCATGCCATTCTCCTGCCTCAGCCTCCCGAGTAGCTGGGACTACAGGCGCCCGCCACCACGCCCGGCTAATTTTTTGTATTTTTAGTAGAGATGGGGTTTCACCGTTTTAGCCAGGATGGTCTCGATATCCCGACCTCGTGATCTGCCCACCTCGGCCTCCCAAAGTGCTGGGATTACAGACGTGAGCCACCGCGCCCGGCCAAAAGTTGAAAATTTAAAAAGAAAACTTCACTGTAGAAAAAGAACAAAGTGCTCCGGGGAGGTCATCACTCCCATTTGGCCCATGTTCCTCCATTCTGATTCATAACAGCCTGTCTTCATTTTTAGTGTCCTCAGTGACCCCACAACTGGGGCCAAAAATCAGTGCCTCCTTTCCTTGTTTGTTGTCACTTACAGTTGTCCTAGGAAACATAAGTGCTAATCATACACAGCCCCAGAAGAGCAGACCTTGTTCAGACACATAAGAAGTCTTCATTCTCCACCCTCAATGTCCTCAATCTTAGTGTGTCTCTCCATTTCATATGTCATAAATAATGCTCTCAAGCCCTTAGTTATGACCTCAACACAGCTGAAAAGCAGCTCAACTAATCATCTAGGGGGTGTGGGAGAGGGAGCGTGGTGAGAGGTGGGAAAGGACAGCTGGGTGGGGCCTATTGGATTGGCAGTGTAACCCACTGATCCTGGCCAGGGCCCCTGTTTCTTCTTAGCCTCAATATCCTCCTCTGTAAAATAAGGGAGGGAAAACATACCAGATGATCTCTAATGCTCCTTGCTCCTTTTTGTACCAATTCTTTGAGATTTGATTAGTTTTTCAGACAAGAGCAGAGGTGAATTCTTTGAGTCAAAGTCACTCAAATGGTCTTTGACTTTTAGCCCTAAACTTAAACCAACAGCCTTTTCCTCCGAAAATGCATACTGCATATAATGGGTAAATTTTTTTTTTAAACTACCTTATTGATAACTTACATAACATAAAATTCACACTTTTAAAGTGTACAATTCAGTGATATTTAGTATATTCACAAAGCTGTGCAACCATCACCACTATCTAAGTCCAAAATCTATTCTTTACCCCAAAAAGAAGCCCTGTACCATTAGCAGCCATTCCTCATTCCCGTCAGCCCCTGGCAATGACTAATCCACTTTTTATCTTCATGTATTTGCCTATTCTAGACACTTCACAAAAAGTAGAATCATGGCCAGGCATGGTGACTCATGCCTCTAATCCCAGCACTTTGGGAGGCCAAGGCAGGTGGATCACCTGAGGTCAGGAGTTCGAGACCAGCCTAGCCAACATGGCAAAACCCCGTCTCTACTAAAAATACAAAAATTAGCCAGGCATGGTGACGAGCGCCTATAGTCCTAGCTACTCGGGAGGCTGAGGCAGGAGAATCGCTTGAACCCGGGAGGTGGAGGTGACAGTGAGCCAAGATCGTGCCATTGCACTCCAGCCAGGGCGACAGAATGAGACTCCATCTCAAAAAAAGAAAAAAAAGTTGGCCGAGCACAGTGGCTCACGCCTGTAATTCCAGCACTTTGGGAGGCCAAGGCAGGCAGATCACGAGGTCAGGAGATAGTGACCATCCTGGCTAAAACGGTGAAACCCCATCTCTACTAAAAATACAAAAAAAATTAGCCGGGCGTGGTGGCGGGCACCCACAGTCCCAGCTACTTGGGAGGCTGAGGCAGGAGAATGGTGTGAACCTAGGAGGTGGAGCTTGCATTGAGCCGAGATAGCACCACCGCACTCCAGCCTGGGCAACAGAGCAAGACTCCATCTCAAAAAAAAAAAAGAAAACGTGGAATCATATAGTATATGACCTGCTATGCCTGGCTTCTTTCACTTAGCCTAATGTTTTCAAGATTCCTCCATGCTGTACCATGAATCAGTATTTTGTTCATTCTTACAGTTGAATAGTATTCCATTGTTTGGATATACAACATTTTGTTTATACATGCATTAGTTGGATATTTTGTGTTGTTTCTGTTTTGGAGCTGCTATAAACAGCACTGGTATGAACATTAGCATACAACTATTTTCGTGTGCACGTGTTTTTAACTCTCCTGAAGTGGAATTGCTGGGTCATATGCTAAATCTATGTTTAACATTTTGAGGAACTGCCAAACCTTTTTCCAATGTGGCAGGCACCACTTACAAATCCCACAAGCAATGGATGAGGGCTGTACTTTATCCACAGCTTTACCAACACTTGTTTTTGTCAGTCTCTGAGCCATCGTAGTGGCTATGACATGGTAGCTCACTAAGGTTCTGATCTGCATTTCCTTAATAGTTAATGATGTTGACAATCTTTTTGTGTACTTATTGGCCATTTGTCTATCTTCTTTGGAACAATGTCTACTTACAAGGTTTCTTTGTGAGGTGATAAAAATGTTCAAAAATTAGAATAGGGTAAAAGTTGCTTAACTCTGTAAATATATTCAAAACTATTGAATTGTACACATTAAATGTGTTAACTTTATGGCATATAAAATATATCTCCATAAAGCTGTTTTTAAAAAGTTAGCGTGTGTAACAGTCACAGGGGAGGGTGGGGAGACGCCTTTTAAAAGTGCAGATTCGGCCAGGCACGGTGGCTCACACCTGTAATCCCAGCACTCTGGGAAGCCAAGGCGGGCAGATCACAAGGTCAGGAGATCAAGACCATCCTGGCTAACACAGTGAAACCCCATCTCGACTAAAAAATACAAAAAATTAGCCAGGCGTGGTGGCGGGCTCCTGTAGTCCCAGCTACTCGGGAGGCTGAGGCAGGAGGATGGTGTGAACCCAGGAGGCAGAGCTTGCAGTGAGCAGAGATCGTGCCACTGCACTCCAGCCTGGGCAACAGAGTGAGACTTCGTCTCACAAAAAAAAAAAAAAAAAAAAAAAATGGGGGAGATTCCTGGCTGGGCACAGTGGCTCACACCTGTAATCCCAGCACCTTGGGAGGGCAAGACAGGTGGATTGCTTGAGCTCAGCAGTTCAAGACCAGCCTGGGCAACATGGGGAAACCCCATCTCTACAAAAATAGAAAAATTAGCCCAGTGTGGTGGCACATGCCTGCAGTCCCAGCTACTTGGGAGGCTGAGGTGGGAGGATGGCTTGAGCCTGGGAGGTGGAGGTTGCAGTGAGCCAATATAGCACCACTGCACTCCAGCCTAGGCAACACAGTGAGACTGTGCTTCAAAAACAAAGCGCATATTCCTAAATATACCAAGAGCAGACAGTGATTCCACAAATCTGGGAGGAAGCCCCTGCACTGTGTGTCTTAGTCAAAGATACGGAGCAAGGCTGAGACTGTTCTCTGTAAGAAGCCAATTCTCGGAGGCCCCAAGGGCACAAGGCTCCAGGGGAAGAAGAAAAGGCCGATGTGCACTACTGTATTTTATAAACACATATTAATGAGCTCTTTCCTTTTGTACTTTCTTGCATGATGACTTGCCGCTTGATCTGTTCGACGGCAGAGGAAAGGGCTGGGATAGAGAGTCTAAGATAAAAGTCAGTGAGGGTTACTAGGACATTCTTGAGGCCTGCAGGGCTCCCAGAGTCCCTGCTGTGCCCATTGTGGGGCCTCAGGCTTCTTGAGAGCACTGGTAGACCTACAGAGGCTTGCAACTGGAAAAAGGCCCTCAGAGCTCAGAGCCTTTGCAATGGGAGGAGACAGCCATAAATGGCTGTGACCATGGACTTCAGAGGACTTCAGTGGACACTAGTACAAGGGGCAGCAGGAGCCCAGAGTGGATCCACAGACCAGAGTGGCAAGGGGCAAATCAAGTCATTATTCTATGAGGGCTTGTGAAGAACATTATATATATGTGTGTATGTATATACATGTATGTGTCAATATGTGCATATGTATATATGCATATATTTACATATCACATTCATATATATTATATGTATATATAATATATAAAATATACACAAAATATAAGTGTATAAAAACATATGAGCATAAACACACATATCATATTCAGATGTACACATCAGCTAACTTATAATGTAAGTAAACATATGACTATATATATATTTAGAGGGCGATATTGTTTGGAGGTTTGTCCCCTCCAAATCTCATGTTGAACTGTAATCCAGTGTTGGAGGTGGGGCCTAGTACAAGTTGTCTAGATCATGGGGGCGGATCCCTCCTGAATGGCGTAGCACCATCCATTGGCGATGAGTGAGTTCACATAAGATCTGGTTGTTTTAAAATGTGTGTCACCTCCTCCTCTCTCTTGCTCCTGCTCTCGCCATGTGATGCACCTGCCCCCCCACCTTTGCCTTCCGCCATGATTGGAAGCTTCCTGAGGCCCTTACCAGGAGCAGATGTTGGCATTATGCTTCCTGTACAGCCTGCGCAACCATGAGCCAATAAAAGTTTTCTTCATAATTTACCCAGCCTCAGGTATTTCTTTATAGCAATGCAAGAACAGACTAACACATAAGGTGTGTATATGTATAAGCACATAACCAGATATTCATAATTTTTAAAGCACTCTTAATAACAGGGGGGCACTTACTCTTTTTAGACCACAAAAATGAGGCTCAGAGAAGTGTGGTGAACTGTCCAAGCTGCAGTGGTCACAAGGGACAGAAATGGGATTAAGACTCAGTGTTCCTCCTATTCCTCCAGGCTCTTAACCCCATTCGTGACCTTCAATAGCACTTTCTCCCAGGTAACTGACAACTGTACATCACAGCAGCAATTTTTTTACTTGCATTTAAATTCCTACCTGGGACATTATCATGCAATAAGGAGGGGCAGCCTTGAGAATGGAATTCATGTGACCAACTGTGCCCAGCTGGACTCCTGAAAGCAGCCCACAGTCCTCTCTGTGAGCCCAGAGCAGGACCAAACCCTTCAAGGGAGCAATTTTAAGAGCAGTTGGCGTCACCCTAACCACAGCAGTATCTGATCATACATACTTGAAAACCATCCTCTTGATTCTTGCCTTCACTTCCTGTTGGGTTGAAAATGAATCCAAGGGGAATTCCAGATGAGGAGTGGAACTGAACTGGAATGCTCCCACTCTGACCTGCAGTAGGAGACAGGGGGCTCAGGGCCCCGAGACTGGAGTCAAAAACATTCCTAAGAGGAAAGAAGGGGCAAGAAAAGTTAACAACCCTGCCTCCCATCCACTCAACAAACACCAGTGCCAGAGCTTTCTCCAGTCTCCCTAGAAGGAGGTTCCAAAGACCAATTTGGAGAACCTGGAAAAAAACAGCCAAATCTGTTTGTGTTCTGCACTGATGACCCCCAATTCAATCTTCTTGACTTACCTACTGCTAGGCAGCTGAACATTCTGGCAGTGTTCTCAGCTGAGCTTGTGCATCTTTAGGGCTGGGTCTCTGCTCACTTTTACCAACTGCCTCCTAGCTGCCAGTGCTGTCTTGAGCAGTTTCAGGCACTATCTCATTTAATCCACAGAGGCACTATTAACACCCACATTATGGTTGGAGAAACCCCAATATGGAGAATATATACCTCTGGCCCAAGGCAAATGCTTACTTGCCCAGGACTAGTAAGAAAGGCAGCCAGGCCATTGGACTTTGTGCCTGTGGTCTTCCCTAAGGCCCAGTTATACCTCCTGCCTTCTCAGCAGCCCACACAAGCCAGCAGCGAAACACTTACTGACCCAACTGGGGCTGCCGCAGAAGCTAACCATAGCCACCATCACTGATAACTCATCACTAACCACAGCCACCCCACAACCCGGTCCTTCATTGGGTGGTCAGCCCCGCCAGACCTGCCCCTGCCAAGCTAGAGGAAAGGCCAGGTCTCTAGACCACAGTCAGATTTGGGGGACAATCAGCATCTACAACTGAAACGACTAGTATGGGGGCTGAAGTTCTTCTGTAATTAAGGAGAACACTGGTGAATCCACATAGATTTTGTGTCCTAACTGAGGAGGCCATAGGAGATCCAATACCTTGCAAAACTGGAGAAAGGAAACTGAGTAAAGTTGCTCTCTGGATCCTTAAGGCACTAGCGTGTCTTGAGCAGAGAAGACTACAAACATTCAGCTTTCCTCCCGAGGGCCCAAGGCCTGCACCTAATCATTGGTTCTCCAAAACCCCTGGAGAAACAGCATTCTCTGTAACTATTCTCAAAACTAACCCTAGTTCTGGCCAAGAGTGCAAATGGGCCAAGTGAGTCATATTTAAGCAATGATGCTGCCCTCTGCTCCCCACTTGAATTCCCTCGCTGCCGTTCCCTCGACAGGCGTGGGACGTGGGAGATGATGGAAACGCCCTGCCACACCAGGCGGGCTGCATCTGCTCCGGATCAGCTGGGTGGGGTTCCTTTTTGCAGGCAGGATGCTCTGGGGAGGAGCTGTTGGGCACCTTAAGCAGAAAGAAATCTCAGTCTTCAGTGGACACATTGGGGAGACGGACACAGGAAGACGGACCAGTAGGTGATCTCAGGAAGAAGCTTCTGGGAAGGAGCGCTTCCTGGGTTTTCCTTGAATTTAGTGTGTGATTAAAAAGGGGCATCTCAAACCAGGGAGAAAAGATGATCTAGTCAGTCAATGATATTGGGACAACTGGAGAGCAATCTACCAAAAATAAAGGATAAACTGCAAATGAATTCAAGATTTTAGTGTGAAAAATCTAAATATGAAAGTTCTAGAAAAACTCAGGAGAATTTCTAAAATTTCAACGTGTAAAAAGACCTTACTTTCTATTACTTAGAATCCAGAAGCCATAAAGGAAAGATTGATAAATGTGACCACATGAAAAAAAAAAAACAACTTCTGTGGGACGAAACATACCTTAATGGCATAAAAAAATAAAGACAAAATGGAAAAATTATGTGCAATTCATGTTAAAGGGTTAGCCTCCTCAATATATAAAAAGGTGTCTGGGAATCAACATATAAAAGACCAACAATCCAACAGAAAATGGGCAAAGGATTTGAACAGAGATCACAGAACAGGAAATACAAGTAACTCTTTGATGGAAAGACACCTGGCCTCACCATAATGAAATAGCATTTTTCCCCATCCATTTAGCAAAAAAACATATACAATGTTTTCGGGGTGAAACAAGCATTCTCAAACATTGCTTGTAGAAATGTAAATTGGTACAACATCCATGGAAGGCAATTTTTTAATATTTATTGAAAATTAAAAATAATAAAATTTAAACAAATGCATAGGGCTACTGGAAATGTATCCTACTCGTATGTGTGAAATGATGTTATTTACGAGATCACAGTTTATTTGTAACAGCAAATATCCATCAATAGGGGTTAATTAGACCTGGAGAAATCCTTATGATGAAACATTTTAATGACCTGTAAAAAAATTATACCTGTATACAGATACGCAAAGATTTCCATGAAAATGTGAGGAGGAAAAAGGCATGAGAGAATAATGTGTACGGTAGGCTACGCTTTGTGTAATAAGAGAGAAAGAAGAATATTTATTCATATTGCCTGTATTTGCACAAAGTGATTCCGGAAGGGACTCAAGAACACAAGTTGAGGGACAGGGCAAATGGAAAATGTGTGGGTGAAAGGGAGACTTTTCACTGTACATCTTTTTATTGAACCCATGTGAATGAATTACTTAGTTGAAAAAATAACCTCCCCTGAGACCAACAGCTGGGTGTATTTACTTGAGTTAAACAGGAAGAAACAGAACTTCAAAACAAGAAGGAAGCAGCTTAAGTCAGTAGTTAAAGCATTTTGTTTAATTGGTGGTTTGGGAACAAAATAGTTGCCTTTTATCTTCAGTTTACTGTACGCTCAGAAACAGGCCCGCCCAGCTATCTTACCAGCCATAATCACTCTGCCCCAGTCACTACATTAGAGCCAGGAAGTGAACCTCTCAGCTTTTAAGTGTTAAGAGGAAGACTTCAAACACCTTAAATCCACCTTAACAACAGAGCATCCATAAAAGTCTTAATTTACAGCTACTTGACATTTCTTCTTGAAAACTAAAGTTAAAAAAAGTAAAACATGGCACGAATGAAATGCCTTGTACATGGAGACAACAAAAAGAGAATACAAAAAAATGCAGCAGCAAAAACATAAAGCCTGAAGCCACAAGTCAGAATAAACCATCTTAAATTGCCCTCATGCAAACCCTTCTGCAGCATGCCAAGGGGTCCACCTGACCTTGGAGGTCAAGACACTAATTCACTTACCCAAGTAAACAATTCCTCTGCTTCCCAAGTCTTGCTGCAAGAAAGCTTTCCTCAGGTTAAGCCCAAATCTAACTCCCTGAACACCCAGATTCTACCCTTAAAAAACAGAGCCATTGTCTGCTCTCTTTCACATGAAAATGATAATCGTGTTCCCTCATTCATAGAGGTTTCCAGGCCTCTGGCTGTCCTGGCTCCTTCTCATGGGCACTGACTGTTTGGCCCAAGTCTAACCAAGAAGTCAGCCCCTAGAACTCAATGACACTTTCTAGATGTGGTCCAGCAATGCTCAGGTTAAATTCCCTGAACTCTGGGATCTGCTCCCAATAGCATCAGCCAGGAAATTTCTTGTCACGGTTTTCTTACACCACTCCCTCCTCACACGCACATACACTGCCACACTGCTGGCCATTTGCTGTGTGATAGCAGGGTGTGAATTCTGAGGGTCAAGACAAATGGCCTAATGGAGCAAGTCCTGGGCTGAGTCAAAAGCCCCAGTTCTTCCACACTTAACTCTCTCCTGAGGTTGCTGTGTGACCCTCGGCAGTCACTTAGCCTCTCTGAGCCTGTTCCCTCATCTGTGAAACATGCATTAATAATCCATAGGACCCTTCATTCCCAACTAGCCAACCCCAGGGTCTCCAGGCTACTCATTTCAGGACACACTACATCAATGCCAAGGTCAACAGTGTTTAATCTTCATGCTTCTTCTCTTTATGTTATTCCTCCATGAGTAACTAATGACACCTGATAAGGAACCCTTTTAAAAGCAGGGTCCTGTGCAGAGGATGGTGGGGAACTGGCGCTTCTTGCCTGGCCCTTTTAGGGTCTATGCTGGGTTAACATCATGGTTAGAAATCTTCTGGGCTGCTTGTGCCTAGATTAAATGATGCCTGCTATGGTGTCCTCAGGTGCAAGGTGGTCTAAGGTCCAGGAAGTGTGCTCCAGCTCCCCAAATGACACACCATTCTGCAGAAAATCTGGCCCTCATTAAAAGCCATGTATGTTTCTAAATCCTAGAGGTTTTAACTAGGATTAATCTAGGAATGTTATCTTGGAAAACCACTTCCTTCCTCAACCTGTATGCAACCAGTCTCTCATCCAAGTAATGACAGCTTTTCCAGGCTACATCATCTCTTAATTTTTTTTTTTTTTTTTTTTTTTGAGACGGTGTTTCACTCTGTCGCCCAGGCTGGAGTGCAGTGGCACCATCTCAGCTCACTGCAACCTCTGCCTCCTGGGTTCAAGCGATTTTCCTGCCTCAGCCTTCCGAGTAGCTGGGACTACAGGCACGTGCCACCATGCCCGGCTAATTTTTTGTATTTTTAGTAGAGACAAGGTTTCATCATGTTAGCCAGGACGGTCTCAATCTCCTGACCTCGTGATCCACCCGCCTTGGCCTCCCTAAGTACTGGGATTACAGGCGTGACCCACCGCGCACAGCCTCTCTTAATTTTTAAGTTGACTTTTGAGTAGGTTCACGTGATTCAAAATCCAGAAAATATTTAAGTCTGTATTGATGAGTCTGCCTCTGGCCTTGTGCCCTGTCAACTCACTTCCCAACCTCCCCCTTAATGAAAACCACTGTCCTCAGCCTCTTACAAATCCATCCAGAGTGTATACAGATATAAGAAAACTGTATACCGATACAAGAAAACAAAGACAGATTTTCATTCATCCCCCTTTATCTTTTACATAGAAAGTAACATATTATACACACCATTTGCACCTTACTTTGACACTTCACTTGTTCTGGTGTTTTTCCATATCAGAGAGCTTCCTCACTCACTTTCTGGAGCTGCCTAGCGTTTCAATATACGAATGCATCATAAGGGATTTATCTGTCCTCCCTCAGCGTACATCTGGATTGCCTGAAATATTTTACAGTTTATACACATAATGCTGCAATGAATAACTCTGTATGGGTACGATTTTGCATGGGCATGTGTACTGTAGAATAAATTCCTTGATGTAGAATTGCTGGGTTAAAGGGTCCAAGCCTTTGTAACTGGGATGAATACTATTGGATTCTCCCCTAGAGGCTGCACCATTTCACACTCCACCAGCAGTGTATGACAACACCAGTTTTTTTCAAGATTTGCCAATGAAGCATGTCACCAAATTTAGGATTTTTTTTGCTAACCCAGTAAGTGAAAAACTGTATATTAGGCATAGGGTTTGCTGACTCTGAGTGAGTGAGGTTGGGCTTCTTTTCATATGCCTGAAGGCCTTGCGTGTTTCATTTTCTGGGAACTATCTGTGTTCCTTGCCCATTTTTCTATTGGATTGTTAAAAAAAAAAATGCCCCTTTTAGAAATAAGAGCCACAGCTACCACACTCTGCTATATTTAAGACCTACTATTTGAAGAACAAGAAATGAAGATACTGGCTGGATTCACTCAAGCAGGAATAGTTCCTCTCAAGTGCAAGAGAGGGTAGGAGCTGTGCTATTCAGTCCACTGAGGTAGTAACAGCTTTAGTCTGCTTAGCATGCTTTCCCTTTCCCATTGTTCTGCAAACACAACCCAACCTCTCTTTCCAGAGGAAAGTCAAATCTACTCCCTACCCCAAAAACATGGCAGAGCTCTTAACTGAGGTCCGGCCAGAAACTCTCTTCCCTCTGACTACTGTGATTGGTCAGTGGATTATCATGTGACCTAGGCCTGCCCAATCAGAACCCTCCTGGGACTTTGGCCAGATCTAGAGAAAGAAGTCCCCTTAATTTCTAATAGGGTCACTAGCTTGAGGAACAATGCAGGACAACTTGGCTGTGTCAGGAAAACCTGCCTGAGAAGGAAGTCAACCAAAAGAAAACAAAATTGAGAGAAGGGAAAAAAAAAAAAAGAAAAAGATGCCTTATAGCCTCAACTCAGCCCTTGGATCCCACCATGCCAGGAACCAGGATTCAGCCCCTTGGTCTTCCCAGCTCCACAAGCGAGTAGATGCCTCCTCTGCTTGAGACCGGGTTTCTGTCCCTTATCACAGAAGACGCCCTAACACAAACACCCACAAGACTTGCACTCACCCTCTCGGGGCTGATGTCCAGACCGTCACAGACTGTGATGGCAAAGTGCTTGGACCTTTCAAAGCTCCCTTTCCCGACGCTGTTAGACCCATCTAACAGAAACATGATGTCCACTGCAGCCGAGCACCACATCACTAGGGAGAGCGGGACAGACAGATGACAACCAGGAGCAAGTCGGTCTCACTTCTGAAGCAGAGTGAAGGCACAAACAGCCTTGTGGTGGGCCAGGCTGCTGTCCCTCTTAGCATGAAAGGGGAGAACTGCAGAAGCAGCCCTCCTCTGAAGCAGGAAGCACACGCACCACAGGTGTGCTGCTCACAAATGTGCCCTTACGTGAAAGCCTTTGTATTACAATAATGGAAGAACCTAGTTCAACAATATCAATTACGTTCTATGAGGGGGTCTACTGGGCTAGTGAGCAGCACTGAAAAGGCTTGGTCCCAGGCCTCGGGGGACCACAGTCTAGTGTGGACACAGGCACCCTGATATGTGAGGCCATGTTACCCAAGAGTTCAGTAGCAGTAACAGCAGCAATGTGGAGGGATACTGATGAGGGTGGAAGAGGAAGGAATATGGTGGGAGATGGACATGGCAAGTAGCCACCCCGTTACCTGGTGAGCAGGTAACAGAAAACCTTGAGGCACAGGCCAAGTAATTCAATAATAAAGATTTACTGAGGCTGGGCATGGTGGCTCACACCTGGAATCTCAGCACTTTGGGAGACCAACGCGGGCGGATTGCTTGAGTTCAGGAGTTCGAGATCAGCCTGGGTAACATGGCGAAACCCCATCTCTACTAAAAACACAAAAACTAGCTAGGCGTGGTGATGCATGCCTATGGTCCCAGCTATTTGGGAGGCTGAGGCAGGAGGATTGCTTGAGCCCAGGAGGTTGAGGCTGCAGTGAACTGAGATTATGCCATCGCACTCCAGCCTGGGCGACAGGAGCAAGACCCTGTCTTTAAAACAAAACAAAAAAAGGTTTACTGAGCTGTTTTGCTTGTTTTTGAGATGGAGTGTACCTCTTGTTGCCCAGGCTGGAGTGCAATGGCGCAATCTCAGCTCACTGCAACCTCCACCTCCTGGGTTCAAGCAATTCTCCTGCCTCAGCCTCCCGAGTAGCTGGAATTACAGGCACCCACTTTTGTTTGTTTTTAAACCAAGTGATTTGGTCAGGTCCCTGTTTGGGGAAAATGACTCTGGCCAGAGCATGAAAGGAAGATGGGAAAGGGGCAGAAACTCTCTGGAAGAACATGGTTCTCATCCAGTCCATCACACAGAGGTCTGAGTGGGCATCTGGAGGGTTAAGAAGAACCTGGGCTTACTTTTGCTGGCAGCTGAAATCTTCCCGATGGTTTCTTTGCTTACATGGACTTCCTGGAGAGGGAGAGATGGGGGCACTAGGAGAGAAAACACCAGAAGCAGCCATTAAAATGCTGAGAGGGGAGGAGGCTCAATCTCCACATTAAGTGACTTGACTAAACAGGTAACATCAGAGAAACCTAGAATGTGGGGGAGTGATGATTCTTGCATCTCAAAAATTACCAGACGGATAACATAAAGAAACCCCCCAATTACCTCACTTCTATGAGGTATCTTTGTATTTAAATGTGGGTAGTTTGAAGACAAAGAATAAAACTAACACACAGTGGGGTTCTAGAGAGTCTGTGATTCTGAAAACTTTTGTCCCTGGTCAGGTGTAATAAGCGGGGAGGGGGGTGAGGTGTCAGGTCAGGTGTAATAACTGGGGGGAGTGGGGAGAGGAGGGGGGAGTGGGGGAGAGGAGGGGGGAGACGGGGACGGGGGAGGGAGAGACGGGGAGGGGGGACGGGGAGGGGGGAGAGGGGAGAGGAGAGAGGGGAGGGGAAATGAAATTGGAGGGTGGGGATAAGACACTGAGGAGGCCACAGGATTGCTGAACAGTGAACCAACCATGATGGAAGACAATAAGGGATCCCCAGAAGGGACATTTGGAAAAGCCAACATCCTCTCTGCAACTGCACCTGGTAGGTGTCTAGCAGCAGAAGAGAGGTACACTCAGATGCTTTGTAAATGTCAATGTGCAGTGACAGCACAGAGGAAACAAAGCTAGAGGGGCAGAGCCCAGGAGCGGCCAGGTCACGGAAGTGGGGCAGATGAAGGAACACAAGCAGGCCGGGTGCAGTGGCTCATGCCTGTAATCCCAGCACTTTGGGAGACCGAGGTGGGCCGATCACCTGAGGTCAGGAGTTCAAGACCAGCCTGGCCAACATGGTGAAACCCCATCTCTACTAAAAATACAAAAATTAGCCGGGTGTGCTGGCGGGCGCCTATAGTTCCAGCTACTTGGGAGGCTGAGGCAGGAGAACTGTTTGAACCTGAATGGCAGATGAGCATGGGGGCTGCTGTGGAGAGAGGTGAAGGAGATTCAGCAGGGAGGCCAGGAGGAATCACACAGTACAGGGCACCTGGTCTCAAGGTTTGCAACTGCCAGGAAAGTGATGACAAGAGAGACGCCAAAAGAGGGTTTCAGTCTGGGGGAGTGACACCAATGACCCACGTTATTGGTCAACCTACTAACTCAGCACTGCCTCGGCTGGTTCCAGCTCTGTCTTTCCCGGCTCCTTCCCGTTCACTAGTCCCCCATGCAAACTAAACTAGTCTCTCCCCATACCATATCTTTGAGCAGACAGCTCCTGCTCACCTAATACTCCCTCCTCCCCTCAATCTCTACTCATGGAGATTCTAAGTCAATGTGCCAGCAGTCAGCTCCACAGCCAAAAGCTGCCAGACAAATCTCTCTCATTAGGTCTGGCACAGTCTGCCGCTGCTGTTTTGCCACCAGAGACAGAAACAAGACTTAGACTAGAAAGAAAGACAGTAGACAAAATTAAAGAAAAATCTACTTGCATTTAAAAAATGGCATTTATTGGGACAGAGGCAGGGGCAGCATTAAAAAGAAAAACAGGCCAGCGGGGTGGCTCACGCCTGTAATCCCAGCACTTTGGGAGACTGAGGCGGTGGATCACCTGAGGTCAGGGGTTCAAGAACAGCCTGGCCAACAGGGTGAAACCCCATCTCTACTAAAAACACAAAAATTAGCTGGGTGTGTTTCGAGGCTACTTTCGAGGCTGAGGCAGTTGAATCACTTGAACCCGGGAGGCGGAGGTTGCAGTGAGCCAAGAGTGCACCACTGCACTCCAGCCTGGGCGAGAGGGAGACTGAATCTCAAAAAAAAAAAAAAAAAAAAATTACAGGTTTTCTGCTCACTGCATTCAGAGATCACGACCATGCCAACTCCTGGGCCCACTGCGGCCCACCCCATAATGCGGTTCTGTTCCCACGAGCCCCTCACCTTCCTGCCTGGAAGCTCCCTGAGGACAGAAGCATTTCCACCCAGTCCTCCACAGAGCCTCGCCCAGCCCTCTGCGTAAACACATAGGCACTAAGGTTTCCTGAGCTGAGTCCATGAATTATTCTCCTGACAAAGGGCCCAGTAGCCGAGGAATCCTAAAGACCCCAAAAAGAACAGAAAAATACAGTTTCTTTTAAAATATCTTACCAGCAAACTCTCCAGCTGAAGGCAGGCCAGCCATCTCCCCAGGATGAGAAGGCAAGGGAGCTCTGTGAGCACAGACCACTCACTAAAGATGTCACTCAGCTAACTAACTGTGCCTCTGTGCCCTGTGCTCAGCTGTCATGGCAGGTGCCAGGCTTCAGATGAGCCCACCTTGAGCCTGGGTGACATCCCCAATGCTCCCTGTGAAATGTCTTCAGGACTGCAGAGGCTCCCCCTGAACAGGCAGCTGCTTCATGTGTGATTGCTGTTGCTTTTTCCAACCAAGTCGGCAGCCCCCTCTAAAGACCAGCTGCCTGGGCTCCGGAACTTCAGTCTGCAGGATGGGTGACGCTATTGCGCAGGCAGAGTTGAGAATCACTAATCTAGTCAAATTCTTTCACTTTACAGATGTGACAGCCAAGTCTTAGAGAGAACTTTTGTACATTCTTATCTTTCCAGAGAAGCTGAGCGGTACAGCCAGCCCAGGAGTAGGGAGAACTGGGTGTTAGTCCCATGTCTGCTACATAGCTGTGTGACCTTGGGCATGTCACAGGGCCTCTCTGGGCCTCCCCTGCCTCATCTGTATAACCCAAGGATGATCAGAACAAGTGCATGTGATTGCAATCTGGAGGCTGGACAGGGCCACAGAAGGCAAAGGTCCATGACAAGCTGGAACAGAACCTGGACTGTGCCCAGGACTCCAGAGACTTCTTTCAGGCCCTGGCCCCAAACACATCTCACCACTCCCCAACCCCTTGGCCATGAAGCTGCTGTGTTATACTTTCCATCCACCCCACCTGGCTCAGAGACAGAGGGAAACAGTTGGGCTGGGCAGCCAGGCTGGAGCCACCAGCCCTCAACTTCCACCAGCATTTCTGATCCTCGCTAGGTTCCAGGAAACAGGCAGGTATTAACAGTAGCCAATTCAGCAGAGAACAAATACCTACTCATGGAAACACAGACCAGGGAGGAACTGCAAGAAATAATCCCAGAGGCCACTGTGCAACCCCTTGGCTTTACAGAAGGGGACCCCGAGCCTCACGAGGCTGTGACAGCTTGGCCGCCCAGTCCACCTGTTCTTACTTGTAAGACAACAATCTGCAGACACATCAATTCCTTCCTACCTTCTCATATTTCAAAGAGACTAGAACTTGAAAGGGAAAAAGTGGGAAGTAAAAAGAAAGTGGATTTGCTCCATTATTTATTCATTAATCTATTTCTGAAGCATAAACCGTGAGCCATGCCCGCCCTGAAATAATATAGTGGTGAATAAAGAATGTTAAAGAATGTACAGTCTCTTTCCTTGAGGACCTTACATCTTATGGAAAAGATGTCATTTTTTAAAATGCACACAAAACTCATATCTGTGTTAAGTGCTACAGAGCAAGGTCTACAAGGGGTTTGAAGAGGGGGATGTGACTTGATCTGGAGGTCCCAGGGGAATTGTGCTGGGGCCTAAGGATGGGGAGGAGTTTGCCAGGGTGGCAGTGTTGGGATGAGGGGGTGATCCAAGCACAGGGGCAACATAATTCAGAATGTTTTTGGTGGCGGGGAGCAAGGATGCAGGGCAGGACTGGAAGGAGAGTGGGCTGTGGTGCAGAGGGCGTAGAGGGGACTCAGGATGGCCACGGGGTAAGATGAGAAAAGCCTCTTAAGAGCCACAGAAAGTCACTGAAAAGTTTTAGCTGGGGGTGAAGAGGGGTCCAGACATGATCCAATTTGCATTTTGAAATGGCCGCTGTAAAGACATGGAGTCAACCCAAATGCTGATCAATGATAGACTGGATAGAGAACATGTGGTACATATACACCATGGAATACCATGCAGCCATAAAAAGGAACAAGATCACGTCCTTTGCAGGGACATGGGTGGAGCTAGAAGCCATTCTCCTCAGCAAACTAATGCCGGAACAGAAAACCAAACACCGCATATTCTCACTTACAAGTGGGAGCTGAGGGCCAGGCGCAGTGGCTCATGCCTGTAATCCTAGCACTTTGGGAGGCCAAGACGGTCAGATCACCTGAGGTCAGGAGTTCAAGACCAGCCTGACCAATATGGTGAAACCCCTTCTCTACTAAAAATACAAAAATTAGCCGGGTGTGGTGGTGCGTGCCTCTCATCTCAGCTACTCAAGAGGCTGAGGCTGGAGAATCACTTGAACCGGGAGGTGGAAGTTACAGTGAGCAGAGATTGCGCCATTGCACTCCAGTCTGGGTGACAGAGAGAGATTCCATCTCAAATAAATAAATAAATAAAATAAGTGGGAGCTGAACAATGAGAACATATGGACATGGGGATGGAAACAACACACACTGGGGCCTGTCGAGTGGTGGGGTGGGGAGGGAGAGCATCAGGATAAATAGCTAATGCCTGCTGGGCTCAATACCTAAGTGATGGGTTGATAGGTGCAGCAAACCATCATGGCACACACCATGGCACACATTTACCTATGTAACGAACCTGCACATCGTGCACATGTACCCTGGAACTTAAAAATAAAAAAAGAAATAGCCACTGCATGGAGAATGGGTTGGAGGAGGACCGGGGGACCCAGGGAGGCCAGGCAGGAGGCTACTGCAGTGGTCCAAGCACAAGATGACATGGCTTGGACTAGGGAGGTGGCCATGGAGGGGAGATGCAGGTGGATTCAAGAGACCTTTAGAATTGAAAATCAACAGGATTTGAAGCAAGCAACCCCCCTACTCAACACGCCAGTACTTCCCCACCACCAATAAACACATCTTACCTCTGGAAAACAGGAAAACACAGACGGCTTCCAGCAACAGGAAAGGGGGCATGTTGATATAACTACAGGGACACAGGAAAAGAAAGAAAGTATCAGCAATTAGTTCTGTGAACGCCCCAAGTCACACCGCCAAACAAGATGCCAACTCAGCCTTTTCCAGGTCACAGATATGACCCTGGAGGCCCTCACCACAATAACTAGAAAAGTCCCCAATTCCCAAGTCATGGAAGACTTTACTCCAATTACTTTGGTTTTAGACACCAAGCTAACATCTTCCCCAGGATACCTCTCTCATCCACCCCCAAATGCACCCCAGCCCTCCACGGGCCCTGGGAAGGTGTGCTCTCCTGCTCTCCCCAGAGTTAAGAGGCCCGGGTGTTGGCTCTGCCTGGGCCCTGACTAGCCACGTGACCCTGGGCAAAGTCACTTCTTTCTCAGGGTCTCCATTTCTTCATGAGGAGTTAGAATTCAACAGGCTGAAGATCTGATTTTCAATGTCCTCATCTTCTGAAACCTTCTAATGTGGTTAACAAACCTTCCCCTAGCTAAGAAGACAACATCTGAAGAAAGCCTGCACTATCTAAATTATCCACTAATCATCTAAATTATTTATAAATCGTAATCCGGCTGAAGGAAGAGGACTTTTTTTTTTTTTTTTGAGATGGAGTCTTATTCTGTAGCCCAGGCTGGAATGCAGTGGCACGATCTTGGCTCACTGCAACCTCCGCCTCCCGGGGTTCAAGTGATTTTTGTGCCTCAGCCTCCCGAGTAGCTGGGACTACAGGTACATGCCACCACACTTGGCTGAGAAAAATTATTTTTTGAGAAGTTTTTTTAAAAAAAAACTTCACCACCCATGCAGGAGCCACACCTGCCCCATGGTGGCAGAGAGCCTACATGAACCCAGGGGCCCTCATCCTCATCCTGGTGCCCTGTGACCTTGGGAGAGGCTGTGGTTCCTCCCTTACAAAGTGAAGAGAAGGGCCCTGATGTGGCTAAGCTGTTTTATGGTTTTAAAAGTCCCATTGGACTCCTGCCTCCATCATGGACCTATGATGTTTGGACCTCAAGATACATCCAGCTCCGTTTTGTTTTTTTTTTTGACATAGTTATTTGCATATTTAAAGTTTACACACATGCCATGACTCCAGTGTTTTTTAAAAAATAAGCCCTTCGCGGTGGCTCTTGTCTGTAATCCCAGCACTTTGGGAGGCCGAGGCAGGTGGATCACCTGAGTTCAGGAGTTCACGACCAGCCTGGCCAACACGGTGAAACAGTGTCTCTACTGAAAATACAAAAAATTAGCCAGACATGGTGGTGGGCACCTATAATTCCAGCTACTCAGGAGGCTGAGGCAGGAGAATCACTTGAACCTGGGATGCAGAGGTTGCAAGTCCCTAAATGGAGGTAGAGCATGTGTTCCTATTTTATACACTCTCATATGGGAGATAAGTGGTTAAAGATGACTAGAAACCCAACCAGGCCTACCGGGGTGCTGGACAGACACAGAGCATTTCTAAGGGAATGCCACCAGAGAACAAATACAAATCTGTACAGAAATCTTTTTTTTTTTTTTCACACTTAAAAAGAATCACATCCTCATTCCAACAGCTTTACTAGGCTTGGCCAACCCAATAAGTGACACACTCACTCAGGTACTGGGAAGGTTATTGCACAGCTCCTTAACCGATCGAGTCAGGGCAAAGTGGTCACTTTCCCCACAGCCACACTCTGGATTTGTCTCCTGGGAAGAAACCATGCCTGGCCCAGGCTGAGGGGGCAGCTGCAGCGGAACCTTGCCTCCAGATTACGAACCAGTATAAGTAGCACAATTCTTGTGGCTACTTTCACTTCAGAGTGTCATGTTTATTGATGTGGAGCTTTCTGAATAGGGAGGTTCAGGCATTGCCAGGTGCTCAGTAAAACAAATATTTCTTGTAGCGCTCTAGATTGAGGGCAGCAGTCAATGGTAAAATAAATTTTAGTAGCATGTTCCTGAAAGGTTATACAGCAGCCCTGGTTCAAGGATTTCTCCCCCTGCACGATTCCTAAGACTGTTTGCTAGTTGATTCTTTGTTTTGGGAATTTAATGGTTTTGATGAATTTGCTGTGATCCAGGGGTGTTCAAGTACTTCTCTGAGCATTGGCCTCTGGCTGGGATTATGCTTCAACAGTCTTAAAATGAGGTCCTGGGTCCCTCTGTTACAGTCAGGGAATGTGAATTCAACCCATGATACTCGTTTTTTTTTTTTTTTTTTTTGAGATGGAGTTTCTTTCACTCTTGTTGCCCAGGCTGGAATGCAATGGCATGGTCTTGGCTCACTGCTACCTCTGCCTCCCGGGTTCAAGCGATTCTCCTGTCTCAGCCTTCTGAGTAGCTGGGATTACAGGCATGCGCCACCACGCCCAGCTAATTTTTGTATTTTTAGTAGAGACGGGGTTTCACCATGTTGATCAGGCTGGTCTTGAACTCCTGACCTCAGGTGATACGACCGCCTCGGCCTCCCGAAGTGCTGGGATTACAGGCGTGAGCCACCATGCCCAGCCCAACCCGTGATATTCTTTTGTAGGTCTCTTGGTGTACGTTTGCCTCAAAAGGAGGCTTCCCAACTAAAAATTCATAGCAAAGAACACCAAGGCTCCAGAGATCTACCTTCTCACCATGCATCTGACCTCCAATCATCTTGGGCGGGGGGCGGGGGCAGGTAGTCCAGGGTGCCACAGAGAGTGGTCCTCCTGGAGGATGGAGCATGTACTGACCACCCAATATTCTCAGACTGTGTGGTTATTTCCATGATGCCACCAGATTCTACCTAATTCTAAAATATGCACCACTTGGAACTGTCTATAGAGCTCCTTGGATTTCAAAGCAGTCCTAAAACAAACTATTATAAAACAAATGTCCCTGCCAGCTGAGAGTCTTCGTGCAGGGTCTTCCTGCTTCAAATGACTAAGAGGCTCAAGTCTTCTCCTGATCTAAGTGAAAATCAGACACCTAACATGGCAAGAGCCAGTATGTCAGGAGCTCTACAGACACGATCAAAGGGAGAAAGGTGGTGAGAAGGATACTGGCCTGCAGCACATACTTCCTGCTAGCTTCCAGCCCTGTGCATGCCAGCAAGAAAGACTCATTTTCCCCTAAGGACATTTTTTTTTTCCCTCTTACTCCACACCACAGAGGCAGAACAAGCCCCCACCTGCCGCCTGTGAGTCAGGCAATGGCGAGGCATTGAGGATGCGGTGAAGAGCTTCTCAATGCTGTCTCTATTCCTTAGGTTCAGGACGATTTTACGGAGTTACAGCTTCTGACCCTGGGCACTGGCAGGAGACTGAGGCTCAGGCCTGTTAATTATTTATAAAACAAGGATTCTGGCAGCCACCTCCCCAGGCTGCTGTGAGGATAAAGTGGAAGGAAGTACAGAAGGTTCCTGCCACATAGGAAGGCACCCAGTAAACACAGTCCCCTTCCCTCCGTGCTATGAGACCAACTTAAGCAGCTTGATCTCGATCCACTATGTGCCTCTGCTTGCCCAGCTGCATGTTTTTCCAGAGGCGCCCAAGTTTCTGCTCATTAAAATAGAATGTATGTTGGCAATCTGCAAATGCACACAGGATGTCAAATGCCTTCTCCTAGCTGTTTGGATCAATCAGACGGTGTTGGCTCTGCAACTTCTGCAGCACCTCCCTCCCCTGTCCCCCTCAATACAATCCCTACTGTCACACAGCCCACGCTGAAACTGCCCAGTGATACGTTTGTCTTGACTGCCAGGCGGCAAATGCCTGAGACTACAGACTATCTAGTCTCTGCTGGAGCTCCAGAGACCTGCATGTGCCTGATGTATAGTAGGGGAGGTCCTTGCTTGCTAGATAAACAAAGCACCAGAATACCTCCTGTGGGAGGGCTAGAGGGACCCTTTCAGGGCATCATTGCACTCACTGTGTTCACTGCATTCTTTTTTATACCAAGATTAATGAAATGAACGCTATTGCGATGATGTTGAAGTATTGTTTGCACTCTATTCCCATCCAGTCATCTCGAATAGGCAGCTCATTCCCCTCTCATATCAAAATTTTCCTACAATACTAATTTGACCTCCAAAATACAGCCCTACACCTGGAAAGCTTTTTTTTTAAAGGGTGAATTCCACAATAAAAATCAACAGCTACTACCATGTAATGAGCATTTCTTATGTGCCTGCCACAAGACACACAGGCTCCGCCCTTCATGTCTTCTCTCCTAATCCTCGCAGCCAGCCAGGGAGGGTGTACTATTCCCATTTCACAGGTGAGGAAGCTGAGACATGGAGAAGTGAAGTGTTCTGCCCCAGCTTACACAGCTAATCAGTGGATCAGATTCCATTCTGGCCTCCTAGCGTCACCTTCCCGGTTCTGGGGGAAGCTGCCACAGGATGTTCAACAAGGGAGAGGTGTTGGGGCTGCCGGTAAGAGGTGACACTCTGGCAGAAGTCCAGGCTCCAGAAAACAGGCTATGAACTAGAGGCAGTTCAGAAGCACAGAAGCATAATTTAAAAAATCTGCCACCCTGAATCCTGCACGTTGGCAATTTCTCCCCCAGCTAATACCTGCCAGCAGCTCTCACACTCCATCCGGCACAAGATGAGATTTACCAGGGCCCTCTGGCTTCCTACAAAGTAGTTGGGAGTGATCTGCAAGCCAGGGGCTGGAACAGACCACCCATTCTCAGGTATGCCTCACCAAGCCTTTTCCGTTACACCTCGCTCATCACCTTGTTCCCTTCTGTTCCATTACTCATGCTAATCCCACTTGTTATTCCTGGCTTCTGGAGTTCTCATCCATGGATGTAGATGCTCTCCACGCCCCTGATCTCCTCAACAGAGTGTGGCCTTCGGATCCTGGTTCCCACGCAGCACCAGCTGCACTTGGGACAGCAGGCATGTGAAGTCTGCTGCAGGATGCCACAAAAATTTCCACTGTGCACTACCCAGGAATTACATTTTCCGTGACACAGGAAGAAATAAAAGCCAAAACAAAGCTACTTTTTAAAAAAAGAAGAGCCGGATTGGGGATCGCTGAAGGCAGTTTTGCAGGATAATGTCTGCCTTCTCTACCATCGGAAATGAAATGAGTGTAGGGAAAAAGAGGAAACCATTTCTACCTCCTTACAAAATGCAATTCCAACCCCAAATAGATTAGCCGTTGGCAGCCTCCTCCAAATCAGCAGGATGGAAATCTGAGCCCTTTACCAGAACAGTACACACCTGAATGGGAAGACTAAAATCAGAGGTAAAAATATCCGGTGGGGAAGTCCTTGCTGGAACAATCATCTTCCTTGTAACCTTTGGTAAAATATTTGGCTCAGGCTCAGAGTGTCAACGGAGGTAGATGACACATTTCTAGTTTGATATGGCAGAGAGAGCATTTAAAAAGCTGCCTGGGGAAAGTCACGCTCCCCCTAAAATAATTAGTAAATTTTCAGAACCCAGTGGCCTAACAACCAAAAGTCCGCACCAAGAAATAAGCAACATGCCATTTGTGAACTCCCTGGAGGGTTAGGGAGAAAAGCTGGGAAGATGGGCATAGATCACAAGCCCTCCCATACTTTCTGCATCTGCAGACACATTTTTAGCCAGAAGAGAGTTCATGTTTGTTTTGATGGATGATATCTGAAAATGCTTTAAATTGTACACAACCCGATTTCACTGTATGGGACACTGGGATTAGCCCTGAGGTGTGGGAGAACACACACAGGACCCAAAGTCCAGAGACAGGATTCCAACCTAGCTCTGCTCCTAGCAGCTGGGTGACTGCAAGCAACAACCTCCCCTGCCTTAGTTCCTCATCTGCCAAATGGGGAGAATCTGTTTCATAAACTCCCCCAGTGTTGTAAAGATCCAGTGAGACAGGGTAGAAAAGTCTCTGCTAAATAGTAAAATGTTTTCTAAATGAATGATGTTAAAAGTTTATCATTACATTTAATATATTCATTTCATTTAACAACACCCATAATCTGTAGGGTAGATATTATCATTTACATCTTTATAGATGAAGAAATGATCTTGGAGAAGACGAGACCCAAGGCCACAGAGCGAGAAAAACCCAGCTTAGAGTCCAGCCCAGGACTTCTCAGCTATGACCAGAAGTACGCGGTACACAGATGCACTGGTACACAGAGGCACGTGGTACACAGAGACATGCGGTACACAGAGGCACCAGTACGCAGAGGCACACAGTACACAGATGCACTGGTATGCAGAGGCACTGATACACAGATTTACTGGTACACAGGGGCACTGCGGTATGCAGAGGCACTGGTACACAGAGGCACGTGGTACACAGAGGCATCGGCATGCAGATGCACCTGGTACTATGAGGCATGCGGTACACAGATGCTCTGGAAAGAGCAACCATCTGATGGCAGGATACCTGAGCATGAGCCTCCTGGGTAAATTCCTCCACTTCAGTCTCTCAATTTCCTTCTCTCTAAAACGGAGGTAACACCATCCATCCTATTTCCCTGGAAAGGTTGTCGCCAGGACCCCATGAAACCACGATGCAAAGGCTCCCGGGGCAAGGGCAAAGTTTCCTAATTTGAGACCAGGGAAATCTAGTTCAAGAGAAGAGACTCATGATCAGGAAAAGGAAGGGGAGGACCGAGGGTAGTAATCACATTCAAGGAAAGTCAGCAGCTAATGTGGTAGGTGGAAGAGGAAAATTAAGCAGTCCAGAGCTGTTTAGAAGACGAAAGGTCACACAAAGGAAGGGACTTCAAATACATTCAGCTGTCCCACTGTGCTGCCTTGGGGTTATACAGAAACATTTTGCAGGGAATGCACACACACAATCACCAACAGACTTCCAATAGCCTCCTTGATGATAGGGAGGGGGGTGGGATTTGTTTTAAAATAGCCTTATTGGATAAAATTAAAAATGAGCAATTCTATTGCAGGCCTCCCAATTAAACTAGGTTTTCATTTACTGATATATGCACTGCAAAAGTTTGAGGACCACTGTTCTAAAACAACCTCGTAGTGTTGCTGACCCTCTCATTGCTATAATTACATGAAATTTCATTTACCCAGTAAAAATTATTAAGCATCTGCCCTGTGCCCGGTACCCTTCCAGGTACTGAGGATGTGAGGACAATGCTTTGTAAGATGCACACACATCAGGGGAGTTATTAACAAAAAAGGCATTTTCACCACAAGCTTATGATGCCGTCACTGCCAAATAACTATTCTGTTTTTATGATGCTCATTAAAAAGCCAGGAGGGGAAATGTCAGTGTATATTACCGAGCGAAAGACACCAATCTGAGAAAGCTACGTACTACATGATTCCAATCATAAGACATTCTGGAAAAGGTAAAACTATTGAGACAGTAGAAAGATCAGTGATTACCATGTGTTGTAGGGAGGGTGGGATGCACAGAAGATTTTTACGGTAGTGAAACTATGCTGTTTGATACTATAATGGCAGATTTATGTCATTTTACATTTGTCCAAAGCCATAGAATGTACAACAGGAGCAAACCCCAGGGCAAACTGTGAACTTTGGGTCATAATGATGTGCCAGTGTCGGTTCATCAGTTGGAACAAATGTACCACTGCAGTGGGGGATGCTGACAATGGGGGAGTCTGTGCATAGGCGGGGACAGGAGGTATATGGGAAACCTGTACCTTCTGCTCAATTTTGCTTTGAACCTAACACTCTAAAACTGGGTCTCAGTTTCCTCATCTGTAAAAACATGGGCTTCTGACTATGATTCGGATATCCCAGGGGCTTGTGCCTATTGAAGAGAGGGGAAATACTGGCTGTAATCTCTGTACGGTAGACCAAAAACCAGATTTAATGAAAATACACTGATGGTTTTCAGCCAGAGATGATGAGGAAAGCAATCCTCTTCTCCAACCTGGGATTTGCCTGGGGACCTAGTCTGAGAAATTCTTACACTACTAGGAGATGGCTCTGGGCTGGATTTTACAAAAGAAGAGTAAGGCCTGAGGAGCTCTGAACCCCCATCAGTCACAAGAGAGGATGGCTTCAGCCTGCTGAAAGCCAGCAGCATTTACAAATTCATGCCTGTGGCTTTTGCCAACTCTAGTGGTACCTTTCTGACCTCTTCACTTCTCTGACTCTTCAATAAATCGACATTTCTTAATATAGTGTCACCTTAACAGCAAAAGAGACCTTGAATTTTTGGGACTGAATTTATAAAACACTTAGAGGTTCTGGGGTTTTACTTAAAGCAGCTTGTAATTTGAAAAATGTACACGTTCTAATTATTCCAATCTCCAAGACATCAAACACATGGCATGAGGTCCCCATTGCTAAGTCCCCTTTCAGCTTCAGCTGGAGCCCTTGATTCCACAATCACAAGCAGCAAGGTGCCCTCCTCCCTTCTCTTCTGTCTGGTGCCCCCAGCAAGTTTTCAAGGTTCAATTCTGAGACTCTCCCATTCACCGTCCCAGCAGGTGGCCAAGGGCCCAAGGCGGGAGGGAAAGGTCGGCTTAGCTAGGGAAAGTTTTGTTAGCCTTATTGGAAGGGAAGGAGACATGCAGGAAGCAGGGCTGAGCCAGGTGGGGGAAGTCACCAGAACGACAAACCCCTGGACTTCCCACTGCCCAAGCGCGAGGACTCTCGGGGCAGCCGGCCCCTCTCAGGTTCTGCTTGCAGACACTTCGCTGGGGGCACTCGTTCTGCCTGGGAAAACTGCCCCAAGTCCCCTTAACACCTGTGTATGTCCTGTAGTGGGGTGTGGGGTGGAAGCGAGCATGTCACCAAAGCCTTTATTCAAAGGGCGAGTCCCTTTCCGCGGCCGCCAGGGAAGGGGGCCCCGCTACTGTGCCAGGAGGGCAGCTTGGGTTTAATACATGCCCTCCTCCACCCCTGTACCCGGAGCCCCTACCCACTTACCTGCTGACCGCACCCCTCCCAAAACCCCGCCAGCTCGCCCGGGACGGACCGCGAGTGGCCACGAGGGAGGCGCGCGCCAGGTGCGCTCTTCCCCCGACGCCGCCGTGCCAGGAAGGCCGCGCTCAGGTGCGCGCAGACAATGCGAACAAAGCCCGCACCCTCGGCGGGGCCGCGCAGCCCGGGTGCTCTGGGTAGGGGTGGCTGGGCAGAGGGGGCCCCAGTACCGGGAGCGTGAATCGGTCATCGGCAGCCGGCACTGGCGGGTACCCGGGCGCCAGAGCCAACTCGGGGCTGGGACTCACCGGAAGGAGAGCGGCGACCAGCGCTCGGTGCCCGGGCGGCTCTACTCACAGACCCGGGCGCGGCTCGGGCCAGGGGGCGCTACGGGATCACAGGAGGGGCGCCCGGGGCGCGGCTGCCACGTGGGACACCTGTTTGTCTCTCCTGGGAGAGGGCGGCACGACCCGACCCGGCTGAGGTCGGAGGAACTACCGCCAGGGAGGTGCATAGAGCCCCTCGCGTTTTTTAAAGCGGCATCGGCCCAGGTCTGCAAATAAAAAAGTACTTCACTTCTACGCGGGTCACCCAGCCTCCGAGCGGTGCAGCCGCGAACACTGTGCCGTCAGCTGACTCCTCCACGGGCTTTATAGCTCCTTGAAAAAATGTTGACTTTGGCATCTTTTCTATTTGTCATGGCAATTGCCTTTTAATTACCTGTCCCTCCTATTGTTGCAGTTGGGTAATAAGCCGACCTTTTGGCCATCATCCTTGCTTAAGATTGGAGGGCGTTTGATTTTTAAAAAATCAAATGCCACAAAGCACAATGCTGAGCATGATGCTTTATATAAAGTAAGCTCTCAATGAACGTTGACTATGACTGCACAATCCATAATTTCCATACTTCATTTAAAAACTGCCAGAGCATGCCTGTTCATTGCAAAAAAAAAAAAAAGAAAAGAAATAACAGTAAAAAAGTTGATAAATCAATCATTTTCCAACACCCAGAGATAATCAGTTAACATTGTGGTGTATGTTCTTCCAATGTCATTCTACCTATGCAAAAATTTATATATTTTTAGTTCATTCCATACAAGCTGTACATTACTCAGGTTTTCCATTTCCTTTTTTTGAATGTCCGTTTTAAGCCACTTCATAATGTCCTAATGTACTTAACCTATCTGCTATTGTTGAATATTAAACTTTCCATTTTAATAATACAATTAGATGTCTTTGTGCTTTTGTCCAATTAATTCCTTAGAATAAACTACGAAAAGGTAAATTTCTAGGATACAGGTTTTATACAACTTAAGACTTTTGATGCCTATTATCTAATTGTCCTCAAGGAAGGTTGACCTGCTTCCTCTTTTCCATGCTCCTTCCCATTATTCTTGTAAATGTCAATCTGATAGGAAAATAATTTGCTTTACACCTTTCCTGTCTGTAGTTCTCAGTTAATTTCCAAACCTCCGACACTGACAGCTTCCAGTGAAAGTGGCCCGTGGTGACTTTAATGTTGCAAACCTCATTGAAGGAGGCTAGGAAAGGACTCATTTTTCCTGTAATTCATTTCTCCCAGTAACATTTACTGAGCACCCAAAAATAAAAACAGGGCCACACCAGAGCAGCAGACATAATGTACCACCACATCATCCCCACAGGGGACAGCAGTTAGTCTTGAGGTCTAACTGCTGGGGAGGGATGGTCTCTGCCTCTAGATCAGCATTGCCCCAGAGAAATACTGACCAAGCCACGTGTGTAATTTTAAATGTTCTAGTGGTCACATTTAATAAAAAGTGAAAAGAAACAGCAAGCTGGATTTCAGTATTAACCTAAACATCCGGAACATTATCTCAACATGTAATCAATAAAGATGTTTTATGCTGTCTTCAAAGTCCTGTTTTTTTGTTTTTTTTTTTTTTTTTTTTGTTTGAGACAGAGTCTCACTCTGTTGCCCAGGCTGGAGTGCAATGGCATGATCTTGGCTCACTGCAACCTCTGCCTCCCAGGTTCAAATGGTTCTCCTGCCTCAGCCTCCCGAGTAGCTGGGATCACAGGTGCACACCACCATGCCCGGCTAATTTTTGTATTTTTAGTAAAGACAGGGTTTTGCCATGTTGGCCAGGCTGGTCTCAAACTCCTGACCTCAGGTAATCCACCCGCCTCAGCCTCCCAAAATGCTGGGATCATAGGCGTGAGCCACCACGCCTGGCCAATCCTGTTGTATTCTATACTCACAAGCACATCTCAATTTGGACTCGCCACATTTTTAAGTGCTGTATAGTCAAATGGGGTGAGTGGCCTGTGCTGCTCCAGAGATGTCCAACAAGGGCAGACCCCAGGTCCTCAAGAAAGTGGAAATTCTACCTTTGACAACCCTCTCCCTGTACCCCTTATGCTGTTTAACAGGTACCAGCATACTTTGACCTTATCAGGCTTACCTTGGAGAAGCCAAATTTCAATCCTGGTTGTTCCTGAAGTATTTGGCATGTCTTTAATTGGGGGCGGGGGGGGGGGAGGTATTTCACATTTTCATTCTGTGATTATGAAGAACTGAAAGCATAAATACAGTGAAGATACCTGTTGCTTCAGACTTCTTCACATCAATGTATAATCAGTCTGTCCGGGGTGTGCACTTGGGCAGGAGGGAAGGCAGGTGGTGCAGGCCCTGGTGAGTGCTGAGTGCTGAGTGGGTGACCAGCAGGGGTGGAGGCTTTTTATGCAGAAAGCTGGGTAGCTACTTTTGTCATCCATGACATCCCTTCCTTTGTGAAGATTTACAAGGATTTAAAAAATAAAGTTATTATGAATTACAATCATTCTAAGGGGCATGTAAGCTTCTTGCTTCCCAGGAGCTTGCCTTATTCATCTTTGCAGCCCAATGCCTGGTAACTTGCACACAGTAAATGCCCTCAGAAATAAAACCCCATGTCCTCCACTGACTGAAAGGACCCCCTCTTGTCCAAGGGGACCCCAGAGAAATATTTTTGAGACTGAGTCTCGCTTTACTGCCCAGGCTGGAGTGCAGTGGCTGGATCTCAGCTTACTGCAACCTCCGCCTCCCAGGTTCAAACGATTTTCATGCCTCAGCCTCCCAAGTGACTGGGATTACAGGCGCCCACCACCAGGCCCGGCTAATTTTCGTATTTTTAGTAAAGATGGGGTTTCACCATGTTGGCCAGGGTGGTCTCGAACTCCTGACCTTAAATTATCCAGAGAAATCTTAAAAGCGGAGTTCCCATATATGACTGGAAGGGAGACGGGAAACAGCTTGTTATACCTGCTCCTTCACTATCAGCCATTAGTTTTTTTTTTTTTTTTGGAGAAAGGGGCTTGCTCTGTTGCCCAGCCTGGAGTACAGTGGTGTGACCTTGGCTCAAGACCTGCCTCGACCTCCTGGGCTCCATTAATCCTCCCATCTCAGCCTCCCGAGTAGTTAGAACTACAGGTACGTGCCACCACACCAGGTTTTTTTTTTTTTTTTTTTTTTTTTTGGTAGAGATGAGGTTTCCTTGTGTTGCCCAGGCTGGTCTTGAGCTCCTGGGCTCAAGCAATCTGTCCATCTCACCCTCCCAAAGTGCTGGGGTCACAGGCATGAGCCACAGTACCCAGCCTTCTTTCTTAAGGGTTAAACAGAAACCAGCCCTTTGGGAAAGACTTGCTCCACCCCTGCTATCTTTGAGGGTCTCACTGTATCCCCCAGGCTGAAGTATAGTGGCACAATCATAGCTCACCACAGCCTTGACCTCCTGGGCTCAAGCAGTCCTCTTACCTCAGCCTCCAGAGTAGCTGGGATTACAGCCACGTACCATTGCACTGGTGGTTTTTTTGTTCTGGGTAGAGATGAGGTGTTGCTCTGTTGCCCAAGCTGGTCTTGAACTCCTCAAACTCAAGGAATCCTCACAGTGCTGGGACTGCAGGTGTGAGCCACTGCACCTGGCCTCTACTATTGATATGAACCAACCACTTGATGCTGCCCCTTCCTTTTAAGGTTTCAACAAACCAAGCAACCAGCATTCCTTCCTAAGAGACAATGGACCATGGAGTGGCTCTGGCTAGTCTATAGAAGATGTACCATGAGAGTTGTGTCCTCTGCTTCACCTTTTGACCCAAGAGGGCCAAAAACTCCACCCCAGAATCATGCTAATACCATTTTTTTGTACATGTAACCCATCAAGAGTCATGAAGCTTAATTGCACATGTACATCTTTCATAAATATTCATGACTCCTCCTATAGTTTACTGTGTATTTGGCCACTCCACTCAGCATAAATTCCTGTCTTATTTTTCCCAACCTGGAAGTGTGTTTCTGGTTTCTGGCTGGAGGCTACACTTTCCAGACTGTAGCAATGGCTACCCTGCCAGTGGCCACGCTTTATGAAAAATAAAGCTCTCCTTTCCAAATTCATGAACTTTCTCATTCTTCAGTTGACACCTTCTATGATGTTAATTCTCAAGTTGCGCTGTCCCGTGTGTCTCAGTTGTAAACACAAGAGGTATAAACACAGAGTCTTAGTGTAAACTGAGAGTGTAAACACAGAGGTGACTGAATTTCACTCAGGGATAAATGGAGACATCCGTACTCGGTGACATGCATCACCCAGAGGCACCCATTGTAGTAAAGTGACTGTGGCTTCAGATTAGGGGGCTCCTGCCTACTGGCTTTGTAACACAGAAAAGAAACTTAACTTTTGATTGCTCAGTTTCCTGACCTATAAAGGGTGATGGGTACAACAGTTCCTAACTCTAGAATCCCAACTAATATTTTGATCCAGTCCCTCAAATGATGAAAGGTAAAGCACACACGAAAGGAACAGACAAAAAGGAGGATGCTTAATAGAGCTCCAAGAGTTGTATATTTTCCAGAAGCCACATAGCAGCCACTAACCAGAGCCCTCTTATTGAGAAATAAAAGAACACGAAACAGTACCTACTAAACAGCAAAGAAACCATCCTAGAGGAAACAAAGAGCCTGACTCAGAAGCGCTCAACAAGCAGCAAATTAAGCCAGAGCCTAATTTGGTCTGTGGTCTCTTAACTGTGGAGCCAAGAACAAGGAGAACAAAGTTGGGGGCAGAGAGAGACACAGGACATGAGGAGCAGAAATATTGCCATCTCCAAGCCAAAGCCACTTAGGTATGGAATAGGCAGCAATTGTTTGAAGGGTTAATGCATCCATCCCAGCTCCTACTTAAGACAGTGAGAATTATGCGCAAAGTTGTATTGGATTTGCTTTTGGGAAATGTGCTTTCTGGCCGAATCAAGTAAACATGGAACAAAGGCACACGCTTGTGTAATAACCACTCAGCCAACATATGAAACTTTCTAAGTGCTCTACCTCAAACTGTCAATACTTCCATGTTATTTCCATCTCCTCTCCAAATTCCCAGTATCATGAATTTTAGTCATCACATGTCTGCCTTAACTAAGTATTCATGGAACACATTTAGAGAGGCATCTGGGTATACTCTGGAGGCAGAGTAGGCTCCTGCCTTATAATAAGCATCAGAGTCTGTCTCACTTCCTGGAAGGTTCTCATCACAGGAGATAGGGGCCTCTTCATCAAAAGGTTAACACCACAAGGTGTTAAAAATGGCATCCCCTCAGGGTGATAAGGGAAGCAAGCAAGCATGGAAAAAATGGCTAAGGCTTGGCAGCTAGCTAACACCTTAAATGAAGCCAGTTTTAGGTTACTTGAAACTATAGCCAAAATGCAAGAACTTTCCTAGGAAAATCAGACTGCAGCGCGTAGACCAGGGCAATACCAGAACGTTAATGGTTGGTTCTCTGGGTGAGCCATCTGCAGTTCTCACCCTGTGCGACTGGGCAGTAACCTTACTTCTAACAGAACTTCACCACCTTAATTCCGGCAAGTAAAACCATTCTACCATTCTTTCTTAACTGCATGTTTAGAACCACAGGTTACCCTCCAATTCCCTTTATCTGGAAAAAGCAAAAAACACTCCGACAATTTTGTGTGTATTAAGGGCTGTTTGGATGCAAGTAGGGCCACAAAACCACCTACATGGGGAGGAGCCCAGGTGTCCTCTTTGGCTGATCCCAGAAGAGCTCGACTTGCCAATTCCAGGCAGCTGTGTTGGTGAGGAGCCTATTAGTAACACTAGTGATCTATTGCTCGTGGCTGACACTCTCTCAGCAGTGAGCCTCACAATGACTTAATTTCTCTCTGGGAATTTGGCAGCTTAGGGTCCCGCTGGTGAGGATCTTCACGTGTTGGTTTCCGGAGCTGTTATTACATAGCAAGAGAGATCAATTTCAGAATAGTAGTTAATCCTCGTTCACAATTTTGAGACTTTTACATTTCTAGCTGCTGCAGCAAAAGAATTTTAGCAAAACAAGAAGTGTATCAAATATGCTCCTTATCCCCTTGTCAACCCCCAGGAGTTCACTGTTCTTATGATAGAAATCTCCTCCCTGGCAAACTGGGTAAGATTTATCTTAATATTTACAAGGCCTCCACCCAAGACTAAATCATTTGTTCAGATATACGGTCTCAGCTCTATGGTACTTATAACCAAACCAGATATTCTGAGGGGATCTGAAGACTGAAGCTCTACTGTATTTATGACCAAACCAGATATTTTGAGGGGATGTGAAGAACATATTAGCTGGTATGATAGAGCTGTGCTGGCCCAAATAAAAAATCTGGCACATACCTCAATGTCAGACTCATAGCTGGAGCTCAAATATTCATTGAACGAATGAAACATGCAGCTGGCACATTAATCAAAATCGGAAACATGTTAAATCTACTCAGAAGGAAGACCTGATGATCCAGTATGTCTCATTAATCCAAGAGACATTTAACCTATATCTCTATTTGTGAGGCTAGTGCTATAGATACTAGTCTCTTTTGGAGAACAAGGCAAATTAGCTGAATCAGCAAATAATATTAAATTCCATTTAATTAAAACAGTTCCTATTCAAATGTCTAGTACCATAGGATAAAATGTTACAATTTGAAGCCAAACAATGACTCCTGATTTTTCTGTGTTCCTTGATTTGTTTCCCTAATTTTCCTTAATAAAACGGCAATTGTGTGATTGCATATTCTTGTATTTCCTCTGTGGTTACAAACAATAAAGCAGACAGTATGAACACATTAAGCCTCTAATTCTCCCAGTATGTACAAGAAAAAAAAGGAAATTGGCAAAAATGCCTGCAGTAAGAAAACAAGAGAAAGCTGGTTGGGAAGTGAAATAATTTTATTGGGCAAAGCAGCGTGAGCTTTTATCTAACAGAAGCACATCAGTGTTTTAACAACTTTTTACATGAGGAAATATCCCATTTAACAGATTAGACAACGTACATTGCCAGTAAAAGCAAAAAAAAAAAAAAAAAAAAAAAAAGTCTTTCAAGTATCTGCTGAGTTGGTGAGAAACATCTTAGGTTTCATAGTCTGACAGTTAAATCATGAAAAAAATTCAAACTTTGGGGTTGGCAGGAAAGTCAGCCAGCCCATAATTCTGCATATGCGTGGTTTAGGAGAATTTGAGATTATTTTCATGCTTCAGGAAAAATATACACTCTTCGTTTTTTTTTTTTTTTTAACCTTAAACTGATAACTGTATTTGGGTTTCAGAAACAGTAAATTCTATCTATAACAACAAAAATCTAGCTACAGATTTCTAAGGTTGTGGACACAGCAGGAGAGGGAACATAAAGTTCCTTCTCCAGTTAGAGTGGTCCAGAGGTCAGACTCTGTGCCCAAAGGCCAAAAGAAAAATAATCCAATTAAGGACGGAGAGAAAGAAATTGATGACCTCTGAGTGAACAGAAAAAGAAGATAACAAACATGAAAGCAAAGGACATTATGTGGAAGAGGCAGACGACAGAGAATGCAGGGAATATTACAAAATATTTCAAACGGACAGAAAATAAAACTCATATCAACTTTTTTTTTTTTTTTTTTAAGACAAAATCTGTCACCCAGGCTGGAGTGCAGTGGCACTATCATAGCTCACTGTAACCTTGAACTCCTGGCCTCAAGGGATCCTCCCACCTCAGCCTCCCAAAGTGCTGGGCGTGAGCCACTGCACCTGGCCTTCCTTCGGTACCTTTAAGTAATAAAAAGTTACATATATAGCAGAAAGTCCCTATGTATTCCTTGCCAGTATTCTCATTGATTTGGTATGAATTTTTTACGTAATATTTATTTGGTGGAAGGAACTTAGAGGAAAATAAAAACCACCAACCTAATAGGAGAATGGCAGGCAGGCAAAAACGGAGGGATAGAAGGTCATTACAGAGAAAGTGGACAAAGAAAAGGTTCTCATAAATAAAAACACCAGGTGCTGTACTTTCTCTCCTAAAGCTAGCCTTTGCTGTTTCCTGTCTCATAAGGGTTTACCTCCAAGAGATGCTGTTTCTGAAAAAGAAAAAAAATCAACTATCATTATGCCTTACACAAAAACTCAATTGCTATGGCTTTTAATTTCAAATACAAGCAAACAAAATATTCACTTTTAACTGAAATTACGCATTTAAGCCAGACCTGTCAGTTAAGAAAATTAATGACCACCATAACATAGCATAATATATGCTAAGTACAGCTGTTTATACTCCCCTTCACAAATATAACATATAGTTGTTTGCACTCTCCTTATATATAAAAGATATCTGACATTAACTTGTGTGTTGAAACATCACCTGAGCAACAGATTACAGAGGGTTTTATGTTCATATCACCACAGCACTTCTGTTTTAGCAATTTTACAATTAAATTGCTAACAATTAAATTTCTCCAGATGATGAAATACATGTGTTTGTCTTTTATTTTATTTTTTTGAGACAGGGTCTCACTCTGTTGCCCAAGCTGGAGTGCAGTGGTGCCATCTCGGCTCACTGCAACCTTCGGCTCCTGGGTTCAAGCAATTCTCCTGCCTCAGCCTCCCCAGTAGCTGGGACTACAGGTGCACGCCACCTCACCTGGCTAATTCTATATTTTTTTTGGTAGAGACAAAGTTTCACCATGTTGGCCAGGATGGTCTCAAACTCCTGGGCCTCATGTGACCTGCCCTCCTCAGCCTCCCAAAAGTGCTGGGATTACAGGCCTGAGCCACCATGCCCAGCCAAAATACATTTTTACACCCATTCTATCTCAAAGAATAATTTAAAGGAGTAAATATTCAGCTCTATTTTCACCACAATGAAGTAATGCTTAAGCAATCATGTACATTATTTTTTCCTAATAATGTAACCCTCTAGTTTCATGCCCTATGTAACTGATCTGATCTAAAAGGATACTGTACACGTAGCAGCTCAGGGAAGTTGACACAACTGTTTTAAGTCGTAAGACCTAGTGTTTCAGCCTGTATGTGATTTTGGACAGTCATGTAACCCTCTCTGAGCCTCAGCTTCCTTAACTGTAAAATGGGTCCTACTTTCTTTTCAAGGGCATTGTGAAGATTAAGTATGTGAGTAGATGTAAAAATGCTTTGTAAATACGTACTACCCAAACACAAGGTATTGCACTGTATTCAAATGTAAATAAAATATCTATTTATTCCCACAGTCAGGAAAAATCCAGTTCAACTACTATGCTTTAAATCAAGTTTTCTTTTGAAAGCTACTAAGCCCTGTCTTAAATCTATCAAGAAACAATGAAATTTCACTTTAAGTTTTATGTGTAAGCACACTCAATATCCTTAGGAAAAATGCCTGTTACACAGATAAGAAGAACATACAGGCCAACCAACTTGGTTAAAAATGTAATGACTTGGTGGCCGGGCGCAGTGGCTCACGCCTGTAATCCCAGCACTTTGGGAGGCCGAGGAGGGCAGATCACGAGGTCAGGAGATCGAGACCATCCTGGCTAACACGGTGAAACCCTGTCTCTACTAAAAATACAAAAAGATTAGCTGGGTGTGGTGGCGGGCACCTATAGTCCCAGCTACTTGGGAAGCTGAGGCAGGAGAATGGCATGAACCCGGGAGGCGGAGGTTGTAGTGAGCTGAGATAGCGCCACTGCACTCCAGCCTGGACAACAGAGCGAGACTGTCTCAAAAAAAAATAAAAATAAAAAATAAAAAAAAAATATATATATATATAGTGACTTGATACTAGGACTAAATTCCAGAAATCCATGTCATTGCATGTTCCTTGATCTATGAAATTAAAATCACCATTAAGTTTAAGATTAGCCGGGTGTGGCAGTGTGCGCCTGTAGTCCCAGCTACTTGGGAGGCTGATGTGGGAGAATTGCGTGAACCTGGGAGGTGGAGCTTGCAGTGAGCCGAGATCACGCCATTGCACTCCAGCCTGGGTGACAGAGCAAGACTCCGTCTCCAAAAAAAAAAAAAAAAAAGATTAAAAGATTTTAAGCTTAAACATACAAAACAGTCAGTATTAAGACAATGTATTAGAAAGGACTGAAAGTTGTAATAACCCAAAATTTGTAAAAGGAAACATGAGAGTCAAGATAGTTGATCTTGCATTAATTACATTTAGCTTATAATTCAATTGACCTTTCTTAAAACGCAAAGAAACGGTCTATTACCACATGAAAGATATGTTTTAACACAGTTGGCAGTTGGTTCCTACTTGAGAGTTACTACACCCATAAAAGATTCATGAAGAGTATTATAGCCACCTCTTGAACTATTTCCAAACAGTTTAATATAAATTTGTTAACCAACAAAAGTGCACATATTAAGTAAATCAAAGTTCCTTTGCTTTTGGCTGGAACTGTAACAACTCAAAGTGGTGAGGAGAGACAACTTTATTCTGAGATTAGAGGTTGTTTTTTTTTTTGTTTTGTTTTGTTTTGTTTTTGAGACAAACTCTCACTCTGTCACCCAGGCTGGAGTATAATAGCAGTCTTGGCTCACTGCAACCGCCGCCTCCTGGATTCAAGCGATTCTCCTGTCTCAGCCTCCCAAGTAGCTGGGTTAACAGGTGTGCACCACCATGCCCAGCTAATTTTGTATTTTAAGTAGAGGCAGTGTTTCGCCATCTTGGCCAGGCTGACTTCGAACGCCTGGGCTCAGGTGATCTGCCCGCCTCAGCCTCCCAAAGTGCTGGGATTACAGGCGTGAGCCACCACCCCCAGCCCTGATCAGAAGTTCTAATTGGCTCTTAATCAAAAATTTATTTCTGAGAACCATCTTACAACAAAGGATCCCAGACATTTAAAATATGGGGGTGGGGTGGGGAGGAACACTGGTTTAAAACTCACCAGTATGTTCTTTAGACACTAGAATCACCACAGCCAAAAGCAGGGAGTATGTTTTGTTTTTAAATGAAAAATACCCTCAGTGCAGCCCACTTTCCGTTCTTGGCCCTTTAGATCCACTTTCCGTTCTTGGCCCTTTAGATACCCCTCGCAAAAAGTGCTAAACATATTTACAGCAATGTGCATAAGTGAGCTCTGAGTTAATTTCAGATCTAGACAAAAAATCTGAGGCTAAGCTTTATGTCACAACAAGTTTTACAAGTCCCTCCACATATCAATAACATAGGCATTCACAGAACCAAACAACAGTAAGGAAAGGCTATTACAACTGGAATACCCCTGGGGGTTCAGTTCCATTAGCAGTAGCAAAGGAAAACGATCAGATAAACCTACAAAAACAGCAGAAGCATTATGACCAAACCTCAGGTCATTAAATCACGAAAGTACAGCCTTACAATAGGTTTCACTCCATTAGCTCTATCCTGCCAATATGCCTGAAGATGTCCTATTGGTGATCACAGAAGAGGCGAAAACATACGATTTAACTTACTTAACTTTTTAACAGTTTTTTCATTTCAATAAATTTATTTTGATTGGTTGAATTGTTTAAGAGGAAGAGAAGAATATGTTCATGTTTTTCAACCTGTGGGTGAAAAAGAAACCATATGATTTAATTTCTAAAAACGTTAGGAGTATAATTTCACTTAAAGGAAATTTTACCTACTTGTTTCTGTAACTCTGTGCAGCAGCAATTCATCCTATACATCTTTTCTAAAAGCACAAGAAAAATAAGCCATTAGATAACACATAATGTAAAGAAGAAAAACTTGGGAGTGTAAACATATACAGATAGCTCTCCCCCTTGCGCATGGGTTCCGACTACAAAGACCTGGATGGATCCATTTGGGCTTTGAGATTATCTACTACCATGGTCTGGATTTGACCACATTAACAACCCATGTCTCCAAGGTTTTGGTTGTCAATCATCTCTCTTTTTGATTGAGGCCAGGTCTGTCAAATATACATCTTATGAAGTACCAGGAAGATGGAATCTCAAAAATATGACTTCTCAGTTTGATCAGGATAGAAAGTAAATTGGAAATAAGAAGCACGCAGAATGCCTGGCATTTTCAAAGCTCTTGGTGTCAATTCCCACAGCAGTGCTGACAAGTCTGATCTAAGGACTATCTGGACTCGGAGGACTGCCTCCATCAAGGCGGCCCTCCCAGGCAGCCACAGGAATCAGAACCCTGCCACTGGATTTGTGGAGGAGGAGGAGAGAGTATGGCATGGGAAGTGAGAAAAGGTCAAGTCAACTAAATTGATTATCTGTTATTCCTCACACTTAACATCTGTTATTAATAACACTTGAAAAGAATACCTGTATTTAAAGCACTCTGCCTTTGAGGTGTGATGTTTTTTGCCAGACCAAATGTCACTAGCTTATCAGCTACATCGACAGTCCCATTCTCAGAACATTTCTCAACTGACACTGTATGGACATTCTTTGTAATTCCTTTCACAGAAAGCATTACATTCTGATTCAACATGAAATTTTTTAATAGCATTATTATTAATTGAGAAGAGCTTCCATTCAATTCCATTAATCCTGGAAAAAATAGATATTATAGTCTTTTAGTCCCTTTTAAAAAGACAGAATTTAGATAAATTATCTAAGAATAATAAGCAAAAGGCTTACTGGACTTCAGCTGGATTTAGGTGTGTTCTGATGTACTACTGCTGTTGCATTACAAAAGACAAATTTATTCAATACATATTGATTGATCACCTAACAAGGCATCAAGCACTAATCTTGGACTAGAGGGCACGAAACAGACACATCTGTCCTTCATATATTCCAACAGGAGAAACAAAGATAATTTTCCAACTCTGAGTCAAAACCTAAGAGGACCATGAAGCAATCGGTATGGTATTATCTGCAAGTCCTCTGCATAAGGACATCAGGAGCGACAGTAAAAAGCTACTTTAAGTATTTTTGTTCACTTTGTTCAAATTCCAACTAAGGAGTTGAATATATGCAGATTTATCTTTCATAAGGTAGCCAAAAATGGTGTCATGTGAATGCCTTTAGTCCCTAAAGAGAGATGTGACGAAGCAGAAAGACCCCAAATGAGAGGTCAGACACCCTGGTTCACAGACACCAGACACCCTGTTTCACATCCTGGCCTTGCCACTTACTAGCTTAGCAACCAGGGGCAAAACCGAATCTCTGAACCCTGGCCCTCTGAAACTAATCTACAAAACAAAGACTGACTGAACACAGTTTTTGTGAGAATTCGATAAAGAATAAAGAATATGAAACTTATTTGAAAACTCTTAATATTTAAAAACATTAAGGCAGTTACTGGAAATACCCATTTGATTCCGACTTAGAGCTATGAAACATAAAGAGGAAAAAAAAAATACCCAGAAACCTAAATTGGAAAGTGACTTAGCTGTCTACCTTCAAGTGAACATCTAATAATTTGGAAAGGAAGCGCCAGGTGGCTAGAGGTGATTGGTTGCACTCTGCAAAGAGGCAGGGTTTCAATGTTTCCATAGTCTGCATAGAGCACTTCCACATCAGTGTCTGATGTCCCCAGAACAACTGCACGATACCAAAAATCATCACCTGAAAACAGAATGAAATCTCAGGTAAGAACTTACAGTCAGTGATTCCTCCTACTTTAAGATGGCTATTCATAGTTATATTTACATCACTTAAAAATCCATGCCAAAATTTCTGGTTACAGTTCAAATTAAATACAAGCATTTACCTCTACATTCCTATGAAAAATGTAATAGAATTTTTTTTTTTTTTTTTGAGACAGGGTCTGGCTCTGCAGCCCAGGCTGGAGTGCAGTGGCACAATCTTGGCTCGCTGCAACCTCCACCTCCCAGACTCAAGTGATCCTCTCACCTCAGCTTCTTGAGTAGCTGGGAATACAGGTATACACCACCATGCCCAGCTAACTTTTTATTCTTGGTAGAGATAGTCTTGCCATGCTGCCAAGGCTGGTCTTGAACTCCTGAATTCAAGCTATCCTACTGCCTCAGCCTCCGAAAGTGATGGGATTACAGGCGTGAGCCACTGTACCCGGCCAGATTTTTTTTTTTTTTTTAAATGCGTAGAATAGAGTAGAGAACAAGAGAAAAGACAACAGAATATTGGAAGCTGGAAAGCAGATGCCTGAATGAAAATGATTTAGTAGAGCCATGGTAGCTCAACCAAAGTTGGCAGTGGGGAAGCCAAGAAGCATCCCAGCTTGCATCACAAATCCCCAACCCCTGAAGTCTCAACGATTGGTGCTGCTCATTCAAAAGCAGGAGTTAAGATGGAGTTGGAAATGAAGATTGGCCAAGGAAGCAGAGTTACTTGCAAAGACATCTGAATAGGCTTTGGTTCATACACTCATTTGCATATAACACCTATTTTTAAAGTTGCTAAAGAGAATGGTGAGCTTTGTGTTCCCATGTTTTAATAATGCTGCTACTTGAGGGCAGAAGACTGGAGGTTTCCTCTCCTGAGAGAATGAACCACAGAGGGCATGGACTGGAGAACGTGAGGCAGAGTAGACAAGGGAGAGTTTAACACTGGCAGGCAAGCTGTGCACTCCAGGCAGGAGGCCACCAGTCCATGTGACAGCCCATCAAGATGGCGACACTGGGAGTCTGCAGTGAGATGGCAGAGCCAGATCACCCACAGTGAAGGCCATCAGTGGAAAAGCCCCTGCCCACTCTCAAAGCAACTTCCCAGTAACTTCTCAGTGCCCCATCTTAAATACAGGAACAGCATAGGATCACCAGAGATTTGCAGAAAGCCTCTAACATCACAGAGGAGACCAAAACAAAACAGGACCTTAGGGAAACCAAGGCAGAAAACCAAGGAGGAATATGACAATGAACATTAGAAGACTGACAGTAATATCCTTGGAGAAATGACATTCCACTCTTGAAAGAACAGGGTAGTATTAAAACACATAAACATGAAAAACAAAACAAAAAAAGCTATTGAAATTAAAAATGTGATAGAAATGAAAACCTAAATTTAAAAAGTTGGAAGGTGAAATTGAGGAAATCTCTTTAAGAACAAAAAAGATGAAAGAGAGAAGAGGACATTTAGCAGAGTTCAAATTCAGCATTAGAAGACTTGAAGCTCCTAACAGAACAGAAAACAAAAGCAACTAAAAGCATTAATTCAGGAAAGTTTCTCAAACTGAAGCTCATGAATTTCTAGATGTAAGGGGCCCACCCACTGAGTGCCCAGCAAAACGGTAGAAAAAGAAACACCATACTAAGGTCACATCATAAATTTCAAAACAGGTGAGAATACTAACAGTTCCAGAAAGGCGGAAAAAACATACAAAGTTTGTGGAATCCGGAATAACATTAATCTTTTGACCAGAAACACCAATAGCTAAAACACAATAAAAGCAGTGCCTCAAAATTTTAAGTGAAAAACCATTTCCAATCTAGAATTCTGCATCCAGGCAACCTATCAATTAACTATTAGGCTGAAGGCTTTTTCAAACATGGGAGATAACAGAAAATTTGTCTTACATGCACCTTTTCTCAGCTTCTGGAGGACAGGATCCACCCAAATACTGGAGTAAATCAAAAGGGAAGTTGGGGATCCAAAAAACAAGGTGGGACGAAGGAAGAAGAAATCTAGCTAACACAGTGTGGGGGGCAGAAGTGCCGTCCAGGAAACAACAGGGTCAGGGCTGAAACGATCTCAGCATGGTGAGGAAAAACCCAGGATAACAGCTCAGGTCTGGGGGACAAGCAGCCTGTACAGGAGCAGACTGAAGGCTGAAGATGCCTCCAATATGGTAATGTTGAGAAAGTACATGTTGTGTTCTTTGAGGGAATTTGCACTAATGCAGAGCACTGGAAATAATTAGTGACAGTCTATAGAACACTAACAACGACAAAAGTGGCAAAAGAGAAGGTAATTGTAATACACTACACAGCTCAGCTGTGAACAGTGCTTATGCAGTCCTAATGAAGTAAGGCAGAATACTTATAGAACCAAAAATTGTGATTTATCCTGGAAAGAAAGGGCAAGTATAGATCCAGTTCTCATACAAAAGAAAAACAAAACTAGTGTGCAATATCTGCAAGACCATGAAGTTTGAAGGTCCCCAACTTGTGCTCCCCAACAAAAACAATTTGGTGCCCATCTAATCACAAAAATGCCTTTGTGAGAGGTTTGGGATCCAGATGGGGGGTTTTGAAACGCCACTGGAGCCCAAGATTGAGGAAGGCTCTTTGAGAAGGCAGGCCTGTGCCCCAGTGGCAGACTTTCAAGACCTTGTTCCCAGCTATTGACTGAAAGCAGCCCTGTCCCCAGGTGAACTCAGCTCTAGCCCCACGTGGCTGCCATCCTGCCACTAGCCACCTCTGCCCAGGGACTGGCAGGAGCCATGCTTGCCTGCCAATTGGACCTGACTGTGGACCATGAAGCAGCACTGTAACCTGGCTCCACTCCCACTTAACCTTGATCCCAGAAGCAAATCCAAGTGTTATTTATATTAGCATACGAAATTTGTTAAAATGAGACATTAAAACGGAGAAGGATCAAAGTATACCCTCATCAATGAGCCTGACTCCCTGAGGCATTCCATCCTTCTTTTAGTACATTCACATATGGAACCCTATGAATTCTTTGCAACCCCTCCATAAAGAAATGTAATGTGACTGATCCACTAGAATAGTGTGGTTATCTCGAGCTGGTTATCTGTAAGTACTGACAGATTTGTAGAAATCTACCTATATCCTTGCCTAAAAATAATCTATATAGAATCGAAAAGCTGAATGACCAACATATGAATTAAATCCACAACACTGCCTTCCTTAATTTCTCTCCCTAAACCAAATGAAATATGCAGCTAAAATACCAAAATCTACATAGTATCATGTAGAACAAAACAGACTAAATACCTTCCCTCAAATATTTTCCCTAAAAGAACCTTACTTGTGTATTTGGCACAGCATGCGTCTCCAATTCTTGGTCTATAGGGTGGTCGACTTTTCGGAGCATTGCAGTATTCTAATAATTCAGCTGTCAACATGCACAGCTTTTCCTGATTTTCTAAAATATATAAAAGCAATCTTTTGTGAAGAAAATTTCCAGTGCTACTATTAACACTATACAAAAGAATGGCAAGTCTAATCAATCCAAAAACCCTTTGTGTATTAAAATATATTTAAAATATATACATGTATATAAAATATACATGATACTTGAAAATATACCCACTATTGGTTGCCATTTGCAAAAGGGATGCAATCAATACCGGGAGTGGGCAGGGAGGAAGCCTCCGGTGGATCAACTACTTGATCAAGGTGGTTATACTGGTTTGTTCACTCTGTGAAAACTTATTAAGCTGTATTTTTACAATTGTTTAGTGTACTTTTCAGTAAGTGTTATACTTAATAAAATTATCCTCAATAGCATTTCCAATTCATCATACAACATGTTGTCAGGATCAAATAACCCTAAGCTCCTGCTTTTTAGTACACAGAATAAAGATCCTTTTGTAGTATTAGAGATAAATTTAAGAGCAGTTATTGGCATTACCACAGTTCTAACTTTGAAAATTTGAAACAAAAGTTTCATTTTTTCAGCTTTAAAAGTGCCTGCAAATTATTCTAAAAAGACAGCACTCAGCTTGCACTAACTCATCTTCAGATACTACAAGGATAAAGTCATATACATTTAAGAGATTCCTTAATTGCAACTTCCATGAAACAACAAAAGGAAAATTAAAAATAAATTTTTATATGCTACTTTTCTTCAAGATTCGTTCTAGTGTGAAACATTTCTCTACGTCTCTAAGGTATAGTAAAGCTATGATTATGAATGGATTACAAAGTCTTTCGATATATCTAAAGCAGTAAATATGATTCAATATAGATAATGTGTTTTTTAAACAAGAAATTATACAGTAATTAAGGACACTTCTGTTATAAAAAGCTGTAGACCAGGCTACTGGGCAGGTAGGTGCTGACTGTAGTAGGGCTTCCCTTCATGTTCCCGCTAGTGTTTCGTAACTAAATTTGCCTTAAGTGTTATGATCAGTTCTTCCTTAAAACAGTGAGCCTCTTTCTCCCCTTCATTCCCAAAGGAATTCAAGACCAGCACTTTCGTTTTACAGTTTAAAAGATGAGCATAAATATGTCTCAAATTTTGGTTTCTTACCTGGCATCCCTTTTGGTAGAGCATAAAACAAGTTTGGGCTTATGATTTCTAATACATTTGCTTGTATAGTTTTATCCACTGGCAATTCTATCGTCTTCCATTGCTCAGCTGAAGAGGTAGCTGGAAACATACAAAACACAGGTCTCACACGGAATAAAAAAAATGTACTGTTGTTTTCCTCAGTAACATATTTAATTCAATCATTTGTTCATGAAATGATTATCAACATTTCCAAATCCCCAAAATAAAAATCTGTATTTTTTCACAAAACAATCTATTCTATTTGAGGGATTTTGTGGGCAGTACGAAAAAGTTCAGTCTACAATGAAATCCTTGAACTATTACACTCCTGTAGTTTATTTCTGTATATTTCCATCTCTGTCAAATATTTAATATAATTCTTACAACTTACTCAAGCTTCTAAGTGAGATATCTCTGTATATGTTTATCTGACAATTACATTGAAATGAATGTTTGTTCAATAATTTAATAATAATACAATATTAACCTACTAATCTATGTCCGTAAAGCATATCTCTACAGGAAAACTGTCATTTATGATGGAAAATTTTTCATAGTCTCTGAGAGCAAAGAATAACAAATTTAAACAAATAAATGGTTTTAAAATGTTACCTTGAAGTCCCTGTACATGAACTTGAAGCTCATGTTTATTAACAAGTCTGTCATTTGGTAAGTCTTTATGTGGTGAAGCAGATTTTAAAACCAGATGTTCATCAATCAGAACATCACTAATTATTCTGGGATAACAAGTGGAGAGATCGGTGAGTTCAACTCCTATCCCATTTTCAGTGACTTCAACCACTCTGGCTTGCAATTTTATCCCAGCAACACACATCTGGAATCTTGTTATGGCTTCTTCAGACCAATGTTTGTTTCTAGACTGTATATCTAGAAAATAAGGACAGCAGTAAAAAGAATCCTATGAACAAGTTTCATTTTTGCTTTAGTAGTACCCAGCACCAGGTCTTTGCCAAGTTTACTTTCAGGTCAGCAATTCTCAGTATCTTCAATATTCAATTATACACCTACATCCTGCATGCCTGACTTAAGAGATAATGCACTTGCTAATACACTCTAGGGTTTTAGGAGGCTCAGGATCTTTCCTTACGTTCTCTGCTAACATATCTTTACCGGGCATTTTCCAATAGAAAAAGGAGTACTGTTTTAGAATTCACCATCATGTTCTGTTATGTATGAGTTAACCATTATGCTGGTAGAAGATGTCAGCTGATATACTGCCACCTTTGTGGAGAGTTTTCTAATAACTTCAAAATGTTTTTCATTATGTAAGCAAAAATTATTTTTCTTGGATAATTTTGGCTTACACCCTTGTTTTCTTAGCAGCGATTTTCAAACTTGAACATGTATCTCAATCACCTAGAGGCCTTGTTAAAACACAGACTGTGGGGCCCTACCCAGAGTTTCTAATTTTGGTAGGTCTGGGTCTTGGGTGGGGGCTGAAAATCTGCAGTTATTAACAAGTTCCCATGTTGATGTTGCTGGTTTGGGGGCCATAATTTAAGCAGCACTGGAATAAAATATGGTAATTAAGAACAATAATCTGGGCCGGGCACAGTGGCTCATGCCTGTAATCCCAGCACTTTGGGAGGTGGAGGCAGGTGGATCACCTGAGGTCAGGATTTCAAGACCAGCCTGACCAACATGGAGAAACCCCGTCTCTACTAAAAATACAAAAAATTAGTTGGGCGTGGTGGCACATGCCTGTAATCCCAGCTACTCAGGAGGCTGATGAGGTAGGAGAATCGCTTGAATCTGGGAGGCAGAGGTTGCAGTGAGCCGAGATTGTGCCATTGCACTCCAGCCTGGGCAACAACAGTGAAACCCCATCTCAAAAAAAAAAAAAAAAATTAAAAAAAGAACAATAATCTGAAATATATTATAAAATAAACAGAAACAGATTAGCAGAAGAAATAAATCCATCTATGCTGCCTGACTTTACCACTGTTGAATTTTGGAATCCAACCAGCCACAACTTTTATGTGCAGATGTCCAAAATACACACATATACACACATTCTCTTATATATTCTATTATAAAGTTTTTATAATAACCGCTACTATAGGTATAATGCCAAGCACTGTTAAGTGCTTTATATTTTTCTCTTAACAACTCTTTGAGGAAGGTAGGAATAATTTCCAGATGAGGAAACAGAAGCACAGAAAGTTTAAATAATTTGCCTAAACGTCTCATAGACAGCAAGCAGCAGTTGGCTCTGACGTCTATTGTCTTTATCACAACACTCTTTTATAACCTGTTTTCTTCACTTAAATCATGAACAATTCTTCATATCAATAACACATATTTAACATCATCTTAATGACTGTGCAATAGACAGCTAAACATGTAGAACTTTGAGTGCCAGACCCTGTCCTAAACCTTCATTTAATCCTCCCAACAACCCTACAAAATAAGTACTATCATTATCCATTTTATGGATCATTTACCCAATCTGCTATTATTGACTATTTATGTTATTTTGCCATTATTATCAGTGGTGTAATAATTATTTTTGTAACCTATTCTGTGCAATTCCTGGATTTCTCTGGGATAAATTACTAGGAGCAAAATTACTAAGTCAGAAGGTATGAACGCTGGAGGTTCTTAAGGAATCCTGCCAATGCCTTCCAGAGGATCGTGCAGTTTTTATTCCTGTGGTCAGTAAAGGAGCCGCTTCCCTACTCTGACAACACTGGACGTTTTTGGTCAATATTGTAAGTAAAATTTCTAAGTTTTATAATATGAAGCAGGATCCTCTAACTCACACGAAATGTTAACATTGTAGATATTAACACTTGGATTATATGCCCCAAGTATTAGAAAGTTGAGAAAGTTTCTTATTGTATACCATACCTGCTAACTGGCACCGTATTCCCTGAAAGGGAAGGTTTAAAAATGTTGATGATATCATTCGGAGTTCATCTGCAGTAACTTCTTCGATGTTTCCATAATCCACAAAATGTACTTTAACATGTCCATTTGGTAAGATTTCCTTGACTAAAGCACGATACCAACTACCATCACCTAGGTTTAACACACAGTTTGTGACATGGAACATTTCCTTTCTATCGACACTTGAAATACTTATCTTGAAAAAAGCCACCCTTTGTCTAAAAGTAGGTAATAAATTTGCTTACTTTCCCAAATCACGCCTTTCATTTTTCAAAATTCAAAAATCTCTAGAATGAAAGAATTCTCAAAATCTATTTTTAGACTATCTCCAAAATGTATAGTGCCATACTTTTACATTTGATATGAATTAAAGATTTCATTCATAACCTATCCAATAAACAGAATGTGAAGGTGAAGATAAGACTTGAATATACTTGTCAGTTTTGGAGATGTATAATACTCTTGGTACTAATGGCTCAGATTATTTTACTTGTTATGTGGTAAAATAATTTAAGTAGTAAATAGTAAAAAAATTATTGTAATGAAGATGTCTCAATTACATTTTCAAAATACTGTAAATACTTATAGTAACCAGAAGAAACAATGAACCTGCTGTGAACAGCGCTTCCATGAGCTAAGTTATTTTAATATTAACAGAAATTCTGGAAAGAAAAGCATTAAAATAATGTTTAATAAAGTTAAGGCAAGAAAGTATCACTTGTAAGTTCCTTGTTACAAAGAGAAGGAAAAACACATGACATTGTAAGCATTCATTCATTCTTGGCCATGAAAAATGTTTGCTTAAGCATTAAGAAAATGTGCACTAAAAATAAGGTTAAGTTAAGAAATATAAGGTTCTAAAAGTCAAGATTGCATCAATTGCAACTTACCTGCAAAAAAAGCACAACAAGGTTGTCCTATCTCTGCCTTGAAACCATTAGGTAACTTCTGCTGGCAGTGTTCTGCTAATGACTTGTTCAAATCATTGAGTTTCTTTAAAGCTGAAAATACACATAGGATTAAAAAATTAAGAACATATTAAAAAATAAACAACACAGATTTTCCTTTAAAGTCAGAAAACGTGATTTTTATGATCAAGACAGGTACCTCCCTAAACTACTATTAAGTCTACCCAATGCTTTTCCTTATTAAAAAACTACTGGGCAAATAAGTTGTTATTTAGTTAATACTTTCAATAAACCCAACACCAACGATTTACTGGGCAAAAAGAAACAATTACAGCATGATTATCAGTACACTAAAGCATGAACTTTGCAGGGAGATAAGAAAACAGCATACAAGCCCATACAGAAGCTACATAAAAGCTGTCCTGAAAGTGACTATAATCACTAAATGGATGGCACAGGTAATGTATAAGAAGTCAGAGCTCATGAGCTCTGCGTGCTGGAGGTTTCATACAGAAATACAAAGTACATCACATTTGAAGGAGAGGGTATTTCCAGAAGGAAGACATGGCTCTCAGACAAAGGACAGAATTATGAAATTAGGCAACCAAAAGTGGGCAGCAGGCTAGCGAAGCGCAGAAGTGGAGAAGTGGCCACTGGAGAGAGACATTGGAGCTGTCCCTGCAAAATGCAGACCATGGAGAGCTTCTGAATGCAGAAGGGATCTAAACCACTTAGTAGTAGTAAAAGAAAAGCAAATGCCTTTTAAGAATGTGACAAAGGCTCATTTACTAAAATGGAAAATAAATTCTAATGTTTCAGATGTTTCACCTTTCAGATTAGGCTAAATAAAGTTTAAGGACACACAATAGACAATGATACACTCTGCTGCTGGGGGATTGTTTGGCTGGCCTCTGAAGAACACTAGCTCTCAAAAGCACAAATACACATATTCCTTTGACCTAATACTCTCATTACAATTTTAGCAACTTGTCCCAGAGATCTACTCCTAAAGTAAAAATCACAGTACAAGGATTTGTTTTAGTAATAAAAGCTTGGAAACCACTAATCCTGTATTTATCCACACTTAGTAGTGTGTATCCACACTTAGGTTAAATCTCACAACCATGGGGTCAGATAGGACCTTAGTTATCTAGTTTAATGTCCTTATTTAACAAAGAAAAACCAAGATTTGGAAAAGTTAAGATCAATGATGCTCATCAGAATGGCTCAAACAAAAAAGAAAAAACACAATGTTTGTGAGGATGTGGAGCAACTAGATGTTAACTTAGGTTAATTAAATTAGGATAAACCCACACAGTGGAATACCATGTAGCCATGAAAAAGAATAGAGACTAAACAGCAATGTGGTGTCACAGAGTGGCTCCTGAACAGAAAAAGGACACTAGTGAAAAATCTAGCAAAAACCAAATAAAGTTTGGGGTTCATTTAATGGTAATATACCACTGTTGGTCTCTTTGTTGCGACAAATGTGCCACGATCACATGCTAACTACAGGAGAAGCTGGGTGAGGTGTATACAGGAACTCTATGTACCATCTTTGTGACTTTCTGTATACCTAAAATTATTCCAAAATAAAAACTGTTATTTAAAAAGAGACTGGAGAAAACAGTATGTGAACTGATATCCAAAATGTAGTGGAAGAAAAAATGCAAAAATTACTTACCATTTTATACTGTTGATAGATATAGAAAAGGATTATATATACTCATACAAGCATATGTATAGAGTATCTCTGAAAAAATATTTGGAAAATTGAGAAGAGGAACCAGGAAACTTACTTTGCACTATATACACTTTTGAAACATGTTTTCATGTTTCCTTCTTCATCTTTAGAATTTTTATATTATGTTTGTATAATCACCTTTAAAAATAAAAAGGAACTTCAAAACTGTAAATTTTATCCTATATGGAATGGTGGCCTACCAACCAGATGATTCTGAATGAAGAAATGACAAATCTCACAACTATGGGGTCAGACAGGGCCTTAGTTATCTACTTTAATGTCCTTATTTGACAAAGAAAAACCAATATTTGGAAAACTTAAGATCAATGATGCTCATCAGAACGGCTCAAATGAAAAAGAAAACACACAATGTTTGTGAGGATGTGGAGCAACTAGATGTTTCTGAATCACTTCAGAAACTGGCCTTTGTAGATGGGGAAGCTGCAAATTTACATACCCTTTATGACCTAATAATTTCATTCCTAGGTTTGGACTCCATGAAAATGCCTGCACATGTGCACCAGATATGCTGTAATGTTCACAGCAACACTAATTTACAGCCCAAGCAAAACAGGCCAAGTGTCCAATGGTAGAAAGAAACTGCAATACAATTCACAGAACACTATGCAGCAAGGAAAAATAAGATACAGATACATGTAACATACAATGGAACACTATGCAGCAAGGAAAAACAAGGTACAGACATGTAACAATCTCACAGTGCAGGGGGCAGCAGCAAGGCTCAGAAGCTCGCATAGTGTGTAATTCCATTTCTAGAAAGTTCAAAACCAGGAAGAACTTATCTATGCTATTAGAAAGCAAGATGTTTACTTTTGAAAGAGAGAGGTGGCAGCTTGGGCACAGTGGCTCACACCTGTAATCCCAGCACTTTGGGAGGCCGAGGCAGGTGGATTCACAAGGTCAGGAGATCGAGACCATCCTGGCTAACACGGTGAAACCCCACCTTTATTAAAAATACAAAAAAAAAATTAACTGGGCGTGGTGGCACATGCCTATAGTCCCAGCTACTCAGGAGGCTGAGACAGGAGAATCGCTTGAACCTGGGAGGCAGAGGTTGCAGTGAGCCTACACTGTGCCACTGCACTCAGGCCTGGGCAACAGAGCGAGACTCCATCTCAATGAAAAAAAAAAAAAAGAAAGAAAGAAGAGGTAATGATGGGAGGGGATAGGAGGGAAACTTCTGGGATACTGGTAATGTTTTATTGCTTGACTTAGAGGCTAGTTATACAAGTGTGTGGAGTTTGTGATAATTCATTATGTTGTACTCCTATATACACATGTATCTATACGTTACACTAATACTTCAACACAAGTTAAATTTGTTTTTTGTTTGTTTGTTTGTTTTCCAGAGACACGGTCTAGCTCTGCTGCCCAGGCTGGAGTACACTGGTATGATCAAGCCTCACCGCACCCTTGAGTTCTTGGCCTCGTCATCCTCTTGCCTCAGCCTCCCAAAGTGTTAGGATTATAGGAGTGAGCCACTATACCAGGCCGAATTAATTTCTGTAAATGAATTTAGGAGATACTCTATGAAATGTAAACTAGTTTAAATATAAAGAGGTATTGTTGAAAATAGAAATAATGGCTTAAAAGAGAATAAAAGCTAACTAAGTATAACCAAATCTTTCTTGGAAATACAAATACCACTTGGCTCTTCTTGGAAAGAGGTACTTTTATCACTTAGTAACAAACTCATGTGAAGTTATTATCTATGCCAATGTATTTGTAAAAAGAAACAAATGACAAGAATCAACTTACCATCCTCTTTAAGCACATGGCAATAAAATTCTCCAGGACTATATATCACACAGACCACAACATCTACTGTTTGGTCAACACCAAGTTCAACCCATGTCCACTCCAATGGATTTACTTTTCCTTCCACACCCAAGGGAACTGTGAAAATAATTAAACATTAAATGGACATAGTGGAGGAGGGATGTAGCGAGGTTGGGGTGGCTGAGGAACCCGCTTTTGAAGAACTGAATTTCCACTGACTTTTTAAGTGCCTTTATAGGAATATTAACCGTAAAGTCAGTCTTACAATAAATTATTATCTAAGTAAATTTCAAATTTACATTTCTGATCATCAGCTGCTGGCAACCTATAAAACTCCCCATAAAATTTTATTTTTCAAACATTCTTACAAGTATTTAGATGAATGCTTGATTTAAAAAGATGAAAGGCATTCAACATAAATTCTTTTTATAAGTACAAGAAACTATTTATTTATAGAACCATCTGAACTCCAGAACAGGCATTATCCAGTAAACATTTGACTTACCACTGGTTTCTTTCACGTCACTGGGTTTATCTGTCACCATACTCTGTTCTCCCACAGCAAAGCCTGCATCTAGGAGAACTTTGCTAACACTGACATGAGGCGTCTCGGATTTATCAATAAGCTCCACCAGGGAACTGTTTTCCAACTTGTCCACCACTTTCACTGTGATTATTTTGTTCTGTACAAGTTTTTTCATGAGACAAATAGCTTCTGGAGTCCAAATTCCTAATGATGGCTTTACTCCTAACAAAGAATTTTGAATGAATGTTACAATTATTCTGAAAGCATTTAGAAATTTAGCTCCTAATTTCCCCCAAGGTAAACTTAAGAAACCTATGGCAAACACTGGAACGGAAACGTGTCACTTAAGAAGAACATAAAAATGAATGCATAATTAACAAAGAAAAAGCCTGCTGGTGGGCAATGGTTCATTCCAGCACGCCGGGAGGCCGAGGCCGATTTGAGACCAGACTGGGCAACATGGCCAGACTCACATCTCTACCAAGAAAAAAAAGAAAAAGCAAAAGCTTGTAAAAAGCTTCTATAATATGTAAAACAAAAACCACGTAATTCCATTGATACACAATGTCCAGAAACACAAATCTACAGAGCCAGAAAGTAGATTAGTTATTACCTGGGGAGCAAGGACTAACCATTAATAGGCACGAGAGACCATACCAGGGTGATGGAAATGTTCTAAATCAGATTACGGTGATGTTTGTACAACTCAGTAAGTTTACTGAGAATTACTGAATTGTATAGTTAACACCTAAAGTGAACATTATGGTAGGTAGGAAAATTATAGCCCAATAAAATTAAGAAAGCCATAAACAAAAGTATAAAACAATCTCTGAAGAAGTACTGGTCCCTTATATTAACATATGAAACATTGGTGGCACTTACAACTCAACACTGAAAGGGCACTTACAAATCAGCAATCCAACAGTTATGCTTCAGTCAGTTTACGAAATGCAAGGGCCAAGTAACTTACAAAACAATGTTTAGCCTCACTAGTAATGAGGCGAATTGAAATTTCACCTTTAGCTTATCAAAATTGGCCAGGATGAAATAATATAGAAGCAACCCTTTGATGCACCAATGTGTATGAGAATGGACTCTCTCATACTTTTTCGTTGGGCATGTAAACTAGGTCAACCCTTTCTGGAAGAAAATGTACAATATGTATCACAAACATGAAAAGAAGGAGACTTACTGACCTGTTCCACCTGTGGGAATGTAGCCTAAGGAAGTATTTTGGGATATAACTATATCTTGCAACACAGCCTGAGGAAAAGATCTTGGATATGCTGCAAATGTAATGCCCTCTGAGATAGGATATTCTTTCTAAATTATGGTACGTTTGAATGAAGCCAACTAATTGACATGGAAAGAAATCTCTGATTTCTTTGGGATAAATGACATTTATAGTAACTTTTAAGCATCTGATCATGATGTTGTTTTGAGAAGCAGCTTTTCCCTATTTCGTGTATCTTTTCATGTTTCTTCATCTGTAGAATTTTTAAAGAATATGGAGGCTATAAAAATTTCATACCTGCTAGTACACACTTTATAGCTTGCATTGGCAATTCCAACAACTTTGGGATTATGGGACAAAGTCTCATCAAACTAAGGATTTCAAAGTTTCCATAATCTACATATCCGACCAGTACAGATTCTTCAGAAGCGTAAGCCAAAACAGAGGCACGGTACCACTGATCATCCTCTGAAAAAGGGAGAGACTCAATCTCAAATGATTTTTCCACTGTAGATGTAAATAAAAACCTTTCTTCCTCAACTTAGAGATGGTCATTTATAGATTTTTCTTTAATAGATATCAAGCTTATAGAACAATGTTTACTAATTTTGCTTATCAGAAGCCTTCAACTCCTAAAATGTAATATTAATAGCTTACTATAGTAATTATGTCTTACGCTGTAATCATTAGTTTACATGCCTTGTCTCTCCAGTAGAGTTAGCTCATTAGTACAGAGAACATATCCTGATCATGTGAATCACAAGGTCTCAATCAATACATGAAGCATTCAATAGCAAGACTAGTTTTAAAACACCTGGCAAGCATGAGTCAACCAGACTCCACTAACCAAGTGATGAATTTACTGAAGGATTACTGCGTCTCCCCTTCCATGAGGCCACCGGGCCTCTCTTCGGCAGAGAGTAACAGAACCTGGTTATCGCAAGGCAGGACTTGTGCCGTCCAAAAGCTGCACCATGACAGCTCCACACTTCCAGGCCCTCTTGCTATTTCAATAAAACCGGTGAAGATATGAACCTGGGGAGGTTCCACATCCCCCTATTAGCTTAAACCAAATTATCTTTACCAGTCCCCAAAACCAAAAGGCTGACAAAATAACCAAAAATACCTCCTTTATATCTCCACCTCCTTGACACACAGACGCTCTGCCCTTACCCAGGTCAGACCACACTCCTTTCAACCAGTTTAATTTGATCTATTTAAAAACATGATTGGTTCACTCTAATATTCAAGCTTTAAATCCAGCCATCAGTGCAAACCAAAGACTCTGTTTCAATGGTTTTTACTCAATTCTAAGTAAAAAATAAATAAAAATAAATTTTAAAAATCAGTAATACTCTGTCCTTACCTGAGAACTGAGCACAACATATATCACCAATGGCTGGATAAAAATCAGAGCGTGGAGGCAACTGATCACAGTACTTGCTAAGGGATGCCTGAAGTTCAGCAAGCTTTCCTGCAGATAAAGATCACATCTTAAAGAAATACGTATCTATACATTATTTCTACATGTCAAGTCTCTTGAAGTATTTTAGCTTCATAGAGCAAATCAAGAAAGCTGACTTACGGCCACTTTGCAGTTGTTGACAAAAGAAGTCTTCTGGTGTTTGAATGTGGGCAACCACACCACAAAACTCATCACCTACATTCAAAGTTAACACTTTTGGGATTAGGTCACTTTTGTCTACGACAATGTTGTTTTCAGTTGTCATTTTTCCAACATCTTCAGGATCACCTTATCAGAAGAAAACAGAAAAATAAGCCATTTTGTTTTCATCCAAAGTAAAAAAAAAATTATGCACGCTTTAATCATTTTAAAACGAATATGACTATGACTGCAAGGTTCCTGGAAGATGGCAGTCTGAGAGGTCATGGTGTTTCTTCTTCCCAGTAATAAATGTTTATAATAAGCTCAGTTTTCGATGTCACCAAAAGCTAGACTGGTCCAAGAAAGAAAATCAGCGACTTAGACAAGTTCAGATCTAATTAAAACACTCTATAATACACTCTTTATAGTCCCTAAAAGAGTTCAAGAAAATGTAATTTGGAATAGATATCGTCTCATTATACTCAAGTAGAAACACATCAGATTAGATTAGGACCTACTCACTCTAAAGTGAAAATGATAAACCCCATAGGGAACAATTTATTAGGATAAAATAATTAGAAATTTAAAATGCATTCAACAGTTCAAAAAAGATACAAGCAACATAAAGTCACAAGTCAAGAGAAAAATAATTAGGGCTAACCTAAGAGTTTAAGAAGGAAAGGCTTCAAAAGCACAGTGAAAAGTATCTCAGAAGAGAAAACTCACAGAAATGAAAAAAGTACATGGTTTATAAAATTCCAACTATGCAAGGAATATATTTTTAGCATCAAGACTTAGAGACATTATGGCAACTTATCAGAATCCTGGAAAACAAAAACTACTACTGTTTTAAGGAATTAAAGGATAAGATATCATTCACATAAAACTAAGGCTGACTTCATTGTTTTAAACACAGAAATATAAGAAAATAATTATCTAGATTATAGACTTATTAAAGGAAATGGTTCTCACCATGAACCTATAGGTTGACTCTGAAGACAAAGGGGAGGCTGGGATAGACCACAAAAAGTGGAGGGAATTTCATATCTAGGAATGACCTCTCAGAATGTGTTACAATCGATTGTTGAAGTTATGTTAGAAATCCCATTGAAATGGATAATTGGCTCAAAACAGTAGCCAAAGTAAATTTAATGATCTCAAGTGTAAAAGTTAAGAGATAGGCTCAAATTAAAAACCATTTCTTAAAATGTTTCCAAAAGAAATCACAACATAAGGGAGAAGGCAAGAGAAAAACTTAATAGCAAGGAAAATGAACTGTTGTCCTGTTGTTTCACAGCACAGGATGCATAATGGTGGAAAGAGCACTAAACTGGAGTAAGGGGGCTGAGATTCTGGTTCTCTATCTCCAGGCTTAAGGTAACCCACTGGACCAGTCAGCTTCTGCTTCTTCACGTGTACATAGGTGGAGTGGGAGATCTGGATAGTTCCATTCAGCTGCATGAGTCCATCATAAGATCCTCCATGAGTTATTGTTTTTTTAAGAGGTCTTGCTATGTTGCCCATGCTGGAGTGTGGTGGCTATTAACAGGTACAATCATGGCATACTGGGGCCTCAAACTCCTGGTCTCCAAGCCCTCCTCCCACCTCAGCCTCCTGAGTAGCTGTGCCAGCTTTTAAAAATTATATCTGGCCAGGTGTGGCTCACGCTTGTAATCAGAGCACTTTGGGAGGCCGAGGCGGGCAGTTCACGAGGTCAGGAGATGGAGACCATCCTGGCCAACATGGTGAAACACTGTCTCTACTAAAAATACAAAAAAATCAGCTGGGCATGGTGGCGTGCAGCTCCCACCTACTAGTCCCAGCCACTTGGGAGGCTGAAGCAGGAGAATCACTTGAACCTAGGAGGCGGAGGTTGCAGGGAGCTGAGATCACAGCACTGCACTCTAGCCTGGTGACAGAGCGAGACTCTGTCTCAAAAAAAAAAAAAAATTGTATCTTAAACATCTAATGTATGTCAGATGCCATACTAAGCAAGTAGTTAAGTAACTACTAAGAAGTAGTTAAGTAAAAGGCCACAGTCTTTGCCTCTAGATAGTCTAAATCTTGTAGGAGACAGAAGATGTTCAATCAGGAGCTACAGTGTCATAAATAGCACAAGAGGGTGCACAATCATAATGCCAGGCTGAGTGCAGCTGGGCTTAGGAACACAGTAGGAGGAGAGGGGACAAAAGCATGGTGATGTCGCTAGCTCGGTATGCTGACATTAGAGACCAAGTTGTAAAGGCTTTCAGCCAGGCTAGGTCAAGAAGGGGCAGGACAGGAGGACTGATTTAATTGTGTGACAGAGGCACAGCTAAATTTTTAAGAAGGTGGTTTAAAGGGAACTCTTAATATACCATATCTCATCTTTTCTGACTTCCAAATCTGATTCTTCCATACCCACCAACATTACTTGAATCCAACAAACTGAATCCAGAGGTATCTCAAGGCTCCATTCTCTATGTTGGCTTCAGAATCATGTCCAAACCCCTTAACACAGCTCCTGCGACCTTTAATGATCCGCTCTAGCTTACCTCCTGACCAATACTTCCCCATCCTATACCTCTTCACCAGCAGTCAAATCTAGCCCTACTTATTTTTCAGTTTCTCAGGCCTGCTCATGCTTTTTCCCTATCTCTAGGCCTTAACACATGTTCGTTTTCTTGCAACATACTCCCCACTGGCAGCACCTGGTTATTTCCTGCTCCGTGTGGCATCACTTCCAGATGGCTTTATTGCAAGTCTTAGGTACCCTCCCACCTGCTTCCGTTGCACCCTGCACTTCTCTATCACACCTAATTTCTCTATCCCACATAATTTCTTCTGCTTGTCTGTACTGGCCTTAGCCTTCATGAAGGCACCTTCACAGTGCCTTAGCGAAGAAGATATTGCTCAGTGGTTTTCTTGTTCCTTCCACTGGATACCTTCATAGCATCTGATATTACTGATGACTCCCCCTCCTGGAAGCATGTACCCTCTGTTGCTCTGGCAAGGTTTTTCCCATTCTGTTCCCACCTTTCCCATTATAGCTCCTCACTCCATGTTGCAGGCCCCAGCTTCATCTTCCTCATTCTTCCTCACTCTATTGCACCAGAACCTACGGTTTCAACCATGACTACCACTAGACCTCTGTTTGGTTTCCTTCTCTAAATGACAAAGAACTGAAAGCTTTTCATCAGAGCTGTCCCACCAAGATGTGTGTTCTTAGGCATATCACATAGGCAAGTACTCTAAGAATGCAGATAGGGAGATAAACTATGACATTGGAAAATTGTTTCAATTGTCCATGAATGATGAGGATTCCTGAGCTAAGAAAATGGTAGTAGGGAAAGAAAGAAAAAAGACATATACAAGGGATACTTGGGAAGAAGAATCAATAAAGACTTGGCAACCAATTAGGGCAAAGGATGGGAGGTAAGAAGGTAGATTTAAGGATGATTCCAGTGTGCTTATGTGATAGGATGTGTCCAACCACGGCACTGTTACTCTAGCAATCACCTCTGGATGAATGAGTAAGAGACAATGAATTATATCTACTCCTAAAGCAATCAGTACAGGAGCAAAGTAAAGGATCAAAAAGATAATACAAACACAGGTGATTAGGCAATGAGGAAGTAAAATGCTGAAAGCAAAATTTCTTGGTTCTCTTGTTAATCTAAATAAACCACACACACAAGCTTTTACAGGAGTAAACAGTCATCAGAAACACTGTCCTACTGGAACAGAATTTTGCAGCCCTATTAATTACTGGTGGAATACCCAAGAAGGAAGAAAAACAAACTAAGAAAATGTGAGCTAAAAAGCCCTAACTTGGCAGGGCGTAGTGGCTCACGCCTGTAATCCCAGCACTTTGGGAGGCTGAGGCGGGCGAATCACTCTCAGGTCAGGAGTTTGAGACCAGCCTGGCCAACATGGTGAAACCCTGTCTCTACTAAAAATACAAAAAATTAGCTGGGCGTGCTAGCGGGAGCCTGTAATCCCAGCTCCTCCGGAGGCTGAGGTAGGAGAATCACTTGAACCAGGGAGGCAGAGGTTACAGGGAGCCGAGACCATGCCATTGCACTCCAGCTTGGACAACAAGAGTGAAACTCCATCTCAAAAAAAAAAAAAAAAAAACAAACCCTAACTCTAAAGTGTTATGATATTTAATACTTCATAATCTCTGATGATTACCATGTTAAGGATTCATGTGGAAAATGGACAGAGGAGGAGAACAGGCAGGAAAGATTGAGATTAGAAATGATATACTACTAAATATAAAACAGCGTATTTAAATTGCTCATAGGATGTTTATCGTTAACAAGTCTTAACAGTGCTAAAGTTGTGCCTTTGTTTAGTAGGTAGATGGTCTTCAATAACTGAAGTCGCTATACCGTTCAATATCAATCTATACTCACTTTGATCTGCATTTTCCTTCTTAGAATCTTGTCCACTGGGTTTCAAGCCATATCCCATTTCTATAAGCACATGGTCTAAAAGTTTTCCTAAAAAGTGATTAAGAAAATATGCCTCCATTGAGAAACTATACAAAGAATTATGGGAAAAGCGTAAAGAAGAAACAAGTCAATCATACAACACACGTTCATAGCTATTAATAGGTTGGTATATGTTTTGCCAATTCAGTTCCTATGGGTAAGCTATGGTAGTGCCCAGCTTAAAACACTGAGGCAAAATTACTGTAGTCACTTGACAGAATTTTTTCTCTGAAATACAATTTTTAAAATTTTTGTGAGTACATAGTAGGTGTACATATTTATAGGTTACATGAGATGTTTTGAAACAGGCATGCCATGTGAAATAAACACACCACAGAGGAGGTAACCATCCCCTCAAGCATCCTTTGAGTTACAAATCATCCAATTACAGTCTAAGTTACTTTAAAATGTACAATTATTATTGACTACAGTCACCCTATTGTGCTATCGAATAGTAGGTCTTATTCAGTCTTTTTAACTATTTTTTGTTTTGTACCCATTAACCATCCCCACCTACTCCCAGCCCCTGACTACCCTTCCCGGCCTCTGGTAACCATTCTACCCTCTATTTGACAGAAATTTTAACAAAAAGATCTCACTTTGAAATCCTGAAGAACACGAAAGATTTGTTTACCACCTCACAAATATGCTTAGAATGACTACTGTTTGTGGGAAATTAATTTAAGACATAAGTATGGCTGAAAGAATGGTCAGCATGGACCCAAACTTCAAGTTCCCTGAAATAATATGCAAAAGCTGAGATTGTAACATGAAACATAGCAAACAACAGATTTTTACTTAACTTCACAAGAGATTAGCCGATTTTCTACCAAATCAGCCATGATGCCAGATCTCTGAAAGCAGAGGGGTGATACCCTGGAAACTGGGAGGCACCCATCACACTGTGAGAAGTCATTTATCAAACAGGTGAAAGGCCAGAAGGGAAGAAGAGAATTCTAAAGCATTTCCATTTCCACAGCTTAGCTACTATGTACTAGCCAAATGCAGTTCCGTGAAGGTTACTCCAAGAAAAAGCACTGATATAAGGACAAACTAATTCAGAGAACTTCAAGAATTTTCTCAATAAAGGGGCCAATATTCAGGAGTAGATATTATAATGGCTCTATTAAAGGGATCGTAGTTACACCCACATGAAGTCTAAATCTAGCCAGCCACCTAATTCTATGAATTTGTGTCATGTCTTTGACAAACTGCCAATTTCAAGAATGGGTTCAGTCACAATCTGAATGACTCCAGAGGGCAGTTTACCTGGCCTCACTTGATGTTTCCGTTTCTTCTGAGTAACAGGTGGAAACTACATATCCTATTAAGTACTCAATTTAAAAAGACAGATCTTACCTGAATTTGGCAGCTCAACTTCTACAGCAAAGGTAACCACTTCCTCTTCCAAGATGTCGACAATCTTTATGGAGCAGTACTGCTCCATTAACAGTGGTTTAGTAGCTTTGATACAATCACTGCTCCAATTCCCTTCTGCTGGGATAACATTGGCTACAAAGCACTTTATGGCCTGAAAAATTTTACGCAGGTTACTTACAAAAATTACCATTTAAAAATGATTTTTTCTAATTATTTGTATATAAAAGAATGTATTTCATGCTGAAAACTTATCACAAATCTTCAAGTACTAATCAGATAGACAATTTTCTGTATAATTATTATTAGCCTCTGTTAGTACTGTATTCATAACGCTTACTTTTGGTACTTGAAGCTGGAGAAATTTATGAAAGAATAATTATCCTTCAATTATACATAAATTAAGACCAATTTTAGATACTATAATATAGAAATGATTATTTTGAAGAGCAAATTGAAAACATGTGCCTAAAAATGTTAGTTTCTCACCCTGGGCAGTAGTTAACTAAATAAGGTCAAGATAGCCCATGAGTGTTTATTTACATAGTACAGGTACAGTAACACAGCAGAATAGAACAAGCAAACACTGTGCCCATCAAAACATTGACAACAGCTCCTTTGGGACACTATTAAAAATCTAGAAAGTAAAAGAGACTCACACAAGGAGGAAACAAGTCAATGTTCCTGTTGAGGTGGTAAATTCTGTTTAATGGAATTATTTCTTCATTTCCATAATCAATATATAAGACATGTGCCTTCTTTTGCTGCACATCAACGTTTTGTATGATTGCTCTGTTCCAGGTCTGAAAGTGAAATATAATGGTACTCTGCTTCATAACAGCATTTCACAATCTTAGATTAAAAAACCCTCAATCAATCTATAGAACGTGCAAAGGAAAGGCTCCTGTTCTGAGGCACTCAATTAATAAGCCAACTTAATTTTTTAAGAATCTTGCTAAGAAATCCCTAAAATTGTCTAGTTAGGACATGTTATTAATAATATGCACAACTATTCCAAAGCTACTTCTATCCCATGAGACTATCACACACTAATACCTAAATAAAACACAAGCTCTAAGACTAGCCATCAGGCTACAACTAGCAATTCAGGAACCCGTAAACAGAGTTGGAGAGGAGTAAGACAGGGAGGAAGCAAGGTGAACAGAGCACGGGATACTGAAGAGGAATAGAAGCGTGATCAGAGGCTGGCTTTAAGCCTTGTCATGCATCATTAAAAGCTCTGGTGTTCAGTTCATACGACCAAAGTTAGCTCAAACGTTTTAAATAATTCATTTCATTACAGGTTACCTGATCAACAGTGTACTTGGCAATACAAACTTCCCCCTTAACAGGAATATAGTCTTTTTCATGCACATTTGCATATGTTTCTTTTAAGCTGGCAGAGAGTTGGTTCATGTATTCTAAAACTTCTGAAGAATATAACTGCACGTAGAAGTCCCCTGGGTGTTTGAATTCGGTAACCGTACCCTTTCAAAGATAAAAAAAAAGAGGAATAATTCATAAGGCACACAAGGAAATGTAAATTTCTTAAAGCTTTGTAACTAAGACACAAACAGCATTGTAGGCAGTTTTTGCAATGTTTATGTTTTGTAGCTACCGCATGAACTCAAAAATAGGAAACGAGAATAAATACAGTTCTCTGGATCTGTGTCTATGGAGATTGAAGAAAAACAAATACCTTTATTTCCATGGTTTTCTTGAGTTGTAGACTTCTCAAATCAGAAAACATTATTCTCTCAGCCCAAATGGCTATTTCCTTAGTAACTCCAAGTGGACAGTCACTCTGGTTTGAAAAATACCACAGAAGTGAGTTACTTAAAAGCACATGTTTCAATGATTCTATGGCCACTACACGTCGGAACTGCAGTCACAATATCCTAACTCTTAGGCTTGAACAAAAGAACACAGAAATAGGGAAGGCCTCCAAGAGTCACTAAAACCCACTGTCCACAGGCAGTGGGCACAGCACTGGGAATAACCCAAGAATAAGGCCACGTGGGTGAAGAGAAGGTTGACTTTATTTCAAAAAAAATGAAAATGGTGGTGGTGGAGGTATTATTTTAAATCTGCACTTGTTAATGTTTTCTGTAAGAATGAATACCTGAAGTCACATTTTTTTAAGTAGAGGCTAGAAGCAGTTAAAGAAAGCTAAAAATTATTCATAAATACGAGTTGGACACGACGGATGTTTTTCGGATTACAAATAATTCAGCCCATGTTGTTGCCTAAATGGGGAACTACTATCAGAAAAAAAATCCTCCTTAGATAGATAACTAGGCCCTATTAGAGTACAGCACATAAAGCTAAAACCTGTGCCTTCAGAGGCATGATTAATCCACATGATTTTACACTGAGATACTGCCACATCCTTTTTGAAAAAAAGATGAAGTAATTCTCAAAAACCCCTGATTGTATCACTATGGTGTACATATTTATATAATAGGAAACTTGCCTTTAAATATTGATAAAATACAGAAATAAGCCTAAAATATTTATCTTACATCTTAATTCAATAAAGAGGAGTTATTCAAAATTTAAAGACAAAGTATACCATACCTTATTGTTTACCTCCACATCCTTTGTTTCAATAGATGATTTATTTTCAAGTTTGTGGAAACTGCAATAAAGCAACAGATTACAATATTTATACTACAGAGGCAATTAACATAGGGGCTATCAACCACAATTATGGTATTCTCAATGAACAAAATCCTGAAAGAGCAAAACAGCTTCTTCCAGAATCACAGTGGTAATGTAAAACTCCCCAGTGCTGGCTACACAGTGGTCCACACCCTGTGTGTGCACAGGTGTGCTTCTTCCAAAAGCCACCTAATGAGACAGACAGAGACAGGGTTGGGGGGAGACAGACAGAGAGAATATCTCCAAGCCTGTTTTCTTATCTGTAAAATGGAGATAATTCCCTACATTACTTACACAGAATTTTGAGGTCATATGTGAAACTGTTTTGTAAACTGGTAAATGCCATGCAAGTACAATTTATGTATTTACAAATAAAAACACAACTCAAGAGGCATGTAAGAGTTCCAAACTTATTAAAATCCAGGAAAGTACACATCATTAAAAGTAAGGCATTCTAAAGCTCTAAACATGAAAGAAAAACTCTTTGAAGGTTATAAATCTTCACATGTACTACCTGGTAAAATGATACACATGAAAATTAAGTTCATAGAGCTGTTCACTTCAGATTTGTACACTTTGTTATAGAGCTTAAGAAAAAGTAACTTCTACTTGGTTGTGGTCTGCTTAACTAATTGGACGCTTATTGTATCAGAACCTTTTACATAATCCTTAATGAATAAAAAGATCATAAATCCTTACTTTGGCTGAACAGGCCTGCACACGATGCTGTGTGCAGACCAGTCTCTTCTTTGACATGCTGTGGAGCAATAGTAGGTCTGCTTGCACTGAGAGCACCTCAGCGATCCTAGAAAACACCACCCACAAAATAGTTCAGATGAAGATCAAGACATTCTCAAAGTCCACACTTTAGCAAATATCATTCTATTAGCCATGGCAAGAGAATTGTGCTATTTAGGATCAGGTGTTCAGATTATACTTTTAAACTCTGAGAATACAGAGAAGAAATGACTACAAAGATTAAAAAAAGGGAGATCAGACTGGGACACATAACTGAGTTTCCTAATAGACCTCAGAATATATGTTATAAAAGCAGCAAGCGGCCAGGTGCAGTGGCTCACGTCTGTAATCCCAGCACTTTGGGCGGCTGAGGCAGGTGAATCACCTGAGGTCAGGAGTTCGAGACCAGCCTGGCCAACATGGTTTGAAACCTTGTCTCTAGTAAAAATACAAAAATTAGCCAGGCATGGTGACGGGCACCTGTAATCCCAGCTACTCAGGAGGCTGAAGCAGGAGAATCTCGAACCCGGGAGGCAGAGGTTGCAGTGAGCTGAGATTGTACCACTGCACTCCACAGCCTGGGTGACAGAGTGAGACTCTGTCTCAAAAAAAAAAAAAAAAAAAAAAAAGGCAGCAGCAAGCAATGGTGCAAAACATGCAGTGGCTCACGCCTGTAATCCCAGCACTTTGGGAGACCAAGGCGGGTGGATCACTTGAGGTGAGGTCAGGAGTTTGAGACCAGCCTGGCCAACATGGTGAAACCCCGTCTCTACAAAAATACAAAAATAAGCCCAGTGTGGTGGTGCGCACCTGTAGTCCCAGTTACTTGGAAGGCTGAGGCAGGAGAATCGCCTGAACCCAGGAGGCAGAGTGCCAGTGAGCCAAGATCAAGCAAAGTAAACAAAACTTTCTTGTAGTGAAAACAGACTTGTACAAGCGACTGAAATGGCTGTGTATCGTGAAAAACAACAACAAAAAATAAACAATGAGAATCACACCCAGAAAAACCCAGGGAGATCTTGAAATAAAGGATTTTTTAAAAAATCCCATCAGTGTTCATGCTAAAGAAACAGGTTATCTAAAAAACAACAACAACAACAACAAACCCACAAAGAAGTAACCACCAACCAGTCTGGCCTCAAATGCTTCCATCCTAAAATAAACTTTTAAAAAGTTACATATCCAAATAGCCAGTAATAAACAGAAAAAACTGCTCAAGATCATTGATCACGAGAGCACTGCAAATTTAACTGTAAACTGGTAAATGCCATGCAAGTAAGACTTACGTACTGAAAAATTAGAACTCAAGAGGCATATGACAATTCCAACTTATCCACGAGAAGGGCTATAATTAAAAACACAAACACCAAATGTGGACGAGGATGTGGAACAACCAAAACTCCTTCCCAGTGGGAAAAGAAAATGGGACAATACCTTGAAAATGGTTTAGTAGCTTCTTATACAGTTAAACACACACCTACCCTTTGACTCAGCCATTGTGTGTCTACCTGTGCACCCACAATAAATGAAAACATATGTCCACACGAACACTTGTACAGAAATGTTTAGAGAGCTCTATTCATAACAGACAAAAGCTGGACCCAGCCAAAATATTCATCAATAGAACAGTTTGACTATGGTATAACCATACAATGAGATACTATTCAGCAATAAACAAAAAATAATTGTACGTGCAACGGCATGGATTAACCTCAACAGTATTATTGTATATGAAATAAGCTTGATACAAAAGAGTCCACGCTGTATGATTCCACTTATGTGAATTCTATGACAGGCAAAATTATTTCATGAGTAGAAAACCAATGGTTGTTTCTCAGAAGTAGGGACTGGGATGGGACATGAGAAAACTTCCTGAGGAGACAGAAACATCCTATGTTATGACAAGGATGTAAGTCTGTGCATTTCATTGCATGTGAGCTTCCCCTAAAAAACTATAATAATCCGCTGAGGAAGCAGGAAGAATGGGAAGGGATGGGTGAAGAGGAACAGCAGGATGCTGACAGCTGCTGAGGCTGAGACGGGTGTGTGGCATGGGGACACTGTTCTAATTACACTTAATGTTTCATCATCTGCCACAATAAAAATGTTTTTCAAATATGTGGAAGAAGAATTCAGACACCCAAGAACAATATGCTTACCAAATAGGCCACAGCGATGGCAAGTTGTGGACCGAAGAGGAGGTCCTAAGGAGGTGAAGAGCCCTGGATTACTTATGGACAAGGAATTCTCGACCAACTTGTTTAGTTTTTTTGATTTTGCAGGACGTACATTATTTCCAGGCTTCTATTAAGAACAAAGAAGAGCAATGTTAGAATTTGGCAATAACTTTTCCATTTAAATACTAGATTTGGGACTACTTCAGATAAGATCAAGTAGATGTACTTTTCCTTATTCCTCCTATTAAGGTAAACTAAAACCCTGAACTTATATATAAAACAAACATACGGTGACTCAAAGTGGGAAAGGAGGAGGTGGGCTGACTGGGAACCTGGAGACCCAAAGAGTGACATGGCAATAAGATGTCTGGGTTTTCTTTTTGCCTCATATATACCAGACTGGGTGCTGGAGAAGCCAGCAACCCAGAAACACCAAAAGGCAGAGATGATAAAAGCTCCAACAAGAAAAGCCCTGCTCTCTAGCCGGGTGTCGTGGTGGGCACCTGCAGTCCCAGCTACTTCTGAGGCTGAGGAGGGAGGAACACTGGAGCTCAGGAGCTCAAGGCTGTAGCGAGCTATGATAGTGCCTGTGAACAGCCACTGCACTCCAGCCTGGCCAACACAGTGAGACCCTCATCATTTAAAAGAAAAAATTTAAAACCTGCTCTGCTAGCCAAAGGATGAGAAAAGAGGCAGACCAGCAAGACAGAAAACTTAACATTAACTGCTCTACTCCAAACACCACAGACAAAACTGTGGCCCCACTCCCACCCACAAAGGGAGAGTGTGGGGCCAAGATTTCCACCCTCACAAGGCTACAAATGAGGTGCCCCAACCTGCTCACAGGTGTGGTATCAGAGAAGGCCAAGCGAATAGGGTGCCAGCACTTTATCCCTGAAGTGGGAGGAGGATGAGATCCCTCCCTACGGAGGCCACATGGGGAACCCGGATTTCCACCTGGCAACAATGAGGTGCCACCACCCCGACCAAGGTGGTGTCAGAAAAGGCATAGTGGAGAGTCCAGACTTTCCACCACCATTCATTACTAACTACTCCCTCCTAATACCCTCTCCTTCAGTCGGGCCTCTCTCCACCCGTGTCACTAGAGACCAGATGGGGAGCTGTAATGAGGCACTCACCACTGTCAGCCAGAAAGCAATTAGTTGAGGCCTCTTGTGAAGCTGGAACTCCCATCCTCACCCAACAGAAAGAGCCCCCGAGTTGAATATCAGAGGCTGAGTAGGGAACCTGGACATATACCCCCCGACCTGGCGGTAACAAACAAGCAGCCAGAGCAGTGTCGGAGGAAGCCAGCTGAAACAGGAAGTTTAAATACGATACAGAGACTGGGTGTGGTGGCTCACGCCTGTAATCCCGGCACTTTGGGAGGCTGAGGTGGGCAGACGTCTTGAGGTCATGAGTTCAAGATCAGCCTGGCCAATATGGCGAACCCCATCTCTACGAAAATACAAAAATTAGCCAGGCATGGTGGCACGTGCCCATAATCCCAGTTACTCAGGAAGCTGAGGCACAAGGATCGCTTGAACCCAGGAGGCGGAGGTTGCAGTGAGCTGAGATCATGCCACTGCACTCTAGCCTGGGCAACAGAACGAGACTCAATCAAAAAAAAAAAAAAAAGTCTCATAATACCCAAGATATCCCAGTTTCAACAGAACTCAGTAGACAATAACTCATTGCACCAAGAATCAGGAAGATCACAAACAAATGCCGGAAAAAAAAAAATCAAGCGCCCAACATCAAGATGACAAAAATGTTCATTTATCTATAAAGATTGTAAAGCAGTCATCAATATGTTAACAAGCAATTATGAATAGGCTTGAAACAAATGAATAGGGAGTCTCCCTAAAGAAATAAAAGATATAAAGAACCAAATGAGTATTTTAAAACTGAAAAGTATAACAAAAATACAAAACACAATAGCAGACTCACTAGCATAATGGAGGGAAAACAGGAAACAATCAGTAAACTTGAAGATAGAACCACAGAAACGCCTGATCTGAACAAGAGTGAAAATGAATTAATAAATGAATAGTCTCAGGGACCTGTGGGACTACAACAAAAGATCTAGTATTCTATGACTTCAGAAAGGCAAAAGAAGGTAGGGCTGAGAAATACTCAAAAAATGACTGCTGAGGCCAGGCACAGTGGCTCACGCCTGTAATCTCAACACTGGGAGGCTGAGGCAGGTGGGATCACCTGAGGTCAGGAGTTCAAGACCAGCCTGGCCAACATGGCGAAACCCCATCTCTACTAAAAATACAAAAATTAGCTGGGTGTGGTGGAGGGCATCTGTAATCCCAGCTACTTGGGAGGCTGAGACAGGAGAATCGCTTAAACCCAGGAGGCAGAGGTTGCAGTGAGCCCAGATCATGCCACTGCACTCCAGCCCAGGCGTCAAGAGCCAAATTCTGTCTCAAAAAAAAAAAAAAAAAAAAAAAAAAAAAAGACTGCTAGAAACTTCCAAATTTGGTAGGAGATATAAATCTACTAATTCAAGAAGCTGAGTGAGCCCCAGAGTAAACTGAGACTAAACACCAAGACACATCTTAAAATTCTGAAAATTAAAAGCTTGAAAGCAGAAAGAGGAAAATAATCCCTTACCTGTATGGGGGGGGAAATTTTTAAAATTCCTTCTATTAAGGTAAACTAAAACCCTGAACTTATATATAAAACAAACATAAGGTGACTCTGAAAGTGGGAAAGGAGGAGGTGGGCTGACTAGGAACCTGGAGACCCAAAGAGCTACATGGCAGTAAGGTATCTTTAAAAAGACAGATTTCTCATTAGAGACCATGGAGGCCAGAAGAAAGTGACAAAACATTTTTCAAGCTCTGAAAGAAAACTTACCTGAGAAACTTATCCAAGGAAAATATCTTTCAGGAATGAATGGGAAATCAAGACTTTTCAGATGAAAGAAAATGAAGAGAATTTGTTACCAGTAGCTTTATCCTAAAAGAATGGCTTAAGGAAGTTCTCTAAGGAGAAAAGAAATGATAAAAGCAGGAACACTGAAACAGAAAGAAGAAAAACACAATAGTCCGGGCTCAGTGGCTCACTTTGTAATCCCAGCACTTTGTGAGTCTGAGGTGGGAGGACTGAGCTCAGGAGTTCGAGACCCAATAAATGAAACCTATCAGTAAGTACAATAGACTTTCTCTTGTTGAGCATTCTAAATTATGTTTGAGAGTTTGAGCAAAAATGATAAACTGTCTGAAGGCGTTCTAAATCTGAGATAGAATATGTAAGACGTAAATGGGTGAAGGTAAAGAAATGTATGGGAAGGTAAGGTGTCTGCACTATACTCAGATTGGTAAAATGATAACTAAGTTGTGTATACATGATACCGTATGTAGAACAACCACTGGAAAAGGTATACAAAGATACACACTTGAAAACACTGGATAAAAATCAAAATTACTGAAAGTATTCAAGTAACCCACAAGAAGGCAGGAAAAAAGAACAGAAAACAAATGGCATAAACTCAAGTATTAATTACATCAAATGTAAACGGTCTAAGCATACCAACTGAAAGACACTGCCCTAGTGAATTAAAAAACATTACCTAAATATATGGTGTCTATAAGAAACTCATTTTACATATAACAATATAGAGAGACCGAAAGTAAAAAGATGGAAAAATATGTAAATGTTAAGAAAAATATGAGTGGCTGCATTAATATCAGATAAAACAGATTACAGGGAAAGAAAATTACCAGAGAGAGGGACATTATGATGACAAAAGAGTCAACCCAACAAGACACAGCAATCCTAAATATGCATGAACCACAGCTGCAAAACATGAAGCCTAACTGAATTGAAAATAGACAACTAAGGACTATAGTTAGAGACTTTAATACCTTCTCAACAATTGACATGACTAGATATAAAATCAGCAAGAGGATAGAACTCAACATAACCAACCAACAGGAGCTATTAGGTATTTATAGGTCGTCTGACCCAACAACAGACGAGGCACATTCTTTTTAAGTGCCAAGAGAATGTATACTAAGACCACATCCTGAGCCATAAAACAAACCTCAACAAACTTAAAAGAACTGATATGATTCAGAAGGTGTTCTCTGACCACAATAGACTCAAACTAGAAATCAGTGGCAGAAAAAATACTAATAATCTTCAAACACCTGGAAACTAAAACATATACTTCTAAATAATACATGAGTTAAAGATGAAGTTTCAAGATAAATAAAAGATACACTGAGGCTGGGCAGGGCAACTCATGCCTGTAATCCCAGCAATTTGGGAAGCCAAGGTGGGAGGACCACTTGAGGCCAGGAGTTTAAGATTAGCCTGGCAACATAGTAAGACCCCCATATCTACAGAAAAAAAAAAAAAAAGCCAGGTGTGGTGGCATACACCTGTAGTCCCAATTACTCCAGGAGGCTCAGCAAATGGGATTGCTTGAGTCCAGGAGTACAAGGCTGTGGTGAGCTATGATTGTGCCACTACACTCCAGCCTGGATGACAGAGGGAGACCTTGTCTAATAAAAAAAAAAAAAAAACCAACAACCAACCACTAAAAAGACAAACAAAAAAACCCCCAAACAATGACAAAAAAACATGCCCAAAAGCAGCAGAAGAGATAATAAAGATAAAAGAAGAAATCAATTAATTTAAAAAACAGGAAAAAAAATGAAACAAAGACCTATTTCTTTGGGAAGATCAGTAGAACACAAATCTGTAGCAAGACAGACAATAAAGAAAAGAAAGACAGAAATTACCAAGATCAGGAATAAAATAGGGAACATTACTACAGACACCACTAATACTGAAAATAATACTGGGAACACTTCCACACATAAATTTGACAATGTAGACAAAATGAACAAATTCCTTAAAAAATGCAAACACAATATGAAACAATTTGAATAGACCTTAATTATAAATATTAAGGAAACTGAATCATAGCTTTAAAACTCCCCCAAAAGAAATCTCCAGGTCCAGATGGTTTTCATTGGAGAATTCTACCAAATGTTTAGAGAAGAATTAACACCAATTCTATACAATTTCTCTTCCAGCAAACACAAGAGGGGACACTTCTCAATTTATTTTATGAAACTAATACTACCTTGATACTCAAACCACACAAAGACAGTATAAAAGAAAATTACAGACCAAAATCTCTCTTGAAAACTTATGTAAAAATCCTTATCAAAATATTACCAGATAGAACTCAGCAATACATAAAAATAATTGTATATCACGACCAAGTGGAGTTCATTTCAGGAATGCAAGGCTAGTTAACCATTCAAAATATCAATGTAATCCACCAAATTAACACACTAAAGGAAAAGAAGTCACTACCATATCAATCAATGCAGAAAAAGCATTTGACAAAATTCAACACCTACTTATGATAAAAAGGATCAGAAAAGTAGGACTAGAGAAAACTTCATCAGCTTGATAAAGAACATCTACAAAAACCTACATCTAAACTTAATGGTAAAAGACTGAATGCTTTCTCCCTAAGATTAGAAACAAGGCAAGGTGTCCACTGTCACTCTGATTCAAACCTCGTGTTGAAAGTTCCTACAGTAAATGCAATAAAGCAAGAAAGGAAATCAAAGGCATATACATTGAAAAAGAAAACATAAAACTGTCCCTATTTGCAGTATGATATAATTGGCTATGTAGAAAACTGCAAGGGATCTTAAAAGGACTTCAGTGGCTGGTCCCGGTGGCTCACGCCTGTAATCCCAAGCACCTTGGGAGGCCAAGGCGGGTGGATGACCTAAGGTCAGGAGTTCGGGACCGGCCTGATCAACATGGTGAAACCACGTCTCTACTAAAAAATACAAAAATTAGCCAAGTATGGGGGTGCATGACTGTAGTCACAGCTACTTGGGAGGCTGAGGCAGGAGAATCGCTTGAACCAGGGAGGCAGAGGTTGCAGTGAGCCAAGATAGCAGCCCTGCAGTCCAGCCTGGACAACAAGAACAAAACTGTCTCAAAAAAAAAAAAAAAAAAAAAAGACTTCAGCAAGGTCACAGATAGAAGATAAACATACAAAAACCAATCATATTTCCACATATTAATAATGAACATGGGGAAAGAAATACAACAGTATTTACAATTACTCAAAAAAATCAAATACTTAAGTGTAAATTGAGCAAAACATGCATAGGATATGTAAGCTAAAAACTACAAAATAAAGAAATCAGAGAGCTACATAAAAGGAGAAACACCATGTTCATAGATTGGAAGATTCAACACAGCAAATATGTCAATAATTCCCAAATTGATATACAGGTTTAATGCAATTCACATGAAAATCCCAGCAATATTTTTTGTAGAGATGAGATTATTCTAAACTGTATGTTGGAAGGCAAAGGAATTAGAATAGTTAAAAATTTTTTTAAAAAGAAAAATCAAGCAAAAGGAATCACTTTTCCCAATTTCAAAATTTATTACACAGCTCCAGGAATCAAGACTGTGTGGTACTGGAAAGACAGACACATATATCTACAGAAAATAAGTAACTTAGACTAGACTGACACAAATATGTCCAATTGAATTTTGGCAAATGTGTGAAAGCAATTCAGTAAAGAGAATTTTCAACAGATGGCACTGGAGCAATTGAATATACATAGGCAAAAACTTAAGTTTCTTAACTTAAAATTAACTGAAAATGGATCAAAACTTAAATGTAAGAAGTAAAACTATCTGGTGGCTCACGCCTGTAATCCTAGCACTTTGCGAGGCCGAGGCAGGCGGATCATGAGGTCAGGAGATGGAGACCATCCTGGCTAACACGGTGAAACCCCATCTCTACTAAAAATACAAAAAAAATTAGCCAGGCGTAGTGGCGGCCACCTGTAGTCCCAGCTACTCGGGAGGCTGAGGCAGGAGAAATGGCGTAAACCCAGGAGGCGGAGGTTGCAGTGAGCCGAGATCGCGCCACTGCACTCCAGCCTGGGTGAAAGAGCAAGACTCCGTCTCAAAAAAAAAAAAAAAAAAAAAAAAAAAAAGGAAAACTATCAAACTTTTTTGGGGAAAAAAATGAACATTTTCAGGATCCAGAGTATCAAACAGTTTTAAAGTTGACACCAAAAGCACCAAAAACAATCCATTAAAGAAAAACTGACTTTATTAAGATGAAAAGACAAGCTACAGATTAGGAAAAAATATTGGCAAATCACGTACTTGACAAAGGACCAATATCTGAAATATATAAAGAACTTTCAAAACAACGGTAAAAAAAAAAAATTAGAAAATAGACAAAAGACATGAAAATATTTCACCAAAGATGCACAGATGGCAAATAAGCACATGAAAAGATGTTTATCATCATCAATCGTGAGGGAAATGCAAGTTAAACCACAATGAGATAGTACTACACATCTGTGATGAAAATGGGTAGAATAAAAATACCTACACCACCAAATGCTGATGAGGATGCAGAGAAACTGAAGCTCTCATACACCCTTGGTAAGAATGTAAAATGATACCGTCACTCTGGAAAATATTTGGCAGTTTCTTATAAAACAAAGTATGGGACTAGTCTTCAACCCAGAAATTGTACCCTGGACATCTATCCTGGAGCATTAAAAACGTGTTCATATAAAATTCTGTACATAAATGGATATAGAGTTTTAGTTTTAACGCCAAAAAGTGGAAACAACCCAGGTGTCCTTCAATAGGTAAATGGTTAAACAAGTTGTCCATACCATGGAATACTACTCAGCAATAAAAAGGATAGAACGATTGATGCATACAACCTAGATCAATTTCCAGATAATTATGTGAAATGACAAAAGCCAATCCCAAAAGGTTACGTACTGTTTGTATGTAGCCTTTTATATAATATTCTCAAAAATGTCAAAATTGTCGAAATATGCATATCAGTGGCTGCTATGGATTAAGAGGGCAGGGGCAGAAGGAAAAGTGGATTGGCTACACCAGAACATAAGCAACAAGGTATATAAGGGACCCTTGTAGTGATGGAAATGTTCCGTATCTTGATGGTGTATCAATAACCCAGTTGTGATATTGTACTATAGTTTTGCAGCATGTTAACATGGGCGAAATAGGTGAAAGACTACACAGGATCTCCATTATTTCTTACAACTGCATGTGAATCTACAATAACCTAAGAAAGTTTTCTTTTTTTAAAAATGTACATAAAAGAAAAAACATTTGATCTTGAATGATACCTACAAATTGAACACTTCTTTATTAAATAAATAAAACATGTTTAGAATCTTTTACCCAAACAAGCACACACACAATAAAATAACTTACAATATTCACTTCTTTGGGTGGTGAATTACTTTCAGCACTTGGTGGTGACACTGAGTTTCCTGGGGAGGAAAAACACAATTTCAAATAAAAGCCAAATAATACTTTTTATTGCTAATAATGAAAAATAGTGTAATTAGGTGATATTCAAGTAACAGGGCTATACCACAATGACCTTATAGCTACACCAGAACATAAGCAACATCCTACTTTTCCCAACAGAAAATAAGGACTTAGCTGGGCACAGTGGCTCACCCCTATAATCCCAGCACTTTGGGAGGCCAAGGCAGGTGGATCACTTGAGGTCAGCAGTTCAAGACCAGCCTGACCAACATGGTGAAACCCCGTCTCTACTAAAAATACAAAAATTAGCTGGGCATGGTGGTGCACTCTTGTAATCCCAATTACTCAGGAGGCTGAGGTAGGAGAACCACTTGAACCTGGGAGGCGGAGGTTTCAGTGAGCTGAGATAGCGCCACTGCATTCCAGCCCGGACAACAGAGTGAGACTCCGTCTTGAAAAAAAGTAAAAATATAAATAAAAGGACTTGTTCAAAATTTTCTTGACTAGTGCTCCTCTCATTGTGAACTTTTCTCCATTCACTAAGGCAGCAGTTCTCAAATTTTCTGGTTTCAGAAACCCTCTGCACTTTTAAAAGCTGAGGACCCTACACAGCTTTTGTTTACATGGCTTATTTCAATCAATATTTACTGTATTAGAAATTAAAACTAAATTTAAACATCCATTTAAAAATAAATGCATTACATGCTGATAATTTTTAAAAACTATATTTTTCAAAACAAAATATAGAAGAATTACACATTTTTGCATATCATTAATGATTGGCTTAACAGAAGACAGCTGGATTCATATACAGCTTTTGCCTTCAACTCAGTGAAATGTTGCTTCTGGTTTTGGTATCTGAAAAAAAAAGTTTGGCCTCCCGGAGACAGGTATTTGCAACGAGGAGGAATACTTAATGTTCTCCTCTGTTAAAGGCAAATAATAGAAGGATATTTGCCTTTAATAGTACACCAAAACAAGTGGCATAGGGTTAGAAGCAATGTGAACTCTAAAACCACATCAAGGAACTTTTCATATTGTTACGTTAGAATTCACTGATTATCCCGCACTTTGGATTCCTGCGCATGCATGACTGCAATACCACGCATTGGTCATTTGGAAAAGACAGGTTCATTGAGTTATATGCAGCATTTCCAATTGTTGACACATTTCATTATGCAATAGCAAAAATTCATGTGTTAGGGCCTGGTGCGGTGGTTCATGCCCGTAATCCCAGGGTTTTGGGAGGCTGAGGCAGGAGGATCGTTTGTGCCCAGGGGTTTGAGGCCGTAGTAAGCCATGATTGTGCCATTGCACTTCAGCTTGGGTGACAGAGTGAGACTGTCTCCAAATAAAAATATTAATATTCATGTGTTAATATCATCATGCATCTCACCAGAAAAGTCTGTCTTGGGAAGTCCTTAAGCTCAAAGTGGCAGACACAAGTTTCCTAAAACCCGAAATTGCTTGAAAGCTTGAACTCTGTCACTGACAAAATATGTCAGCTGTTTTCCTTGAAGTAAAGGGCTCACTTTGTTAATTTTTGAGAAAATGCTTGCCAGGTAAGTCTGAATAACCAGTGTCCATCTTTTCAAGTAAAAAGTATGTTCCAAGAAGAGAGTTTCTCTTCAGCTTACAACTCAATTGCACACATGGTTTTCCTACTTCAGAAGGTAAAAGTCAGGAGTAATTCCCATTTCATTACACAAATACTAAAAATACTGCACACAATGATCAAGATTTAACAGAATACTTTTTACTGCTCAATCAAGTGCATTTTTAACTGAAGTTGGCATTTCTGGTTTTCCTTTTAAGTGCATGACGATGAAAAACTCAGGTTGGCGCTCCTGCCTTAAGCTGAGCTAATAATTTGCTTTTGCACCATTAGTATAAAGTTGGCATAGCAGAAAAGACAAATACTGTGAGGAAAACAGTTTTGACCTCCTGGGGAAGCCCAGAGGCCCAAGCGCACATTCTGAGAATTATATCACCATGTTAGAAGACCACAACTCATATACCTTCAAAGAGGCTAAATTCTACCAGGTCCTAACCTCTTTAGAAAGGTTTTTTTTTTTTTTTTTTTCATTTTGTTTTATTTTGTTTTGAGACAGAGTATCGCTCTGTCACCAGGCTGGAGTACAGTGGCACGATGTCAGCTCACCGCAACCTCTGCCTCCCAGGTTCAAGCGATTCTCCTGCCTCAGCCTCTCAAGTAGCTGGGACTACAGGCTTGTGCCACCACGCCCGGCTAGTTTCTGTATTTTTAGTAGAGATGGGGTTTCACCATGTTGGCCAAGCTGGTCTCGAACTCCTGACCTCGTGATCTGCCCACCTCGGCCTCCCAAAGTGCTAGGATTACAGGCGTGAGCCACCTCACCCAGCCAAGAGAGGTTTTTAGAACGGGAACTAAAGGAATGATAAAATAAATCACGTGAAACCAGTTAAAATCTTAGCTATATCTTTGCGATATATGCATGAAGTTTGCACAGTATTTTTAAGATACGGGTCAATCTTTAGAACACCCATAAAAAAGCCAGAGTGTTTCCTTTCTACATTCCTAGTATAGTCCTCTGTGGGGAAAAAGCTCATTCTCTCCCCAGGAATTTTTTCTGAGATTAATGAAGCCAAAGGTAGCCACTTGGTATCTGGTTTTTCCTTCTAAATTAATAATGAAATGCAAATACGGTAAGGTAGTCATGTGCCTGTTCTGCTAATAGCCCACTGGTGTGTGGTTATATATACTTCTGGTAAGTCACAGAAACCATGAGAATGAAGAAGTAGGAAGCCTGTGGTTTTCACTCACCTGCTGGCAATTTTTTCCTGTCTCCTTTGGAGCCAACTACTTCTCCGTTGATGCCATTCGGGTTTGAAGAAACTGAATTGTCTTCCTGACTAGCCAAATATTGTTTGGTTTGCTCACAAAGCAAAAAATTGTTCTTTTTATTTCCATTCTCTGAGCTTTTCAGCCTGAAATTAGGGTGGTTAGGAAGTGTTCCAGGACTTCTTAAAGACTCATGTGGTGGAAGCTTGTTTTCATTTTTCTCAAAATTAAATGGCTCTGTCATCTTACAAGGAGGTGCTTCCAAATTATTTCTTGACATCACATTAAATGGCGATTTAACACTCATCGAGGCCTAAGGAGAGAAATGTATTTAAGAGACAACTTTTAATTTCAAAATTTCAGAAGAACTGCAGGCTCAGAGGAATTCTCCCAAATATATTTACGTAACAGATAATGCCTATAAAACAATTCCAAAGCAGATATAACCATGACATCAAAACTTGGCCGACAAGGCACAAGAAAAACACCAGTTCTCTGTAAGTATGAACTCTAACAGAAATCAACAGACCAACTCATGAAAAATCAAAAATCTCAGCGTTCAACACCATTCCTTACTTTTAAAAGCTTTTGAGGCAACACTAATTGAAAAGGTCTTTCATGTTTTAAAATATTCCCAACCTAAAGCTTACACTTTAATGGCAAAATGCAACGGAAGAGGTGTGTTTAAATCAGGTCGTCACCTACCTTTCTACCTTCTCACAATCCCTCTACCCTCTCCTACTTTATGCTATATCTAATCCTTGAATATGCTGAACCCTCTACCCAGAATGCCCTCGCACTCACTGCCTGACCATCCTGGGCAGGCTTCACAATCCATCTCAGCTGACCCCTCTTCCCTCCTGTTTTGCCAAGGCCTCTGCTTTGATCATCTCCAGCTGAACTTCCACAAATTGTAATTTATACCTACTGCTTTTAAGGACCTATCTATGCATCTTTCTCTGAAAATAAGTTGGAAATGTTGCAAGCTTTCCAAGTTTAATTTGTCACAAAGTGTCTCTGAGAAACCTCTATCCACAAAAGATGGTGGCTTGTTTTTCCGTTACTCTTAAAGAATTCTAAGTGCCCTGCCCAGGGGAATTAAAAGGGACGAACACCTCTTCTTTCTGAAGTAGTGACTGATAGCTTTGCTCCCAAAATGGCTGAGCGGGAGGAAAAATGTCACAGCTGAAACTGGCATGAGTAATATCTAAATGTTGTTTAACATGGTCTTGAATAGAAAAAAAATAAATAGCAGTTGGTGTCCTACAACTTATTATCTCATTTCTTATTTTAAATTAGGCCTAACCTAATCCAATGAGAATACAGACAAGATAATGAAATAAAAACAAAAATATACAGGCACCCTCGAAAGTAGGGAACTCTTATTGGACCAGACCCTGAGAAGACCCCTAACAGAATGACTGCAGGTGGGCAGCGATGGGGGAGATCCTGCAGCTGCCAGGGGAAGTAAAACTGTTATGGATAAGCACGCCTAAATTGAAGGGACAGGCTGAGAACTGCCATGTTTTGTGTAATAAGAGAGCAATGTCGTTCAATTACAAAAGAAAAATAAAGGCTGGGCGCGGTGGCTCACACCTGTAATCCCAGCACTTTGAGAGGCTGAGGCAGGCGGGATCACGAGGTCAGGAGATCGAGATCATCTTGGCTAACACGGTGAAACCCCGTCTCTACTAAAAATACAAAAAAATTAGCCAGGCGTGGTGGCGGGTGCCTGTAGTCCCAGCTACTCAGGAGGCTGAGGCAGGAGAATGGCATGAACTCAGGAGGCGGAGCTTGCAGTGAGCCGAGATTGTGCCACTGCACTTCAACCTGGGCAACACAGCGAGACTCCATCTCAAAAAACAAACAAAAAAACTCCAGGGGAATCAGGTGGTGGTTGGGGGAGGAATAAAGTCTAGACTCTGTATAAGAAATACAAAGAATGTGCATTAAAATATTAGAGTAACTCCCAGACAAACAGAAACAGAATATATAACTTTAAAATCACAGGAAATCTTAATTCAACAGAAAAAAAAATTCAAGTACAGAAAACATCAAGTAAGATCACAGAATCAAGCCCAAGTAATCCAAGTATCAATGAGTTAGTCTTAGTTAGATAAAACTCAGGGAGAAAATTATTCAGTAAAATGTTAGGCACAAAAGGCACACATATAACCAAATTATATGGTAAGGTTCCAAGTAAAAGGACTAAAATATGTGCTATGCAAACAACTAAAAGATGTAACGTTAGGCCAGGCACGGTGGCTCATGCCTGTAATTCAAGCACTTTGGGAGGCCAAGGCAGGTGGATCACTTGAGGTCAGGAGTTCGAGACCAGCCTGGACAACATGGTGAAACTCTGTCTCTACTAAAAATACAAAAAATTAGCCAGGCGTGGTGGTGTACGCCTGTAATCCCAGCTACTTGGGAGGCTGAGGCAGGAGAATGGCTTGATCCTGGGAGGTGGAGGTTACAGTGAGCCAAGATCACACCATTGCACTCCAGCCTGGGCAACAAGAGCAAAACTCCGCCTTGAAATAAAAGAAAACAAAAAAGATATAATGTTAATATCAGTAGCACATAAAATCAAACTCAAGGTAGAAACTATTGAGACACGTGAAGATATTTTACATTAATTAAGAAAACATAGGCTGGGCACAGTGGCTCACGCCTGTAATCCAAGCATTTTGGGAGGCCAAGGCAGGTGGATTACTTGAGGTCAGGAGTTCGAGACCAGCCTGACCAACATGGTGAAACCCTGTCTCTATTAAAAATACAAAAATTAGCTGGGTGTGGTGGCACGCACCTGTAGTCCCAGCTACTCGGGAGGCTGAGGCAGGAGAATAGCTTGAACCCAGGAGTCAGAGGTCGCAGTGAGCAGAGATGATGCCACTGCACGCCAATCTGGGCAACAGAATGAGACTCTGTCTCAAAAACAAAAAACAAACACTCCAAGGAGATAAAGCAGCCAGGAATCTTTGAATCATTATAATGTTGTTTTGAGGTGTGTAAAACAAAACCCGACTGAAGGAGAAGAAATTCAGTCCACTATGATTAGGACACATCTATCTTAGACAACTACTACTCAGAAAACAGGCGATAGTAAAGACTGTATGAGTAACAATAAACTTGACCTAATTGGGACTAATACAACCAAGAATATTCCTTTTTTTCAACACTGAGTATATGCTGGACTGCAAAAACCACCTCGACTACAAAAAAACTAGTATCATACATGCTACATTCACTCATCACAATACACACAAATCTCCATCTCAGATTATGCTTCACAGAGAATCAGACTGCAATAGCCACAGGTGAAGAGTTTCTTTAGTTTAAAAGTAGTTAAAAAAATCACAAAGGAAATGATAGCAAACATAACCATGTGACAATTAAAACTTACCAAAATAGCAAAGAGTCCAGGAAATACTATCACAAAGATGACAAATTTGATACCTTTTCAAAAGTGGGATAAATATTAAGAACCTCCAGAAACTGTAGCAGACTCAAACGCTATTCAACCTCTGATTTGCCAGCTACAGTTAGCGACACTACTGGCCACAGAGTTCTCCTGAGGGGGGCTTCTGAGAAAGCTCTTCCCTATCCTGAAGAACAGGAACAGATGTGGCTAGCACAGGCCTTCACCCCTTTCTTCCTGCAACACATTCCTGAGGCCTGGAGACTTATCACCCATTTTGTAATTAGGGAGTAATAAGCACAGCCTGAGGATGGTGAAGGAGAAAATGCAGAGCCAAGTGTGTCTGGCGGTTCCTTTGCGTCATCACTCCAGCTCTGGTTTGCCTATGCAGAGACACGCTGAGGCATCAAATAAGCTGTTATTTGCAGGCCAATCAATACAGTAAAATAAATGACAAAAAGGCATGAACAGAATGCAGAGAGGAAGAAGGTAAGTTCATAAACATAAGGGGAAAAGCATTCAACCCTATTTATAGTAAAAAAAAAAAAAATTCAAATTGAAATAAGTATGCATTTTCTGCCTAGTGGGTGCAATTAAAAAATTAAGCCACTCATTACTGAAGGGAGTATCAATTAATATACTCTTTCTGGGAAGCAATTTAGAAATATATAAGTATATATCTATGGGGTTTTTAAAAAGCATTCCTAGCCACTGACTTGGTACCTCTACATCTAGAAATCATGCCATTAAAATAATCCTAAATACCAAAAAATGCCATATATAAAAATGTCCCGTTCAAAATAGCAAAAAAGGCACGGACACAGTGGCTCACACGTGTAATCTCAGCACTTTGGGAGGCCAAGGAGTGGTGGGCTCCTGTAATCCCAGCTACTCAGGAGGCTGAGGTGGGAGAATCGCCTAGAATCTGGGAGGCAGAGGTTGCAGCGAGCCAAAATTGCGCCACTGCACTCCAGCTTGGGCAACGAAGCGAGACTGTCTCAAAAAAAAAAAAAAAAAAAAGTTAACTGTGATGGCTTTAATAGACAGCCTATTATACTATCATTCAGAATCTTAGTTTCCAGAAACACCGTAAAATGTCTGTTAGAATGGCAAATGAAAAAGCAGTAAAAAACCTGTATATTCAATATAATTATAACCGCAAAAGAAAATCAAAACTCCAGGTTAAAAAAAGATGAATGAAACATATTACATTATAAATAACAATGAGTATTCTGGGGTAGGTGGGTTGATGAGGATATCTTTTTCACTGTCTTTTTCATTTTCCAAATTATATTGAATGAATCATTTTTATAGATGAAAACATTTTTAAGACTGAAGTATCATCTAATAGTAAACCTTTTTTCCAAAAATGTGGTAACTTAATTCTAAATCAAGTAAAGGATCAAAGCAATATTTAAACCATAAAACTAGCGTATAGTCATCTTCTTAAGACACTGAGTTGGATCCTCAGTATGCTGCTGTGTGTTACACCCGAGAGTCTTTCATAACACTGTCCTTACTTAGTAACTCATGCTGGCTGTCAATCTACAGTCAGCGCCTCAATACCCTGTATTACAGTTACCTATAGACAGTTATATCTGTCATTTAAATTATTTTAAGTTGCCTGAGTGCAGGAACTCTTATTTTTAAAAATCTGAACAAAAATACCTTTGACTTCCTGCAATATCCACCATGGTGCTTTATAGAACTAGGCATTCAAAAGATATTCGTATGATTGGCCGGGAGCGGTGGCTCACACCTGTAATCCCAGCACTTTGGGAGGCTGAGGCGGGCGGATCACGAGGTCAGGAGATTGAGACCATCCTGGCTAACACAGTGAAACCCCGTCTCTACTAAAAATACAAAAAATTAGCTGGGCATGGTGGCGGGTGCCTGTAGTCCCAGCTACTCGGGAGGCTGAGGCAGAAGAATGGCATGAACCCAGGAGGCGAGCTTGCAGTGAGCTGAGATCACGCCACTGCATTCCAGCCTGGGCTACAGAGCAAGACTGTCTCAAAAAAAAAAAAAAAGATATTCGTATGATAAAAACTATTTTAAATGCACTATTGCACTGCTTTCATGCCAACCTGGACAGGGAAAATGACACCTGCTGTCCGAAATGACATCTGGCAGTCTTAAGTGGAGAAGCACATCAGGCTATGAGGTTTACTGAAATTTAATAACAAAACTTCATGTCTCAAAACAATTCCTCCAAAATCCAAAAATTAGTAAATATATTTGACTTTAGAAACAACATCCGCGTTAGACTCACGATAAAGTTTAAGTAGCAAATAAAGAGGATTTTTACTTAAAAGAAGGTCCACCCTATTTGGAGAATGTTTGAAGGACTCACCCTATTCAGGAATTTTCGTTACAACACCCAGGGCAAATAGACATCTACACCTGTTCTGGGACCACAAACTTCTTGTTTCCTTTCATTCGGGACAGCCAATTGTGCTGCAGTGTTTTTTGTAAAATGGTTCCCCTTCCCAGCTGTTGCTGCCCTGTGACCACAACCTTTCAAAAATATCTGAGACTCTTATACTGACATGACTCTCATAATGGAATACAAGATTCCAGACACGGGTTGGCAGCCCGTCAACAGGAAAGTCAGGATGTCCCTGAGTTTGAACACTACCATTTATGCATTAACTTTTGGAGCAGGTGGCCAGTACTACTGTGAATCCAGATAAAACGTTCAGTCACCTAAAACCTTTTGGAATTTATTTTTAAATATGTAATTATCATACCATTACATGGACTTTGATTTCTTTGATTTACAGTTCTATGAATGTAACGCAGGCATAGATTTAGGCAGCCACCACAACTGGGATACAGAATAGGCTTTTAAGGGTGAATTTTTTTTTTTTTTTTTGAGATGTTGTCTCGCTCCATCGCCCAGAATGGAGTGCAGCGGCATGATCTCCGGCTCACTGCAACCTCTGCATCCTGGGTTCAAACAATTCTCCTGCCCCAGCCTCCCAAGTAGCTGGGACTACAGGCATGCCCCATCACGCCCGGCTAATTTTTGTATTTTTAGTAGAGACGGGGTTTCACCAGACTGGTCTCAAACTCCTAACCTCAGGTGATCCGCCCGCCTCAGCCTCCCGAAGCGCTGGAATTACAGGTGTGAGCCACCGCACTGGGCCGTGAATTTTTAACATTACAAAACACCAGTAAGACTTAGCATCTATTCCTACTTGGTTCATCCTGTATCAACCACTGGGAATATCTGAATCACAAGTAGGCAGGCCCTATGGCATAATACTGTGATTCCCAACCTCAGGCTTTAGACTTGATACCCAGGTAAACAAATGTGACAGATTATTGCTGCACAGGCCCTGAAGCCACATCGGCTAACCTCACCCAGTTTTAAAATAATTCCCCCTATATACAATCTACTATTTTTTCATGCTACTAGTGATAAATAGAAATATATTTAATCATTCTGGAATCCACAGTAATTAAATGTTGATTCAGCTAACATAAAAGGTTAACTAGAAGGGTCTCAACATTTCTCTACGTTAAAGAGTACCTCATTTTCTCAGAATTAGGAATCACTGATGTACTAGAAGAGTAGTGGACTGAAAGTGACTCATTTCTATAGTTCTACAGGCAAAAATGAGGGCTCAGCTTTCTGGATTTCTTTGTTCTGTACTTCACGCTTTGAACCCATTAAGTCCTGAAGCTCCCTAAGGGTAGACCCTCTCTTTTCTTTGGAATCCTATCGGTTCTCCCTGATGTTGCTGGGGGCTTCCTAAGATACACTATGAATAGTGGGGTAAGTCATTTCTTCTCCCTCTAGGATACCACAGGCTGGAGTTCTTTTAACAACAAAAGTGTATGCACAGATACTCAGCTGTCATTTTTTTCCTTCTCTGATGTTTGCTTTTGTCTTCCTGGCAACCCCATGTATTCTGCAAGAACCATTCTACTCAAAGAAAACACTCCGGTTTTGGCTGGGCGCTGTGGCTCACGCCTGTAATCCCAGCACTTTGGAGGCCGAGGTGGGCGGATCACCTGAGGTGAGGAGTTGGAGACCAGCCTGGCCAACATGGTGAAACCCTGTCTCTACTAAAAATACAAAAATTAGCAGGGCGCCGGTGGCTGGCCTGTAATCCCAGCTACTAGGAAGGCTGAGGCTGGAGAATCGCTTGAACCCGGGAGGCGGAGGTTGCAGTGAGCTGGGATCGCGCCATTGCACTCCAGCCTGGGCAACAAGAGTGAAACTCTTACTCAAAGAACAAACAAAAACACTCCGGTTTTAAACAGACAAAACGCAACGCTTCGGTAAAGCATGAGCTCTTAAGTCAGCCAGGTAAGTCTCGTCTTCCTCATTTAGCCACGCTATCTTGGGCAAATCACTTCATCTTTCTAGGATTCAGCGACTGTAAAATGCAGAGGGCAGTAGTTAACTTCCTCACAAATCCTAATCACGAGAATTAAATGAGAGACGAAGTAAATCACTTAGCACAGTGGCTAGTACTTCCTAAGGGCTTAAAGGGCAGCTATTATTTCTGCTTTACTTTTATACCACTCCTACAAGCACAAAATTTCTTCCATTCCTGTGGAACCAGCTTGCAGGCTTAAGATGAAAATAATTTGAGGACTAAAGTATTTTTATTTCGTTATTCCTACAGATAAACAAGGGAGACGTGGGAAGTTGGAATAACTTACCAAACCACCCAGGGCCAGCACCTTACACAGTTTAGATAAAAACGCAGGTCAGACTCCACGGCCTTGGATTTAAGCATACAGCACCGTGCTGCCTCACTAAGGAAGCTGGAAGCATTTAGCTCCCTTAGTTCAGAAGCCCAGCAGGGCTAACGTATTTATAGCAAGGACCCTAGGGCCCGGAAAAGCTACTGGCACACAGCAGGAACTCCTTAAACAAACTAGCGCCAGCTGACCCACATCTAAGTAAATGCCCTAGCACATCTTCCTTTCCTATAGGAGGAAAGTAGGGAAAAAAAAGTCTAGTAAATGTTAATATTGTTTGTATCGTAATTTTTAGTCAAACGAAGGCACTGAATCCACATGCAAGTTTCTCTTAGAGAGAAGGTGAACGTTTGCATTTGAAGGAGTGATGCCTGGAAGCGCTATTTCCAAACTCAGAGAATCCTCCCACACCAAACCCTCGCAGCAAGGTTCCAAGTCTCCTCTCTCCACTTCCAGGCCCCTTGTACCCGCTCAACGCCCAACCTCAACGTCCAGCGCCCAACGTCTGGCCCCCAACGACCGAAGCCCCCTCCCTTCCCCTTCATGCAGGCCCTCTCCCTCCCCTATACGCCTGGGAACCCTGACCTGGAAAGAGGCAAGAGGACCGCGGATCCGAACCTGTCTCTGCGGTCTGGCGGTGATGGCGACTGCCGATGCTGGGAGCCCTGCCGCCTGGGATGCGCCCTGCACTTCCCTCGCCTCCAATCCCCAGTGCGCCCTCCTGGCCTCAGCGCACGCCTGCGCACTCCGCGTCCACGTGCAACTCAATGTGCCCACGTGTTCCCTCCGCCTTCCCCGGAAGCAGCTTGTGCTCTAGTTACAGGCTCAAAAAGTTCCTTTGCAGAAACTTTTATTTTGTTCTAGCTTCTTCTAGAAAGATGTCTCTGGCAACGCCTTTGGCAAATTTGGGCGCAAAGATGCAGACTTTGTCTCCTCGAAGGTCACTTGGGTCACCGTGGCCACTTAAAGGTCTTCCAAGGTTTTCCAAATAATCAACAGCCTCTGCCTGGTCTTGGAAAGTAAACACACACGTGCTCATACTTTTTTTCTTTGCTTCCTGACTGAGGGCATGTGATTATACCTGTTGGTGTTACTTAAAGACAAGCTTTTTAAGTTTTGTTTTTTTTTTTTTTTGCTATGGAACTTTTCTAACAATTTCATAAGGGAACCCTTGTGTGCCTATCATCTAGTTTCTACCTTATCAATTCATGGTTAATCTTGTCTACATCTGCAGCCCAGGCACTCTTCGGGCAATGTTTTGAAGCAAATCCGAGAATTGTAAATGTGAGACAAAGTAGCGAACGTCTGCTTCTGGCCCCCAGCATAGTCCTCCCTCACTGTGAAAAAGCCACGTTTGTTCACTGTGTTTGTCAGCATTTCAGACCCCTTGACTTAGTAACATCTCAGCCCTCCAGAAGAATGCCTTGAAGACTGCGGAGAGAACTCAGGTTCCCACCTCTCAGAGTCACTGCATTTTTAGAAAAGATACTTTCAGAGATCTAGGCCTTGCCTTTTTCTGTACCTAACGGACAAGATTAATGATGATGCCTAGACTTACTCTCGCACCCAAACTTTGAAAATATTTTGATCTTATATAGCTTCTGGGCACTTTTAATGTAACCCCTGGGCAGAACCTCTACCACCTAATATTTAAAGTGTGCTGACCCACTGCTTTGGAGTAGTTTAACAGAAATTCTCTGGGCTCTCCCTGGTTGCAGTCCTCAGTAAGACTCTGAATAAAACTAACTTCACTAACTTCAATTCTTTAAAAGCCTGATTTTTTTTCTTTAGTTGATGTGTCTTTTAAATTTATTTTTTAGAGCAGTTTCAGATTTACAGAATAGTGAAATGAAAGTGCTGACTGGGCGTGGGGGCTCATGCCTGTAATCCCAGCACTTTGGGAGGCCGAGGCAGGCAGATCACTTGAGGTCTGGAGTTCGAGACCAGCCTGGCCAACATGGTGAAACCCCGTCTCTACTTAAAATAAAAAAATAAAAAAAAATTAGCTGGGTGTGGTGGCAGGCGCCTGTAATCCCAGCTACTTGGGAAACTAAGGCAGGAGAATCGCCTGCACCCAGGAGGCGGAGGTTTCACCGAGCCAAGATCACTGCCACTGCACTCCAGCCTGGGCAACAGAGCAAGACTGTCTCAAAAAAAAAAAAAAAAAGAAAAAGAAAGAAAGAAAAGAAGGTGCTGTACAGAGTTCTGACAGAAGCCACATCGTTTCCCCTATTATTAGCATGGTCTGTTAGCATGATACATTTGTTATAATTAAGGAACCAAGGAACCAACATTGATACAGTATTAACTAAAGCCCATCTTTTTGATTTCCTTCGTTTTTACCTACTGTCCCTTTTCTGATGCAAGATCTCATCAGGATATCATATTACATTTAGTTTTCATGGATCCTTAGGCTCTTCTTGGCCATGGGACTTCCTTAGACTTTGTTTTGATGACCTTGATGTCAAGTTTCCAGGAGTACTCTCAGGCCTTTTGTAGGATGCCCTACTTTTGGAATTTGTCTGATGTTTTTCTGCTGGTAGGAAAGGAGTTACGGGTTATTGGAAGGAAGACCACAGAGGTAAAAATGCCATTTTTATTGCATCATATCAAGCATACATCCTATGAATATGATTATGACAATTGATGTAGGATTTGGTCATCTGGCTGTGGTAGTGTTTGTTGGGTCTTTCTACTATATTCTTTTTTTTCCCTTCCCTTTTCATACTATACACTTTGGAAGGAAGCTATTATTTGAAGCCCACATTTAAGGAGTAGGGAGTTATGTTGTCCCTCTTTGAGGATGCAGTATCTGCAGAAATTATTTGAAATTCTTCTGCATGGGAGATTTGTCTCTTCTCCATTTACTAATTTAATAACGGACTCGGATATTTATTTTATACTTTTTTTTTCTTATTTTATACTTTTCTAATCCAAAACTACTGTATTTCCTTGCTCAGATTTTTCCAGCTTTGGCCACAGGAAGCTCTTTCAGTTGGTTTCTGTTCCTTCACATACTATCATCAGGTGGTATTTTGTTTGTTAAGCACTTTATTACTTTCTGGGATATTGTATCTTTTCATCCAAAAATATTGTAAGTAGGTGTCTTTAAGAGATTACCACTTTTTAAGTAATATCACCAAAACATATCCCAACTTTAAAAACAATAATTTCTCTTGCTTTCCTTTCTTTTCTCCTTTTTCTCCTTTCCTCTCCTTTCCTTTCTTTCTGAAAGGGTCTTGCTCTGCCGCCCAGACTAGAGTGCAGTGGCACAGTCATAGTTCACTGCAGTCCTGAACTGCTGGACTCAAGCCATCACCCTGCCTCAGTAGCTGGGATTACAAGTGTGAGCCATAGTGCCTGGCCATAATTTCTTAATATCATAAAATTAATACTAAACATTTCCAGATACCTCAAATGTTATTTTTTAATTTTCTTTTTAGAGATGGGATCCCACTGTGTTGTCCAGGCTGGTCTCAAACTCCTGAGCTCAAGCAGCCCACCTTGGCCTCCCAAAGGGCTGGGATTACAGGTGTGAGCCACCACACCCAGCCATTCAGATGTTATCTTAAATCGTTGATATGTTCAAATCAGTATCAAAACATCCTGTATTTGCACTCAGTGATATATTTTAAAAAGGGGTTTCTCTTTAAATCCTGTACTTCTCTTGCAATTTATTTATTACAGTAACTGCAGGGTTTTTTTTTTTTTCCATTCAATTTTGTTGATTGCATCCCCCGGCAGGAATACTTCACAGGTGGTGTTGTGCTTCTCTATTGTAGCATTTCAGAAAATACATAGTATGTAGTTGTTTCACTTTGGAGGATATTAAGATTGATCTAGTAGGTTCAAGTGGTGCCAGCCCCATCCATCCATTACAATACGAAGCTTCCTATCAGTTTTTCATCTAATGGTTCTAGATTCACAGATGACCATTACCTAGATCCATTATTTCATCAGGGTTTGCAAAATGGTGATCATCTATCTTTCTTTCTGCAATTATTACATGGAGTTCTACAGAGAAGAGCTTCCCCACATTGACTATTTGATTGACATTCAGTTTGCAACAGGAAAGGTAGGATGAATGCTTGATTCTTTATCAGTTCTCAGATTGTAATGACTTGTTGGCATCTTTCCAAGAGGGTCAATGACATTAAAAAAAATAAATGCACTCACTGATTTTTTTACATAGTGCGTCTCAACCAGTTGCTGTTATTATTTTTGAATGCTAAATTTGTCCTGTTTGAGAAGTTGGGGCATCTTTGAACTGCCTTCTGAGTCTTTTGGGTACAGTTCATGTTATCTTTGCTTTTCTTCCTTGCTTTCTGCTACAAGCAATATGTCCTAGGCTATCTTGCATATTTCTTGCCCCTACTGGGAATCAGCACTTAACCTCCAAGAGAAGCCAAGGTAACTTTTTTTGGGCAATGCTCTTTAGAGATCACAATCTGGGGAATAGGAGTGTGCAATGGGTTGGTCACTGTTCTAAGAGTTTTCAGTGGACACACCTTTTTTTTCACGAAAAAAATGTACCATGAGTTAATTCTGATATTTGTAAATTCAAATATAGGATTGCAGAATTTTAATATAATGTCTTTGGTTTATATTTGTATTTCTTTTCTCTTATGGTGAAAAACTTGGTTCACAAAGATATATTTATATACTTTATACTAATTATAAATTCAGAAATATTCAGAAATAGTAATACCTATGTTATTACTGACGAGTACCGAAAACAGCTTAAGGTTTCTTCAGTTTTTTCCCCTTGGATTAATGTCTCCCTAGGAAGGCTTGGTCGATTTATTGTTTTAAAGTCAAATCATTTATTTTCTATGACAAGACACTTTAACTGCAAAATGTGCTTCAGTGTAGTACCTTCATTTAAGGAGGAGTGAGGTGCCATTACACCTCCGTGTGTGTGTTTTGCCAACAGTATCGAAGACGCTTAACAGAACAGTAGTAAGTTTTGCTTTACAAATTCTTACATTGCAGAATCGTCTGCATCAGCTATTTTCATTCATGAGATATGTGTAAGACCTAAACCAAAGAACATCGTTTCCCCGGACTGAGGAGGTTTGCGAAACCTCCAGAGACTGAACTGCTGACCTTCCTTCTCTGGGCCGGGCGAGGCAACTGTACCCAATACACTTTTTGTTGCCATGCTGCGTGCCAGGTTACTCAGCCGGGAGAGGACACTTCCTACCATCAATGCGCTCAGCTTGAAGCCAGAGACGAAGGCACCGACAGTTTATTATTAAACAATGGCAGCAGCGCCACGCTGAAGACACGAACGCGCTGTTATGGAACCCCCAGAGGTCTCCCCCATCGTAGCCTGCTCCAGCCGACTCCGCCCACGTAAGGTGCAAGGTTTCCGCATGAGAGCCGGGAAGCCACAATTTCAAATTCTCTTTTATTGCTTTATGTCCCTGACTCATGCAGGCCAAAGGGTGAGGAGGAGTAATAGCCAACAAGAGCGTCCTGCAGAAAGAAACAGGCTGCGTGGGTCCGGAGGAGCTTGAAAGGAAGAACCCGACCAAAGGGCAGGAGACCCGGCTCTCCAGGTCGCGGAGGCGTGGGTGCCCAGCCAGGCGGAGTGCGGGGCGGGGCCTCTCGGGCCGCAAGGTGGGGCCTCCTGGGCCGGGAGGTGGGAGGTGAGCTCCGCCAGCCCAGCCCACTGCAGACAGGTTACCCAGGACCTCAAGGTGTGCTGCGTCACCCCGCCCGCGCTGCGCTGATTGGTTCCTCCAGGGAGCCCCCGCCCCCTCAGCTGTAACCGGGCCGGCTTCAGTGTCGCCGCCATCTTTGTTGATGTGTCAGCTCCGCAGGGGTTTGGGGAAACGGCCGCTGAGTGAGGCGTCGGCTGTGTTTCTCACCGCGGTCTTTTCCTCCCACTCTTGGCTGGTTGGACCCCGCTATGGAAAAGTTGGCCCCTGAGCCAGAGCTCCAGCAGCCTTGTTAGGGCGTGGCCTGAGGCTTGGATAAGTGGGGTAAGTGTCTGAGGGGTACTCGGGGCACACCGGTGAGTCGCGGTGGCGGTGCGGTGGGGCTGCCAGCCTTCCGCTCCTTCCTGCACGTTCCGTGGCGGGGGCGAGGGCGAGTGCGAGGTGGAGGTCGAGGTCGAGCGGGCTCCCCGCCTGGCTCCTTTGAGGGCGCGGAGGAAGGGGAGGGCTGGGGAACGGGTTTCAAGCCCTTTCCTCTCCCTGCCTTCCTCCTTCGGTTCCGGGACCTTGGAGGTGGCAAAGAGGGGTCAGCGGGGGTCGTGGGGGCTGTGCCTCGAGAGCGTCTGAATTCGAGCCCATTGCCTGGGCTGCGTGTGAACTGCAGCCAAGCCCTACCTGCTCGAGAATCTTTCCTAGACTCAATCGCCTATTTCGTTTTTCGTCTCAAGTTGACTGTATGTGGGTGTTTTATATTTACTGTTGTGAAGACTTGTTACCCTCTTCCAAACACTTCCATTACTGTGATTCTAAGTTCCTTAGAAGTGATTCTTTGGAGTGGTGGATACTGTTCTTTATGTTGTCTTTCAAGGACGTCAAGGCATTTCATAAACCTTGGTTGGTAAGGAAGGGGTTTCAGATTTATGTCTCCATCAGTAATGAAAAATGGCAAAAACAAAACAAAAACCCTTCTACGTGTCCCTAAGTAGCAATCTTGGGAAACAGTGCAGGTGTGAGTATTGCTTAGCTGTTAACAGTTTAACAACTTCACCTAATATTCCCATCTTGATTTTGTTTAGAGGAAAAAGTCCTGGATTTCGAGTCAGAACATCTGGATTAGAATCCTACTTCTTTCACTTGATAATCTTGTTACCTGTGGAAATCAGAAGAGAGAATATAGTAAAAATACGCAGTACAGTCCCAGGTACTTGGCCGTTTTCTCTGCATGTGTGTCATGTTCCTTTGATGCCCAGCTTTTTTTTCTTCCAAAACGATAGGCCGGGTGTTGTCTTCTAAGGTGTTCAGTAAATCAGGGTTTCAAGAGGTGTGCTGGTAGTCATTCAGAAGAAATTAATCTGCTATTATCTATTTAGGTATGCTAGTTGTGGGTGTGGCTTTCCCAACTATCAAGTACACCTTAATATTTACCGAGTGTTCATCTCGTGGGAAGGATTCAGGTTCAAGAGAGATTGATAGTGAAACTGAACTATCTCTGTGTGTAATGTACACTGTTCCCTGTGTAACTTCAATTCTTTATCCAACATTACACAAATAAAAAACAGTAATGATTGGCTAGGTTCATTTTTCTCTTTTATTTCTGGTCTTTTCATGTTATTTTTAATGCAGTGAAGATATTAGATCACGAATCTTGCAGTATTAAGAATTAAAACTTTTTACAGCATAATAGGCAAACGTATGATTACTGAAGATTCTCCCTGGAAATGCATGGATTGTGTTTGTTTTTTAAAGGCCCTGTTAAATTCAGAATAACTGCATATAAACTTAAGGTTTCTTTAAACAGTGGAGATTCCATAGTGTGTCATTGGCTTTTGAGTCCTATTTATTGCTAACGGAAAGGGTTGGCTGGTGTGTATCACAGTGACCACTCTAACCTTTTAGTTCTTTCACCCATAAAGTAGAGTTGTCCTTTAATGCTATGCAGTGACAGCATAGCTAATGATTGCTTAGTATGTTCAGTTTAGAAACATCTATTTGCAGCTTTATGCTGACATCACAGAGTGAAGATAAAAGCATTGCAGTATACTGACTCCAGGAAGAGACAGTAGGTTGAAGCACAAAGCAGCTTTATTTGGAGATTTAGAAAATAATCTTTCCCTTTGAAGAAGGACTGGTAATCTGCACTAGTTTCTCAAATTCATGCAACAGTTTCGTGTTAAAGTAAGAATCCTTACCCTGAAATTTTTTTTCTTTTAGTAAAACTTAGGTTTTTCTTTTATCTCTACCTTAAAATAACTAAAGCTGGTTTTTCAATTTCTCATAAACATATCACTGAGTTTACAGTATTGCAAATGTTATACTTAGTATTCATTTTAGGGGCAGCAGTGAGATCATAGATAATTTAATCTATTGTTTCAAACTGCTTTGAACTTTCTTAGCTACTGAGATTTAAAAAATGTATTTGGGCTAAAAAGTAAGAAAAAGGAAAAATACTGAGATGAAGGGACAGTAGACACAAAGTGGAAATCAGCACCAGCATAGTTTTGATTGGATTGTGAGTGTATTTCTTATTAACATTTGTCTATCATTAAGACACTTGAACTGATAATTGTGGGATTATGTAGACTATGTAATGTCTACCGCACTTACTACATAATCCCACGGTAGACTATCAGTTCATGTTTTTAATAAAGTAGAGCATACCAAATTAACCAACTCTGGCCAAAGGTGTCTTCAAAATTTAAACATTAACCCAAACTTTTTAATGTAATGCAGGCTTATAACTTGAAAAAAAATTTTTTTTAAAGATACTAGGCTTCATTTTGTTTAGTTTTTTGAGACAAGATCTCAATCTGTCACCCAGGCTGGAGTATAGTGGTATGATCATAATTCACTGTAGCCTTGAACTCCTGGTCTCAAGCAATCCTCCTGCCTTAGCCTCCTGAGTAGCTAGGACAACAGGCACAGGCCACCATACTAATCTTTTTAATTAAAAATTATATATTATTATTTTTTATAGACCAGGTCTTGCTATGTTTCCCAGGCTGTTCTCTTAATTCCTGGCCTCATTTGATCCTCCCATCTAGGCCTCCCAAAGTGCTGGGATTACAGGTGTGAGCCACCTGTAAAGGAAGGCCTGAGAGCCTTCCTTTTTGAAAAAGGAACTATAGGTCAGATTTTTTTTTACCTACTTTATTCCTTTTCAGATTTGGAGGAAAATTAGCTGATAATACTTTTCATGTTTTCTTAGACTCATTAAAGTGCAAGTGCAATCTTCAAATTAGATTTCTGTATTAGTAGGAAGTCATTTCTGATAACTTTCTGCTTTAGTATTTTAAAGTATTTATAGGAGACATGTAAAATTACCGAGCTGATATGACATATATGGTGTAACTTGATAAGGTGAACTATGATGTGGCCACTGACCCTCTTTTTCATGGAATTTTGATGGACCATAATTTCTCTTTGTCCTGTTATCCTATCACAGGATTTGGTACTATTTGGGAGTTGGTGGAGGGTGGGGGGGTCTTGCCGCATCTATTGCTCAAGTCTTTTTTTTTAAACATCTTTGTGTGTGTGTGTGTGATATAATGCACATATCATAAAGTTCTTGCCCTGAGTCTGGATTGTAAAGCTAAACATACCCCCACAGGGATAAATAACCTTGGTCTCATAAAACAAACTTTTCAAACTGGTGAACTAAAGGAAACTTTTTTATTCTAATGCTGTTTCACTTAAACTCAGTATATTACAGTTAAATTTGTGCCAACCATGGTGGCTCACATCTGTAATCACAGCACTTTTGGGGGGTTGAGGTGAGAAGATTGCTTGATGCCAGTAGTTTGAGATCACCCTGGGCAACATAGCAAGACTCCATCTCTACAAAACATTTTTAAAAATTAGCTGGGTTTGGCGGCATGTACCTGTAGTCCCAGCTTCTTAGGAGGCTGAGGTGGGAGGATCAGTTGAGCCCAGGAATTTGAGGCTGCAAGTGACCTCTGACTGCACTCCAACCTGGGTGACAGAAAAAGACCCTGTTTCTAATAGTTTCTAATAATAAAAAGTTAGCTTTTACCCAAAAGCTTAATAGGATGTGACTACTTTAAAAATTATTTCTTTTTGTAGAACTTATTTACAGTTTTTTTTTTGAAATAGCCCTCTCAGTTTTTATCTTTTAAAAGCAGAATTTGATCTGCATAAATTCACCTTGTATGAAACTTAAGTGTCAGGTATTTTCATCATGTGAAACAACATTTTCATGTTTCATACACAAGTTCTTTTCCATCCTATTATTCTGTTTTTAAAAAGCTAAGTTAAAAATATTATCTGGGTATGGTGGCATGCACCTGTAGTCTTATCTACTTGGGAGGCTTAAGTGGGATGATTGCTTGAGCCCAGAAGTTTGAAGCTGCAGTGACCTATGATTGAGCCACTGCATTCCAGCCTGAATGACAGAATGAGACCCTGTTTCTACACATAAATAAATAAGTAGGTAGCTAGCTTTATCCAGAAAGTATCTTTTAAAGTTAATTATTTATCAAAAGTCAGTTATTTGGGGGTTGTGAGCAGGTTACATTGAACTGTGTGGATGCGTTTTTGATTTGATTTTACTTCTGACATTAATTACAATATCAATCTTGATAGAACTAGTCAGAAAGATGTTATTCTTTTGTTTATGCTGCTTTCAAGGTGTTTTTGGAGAATACAAACTCTTTTGATGTAGGTACTTTTCCTACAAAGGACAATAAACCATTATATTGAAGAACAGGAGTGGTCTCAAGTTCAGTTTGCTTAATGGATATTACTTGAGAAGTGTACAACTGGTATTATTTAAGAATGGTATGGGCTGGGCGCAGGGGCTCATGCCTGTAATCCCAGCACTTTGGGAGGCTGAGGCTGGTGGATTGCTTGAGGTCAGGAGTTCCAGAGAGCCTGGCCAACATGGTGAAACCCCATCTTTACTAAAAATACAAAAATTAGCTGGGTGTGATGGCACAACCCTGTAATCCCAGCTACTTGGGAGGCTGAGCGGGAGAATCGCTGGAACCCAGGAGGCAGAGGTTGCAGTGAGCTAAGATGGCACCACTGCATTCCAGCCTGGGTGACAGAGTGAGACTCCATTTTTAAGAAAAAAAAAAAAAAAAAAAAAAAAGAATGGTACTACAGTTTATAATTTAAAAATTTATAGTCTGTGAATGAAGCCAAATTTCTCTTAATATACTTAAAACACTTCTGCATTTCTTACTTAGCTTCTGATGGAGCCCTGGCAAACCTTAAAGTTAAAATACTGTAACATTAAATACTGTAGAATTCATAATACTGTAGTGTTTATTGGCAGTAAAACACGAAGAATAAAATGAGGATTTCTGTTTTATTCACTGCCATGTTCCCAACACCTAGAATACATATTAATAGATGCTCAATATGTATTTGGTAAAAATGAACATCTAGTTTGGAAATGTATCTCTTAGTACCTTTGCATGAGACTAGTTTGTTTGATAACCTGTTACTGAATATCTGTGAGTTTGTAATCGCCTGACAGGTTCTTGCCTGCTGCACAGATAGAGGCAGTTTACTGAGACAGCAGTATTGCAATAGAGAAAGTTTTAAGAAATGCAGAGGCAGCCAAGTAGTAGTAAGAAGTTAATTACTCAAACCAATCTCCCTGAAAATTAGGAGACTAGGGTTTTTTAAGGATAATTTGGTGGGCAGGGGGCTAGGGAATGGGGAATGCTGATTGGTTGGGTCGGGGATGACTCATAAGGGGTTGAGGCTGTCTTCTTGTGCCAAGTCACAAGACCAGTCGAGCCAGTTTAGTGGTCCAGGTGGCAGGCATCAGCTGGTCCATCAAAATGCAGGGTCTGAAAAATACCTTGAACCAATCTTAGATTTTACAATAGTGATGTTATATATAGGGGCAATATTTGCAGTTTATCAAACCTAAATTTTTTGTTGTTTATACTGCTAATTAGAAAAACAGGAAATGGAACCAGAAGACAGTGTTTTCATTTACGTGGCTCTTGTATGGAAATAATTTTGTAGAAATGTGAGTTCTTTCATTAAAAAATAAGTTCCAGAGTGGGTAATGGTTGACTTTAAGGCAAGTAAAAAATTGTTTCTTGACCAGTTGCCTACAGCTGATGAGCTCCAGTAAGAGCGAAACCAGTTCTCACCCACTGAAATGATTTCGAAGTGTGAATTGGTCCTGTAGTACTGTGTCAGAAACAGAAACAACTCTAAGGGAGAAAAAGTATTTGAGTTAAAAGGAATTTTGTGACTGTACTGTATTATAGTATTTCTCCTAATGAGTAAGAGTTGCTAAAAGGTATTATAATCTATAATTGTAATTACTATATATATATATGAGTGTAAATTTGCTTTGTACAAGCATTTCTTTTTCTTAGAGAACGAGTCTCACTCTTGCTCAGGCTGGAGTACAGTGGTGCCATCATAGCTCATTGCAGCTTTGAACTCCTGGACTCAAGTGATCCTCCCATCTCAGCTTTCTGAGTAGCTGGGACTACAGGTGCATGCCACCATGCCCAGCTAACTTTAACAATTTTTTTTTTTTTTTTTTTTTTTTTTTTACGGAGATTAGGTCTTGTTATGTTGCCCAGGCTGGTCTCAAACTCCTGGGCGCAATAAATCCTTCCACATCAGCCTTCCAAAGTGTTGGGATTACATGCTGCACCCCCAGTGTATCAGCACTTCTTAAATTAAAATAATCTTGCCAACTAATGTCTTGTTTTACATCCTTCCCCTTTAGTCTACTACTTGCCATTCTATCCTTAGTAGCCTCGATGACGGCTCCCCTTTTACCCCATACCTCTCTCCCCCAAAAAAGCTTGGACAGCAACCAAATTGGCTTGTATCAGTATTGTCAACTGGAGGCCTACATGAGGACTCAGCTTACTGTTTTTCTTCTGGTTAATTGTGGACATAATCAAGTTCATTGCTTTTTCTCCCCATCTGCTACCACTCTTGTGCAGCTATTTATGGTGATGGCTTTGTTACGTATATACACATAGACCATTGTTAATCCCCTCCTTTTCCTTTGGCTGCCAAACAGTATTCATTTGAACATCATCAGAAGGTGTGCAAGCACTTTGGGAGGCCGAGGCGGGTGGATCACGAGGTCCAGAGATTGAGACCATCCTGGCCAACATGGTGAAACCCCGTCTACACTGAAAATACAAAAATTAGCTGGGCATGGTGGCTCGTGCCTGTAATCCCAGCTACTTGGGAGGCTGAGGCAGGAGAATAGCTTGAACCAGGGAGTCAGAGGTTGCAGTGAGCCGAGATCGCGCCATTGCACTCCAGCTTGGCAACAGAGCGAGACTCCATCTTTAAAAAAAAAAAAAAAAAAAAAAACCAGCTTGCAAGCTAAGTAGTTATCACATGCCAATTTACATGATTTTTCTTAAAGTCATGAGCATATTGCTGACAGAAGTTACAGAAAGTACTTGCCTTTTGAGGTTAATCTGAGTCTTCCTTAATTTACAGGAGGAGGATATGTAAAACATTCTAAGCTTAGGTAACCAAATAAACAGCTTTTTAAATCTAGATGAATATCCAGCAGGATGACACGTTTTTGTTGTTCTATACTGTCTTCCACATTGTCATCTTACAACCTGTTTTCCATCCACTGAATGCTGTTTGCTCCCTAGATCACTGTGTAAACCCAGTTGACCCCACCTTCATTTGTATAGCCACTGAAGAGCATTTGCAAAAATGCGTGTAAATGTAGTAGAGAATATGTTTGTTAGATTTATTATTACTGTCATATTGCATGAGACTTAAGAGTTTGATTCAGTTCAGAGGGAGGTTCCATCTTCGTGCAAGTACAAAGATCATTTAAAAGGCTAAATGCTGCCTCTTCAAAAAGGTCACAAGAAAGGCTCTATGTGCTTGATGAGTGTAAATGCAGTGTTTTTAAATTTACCCTGAGAGACTATTTTTGTACTTGTGATGAGAGAAAATTTGGAGGAAGATGTGACATTAGAATTGGTCCTTTAAACATAGACTTCAGATAGACCTAAGGGAAGAACATTCTAGTTGAGAACAAAGCCATTGAAATGTTAATACGCAAGTTGGGGGAATCTTTGAGTTAGACTGGTTGGGCTAGTAAAGTATGATGGAGTGCCAGGATTTCAGGAATGTGTTGAGAGATAAGAATGGAAAAGTAGTACAACTGGTTTACTGAGGAATCTTAAATCTGGGTATAAACGTGAAATGGTTTTATTTTTTCCTTACTGGGTCTCCAGTCATACAGTGTAAAACACTCCTAACCTCTGTACTTTCCTCTGCAGTGCAGTCCTTTAAGAATCCCTTGGTCCGATGTAACTTTGCCGCCACTTTTGGTTACTACAAAAAACTTATTCCAGAAATTAAGACAGGTTCTAGCCATTAAAAAAAAAATGAAGTCACAAACTCATTGTTTTCTCTGAAGAAAAGTTGAAGCTGTTCCCAGCTGCTTGGCATGAAGAGGTATAATTTGACTCAAAGATGTGCTCCCTCTCCTTACTTTTTTTTTTTTTGAGACAAAGTGTCTCGCTCTGTTGCCCAGGCTGGAGTGCAATGGCACGATCTTGGCCCACTACAACCTCCGCCTCCTGGGTTCAAGCGATTCTCCTGTCTCAGCCTCCCGAGTAGCTGGGATTACAGGCACCCACCATAATGCCCGGCTAATTTTTTTTTGAGACAGAGTCTCGCTCCGTCGCCCAGGCTGGAGTGCAGTGGCGCAATCTTGGCTCACTGCAACCTCTGCCTTCCGGGTTCAAGCAGTTCTCTGCCTCAGCTCCCCGAGTAGCTGGGATTTCAGGCGGCTGCCACCACGCCCAGCTAATTTTGTATTTTTAGTAGAGACAGGGTTTCGTCGTCTTGGCCAGGTTGGTCTTGAACTCCTGACCTTGTGATCTGCCCTCCTTGGCCTCCCAAAGTACTGGGATTACAGGCGTGAGCCACCACGCCCAGCCCACAAGTTATATCTTAAAGTGAGTTACTTTGGGTGAGGTAATGTAGGTGGCAGTGCCTCTGTTTGAGAATTATTTTATTTTGTCCTAGATTTTGGAATACAGAGTACTTACGAGGTCTTTTATTTACTCCGTTTATTTGTATTGTCTAAACCAAGCCTTTAATACTAGTGTGTGCTTTGGCTTGGTTATAAAATATCTGCAGCAAAATAATGATAATTTGGTTGTTTGGAAACATATTTATACAGAGAGGTAGAGTATTTAGGCCAATGGCTGTCTTAGTTGATGCCCCAGAGGGCAGTCTAGAAATTAGCATATTTAGCAAACAAGCTGGTCTACTTTTCCTTTCTTACACTTATTCCTCCCATTTTCGACATTCCTAGAATAATGTTTCTCAAATACTAGTGTTACCATTTCTGTGCTTACAGGCTTTAATTAAACAAATATTTGAGAACCCACTATGTGCTAGAAACTCTGCACTGTAATTAAGTCTACAAGTCACTGTGATTTACTATGATTTGTTCTTAACAAAATTCACTCCTGCTTAGCCTTCTATGGAATCTACCTGACCAGTCTTCTCTCTCTCTTTTCATCATCCTCTGATAACCACCTTTATCCCAGCCTGATGTAACCATGCATGTTTTGTTATTTAAAAATTTAGTATATCTCTCCATTAGTTTTCCATTAGTTTATATCTCATGTATAAACTAGAGCTATTTTCCATTAGTATATCTCTTATCTGGAATTATTGCTCTGTTATTTCTGTCAAAACTATGATCTGTCCTCTTTTTAATCTAACCTCACATGGTTTCAGTAACTCATTACCTTGTACATGCTTTGTTGATACCTGACAAAAGAAGTCAACAATTTTTTTTATCAAGATTGTGGAAATATTTTATAATTATGTGTTGTGGGATAATATTTGAAGATGACTAATTGTCATAAAATGGCTAGAATAGTAACCTCCATAAACAATATAAAAATCTATCCTATGCCGGGTGCGGTGGCTCACCCCTGTAATTCCAGCACTTTGGGAGGCCAAGGCAGGTGGATCACCTGAGGTCAGGAGTTTGAGACCAGCCTGGCCAACCTGGTGAAACCCTATCTCTTCCTAAAAATACAAAAAATTAGCCAGGTGTAGTGATGGGCACCTGTAGTCTCAGCTACTCGGGAGGCTGAGGCAGGAGAATTGCTGGAACCTGGGAGGCAGAGGTAGCAGTGAGCCGAGATCTCACCATTGCACTCCAGCCCGGGCAACGACAGTGAGACTCTATCCCAAAAAAAAAAAAAAAAAAAAAAATATATATATATACACACACACACACACACACACACACACACACACACACTCTAACTTGGTCAAATTAATAAAGTTGCTTTTATTGACCTAGGCAGTGCATATGGGCTCCATTTTATTTGTACTGGACATTGTTTTTTTCCTGATGAGAATGTTTGAAAATCACCATGGTACTTCCTGGATTCCTGCCTGGATGAAAAACTAATTTCTACCAGGGATTCTTTACACCCTGACTTCATTATGGCTCAAATCTAGATCTCTGGGCTATAGATAGTTGTGTCTTGTTATTTAGGTTTCCTTCTTAGTAAATTTTTATTTTCTTTAATGTGCGTTGTTTTGTTATCTTGGTTTGTGATTTCTAGTGCTTTTATTGGTGTATTATTTCTCCAGTATTTTCTTACAGATTTATGAGGTAGTCTTTTTTTCTTTACAGAGCTGAAGGAATTCTAAGCATTCTTTGGCACTCGTCTAGTTGCTAGCGTTACTCCTTACCTAACATCTTATGGGGATGATTGGAGAATGCCAGACTACAACTGAAATTAATTAATGAAGTTGTTTGACTGAAATGAAGGAGGAAAGACAGACTTTGCAGTGGCCCTACTGCTTGTAGCTAGCCAGCTTGGGTTAGCTGTCCTAGTCCTTTTTCTTTTTTCTCAAGGACAGGCTTTTAAAGGAATTGTTAGTGATAAAATTTGTGGTGTTAGTTATTCCACATCACAGAGTGTGTGCAAGTTTGTATGGGGTTTTGGTTTAAAGTGGTTTTTAATTTTGATGTTTCAATTTCTTAGATGTAAAACGAAGATCAGGAGCAGATTTGAAGAATTACAAAGTGAATTGGTGCCAGTCAGCATGTCAGAGACAGACCACATAGCCTCTACTTCCTCTGATAAAAATGTTGGGAAAACACCTGAATTAAAGGAAGACTCATGCAACTTGTTTTCTGGCAATGAAAGCAGCAAATTAGAAAATGAGTCCAAACTATTGTCATTAAACACTGATAAAACTTTATGTCAACCTAATGAGCATAATAATCGAATTGAAGCCCAGGAAAATTATATTCCAGATCATGGTGGAGGTGAGGATTCTTGTGCCAAAACAGACACAGGCTCAGAAAATTCTGAACAAATAGCTAATTTTCCTAGTGGAAATTTTGCTAAACATATTTCAAAAACAAATGAAACAGAACAGAAAGTAACACAAATATTGGTGGAATTAAGGTCATCTACATTTCCAGAATCAGCTAATGAAAAGACTTATTCAGAAAGCCCCTATGATACAGACTGCACCAAGAAATTTATTTCAAAAATAAAGAGCGTTTCAGCATCAGAGGATTTGTTGGAAGAAATAGAATCTGAGCTCTTATCTACGGAGTTTGCAGAACATCGAGTACCAAATGGAATGAATAAGGGAGAACATGCATTAGTTCTGTTTGAAAAGTGTGTGCAAGATAAATATTTGCAGCAGGAACATATCATAAAAAAGTAAGTTTTTTATACCTTTAGGTTATTTTTTTTCCCTCACAGGCACAGGGATTCGAGATAAAATTCTTTAAAGGAAAATACCATTTTGTTCATTTTTACTTGCACATTAGAATCATGCACATAGTAGTTGAACAATAAATGTATAGTTGCTGAATGTGTGAGCAAATGTCGAGTTTTTCAGATATCTGAGTTCAATATGTTAAATAGTGTAAATGTATTAACGTGCTAGAAATTTTTATAGACAACTCAAAATTTTTCACTTTTGAAAGAATGTAGAAGTATATTGTCAAAACTAAGAGAAACTCAAAAGGAAATAACAAGTCATAAAATTCCACAACTTTTTCTTAAAATCTGCATTCTAAATTCATTGGTTTAAAACATTAAAATTTAGAGAACAGAATAATTGATTATCGTTCAGTAAATAATAATACAGTTTTGGATATGTGAAGTTCTGTTTTCATGATAGTTTAAAATTTACCATCTTAACCATTTTTATGTGTACGTTTCAGTAGTGTTATTATATATTCACACTGTTGGACAACCAATCTGCAGAACTTTTTCACTTTGCAAATCTGAAACACTGTATTCGTTAAACAACACTATTTCCACTTGCCCTCAGTCCCTGGCAACCACCATTCTACTTTCTGTTGCTGAGTTTGACTACTCATGATACCTCATGTAGGTGAAATCATATACTTTTCATTTCATGACTGGCTTATTTCATTTAGCCTAATGTCCTCATTTATCCATGTTGTAACATGTCAGAATTTCATTTCTTTTTAAGGCTCAATAATATTGCATTGTATGTATATACCACATTTTGTTTATTCATCCATTAATGGACATCTGGGTTCCTTCTGCTTTTTGGCTGTTGTTAATAATGCTACTGTGAACTTGGGTTTGCAAGTATCTCTTCAAGACTCCAAGGCCCTTCTTGATATTACCCCCAAACAAATGCCTGCTGTTGCTATTCATATCCTTACTGTAATACTATATTATGTGAATAAACTGTATGCTTTTGTACTTGAACCATCAGTGCTGCTGCTATTCTTGCATTTTATAGGGTAACTTTCTCATTTTCCTGTAGCCTGTACCTATTCTTTTAGACCTTCCTCTTGAGATTATCTCTGATGCCTCTTCCCACTTTACTGAGATCTAGACTCTTACCATTTTCATACCTCCCTTATAAATTATAAGATGTTATACATTTAATAATAATAGCAGTAAACATGTATATGCTGATAATTAGGTGCCTGGTATATTACATTTATTAGTTCATGGATTCTTCACAAGAACTCTCTGTGACATGTGCTGTTATCCCCATTGTACAGATGAGTTACCTGAAGCGCAGAGAGAGAAAAAGTAACTTGCTCAAGGCCACATGCTAACAAATGCAAAGTTAAAATCTGAGCTTTGTGAGTGGAGCTTTAGAGCTTTTTCAAATACGGTTATTAGAAATGAACCAGTTACAAGGTGTTAAATTTACCTAAAAATATGAGGAATAGGGTAGAAAATTGGTTTCTCTTTTTTGCTTCATCCTGTCAGAACAGTGACAGCACGGGTGAGTGGAATAATCATAATTCTGATGTCTGGTATTTGGAAGATACCCATTGGCATTTGCCAGCTCTGTTGTCTTGGCCAAGTCAACCTCTTTGAGTGAAAGATTTTTCACCTTAGAGTGACAATACTTACCTGATGGAACTGTTTGTGGACATTAGGACATTACACAAATGTCAGATGTTATTTTAAATCAAGGTTAATTTTTGGTTATACACATGATGTTTTTAATTCCAAATAAAATACTTTGTGAGTCAGGTTAACTCTAAAACAACTAAATTTTTTTCTTAACTTTTTTCTTCATCTAATTTTCTATGAAGAAAACTTCCTTTTACTTTCTTTGAAATTTTAATGAATGCATCTATTTCCAAATCTTTGTTTATACATTCCCTCATTTTTCCCCCAGCTTTATTGAAATATAACTGATAAAATTGTATATATTTAAAGAGGTACAATGTGATGATTTGATATACATCGTGAAATGATTACCACAATCAAGTTAGTTACCACATCGGTCACATCACAGTTACCTTTGTGTGTGTGTGGTGAGAACATTTAAGATCTACTGTCTAAACAAATTTCAAGTGTACAATATGATATTATTAACTGTTATCACCATGGAGTATATTAGATCCCCAGAACTTACTCATTTTATAACTGAAAAGTCTGTAGGCTTTGGCCAATATCTCCCCTTTTCCCTCACCCCCTGTGCCCTGGCAAGCACCATTCTTCTCTTTATTTCTGTTCTTTGATTTTTGAACACATCAATATTACTGTCTAAGGTTCCAACCAAATTTTTTTTTTTTTTTTGAGGTGGAGTTGTGCTGTGTCACACAGGCTGGAGTGCAGTGGCGCGACCTCAGCTCACTGCAACCTCTGCCTCCTGGATTCAAGCAATTCTCCTACTTCAGGCTCCCAAGTAGCTGGGACTACAGGTGCCTACCACTACACCCGGCTAATTTTTGTATTTTTAGTAGAGACAGGGTTTTGCCATGTTGGCCAGGCTGGTCTTGAACTCCTGACCTCAAGTGATCTACCTGCCTCAGCCTCCCAAAGTTCTGGGATTACAGGCGTGAGCCACTGCGCCTGGCCCAAAAATTCTTTATTTTATTTTTTTGAGATAGGGTCTTGCTCTCTTGCCCAAGCTGGAGTGTAGTGGGTGTGATCTCAGCTCACTGCAGCGTCAACCTCCTGTGCTCAAGTTGTCCTCCCACCTCAGCATCCCAAGTAGCTTGGACAACAGGTGCGCACCACTAGGCTCAGCTAATACTTTTGTGGTTTTTTTGTTTTAGAGATGGGGTTTCACGATGTTGCCCAGGCTAGTCTGGAACTCCAGAACTCAGGCTATCCACCCACACTGGCCTCCCAAAGTGCCAGGATTACAGGCATGCACCACTGTGCCTAGCCTAAAATTCTTTTTTTTTTTTTTTTTTTTTTTTGAGACGGAGTCTCGCTCTGTCACTGAGCTAGAGTGCAGTGGCGGATCTTGGCTCACTGCCACCTCCGCTTCCCAGGTTCAAGCGATTTTCCTGCCTCAGCCTCCTGAGTAGCTGGGACTACAGGCACGCCCTACCACACCCAGCTAATTTTTGTATTTTTAGTAGAGACGGGGTTTCACCATGTTTGCCAGGGTGGTCTCGGTCTCTTGACCTCATGATCCACCCGCCTCCACCTCCCAAAGTGCTGGGACCAAAATTCTTAATTAAGAACAGTTGTCTGTATATAGAATATGCATTTGGCACATAAGTAACAAATTGAGTGTTTACTGCTTTTCACTTCCCCCTCCCTTTGTTGTTCACTTGTGAACTATAGGCAGGACTCTTGTGTCTCAAGTAGTTTTCTGTAGCAATTGAGTATGCCTCACATAAATGATCTAAGTTAAACCACTGTGTCATAAAAGGCTTGAATAAACATGCATATATTTGCCTTTTTTCCAAACATTTGTATGATTGTTTCCTCACTGATTCCTAGGCTCAGCTGTCACCTTCTCAGAGAGGCCTATCTAGACTACTTATCTAAAATAGCAGCTCAAGTCACTCTCTGGCTTTTCGCTCTCCTTTATTTTTCTTAATAGGATTTAATCACCAGCTGACATTTTATTATATATCTAGGGTCCATTTTTATTTTATCCCCTAGAATGTAAGTTCCACGAGGGCAGGGACTATTTGCTGACATATTTCCCACATAAAATAGATGCTGAGTAAGTACTGGTTGAGTTAATGAGTGATCTTCAAAGTAGAAGGTGGAAAGGCCTGGGGCTTTGGAAGTATACCTGGATCCAAAACAAAATTGAAAGTTCAACTGCTTACTAGCTGTGTGACCTGGAACAAGTCTTAGGCTTCAGTTTTGTTTTGCTGTTAATATTTTTATTTTATTTTTAGAGACAAAGGTCTTATTCTGTTGCCCAGGCAGGAGTGCAGTGGAGCTCACTGCAGCCTGGAACTCCTGGGATCAAGTGCTTTTCCTGGGACTCCTGGCATGAGCCATCATGCCTAACTAGTTTTTTTTTTTTTTAATTCGTAAAACAGAAGTGATGGTAATGATAATAATTTCATAGACTTATTTTGAATACTAAATGAAATAATACACTTTTTTAAATTAAAAAAGCTAAATTTAGCCAATAGCAAGTGTGCAATAAATGTTAGGTTACAGCTATTGCTAATTAGTCCTAGAGTACTTGCTGTTAGCTTTCTTAGGCATCTTACATTTCTAAGCACTTTGCAGGCAGTTTTTGAGACTTTATTTCTGTTTTTCTAGGGGAATTCAAGATGATATTTCTGCTTAGATTTTATTTTGCTGTTTTACATTGACTGTACATTATAACTATTAGACTATCATTAAAATATTTTTAAAATCTGAAGCAAGACTTTTCAACTTTAGCAGTATCGCCACTTGGGGCCAGATTCTTTGTTGTTGTTGGAGTTGTCTTGTGCATTGTAGGATGTTTAGCAGCATCCCTGGCCTCCATCCACTAGATGCCAGTAGCAGCCCCTACCCTTGTTAGGACAACCAAAAATGTCTTCAGACAAATGCCTGGAAGGGCAAAATTGCCCGTGGCTGAGAACCACTTATTTGAAGAGTGCCAGTGCTGACAGGATTGGTGCATAATTGAGATACCTGAAGGTATAAATCTGGAAGGGTGTGCTTTTCATTCATATGATTCTATTTTGATTTGAAATATTCATATTTCTAGGGAAAAGTTAATAGCCTAATGGGCCAGAGAATCTTTTGCAAAGTATTATGTTTCACTATAAAATGATTATTTAGGAATGTTAATTTATTAACATAATGAATAATTATAGATATCTGTACCCTGATCTGTAAAGAAATTATATTCCACATATTATTTTATCTCCATTTTAAATTATGTTTTACATACACTGCCCTTTTTATATTTAGGTTAATTAAAGAAAATAAGAAGCATCAGGAGCTCTTCGTAGACATTTGTTCAGAAAAAGACAATTTAAGAGAAGAACTAAAGAAAAGAACAGAAACTGAGAAGCAGCATATGAACACAATTAAACAGGTAAAAAAGACAAAAATCTTCGAAGACTATACTTCAATTAATAAAATAAATACATTCCTGGCAGCCGATTGTGGCAGCTCATGCCTGTAATCGTAGCACTTTGGGAGGCCAAGGTGGGCGGATTACTTGAGCCCAGGAGTTTGAGACCAGCCTGGGCAACATGGTGAAACCCTGTCTCTACAAAAAAAAAAAAAAATAGAAAATTAGCTGCATATGGTAGCATGCGCCTGTAATCTCAGCTACTAAGGAGGCTGAGGTGGGTGGATCACTGGAGCCGGGGAGATTGAGGCAGCAGTGAGCTGAGATCGTGCCACTGTACTCCAGCCTGGGTGAGAGAGTGAGACCTTGTCTCAAAAAAAAAAAAAAAAAAAAAAATTCTGAAAACTTGCATGTAGGTTGGAGTTCTATAAGGTAAATCATATTTTAAATGCAGAGAATTGCATGGCATTTAAACCATTCTCCTTTACAAAGTAGGACTCATAGCCTGATGTATTTCCTTTTATGTAAGTTTATTCTTATGCATGTGACTCCTGTACTGCATGTAGTAGAACATACTCTGTTATGTTCAAAATAAGCAAAAAGACGATTTGAGTTGACAGTCAACTAGACTGTTGTTGCCAACAGGGAGGAAGCAATGGAAATATAAAAGTTTATGTCTGGCATTAGGATGTTTTTAAGTTTATATTTTGGTATGGTTCCATTCTCAGTATTTTTAAAAACTATATTGTGAAGGCTGGCTGTCATACTTTAGATTGTATCTGGCTTACTGGCTTTCCTAGCCTGTCCTTTTCCTTCTTTTTTTTAATTTATTTTTTGTTTTTTCTTTGAGACAGAGTTTTGCTCTTGTCACCCAGGGTGGAATTCAGTGGCACAATCTCAGCTCACTGCAATCTTTGCCTCCTGGGTTCAAGTGATTCTTCTGCCTCAGCCTCGGGAGTACCTGGGATTATAGGCGGCCACCAACCACACCCAGCCAATTTTTGTATTTTTATTAGAGACAGGGTTTCACCGTGTTGGCTAGGCTGGTCTTGAACTCCTGACCTCAGGTGATCCACTTGCCTTGGCCTGGCCTCCCAGTTCTGGGATTACAGGCATGAACCACTGCCCCTGGCCTCTTTCTAGTTTTTAAATGAACTCCTCTGATGCATGAATCAACAAAGTGAGTATTCAGACTAATAGGAAAGCTGAGTTGCTCTTTATTTTTGAGGTGCTTTTTCTTCTGTGAACAGGATTAGAAGCATTCTAGCCTTAAAAGTATTTTGTCTCATCTTTCAAAGAAAGTTATATAATGAAAATAACAGTAAACAATTGGTAAAACAATTTTTCACTTGATGCATGATTGGAAGGTGACTGTATTTGTAAAATTGTATGTATTTAATCCTGATTTTTATGTGCTCTAGGGTCCCCACATATAAACCAGAGTTAGAATGGTAAAGTGTGAGGGAGTCTTAACAGGCTAAATCCATATTTCGGTAGTCAGGTCACTCAATGACCAGAAACTTCAGACCGAACAGGTACAATGGAACCAGAGCCCTTCCTTTCATGAGCTTATTAGTGGGCTTTTTTTGTTGTTGTTGTTGTTTTTAAAGAGAAAAGCTTTTCCTTCTTTATTTTATTTCTAGATCTGCACTATCTAATGTGGCATCCACCAGCTGCATATAGCTATTGAGCACTTCAAAGGTAGCTAGTCTAAATTGAGAGGTGCTGTAAGTGTAAAATACACATGTAACTTAGAAGAGTTAGTATAAAAATAAAACAGCTCATTTTTTTCATGTGGATTGATAATATTGGAATGATAATATTTGGATATATTGGGTTTAATAAACTCACTTGTTTGTAATTTTTATTTTTTATTTTATTTTATTTTATTTTATCTTTGAGATGGGGTTTCGCTCTTGTTGCCCAGGCTGGGGTGCAATGGCGCGATCTCGGCTCATAGCAACCACTACCTCCCAGGTTCAAGCGATTCTTCTGCCTCAGCCTCCTGAGAAGCTGGGATTACAGGGGCCCGCCACCAAGCCTGGCTAGTTTTTATATTTTTGGTAGAGACAGGGTTTCACCATGTTAGCCAGGCCAGTCTTGAACTCCTGACCTCAGGTGATCTGCCCATCTTGGCCTCTCAAAGTGCTGGGATTACAGGCGTGAGCCACTGCGCCCAGCTTCTTTTTACTTTTTAAAGTGTGACTACTAGAAAGTTTAAATTCCACATGTGGCTTGTACTTCTATTGCTCAGTGTTGCTCTAGATAATTTTGTAATAAGGAAAATTAGTATATGTGTACTATAAGATTTAGGTCTTTTTCAACAGGTTTATTGAGATATAATTAACTTTCCACACAGTTCACTTATTTTAAGTGTACAATTCAGTGACTTTTACCTGTGCAACCTTTACCACAATTTTAGAACATGTCATCACCCCAAAAAGAAATGCAACACACATTAGTAGTCACTTCTCATTTGCCTCCAACAGTACTCCCTCAACCCTGCCCTAGGGAACAAGTAATCTTTCGGTCTCTATATATTTGCCTGTTCTGGACGTTTCATATAAATGGAATTATATAATAGGTACCCCTTTTTATCTAGCTTCTTTTATTTAACATAGTGTTTTTAAGATTTCATTCAAGTTGTAGCATGTATCAGTACTTCATTGTTTTTAATGATTGAATAGTAGTTCATTATATAGATATTTGATGTTTTAATATTTTGTTTACCCCTTCATCAGTTGATGGACATGGGAAAATGGGTTGTTTCTGCCATTTGACTATTATGAATAATACCACTGTGAACATTCACGTGCTAGTTTTTATGTGTACATATGCTTTCATTTCTCTTGGGTGTATACCTAGGAATTAATAGAGTGAGTTGGGAAGTGTTACTTTTTGGGGGAAGAGCAAAAATTTGTGAAGAATTGGTATTCTTCTTTAATTGTTTTAAAGAATTTTACCTGTGTAGCCACCTGGGACTGAATTTTTCTTTGTGGGTAGGTTTTTGTTGTTGTTGTTCTTTTTTATTATGCTAATTCAGTCTCTACTTGTTATAGGTCTATTCAGATCTTCTATTTCTTCTTGAGACAGTTTTGGTAGTTTGTGTCTTTCTAGGAATTGTTCATTTTGTCTCTAAGTTAAATTGTTCATACTATTTATTTATTCAATTATTTTTATTTCTATAAGGTCAGTAGTAATGTCCCTCTTTCATTTTGATTCTAGTAATTTCAGTCATCTTTCTTTTTTCTTCAGTCATTCCAGCTAAAGGTTTGTCAGTTTTCTTCATCTTTTCAGAGAACCAGTTTTTGGTTTTGTTTGTTGTCTCTGTTTTTCTTTTTCTTTTCTTTTTTTTTTTTTTTTTGAGACAAGGTCTGGCTGTTTCACCCAGGCTGGAGTGCGATGTTGCGATCTCGGTTCACTGCAACCTCTACCTATGAGGCTCAAGTGATCCTCCCACCTCAACCTCCCGAGTAGCTGCTACTACAGGCGTGCATCACCACATCCAGCTAATTTTTGTATTTTTTTGTGGAGATGGGTTTTCACTATGTTTCCCAGGCTCGTCTCGAACTTGTGAGCTCAAGCGATCCACCTGCCTCAGCCTCCCAAAGTGCTGAGATTACAGGCATGAGCCACTTCACCTGGCCTTGTCTCTGTTTTTCCATTCTAGTTTTTATTTTTTTCTTCCTCCTCTTTGTGTTTGGTTTAGTTTGCTGTTTTTCTGGTGTCTTAAGATGCAAGTATAGGTTATTAATTTGATACCCTGTCTTCTTTTTTTTTTTTTTTTTGAGACGTCATTTCGCTCTTGTCACCCAGACCGGAGTGCAGTGGCGTGATCTTGGCTTACTGCAACTTCCACCTCCTGAGTTCAAGCGATTCTCCTGCCTCAGCCTCCCAAGTAGCTGGGATTACAGGCACCCGCCACCATGCCCAGCTAATTTTTGTATTTTTGGTAGAGACGGGGTTTCACAGTGTTGGCCAGGCTGGTCTCGAACTCCTGACCTCAAGTGAGCCTCCTGCCTCTGCCTCCCAAAGTGCTGAGATTACAGGCTTGAGCCACCCCGCCTGGCCCCCTTTCTTCTTTTTTAATATAGGTATTTGTAGTTATAAATTTTCCTCTAAGCATTCCTTTAGATGTGTCTCCTGAGTTGTGGTATATTATGTTTGCATTTTTATTAGTCATCTAGTACTTTCTAATTTCCCTTGCAATTTCTTCTGTGTTTCTTTAGCAGTATGTGGTTTAATTTTCACAAATTTGTGAATTTCCCATATTTCTTTCTGTTACTGAGGTCTCATTCCATTATGGTTGGAGAATATGCTTCATATGATTTTAATCTTTTAAATTTATGGAAGTTTGTTTGTAACCTAGCATATCCTCTGTCATGGAATATTCCATGTGCACTAGATGAAAACGTATACACTGCTGTTCCTGGGTGGAGTGTTGTATAGATGTATTAGATTCCATTGTTTTGTAGTGTTTAAGTCTCCTATTTCTGTGTTAATTTTCTGCCTAATTCTATTTATTATTGAAAGTAGGATAGTGAAGTCTCCAACTATTGTTGACTTATTTTCCCTTTTATTTCTGTTAGTTTTTGCCTCATATATTTTGATGCTACATTCTTAGATGCATATACATTTATCTGTTAGATCTTTCTGATGGCTTGATCTGTTTTATTTTTGTGAGCTATTCTTTATCTCTGGTAACATTCTTAATTTTAGTCTGTTTTTTATGTAAATATAGCCACTCTTCCTTATGATTGCTGTTTGCATTATATATTTTTTTCCACTCTTTTCAGTTTACTTGCATTTTGAACCTAAAATGCCTTCTATAGACAACATATAGTTGAATCTTGTTTCTTTAATTAAGTCTGTTAGTTTCTGCCTTTTGATAGGATTATTAAATCCACTTTCATTTAATATTATTGATGGTGGGATTTATGTCTGCCATATCTTTCGTTTTCCATGTTTCATGTCTTTTTTCTTCCCCTATTCCTCCTTCACTGCCTTCTTTTGCATTAAGTGAATGTTGTCCAATATAACATTTAAATTTCTTTCATGATATTTTCACTATACAGTACAGAGTTCCCCCTTATCTGAGGGGAATTTATTCCAAGATCCTAAGTAGATGCATGAAATTGTCAATAGCACTGAACTCGATTGCCATCAATCAGAATATGTTTCTGTTTATGTCTGCCCCTGACAAGTGAATGCCCTTTTCATCCTTTTTTTTTTTTTTCAGAGACAGGGTCTCATCACTCTGGCTGGCGTACCATGGTGGGATCACAGCTCACTGTAGCCTCAAACTCCTTGGCTCTAGCAATCTTCCTGCCTCAGCCTCCTGAGTAGATGGGACTATAGGCATGCACCACCATGCCCAGCTAATTTTTAAAATTTTTTGTAGAGATTGGGTCTTGCTGTGTTGACCATGCTGGTCTTGAACTCCTGACCTCAGGCAATTCCCTCTCCTCAGCTTTCCAAAGTGCTGGGATTACAGGCATAAGCCACTACCTGGCTCCTTTCCCGTCTTAACAAAGTACTTATGCAGTGTGGCCATAACTTTTGAAGTTTGAGGTGTGACAGCAAAACTAGCATGAATTTCTTTTTTCTTCTTCACAGTTTCATGGATAGAAGATTCATTCTTACTGTAGATCTTAGCAACCTCAGTATATGATTTTTTTCTTTCAAGTCACCATTTCACTTAAAATAAGCACTTTAAAGCCTCTCTTTGGCACATGTGAATTGCCAGCATCACTATTCTTATACTCTGGGGCCACTAATAAGTAAACTCACTTATTAATTAAGGGCTAAGTGTTGCTGCACACAAGCACTGTCGTCCTGCCATAGTCAGTCTGGTAACTGAGATGGCTACTAAGCGACTAACTGGCAGGTAGTGTGTACAATGCAGACATGCTGGACAAAGGGATGACTCACAGTCTCAGTGAGACATAGTGAGACAACACAAGTTTTCATCACACTACTCAGAATGGCATGCAATTGAAAACTTGTGAATTATTTCTGGAAGTTTTTATTTAATATTTTTGAACTGTGGGTGACTGAAGGTTGCTGAAACCATAGAAAGTGAAGCCACAGATAAGGCGGGACTCTACTGTATTTCTTTGTGTTATTCCTTTGTGGATGTTCTAGGGGTTGCCAGATACCTTAACTTAATGGAATCTCCAGATTTTTACTAAATGACAGTGAGATATAGAAACATTGCTAAAAGTTTTTATTTCAATAGCTGAAGTATATTCATTGTATTCTTTATGTTTATTTACTTTGTTTATATTTATTTGCAGTATTGGTGGTGTATTTGGTATAGCTATAAAAATAATTTGGAAATAATTTTCTTTACAGTTAGAATCAAGAATAGAAGAACTTAATAAAGAAGTTAAAGCTTCCAGAGATCAACTAATAGCTCAAGACGTTACAGCTAAAAATGCAGTTCAGCAGTTACACAAAGAGATGGCCCAACGGATGGAACAGGTATTTCTCACATCGTTGTCATTATTAACTTGATATTCTGGTGACTCTTGTTTGTTAAAATAAGCTAACACTGTTAGACTATTTTGGACCTCACTATTGTATTAATACTAGGTGATTCTTTTATATAAAAGTAAGCCATTAGGCCAGACGTGGTGACTCACATCTGTAATCCCAGCACTTTCAGAGGCTGAGGCAGGCAGATTGCCTGAGGTCAGGAGTTTGAGACCAGCCTGGCTAACATGGTGAAACCCCATCTCTACTAAAAATACGAAAAGTTTAGCCAGACGTGGTGGCGCATCCCTGTAGTCCCAGCTACTTGGGAGGCTGAGGCAGGAGAATCACTTGAACCCGGGAGGCGGAGGTTGCAGTGAGCCGAGATTGCACTGCTGCACTCCAGCCTGGGTGACAAAGCAAGACTCTGTCTAAAAAAAAATAGTAAGTCATTAAAAATTCTAAAGCAATATATAAATACATACAGATGAATAAAAAAGTGTATGGAATAAAAATTTTTTTTTTAATCTGTACATATTCTTCCCCTGCCTACAATCCTTTTATATCCCATTCCTTGTTCCATAGCTAATTATTGGTATTTTGATTATGTATCTTACTACATATACATGTACAAGTCACACATGTTTATTTGTACATGGTCATATACTTTTTTCCCCCATTTGATTGGAATGATACTATACATCTTTTTTGTAACCTTTTTTCCCATACTTAATATACCTTGGTAATCTTTTTAAGTTGGTATATATGATCTCAGAAGAGGTAATTTTAAGCAGTGCTTTTTTATTACTTGCCTGAACTCTTTATGGATGACGTCTTTGTCATCTTCATTTCTGTATCCACAAAACCTAGCACAGTATCTGACTAACAATTAGTCTTCACAATGAATTGAATCTGAAAGGGTTAACTCACACCTTCATTATTTGAATGTGATGGATCCCACCCTTTCTACCCCGAAGCTGCTACTGTAGATGGCATTCTGGAAGGACTTTAGGAAACAGATTATCCTCAGCCTTTATTTGGATGATTCTTTAAAACATGCTGACTCCTTGCATTAGAAATGTTATGTTTAACTCTCCTGCTATCAGTTCTGAACCCTTTTGTACCAATTGAAGGGAAATACAGAGCCTAAGAGCTTAAGAAGTAACTGGTTTTAGCGGGCCCAAACATAGCCAGCCAGTCATTAGAATCACCTGGTGAGCCAACCTGCCTGCCTGCCTGCCTTCCTGCCTGCCTGCCTGCCTTCCTGCCTTCCTGCCTTCCTGCCTTCCTTCCTTCCTTCCTTCCTTCCTTCCTGCCTTCCTGCCTTCCTTCCTTCCTTCCTTCCTGCCTTCCTGCCTTCCTTCCTTCGTCCCTTCCTCCCTTCCTCCCTTTCCTTCCATTCCATTCTTTTCTTTCCTCCCTCCTTCCCTCCTTTCCTTCCTTCCTTCCTTCGCATTCCCTCCCCTCCCCTCCCTTTCCTTCCCTTCCCTTCCCTTCCCTTCCCTTCCCTTCCCTTCCCTTCCCTTCCCTTCCCTTTCCTTTCCTTCCCTTCCCTTCCCTTCCCTTTCCTTCCTTCCTTCCTAAAACTCTTCGAAGCTTAATATTTAAAATAAAATAGTAGTTGGTGTACATGGTAGCAGTTCAAACATTTGAAAAAGTCTTCTTCCAAACATTTTACCCCCTTCCTAAAGGTAACCACTGATGCCAGTTTCCTGTGTATCCTTCCAAAAATATTTGTTGCATAGATTCTTGTGTTTTTTTCTTTTTTCCTCCCCTGGCTTTTAAAAAACAAATGGCAATGTACTGCACTCACTGCTATGTATGTTTTCTCCTTAATGATGAAGAGTGTAGATGATGCTAATAATAGTAGCTGATGTACTGACTTTTAGCTGTGTGCAAAGCCATGTTCAAAATACTTTACAAGTGTTAACTTGTTTGATCTTCACAACAACCCTAAGAAGTGGATATTATTAAAGTAGATTTTGGAAGACTGATCTATTTAATTATTAATAGATCTGTCTCATTCCTTTTTTCCCCCTAACTTTTCCTCCCAACTTTTTGAGAATTTTCAAGCATATAGAAAAGATGAAAGATTAGTAAAATGAACACTTGTTTATCTTTCATCTATTGTCACTAAGCCTAGTAAGTTTTGTTTAAAAATAGGTTCCCATATGTGTTTACCCATGTTCATGTGCACACGCACATTCACCTGCTTTTTAATTTCCAGATTGAGGTTTCCTCATTTCATAGACCAGATAGATAGAATGAATTTGAACCCTACTTACAAGAGAGTGTAGCTGTATTATAAATTTTCAGGGACTTGATAACATTTCCCCCACCCACATCTCCCATGGCCTGATATTAATAAGTATCACAGAGCAGTAAAGGTTTTAGCCCTAGTATACCATTCTGGATTTCTACTTTGTCTTAGATCTTTTAGCCCTGGAAATTTCCCATACTTTCTTGTGAGCTCAACTATATATTAAAAGATGTTTGTTATTTTTCATCTAAAATTTTTGGTGTATTGAATGAGGAGGGTTTATCTGCCATACTTGTAGAAGCTACACTTCATATACTTTGTGTTAATTTTATCTGTTGAGTCCTATTGATTATCTTATTCATGTTTTACTTATCTTTATCCAAGTCAATGATAATCATCTTACTTACAGTGGATAAATCCAAAGACCTTAATTGGCCTGTCTTCCTTTATCTGTGCCATAAATGGACCTTCTATAATAGCTTAAATAACAGTTATTGTATTGTCTTGTTTAATACTCCCAATGATGCTGTGAGGTAGGTGCTGCCATTAGCAGGATGGGGCAGGATCCAGGAGTGTGAACTTTTAACAAGCACCCCAGGTTATTCCTTTGCAGTTGATCTATGGATGACCCCATGAGTAACAGAGCCGTTATCTGGTGCGCCATTCCCTGCTATAGTGAAGACTCTCATAATATTTTCCGTTTATTTTTTTTGAGACAGGGTCTGTTGCCCAGGCTGGAGTGCAATGGTGCAATCATGGCTAACTGCAGCCTCAACCTCCTGGGCTCAAGAGACCTCCCACCTTAGCCCTCCCAAATAGCTGGGACTACAGGTGCACACCACCATGCCCAGCTAATTTTGTTTTTTGTTTTTTTTGTAGATAGGGGATTTTGCCATGTTGTCCAGGCTGGTCTCAAACTCCTGGGCTCAGGCGATCTGCTCACCTCAGTCTCCCAAAGTGCTGGGATTACAGGCATGACTCCTTGCATCCAGCCAAGACCCTCATAATATTTCACCTTGTCTATTACAACTGTCTTTTTTTGATTATTTTCTACCCCCTATCTCTCAACTTCAGTGAAGCTCCCATGCTGCTACCAGTTATCTTACTAAAACACACATTTTAATAAGAGCTTCTGATTTATAAATTCTTCTTTGGCTTTATGTTGACTATGGAATAAAACCTCAACTTATTACCATGACAGAAATTCTTCTTCCTTTGAGGATCTAATCTATACCTCTTTTTGTTTTTATAACTACTTTCTTCCCACTCCAGCCAACACACCAAATTTAAGCCCAATAAAATAACTTGATATCTCCTAAATGTGTCATGCTGTTTTATACTTTTAGGTGTTTGCACATGATATTCACTCTATTTTTAATTCCTTTCCTTGATTCACCCCTTACATTCTATAGAATTCTGCTTAGCCTTTAATACCTAGCTCAAGTATAGCATCTTTTACCCTTCCTGCCAACTCCTCCCAGGGGATGTAAGTATTTTCATGTTTTGAAGGACTTTGTACATTCATTTACTATAATTTTTCATATTATAATGTTTGTTTATATGCCTTTCTCACTAGATGGTGAGCTCTTTCAGAGGCCACAACTGCTACTTTGTTTCCAATAGATGATACATTATCTGAATATTAAATTATTATGAAACCAGACTTCTCTTAAAGTTGACATTGAGCTATTGACTTTTTCTAAGTACAGATATTCAGTTGTCTAAAAATCTAATTCTGTTGGCCAAGTCCAGCATAACTTTCTCAGTCTTTGTCTACAAGCACATTGTTACAACCTCGGGGCCTATCATATCCCTAATGCAATGTCTTTCTTAATTTGAAAATTAGTATGACTATTTCAATGGAAACAAATCCCAATTGGGAGATTTTTAAAATTACTTATATGTGTATGTATAGCATTCTCAGTGTTGACTAGATGTGCTTATCAGCAGTGCCAGAATTTTATGAAACATTTTTGCAGCCATTTTTCATCAAAGCATAGAAGCTTTCCCTACATTCTGCTCACTTTATTTTAATAGTTACCTTCTTCAATTCAGTTGCATCATCAGTGTTTATTTACCACTAAAAGATATTGAAAATTCCTAAAGTTTGAAGTTCTATCTTTTGTAAATTAAATGTGTGCTTCACCATATTTGCAAACCATGAGTTACTTCAAAGAAGGACTATTTGTAGAAGTTTTCATTCTGTGAAATTTCAGAATATGGAGTACCAGTTCATACTAATAGAAAATTTTTAAATGAGTATATAGTTTTCATACTTAATCCAGTTAGGTATTTCTTATTAAGTGTAAAATGCTTCAGAAAGCTTTACATAAATAGGAAATTAAATGGTCATTTGTTAGCATATGGCTACTTAATTTTCGAAAGGGAGTTAAGATTTTAGAAATTGTCGGCTATACAGTCAGGGTCCTGGCAGAAAACAGATGGCACACTTAAACCGGTGATGAAGATAATTTAATAAAAAGATTCTTTGTCAAGGTGTGGACAAGATGTAGGGATCCCAAAAAGGGAAGATGCAGAATTTCAGGGCTGCTGGACAAGGAGCAGGTATTACACCCCAGAGGGTAGTTGTATAGAGAGGGCACCTGACAAGGGGAGTGGCCATCAGCCAACCTGTGGGAACTCTGGAGGAGCCAGATCTCACTCTGCCTACGTTCCCAAGCTTCTGCCTACTGCCTTCTGTTGGGTGAACCCAACTGGAAGTTTGAGGGCAAGAGAGCTTATTGATAGGGTTCATGATGTCATCATGTTCCTGGGACACCAGTTGGGATTTAAAAAAAGTGGGAAAGGGGATCTGGAGGAGTACGTGGAAAATAGCAACCATATTAGCCGAAGTAAAAGGAACAGGAAAGGGTAAAGGCAAATGCTAGGGATATTGTACCATTTTTCTATAATTTTAAATTTTTTCTTTCATTTTAAAATTTCATGGCACAAGTCCTGGGAATGTTGTGCAAAAACCAAACAATGCATTGGTAATATAAGAGACAAATACCATGTATTTCAATACATTTCCATTTGAAACATTATTTTTCATTAATGCTAAGTAATATTTTTTTTGAAGGCCAACAAGAAATGTGAAGAGGCACGCCAAGAAAAAGAAGCAATGGTAATGAAATATGTAAGAGGTGAGAAGGAATCTTTAGATCTTCGAAAGGAAAAAGAGACACTTGAGAAAAAACTTAGAGATGCAAATAAGGAACTTGAGAAAAACACTAACAAAATTAAGCAGCTTTCTCAGGAGAAAGGACGGTTGCACCAGCTGTATGAAACTAAGGTATAACTTGTGCCATTTGAAATATGTTGACCTTATTTGAAATTTGTTCTCTTTGCTTTTCCATATTTAATCAAATAATCATAATTTAACATGGTTAACACTCAAACGTAAAGTTGTTTTTATTAGTTTACCTTCTAAAACCATGAATTTTTTAGTAATTCAAGTGTTCTATTACTTGTCTGCAGAGAAAAGGTTTGCTAGGGAAAAAATAAGTGTTGGCACATGTTGTTTATTAGATAACTTTTTCTTGAGCTTTCTAAAAACTTTCTTTTAAAATCTGTATGTTGGAGAAATTTGCATCTCAAGGGAAGATTATATTTTGGTAAAATATGTATATAGTAGTGTAAAATGAATAGTTTTAGAACCAGAAGTATAATTTGATATAATCTTAATATAACACATCACCATAGAAGAAAATTTATGTTTTTCTTACAGAAAAACATGTCTTTCTTAGATACTATCTAAAGAGATTTAGTTACTGAGCCAGCTATTCAGAACCCTTCCTGTTAACTAGCAGCCTCTCAATGGTCATATTTCCAGGGCATTATCATTTTTCAATGATAAATTTTTTTTTAATTCATTAGCTTTTAGTTCAGGAATATTGTCATTGTTCTCAGGAATTCTGACAAAACCAATTTAGTTCATATTTCACCTTAATGCCAGCCAGTTAAGAATCATAAAGATATGTTGTGTTGACAATACATCCAATTGGTTAAAATGTAAATGTAAATCATCTTTGTGTCTATTAATTGGATTTAGGATTTTACTACCCTCTTCTCATTTGGACTTTAAATAAGTTTTATAGTCTGTGGGCTATAGTGTGCCAGCCCTTGATTATAGTGTTACTGGACTGATTACTTTGTGGGGAATATAAAAGATATAATTAATTGATTCTATAAATGAAAATATATGACCTAGTGATATTATTTTAGGAAGGCGAAACGACTAGACTCATCAGAGAAATAGACAAATTAAAGGAAGACATTAACTCTCACGTCATCAAAGTAAAGTGGGCACAAAACAAATTAAAAGCTGAAATGGATTCACACAAGGTACGTACTGTAATACAATGGAATAATGATTAGAATGAGTTTTTTTGTTTTTGTTTTTGTTTTTGTTTTTTTTTTGAGACGGAGTCTCGCTCTTTCAGATTAGAATGAGTTTTAAGAGCAAATGCAATAACAGTTAATGAGGCATGAAGCTTAGTTTAGTGACCTGCAAGTTAGTTTGGACCTGAATATTTGGTGATTATGAAAAAGAAATGTCCTCACATTATTTACATATTAAATGGGGTGGGATGTTAAATTTTACTATTCATAGTTTGCAACACCCAAATTTGCCCTGTTCTTTAAGCATTTTTTGATATGCAAAATTTAAATAACACTGAGAAATTGGACGGGGGAGAATGTGTAAGTTTCCAAATTTGAATGTAAACTCTAGAAATTTTAAAAAATCAATGATGCTAAGATTTTATACTCAAAAAATATACATTCTTATTTAAATATAATATAAAGATTTTAAGAATAAGTTGCCTTAACTTTTTTATAAATATGACTCCATTGGTATTGTGCCTAGTGAATATAATTTTATTAAAAAGCTAATATAAGTAATTATAAAGGCTGATACCTGATGCCGTAATTTTAAGCACTAACTGAGCTGATATTAGAGGTAATAAAAATCTGAAGATGATAGAATGTGAAGTAAAAGAACAACTCTGAATTGTGACTTAAGAAGTGTAAGTTTATGAAAATATCAGTTTCCAGGTTTTCACAAACAGTCTTAATGATATTGGTTAAAATCATAATCGTGGATTACCGCATTAAATAGTTCTAAATCAGTAGAACTGCTAATAACCCTTGGTTATATTGTATTCTCTGATATAGCATTATCAGAGAAAACTGTAGGAGGAATAGTCTCTGTTGACAGTGGTCAAAGGTAGATTAGAGAATAGTGGGTTTCCCTCAAGTCTGAAGCTGACCTACTAATCAGCACATGTGTGAGGGAACTGCCAAGGCAGAGAAAGAATTTTCAGAAAGGAGGAGGATGACAGTCTCTGGAGCTCAACACGGCTAAGCCATCTAAATTTTCTCTTTACTTTGAGTTACAGAATGAGGAATTGAAATTCCAAATTCATAAAAACAGTAATGATTCTCAACTACCTGAGTTGCTTCAAGATCAGAACATCATACTTGGTCATGTCTGATATCTGTGGTACTTTCCTCATCTTCATCCAGAGTGCTAAGAGACAGGCTCCTGAAACCTGTTAGAATACTAGCACTTAGGAACAAAAGAACTGTTACAGATCTGTGTAAGAGATCTTAATGGCAGCTTTGAGCTCAGATGAAACCAGGTAGTCTGTAAATAGGTTAGAGAGGTGATTTAAGGCTGACTTCTGTAAGGTTACATGGTGCAGATTGCTAGAAAATGAACAAGCATATTGACTTGGTATGTAGAAATTCACTAGTTCTTTTTAACTAAAGGCATTTATTAACCAGCAAGCTTTGTGCATAACACTGTATTAGATAACTTGGAGGCTATAAAAGCCTTAGGAGACACAGTCGTTACTTTCAAAGAGTGTCCAAGATGGGCTCCCGGTTACTTGTTTTATGTATTTACCTATTGGATGTTGGAAGGAGTCCCTGGATCAAAGGATACAAGATTTAATAATCATGTGGTTATTATAGTCTACCTCTTGAGATGTGGGCAAGAGACACGAGACACTTAGTAAATTTTTCTTGAGGCACCCTTTCTGGTTTCTGGTTCCTGCCCACCAAGTCTTAGGTACTAATAATACTGCAGTCCTGTAGCTTACTGGATCCATTGTGATCAGTAGCTTCTGGTCAGACCCCCAGTGCATATTACCAGAACTTAAGAGTAGGTGGGCTGGCTACCCAGATCATCAGACTACCCAAGAGAAACAATTTGTTTCCTTCCCTAAACTCCTTTGGGATTTAACTGAAAATGTGTTTTAAACACCTAGCCTGTAAAAACAGAAGCCTTTTATTTGGAGTACAGTAAATAAAGATGAATTTCCCCCAGTGTACCTCATCTACTTGTTTGCCTACCTGGTTGCTACTTATTCACCTACCTGATATCAGGATGAGATAATCTCACTGAACGTATATACGGCTAGCAATAGATGTGGCTGTGGTTCTTTGGCTGCCATGGTTTGACTATGCTGGGTGCTTGCCAGACATAACTGCTTCAGAGAAAGCTAGAAGAATATTCTTGGACCCAGAAGCTAGACCAGCAGGAGGTTGTAGATGGTAATATAGTACAGGCCTAATGTGTGACAAGGGCTTGGTGTATTTTATGATATGTTCTGTACACTAGGTCACCCGAGGTAAGACTGTTGCTTAATAAGCTCTTCTCCCGAGGCTGTCGTGTTGTCAGTGATAGTGTCATTCTTAAATGGTTTGTTTACTCAGAAGGCCCAGTCATTAGAAGCCAGAATGGGCTTCTTATTTGCTTTGCCATTTTATCTCACTTAATAAAACTATATTCTATGTTCTATAACTGTAGTGTTCTATAACTGTATTCTATTGACTATATTGTATTATGGAATAACAAGGTCCAAATTTACCCTTCTACCTTAAAAAACAAAAGACAAAATATATGAAATGAAGGCTTTCAGACTTGAGACAACAGGCAGCATAGGACAGTGATCTCTGAGTGAAGGGAAACAAATGAGGTATTCCTGGAGAGTTCCAGTCTGCAGAACAAGAAGAACCTGGACAGCCCAGCAGTCTACCTGAATTGAGGAGATAGAGTTCAAAATATGGGGAACCAAGGCAGAGTCCCAGAAAAGAGAAAAATACAACAATGTGCAGTGAGTTCCCTTCAAGTCTTCAGCTGACTACTGATCAGTACATGTGTGCGTGCGTGCGTGTATGTGTGTGCGTGCGTGTGTGTGTGTGTGTTAAGAGAGGAAACTACAGAGGAGGGGGAAGAAATAGGGGCAACAATCCCTAGAGCTCCCACAAGGCTAGGAAATTGTTCATGTTTCCATCAGTCAAAGAGAAATGACCTCTCAACACACATCAGGCAGGGCTGCATCAAGCAGCCCCCAGAAGGTTATTGCTTTAGTTGTGAGGATGAATTTGCCTTAGATTAAGTCTGTTATAAATCTGCCTTAACAAAACTTTAAAAGCAAGCTTCAAATAATTTGTTTCAAGTAAATTTACTATGTCCCAAAACAAAGGCCCAAAATATTTAAATGACTACGAAGAACTCTGGCACCTAAAAGCATAAATTTACTGTGTTTGGCATCCAGTCAAAAATTACCAGGCATGCAAAGAGGCAGGAAAATGGAGCCCATCATGAGAAGGAAGGAACACTAGATCAGTAGGAACAGATCCAGGCACGGTGTCTCACACCTGTAATTCTAGCACTTGGGGAGGCTGAGGTGGGAGGATTGCTTGAGGTCAGGAGTTTGAGACCAGCCTGGGCAACATAGCGAGGTCCCCATCTCTACACAAAGAACTTTAAAAATTAGCCAGGTGTGGTGGTGTATGCCTGTAGTCCTAGCCACTTGGGAGGCTGAGATGGGAGGATCACTTGAGCCCAGGAGTTGAAGCTATGATCATGCCACTGCACTCCAGCCTGGGCAACACAGCAAGATCCTGTCCTGTGTCTTAAAAAAAAAAAAGATTCAGAAATGACATAAATAATAGAATTAGTAGACAATGAGGCAATGATGTTAAAGCAGCTCTTATAAATACATTCCATATGTCCAAGGAGATAGACAAAAGCATGAGTATGATAAGGAGAGACATGAAAGAGAAAAAAAACAGATTGACATAATGTCTGAACTGAAAAATACATTGGATGGAATTAATAGCAGATTAAAAACTGCAGAGGACAAGATTAGTGTACTTGAAAACATAGGAGTAGAAAACTATATGCTAGTGACTCCCAGATTTACAACTTCTACCCAGAACTCCAGATTCATATATTTAGCTGCTTATTTGACATCCAACATCTTGAACGACTTAAGGCAACTCCAGATTCATATATTTAGCTGCTTATTTGACATACGACATCTTGGATGACTTAAGGCATCTTAAACTTAACATGTCTAAAATTGAACTAAAAATGTACCCTTTCCTCCATTGCTTTCCTATGTCAATAAATGACAATCCATCCATCTCATTCCATCTCATTGCTCAGGCCAAAAGCCTTGGATTTATCCTTAATTTCTCAGTTAGCATATCCAGTCCTTCAGCAGATCTTCTTGCTCATGTCTTTTTAGTCTGTACTCACCTAGCACCTTCTCAATGAGACTTTCCCCAGGTATTCTATCTAAACTTTCATCTCTCCAAACTTTCATTCTATCCGGACTTTCTCATGTCCTTGCTTTATTTTTATTCCTTAGCACTTGCTACTAGTATGTTTTACTTATGTATTGTATTTAGTGTCTCCATTACTAGAATATGAGCTTCATGAAGGTGAGATTATGTTTGTTTTCTTATACAGTATGTCCCTGGAGCATAGAACAATGCCTGGTGCATAGATGCCCAGTGAATACTGAATGAATGAATAAGTGAAACACAGTCAATACCTTAACCAAAACATTTAATGTGATTCTCACTTTTCCCTTACTCATTTATTTAATAAATATTTATTTGGCATATGGGAATCTCTCAATTGCTATTTTTTGAGCGAATGAAGTGCTTACTATGTGCCAGGCTCTTTTTAGTTATTAATGATATAGTAGTAGAAAAACATATATAAAGTTCCTTCTCTCTGTCTCTTTTTCTCCCTCCCTGTCCATTGAGTCTAGTATTTTAAAAAGTCAATATTTGAAAAAATAAATAATTGCTTATATTTTAAAAGTGGTACTAAGTTTTAATACAAGTCAAATTATTATTAAAAACTAGCAACTGAAAATATATAACTTTCAGTACTTACATGGTAGATTTATTTTTTTTAATGACATGTAAGAAACAGTTTATTTTTGTTTTTTTTTCTTTTCTTTTTTTTTTTTGAGATGGAGTCTTGCTCTGTTGCCTAGGCTGGAGTGCAGTGGTGCGATCTTGGCTCACTGCAACCTCTGCCTCCCAGGGTCAAGCGATTCTTCTGCCTCAGCCTCCTGAGTAGCTGGGATTAGAGGCATGCACCACCACACCCGGCTAATTTTTGTATTTTTAGTAGAGACTGGGTTTTGCCATGTTGGCAGGGTTGGTCTTCAACTCCTGACCTCAGGTGATCCATCTGCCTCGGCCTCCCAAAATGCTGGGATTACAAGCATGAGCCACTGCACCTGGCCTATTAATGCAATTTAGATGGTTCAAGAGATGCAGGGAAAGGCATTCCCATGTGGAGGAACAGCAAAAAAAAAAAAAAGGAACAAAGGGAGATGAGTATTGGGTATTTGGGGAACCCAACCTAACTAGAGGCTTATATTAGATATTCCTGTATTAATTCAACAGATAGTAGTCGAACAATTAATATGTGGCAAGTATTGAGTTAGTCGCTATCGAGAAGCTATATGCTGTATTAGGGGAACATATAAGCTATAGTATAATGTATTGATCATTAGAATCCAGGGCATGCCTAAATTATATCTATGGAAAAGCAGAGTAGGCGGCATCTGATCTGCCTTTTTTCTGAAGGGAAGCTACTGAGAGGAGATGATACCAAAAGTCCCATTTGAAATCCACATGATAAGCAAAACCATGGATCAGTTTGCTTAGGGAGAATTATGAAGAAAGAGCTCCATGGCCAGGCTGTATCTTGGAAAATCACCACAGGAAGTAAAAGCCAGTCAGGGAACAATGAAGAGGGCAGAAAGAGAAGGAGAATATTGTCCTGTAATGGAAACAGGAAGGATATTGAAAGAGTCAGGGGTGATCAGAACCGGAGCAAGTAAGTAAAGAATAAGAAGAAGAAGAAGTAATTGGATTTAATACGGGTAGCCCCTGAAAACTTTCAGAGTTGCCATCTTAGGAGAATGGTTAGGAACAGAAACCAAATTGCAGCATCAGTCTATAAAAAGACAGTTTGGGAGGCTGAGACAGGTGGATCACCTGAGGTCAGGAGTTTGAGACCAGCCTGGCCAAAACCTATCTCTACTAAAAATACAAAAATTAGCTGAATGTGGTGGCACATACTTGTAATCCCAGCTACTCAGGAGGCTGAGGCAGGAGAATCACTTGAACCCAGGAGGCGGAGGTTGCAATGAGCCGACATCACACCACTGTACTCAAGCCTGAGTGACAGAATGAGACGCTGTCTCCAAAAAAAAAAAAAAAAAAAAGTTTTTATGTTTTGTTTTGTTTTGTTTTGTTTTGTTTTGTTTTGTTTTTTTGTGACAAAGTCTCACTCTGTTTCCCAGGCTGGAGTGCAGTGGTGCAGTCTCGGCTCACTGCAACTGCTGCCTCCTGGGTTCAAACAATTCTCCTGCCTCAGCCTCCCGAGTAGCTGGGATTACAGGTGCCCACCACCATGCCTGGCTAATTTGTGTATTTTTTTTATTTTTTTTTTTTTTTTTTTTTTTTTTTTTTTTTTTTGAGACCGAGTTTCACTCTTGTTGCCCAGGCTGGAGTACAGTGGCGCAATTTCGGCTCACCGCAACCTCCGCCTCCTGGGTTCAAGTGATTCTCCTGCTTCAGCCTTCCTGAGTATCTGAGGTTACAGGCATGCGCCACCACACCCGGCTAATTTTGTATTTTTAATAGAGACGGGGTTTCTCCATGTTGGTCAGGCTGGTCTCAAACTCCCGACCTCTGATGATCTGCCCACCTCAGCCCCCCAAAGTGCTGGGATTACAGGCATGAGCCACCATGCCTGGCCAATTTTTTTATTTTAGTAGAGACGGGGTTTCACCATGCTGGTCAGGCTGGTCTCAAGTTCCTGATCTTAGGTTATCCACCCGCCTCCACCTCCCAAAGTGCTGGAATTACAGGCGTGAGCCACCACGTCCGGCCAAAAGACGGTTTTAAATAGATACCACAGCCGTAAACCAAAGAATTGTCTTTGATGTGTGTGTACAAAGAACTTAACACTTTGCTCATCTTATCAGGTTAGTAACTTCTAGTAATTTGCTGAAAACTGTCAAATTTAACTGTATTTAATGGCTATTAGTTAACTCTACAGATCATTTTAATTTTTTGTCAGAAACATAAAATATTATTGCTAGAATAATAATCGGCCCCTCAGTGACAGTGCTAGGACAAGAACCTTCCTACTTGCCGGTCACTTCTTACCATTCATCACGTTGCTGTACCCAACTGTGTCTCTGTCTTTTGTCAATGCAGGAAACCAAAGATAAACTCAAAGAAACAACAACAAAATTAACACAAGCAAAGGAAGAAGCAGATCAGATACGAAAAAACTGTCAGGATATGATAAAAACATATCAGGTATGCATAACTTTTAAAATAGATTAGTATCAAATTTTAGCAAATATCAGTTCTCTCTTTTTCTTTTTTTAGATGGAGTCTCGCTCTGTCGCCCGGGCTGGAGTTCAATGGCACAGTCTCGGCTCACTGCAACCTCTGCCTCCCGGGTACAAGCGATTCTCCTGCCCCAGCCTCCCAAGTAGCTGGGATTACAAGTGCCTGCCACCACACCTGGCTAAATTTTGTATTTTTAGTAGAGAGGGGGTTTCACTATGTTGGCTGGGCTGGTCTCGAACTCCTGACTTCGGGAGCCACCCGCCTCAGTCTCCCAAAGTGCTAGGATTACAGGCATGAACCACTGTGCCTAGCCAGTTCTCTTGTTTCATTAAATTTCTATATGTGCAATATTCTACATCTGCATATGGAATGTACTTTGTTGGGCAGGCAGTTAAATGAAATGCAGGTTATTTCCAATGTTAAAGTACCTGCAACTTAAATGGATTTTATAAGAGAACTTTTCCAACAAATAAAAACCCTAGAAAATGTCAGAAGAATGAAGAGTGCAAGGAAATGTATAACTTTAGGTTAATAACCTAATAACTTAGGTTAATAATTTTAGGTATACTATGTATTTCACAATTAATAAACTTAATTGCAATGCTTTCTTTTCAAAGTATAAAACTTTAACCCATTTCCTATTTAGAAAAAAAGTGCAGCTTGCTGCCAGCGCTCATTTAATTTTACATAAACACACTCGAGGATGAAACAAATCTGACTGATTTTCAGTGGAAGATAAAATAAAAAAACTGTTCTTGGAGTTATTTCTAAACAGAACTTGTCTCTTATCCTAACGTAACAGAAATGTATATGATGCTACATTAGGATTAGAGACGAGTATTCTCAGGGCAAACGGGAAATGGGTTAAAAATTGTCACACTTTTTTTGTTTTCTTTCCACTAGGAGTCAGAAGAAATTAAATCAAATGAGCTTGATGCAAAGCTTAGAGTCACAAAAGGAGAACTTGAAAAACAAATGCAAGAAAAATCTGACCAGCTAGAGGTGAGTAGTTTTGCTCTTTATATATCCTAAGTTGCATAATAAATACAGAAAGAGAAATAGTGAGAACTTATTGCTATCTACTTTTAAGGCCTTTTGGAAGGAACAGGCAATAAATCTTAGATATAGTTTAGCACATTATGATTTGTTGTTTCTTTTAAACTTTTTTAAAGATGCATCATGCCAAAATAAAGGAACTAGAAGATCTGAAGAGAACATTTAAGGAGGGTATGGATGAGTTAAGAACACTGAGAACAAAGGTAATTCAGTCTTTAGTCATGAATCCAGAGGAAGGGTAAATATCTTAAATTTTGAATTCATTCTGATTTTTAAAGTGGTGGGGAAAGGACATTAATATAGAAATGTTCCATAATAAAGGAACTCAGTAGAGTAGAGGAGCAATTTCCTAGCAACTTCTTTTGTTGAAAGGAAAATGTCTTCCATGTTAGTCCCTTTGAAGTGTTTGCCAAACATTACTATTTCACAGCACATTTGCTGTGTCTATAGCTTATCCTTGGGCTTCTCATCTAAAGGCAGTCTCATCAACGAATCAATTGGAAAGATAGTTGGACCTTAGAACTGTGTCAGAAAATAACAGGAAGGCTATATTTTTCCTGGATATATTTAATAGATGGATAGTTTTAATGGCCAATAATCTGTTAAGTCCTCTTCGTGTTTATAGTCTTTATTGTAAGATTAGTATGTCTTCTAATATGAATATGAATGTGTATCATTCATTTATTTAGAAGTAGTCCTTTAACCACCCTGAATTTGAGGTCACTTAATAATTTTAAATTGTTTTTCATACACCTTCTTATTTGTTCTTCTTGCCAGTTTTTTGAGGTAGAGGAGATATATTCTTTTTCAGGTGAGGAGATGGTGATTCAGTAAAAAGTGAAATGACATGCTAAAACTCCCATGACTGAATCATAAGAAATCTGAGACTAAAAGCTAGGATTGTAAACTTCGCATTATATTTTCTTCACGTTAATGGTGCTTTAGAATTTTTAGATTATTCATATGTAACCACTATACAAAATAGTTTATAAAGAACAAGAATACATGGTTTGTAACTTGGTTGTGATCATTTGATAGGTGAAATGTCTAGAAGATGAACGATTAAGAACAGAAGATGAATTATCAAAATATAAGGAAATTATTAATCGCCAAAAAGCTGAAATTCAGAATTTATTGGACAAGGTGAAAACTGCAGATCAGCTACAGGAGCAGCTTCAAAGGTACAAAATGAGCAACTTCTGTTTGTATTAATAAGCAAGCTTTTAAATTTTATTTCAAGATTTTCTAAATGCAGTTATTGCATTAAACAAAAAATTTTACAATTTTACTAGCTGAAATTTTTAAATATTTTCTCTTTATCTGAACTTCTTTGGATTATCTTTTGAGTTCTGTCATGGCTTCTAAAAATCAAAGTTTATATTCCTTAAACATTGGTAGTGGCAATTTATAAGACAGAATAGGTTGAGTCTCTTATCCATTCCTTAGCTTTCAAATTCTGTTACTTATGCACAGTGTTTACTTTTTCTTCTAAAAGGTAAATCTTGCTCTAGATCTTCGCACGTGTGTAGCTTAAGATCCGGAGCTGACATTATTCCTTGGCTCCTTATAAAACCATTTAAGTAAACTCTACTTGTGACATTACCAGACAGAACCTGGATTCAGTTTGAAGCCAGATAGCTTCTTTTCCACACCTTGCTGATAACTAAGCTGCTGAGTGTTGCTAAAAAAATCCTTACCATCATTTAGATTGATTCTGCTAATAAATTCATGGTCACTAACCTGAACTGGAAATATTAATGCACCTAATCTTACCATGTGTCTTTGGTCAGAGGTTCTCCACCATCTTCTAGCATCTTTTCTAAACCCTACCATTTTCTTCACACTTCAGTTTTTCCTCTTACCTTTCTATTTACTCTTGGCAAGTGTTTACTTCTTCACAGAAAAAATGGGAGCTGTCAGGTGACAGTTGTCTCAACGTTTTGCCATCAGTCCCATGAACTGCCTGCATCTGCAGCCATATTTTCTGCTGTTATCATGGAAGAAACAATCTTGTTATCATGGAAGAAACTCCTCTGAATCAAATTAGTCTTTCTACTTCCGCTATGGATTTCATCTCTTCTGACTTTTTGGGTTCTGTCTTGATTATTCTTCTTTATCCTTTATGTCTTACCTTTCTCCACTTTCTTTTTCTTTCTACATTTAAACATAATTGTCTTTTAAAAATATCAAAACTCCTGTGGCTTTGCCCTGCCAGCTTTTCTCCTTTCCTTTGCAGCCAAACTTTATATAATCTTCTGTATTCATTCTCCGTTTCCTCACTTCCTATGTTCTGTACCTCTCCACTTCATTCTAGCTTTTACCCCAACATTTTATTAAAAATTACTGATGTATCCCTGCATATGGTAGACACATTTCAGACCCACCCTTGCTTGAATTCTTATCATCTTTTAACACTGTCGAATTCAGTTGTCTTTCTTGATAGGCTTGTTCCTTTGGCTTCATTTCCATCACATGCTGATGTTCCTCTCACCTTTTTGGCAACTCTCTCTCAATCTCCTTGGCAGGCTTCTCTTTCTCTCATAATGCCCTCTTGTTCTAATTTTATTGTAACTTTGGGTGATCCCAACTATTTTTATAGTATGCTGCAGGACTTTTGAGTCATTATCTTTAGCCCTTTTCACTAAGCTCCAGGCACAAGTATTAAAGATACCTCAAACTTTAGCATTTCCAAAATCGGTTTCTCTGTCCCATGCTTCTCCTCACATGTTCCTAGGATGAATGATGAGTGCAGCATCCATGTGACTGTCCAGCTTAGCAGGCTGGGGGCCATCCTCAGCTCTTCTTTCCTTCCCCTCACACATCTAACCAGTCACAAAGTATTAGTGATGCTAAGTCTGTAACATCTGTCAAGTCCATTCACTTTTTACTTCCCTGCTGCTACTACCATAGTCCAAGCTATTAGCAGCTCTCACCTGGAAAACTGCCACAGTTTGTATTTTTTCTGCTTATATCCTCTCTAATCTGTTTTCCACACTATGGTTAGTATAATCCTTTTTAAAAGGAAATTTCAAAACTCTTCATTGATTTCCCACTGCCTCAGAGATTGTCTAGTGAGTTCCATTGCCTTAGCATGGCTTGTAAGATTAGTGACCTGTCCCTTGCTGCTTCCATGCCTTCCCTTTTTTCACCCTTGTATTTCAGCTGTAGTTGATTAACAGATGTTTATGGATTGTTTCCTATTTCCCAAACCCTGTGTTAAGTGCTAGGGATATAGTACAGTCTTTCTCTTCATCAATATTGAACATCTGTTAGGACCAACAAGAAGCCTCTTATTCCCTTCCCAGTTTTTAGCACATACTGTTTGTTCCCTTTACCTGGAGCATATTTTGTTCTCCAGTAACTCCTGCTTTGCCTTTAGGTCAGGGATCAACCATGGCTTACAAAACAAATCCAGCCCACTACCTCTTTTAGTAAGTGAAGTTTTTTTGGAACACATCCACACTCATTCATGTAATATCTGTGGCAGTTTTCATAGTACAATGGCAGAGTGGAACAATTGCAGCAAAACCATATGACCCAGAAGCCTAACTTATTTACTATCTGATCTTTTACAGGAAAAGGTTGCTGACTCCTGCTTCAAGTATTAGTTTGAGCATCACTTACACTAGTTTAGGCAAACCCACTCTGTGCTTTTATCATAAAAAATGTTTTTTTACACATATAATTTCCACACTTGACTAAAAGCTCTTTGAAAGCAGAGGCCATGTTGGTCTTGCTCACTTTTCTTTCCAGCTCTTATTTCCTGGCATATATTAGGCATTTATAAATATTTGGATGAATGAATAGAAGTACCTTTATTAAGCATTTGACTAGATGAAAATTCCCAAACCATTAATTTAATGTCTTTTAATGGTTTATTTTTTCTTAAATATAAATTTTGTGTTTTAGAGGTAAGCAAGAAATTGAAAATTTGAAAGAAGAAGTGGAAAGTCTTAATTCTTTGATTAATGACCTACAAAAAGACATCGAAGGCAGTAGGAAAAGAGAATCTGAGCTGCTGCTGTTTACAGAAAGGCTCACTAGTAAGAATGCACAGCTTCAGTCTGAATCCAATTCTTTGCAGTCACAATTTGATAAAGTTTCCTGTAGTGAAAGTCAGTTACAAAGCCAGTGTGAACAAATGAAACAGACAAATATTAATTTGGTAAGTATAAATTTACATTTTTTTTAAAACAACGTAACAAGCACAAATTAAATTTCCCTAACAGTATAAAAGTAATAGTAGTTGAATTAAGTTCTTTCCTGGACACTGACTTTCTGACAATTTCAACTGCTGTAAGAAATGTCAGTTTTTCCTCAACTGTTATAATTTATAATAAAATTTCTTCCTAAAATGATTATGAATAATATTTTACTTTTGAAAATGAGAAAACTGGTTTGTGTCCTTCCTGACTAGAATCACTGTATATTTTTAAAAGGTACTTTAAATTTCTATTTTTATAATTTATGAGAGTGTCTTCAAGTTACTCATAAAAATGATTTGAGACTTTAGTCCAAAAATTCAACAACCTGTATCACATGTTGCTTGGTATGTATAGAATGACATTCTCCTTAATGTATCCCCCTGCTTTTCTATATGAGAACTGTGAGAAGCTCAAGTAAACAAAAGCTGATAAGGAATAATAATAGAAGAATCTCCACTGTCAAGAACCTTAGATTGTTAAGGTTATATAAACTGAGCATTAATGGAAACAAACATACTAAAATTGGTGGTTTTTGTTTTACTTACTATTCAGGAAAGTAGGTTGTTGAAAGAGGAAGAACTGCGAAAAGAGGAAGTCCAAACTCTGCAAGCTGAACTCGCTTGTAGACAAACAGAAGTTAAAGCATTGAGTACCCAGGTAGAAGAATTAAAAGATGAGTTAGTAACTCAGAGACGTAAACATGCCTCTAGTATCAAGGATCTCACCAAACAACTTCAGCAAGGTATAAAATTCTTCCACACTTAGACCATGAATGTGTTTGTTTCTTTTAATCATTAGGATTTTATTTTTTGTGATTCTGCCACATTGATTGAAGCTGTATGTTTTCTTTGTTAATATTAGTAAACCAAATTGTTAAACTTCTTGGAATTTCATGACCGATCTTTTATCCTAAAGGATATCTTGTATGCTAAAGGACATTTACTCACAGAATCACAAAACATGAGAATTGGGAAAGCAATGTTAGGGCATTAGTATCTAAACTTTTGATCACATACTCCTGTCAATAAAAAGTGCTTAGGCATTTGTTATCCAATTTAGATATGTTTATTTATACATTTTAAACATGTGTTAGTCTTTTATATATATTAGAACATATGAAAAATAGAAATTTAAAATAATCTATTTTTAAATATCAGTATAAATAGCAGTTCTGATATCTTCTTTTACATTCCTGTGATTTCTTTTGTGCTGCATCTAGGCTACCGGCATCTAGGGTGCAGATACCCGAGATGCGTCCTCTGACTTGGAAATCGTTGCGACTTAACTCTTCACCTGGGTTTCAAGAAACAGACCCCAGAAAGTTATAAATTACCCAGACATAACAATTGACTGCTGAACTGGATTCCAGATTTCTTTCTTTTAAAAAGTCATACAGTCATTGGGTGTCTGTGCTATATGCTTGGGATACAAAAATAAATAAGACACGTATTTCAACCTCCTATTCTCTACTATTTCTCACGGCTTTATTTGTGTTAAAATAGGGTGAAATATAGTAATAAGCTAAAAGGGACTTAGCATTTACTTAATACAAATATATTCAGATATTTGCCATAGAGTTTAGTTTGTTTTTATAGATGTAATTGAAGGGAAATTTGGAAGAAATTTCTGGTACTGTAAGGAACTTCTAAATCTTTCAATACTTTAAAAAGTTAACTCCACTGTAATTAAGTGATGCCAGTGTCAGTTATAATGTTGTTTCTGTATATTTTGTACTTGACTTTTACATTTCCAAATGACATTTTATATGAATGACATAGCCCTCTGCCTAAAGTATGTATTCAAGAACTTTCTCTTGTCTATGCCATTTTTGCCTCAGTGATTTTAGCAATTAAAGTCAGAGATGGTAGGAGCAAATGGTCCTGATAATTGTGACGAATAATCTTCTTTTTCCTATAGCACGAAGAAAATTAGATCAGGTTGAGAGTGGAAGCTATGACAAAGAAGTCAGCAGCATGGGAAGTCGTTCTAGTTCATCAGGTAAAAAACTAGTGGCTCTAGTTGTTATTTCATGATTGATATAAAAATAAATAGCATTTTTGGCCAGGTGTGATGGCTCACACCTGTAATCCCAGCACTTTGGGAGGACGAGATGAGTGGATCACCTGAGGTCAGAAGTTCAAGACCAGTCTGGCCAACATGGAGAAACCCCGTCTCTACTAAAAATACAAAAATCAGCTGAGTGTGGTAGCTCACGCCTGCAATCCCAGCTACTCGGGAGGCTGAGGCACGAGAATCACTTGGAGGTGGAAGTTGCAGTGAGCTGAGATCGCATCACTGCACTCCAGCCTGGGCAACAGAGCAAGACTCTGTCTCAAAAAATAAATAAATAAATAGCATTTTTTATTTTAAAAAGTATTGATATGCTTTGTTTCATTTTGAAGTATGAAAAATTGTGGTTATATATAATTATATTGTAAAAAATGTTTCTGGTTAAATATTTAAGTTCTACTCATGACCTGGGGTTTCAGATTTGTCATGGGGTTCTATGTGATGATCTGTCTCCCTACCTTCTTTTTTATTCGTTGTGTTTTCTTTTTCTTTCTTTTTTTTTTTGAGACAGGTCTTAACTCAGTCACCCAGGCTGGAGTGCAGTGGTGTGACTTTGGCTCCCTGCAGCCTCAATCACAATCTTCCCACCTCAGCCTCTCAAGTAACCGGAACTATAGGCACTTGCCACCACGCCTAGCTAATGTTTATTTTTTGTTTTTATGTTTTTGTTTTGTTTTTTGTATAGACAAGATCTCACTATGTTGCCCAGGCTGATCTTGAACTCCTGGCTTCAAGTGATCCTCCCACCTTGGCCTCCCAGAGTTCTGGGATGACAGGCTTGAGCCTCCGCGCCCAGCCCCTTCTTTTTTCTAGCCTGCTGCTGCTTTATTCTGTGCAACAGCTTCCTCTTCCGTTTTTTAAAATTGAAATTTACGTTAATTCATACAAAGAGATTTGGTGTACAGTGGTCTCTCTCTTTTTCTTTTAACACCCAAGAACAAATGAAGATGTCATCATTGTGTATCAGATTTTTACATATATGTGCACATGTATATATTTTTACATCTTTTAGTTTTTCTCATGATATACCTATGTCCTAAAGTAAAAATGGGTAGAGTCTATAAAATTATGATTGAACCCATTGTGAAAATGATAATTAGCAAAATATCAGTGTTTGTGTCTTTTTTTGGAATGCCAAGAACCATGCTAAGCACTTGAAACATACCATTTACCCTGCAAAAAATTCATGTGAGGTAGGTATTATAATTCCCATTTTACAGATAAGGAAACCAAGATTCAGAGAGGCTGCATGATTCACCCAAAATCCACAGTGAGAACTCTTTGACTCCACAGTCCTTGCTTGGCAGTACACTATATTGCCTCCCAGAGGTTGCACATTAGGAGAAAACCATCATCAGTTGTTACAATAGTGGGAAAAAATGTGTAGTAGAAAGAACATGGATTTGAAATTATAGACATGTATTTAGATCCCAGCTCTGCCATTTATTCATTATATAACTTTGGATAAGATATATTACTTAAAGCTATAAAATCGGATTGGAAAAAACTAATCTTTGTAGGGTAAAGAGGATCAGATTCTTCTCATTGATGTTGGTAAAAGTAATACCTAACACTACATAATGCTTACTATATGCCTTTTTCTAAGCATTTCACATGTATTCATTTAAATGAGGATAACAATCCTGTGAGGTAAATAATATCATTTATGCCATTTTAAGATGACATAACCAAGGCACAGAAAATTAAATACCTTGTCCAAAGTCACACAGTTAGTAAGTAGAGGAGTAGTATTTGAACCTAGACAGGCTGTCCTCAGAGCTTAACCCACTATATTCTAACCTCTCTTTTTCTGTCTCCTCTCATACCTCTGTTCCTCTCCTCCCTTCCTCCTCCTCTCTGCTTTGTTCTGTTATAGTTTAATTTTGGTCTCACTTTAGACTTGTTATTCTTTTTGAGATCCTTGTTGCTCTATTACCACTTCCTGAGAGATACAGTATAGACCCTGTTGGTACTTCTGTCACCAGTATATTCAGAAACCAGAACCTCAGCCACGTTGACCTGTGTTGTCTTCTGTGTCCAACTCTGTTAGAGTGAATATTTGAAATGATGCTGGAATAAGTAATATATGAGATGAGAGGTGATGTTAGATTAAGCACAGTATCTAAACCAATTTTTTTTGTCTTCAGGGTCCCTGAATGCTCGAAGCAGTGCAGAAGATCGATCTCCAGAAAATACTGGGTCCTCAGTAGCTGTGGATAACTTTCCACAAGTAGATAAGGCCATGTTGATTGAGAGAATAGTTAGGCTGCAAAAAGCACATGCCCGGAAAAATGAAAAGATAGAATTTATGGAGGACCACATCAAACAACTGGTGGAAGAAATTAGGAAAAAAACAAAGTATGTATTATTACGGTAGCATGATCGGTCTTCAAAATACCGTTACTCATATAGCAAAGTTACTGTTTTTAAAATTAGTCATATCAAGAACCTATCTTTCAAAAAATAATTATAGTTATTCAGTTCCCAGTCTTTTATGGTCACCTATTATGTTCTAGGTTTTGTGAATACTAAGATGAAATAAAACACGTCTTTCCTTTAAGGTGATAGAGAGTTCAGTCAGTGTTAATATTTTTAAGATACTTAAACAACTTTAGATTTTAAAAAGATAATGCTTTACTTAGCTTTTTATTTTCATGACTGTGGCTCTAAGAGGTATATATGGGGTTGTGGATTTTTTTTCCTGTTGGGTAGGATGTAGTGGGATAATTTATTGAGTACCTAGTAGTACAAGGCGCTGTGCCTGTGGCTTGGCGGTATCTCATTGATTGCTTACAACCACTCAGTGCGTGAGTTCTCTAATTTTGCAGATAAGTGGGGCTCAGGTCACATCACTAAATGTTCCAGGGTCACCGTTCATCCCCTGTGTGACAGACCTAGAGCTGGAGATCCAAACCCAGCTCTGAGTAACTCAGGAGTGCTGCGCCAAATTCCTCTCACAAATTCTGTTTTATGTAAATAAAAGTTTTTTTATATTGTGGGCCTTTTCCAATGACTTTTTAATTTTTATTTTGAAATAATTTTAGACTTATAGGAAAGTTTGCCTGTGACTTTTAAAAGAAAGAGCATAAAGTACAGCAAGTTGTAAGTCTAATAAGAGGAAAACAGAAAATATTAACAGAAATTGAGCAATAAAGAAATTGCTCAGCTAGGTATGGTGTCTCACACCTGTAATCCCAGCACTTTGGGAGGCCGGAGGCCGAGGCAGGAGGATTGCTTGAGGCTAGGAGGTCAACCAGCCTGAGCAACATAGCAAGACCCCATCTCAAAAAAAAAATTATTCAGGCATGGTGGTACATGTCTGTGGTCCTAGCTGCTCAGAAGGCTGAGGCAGGAGGATCGCTTGAGCCGATGCAGTGGAGGCTGCAGCGAGCTATGTTTGTGTCACTGCACTCCAGCCTGGGTGACAAAATGAGACCTTATCTCTTTAAAAACAAACAAAAAAGCTCAACTTTTGATTAATAAGGAAAGAAATAGAAAAGCAATGTTTATATGTCTTTACTCCGAATGCTACAATAGAACAAAAATGAGATAGTTTAAGAAACCATCTGAATAAGGAGAATTCTTTTCTAATATAGTTAGGTTATTAACCTAATATTTATTTTATGCTTATCTTTATGATTAGTTGACTTTTGCAGATTCCATTTTTTTTAATTCTACAAGTACACAACTGATACTATCATTTTGTTTTGCAGAATAATTCAAAGTTATATTTTACGAGAAGAATCAGGCACACTTTCTTCAGAGGCATCTGATTTTAACAAAGTTCATTTAAGTAGACGGGGTGGCATCATGGCATCTTTATATACATCCCATCCAGCTGACAATGGATTAACATTGGAGCTCTCTTTGGAAATCAACCGAAAATTACAGGCTGTTTTGGAGGATACGTTACTAAAAAATATTACTTTGAAGGTATTTGTGTTTCTCATTCACACACCAACCAGTAAACATGGCAAAATGATGCCTGTTTCACAGTCTGATCTAGCAATCAGCTGGGCTGTTTCTGTAATGCAAGGCAGTCATTTTACCCAAAGATGAAGTTTCGTGATTTTCTCTTTTTAAAAAGTATAGTTTTTTATATTAGGAAAGATGAAAAATAGCAAAAATTAATTTTGTATTTGACAGACACTAAGATGTCATTAAATTTGCATTGGATGGGCTTTGACATATAATTAGTTTTGATTGCTAAAATAATTTTTTAAGATTATGACATTTCTGATTTATTTTTCAGCTTTATTTTATTTTTTGCAGTTAATATTTTATTTTTGCTGTGGGTGGGCCTTGAAAATTAGTAGTTAGTTTAAAAATAATTTTAAAATCAGTAATAGTAAGTAATCATTTTATGCATTAAAAATTGCTGTAGCTTCAGTAGAAAGTTTGAGTGTTACTTTGAAATGGACAGGAGTACTTTACTGAAAACAGCTGTGTGTCACTAGTTTATCTGACATAGCATTTAGGACTAACCACTCTTTCATTTCCAAAATTTAGGCAAAAAATAGTTCAAACTGAATTGTTTTATTTATTATACTTTTGTTTTTCTCTTCCCTTTCCCCTCACCCCAATTATTAAAGGAAAATCTACAAACACTTGGAACAGAAATAGAACGTCTTATTAAACACCAGCATGAACTAGAACAGAGGACAAAGAAAACCTAAAACAAGCCTCTTGCTCAGTAAAGAGACAAAAGCCACACAGGAGTAGGTGCCACTGACCTCTATTGTTGGAGACTTTGTTCCACTTTTTGTTTCAGCCAGTAAAAATATTGTTTTGCTTCATCTGTACACAAAAAAATACCCTTTTACAATATGAATGCATTGCTGTATATACTGTAAGACTGAAAGCTTTGATGAAATTTGTTTTTGTATGGTGCAATATGACAGCCTGTCATTGAATCTAAACAACTTAATTTGCTTGTATTCATAAGAAGTGTTGAACATTACAAGGGCTTTTATAAAAAACCCTTTGTTCATATTTCTTCCCTTTAAAATATGTAATGTCAAAAATGACTCACCTTTTAAAAATTATGCATGAAAACAGGTGGTAAACATTCAGTAATACGCTATTTCTCCAACATCAAGACAACTAAAACAAATGATAAAAATGTTTATTTTTACACTCCAGCATATCGGGTGAGTTTTAGGGATGTGTATGAATATTTAAATCTTTTAATTTCAGTTTTAATGAAAGCTGAACTTAATAGGAAAGCTAGCTCTTGGTAACTAGCAATGATCAGGCATTGTTTGCCTCTGTCAGGTTTTCTTATCTGTTTTAGGTACATTTTTTCAGATTCTGATTGTTTGAGTTAATGGTTGAATTTTTAAAGTTTTTAGTTACTTAAAATATGATTTTAAATTACATATTAATTTAGAAAATTCCTGTGTTTACTTATATTTTAAATTGTGAAATGGATCCAATCATTAGAACAGAGAGAATAGTTCTTTGAAACTGAAATACTTTAGTTTTACTGACCTTGTGTAAAGATAATATGAAGAACCAGCTTCCAAAAGAAACCAGCATATGGCACTATAAACTATTTCATTTGAGCACCATTCTTTACCATGGATATATTAATTATGTATTATAGTGGAGTGATCATACAGTTCCCCCAAATGTGATGTTTCAGTGTATTTATTTAAAACATAAAGTAGACCAGGTGCAGTAGCTCACGCCTGTAATCCCAGCACTTTGGGAAGCCAAGGCAGGAGGATTACCTGAGGCCAGGAGTTTAAGACCAGCCTTGGCAACATAGCGAGACCCCCATCTCTACAAAGAAATTTTAAAAGATTATCCAGGCATGGTGGTGCATGCCTATGGTTCCAGCTACTCGGGAGGCTGAAGCGGTAGAATCACTTGAGCACAGGAGGTCAAGGCTGCAGGTGAGCCATGATCGTGTCACTGCACTCCAGCCTAGGCAACAGAGCAAGACCCTGTCTCTTAAAACAAAAAACCTCACACATACCTAAAATAAGTATATATCTGTAACCAAAGGAACTTAATTTTAGAGCCAAATTTTTCTATCTTGTTGGATTTTTTACAGTGTTTAAGATAGACACTTAAGTGTTGCCGTAGTATCAATATTTCTGTCATTGAATTTTTTCTCACCCCTTATTATTTCTCACTTACAATTTCTGAGCATGATTTTTCATAATTCATTATCTTCAGATCATTACTATAATAAGATACCGTGGCTCTTATGCAGATATTGCAGCAAGCCTTGTTTGGTTTGGATTTTTGCATCCCTTTTTCTCCCATTAAGGGAATTAAGTTTTGGGATGATGGATTAAAAGCCTGTAAAGAATTGTTTGGGCTCTAAAAGTTGGGCTCATGGTGGCAATATCCTTTTAATGTGTTTTAACATTTTTTAATCAACATCGTTTAAAAATAATTTACTAAGGATTAGATTATTTAATGAATGTCTTTTTTTCTATATATTGAATTAGATGTTATCCCAAAAAAAATATCTTTTCACTTCAAAATGAAAATATATGTTCAAAGATGTTTTATTTTTAGAATAGTTATAAAAAGTATTAGTCTTAACATAATGTGTCTTGTTCTTTTTACCAATAATAATTTATCAAAATAAGAGGGAAAGTGCAATCAAATCTGAATTATTTTACTATTTGTTTCTAGACACACTACTTAACACTCCTAAAGACTACTTTGAGTAGGCAACATAACTAAATTTTTCTAGTTTCTTATGATACAGGTTCATAAACTACAATATTTGGATTTTTTTCCCCAAGGCACAAAATGTATAATGGAGACCAAATAGTGATCTGATCCATAGTATCCTATGCCTATACACTTTAAAATGTATATACATTTTAGACAAAAATGCACACTCCAGTATTAATATTTGTGCTACCATCTACTTGGAGAAGTTTAATGAGAAAATTTTAGAAGAAAAGTATTACAAACAATATTTTGACTCTATTACCTGTTTTGCCTTATACATTTTAGAAACTGGAAATTTTTTAAAGAAAATGCTTTAGTTTTCTTCTGTTCTTCACTGTCTACAGTGTGCTTTTGTATATGGATCAGGACTGAGCAAAGTAATTACATGTATCAGAGATACTTATCTCTATACTAATTCACAGACAGCTCCTGATGTAAGGATTTAGAGGGCCTTCTGCCCTCTGAATATATGGTGAGGAGAATGGGGTATCTGGAAAAGGAAAATGATCTGGATAAATCTGAGACCTGGGGGGAAGTTTGTTTTATATGTTCATTATTGGTTGTTACATATCAAGGCTGTTTTGGTTATGTATCAATATTGTGGTTTATTTGAGCTGGAAGTGATTTTTTCTGTGTATGTATATGTATACACTTCAATAGGTTTTAATTTTGAAGTGAATATTTGCCATGACTCCATTTTCCCCATACCACTTCAGACTTTAGCCTGTTTAGTTTTAAGGACTGAAAATGGTAGGTTTGGGCAGAAGAATGAATTTGAACTTTGATGGGGTTTTTTTGTTTTTACTTTCTATCTTCATAACCATTTAAAGCGATTTAGCTTGAAATTAAATTTTATCAGGCTACCAACATGTTATTTATTTATTTAATAAACACATTTATTGAAAACCTATACTATTGTATTGGCACCATACAGGGTATTGTATTTATACTAGTGAGCAGACCAGGGCATTTCCATCCTCATGGAGTTCATGGTCTAATGAAAATAGCTGGGGCCGGGTGTGGTGGCTCACCCCTGTAATCCCAGCACTTTGGGAGGCTGAGGTGGGAGGATTGTTTGAGCCCAGGAGTTTGAGACCAGCCAGGGCAACATGGCAAAACCCCATGTGTACAAAAGATTAAAAAATTAGCCAGATGCAGTGGCACATGGCTGGGGTCCCAGCTACCCAGGAGGCTGAGTTGGGAGGATCATCTGAGCCTGGGAGGTTGAAGCTTGCAGTGAGCTATGATTGCCACTGTACTCTATACTCCAGCCTGGGTGACAGAGTGAAACCCTGTCTCAAAAAAAAAAGAGGAAAGAAAATAGCTAGGAGACAATCAGAGCAGATCTTGGGCTTCTGTGGCTCATCTCAGCCCTTTATAACTGGCCTGAGAAGAGGGTTTATCTACTTGTGCAAGTGGCCCAGAAATCTCACTCGTACATGAGGCTTTGGAACATCCTTGCAAAGGTACGCTGAAAGCAAATTGCTGTTTTCCTGGTGGTTCTGCACGTTTCCTAACTTTTATCATAGTTTGATTTTCATTATTTAAGAAAAAATAAAAAATCCAAAGACCATAAGATGGCATTAGATTTTTTACCATTAAATTATTAATGCCTATTTGGTGCTCATAAAGATTAATCATGTCACGCATGTTTCCAATCTTTCTTTTGCAGTATATTATTTTCTAAAAATTGTTACATGCAAATTTAAACCAAGATTTATCAGTAAAAGAAAAAAATAGAATCCTTAATAATGTAAATGTTGTTATATATGCTACCCTGGTGAAAATATTTTTATAAATCATGTTGTCATTTATGCTTTATGTAGCCTATTTTTCAATAACCTTTTTTTAAAAGCAATTTTTTTTGACACCAAGATTGTTGATTTTTAATTAACACCAGTTGGTGGCACTAGAAACCTGAAATTTTTCAAAGATGAACAAAGAAAAATTGAAAAGGTAATCTAAACATGGAGAATTTTTAGGAAAATAAATGAAAAATATAATTGTATATTAGAGATGTATTTTTCTTCTGGAATGGAATTCTTTTTCTAAAATGCAAATCGCTATCCATTTTGACTGCAATGATGAAACTTGTTTATCTTCCAGAGGACATATATATATGTGTGTGTGTGTGTATTGTACAGATACCTTTAATTTGATTACACTGTTTCTTGTAAATATGTTTCTGTATAAAATGAAACTTTTCAAGAGGATTCTATGTATATATTGTACTTATTAAATAGGTAATGCCTATTTACCAACTTGTAGTTTGATGGCATCTTTATTTGTTTATATGCACCATTTGCTAAACAGACTGATTCTTCAGACTGTTGGCAAGACTGATTCAAATAGCTTCAATTTCCTTTTTTTAACTAGACTGGGAATTTTTGCTTTCTATAGTTGTCTTTATTCTATCAATATGATTGGAAGTCAGTGAACAATAGTAAGCAGATTAAGTTGAATGCTGGGTTGTATTTTAAATTTTTGTTTAAATTATTGACAGCAAAACTTAGCCTGTGTATTAATTGGTTTTCACACTGCTGTAAAGAACTGCCCCAGACTGGGTAATTATAAAGGAAAGAGGTTTAATTGATTCACAGTTCTGCGTTGCTGGGGAGGCCTCAGGAAACTTACAATCATGGTGGAAGAGGAAACAGGCATATCTTACATGGTGGCAGGTGAGAGAGAGAAGAGGGAGGAAGAACTTGCAGACACTTATAAAACCATCAGATCTTGTGAGAACTTACTACCACG